>NC_000001.11:20599163-21849163 GCF_000001405.40 Homo sapiens
AACAGCTTGTGCAAAGGCCCTGTGGCAGGAGCATACTGGTGCCCTGAGGGGAGCAGCTGGAAGGACAACAGGTCTAGAGAACAAAAGGAGATGCGAGCCAAGAGGTAGCACCAGATCACATATGACCTTGGCACCAGATCACATATGACCTTGTAGTCATAAGAAGGATTTCAGGCCAGGCGTGGTGGCTCACACCTGTAATCCCAGCACTTTGGGAGGCTGAGGCGGGTGGATCACAAGGTCAGGAGTTCAAGACCAGCCTGACCAATATGGTGAAACCCCATCTCTACCAAAAATACAAAAATTAGCCGGGCGTGGTGGCACGCACCTGTAGTCCTACCTACTTGGGAGGCTGAGGCAGGAGAATCGCCTGAACCCAGGAGGCAGAGGTTGCAGTGAGCCGAAATTACGCCACTGCACTCCAGCCTGGGCGACAGAGCAAGACTCCGTCTCCAAAATAAAATAAAATAAAATAAAATAAAATAAAACAAAATAAAATAAAATAAAAATAAAGGATTTCAAAGTGCCTGAAGGACAGGGACAGGACCACTGTCATACCTTGTTGAGAAGGTGCAGAGGGTCACATAGCCCTACTGCCACCAAAGCCTTGATTTTTATGCAATTGATAACAGCAGCAGCTAACAGCTGCCGACCATTTCCTCTGTGCCAGGCTTTGTGTTAAGTGCTTTACACGAGTGATCTCAATTTATTCTCACAACAGGACTATGAGGGAGATTCTATCATTAGCGATTTACAAATGAAGCCAGTGAGCCTCAAAGAGGTTCAGTCCCTTTCCCCAATTCTCAGAGCCAGTTGGGCAAAGAGTCCCAGGGCAGAATGAAACCTAATGGAACCTCTTTCTACAGGGTGCTGTTTGAGTAGTGGGGCATGTGAGTGTGCCCCCTGCCACAACCATCTTTCTTTCTCATTAACTGGCCTATTACATGTTTTACACAAAGTAAAGGAAGATTTCTGTCTCTGAGGCCTTTCTGAACTTCCAGAGCAGACACATGTGACCATCCTGAGAGACTGGGTCTTCTGCAAGTGTGGAAATGTGCTTTAACGGCATGTCAGCAAAACCCAAGATCTGCATGCATCACTTTTGATGGGAAAAGTGTCAGACTTTAGTCAGGGATCGGGCAGGGAAGCTGGAAGGGCGGGGCTGGGAGAGTCACTAGGCTGGGAGTGAGGCTGGCAGGGACTGTAATCTGGGAGAGAGGCAGAAACCAAGTGTAGGGATGTCAGTGAAGGTGGGAGTGGTGAGCAGATATGGCAGGTGAGAGTGGTGTTTAAAGAAAGTCATTTTCAGGGGCTGGGCATCTTAGCTCACACCTGTAATCCCAAGATTTTGGGAGGCCGAGCTGGGCGGATCACTTGAGGTCAGGAGTTCAAGACCAGCCTGAACAACATGGTGAAACCCCATCTTCACTAAAAATTAAAAAATTAGCCAGGCATGGTGATGCACACCTGTAATCCCAGCTATTAGGGAGGCTGAGATGAGAATCACTTGAACCCAGGAGGTGGAGATTGCAGTGAGCTGAGATTGTGCCACTACACTCCAACCTGCATGACAGAGTGAGACTCTGTCTCAAAAAAAAAAAAAAAAGAAAAGAGAAGAAAAAGAAAGTCATTTCAGGTGAGGATCAGGAACCTGGCTGGGGAGACAAGGTGGGGAGCAAGAGGCATTATTCATTTATACATTCAACTTTCATTGACTCAGCAGAGAGACTGAGCAATAAGGGGCCAGTTATCTCAGCTATAATAACTAACATTTAAATAAACAAAAGCTCTCAGGGTTGCAACTTCCTGATTGTACCCTGCCCCATATTCCAACTGTATTAACTGATCTCTGTATGGTTTCAAATGATAAAAATACACATGAACTATTTTAGACAAAAGGAGGATGTATGGATTCCTATAACTAAACCGTGGGAAGACCTGGAGTGTAGCCAGACCTCAGGGGCAACTGGCACTGGCCAGACTCCTTTCTTTCCATCTCTCTTCTCTCATCCATTCTTCTGAGTGTCCATTTCAGCCTCTCTCATTGGTCTCTTCCATAATGAATGGAAACATGGCGGCCCACACTCAGTGTCTCAAGAGAGAAACTGAAGTTCCCACACAGAGATGAACTCTGATTGGCCAGTTTGAGTCAGGTGTTCATCTTTATGCCCATAGCAAGGTCATAGGAGACAAGATGGCAGCTCCCATTTGAACTACATGCTGGGGAATAAAGTAAGAGTCATTCCTCAGGGGAAAAAATGTAAGAGGTGTTAAGTTGTCAAAACAGTAGATGCTCACTATAGTCTACCCTTTGGTGCTCAGTATACAAGCCTGTTTTCTTCCCCAAAGTAGAATTCCAAACCAGCCCCCATCTAACACCATACAGCCATCCCATGCACCACTGTGACCACATTCACCCTCACCCTGACAAGGGACCTGCAGCTGTGGCACCCAGTAGTGTCTAATGACATCCGTCAACTCTGGACATGAATGCCTGCGATCCTGAGAACGAGTTAAATGACTAATCACTCCTAACATGCCAATGTAAATAATGAAGGGACCAGAAAATATGTGAGGAAAAATATACAAGAAGATAATGACCAAATAATTCCCAAATGTGATCAACACGGAACAAAATACTGCATAATCACAATGAAGACTTGGACTTATAAAAGGAGGTGTAGGCTGGGCACCGTGGCTCACACCTATAATCCCAGCACCTTGAGAGGCCAAGGTAGGTGGATCACTTGAGCCCAAGAGTTTGAGACTGGCCTGGGCAACCCCATCTCTACAAAAAAATACAAAAAATTAGCCAGGTGTGGTGATGTATACCTGTGGTACCAACTACTTGGTAGGTTAGGATGAGAAGATCAGTGGAGCCCAAGACTTTGAGGTTACAGTGAGCTATGATCATGCCACTGCACACCAGCCTGGGCAACAGAGTAAGATCCTGTCAAAAAGAAAGGAGAGGGGAGAGGAGGAGAAAGGAGGGGAGGGGAGGGGAGGGGAGGGGAGGGAAGGCTAAGTTGATGAAATCAATAAGTATACAGTGACTCAAACAAGATGTGGTGGCTTATTTCCCTCATCTAACAGACCAGGGGCGGGCTGGAGTCCACAGCATAGGAGATGTGTTTCTCTGTCCTGCAAAGTTGTCCTGGAGACCAGATTCCTTCTGTCTAGATGTCCCACCATCCCTAGAGTTGTGTCCTCATCTGCATGTTCAAACTGACACACATCATCACACCCACATCATGGTTTTTTTTTTTTCGTTGTGTTTTGAAATGGAGTCTCACTCTGTCGCCCAGGCTGGAGCGCAGTGGCATGATCTCGGCTCACTGCAACCTCTGCCTCCCAGGTTCAAGCAATTCTTCTGCCTCAGACTACTGAGTAGCTGGGACTACAGGTGGCTGCCACCATGCCAGGCTAATTTTTGTATTTTTAGTAGACAGGGTTTCACCATATTGGCCAGGCTGATCTCAAACTCCTGACCTTGTGATCCGCCCGCTTTGGCCTCCCAAAGTGCTGGGATTATAGGCTTGAGCCACCATGCCCAGCCTCATCATGTGTTTTTATAGGCCAGGCTTGTGGCTTCTTTGGCGATCCAATTCTATCAAAAGTTGGAAACATCCTGATCTATTTGCTTCCAATTATTTCCATACAGAAATGCCACACCCAGAGATCCCTTCTGGACATGGTTCTGAAGCCTGCCAACTCTGGCATTTTCCTAACTGGCTCCCATGCCTGGCCCATTCCTGCTGCCCCATCTTAATGCTGGCTATTGTGGTGCCTGAAACAACAGGCTGTGTGGGCAGATGACACATCACATCTTTGCCACAGGGCTGATTCCCATTGCCAGGGAGAGAAATTTCAGTGGTGGGTACCACGGCCTGCCTTCCTGGTTATTGCAGGTGGAGCTTTACCAAATAACAGACTAGGAGGAGTCACCATCTGGCCATCTTGCCTCATCTGTGTTTTCTCCTTTGCGTTGCTCAACCACTAAGCCAATGTCACATACTTTAGATTTTTTTTGTTCAAGTTGCATCTCACCTTCAGCACAAATGTCTGTATTAGACATAGGTTATGCTACTATAACAAACAGATTCCAAGATGCAGTGATATAAACATGGTGGAATTCTCTTTTTCTCTCACACAACAATTCAGAGTAGGCCCCAGGCAAACGGGCAACTCTGCCCCATGAGTTGACCAGGTTTCCAAATTCCTTCTCTCTCCTTGCTGCTCCTCCATTCCCTTGGCCACGCAGTCAAAAGTGTCCCACCCCATCACCTCCACCTTCCAGTCTGTGGAAGGAGAAAAGAATGGAAGTAACAGGCAAGCAACCTCCTTACCAAAAGTATGATCCAGAAATTTCCCACATCACCTTGGGCCACATCCCATTGGCCAGAACTGCATCATGTGGCCACACTGTGCTGCAAGGGAGTCTGGGAATTACAGTCCCTAGCTGAGCGGCCATGCTGGAATGGGAGGCACTTGTATTACTTAAAGGAAGAAATAGGAAATGAATACTGGGGAACAACTCCTATCTCCGCCTCAGGGAAAAAGGCAATTTACAAACAGTGATACAGATGGAATACCACATCTTGCTGGTCAGGGGAAAACCCAGCTCCCATAGTGATTTGTTCGTAGACTCACTTCCCTGAATATGGGGACTTTCTTAGCCAATCTGGTTATGCCAACATCTTGCCTCCTAGGAGCAGCCTTGGCTTATTGTCCCCCAGCAACAACCCTGAGAGAGCCAACAGGAAGGACTCCCTTACTGAGAGCTGGGCCATCTTAGGAGCCCACATCCCACTGGAGGCCCGAGGATTGTTTTAAGTCTTGTGAAATCACAGGCAACTCGCACAAAGCTCGAGGTGTTTTTTTTGTTTGTTTGTTAATTGATTTCGTTGTTAGTTGGTTTTGACAGTGTGTTTGTTTTGCAACACAACTGACACAGAACCCTGGCTGAACTCTGACAGCCAGTACCTAACCCCCAAAATTTTGTCCAGGCTCAAACTTGGAATCAGGATCTGTCTTAGTCCATTCAGGCTGCTATAACAGAATACCATAGACTGGGTAGCTTGTAAATAACAGAAATGTATTGCTCACAGTTCTGGAGACTGGAAAGTCCAGGGTTCAAGGCACTGGCAGATTCAGTGAGGGCCTGCTTAGTCATAGACGGTGACTCCTTGCTATGTCCTCATGCGGCAGATGGGGCAAGGCAGTTCTCTGGTTTTATAAGTGCATGACTCCCATTCCTAGGCTTGGTCCCCTTCATTCCATTCTCATTATCTAATCATTCCTCCAAAGGCCCCACTTCCTAATACCATCACTTTGGGGGCTAGGATTTCAACATATGAATTTGATGGGACACATTCAGACCATGGGGCTCTTAGATCTCTTAGATGCAGGTGTGGGGGCTCTACTTATTTTTGTAAGCCTCGGGATCTACCCTGGCCTTGACCTCTGCAGGGGTGATGGAGCTGCCTAATCTGCCTGTTGTGCTGCCCTGCTCCCAGGCTGTGCTTCATCATGGAGGCATTGGGTAAATTAAGACAGTGCCAGGTTCTTGGGAAGGGCCACTACCATGGGCCAAAGAATCTACCAGTGCCCCAGGTCGAATTGCCCTAATTGCCCTGTCCTTCTCCCCACCTTGTTTGGAGTAACCAGTTCCTTCCTGCTTTGGAATGGGGCAAACTTCTTACTCAACACACGCAACAGGAAGTGTCTCTGCCAGACATACCACTGGACTCTGCTCTCTTCTCAGGGTGCAACATAGAAAATGCCTGCTACCCGCTGGGCATCTGTGCTGAACGGACCGCTATCCAGAAGGCCGTCTCAGAAGGGTACAAGGATTTCAGGGCAATTGCTATCGCCAGGTGAGTGGGAAAGCCAGGTTGCAACAATATTCATTCATCTCTTTAGCCAACATCTTCCTTACACATATTATTCATTCATTCATTCATCTGACATATGTTTATTGTGGACTTCCTATGTGCCAGGCACTGTACAGGGCCCTGGGATGAGTGCTGAGGATAAGGAGATAAATAAGAAATGGAGTTTGCCCTCAGTGAGCCTGCAAAGCAGGTAAATAAGCAAGGCAACTCTCATACAAGGGCCAGTATGCCCCTGTTCCAGCAACACAACGTGATACAGACTCCTGTCCTACAAGATATAACAGAAAGGCAGCATTGAAACATAAAGCGGGGGGAACCTGAGCCAGGCGCGGTGGCTCACGCCTGTAATCCCAGCACTTTGGGAGGCCAAGATGGGCAGATCACGAGGTCAGGAGATCGAAACCATCCTGGCTAACACAGTGAAACCCCGTCTCTACTAAAAATACAAAAAAATTAGCTGAGCGTGGTGGCGGATGCTTGTAGTCCCAGCTACTTGGGAGGCTGAGGCAGGAGAATGGTGTGAACCTGGGAGGCAGAGCTTGCAGTGAGCCGAGATGGCGCCACTGCACTCCAGCCTGGGCGACAGAGCAAGACTCCGTCTCAAAAAAAAAAAAAATTTTTTTTTGCTGATGGTGGCATGCCCATAGTCCCAGCTATTTGGGAGGCTGAGGCAGGAGGATCACTTGAGCCTGGGAGTTCGAGGCTGGAATGAGCCATGATTATGCCATTGCACTCCAGCCTGGGGGACAGAGTGAGACCCTGTCTCAAAAACAACACAAAACAAAAAAGCATTGAGAACAGTTTGGAAAGGTCTTCACCGGCAAGTAATTATCACAGTGTTGTACCATTGGATTCTCTTGGCTTACTTATAGGTTCTGTATTGTTTGAATAACAAAAAAGGAATACTGAAAGCTGGGTTTAGTGCAAGGCCAGTGGGGACTGCACAGAAGCAAGCCCACGTGCCTTTTATAAGATCCTACACTTTGCCTCAGTCTGGCCCCAAGGAGACCCAGCTTAATTTGTTTCTGAGTAAGTAAAGCCCGAGGTGCACTCAAGGAGAAGGGCTCCAGTATCCGATAGCCTTCCCTGTCACCGAGGTGTGTCCTGGCTTCCTTAAGGCTTCCGGAGGAATAAATGACGGTTGGCGGGCGCCTGTAGTCCCAGCTACTTGGGAGGCTGAGGCAGGAACATGGCGTGAACCCGGGAGGTGGAGCTCGCAGTGAGCTGAGATCACGCCTCTGCATTCCAGCCTGAGTGACAGAGCGAGATTCCGTCTCCAAAACAAAAAAGCGGGAGGGACCTAAAAATCACCTGCTATAGACTCCCTTGCCACCACCCCCATTTTATAGCTGATGAAATTGAGGCCCCGATAAGTTGAACAACTTTCCTGGGAGTTAGTGCCAGAGCTGGGACAAAACCCAGGTTCCAGAGTCTCACTGCAGGGCTCATTCCACTACATCATGCTGTGCCAGGAGATGGAACACTTTTCCCTGTTCTCCACAAGCTGATGCTAGGATCCTGAATGAGCCACTCAGCACTGCTCTCTCCTTCATTTGGCAACACTCACCTCTAGGTCCAAGAACCAGGATACAAAAACAGTCAGGTAAACAGTAGTTATGGTTCAAACTAATCAGAGTCCAGCCAAGGTTCTGGCTGAACAAGAGCCCCAATCAATGCTCCTATATGTCCCAAACATAAATATCCTAGTTGGTATGGCTTACTTTCCACGGGAGCATGTTGAATTCTTGTTGGCTCTGGCCCTAGACTCAGTGGTTTCAGGATCCAAGCACGTAAATTAGCCCTTTTACTGGACTCCATTATTGAATGACTTAATGGTGAATTGCTCCTGTGTGCACCTTTGCATTGTGTATGACAGTTTTCTTAACAAGTTAATGATGCAAGAAAAATGACATGGGAAATGTTGATCCCACCCAGAAGGAGGCTGCATGCCTGTTGGTCTTTAGGGACATCTGGGTGCATAGGTCACATTCTGTGAGGTAATTATCTCTTCACTCATAGTGGAGTTAATTCCTGTGGTAGAGCTACAGCACCTTTCTGGCTAAAATACAGAAAGAGAGCTACACCTTTTAGCACCTTTCTGGCTAAAATGCAGAAATGCAGGGGTTTAGTGCAAGGCCAGTGGGGACTGCACAGAAGCAAGCCCACGTGCCTTTTATAAGATCCTACACTTTGCCTCAGTCTGGCCCCAAGGAGACCCAGCTTAATTTGTTTCTGAGTAAGTAAAGCCCGAGGTGCACTCAAGGAGAAGGGCTCCAGTATCCGATAGCCTTCCCTGTCACCGAGGTGTGTCCTGGCTTCCTTAAGGCTTCCGGAGGAATAAAGGACGCTGTGCTGAGAACATTTTGTGCAGATAGGCCAAGATCAGGATGTGAATTGCACTTTATGAAAAAAAAGAGAAAAGGAGGGAAATAACTCAATTTCAAAGCTGATCCAAGAAAATAATGATATTCTAGGGAAAAAGAGGCCAAAGTCAACCAAAGGATAATGATGCCTTGCTCTATTTAGAATTTTCCAAATGAGAGGCTTTTTCTCTTGGTCATTATCGACTTTTAAACAAAACTAAGTATCACTAGCAATGATTAGCAAATGTCCTTATTTACACAAAACCTGCCATTTTTCCAGCACCCAACTGCTGTACTCTAGGTATTCAGCTCAGTTTCCCTGAGCCCAAGATGCACTCATTATCGCACTCATGATTTGTTAAATTGAGAGCGTTTGTGGATTTAGAGGATGAATGAGAAGTACCAGCTCCCTTGTTAACATCAGATGGGTCTGAGCAACCTCAGAGAGAACCCCTCTCAGGTCTTTAAGGATGGAGACCGCACTCAGGAAAGGTCCGTGTGTCTTACTGCTCACAGACAGATGAGACTGCCCCACTGGGTCCCAGCTGTAGTGATCAGAGTCAGTAGGTTTCCAGCCCGTCAAGTCTGATAAGTACGGCCTCAGTGTGTGACCAAGGTGAGCACAAACCACAGAAAACTGTAAATAGCCAGCAAAAGGCAGGACAGAGTGAAGGGCAGGGTAGAGGGAGAAAGGGGGAAGCTGTGAAGAAACATCCTGAGGCAGCCAGCAGGTGCTCAGTCTTGAGTGCTCTCTCTTGGCAGGAACGTTGAGTAAGTTAGAAGCCCAGGCTTCAGGGTCAGTGAAACCAGTTTCCAAATCCAGCCGCATTATGGACCTTGGGCATGCTGCTTAGACCCTGAGCCTGGCTTCTCATCTGTGAAATGGAGGAGACTGGTCTGTTACAGGGTCTTAAGAAACGATTTCTGTAAAGTTCCTGACACAGGGTATGTAATACATTCAAACTATTATATAGTTTTGTTTTGTTTTGTTTTGTTTTGTTTTGTTTGAGAACAAGTCTCTCTGTGCCGCCCAGGCTGGAGTGTAGTGGCAAGATTTCGGCTCACTGCAACCTCCGCCTCCCAGGTTCAAGCGATTCTCATGCTTCAGCCTCCTGAGTAATTGAGACTACAGGTGCCGGCCAGCACGCCTGGCTAATTTTTGAATTTTTAGTAGAGACAGGGTTTCACCACGTTGACCAAGCTGGTCTCGAACTTCTGGCCTCAAGTGATCTGCCCACCTCGGCCTCCCAAAGTGCTGGGATTATAGGCATGAGCAACCGCATTCAGCCTCAAACTATTATATTGTTTTAAAGTTATCATTATTTCTTCTGCAAGCTGCAAAACTACCAAAGGCAGAGTGTGTAGATTTGGGGTTCAAATCCTGATTCTGCCACTTCACTAACTCTGTGGCCTTGGGCAAGTCGTTTCACCTTTCATGATCTACAGCATGCAGGTGATAAGAGCGCCTGCATACCCCGGCCCCTTACAGGGTTGTTGGGGGATTAAATGAACTAATCCACTTAAGGTCCTTAGCACAGAGGCTGGCACACAGAACCACTATGTATGTGTAAGCCATTACTGTTAATGCGCTGTCTCTACATCCTCAGTGCTAGGCTGCCTGGAAACACTATCCTGCGACTTTTGGTTGTTGAAGCCTACACCAAATCTACCTTCCCAGTGGAATGCATGCTTGCCCACCTTGAAATCCCTGATGCAGATCACCTTGTCCAGGGAGCTAGCCATTGGGTAGTGGGCCACAGATGCCACAAGATTCAGAAAGAAGGCCGGGCGCAGTGGCTCATGCCTATAATCCCAGCACTTTGGAAGGCCGAGGCAGGCGGATCATGAGGTCAGGAGATCGAGACCATCCTGCCTAACACGGTGAAACCCCGTCTCTACTAAAAATACAAAAAAAATTAACCAGGCGTGGTGGCGGGCACCTGTAGTCCCAGCTACTCAGGAGGCTGAGGCAGGAGAATGGCGCGAACCTGGGAGGCAGAGCTTGCAGTGAGCCGAGATCGCGCCACTGCACTCCAGCCTGGGCGACAGAGCGAGACTCCGTCTCAAAAAAAAAAAGATTCAGAAAGGAAGCGGTGAGCTCAGCAGGGGTCAGATCACACAGGGCCTTACAGGCCATGAAAGGAAGGCTGAATTTCATTCAGAGCAACTCTCCCATGGCCCTAACCATGCCTTTGTTACGGCATTTGTGTGAAATTTTATCTCCCCCTCCAGAGGGTAAGCTCCAGGAATTGTCCGATTGGTCTTTGTTGCTCCTTTCCCATGCCTGCCTGACATAGAGAAGGATTTTGGTCGACATGTCTGGAATGAAGTGAAGAATAACCCCCAAAAAGCTTAAGAGGCCCTGGCTGCAACAGCTGTCACCCAGTAATTCCAAGAGTTCACTCGGCATCCTGGGCAGGAGTCCCCACCCTCTTATGTGCCCGTGGGTTTTTCTTCTGAAGCTGGAAGCGTCCTCAGAGAGGTCCCCATCATCCCATGGAACAGAACCTTTCATTGACTGGACCCCCACATGTAAAAGGTAGTAATGGTGAGGATTAGAGAAAATAGCACCTCAGCTGCTTTATTCTAATCATAATATCATCCCTATCTCCACTTGACGCATGGTTGGTTGGTTGGTTGGGTGGTTGATCAGTTGCCTAGCTCCCCTCACTAGTCTATAAACTCCTGAGCATAGTGAATTTTGTCTGTTTTGTTCACTGCTGCACTCCTAGCACCAATGACAGTGCCCAGCACTGCTCAGTAAATATTTGTTGGTTGAAGTGAGACAATGCATATAAAATGCTTTGCAGAATGCCTGGCACATTCTAGGCACACATTATCTTTTTTTTTTTTATTTTATTTTATTTTTATTTTTATTTATTTATTTTTATTTTTTTTTGAGATGGAGTCTTGCTCTGTCACCCAGACTGGAGTGCAGTGGCATGATCTCGGCTCACTGCAACCTCTACCTCCCAGGTTCAAGCAATTCTCTGCCTCAGCCTCCCAAGTAGCAGGGATTACAGGCATCTGCCACCACGCCCGGCTAATTTTTGTATTCTTAGTAGAGACAGGGTTTCACCATGTTGGCCAGGCTGGTCTTGAACTCCTGACTTTGTGATCCACCCACCTCGGCCTCCCAAAGTGCTGGGATTACAGGCATAGGCACACATTATCTTAATAACAATTGTTGTTAAGATATAATAAGATGAATTATGAAATAGTACATAAATCACATAGCATATAATAAAACTGTGTATGATAAAGTACTAAAATTATGACAGAGCTTACATACGTAAGGAAATAAATGTCCAGCACTTAGAACAGGCAGTAACAATATGTATATAACATTCTAAAGTTTACAAAGTCTTCCATACACCTTATCTCATTTTATCTTCTAGCATTCTTACAAAGCAGATGACGTATCATCCACATTTTACAGCAAATAAATGAGACTTGGATGAGTTAAAATGACTTAGTCAAAGTCACACATAGCAAAAGGAAGAGCCAACTAAAAACCAAAATTTAAATCCTGTGTTCTGCCAGGCATGGTGGCTCATGTCTGTAATCCCAGTACTTTGGGAGGCTGAGGTGCAAAGATCTCTTGAGCCCAGAAGTTCAAGACCAGCCTGGGCAATATAGTAAGATCCTATTTCTACAACAAATCAGAAAATGAGTCAAGTGCGGTGGTGCGTGACTGCAGTCCCAGCTACTCAGGAGGCTGAGGTAGGAGGAGCCTTTGAGGCCAGGAGGCAGAGGCTGCAGTGAGCCATGATTGTGCCACTGCACTGTAGCCTAGACAACAGAACAAGACCCTGTCTCAAATAAATAAATAAATAAAAATCCTATGTTCTTCCAGAGATATCACAAAGCTGTGGGTCCAGAAGAGTAAGAAGGATGGTGGCTGCTGGCTTCACCTGTGGTGCAGGCTTGGAATTTTCCATCATCAAAGGCACTTGTTTGTTTTGTTTTGTTTTGTTTTGAGGCGGAGTCTCGCTCTGTCACCAGGCTGGAGTGCAGTGGCACCATCTCGGCTTACTGCAACCCCCGCCTCCCGGGTTCAAGTGATTCTCCTGCCTCAGCCTCCTGGGTAGCTGGGACTATAGGTGTGCACCACCACACCCAGCTAATTTTTGTATTTTTAGTAGCGATGGGGTCCCACCATGTTGGCCAGGATGGTCTCGGTCTCTTGACCTCATGATCCACCCACCTTGGCCTCCCAAAGTGCTGGGATTATAGGCGTGAGCCACTGTGCCTGGCCAAAGCCGCCTGTTTTAGGGACCAATCCTTGTCCTGCTCAGAGCTGGAGGTCTGCCTGTAGGAGCCTAAACTCTCACAGGCAATCCCTGGCTGGTGAGCTTCTTCAGTGCAAGGAGCCCATTTTTCTCTCTGAGACACATGCACTTTATTCTTTCATGCCTCAGGGCCTTTGCACATACTGTTTTTTTGTTTGTTTGTTTTTTGAGACAGGGTCTCACTCTGTCACCCAGGCTGGAGTGCGGTGGCACAATCACAGTTCACTGCAACCTCCGCCTCCCAGGCTCGAGTGATCCTCCCACCTCACTCTCCTGAGTTGCTGGGACTACAGGCCTGCACCACCACACCTGGCTAATTTTTTGTATTTTAGTAGAGATGCAGTTTCGCCATGTTGGCCAGGATGGTCTCGAACTCCTGACCTCAGGTGATCCATCCGCCTCAGCCTCCCAAAGTGCTGGGATTACAGGCATGAGCCACCACGCCCAACCTGCACATACTATTTATTTCCTTCGCCTACGACACAGAGAAACCCAGGGCTTCCGAATAGCATCTCTGCCTCTTCATCACACTGAACCTATCTCCTCACCCTTAAAGTGGCCATTCTGACATCTTGATGTCAGGCCTCTGAGCCCAAGCTAAGCGGTCTTAACCCCTGTGACCTGCACATATACATCCAGATGGCCTGGAGCAACTGAAGAACCACAAGAGATGACATTCCACCATTGTGATTTGTTCCTTCCCCACCCCAACTAACCAATCGATCTTGTGACATTCCACCCCCCCACCACCGACAATGAGTCTCACGGTCTCCCCACCCTGCACCGTGTGACCCCCGCCCCTGCCCACAAGAAAACAACCCCCTTTAACTGTAATTTTCCATTACCTACCCAAATCCTATAAAACTGCCCCACCCTGATCTCCCTTTGCTGACTCTCTTTGCAGACTCAGCCTGCCTGCACCCAGGTGACTAAAAAGCTTTATTACTCACACAAAGCCTGTTGGTGGGGCGGGGCGGGGTGGCTCATGCCTGGAGGCCGAGGTGGGCGGATCATGAGGTCAGGAGATCGAGACCATCCTGGCTAACATAGTGAAACCCCGTCTCTACTAAAATTACAAAAATTAGCCGGGCGTGGTGGTGCATGCCTGTAATCCCAGCTACTCGGGAGGTTGAGGCAGGAGAATCGCTTGAACCCGGGAGGCGGAGGTTTCAGTGAGCCAAGATCACGCCACTGCACTCCAGCCTGGGTAACAGAGCGAGACTCCATCTCAAAAAAAAAAAAAAAAAAAAGCCTGTTGGTGGACTCTCTTTACACAGACGTGCGTGACACCAGGCTGCTCTGAGAATTCCATGAATTAATGAATGTTGAGTGCCTGGTACAGAGCCTGGCATACAGTAGACATTCACTAAATGGTGACTTATGAACTCTACACTTCCTCCAAGGACCAGGACACATGCCTCCTCCTCCATAAAATCTTCCTTCTCAGTCCACAGGCAGGGATGAGCTCCCTCATACTGTGTGTTCCTTCTGCAATTTTTTTTTTTTTTGAGAAGGATTTTCATTCTTGTTGCCCAGGCTGGGGTGCTATGGCACGGTCTTGGCTCACTGCAACCTTTGCCTCCCGGATTCAAGCGATTCTTCTGCCTCAGCCTCCTGAGTAGCTGGGAGCTACAGGCGCCCACCACCAAGCCTGGGTAATTTTTGTATTTTTAGTAAAGACGGTGTTTTACCACGTTGGCCAGGCTGGTCTCGAACTCCTGCCCTCAGGTGATCCACCCACCTCGGCCTCCCAAAGTGCTGGGATTACAGGCGTGAGCTACCAAGCCCAGCTGCATTTTGTTTAACATGATAACTCAGCTGGTTTTTTACATAACAGAGACAAATTCTCTTTGACCTTTGTATTCCCGGGTGTGGGTGATGGTAAGTGCTCAGTAAACGTTTATGGATGGCACTAATGAAAGTCCTGCCCATGGCCCTGCCTTGTGGCAGTGTGGAAAGCCACCACGTGGCCTTCTCAGCCTTCAGGACACAGTGGATCTGTGAATCAGGAACTGCCTGATGGGGTATGACCCAAATCAGGAACAGACCGAGTCTCAGGGCCTGAATCTTAGCAATTGTCCTCAGTCCTTGGGAGAGACTAATTTGAGTTTGATTCTTTGCTTCCCCAGTGACATGCAAGATGATTTTATCTCTCCATGTGGGGCCTGCAGGCAAGTCATGAGAGAGGTAAGCAGCTTCTCTTGCTGTCTGGAATGCAAATATCTTCCCTGTCGCAGGCTATGGGAGCCACGCCAAGTTGCAGGCATGGCAGGCATGGCAGGCGTGGAGACACAGCTACTGTCCTGTTTGCTTGGTTGGCTGACTTCTAAGGCCTCCCTACGCTTGCATGAGTCACTGGAAATTATTCCTTCATTTAACAAATACTTACCGAGTGAGTGTCTGCTTTGTGCCAGGCCCTGAGGTAGCTCTGGGGAGGCACAGGGAAAAGATGGGCCAGGCCCTGCCCTCACAGAGCTCATAGGCTAATGCAGGAGACAGATGATAAACAAGGAGCAAAATAAATAAACAAACAGTGGCGTTTCTGAGTCAAGAGGGCTATAGAGGAAAACAAAATGCAGAAAAAAAAAAGGAGTCCAGTGACAAACGGGCAAACAGGGGACACTGCAGATTGGGGTCAGCAAACAACAGCCCTTGGGCCAAATCCAGCCTGCTGCTTGTATTTGTAAATAAAGTTTTATGGGTATACAGCCATGGCCATTCATTCACCTATTGTCCATAGCCACTTTGCCCTGACACAGCAGAGGTGAGCCATTACGACAAAGGCCACATGGCCTCTAAACCTAAGATATTTACTGTCTGGTCCTTGACAGAAAAAGGTTTGCCAACCCCTGCTTTAGATATCCAGGAAGGCCCTCTTTTTGAGCATGACATTTGAGCAGAAATATAAATAATGAGGAAAAAAATGAGACAGACAAAGGTCAAAAAAGGAGATTCAGAACCAGCAAGTTCAGACCCTTGGTGAATTTGAGAAGAGGCAAGAAGGCCACGAGGGCTAGAGAGCTAGGGCCTGGTAGGTGGAAGGAAAGCAATGGGATTGAAGTCAGAGGGGTGGGCAGAGGCCAGATCACATGGGGCCTGGCCATGGAACGAAGGGTACATTTTATTCCAAGAATAAAGGAAACTGAAGTGTACACTTTTTTTTTTTTGAGACGGAGTCTCACTCTGTCACCCAGGCTGGAGTGCAGTGGTAGAGTCTCAGCTCACTGCAACCTCCGCCTCCTGGGTTCAAGCAATTCTCCTGCCTCAGCCTCCCGAGTAGCTGGGACTACAGGCGCCAGCTACCATGCCCGGCTAATTTTTGTATTTTTAGTAGAGACTGGGTTTCACCATGTTGGCCAGGATGGTCTTGAACTCCTGACCTTGTTATCTGCCCACCTCGGCCTCCCAAAGTGCTGGGATTACAGGCGTGAGCCACCGCGCCCAGCCTGGAGTGTACACTTAAACATGGTTAAAATGGCAAATCTTACATTATATATATTTTATCACATTATATACATTGGGAAAAAAGGGAATAAAGGTAAGCCATTGGATATTTTCAAGAAGAAACTTGAAGGACTTTTTATAAAAGTCCTCTTGATGGAAGGCTGCAATTTCTTCAACTCTAAAAACAAAACGGTAAGCCAGGTATGGTGGCTCAGCCTGTAATCCCAGCAATTAGGGAGGCAGAGGCAGGAGGATCGCTTGGGTCCAGGAGTTCGAGACCTGCCTGGGCAACATAGCGAGACCCTGTTCTCCACAAAAAAAAAAAAAAAGGAATAAAACAAAACAAAAAAATGAAAACGAAGGGATAGTTTAGATCATGGGTTCTTAATCCAGGCTCAGGGGAAGGTTTTCATGTTTATATGTACGTTTGGGGAAAGGGGAATGTCAGTAACTATTGTGGATTCTCAAAGAGATCTGTGTCCTCTAGAGTCCCAAAAGATTAGAGAATCCCACAGGCCCTGAGCTCCAGCATAATATCAAGAGCCCCTCGAAATACGGCATCTTGTGGGCATGATGGCTTACACCTGTAAGCCCTGCACTTTGGGAGACTGAGGCAGGAGGATCACCTTAGCCCAGGAATTCAAAACCAGCCTGGGCCACATAGTAAAACCCGGTCCCTTCAAACAATTTAAAAATTAGCAAGGCATAGTGTGCACGCCTGTGGTCCTAGCTGCTCCAGAGGCTGAGGTAGGAGGATCACTAGAGCCTAGGAGGTCAAGGCTGCAGTGAGCTGTGATCAAGCCACTGCACTCCTGCCTGGGTGACAGAGCGAGATCCGGTCTCAAAAATAAATACATACCTACAGCATCTTGTTTAATCCCCTCCCCAAGACTGAGTGAAATGCATGTCGTTATTCCCATTTCCCAGTGACCACTCTGAGGCTCAGAGGAGTAAAATGACTTACTGAAGGGCCCCCTGCCAGGCGGTGACATATGGGTATCCATGGCCCATCAGGCTGACTCTGAAGCCCGTGCTCCTCACGGCTGCCTCTCTGTCTTTGTGGTTCTGTAAGTTGGACAAAATTATTTTCAACCATGGAGGAAACATAATGGTACTTTGGCATGTGGATGCTGCTTGTACCGTGGGAGTTTCTGCTTTTGGAGTTGTGTTTTGGGAGAAAGGGGGTTGTTTTAGCTTTGTTTTTGTGCCGTGGGGTTTCAAAGCATCTGGGGATGCAGACACTTCCATCTTCCTCCTGCTTCCTGCCAGGAGTGCAAATCAGACACATTTCCCAAATCCAAAAACATACCACCGGGAAAGCAGTGAATTTACACGGTGGAATTTGTCTCACTTGAGAGGGGCAGAAATAGCTGCCCTGCACGGTGGAAATGTCGAAGGTCATATAAGGAAGCCACAACAGGGCGCCAAGTCCCTGGCTCCCAAGGCCCCGACGTGGTCCAATTGCTCAGTGCTGTTTTCTCCAAACAGATTGGATGTTGGCAAACGAGAGAAGGCAAATGAAAAAGCTGAAGGAGGCAGGGGGGAAACTGAAACCAAATGCAAATGATAAGAGATGAGGCGTTGGGGCCAGGGACCTGACACGTAAACTCGCCCTCGGCTCAACTTTTGTCTGTACCTACCCTTAGGCACAGCCTGTCAAGCAGAAAAATTTCCTTCCTTAAAACATTAATTCTAAAAAAGCCAGAAGATTGAGTGTGCCCGGGAATAACTTGGTGATTCAGAGAGAAGTGTGGAAGAACAGGAGGCTGCAGACCTGAGCAGTCACTGGCTACCAACATAATCAATAAGAATGGCATCTATTAATTGAACACCTACTATGTGCATAGAGATGCTTTACATGAATCATCTCTGCATCTCAGAATACCTGGCCAGAAAGAGCTTAGGTCTGTTGACCCCACCTCCAGGGCTCTTGTCATGACACCGCTGCTGATTAACCTCTTGCCTACCATCCTGCATTCTCCCATCCCTAAAACCATTCCATGGACCAAGACACTGAGTGAGCCCCAGAAAGTTATCATTTTCCCAAGGTCACACAGCAAACAAACAGTGCTCCTCATAGTATAGGAGAAAGATCAAGAGACAAATTTTTCTTTGCTGACTTTACTCTGCTAAGCCTCAGTTTCCTCATCAGTAAAATGGGCATCATGATAGCACCTACCTCACAGGGTAGATTATGAAACCACGCATGTGCAGTATCTATGTGGTGTGGTTTGGCTGTGTCCCCACTCAAATCTCATCTTGAATTGTAGCTCCCATAATTCCCACATGTCATGGGAGGGACCTGGTGGGAGGCAATTGAATCATGGGGGCGGGTCTTTCCCACGCTGTTCTCGTGATAGTGAATAAGTCTCATGAGATCTGATGGTTTTATAAATGGGGGTTCCCTCACACAAGTCCTCTCTTGCCTGTTGCCAGGTAAGACATCCCTTTGCTCTTCCTTCCTCTTCCGCCATGGTTGTGAGGCTTCCCCAGCCATGTGGAACTGTGAGTCCATTAAACCTCCTTTTTTATTTTATTTTATTTTTTTTTTTTTTTGAGACCGAGTCTCGCTCTATGGCCAAGGCTGGACTGCAGTGGTGTGATCTTGGCTCACTGCAACCTCTGCCTCCCGGGTTCCAGAGATTCTCCTGCCTCAAGCCTTCTGAGTAGCTGGGATTACATGTGCTTGCCACCACGCCTGGCTAATTTTTGTATTTTTAGGAGAGATGAAGTTTCACCATGTTGGCCAGGCTCATCTCGAACTCCTGACCTCAGGAGATCCGCCTGCCTCGGCCTCCCAAAAGTGCTGGGAGTACAGGCGTGCGCCACAACACCCGGCCTAAACCTCTTTTCTTTATAAATTACCCGGTCTCAAGTATGTCTTTATTAGCAGCTTGAGAACAGACTAATACACTGAGTATATGTAGCAGGCTTGCAGCTTCTCCTGGTGTGAGGTGTAAAGGGGATACTGAAGGGAAGCGGGTGTTAGTTGTCATTTGTCATAGCAGAAGGAGGTTCCAGGGGTTAGCTGTTGCTCTTATAAAGCCCTGGGTGAGTCTTGAATGGTGCCTGTTCACGATGTACCATGCACTGTTCAGTTTCACAGCATTCTTTCGTTTCCTCCTCCCTGCAGCACTATGATCCAGGTACAATTATGGTCATTCCCCTTTTACAGATGAGAAAATCAAGGTAAAGAGAGGAACATTAGACAGTGGCAGAGTCAGACTCAGACCCAGTCCGTCTCAGCCCCCTCAGCCACGCTGTGTCTCTCACGCCAGCTTTGCCTCTTTTCCAGTTTGGCACCAACTGGCCCGTGTACATGACCAAGCCGGATGGTACGTATATTGTCATGACGGTCCAGGAGCTGCTGCCCTCCTCCTTTGGGCCTGAGGACCTGCAGAAGACCCAGTGACAGCCAGAGAATGCCCACTGCCTGTAACAGCCACCTGGAGAACTTCATAAAGATGTCTCACAGCCCTGGGGACACCTGCCCAGTGGGCCCCAGCCCTACAGGGACTGGGCAAAGATGATGTTTCCAGATTACACTCCAGCCTGAGTCAGCACCCCTCCTAGCAACCTGCCTTGGGACTTAGAACACCGCCGCCCCCTGCCCCACCTTTCCTTTCCTTCCTGTGGGCCCTCTTTCAAAGTCCAGCCTAGTCTGGACTGCTTCCCCATCAGCCTTCCCAAGGTTCTATCCTGTTCCGAGCAACTTTTCTAATTATAAACATCACAGAACATCCTGGATCAAAGCGTGTGTCTTGCTCTGTCTCTATCCTTGCTTGCAGCTCTTAGGAGGGACAGCATGATTTGTCTTTATAGGAAGAGCTGGACTCTTTCTGTTCGGAGAGGAAATGGGTACCTTGGAACCATGGACCTTATGGTGTGGAGAGCTGAGGTTTTAGGCAACTTGCCCCAGCGTTCTCTAAACGGGCAGCTCCCCTGGGCTGGACCTAACTGCCAATAACCATCCTAGAGTGTGTTTTTGTCTCATCATAGACCTGAGCACCAGGAGACTCCAGAGTATAAAGGGTCAAGCACGGTTTGTCTAGACAGTGTAACAAAGGGTTTTCTCAGTAGCTACTGTATGTCAGGTAATTTGTGTGCATCATTTTAAGTTTAACATGCTCCACAGTTCTGTGAGGAGGGTGTGGAGATGCCCCCTTTTCACAGATGAGAGCACTGGGCTTTGGAGAAGTTGAATACCCTGCTCTAGGACAATGGCAAACCTCAGAACAGAATCCAGGCCCCTTAACCCCCACTGTGGTCCGGAAACATTGCATGCTTTTTGCCATGCACTGCGCTAAGGTGTGTGACATATATGAACCCGTTCAGTCCTCATTTGTCAAACTCAAAGGTTAATTATTAGTGTTCTCAATTTAGAAATAAGCAACTCGAAGCTCAGAGTGATTGAGTTGCTCACCCAAAGTCACACAGCTGATGTGGCAGAACTGGAATCAGAACTAGATCTGTCTGGGCCGGGCAAGGTGGCTCACGCCTGTAATCCCAGCACTTTGGGAGGCCGAGGAGGGCAGATCACCTGAGGTCAGGAGTTTGAGACCAGCCTGGCCAACATAGTGAAACCCTGTCTCTTCTAAAAAATACAAAAATTAGCCGGGCGTGGTGGCAGGTGCCTGTAATCCCAACCACTCAGGAGGCTGAGGCAGGAGAGTCATTTAAACCCAGGAGGTGGAGGTTGCAGTGAGCCGAGATTGTGCCACTGCCCTCCAGCCTGGGTGACAGAGTGAGACTCCGTCTCAAAAACAATAACAACAAGGATTCCAAGGATTTTTTTCCATTCCCCCATAACTGATGTCTCAATTTACTGATTATCTTTTATATGTCAAATATTCTAAATATTGCAGAGAAAAACAGCCTCTGCCCTTGAACTCCCAGCCTGACAGATTGAGAGAAAGAGAGGTGTACACAGGTCTAATGCACAGGAGTGCACACTGTGATCCAGGCAGAACCAAGTGTCAGGTGGGTGTGTCGGGGAGCCTGCTGCTGTCTGGAGTGTGAGGACAGGGAGGGACTGTTTCTTTCATGGGTGCATTGGTTATCACACATGCACAAAATTAGGAAGGTCAGGACTGAATAAGGAAGGAGACAGGGTGGGTGCTCTGGAGGGGGATGACAGCTCCAGGAGCCCTCCCAGGAGGAGTTGGTCTTGGGGCTGGCTCATTGGGTGGGGTAAGAATACAGCTTAGGTTTCCTGTTCCCAGGGCAAGCAAGTACCTAGGGGCACCCAAGTGGACATCACCCCTTCCCTGGAAGCCCTTTCCACCCTGATCCAGTGTTGCCACCTGATGAGAATGGCTTTGCCACAACACACTCAGACTTATCTGCTGGCATCTTGGGAGCATCCCAGTCATTCCAGCATGGCTATATGACACACAACTCCATTCTGCTTTTATTTTATTTTATTTTATTTTTTTTGAGATGGAGTCTCACTCTGTCACCCAGGCTGAAGTGTAGTGGTGCGATCTCGGCTCACTGCAACCTCTGCTGCCCGGGTTCAAGTGATTCTCCTGCCTGAGCCTCCCAGGTAGCTGGGATTACAGGCACCTGCCACTGCACCTGGCTAATTTTCGTAGTTTTAGTAGAGACGGGGTTTTACCATCTTGGCCAGGCTGGCCTTGAACACCTGACCTCATGATCCACCCGCCTCGGCCTCCCTAAGTGCTAGGATTACAGGTGCGAGCCACCACGCCCGGCCTGGCTTTCTTTAGAAATGGCTTTGGTGGCTGAGCACAGTGGCTCACACCTATAATCCCAACACTGTGGGAGGCTGAGGTAAGAGGACCTCTTGAGGTCAGGAATTCAAGACTAGCCAAGTAAACAGTGAGATTCTGTCTCTAAAATAAACAAATAATTAAATTAATTAAATAATAAAATAAACTAAATAAATTAAATTAGCTTGGCCTTATGATGCTTGCCCGTGGTCCCAGCTACCCAGGAGGCTGAAGCAGACGGATCTCTTGAGGCCAGGAGTTCAGGGCCACAGTGGGCCATGATTGCATCACTGCACTCCAGCCTGGACAACAGAGTGAGATACTGTCTCTAAAACAACAACAGGCCAGGCACAGTGGCTCACACCTATAATCCTAGCACTTTGGGAGGCCGAGGCAGGTAGATCACTCCTGACTTGAGGTCAGGAATTCGAGACCAGCCTCTCCAACATAGCAAAACCCTGTCCCTACTAAAAATACAAAAAATCAGCCAGGCGTGGTGGTGCGTGCCTGTAATCCCAGCTACTCAGGAGGCTGAGGCAGGAGAATCGCTTGAACCCAGGAGGCAGAGGTTGCAGTGAGCTGAGATTACGCCACTGCACTCCAGCCTGGGCAACAAAAGTGAAGCTCCATCACAAAAAAATAAAATAAAATAAAGGCCCAGTGTTTGACCCTCAGTAAATTCTCCGTAAATCTTGGCTGTTAACCCTCAACAAGGGTGATAAATTTTGTTTTTTTTAAGGATGGATTTGTTTTTGCAAAATTTTACAGCCTTTTTTTTTTTTTTTTTGTGAGATAGAGTCTCCCTCTGTTGCCCAGGCGGGAGTGCAGTGGCGTGATCTCGGCTCACTGCAGCCTCTGCCTCCAGGGTTCAAGTGATTCTCCTGCCTCAGCCTCCTGAGTAGCTAGGATTACAAACGCCCACCACTACGCCCATCTAATTTTTGTATTTTTAGTAGAGACGGGGTTTCACCATGTTGGTCAGGCTGGTCTCGAACTCCTGACCTCAAGTGATCTGCCTGCCTCAGCCTGCCAAAGTACTGGGATTACAGGGGTGAGCCACTGCATACAGCCTATACGTTCTTTTCACAATTTTTTTTTTAATTATTATTATTTTTTTGAGACGGAGTCTCACTCTGTCGCCCAGGCTGGAGTGCAATGGCATGATCTCAGCTCACTGCAAGCTCCGCCTCCCGGGTTCACGCCATTCTCCTGCCTCAGCTTCCCAAGTAGCTGGGACTACAAGCGCCCGCCACCATGCCCGGGTAATTTTTTGTATTTTCAGTAGAGACGGGGTTTCACCGTGTTAGCCAGGATAGTCTCGATCTCCTTACCTCGTGATCCGCCCGCCTCAGCCTCCCAAAGTGCTGGAATTACAGGCATGAGCCACCACGCCCAGCCTCTTTTCACAATTATCTATCGGTGCTTACTGCTGAGACCAGTTCCCAGGGACACAGCAGTAAGCGAGGCAAAGTCTTTGCCCTCACAGAGCTCCTAGTTTATCAGTGGGAAAATGAGATCTACATGATTATAGTACTTCATGACAAGTGAAGAAAGCCCTGGCAGCAAGCAGCAGAAAGAGCAGAACTTGGCTGGGCACAGTGGCTCATGCCTGTAATTCCAGCATTTTAGGAGGCTGAGGCAGGCGGATCTCTTGAGTCCAGGAGTTCAAGACCAGCCTGGGCAACATGGTGGAACCCCATCTCTACAAAAAGTTTAAAAAATTAGGCCAGCCATGGTGGCTCACGCCTGTAATCCCAGCACTTTGGGAGGCCAAGGCGGGTGGGTCACGAGGTCAGAAGTTCGAGACCAGCCTGACCAACATGGTGAAACCCCATCTCTACTAAAAATACAAAAATTAGCCAGGTGTGGTGGCACATCCTGTAATCCCAGTTACTCAGGAGGCTGAGGCAGAAGAATCGCTTGAACCCAGGAGGCACAGGTTGCAGTGAGCCGAGATCATGCCACTGTAGTCCAGCCTGAGCGACAGAGCGAGACTCTGTCTCCAAATAAATAAATAAATAAATTTTAAAAATTAGCAGGGTGTGGTGGCAGGCACGTGTAATCCCAGCTTCTCAGGAGACTGCCATGAGAGGATCACTTGAGCCCGTGAGGTGGAAGATGCAGTGAGCCGAGATTGCACCACTGTACTCCAGTCTGGATGACAGAGCCAGACCCTGTCTCAAAAAAAAAAAAAAAAGAAAGAAAGAGAAAACAAAGAATAAAACTTGCCTTCATGCAAGACCACCCGGAGGAGAGGATGTTTTAGTCAGAGCAGAGAAGTGTCATCCAGTAAGAGAATGGGGTTTGGAGAAGGGTAAAATATGAGACTGATGGAAGGACTAAGCCTAGTATCCTTATACTATGTGGAAACAATCTATGGAAGGCGATTCTCAAAGGATTCTAGAGATTCTTCAACAATGGCCTCTTGGAAGAACAATACTCATTTGCCTGGAGAGAGGCAATAAAAGCATTTTCACTTTGCAGCCCCATTGTACAGAACACAGCGCGGAGGACATGCGTTTTCGGAGCAGTCCCATTGTGCAGAATGCAGTGCTGAGGACATGTGTTTTCGGAGCAGCTCATGTTCTTTTTTTTTTTTTTTTTTTTTTTTTTTTGAGACGGAGTTTCACTCTTGTTGCCCAGGCTGGAGTGCAGTGGCGTGATCTCGGCTCACCGCAACCTCCGCCTCCCAAGTTCAAGCGATTCTCCTGCCTCAGCCTCCCGAGTAGCTGGGATTACAGGCATGTGCCACCACGCATGGCTAATTTTGTATTTTTAGTAGAGACGGGGTTTCTCCATGGTGGTCAGGCTGGTCTCCAACCCCCGACCTCAGGTGATCCGCCCACCTTGGCCTCCCGAAGTGCTGGGATTACAGGGGTGAGCCACTGCGCCCAGCCTGTGTTTAATATTTTGTATATGGTGATATGAGCACGGGAACAGATGTGATAGGAATGCCCAATCTGTAAACACAGTTTTTGATGGGTACAGGAAAGAGGCGTTAAGAAGATTAAATTGTTAGGCTGGGCATGGTGGCTCACACCTATAATACCAATACTCTGGGAGGCCGAGGTGGACGGATCACCTGAAGTCAGGAGTTCAAGACCAGCCTGCCCAACATGACAAAACCCAGTCTGTACTAAAAAGACACAAAAATTAGCCAGGTGTGGTGGCACACGCCTGTAATCCCAGCTACTCAGGAGGCTGAGGCTGGAGAATCACTTGAACCCAGGAGGCAGAAGTTGCAGTGAACTGAGATCACACCACTGCACTCCAGCCTGGGTGACAGAGTGAGACTCCATCTCAGAAAAAAAAAAAAAAAAAAGGAAAACTCTATGACTGAATAGAAAACTATATGGCATAATGGTGACATTAGTTATCTATTGCTGTATAGCAAGTTACTCCAACATTTAGTGGCGGAGGACAACAAATACTTATCATCTCACAGTCTCTGTGGGGCAGGATTCTGGGCTGAGCCAGCTTCTATGGCTCGAGGTCTCTTACAAAGTGGCAATGAATATGTCAGGAAGGGCTTCAGTCTCATCGGAAGATTTGACTGGGGGTGGATCCACTTCAAAGCTCACTCAGTTTCTGGCAGGATTCAGTTCACTGTGGGCTGTTGCTGTTACTATTCAGTTCCTTGCTATGTGGGCCTCTCCACAGGGCAGTTTACAACCTGGAAGCTCACTTCTCTTAGAACAAGCAAGCAAGACAGAAACCAGAGTCTTTGGAATGTCATGAAAGTGACAGTCCATCACTTTTGACAAATTTAGTCCACAGAAGCAAGGCATTAACATCCAGCCCACAATCCAGAGGAGGGGATAATATATATGGCATAAATGCCAGGAGGTGGGTATTCTAAAGATGTAAAAATTCACAATGTACATGAACAAGGAAAACAAAATAAAATTAAAAAGTAGATAAGCATGGTGGAAGGGTCAGAAGATGCAGGCCTGGTTAGCCCTGTTAAGGAGTTTGACTTTATTCCAAAGGGCAGCCATCAGTTTCAGGTGTGGGTCACGTGGTCAGCTGTATACCTTAAATATCTCAGTTTGCTAAATCAAGAAATAGTAGAGGCTGGCCACCATGGCTCATACCTGTAATTCCAGCATTTTGGGAGGCTGATGCAGGAGGATCTCTTGAGGCCAGGAGTTTGAGATCATCCTGGGCAATGTGGCAAGACCCTGTCTCTACAAAAAATTTAAAAATTAGCTGGATGTGGTGGTGTGACCACCAATGGGTTCCTCCTGCCCACTGCACAAACAAAAATCATGGCATTGCAGTGAAGAAAGAGTTGAATAGACATGAGGCCAGCCATGCCACTTGGGAGACAAAATCATTACTCAAGTCAATCTCATCAAAGGCTCCTAGGTTAGGAGTTTTTCAAAGGCAGTTTGGGGAAAGGGGTGGGGCTGGCTAGGTAATGGGTGCTTGCTGCTGATTGGTTGGGTCAGAGATGAAATCAAGGGAGTTGAAGCCTCTTCTTGCACTGTGTGGGGTCACAGGAGCAGTGGAGCCATTGACTGGGGGGTCCAGGTGGAGCCATGGGTGTCAGACATGCAAAAAACTTGAAAAGGTATCTCAAAAGGCCAATCTACAATAGTGATGTTATTCGCAGGAGTAATTGGGGAAGTTGCATATCTTGTAACCTCCAGAATAATGGCTGGCAATCATTTATGTCTATACCTTAGCAGAGTTCAGGCTCCCCTTCCCCCAGCCTGGTGGCCTTTCATTAGCTTTGCAAAGAGAGTTGAGTTTGGGGAAGGGCTATTATCATTTAAACTATAAAGTAAATGTCTTTCAGAGTTAGCTCAGCCTAAACCCAGGAATAATTAAGGCAACTTGAAAGCTAAAGGCAAGAGTGGGGAGGTTGGCTATATCAGATCTCTCCCACTGCCATAATTTTCTCACTGCCATAATTTTTGCAAAGGTGGTTTCAGTGGCTCACACCTATAGTCCTAGCTACCTGGGAGTCTAAGCCATGAGGAGCGCTTGAACCCAGGATTTGGAGACTGTGAGCTATGATCTCGCCATTGCACTCCAGCCTGGGCAACAGAGCAAGACTTTGCCTTGGAAGAAAAGGAAGGGAGGAAGGAAGGAAGAAAGGAAGAAAGGAAGGAAGGAAGGGAGGAAGGAAGGAAGGAAGGAAGGAAGGGAGGAAGGAAGGAAGGAAGGAAGGAAGGAAGGAAGGAAGGGAGGAAGGAAGGAAGGAAGGAAGGAAGGGAGGAAGGAAGGAAGGAAGGGAGGAAGGAAGGAAGGAAGGAAGGAAGGGAGGAAGGAAGGAAGAAAGGAAGGGAGGGAAGGACGGAGAGAGGGAGGGAGGGATGGAGGAAGAAAAGGTAGAGATATGAAGAAAACTATCAGAAAAAAGCTAAAAAGGTAAAAAATCATTGTCTCCAGGCTGGGGCATTAGGTTTACAAAGAGTTGGGACAGAAGATTGTTGCTTTTCATTATAAGCCTATCTACATAAGCTCTTAGTATTTTTTAAACCATGTATTTATATTACTTTTATTTAAAATAATTATTAATTAAAAACAACAACAGCAGAGCTCACACCTGCAATCCCAGCACTTTGGAAGGCCAAGGTAGGCAGATTGCTTGAGCCCAGGAGTTCAAGATCAGCCTAAGCAACATAGAGAGACCCCTCTCTTAAAAACAAAACAAACGATCAAAGAAAAAAACAGAAAGTGGATAAAAAAGAAACCATGGAAAGGAAATTCATTTGGCAATGATGTGGTGCACATTCTAAAGCATAAATGCAGTAGTTGATTCTGTTGGGGTGGGGATGTGAGTTCTTAATACTCCTGTTTCCTTCCAGCCTTTCTCCACCCCTCCCCTCACTCCTGCTGGGAAGGAAGAGTGACTCATGATTGGGGAGTTTCAAAGTGTCACCCAGCCCCTTCCTCTCAGCTTCCCCTTGGGCATAAGCCTGCCCACTAAGGGCTTGAATTCCCAATTGTGTCTCAAACAAGTGCTGGGGACCCAACAGGCCCCATGCTAGGTGCTGAGGGATATGAGATTTAAACATCACAATCCCTGTCCTTACAGAACTCACATTTTAGTGGGAGAGACAAAGAAGGGACATCTAGTACAGTCCAGAGAAGGTCAAAGAAGGCTTCCTGGAGGAGGTGACCTCAAGTATGAATGGAGATTCTTTCAGGCAGTAAATCAACCCAGAGGAGTCACCATGGTGGTTGAGACAACTGGAAGTAATTTAGAAGTAATTGAGTGATGCTGGACCATAAAAGGCAGGGTGGGGGACAGTAAGAAGGATGCTAAATAGTGAGGAATGTTGTGTGCCAGGCTGAGGAGCCTGGGCTTTATCCCAAGGGCAGTGGGCAAGGGTACAGAGCTTATGAAGATTTTATACGCAGTAGGCAACATGGCCATATTTGTAATGTGAACAACCACTGCAGGACAGCAAATATATTGGATGAAGGAACCACAGATTGCCTGGGTTTCTTAACAGAGCAATCTCTCCCTGCTCCACCATCACTATGTTTTCATCCGTCTTGCCCTGACAACATAGGGATGCTTCCTTCCAATGAAATCTCACTTTCTGCCCACTGTGGTCTTCTTCTAACCTCCAAAAACTACCGCCCAGGAGTTTCAAGTAGCAGGATTTTGATCTGGCTGCACCTTTGCTCTGTCAACAGTTTTAGCAAAACCGCCTTCCACCTCTGCAGACAATTTAGAGATAGCACTTCTGAAATGGTCTGTGGATAAAGGATGTTGCTGCTCTGGGAAAATGTGTCTGCCTCCTGCCAGCAGGAGACAAAGAGCACTGAAACTGTGCCAAAGGATGCTGTCCAGAAAGGGAAGGTCAAACAGCCCTCAACATTCTCTTTGTTGAAGTCTTGCCTTTTTCCATTTTTACATTCAAATCAGCTTCCCCACCCCCATGTCCTTTGGGTGGGAGGGAGGTTAAATAATGCTTCTTAAGAAGATTATGTACTTTCCCAAAACTCCACAGTCCTTGCCCACCAGGAGGGAAAAGGTAGTGAAATATAAACCAAAAATAAAATTCTAAACCCCCCAACCATCTGAATGGACTCCCCCTCTCAGTCAAGGGCATTCCAAAGTTAACCTGAAAAAGTAGTTCAGGCCATGATAGGAAGGGGGATTCAGATATGCCTCATTATTCCTTCCTTCCTTTTGAAATTCAGGTCCAGCTGACCAGCATTAACATCAACACAGACCTTAAGACTGATAGGCTCTAAGTCTGATGAGAAATATTTACAACGTATTCTCTCTGAAGCCTGCTACCTGGAGGCTTCATCCGCATGATAAAACCTTGGTCTCCACAACCCCTTATCTAACCAGACATTTCTTTCCACTGATGCCACGTTTTTAGATAATCACTCTTTCAACCAATTGCCAATCAGAAAATCTCTGAATCTACCTATGACCTGGAAGCCCCCAATTCCAGTTGTCCCACCTTTCTGGACCCAACTAATGTATATCTTACATGTATTGATTGATGTCTTATGTCTCCCTAAAATGTATAAAACCAAGCTGTAGTCTGACCACCTTGGGCACATATTCTCAGAATCTCCTGAGGGCCATGTCACAGGCCATTTGTCACTCATATTTGGCTCAGAATAAACCTCTTCAAATATTTTACAGAGTTTGATTCTTTTCATTGACAGAAGATACAAGGATGCCTACGGAATGGAATGTAGACCAAAAAAAAATAATAATAGTAATGTGGCCGCTCCATCAAGTCCCCCACTCCATTCTCCTCTAATTCTGTGGCTGGGCATATCAAAGCCTACCTGGTAAAGAGTTGATGTTCTGTGAATGAATGAGACTTTCATACAGAATATTAAATCTGCAATATAAACAGATATTCATCAGAAAACCATATACTATCATGTACTCCATAAATATATACACATACTATGTATTCATAAAAATTTTTTAAAAACCAACCAAACATGGCCAGGCATGGTGGCTCATGCCTGTAATCCCAGCACTTTGGGAGGCTGAGGTGGGCAGATCACCCGAGGTTGGGAGTTCAAGACCAACCTGACCAACATGGAGAAACCCCATCTCTACTAAAAATACAAAAATTAGCCAGGTGTGGTGGCACATGCCTGTAATCCCCCCTACTCAGGAGGCTAAGGCAGAAGAATTACTTGAACCCAGGAGGGGGAGGTTGCGGTGAGCCAAGATCACGCCATTGCACTCCAGCCTGGGCAACAAGAGCGAAACTCCATCTCAAAAAAAACAAAAACAAAAAAAACCAACCAAACAAAAACTATTTATCATTGTATTAGTCTGTTTTCATGCTGCTGATAAAGACATACCTGAGACTGGTAAGAAAAAGAGGTTTAATTGGACTTACAGTTCCACATGGCTGGGGAGGCCTCAGAATCATGGCGGGAGGCAAAAGGCACTTCTTACATGGTGGCGGCAAGAGAAAATGAGGAAGATACAAAAGTGGAAACCCCTGATAAAACTATCAGATCTCATAAGACTTATTCACTACCACAAGAATATTATGGGGGAAACCACCCCCATGATTAAAATTATCTCCCACTGGGTCCCTCCCACAACATGTGGGAATTATGGGAGTACAATTCAAGATGAGATTTGGGTGGGGACACAGAGCCAAAACATATCAATCATATATCCAATTTCACCTTTTTGGGATACCATTAAAGAGATGAGAGGCCAGGGGCAGTGGCTCATTCCTGTAACCCCAGAGATGTGGTGGGAGTATCACTTAATGCCAGGAGTTCGAGACCAGCCTGGGCAAATAGCAAGACCCCATCTCTACAAAATATTTTTTAAATTAGCTGGACATAGTGGTGTGAGCTGTAGTCCCAACTATTTGGGAAGCTGAGGGAGGAAGGTTGCTTGAGCCCAGGAATTCAAGACTGCAATGACCCATGATCATACCACTGCACTCTAGCCTGGGTGACAGAACAAGACCCTGTCTCATAAATAAATAAATAAATAAATAAATAAAAAGATGGGAGATGTTATGGGAGAATCTCAAGATGATTCCTTGAGACCTGAGACCCATGGCACCACCATAAAAAGAATTTTTCCTTCTCAGGAGGATAGACAGGGATGAATGGAGTCAGGACCATTGTCCCTGGGAAATGCATGCCTGTGCCCCTGGCACAGTAAGGCTGTATCTCTGACCTGAGAGGTGAGAATGCAGAACCCCTGAAATCCTTGCTGGAAACCTCTCTCTTCCAAAATCCACTTACTTGTCCATTCCATACAGATGTCTGCCAAAGAATCAAGCTTCATGCTGTGCTTGATTCAGACCTGTCAGACTTCAGATTTTTCTACAGATGGAGAAGTGAGTAAGTCCAGCCTACAATGGAAGGTTAATTAACATCAGTCTGGAGATTTCATTTCCAGCTGATGGATTACGTATCGCAGGTCCAGTGAGTTCATTTGCAGCTCAGGGGAACAAATGCAAAGGCTTAAGACAAACGTACTCTTTAACTCAAGACAACCAATACAATGTCTTATAAGCTGTGTGGTCATCATAAGCCTCATACTAAAAGGTTATGTTCCTGGGAGATTAAAGAAAATCTTTGTAGTTGAAACATTAAATATCTCAGAGAACCTCTTTTTCCTTCTCTATAAACATTAAAGAGAGGAGCTATAATGGTAATGTTGACCAAAAAAAAAAAAAGCCAAATTCTGTAAATTATTTAAAGAGGTTTATTCTGAGCCAGTATGAGTGATCATGGCTCAGAGTACAGTCTCAGGAGGTCCTGAGAAAGGATGCCCAAGGTGGCTGGGTTACAGCTTGGTTTTATACATTTTAGGGAGACAGAAGTGACAGGCAAAAATATAAATCAATACATGGAAGGCATATACATTGGTTCAGCCTGGAAAGGTGGAACATCTTGAAGCAGTGGATGCTCATAGGTTCTACGTGGAGTCAAAGATTTTCTGACTGGCAATTGGTTGAAAGAGTTAAGCTTTGTCTGAAGAATTGAACTCAGTAGAAAGAAACGCTTGAGTTAAGATAAGGGGGGTTGCAGAAGCCAAGGTTTTGTGCTGACTCAGCACACGAGGACGGTGTCAACTCCCTATGACTTCATCTCTGACCCAACCAATCAGCACTCCCCACTTTCTGACCCCCTACTCACCAAATTATCCATAAAAACCACCATCCTTGAGTTTTCAGGGAGATTGATTTGAGTAATAATAAAACTCTGGTTTCCCATACAGGTGGCTCTGTATGAATTAAACCCATTCTCTATTGCAATTCCCCTGTCTTGATAAATCAGCTCTGTCTAGGCAATGAACAAGGGGAACCCAATGGACAGCTATGATACCAGCGTCAGGCTGGAATTTGGTATCTTATTGTCAGTCTTATGTGCACTATTGAATATTAATGCTGGTCAGTCGTGGCTAAACTCCAAAAGGGAGGGGGTATAAGGAGGCGTGTCCAACCTCCCTTCCTTTCATGGCCTGAAATTTAGTTTTTTAGGTTTTCTTTGGCCCAGAGGGGGTCCATTTAGTCAGTTGGGGAGCTTAGAACCTCATTTTTAGTTTACAGTAATGAGACACAGCAGATGAGTAGATTGATTTTATTTTAAGACAGAGTCTCACTCTGTCACCCAGGCTGGAGTGGAGAGTGGAGTGGCACAATCACAGCCCACTGCAGCCCCAACCCCCTGGACTCAAGCAATCCTCCTGCCTCAGACTCCCAAGTAGCTGGGACCTCAGGCACTTGCCACCATGCCTCGCTGGGGTCTTTTAAATTATTATTATCTGTAGTGACAGGGTCTCCCTATGTTGCCCAGGCTGGTCTTGAACTCCTGGCCTCAAGCGATCCTCCCACCTCAGCCTCCCCACGTGCTGGAGTGAACCACTGCAAACCTGGCTTCAGACGAGTGGATTTAAACTTTAAATCCACTCATCTGTGCCCCAACTAAGTTTCCATGAGTGAGCCTGTGGTTACTGGAATGTGAGATTTCTCCAACTTTCTTTCCCTTATCATTCTTCAAATTACAACTTCAGTGGAGCATTTAAAATTATAATTAAAAATTCCCTGAGGTTGATCCAAAAAATTAAATATCTGATATTCATGTGCCTCTATACAAATGGGAAATTCATCTATGCCTCTCCCAAATAAATATGATTGGATATCACAAGAACCATAAAATTCCTCCCTTAAGGAAGATTATGAGAGAGACCAGCACACACACACACAGTGCAAGCTAAAGCAACCCCGTCTTGGATGCTAATCCACCAAGTTGATGTGTTTTGTTGGTTTTTTGGTTTTGTTTTGAGACAGAGTCTCACTCTGTCGCCCAGGATAGAGTGCAGTGGTGTGATCTTTGCTCACTACAACTTCCACCTCCTGGGTTCAAGCGATTCTCCTGCCTTAGCCACCTGAGTAGCTGGGATTACAGGCGTGTGCCACCACGCCCAGCTAGTTTTTGTATTTTTAGTAGAGATGGTGTTTTGTTGGCCAGGCTGGTCATGAACTTCCGGACTCAAGTGATCCACCTGCCTCAGTCTCCCAAAATGCTGGGATTACAGGCTGTGAGCTACCACACCCGGCCAACCAAGTTGACTTCTGATTAACCAGCTTTTAGGGAAGGCCTCTAAGATTTCCAGTTTATCTATTGTTCCTTGTGTAAAAGTATGTACTTACCATAAATCCTGCCCTTAGGCAGATTCACACAGCATTCTTGCCTTTCCCTGGGGGACTGACTTCAAATGTCCGTCACATTCCTTTCCTATAGCATATAGGCCCTGGGTCTTGGGGGTAATGGCATGGGGATCCACCATCTTGTCTCCCTGCCGCTGAAGCCAGAGACTATGGCTTCTGTTCATAAATCCCTTTCTCCTTAAATATGAAGTCAAAGGTCATGTAGATAGGAGCTGCTGCTGAAGAAGGGATTTTTTGTCTGAAGAGTTCTGTCCCCTGGGCTTACTTGGCTATGGGGTGGACCCCTGGCCAGGAGACAGCAAACTGTTTCAGTAATGTGCGTGTCGTGCGTGTGTGTGTTCTGTGGTGAGCAGGCCTATGCCATTAAACAAACGGTGTGGCTTTGGGCAAGCTGCTATCTTGGGACCTCAGCACACTCATTCATAAATTGTGTCTTTTGGGTGAGATTTGTCTTGGGGTCTTCAAAACCCCTGAGACTGTGGACACATACAGCAGCCTAACGGCATTGAGGAGGGCAAGCATTCAACAGTTAGGACAATGTGAACTGTAGCTCAGCTCTGCTAGGTACCTTCACAAGACCTCGAATGCTGCCCCTTACTATGCCTCGGTTTTCTTATCTATAAAAACGGCATTTTTATCTTGTTGGTGGAGCTGTTAAATAAATTAAAAGACGTAAAGGGTCTGGCACCATGGTTGGCAAAAAATATCAGTTTCCCTTCTCGACTTCTCGATTTTGCCCAGGACCAGTGATGTTCACATTCAGGACCTGCCTGAACCGGCAAGCCCTCCACGTGGGTCCAAAGTGCAAAGGGAAAGTCACTGCTAGAGGCGCCAGTACCAGCATAGCGCCCCCACGCGCCGAGTCGGGGAACTGCCGCGGGGGCCGGCCCCGCCCACCAGCGCCTGCGCCTGCGCAGAGGCACCGCCCCAAGTTTGTTGTGACCGGCGGGGGACGCCGGTGGTGGCGGCAGCGGCGGCTGCGGGGGCACCGGGCCGCGGCGCCACCATGGCGGTGCGACAGGCGCTGGGCCGCGGCCTGCAGCTGGGTCGAGCGCTGCTGCTGCGCTTCACGGGCAAGCCCGGCCGGGCCTACGGCTTGGGGCGGCCGGGCCCGGCGGCGGGCTGTGTCCGCGGGGAGCGTCCAGGCTGGGCCGCAGGACCGGGCGCGGAGCCTCGCAGGGTCGGGCTCGGGCTCCCTAACCGTCTCCGCTTCTTCCGCCAGTCGGTGGCCGGGCTGGCGGCGCGGTTGCAGCGGCAGTTCGTGGTGCGGGCCTGGGGCTGCGCGGGCCCTTGCGGCCGGGCAGTCTTTCTGGCCTTCGGGCTAGGGCTGGGCCTCATCGAGGAAAAACAGGCGGAGAGCCGGCGGGCGGTCTCGGCCTGTCAGGAGATCCAGGTGAGCGGGGCCGGGTCCTAAGCCGAGCGGAGGACGGAGCTAAGCGCGGGGGCGGGTCCTCAGCTGGGTGGGGGCGGGGCTAGGTGTGGAGGCGGGGCTCTGAGCAGATCGAGGGCCGAGGCGAGGGTCCTTAAAGCTCATCTATTTCACCATTACTGATCGGCTGCTATAAATAAAGCCAGCACCTCCCATTTGTTTTAATGTTTCCCTTCCTCAAATGAAGACATGTTGCCGATTACAGCTCCTGTCGCAGCACAGCAAAAGGCTTTGTGTAAATTTTCTAAAATGTACGGACAACTAAATCATAACATTCCTATCCCTTTGAGGTAGTTGCCGTCCCTAATTTATGGAGAAGGAAAGTCCTCAGGTGAAGGGACTTGCTCGAAGTCACACAGCTAATAAAATGCAGTGCCCTTAACCACTGAGCCAGGCTGCCTCCGCCGTTTAACCAAAGGATTAGTAGTGACAGAGCTGAAACCGCAGTAAAAACTATGAACGGCGAGAAAAACAGTCCTAACATTTTAGTTACCTGTGTAGAGTTATCCCTGCTGACTGGATACACAAGGGTTCTTAGGGTTTTTTAATGCTTAAAATAGCACAAGACTTCTCTTTTTGCCCAACCAAAGTCTGTATTAGGGTTCTCCAAATGGAATCAATAGGATGTGTCTATATAGAGGCAGGTTTATTTTGAGGACCTGGCTCCCTATGGGGATTGGCAAAGTCTTAAAAGCCGCAGAGTAGGCGGGCAGGCTGGAGAGCCAGGGAGGAGCCAGCGGTGCAGTTCAGGTTTGAAGCCTGGCCGCTGGCAGAATTCCATCTTCTTCCAGGGAGGTCACTCTTCTTCCTGGGGGTGTAGAACCACTCACTAAATTAGCATAGCCCCTGCATTTTACAGGTTAGGGCTGAGGTGGTGGAAGAGGGAGTGACTTGCCCAAGGACACAGCTGTTAGGGCCAAGCAGTGGCTCCTGGGTTTCCTGGTTTCCATCCCAGTTCTTATTGCTCATCACCACTGTCTCATGTTTGAGCTCTGGCCAGTTTGGGGTGACAGGTGACATCTGGCCTAGTCCCCAGCCCCTGACCTTGTCTTTTGCCACAGCTTAACTGGCAGAAGCTAAGGATGGGAAATTTGACTAATCCTGCTTAAAACTAAAGAGGCTTTTTTAACTGAGGAGATTGATCCTCCTAAACTTACCATTCACACACACCTTCTTCGCACACTTCACCCTCCTATGCCTGAAAATGTTATTAGTTATCAATTAATTTCACATTAAAAAAATTTTTTTTGGTCAGGCACTGTGGCTCATGCCTGTAATCCCAGCACTTTGGGAGGCTGAGGCGGGCGGATCACGAGGTCAGGAGTTTGAGACCAGCCTGGCCAACATGGTGGAACCCTGTCTCTACTAAAAATACAAAAATTACCCGGGCGCAGTGGTGGGCGCCTGTAATCCCAGCTACTTGGGAGACTGAGGCAGGAGAATTCCTTGAACCCGGGAGGCGGAGGTTGCAGTGAGCTGAGATCACGCCACTGCACTCCAGCCTGGGTGACAGAGCAAGACTCTGACTGGGGGGAGAAAAAGTTGTTTTCACTGGCTACTTTTGCTGGAATTAATTTCACATTTAAAAAATTCTGGGCCGGGCGGGGTGGCTCATGCCTGTAATCTCAGCACTTTGGGAGGCCAAGGCGGGCGGATCATGAGGTCAGGAGATCGAGACCATCCTGGCTAACATGGTGAAACCCCGCCTCTACTAAAAATACAAAAAAATTAGCCAGGCATGGTGGCAGGCGCCTGTAGTCCCAGCTACTCGGGAGGCTGAGGCAGGAGAATGGCGTGAACCCGGGAGGCAGGGCTTGCAGTGAGCCAAGATCGCGCCACTGCACTCCAGCCTAGAGGACAGAGTGAGACTCCGTCTCAAAAAAAATAAAAAATAAAAAAATAAAAAATTCTGAAGCCAGGCATGGTGACTCATGCCTATAATCCTGGTGCTTTGGGAGGCCAAGGTGAGAGAATCTCTTGAGCCCAGGAGTTGAAGACCAGCTGGGACAACATAGTGAGACCTTGTTCCCACAAAATATTAAAAAGTTAGCTAGGCATGGTGGCACATGCCGATAGTCCCAGCTACTTAGGAGGCTGAGGTGGGTGGATTGCTTGAGCCCAGGAGTTTGAGGCTGCAGTGAGCTGTAGTTGCAACACTGCACCCCATCCTGGGCAACTAGCAGGAGTGTGCTAGTAGCAAGCTCTAAAAATTTATATTATAAAAATATATATATAATGTGTATATATATGTATATGTGTATATATGTTGTGTATACTATAATATGTATGTTCCATATAATAGTATATAGTATATTTTATATATATACACACACACGTTGCTTCTGCTCCATGAAGTTTATAAGGGAAGTTGGATTTTCCTTTTTTTTTTTTGATACGGAGTCTCACACCGTCGCCCAGGCTGTGCAATGGCACGATCTCAGCTCACTGCAACCTCCACCTCCCAGATTCACGCAATTCTTCTGCCTCAGCCTCCTGAGTAGCTGGGATTACATGTGCACACCACCACACCCGGCTAATTTTTTGTATTTTTTAGTAGAGACGGGGTTTCACTATGTTGGCCAGGCTGGTCTTGAACTCCTGACTTCATGATCCGCCTCCCTCGGCCTCCCAAAGTGCTGGGATTACAGGCATGAGCCACCACGCCCGGCCTGGACTTTCATTTTTTTAAAAGGTTCAAAGTTATAGTGCAAGGTTAAGTTGCTTACAGATAGCAGGTGCTTTAGGAACCCTCTAGAAGGAAAGTTGCCATGGGCTGGGTCATCAGGGCTGGTCACAGAGGAAGGAGGAGCTTGAGTTGGGCTTGATGGCTGAGCAGGGATGAGCCAGACAGAGCAATACTATAGAAACAGGGGCTGGAAGGATGCTGTGAGCAGCTTTCAGAGGGAGGCGTCCAAAGGATGAGTGCAGGCAGCGTGCAGACCAGCCTGGCAGCAGCCAGAACACAGATAACCTCCTGGGCAGTCTGATGGACAGCCGAGTGACACATGAAAGCAACATATTTTGATGTGGCTCAGAGCAGGGAAGGCACGGCACTGAGAGTGGGGTAGTCTAGAGATGGTGCCTGGTAGGCTATGGCCAAGGGGCATATGCAGAGCTGTGCCTGGCACCCAGGGGTGACTAACCTTGGAAAGGAAGAGCTCAGCAGATCAGACCATTTGAGAGGGAAAGCGGAGCCTGGGTGACTGGAAGAGTGACGTCACCGCTGCCTGAAGCAGGGGAAGACCCACCAGATTTTTGTCACATGGCCTCTTTCCCAGTGCAGCACTGCCCCCAGCACCTGCACCTCCATCTATTTCTGTCTGAACTCTTGTACTCTTGCTACCTTTCTGGACAGAGTAGCCTCATCGGGGCCCTAAGAGGCAGAGAGAGAAAGACAGTACTGAATCCCTCTGCTCTGGGGATGCGCCTGATGTCACCCACTTGCCTGAGAGACCCTCTGAGATCACTGTGGATCACACACTCCTGCTAGTTGCCCAGGAGCCGTCAGCCAAGGTCTTTGCAGAGCGAGCTGTCTCCATAATCAGACACCTCCAGAACTCTGCTGGAGAGTGAAGGCAGCAAGGAGAGGTGCACTGGCTGCGGGACGTGGGGTTTCTGACCTCTCAGATCATTGAGTATTGTGATCCCAGTGAAGCAACAGAGTTTGAGAAAAATCATTCTGAATAATGAGAAAGAAGATGGCCTGGACCCAGGCTGAGCAGTAGAACCTGGTTGGGTTGTGTTTTTCTGGTTTATTGATCTGGTCGACGTGGACCACGCCTTGCTGCACCTCTCTCTGCCTCCCCTGTTTCCCTTTTCTTGGGCCTTCCTAGGCTCCCTGGCTCACGGTGCATTCTTTTCTCATCACAGGCAATTTTTACCCAGAAAAGCAAGCCGGGGCCTGACCCGTTGGACACGAGACGCTTGCAGGGCTTTCGGCTGGAGGAGTATCTGATAGGGCAGTCCATTGGTAAGGGCTGCAGTGCTGCTGTGTATGAAGCCACCATGCCTACATTGCCCCAGAACCTGGAGGTGACAAAGAGCACCGGGTTGCTTCCAGGGAGAGGCCCAGGTACCAGTGCACCAGGAGAAGGGCAGGAGCGAGCTCCGGGGGCCCCTGCCTTCCCCTTGGCCATCAAGATGATGTGGAACATCTCGGTAAGCACCAGGCCTTTCATCTTTAAAGGAGATGTTCTCAAAATGCCCATCTTAGTGGGCCTGGTGAGGATTTTTTCCAGGAAGTAGGTAGGAAAAGACAGATTATCCACAGGAAAGGTGCCTGTATAGTCAGGTTACCTCCCCCTGTTACACAGAAGTCTAAACCAGAATGTTTGAAATTGTATTCTGCCCACAGATCACCCAGAGATCAGGTTCAAAGGTAGATTTTGGCCAGGCCTGGTGGACCATGCCTGTAATCCCAGCACTTTGGGAGGCCAATCACTTGAGCTCAGGAGTTTGAGACCAGCCTGGGCAACATGATGAAACCCCATCTCTATGAAAAATACAAAAATTAGCCGGGTGTGACAGCTTGCACCTGTATGTAGTCTTAGCTACTTGGGTGGCTGGTGGCTGAAGTGGGAGGATCACTTGAGTGCAAGAGGCAGAGGCTGCAGTGATCCAAGATTGTGGCACTGCACTCCAGCCTGGGTAACAGAGTAAGACCCTGTCTCAAAACAAAACAAACAAACAAAAAAAACCCAAAGGTAGATTCTGATTCAGCAGGTCAGGGATGGGGCCTAAGATTGTGCCTTCCCAATAAGCTCCCACGTGATACCAATGCCACTGCTCTGTCAACCACACTTTGAGTAACAAGTGCCTAAACCACTGATTTCTACCTTGATTGGTTAGTTCACCATCCCCTCCTTCCTGCAACCTGCCTCACTGGAGAGGGGGAACTGGATCTCTTTCCTTTAAGCTCACTCTGCAAGCCCACCTCCAGCTCAGAGGCTTGCATGTCAACTCCCTACTCTCAACTCTTGGAAGGACTCAAGACTTTGGGAAATTGAAGAGTATTTTTCCCCCACGAAAACAATTTCTGTCCACTTAATTTATTTACCTTGCCATTGCTAGGTAGGTTTTAAAAATGTATTAAGACCCGATGCTCTGTCTCCTGCCCATCCCTGGGCCCATCCATTCAAGGCCGCAGTGGGAAGTGGCCACAGCCGTTCATGGTGGGCCCTAGAGGATGCAGTTTCTTGTTCTGATTTGGGGAATGAAGGTTATTAGACTGTTGCACTCCAAGCTGGGTTAATAGCTAACAAGTAGCCAAATCCTTTGCCTGTGAAACATCCAGTCTTAGCATCAAAACATGCCCTGGTTGGGGCATGACAGCTGTTGCATTCACAGCAGCTACAAGATTGTTGATTCTTACCAGATCTTCTTGATACAGGTTTCATATGTCCTGAGAGCCCTTCCCAATACAATGAGGACAATAAGGTGCTTTCCCCACTCTTTGGTTTTTGTCTGTTTGTCGTGGGGGATGGAGGAAGGCTGTTCTGTGATTCAGTACAACTTCACCCAGGGTGGAGCATGTCAGGCTCTGGCCTGGCTGCTGAAGGGAGCCTGCAGAATGAGTTAGTGATCCAGTGGTCAATTTTGAACTGGTGGGGACCAGAGGCACCGATGGCAGGAAGCAGCACCCCATATCCTGATCACCTTGGCATCTCCTCCAGCCCTGGCATCTAGGCTGCAAGAGTTTGAGGAGTGTGAAGAATCCTCTGAGTTGGCATGGATGGTACCTCTGTCTGCCTCCCAGGAGTAACTAGTCTCAGCCTGCCAGTTAAGACAGGTCATCTTATCTCGAAGGTCAGAGCCAATTCTAGGCAGTAGCTGCCCTGCTCCAGGTTACAGGCAGGGCTTACAAGGAACTTACCATTCTGCTCCGGCCTGTGTAACCCTGGGTTCCTTGTGGGTGTTCCAGGCAGGTTCCTCCAGCGAAGCCATCTTGAACACAATGAGCCAGGAGCTGGTCCCAGCGAGCCGAGTGGCCTTGGCTGGGGAGTATGGAGCAGTCACTTACAGGTAAGTGCCCTCTGCCTGCCAGACTGACTGGGACTTCTTTGAGAGCAACTTCATCCATCACTTATGTCCTCAGCACCTGGTACAGTGTCTGATATGACAGTAGATAATAAAGGCTTAATGTTGGTGATGGATTTTCAGTTAGTGGATAATTTCACTTGGGAAAGATTGCAGGTAATCTGACCCCAAATGATGATGCACTTGCGTAATTCACATTGGAGCAGGGGAGAGGAGGCCCCCCAAAAATGCCCAGTTCACAGTGTTGCATGATTGACTGGGGTTCTCAGATTCCTCCTAAGAAATGCACGGGTAGAGCGCCACCTATCGGAATAAACTGAACTCTGTCCCCACCAGAGGGAACACTCATTTCACTAATAGTTATGTGCACTGATGGTGCCAAGAGATTTTAAAAAAAACAAAAAGTGGTCTGTTGGCCCAGAGGTCTCAGTGTGGCAGCAGAGAGCCCAGGGTGTAAGTGCTAGAATCGAGTATGCTTGGGCTGAGGGAGCCCAGGGGAGGCGTGTGCTGCAGAGGAGGGGCTGCTCAGAAAGCCTTCTCAAAGGGACAGTTTGTGCCACCTTGTGAAGGATGAATTGGCATTACTTGGGCAGAGGAGTAGGGAAGTGGCATTCCCAGCAGAGGGAAGAGCAAGTGAACAGCAGCTACGCTTTCAGCTCAGAAAAGCCCATGTCCACCACCAGCCTCACCACAGGTGGTGAGGACTGACGCGCAGGCTATGACAGAGGAGATACTTGTGCCCACCTCAATATTTACAGCCTGGCTCATGCCTGTAATCCCAGCACTTTGGGAGGCTGAGGTAGGCAGATCACTTGAGCCCAGGAGTTCAAGAGCAGCCTGGGCAACATGGTGAAACCCCGCCTTTACAAAAAATAAATTTTAGCCGGGCATGGGGGCAAATGCCTGTGATCCCAGCTACTCAGGAGGCTGAGGCGGGAGGATCATTTGAGTCCAGGGAGGTTGAGGCTGCAGTGAGCCAAGATCATGCCACTGCACTCCAGCCTGGGCGACCCTGGAGTGAGACCCTGTCTCTCATTTGTAGACCCACCAAGAAGAGGTGGGTCTGCTGCATTTTTGGTGATTTACTGGAGGGCTGGTTTATAGATCTTCATTCTGTCAGAAGCAGGGAGGCAAAAGTATGAAATTAAGGGAGTGGTTGTGGAAAACCCCTTCCATGGTTTGGAGGTTTCCAATGTGACTGGGAGTCCCTGCAGGCCGGTGGAGGTAGCTGCTCAAGTGGCTGCTGCTTCTCCTGAGGCCTTTTTGGAGAAAGTGGACACCTGAATGTCAGCTGCTTTGGGGCTAACATGATCCTTGATGCCTCCTTTTGTGGCATGAGTGGCAGCCGGCCGACGTGGTGCTGTCCTGCTGCCGGAGCACCATGATGTCTGCTGCTGAGACCTCCCATCTGACATAGTCCCTGTCCCTCTTCAGGGACTTTGTTCCTTTAGCAGTTCTCACTGTCTGGCCTCAAATAACACGTCTTTTTCTGTTGGTTCCTTTTTGCTCCAGCTGTACTGTAAACACTCTTTGTTTACTGCATACCCTCAGTAAATACCTGTTGAATGACCGGATAGATGTGGCAGCAGGTACATTACCTCAACTTCTGGTACACCTTGGGAGAAGCTTTCCCAAGAACACCCTGGGTTCATTTCCTCCTAGCCTCTGCTCTCCTGGGGCCCAGAGATTGAAGGCGCTTAACCTGCTCATCTCACCACGTCTCCCGCCTTATCTCTCACCCTTCTCATCAGCACCCTACACTCCACCACGCTGGCTTCATAGCTCCTTCCCCGAATGTGCCAGGCTTCTCTGTGACCATCTCTTGAGCGTACAGCTGGCTATACCTGGGCTGCCCTCCTCCCACATTTCAGGTCTCAGTTCAGACACCCGCAACCCCACCATGTATCTCCCCAGTACAGCCATACTCCTCTGCCCCTGAGCTCCCATGACACCTGCTGGGGCCCTGACAGCCTGGGGCTGTGATCATGACTTGCCCAGGGGCCCGAGGGTGGAAACGATGCTCTGGCTCCTTTGATTGCATAGAACAGGGGCCACTCAGGTTGACTCAAGAGCAGGAGCAGCGCGTGGGCACACGTGGACTGCAGCCACACAGCCTGGGGACCATGCAGTGCTGGGAGAGGCCGGTGCCCTGCTCTCTCCCCAGCACCGTCTAGGCTCTGCCCCATTCGCTTCCCTCCACCATTGTTATGCAGCAAAGGGGGCTCTAGCCTGATGTGCTAGAAGCAGTCACACTGGATTTTTGAGAAAAGCCAAGCTTTCTATTGTGAGTCGACTCATATGGAGACAGGAGTTGAATTCAACCCTGTCTCCCTGTGCTAGCTTTAAGGCGGTAATTTTATTAGAGGAGGTTTAAGGGGTGGATTCTAAGATTAGCAGGTGATTGATGGAAGGAAAGGAGAAGTCTGGACAGTCCTTGGACATGCACAGTTATCTGTTCATGCCAACTCATGGGTCCCCTGTGCAGATTTGGGAGGAGTGAGTATGAAACGTGCAGTGGCAATTCAGGCTTTGACATCAGCAAACTTGTTCTGTGCAAGCTGCAATTGGCCTTATTGGTTCCAACCAATTTCAGCCAGTTCTTTTATCTCATAAGCAGAGGGAGTTTCAGCCTTTCAGAAAGTGGTTTCTGCAAACTCAAATTTTCTTTTATTTTTCTGAGACAGGGTCTTACTCTGTTGCCCAGGCTGGAGAGCAGTGGCGTGATCTTGGCTCACTGCAGCCTCAACCTCCCTGGGCTCAAGTGATCCTCCCACCTCAGCCTCCCAAGTAGCTGGGTCTGCAGGCACATGCCACCATGCCCAGCTAATTTTTGTAGTTTTTGTAGAGACAGAGTTTCTCCATGTTGCCCGGGCTGGCCTCGAACTCCTGGGCTCAAGCAATTGCCTGCCTCAGCCTCCCAAATTGCTGGGATTACAGGAGTGAGCCACGGGAATTTCCATCAGTTACTGATTCTTGAACTTGTAGGAACGTGGTTCCACTGTCCACATGCTGTTCTTTCCTCGCATCTCCTGTTCCTGCTTCCCTTTGGCCTGCTCACCTCTGGCTCCTCATGGCCCCAGTGAAGTATCGTGGCTTCCTCTCCACTGCAGACTGGCAGATTTCTTCACTCACACTCCCAAAAAGAGAATCTACTTCCCTCCCTTCCCTTCGTCCAACCATCTGGGTCTCGAGTGTCACTGTAGGTTCACTGCCGTTGGGGCAGGTGACTCCTTGGGCCAGTCAGCTTTGGCTGAAGGGCAGGGCTGGCACACAGCTGGCAGAGCCACCCCATCCAAAATCCAGCCACTGTGCCTCAGCAGGGCTGTGGTTTGGGGGTCGGGGGGCGCTCCCCACAGGATAAGGAGCAGCCAGGGCAGGCAGATGACACTACCACTACTAGCTGCATCTGGATCTATTCACTTATTCAACAAAGGTTTATTACACCCATATTCTATGCCAACTACTGTACTAGACTTGGAATAATGGAGAAAATTCAGGCACAGTCCTTGCTCTTAGGGAGCTCACATGATTACTCATTGATGAATATCTCTCTCCCCTGATAGACTGCAAATCCATGAGGACAGGGACTCTGTCTTGTTCTGTGCCATAGTTCCACAGCATTCCAGCATGATGTCTGGTACTCAGCATGCAAACAGTGCGTATTGGTTGAATGAATAATAGTACAGCTAATAGCAGCTGAGAGCTTCCTCTGTGCTAGACACGATTCTAGGTGCCTTCCACACTTTGACAACCTTATGCAGCGTGTTAACACTGCATTCCCCTTGCACCCTGGAGATTGAGCCCAGAGAAGATAAGGACAGAGGGGACACATTCCAAGATAGATCCCCCAGTGGATGCCTGAAGCCACAGATAGTAACAAACCCTATATATACTGTGTTTTTTCCTATACACACATACCTATGGTAAAGTTTAATTTATAAATTAGGCACAGTAAAAAATTAAAGATAACTAATAAAATAGAATAATTATGACAATATACTGTAATAAAAGTTATGTGAATGTGGTCTCTCTCTCTCTCCTCTCTCTAAATATCTTCTTGTACTCACCTATTCTCAAACTGTAGATAACTGAAATTGCAGAAAGCAAAACTGTGGATAAGGTTGGGGCTACTGCAACTCAGCCAAGGACTTACAGTGGCAGACCTGGAATGCAAACCCAGGCAGTCTGATACCAGGGTTTCTCCACCTGTGTTCTGCCACATGGGATGGATAGGATGGATGGGTGTACGGATGGACGGACGGACAGACGGATGGACAAATGGATTGAAGGATGGGTAGGGGAGTCATCAGATGTGTTCTCCAACACCATGTACAGTACCTGGCACATAGCAAATCTATGATAAACATTTGATAGTAAGTGAATAATGAATGTCAGTGCCAGTGTTGGTGTGGCCTTAGGTTATTCTTTCCAGGTGTTGTATCTGATGCTGGCCTCATATGTTTGTCTCACTTGGCTGACTAGAAAATCCAAGAGAGGTCCCAAGCAACTAGCCCCTCACCCCAACATCATCCGGGTTCTCCGCGCCTTCACCTCTTCCGTGCCGCTGCTGCCAGGGGCCCTGGTCGACTACCCTGATGTGCTGCCCTCACGCCTCCACCCTGAAGGCCTGGGCCATGGCCGGACGCTGTTCCTCGTTATGAAGAAGTAAGTGACAGCAGCGCGGCAGGGCCTGGAGCTGATACATCTCCCAAGGGGAGCTGGTTCCTGCCCTCCATGTGCACCTTGATCAGGGGGTTTTGGAGAACAGGGTCATCACCCTTCCGGAGAAGAAAGCCATGCAAAGGGAACATATCTGCCCTGGAGAGCATTTTCCCTGTAGGACGATTTTTCATGGAAACAAACTCTCATCTTCATCCAGAACATACTTGTCACCTAGTCCTTTTGGTCCATTTGACTGTTAACCTTTTCTGTGGCTGGACTTATCTGTTTTTAACATAAAAACCGTTCTCCTTCCTCACCCTCTGTATCCCCTAACTTTGCTATAGTGGGTATTTTATTTTAAGGAAATAATTATCTGCACCATTACTTTGAATATAGGGAGCCCCAACTCTTACTTCCTAATTTGAGGATGGTGAGTGGGAGGGAACAGAAAGGATGCTGGGGAAAAGTGGGAATCAAAGTGCTCCTGGAAGGGGAAGAGGAACGGCCTAACCCTAACAGTGATTAAGGTTATTAGGAGGCCGGGAATGGTGGCTGACGCCTGTAATCCCAGCACTTTGGAAGGCGGAGGTGGGTAGATCACTTGAGGTCAGGAGTTTGAGACCAGCCTGGCCAACATGATGAAACCCTGTATCTACTAAACATACAAAAATTAGCCTGGTGTGGTGGCGGGCACCTATAATCCCAGCTACTCGGGAGGCTGAGGTAGGAGAATTGCTTGAACCTGGAAGGTGGAGGTTGCAGTGAGCCAAGATCGTGCTACTGCACTCCAGCTTGGCGACAGAGTGAGACTCCATCTCAAAAAAAAAAAAAAAAACGTATTGGGAGTCGTCGATGTGTGGTAGCCAGAGGCCCTCTCCCCTCTCCGCCAGCTATCCCTGTACCCTGCGCCAGTACCTTTGTGTGAACACACCCAGCCCCCGCCTCGCCGCCATGATGCTGCTGCAGCTGCTGGAAGGCGTGGACCATCTGGTTCAACAGGGCATCGCGCACAGAGACCTGAAATCCGACAACATCCTTGTGGAGCTGGACCCAGGTAGGAACCTGCTGCACCATCAGAGCTCTCCAGGGGCACTAGAGGGTGGGTCAGGAGCATTTAGGACTGACTCTTCAGGTCCTCTCTGGTTTTGTGTTCTAAGTCATGTCTTTATTTAGCTCCGCACACAAGAGGTTAGCAATCTCTCCCTTAGAACGGGGTTTTTTTTTCTCTCTTTGCAGAGAGACAGCACTTCCCAAGTTCCTTTCTCTAGCCCACTTAAAGAACAAGGACCTCAGTGCTGCAAGTTTTCCTAGGTAAATAAAGAGGCCCGGCACAGTGGCTGACACCTGTAATCCCAACACTTTGGGAGGCTTGCTTGAGGATTGCTTGAGGCCAGCAGTTTGAGACCAGCCTGGGAAACAGAGTGAGATCCCTTCTCTACAAAAAAAAAATATGTTTTAAATTAGCCGGAAAAAAAGTTAGCCAGGCATGGTGGCATGCACCTGTAGCCCCAGCTACTTGGGAGGCTGAGGTCGGAGGATCACTTGAGCCTAGGAGTTAAGAGTCTGCAATGAGCTATGAATGTGCCACTGTACTCCAGCCTGGGCAGCAGAGTGAGATCCTATCTCAAAAAAATAATAAAAAATAATAAAGTAAAAGAGAAGTAGACTTTAGCTCATTATAAAAAATAACTTTCGGCCGGGGGTAGTGGCTCACGCCTGTAATCCCAGCACTTTGAGAGGCTGAGGCGGGCAGATCATGAGGTCAAGAGATCGAGACCATCCTGGCCAACATGGTGAAACCCCATCTCTACTAAAAATACAAAAATTAGCTGGGCATGGTGGCGGGCGCCTGTAATCTCAGCTACTTGGGAAGCTGAGGCAGGAGAATTGCTTGAACCCGGGAGGCGGAGGTTGTAGTGAGCCGAGATTGTGCCACTGCATTCCAGCCTGGCGACAGAGTGAGAGTCCATCTCAAAATAAATTAATTAATTAATTAAATTTTTCAAACAATGAAAGCTGTCCAAATGTAAGCCCAGTTGCCTCTGGAAATGAGTTGCCTACCACTGGAAGCATTCAAGTAGAAGCTGAATGGCCACTTGCCTAGGAAAATTGTAAGGAGATTCATACATCTGATAAATTTTTGAACTAGAAGATTTAAAATAATTGACTAGAGGAACTGGCTTTTATTATTTCTTTATTTATTTACTTATTTATTTATTTATTTATTTGAGACAGAATCTTGCTTTGTTGCCCAGGCTGGAGTGCAGTGGCGCCATCTCAGCTCACTGCAACCTCTGCTTCCCAGGTTCAAGCAATTCTCGTGCCTCCGCCTCCTGAGTAGCTAGGATTACAGGCAGGTGCCACCACGCCTAGCTAATTTTTGATTTTTTTTTTTTTTTTTTTTTGAGACTGAGTCTCGCTCTGTCACCCAGGCTGGAGTGCAATGGCATGATCTCGGCTCACTGCAAGCTCTACCTCCCAGGTTCACACCATTCTCCTGCTTCAGCCTCCCGAGTAGCTGGGACTACAGGCGCCCACCACCACGCCCGGCTAATTTTTTTGTATTTTTAGTACAGACGGGGTTTCACCATGTTAGCCAGGATGGTCTCTATCTCCTGACTTCGTGATCCACCTGCTTCGGCCTCCCAAAGCGCTGGGATTATTATTTTTAGTGGAGATGGGGTTTCACTGTTGGCCAGGCTGGTCTCAAACTCCTGGCCTCAAGTGATCCACCCACCTCAGCCTCCAAAATGTTGGGATTACAGGTATGAGCCACCACGCCCAGCTGGGAGTTGGCTTTTTTTTTTTTTTTTTTTTTTGAGACGGAGTCTCACTCTGTCGCCCAGGCTGGAGTGCAGTGGCATGATCTTGGCTCACTGCAACCCCTGCCTATCGGGTTCAAGCAATTCTCCCGCCTCAGCCTCCTGAGTAGCTGGGATTACAGGCACACGCCACTACACCTGGCTGATTTTTGTATTTTTAGTAGAGACGGGGTTTCACCATGTTGGTCAGGCTGATCTGGAACTCCTGACTTCGTGATCCGCCTGCCTCGGCCTCCCAAAGTTCTGGGATTACAGGCGTGAGCCACTGCGCCCAGCCAGGAACTGGCTTTTTAAAGGAATTTTGTGTGGACCCTTTTACAAATAACCAATTCTTTTTTTATTTTTTCTGAGACAGAGTCTCGCTGTGTTGCTCAGGCTGAAGTGATTCTCCTGTCTCAGCCTCCTTCACCTCCCAGGTTCAAGTAATTCTCCTGTCTCAGCCTCCCGAGTAGCTGGGATACAGGCACACACCACCATGCCTGGCTAGTTTTTTTGTATTTTTAGTAGAGACAGGGGTTTCACCATGTTGGCCAGGCTGGTCTTGAACTCCTGACCTCAGGTGATCTACCCGCCTCGGCCTCCCAAAATGTTGGCATTACAGGCCACCACACCCGGCAATAACTGATTCTTAATGCACCTGGTTCTTAGGTTTGGATTTGGGGTTTCAAATTCAAATCAAAGTCTCCTGGGGTATAAGGGCCCTTGGAGATCATTTGAACCAAGCTCTAGCTCCTTTGGTCTTGGGGACAGCTCCAATTACTAGAACATGATTTAAATTGAGCCACACAGTCCTTTGCCTGGGGATTTTGCAGCCTGTACTTACTGGAGGCATTTCCGTGTTCGCACAGCAGGCCCTTCTGATCAGCTCTCAGGCCTTGCTGACCTCCTGGGCCAACACTGAGCCATTAGCCCCTGTCAGCTATGTCTTGCTGGTGGCTTTAGTAGGGACATAGGAGGGCCTCTCAGAGGGAAGGAGGGGAGGAGAAATGGTCACTTTGCTTGCTCCTTCCCAGACGGCTGCCCCTGGCTGGTGATCGCAGATTTTGGCTGCTGCCTGGCTGATGAGAGCATCGGCCTGCAGTTGCCCTTCAGCAGCTGGTACGTGGATCGGGGCGGAAACGGCTGTCTGATGGCCCCAGAGGTGAGTCCCGAGTGTGTCATGCGCCATCGGCAGCCCTTCCCCCACATGTCCACTGAATGCAGGAGACTCGATGCCTTGTGATAACCCAACACCTCCATCTTTTCTGACCCATAATTTGGCACAAGTTCCTTCCCTGCCACTTTGCTTTCCTCCGGCGTTCCCTCATGTTCCAGGAGAATGCAAGTCCTGTCACATAAACCAGGTGGTCTAAGCAGACCCCTTCTGGGTCTGAGCCACAGCTCACTCAAGCTCTGGGTTCCTTGGGACAGAGTTCAGATTAGCCCATGGATCAGGTGATGTGCAGGACATGAAAAGGTTAGATGGGCGGGCAGCGTGATGTCTCACCCACTGCTTCTGAGCAGGTGTCCACGGCCCGTCCTGGCCCCAGGGCAGTGATTGACTACAGCAAGGCTGATGCCTGGGCAGTGGGAGCCATCGCCTATGAAATCTTCGGGCTTGTCAATCCCTTCTACGGCCAGGGCAAGGCCCACCTTGAAAGCCGCAGCTACCAAGAGGCTCAGCTACCTGCACTGCCCGAGTCAGTGCCTCCAGACGTGAGACAGTTGGTGAGGGCACTGCTCCAGCGAGAGGCCAGCAAGGTGAGGCTGTCCCCGGCTTCGAGGGGACGGTGTGGGTAGAAACCTCTGTTCTCGTTCCAGAGTGAAGGTCAGGTTTGGGCCAGAGCCACAGTGACAGATCCTCTGTGTTAGGAAGGTAAAGGCTAGTTACAAGAGAACAAAAAACAGATTTTAATGTAGGTAGGAGTAGGAGCACTAGCCACCACAGCATAGTCAGAATCCTAGCAGTTCAACTCCTGTGGCTTTTTTAGTTGCTGAAAAAGTTGTTCAGAGGCCAGACACGGTGGCTTACACCTATAATCACAGCACTTTGGGAGGCTGAGGCGGGTGGATCACTTGGGACCAGGAGTTCCAGTCCAGCCTGGCCAACATGGTAAAACCCCGTCTGTACTAAAAATACAAAAATTAGCTGAGTGTCGTGGCACACGCCTGTAATTCCAGGTACTCGGGAGGCTGAAGCAGGAGAATCGTTTGAACCCTGGAGGCAGAGGTTGCAGTGAGCCAAGATCGCGCCACTGCACTCTGGCCTAGGTGACAGTGCAAGTCTTTGTCTCAAAAAAAAAAAAAAAAAAAAAAGGCTATTCAGAGAGAGAAAAGGAGGCATTTTTGAGAAATGTTTAATGGAGATGTAGCTCATGGAAGCAGCTGAGAACTGATCAGAGAGAGATGGAAAACATCTCCTGAGAGCAGATCTGGACATTGTGAAATTAATATAAAGGAATGCAAAGGCAGACCTATCCGAAGCCATAATTGGAGTGGCAGCTGGCTCAGGGGCAGGCTTAGTGCAAAGAGCTGAGCCATACCTGCACCCCAGCACTGTTCTGCCACTCCGTTAACTGCTCTCTGTACGTGGCCTGCTATCTTGGTGCGCAGTGAAGGTTAGAACAACAGCTGCAACCAGTTATGAAATGATAGAGGAGACTACTTACCTGGTTCAAGGGACCAGATAGCTGTGCACAAGAGGCACTAGGCTTTCCACCCAGGGGGAAAGGCTATTTCAACAATGCATGCTGCCCCATGCAGAGGTGTACACATGGAAAAGCTTGGAGCACGGGCAGGGGACAGGCAGTATTTGTCACCTGAGTGAAGGGCATCAGTAGGAGATAGGGTAGAGGAAGAATTGGGTTGGGACCAGAGAAGGGAAGACCCTCACTAACAAAGCAGGCTTTGGGTTGAGACTGTGTTAACAGATGTTCTAGCTACAGCTTCCCTTCCTGTTGCAGAGACCATCTGCCCGAGTAGCCGCAAATGTGCTTCATCTAAGCCTCTGGGGTGAACATATTCTAGCCCTGAAGAATCTGAAGTTAGACAAGATGGTTGGCTGGCTCCTCCAACAATCGGCCGCCACTTTGTTGGCCAACAGGCTCACAGAGAAGTGTTGTGTGGAAACAAAAATGAAGATGCTCTTTCTGGCTAACCTGGAGTGTGAAACGCTCTGCCAGGCAGCCCTCCTCCTCTGCTCATGGAGGGCAGCCCTGTGATGTCCCTGCATGGAGCTGGTGAATTACTAAAAGAACATGGCATCCTCTGTGTCGTGATGGTCTGTGAATGGTGAGGGTGGGAGTCAGGAGACAAGACAGCGCAGAGAGGGCTGGTTAGCCGGAAAAGGCCTCGGGCTTGGCAAATGGAAGAACTTGAGTGAGAGTTCAGTCTGCAGTCCTCTGCTCACAGACATCTGAAAAGTGAATGGCCAAGCTGGTCTAGTAGATGAGGCTGGACTGAGGAGGGGTAGGCCTGCATCCACAGAGAGGATCCAGGCCAAGGCACTGGCTGTCAGTGGCAGAGTTTGGCTGTGACCTTTGCCCCTAACACGAGGAACTCGTTTGAAGGGGGCAGCGTAGCATGTCTGATTTGCCACCTGGATGAAGGCAGACATCAACATGGGTCAGCACGTTCAGTTACGGGAGTGGGAAATTACATGAGGCCTGGGCCTCTGCGTTCCCAAGCTGTGCGTTCTGGACCAGCTACTGAATTATTAATCTCACTTAGCGAAAGTGACGGATGAGCAGTAAGTAAGTAAGTGTGGGGATTTAAACTTGAGGGTTTCCCTCCTGACTAGCCTCTCTTACAGGAATTGTGAAATATTAAATGCAAATTTACAACTGCAGATGACGTATGTGCCTTGAACTGAATATTTGGCTTTAAGAATGATTCTTATACTCTGAAGGTGAGAATATTTTGTGGGCAGGTATCAACATTGGGGAAGAGATTTCATGTCTAACTAACTAACTTTATACATGATTTTTAGGAAGCTATTGCCTAAATCAGCGTCAACATGCAGTAAAGGTTGTCTTCAACTGAGCTGTTCTAGTTTTCTCTTCCCCAGCACTGTCATCTAGATTTTCCATTTCAGTGATTCCCACCCCTCGGTCTACTAGCAACAACAACTTTCTTGTATCCTTTGAGGAGACGTTAGGGAGAACCATCATTTCACAGTTAAAAGAAAGACAGTCCAGTCCTAGGCAAAATTTCATGAAGCCACTTAGGATTTTGTATCCAGTCAGTCATCACCCACAGCAACCCCCACCCACAGCCATTAGCAAACCAGGACCGGGGCCAGGTGAAGTTTGAGGGCAACATCTCGCTTTATTTTTATTTATTTATTTATTTATTTATTTATTTATTTATATTTGAGACAGAGTCTTAACACTGTTGCCCAGGCTGGAGTGCAATGGCGTGATCTCAGCTCACTGCAAGCTCTGCCTCTTGGATTCATGCCTTTCTCCTGCCTCAGCCTCCCGAGTAGCTGGGACTACAGGTGCCCACCACCACGCCCAGCTAATTTTTTGTACTTTTAGTAGAGACAGGGTTTTACCGTGTTAGCCAGGATAGTCTCGATCTCCTGACCTCGTGAGCCGCCTGCCTCGGCCTCCCAAAGTGCTGGGATTACAGGCATGAGCCACCGTGCCTGGCCACGTCCCTATTTTAGAAATGAGAGGAGTGACTGCACATAGGAAAAATGCCACTTTTAGCAATTCAAAGTGGAAAAACTTCTTTTATATAAAAATTATCCCAACTCCCACCCCTTGGCTCTCAGTGTTGCATCTCCCACAGAGGTAAAGTTGTGCCATTTTCCCACGGCTTTAAACAAAGCAAAACAAAACCACCAATCCTAATAACCCCCCTCCTTGCCCCGTCTCCACGCTGTGCGGAGAGGGCTCTAGCCCCTCAGTCGGACTTCTCCTTCTCCTTCATGTGCAAGAAGACGATGCTGAAGATGAAGAGCCCCAGCATCATGGAGAAGGCGCTGGCGTAGTAGGGGTAGGCCGAGGGGATGAAGCGCTCATACTGCGTGTGCTGGAGTGGCCGCACGGATACCTGCAGGAGGACAGAGGTGGCAGGACCTGGCCACTGCAGAGCCCAGGCAGGGCACATGCTAGCTGAAAACAGAAGCTGTCACCTGTGCTTACCTGAGTGGAAGAGTACAGGTGTGTGTAGCCTAGCCGGTTGTAATCCACTTTAAACTGGAATACACCATACACGTCGGGCAACTTGAACTGAACACTGTATTTGCCACCTGCGGAAGAACCAACAAGAATAACCGGGAGGGGTTTCCCAGAGCTTTTCCTGGTTGGGCCTCGAGAGCAAGTGAGGCCTGGGGCCGTTTCTGGCAGCATCCTCGTGCAGGAACTACACTCACCTTTCTTCTTCAGGAAGGTCCTCACAAAAGGATCAATGCGGACAAACTCCAGCTGAATGTCATCGCCATCAAAGGGGACCCATTTGCCATTTGAGAGCTGCTGGATCACGATGCTATACTCCTGAGATAAAAGGCCAGGTTAGCCAGGGCTGGCCATGACTGGAGGCCTTCCACCACCTGCAGGCAGAGCTGCACTTAATTCCCACCCGACGAACATGGCAGGAATGCCCAGGAGTTCAGAAGACCTGCAGATGCCCCTGCCACCCGGCCCTGATCAGTAACCAGTCTCTCTCCTCAGCAAGGTTAATCCCCCAACACAGCATCTCTGCCTCTTCTCTGAAGGCCTAGATTCCTTCACACAGTATTCATGGCCCATCAAAGTCTGGACCCAAACCACCCTCCTGCCCCGACATGTGCCAGGCACTTTCAAGTATTCATGCTTCCATATTCGCTTTCTCTTGCCTAACAAATTCAACCTAATGACCTATTTCTCTTATTAAGTCCAACTTCCTGGGCAGAGTTAATCAGTGAAGCCCCTCCCACTGCTGCCCCCCATAGCAAATACACACACCTCTTCAAAAGAAGTGCTCCTATTAGGACATCAGTTTTCACGCCAGGCTCTGCATCTCACCTGGCATGCTTAGGTGTAGGGATTAACTTATTCATCTTTATTTATGCCCTTTAGGCCAGCAAAGAAGTGTTCAATAAGTGCTTCTGAGCTGAGCTCAGTCAGCTTGGCAAACCCTTTGGGCCCTCCCACCCCAAACATCTCTTACCACTAGGTCAGTGACAGTGTAGGCATTGGGTGGGGCTGTCTCGCCCACCCGATGATGGGACACAGGCCCCACACGGAGGACACCCTCCTCCTTGAACACCCAGCGGGAGAGGGCCACAGCTAGTTCATAGTTGCCTGTCTGGGAATACCTGCAGGAGGGAAACAGGAGCAGCTTGGGCACCAGAGCCACCTTTCCAGTGGTGCCTGATGGGCAGGACCACTCATGTCCACCATGACAGTACCCTAGCGAAGTTCTGCCTGTAGGCCTTGGGCACCTAGGGACTCATGGTTAAAGGGAACGCAGGAAACAAACGAAAAGATATGGCTGGTTGCTTGTCATCTGCACAACAAATACACAAATTTCTAAAAGGAACGGTGGAGGTTAGGGATCTCTAGATAAGTCACTACTACCTTAAAAAATTGGAAGTGCCAATACCAGCAATATAGCAATAAAGCCCTGAAATAATCTGACAGCACCTGAAACACTCAGCCTCTGACACTTTTAGCTAAAAGCCTCCTTCTTCCCCTTCTGAGTCCTCCCCATATACACACACTGCACCACCCGGATCCCCGGCCCCTAAGCCTCCTGGCAGCTACCTCTGGGAGCCGGGCGCCGCCTTCTGCACTGCTGAGTTGAAGAAGGAGTCGCTGAAGAAGTCGAGGGAGCCGCTGAAGATGACGCGGGCATTGTTCCTGGCCTGGAGCCCAGCAATGAGGAGGGTGTTCTTCCCCACCGCATGTGGATACTGGGAACAAAACGAGGCTGTGACCCAAGCAGTTCCAAGTAAGGGAAAAGCTGCCACGCCTCCCGAACAAGAGGACAGCAGGCCAGACCAAAACGACCCTGGCCCTACCTGAAGGGGGAGCCTGAGACCACACCGCTTCTGCCCATGCCCCACCCCACCAACTAGTCATTTCCTTCGCCTCAGCCAAATGTGCTGTTCTGCTTCATTTTTATTTCGAAGCCTCAAGGTTGTGAAGCCCTTACCTGGGTGATAGGCTTGTCCGGGAAGAAGGAGTAAGAGGTGGAAGAGCCCGTCAGGATGTCCAGCACCAAAGGGTTATCAGGATCGGCCACCATCCTGCAGCAGGACGAGAGCAGCCCAGCACTGGCCCCAGGAACTGAGCCCAAGGACATGGGATCCCCGAGAGCCAGTTCTTCCCAGGAATGAATCCTTTTTTCTTAATTGCCAACCACTTAGCTCTTGTCTTGATATAACAATGGAGTCTGACTTGTTTTTGTTTTTGTTTTTCAGACAGACCTCGCTCTGCCACCTGGGCTGGAGTGCAGTGGCACAACCTTGGCTCACTGCAACCTCCGCCTCCTGGGTTCAAGCAATTCTCTTGCATCAGCCTCCCAAGTAGCTGGGACTACAGGCACACACCACCATACCTGTCTAATTTTTGTATTTTTAGCAGAGACGGGGTTTCACCATGTTGGCCAGGCTGGTCTCAAACGCCTGACCTCGGGTGATCTGCCCACCTCAGCCTCCCAAAGTGCTGGGATTACAGGTGTGAGCCACTGCGCTCGGCCAACTTTTTTTTGTTTTTTTTTTTTTTTTTTTTTTTTAAAGAGAGGAGTTCTGTGTTGCCCAGGCTGCTCTCAAACTCCTGGCCTCAAGCGATCCTCCTGCCTAGGCCTTCCCAAAGCGCTGGGATTACAGGTTGAGCCACTATACTCGGCCTTGATATAACAAATTAATCCCATCTACGTACCCTTAAAGAATTACAATTTTGCCTTGATTTCCCAAAAAAATTAAGTGACCCCTTCTTCCCCCAGGTTTCTGCTGTCCTCTCCCTGCTCACTCACTCACCCAACACCTCGAAAGAGGATGGGATTTAGAGATGATTTCCCAACGATGGTTGGGGCCTTCAGCAGGTTCTCAGTGTCAGCCACGATGAGCGTATGCTGCAAAGAGTAGATGGAAAGGTGGGTGGTCAGGAAAAGGTTCCCCAAGCCAGGGAGAACCTCCTCACACCCTCTTGGCTTTTGGCTAAGCAGAGCTTTGCCATATGCCCCTGAAACCTGGAAGGTGACAGGCCTGATTACCTGGCCAAGGTCTGAGATGTCATAGTTGTGATGGTCAATGACAGCCGTTTTCTCCTCGTCAAACTCAATCCCGCACTCACTGCCCAGCTCTCGAAGAGGGTCACCTGCACAGACCGAAGAGACACCTAGCTGAGCCCTTACAGGGGGGCCTTGGGCCAAGTGTCCTTGGCTTCCTTGTGACTCCCTCTCTGTCAGCCCCAGTGCCCTGCAGCTTCATCCAGCTGGGCTCAGCCCCAGATGGACCCCTGGACAGCAGTGTGGTATTCTGCCTCCAGGAGTCAGATTCTGAACTGAGAAAACGGTTCCCTCACTGACTCCCCAGCTAAGGCCCACCCAGTGAATGCTAATTTGGCAGCTTCTGTTTGTAATGCTCTCCAACTCCCTGGAGAAGTGGAAAGCACCAGAACCTCCCAGGTCGGACTCACCAATGTCGGAGCTGGCAGCTACCAGCACACTGCCTCCGCCGTCAATAAAGGCACTGATGGTCTCCACGTTGATGTTGCCTCCAAAATCTGAAAGCAGGCACCAGACACAGTGACCCAGAGGTCTCCTCTCCCTGCTCCTCTGACACTGGCAGGGAGGGGACATGAAGGGCAGAGCAGCCACGATCACTCACAGAGCAGCACCCTCTGGGGGCCACAATGAGGGAGAGGCTTCCCACACCACATCCCAGAACGGGCAAGGCCCCATCCTCGCAGCGTGAAGACTCAAAATTATGGCTCAGAATTAGAAACTTCTGGAGGTTTGGAGGAAACAGTCAAACATCCACTAATTGCACTGGTCAAGTAAGCTGTACACATTTCAACTCACATAGGAAATATGCATTTGGAAATGCCGTACTGCCCATATTTCATCTCATCACCTGCACCTTTCACGCTAGTGATGCTGATCACTGGAGCCAGTTTCCAGAGCCTGTCAATTCCACCCTGTCTAAATGGTCTGAGGAAGAGCACTTCTGCATCTCCAGTGATGCCATCACTTGACAATAGTACTCCCTGGTCTGGCATTAATCCATTTTTCCCTATTAATCCTACAGATTCTATCCATGACATCCACAACAGAGCTACCCAGTACACTGCTTTTTAAAAAGTGATCACCAAAAGGGCTCATTAATTTCCAACATCTGTAACTGTGAGATCCTATCCTTTTCTGGTCAATTAATTGGATCATGTGACTACTGCCATAAGCATCTAAAACTAGCACTGGGTGGGGCTATTTGAGGCTCCAGAGTCTCCCCAAAGTGTACTCTGATATTCAACCTAAGGTAATGAAGACAGTGCTCAGTAATCCATTTATTCATTAAATGAGTAATTCTTGTGAGCCGAGAAGAAAAACAAAGTGGACAATGTGGGAGGGGAGCTCTTGTGCCAAGGTTGTTTAAGGAAGACCTGCAAGTGGCATCTGAAAAGATGTAAGCGTGAGCCAGGCAGTCTGTGGGGTCAGAGGATTCCCAGCACAGTGAACACCAGGTGCAAAGTCCCCGAGGGGGGTGGGCACGGTCACCAGCAAGGGGCCCAGTGTGGCTTAGCTGGAGAGAAAGGAGTGAGCAGCAGGAGGTAAGGCCGGGTGAAGTGAGGGCCCAGGCTGCGCAGGGCTCTGCACCCCACACGAGGGACCTGCCGTGGGGAGCCGCTGGACGATTCTGAGCAGGGGCCTGGCAGGATCTCATTCCTATTTTTGAAGGACGATCCTGGCAGCGGGGTAGAGACTAGGGTACGAGGGTGAAAGTGGCCATGGTGATGGGTTAGAAGGCCACTGTGAAAATCTAGGCAGTGAAGAGTGCTGAGCCGACCTTGGAGCAGCAACAGAGGGAGGCGCGGCAGGCCTCCACGCCTTCTGATGGCACAGCCGCAGGGCCTGCTGATGCTTCGACAGGGGCATTAGAAAAGCTCCAAGGAGTCTGGCTGAGCAACCGGAAGGACGGACATGCCAATTTCTGAGACTGGACAGAGAAGTGTGTCCATTAGACCCTCAGTAGCAGGTGGAAATGACTTTGTAAAGATCTGAATATAAGAGCCCTGTTTTTTGAGGGGTAATCTTCAGCAGAAAACTAAAAGCGCCTTACCTGACTGACTTTCAGGCATACGCAGAAGCTCCTATATTCTCTACCTCTGCCTCTCATGCTACATTCAAAAAGCCATCTATCTACTCTCCTTTGGAGAGGCCAGGCAGTCTTGGACATTCCAAAAGCAGCCTATTGGCACAGTGCAGTGGTTTGCAATCTTGGCCGATTTTGCCCCTCAGAGCAATGTCTGGAGACATTTCTTCGCCGTCACATAACAGGGAAGTGGCCACTGGCATTAATGGGCAGAGGCCCGGGTGCTGTTAAACACCCTACAGTACACAGGACAGCCTCACTATAAAATTATCCAGTCTGAAACGTCAAGAATGCACCTGTTGAGAAACTCTTGTAAAGCTGACAGAACACGGGCTTTGAAATCGAGACCACCTGGAGTTAAAACTAGGCAAATCCCTTCACCCTTCTGAACCCACTTCCCCATCTATAACAGGGATCCGGTTTTTCCCGGGTATAGAGGATGTGCTGAAAATTTCTTCCCTTGTAGACATGATTGCCAGTGACCTGGGAGCCTTCCGATGCCAGAGGGCAAAGAAGCCACTGGGGCACAGACAGGGAAGCCAGGCCAGCACTCACTCACCTGAGAGGGTGACAGTGACAGTAGTCATGGGACGAGGGCAGGGCCCTGGGAGCAGACACCAAACCCCTACCCCGAACCCTGCCCTGCAGCTTCCTCCCAAGGAACGCCTGAGGATTTCCCACAGCAGCACCTTCCAAAGTGTGGAACCCACTCCACCAGAGGCAGAAAAGGCAGCAACGCGAATGCGGGAACCGGGCTTTAAATAACCTTGAATCTCAGAGACAGAAAGTTACTCCCTTTCCTTATTTTTCAAGCTTTCTCCATCAAAGAGAATGTCTTAGTTTGATACTAGTTGTTAGAGCTTCTAATGCTTGCTAATCTCCTTTTTCAAGAGGGAACCTCAGGTTCAAAGCCTTCGGCAGGCAGCAGCATCTGGCTAGAACTTACGGGTGTTGTTTTTATTCTATTTATAGTTACCTTCTACGTACATCAAGTGATGACACTGGATTTCCATTTTCGGTGGTAATTCTGGGCTCGCTATTGTTTCCCTTTTAAAATGTTGTTTTAGTTTTTTTTCTCTTTTCTTTTTTTTTTTTTTTTTGAGACAGGGTCTTGCTCTGTCGCTTAGGCTGGAGTGCAGTTGGCATGATCTCAGCTCACTGCAGCCTTGACCACCGAGGGTCAGCAATCCTCCCACCTCAGCTTCCCCAGTAGCTGGGACTACAGGCATGCACCACCACGCCCGGCTAATTTTGTTCATTTTTTTGTAGAGATGAGGTCTCACTATGTTGCCCAGGCTAGTCTCAAACTCCTGGACTCAAGCAATCCTTCTGCCTCGGCCTCCCAAAGTGATGGGATTACAGGGATAAGCTATCATACCTAGCCTTTTCTTTTTTTTTTTTTTAAGCAGGTCAATTTGAAGAAAAATATTAGGTAGTTATTAGCACAGGAGATACGTAACATGGTAAAAACCATGAAGGACGTGTGCAAATGACTAAAGTTTGGGAAACACTGTTTTACACTCTCTGTCGTTTCTCCCACCAACAGTATCCTCTCTCAGCCCTCTCCCGAGCAGTCTCATTCACTGCTTTTTTCCTTCTGACCTATACAAGCTGACAGTGCCTCCGCTTCATCTTACATCCTGACACAGGGTTTGGTAACTCATTTCAGGTCTTTATTTCCTCAAAAACAGACTGAAAAAACTCCTCCAGGGCAGACTCCCTATCCTTAAGATCTCACCCAGTCCACTGTAAGGTACCTATTTCAAAGTTTCAAACACAGCAAAAACTTGGCAAACACCAGTTACTGCACCGAAGCCCAGTCATCAGAAGATTTCAACTTCTACCAATTTGGGGTGACATCCGCCTAACTAATCTTGCCTCCAAAAAGCCAATTCCAAAAGCACATGTTGCAAGGGAGTTGGGAGTGACACAGTAAGTAACAGAAGCCTAGGGAAAGTACTTGAGGGATTCGGTGGAACTGAATCTCGCATGAACTACAGAGAATAAAGAAGCCATGTCCCAGTTATTCAGGAGGCTGAGGAGGGAGGATCACTTGAACCTGGGAGGTCGAGGCTGCAGTAAGCCATGATAGCACCACTGCACTCAGCCTGGGGGACAAAGCAAGACCCTGTCTCAAAAAAACAAACAAACAAAAAAGGCACCAATGAAGAACTTCCTAAGCTTCATTAACTGAAGGGAGGAAGGCAGTCCTGTCTTACCCAGACAGGGACAACTTGAGTCTTTTAAGAAAAAGATAAACTGAAGCAAATAAAGAAGAGAATGACTAACATGCTCACCAAAAAAGTATGGCAAAAGAGAAATAGCTAAGGAGCTGGGGATGTTCAGTCTGGAGGAGAAACAACCGAATAAGCTGTGATTATGTGAAGGCTATGCCTGCAAACAAGATAAGCATTCTATCTATTCTCTAAGGTGCTGGGGAGCATAAGAACAAAATAAAGCAGGAGACAATATTTCTTAATATAAGAACTTCTTAACAGAATTGTTCAGTGGTGGAGTGGATTGCCTCGTAAAACAAGAATACTCAAGTATCAACTGGATAATCTGGCCAAGATATTCATTCTGTTAAACGACTAGCCCACTGCAAGGCTGCTGGACATATTTATCCAGCCTCAAATGGGAGGAGGGGTGGGGTGGTAGATAATTGCTAAGGCTCTTTTTTCAGCCCGAGACTATGAATCTATCTGAATTCTTAAGATCAACTGCCACAATGCACAATGCCTCTTTATAGCAATCCATATTAATAACAGGCCATTTCCTCTTTCCACCCAGGCAAACCCAACCCAGGAGCTTTCCATCTTTTTATCAGGCCCTTTACAGAGTAAACTCCCTTCTCAGCAGAGCAGCAGGGCCCTGGGTTCCACGGTCTGCAGCAACACTTGACTCCACAATCCTTAGCTGTTTCTTTTAGAAAGATGTACCCTCCTAGGGTCAGGTCAGAAATGAGCATTTTCCTTATCTCCGTGGTAGCACCATCCAGGACTGGCAACCCATCCTGTGACCCAGGACATGCCCAAGAACCAGAAGAAAGCAATCCATCAAGTCCCGGGTCTCGAATTCCAGTGCTAGGGGCGACGCGGAACCCTTACCTTCTACCGAAGGGGAGAAAATGATGAGATTGTCATAGAGGAATTCCCCATACTTTATGAGAGACAGGCTGGGGTCATCAGCGGTCTTGAATGTGAGCTCAAAGCCCCGGTCTGGACAAGAAAAAACAGGTAGTTGAGGAAGACGGGACGCGAAGGGAAACCCCTGCTGCAGACATCGCGGACCCGCACGCCAAGCGGCAGGCCAGACCCGGGCGGCCTGCTCCAGGAAAGGGAGAGGGAAGGAGAGTGGTCAATGCCCTCGATGCTGTACCAACCCCAGGCCCCCACACGCTACCCCCTCGGACCCCGCTCTCACCCTTCAGGCTCCGGAAGAAAAGCGAATGAGTCTCCCGCACGTTGAGGTTGTCCAGCAGCACTAAGGTGCGGGGTCCGCTGGCGCAAACCGCGCCAAGCAAGGGCAGCAGCAACCAAAAGAGGGCCCAAGCCCGGGCCGCGGTGCTGGGCTCCATCTTCCTCCTCCTGCCGAAGGACCCAGCACGTGCACACCGGAAGTACCCCATCTACGGTAGCCCAATCGCGGCTCGTGCCCGTGGAGCACTACCCGGAAGTGATCGGGATACGCCGCGGCTGGGCGTCCAGAGCCGCAGCTTTGGCGATAAGGCGCGGAGAGCGCCGCCGGAAGTGCCCTGGTGGGAGGTGGATTCCTTGAACCCTATTGGTGGGAGTGAATCAAGGCCCCGTCCCCCTAAAGAAAAGGCTCAATCCTAGAGAGACAGCTCTGCAGCCGCGGCCAATCAACGAGGCCGAGCGCCCTTTGCTCCGCCCAGGCCGGCCTCCCGCCCCCTAGTCTGGAGCCCACTTCCCTCTGGAGCTTGCGGGGTCCTCCCCGGGCTTGACCGTCGCGTCCTGGACAGGGTGTTTGGCCACCTTCTTGCTGGCGGGGTCTTCACTGGGCCTGGGAAGGCTCGGGACCAGGAACTAGGCCCCACCTCCACCATTTCTAGGGAGGAGGAGTTGGAAGAATAAGATCAGGGTCAGGGCACTTGGAGCCTCCTTCCTGCCGCTCACGGCTCCAGGGGCCATGGCATGGACGGGCCTGTGCTGCCCAGCTCGGTGGCCCACGCTGGAGACTGTGGATGGGCAGTAGACTGGCCTAGCGATGGTTCCATTTCCAAGTTGCATCTCTCACTAGCCGTTACCCGGGCATTGCACTTCTCTCCAGGACAGTTTCCCTGGCTGTAAATAGGACTAAGGACGAGGTCCAGCTCCGCTGTTTATCTGTGTGCCTTAGGAACAGCCATTTAATTACCTCATCTCTGGGCTCTTGGGAGGAACATGGCAGGTTTTGAAGCACTTAGCGCCGGGCTAGAGTGAACATCCATTCAATAATGTGGCTCCCACCTCTTCTAGGTTAATACAGAGGCCACCCGGTTCATCTCAGACCTGCCTTTGTCCACCAGGGGTTTAAGTAAAAACTACCACAAGCAGCAAGACTTCCACCGTCCTCTGGGTCCCAACCACAATCCTGAGGCCAATGGTGACGGCAACTGTAGAGACAGAAGGTAGCAGTTCCTTTCGGACACTTGTCCACCAACCCAAGAATGGAGCAAAAATCAAAACCTCCCTCCATACATCTTCTTAACGGACTCTACTTCCTCTCCATTCCCACTGGCTCTGCCCCAAGTTAAGCCTCTGCAGAGCTCCTGGCTCCTGCACCCTAACTCCTGCCCTTCCACCCTCGACACACAGTACCACATCCGCCCGCCTCTAATTCAGAGCCAACAGTGTTAAACTGTTAAGAGTCGGCCACGGCACAGGGACACCCCAAGGCTCTTTGCTCTCAGGTCTCCACCTACACTCATCTCAGCAGCCTCGTCCCCTCTCAGTCCTTGCTCAGGGCTTCCATGGAACAGGAATGGCCCAGCCTTTAACACCCTGAGTTCCACACCTCCTGCCTTTTGCTTTGCAGCGCTCTCCGCCAGGAGCGCCCTCCTTACACCCCCATCTTAAACCTCCTGGGATCTTCTCCATCCTTTCTGGGAGCCCCACCCAGCACTGCTCCCTTCAGAAAGGCACTCTTTGTTCCCCATAAAGACCTGATATCGACCAGGCGCGGTGGCTCACACCTGTAATCCCAGCACTTTGGCAGGCCGAGGTGGGCAGATCACTTGAGGTCAGGAGTTCGTGACCAGCCTGGCCAACATGGTGAAACCGCATCTCTAATACAAAAAATTTAGCCGGGCGTGGTGGTGGGCGCCTGTAATCCCAGCTACTCATGAGTCTGAGACAGGAGAATCGCTTGAACCCAGGAGGTGGAGGCTTCAGTGAGCTGAGATTGCCCGCTGCTGCACTCCAGCCTGGGTGACAGAGCGAGACTCAGTCTCAAAGAAAATAAAAATAATTTTTAAAAGACCTGATCTCACCGGCTCTGACTCAGGACGTACTGCTGCCTGCCTCTGGCTGGATATCTCTGTAGTTGTCTAAACACCCCCACCCCAGCTTCTCAAGAGTGTGTGCTCCTTGGCCCAGGCATGTGGCTTGTGGGGCCTGCCATAGAAATTGATACAAAATAGGGAGGAGGAGGACTAACACAGAGCACCTGCTATGCCCCAGGAGCTTTACATACTATCTCATTTAATCTTCACATTAACCCTGTGAGGTGGGCGTTATCCCCATTTCACAGATGAGGCTCAGAGTGAAATGAGGTTCCAGGACTGTGCCAAAGGCCAAGCCTTTTCCCTTAGATTGTGGAGCCCCCCACAGGACTGGCCTGGGATAGAGTGTGCAAGGGGAAGGCTGTGTCCTAGGTACCCCCCTATGTGGGCACAAACAGGGTGGCCTGGATTCATTTCTGGCTATATCAGGACACCCAGTCCCAGCACAGCCCCCAGGACTGTCAAAAGCTGGGCCCTTTTCTGGCCTCAGTGAGACATGGCCCTATTTTCCACAACAAGGGGTCTTGCTTTCCTGGGTCACAGGTCCTTCGAGAATCTAATGAAAATTCAGACGCTCTTCCCAGAAGAATGTACTCACTATTATAGGGAGCTGCAGAAACCCTGGAGGTCCCAGGCAAAAGAACCCTTTTTCCAGAAAGAACTTCCCTGGAATAGCCAGGCCACAATGGCAGGGAGGGGCCCCAAGTGACACTGTCAGAGGGTCAGAGAAGGGGAGCTTATCTTAAAAGCAGTTTATTGGGCAGCTTAATGTGGAGTGGCCTTCCTTGGGCCACAGACCAGCCAGGGGTGGGCAGTGCAGGAAGACCTGCTGTGGGACCCCTGTGCCACCCCATGGGGCAGGGCAGTGCTTAGGAAGTGGGGCCAGTCAGACAGAGGCACAGTTCCTTCCCAGCTGATATTGAGCTTCCTCCACGTGGCAGCTGCTGCCCTCTCCATCAGGGCTGGTGAAGGCCGTGAAGCAGGTCTCAGGCTTTGAGGCAAAGACCAACACTGGTGGGCATGGGTGTGGGCTCTGTGGCAGGTGAGCAGACGGAAACACTGATGTGGTATGAACAGCTGGAGCAGGCCTCTCTAAGGAGGACTATACAGCCTCCGAGGGGCTCCTGCCCAGGGCGGAGGTGGGCTCTCTGGGGAACAGGGAAGGGAATGTGTCTTCCCAGGGCTGAGGGAGCCCTCAGGCCCCGGAGCGCTGTGTGGCAGGTGGGAGGAGACCTGGTTGGGGCTGCCCTGGGAGGGCCTGGCAGTCTCTACATGCCTATAAGGCAGGCAATGGCAAGCAGCTGTGCTCACAGAGGCTCACTGCCAAAGTTGCTTTTGCTTTTCTTACGCTTGGCCTTGGTGAAAGGGATGTCGAGGGACTCGAGGCGGAAGGGCCGGGGCTGGGGCATTTCAGGGGCCTGGGTGGGTGGGATGGCAGAGTTGTTGCTGAGTGGGCAGCTGAGGCCTGGTGGCGAGTTGTGATGTGCTGTGGGGAAGAGGGCAGAGGTGCTGGTAAGCCAGGAGCGCAGGGATGGAGAGAAAATGCCCCAAGTGGGTAGGATGGAGAGCCTGGCCCACCCCACTCCCGCCCCCCTGCCCAGCCAGAGGCCCTGGCCCTGCAGCTGGGACCCCAGGCTCTGCGAGGCTGCTCTGGCTGAGGTCTCAGACCCAGCAACTATGTCTGCATCCAAAGAGGCTGGGCTGGGGAGCTGGGGTTTTAAAGCATCAGACTGAGGCAGCCTGGGATCTCAAGCCAGACAAGTCTGGGTTCAAAGCCCAGCTCCACTGCTTCCTACAACCTTAGAGAAGCTGCTTCGTCTCTGAGCCTCAGTTTCCTCATCTGCAACATGGGCACAATGCCAGGCACTCAATTAATCCTATTCCCCCCGCCCCACCCATTCTGTCTCTTAAATAACCTCAATATATAGAACTCAAATTTGCTCTTTTTTTTTTTTTTTTTTTTTTTTTTTAGAAAAAGTCTTACTCTGTCACCCAGGCTGGAGTGCAGTGGCACTGTGTCAGCTCACTGCAACCTCTGCCTCCCGAGTTCAAGCAATTCTCATGCCTCAGCCTCCCAAGTAGCTGTAATTACAGGCATGCATCACCATACCCAGCTAATTTTTTTTTTTTTTTTTTTTTTTGAGACAGGGTCTCACTCTGTCGCCTAGACCGGAATGCAGTGGCAGGATCTCGAATCACTGCAGCCTCCACCTCCCAAGCTCAAGCGATTCTCCTGCCTCAGCCCCCTGAGTAGTTGGGATTACAGGCACACGCCACTACCGCCCGGCTAATTTTTGTATTTTTAGTAGAGACGGGGTTTCACCATGTTGGCCAGGCTTGTCTTGAACTCCTGGCCTCAAGTGATCCACCCGCCTCAGCCTGCCAATGTGCTGGGATTACAAGGGTGAGCCACTGCACCTGGCCAAGATTTGCTTTTTATTGCTATTTTATTGGAAGCTCTGCGGGCTTTGCTTTCAGTTTTAAAAGCAGATAAAATGAAGTGATGCTTAATTCTTAAAAGCGTGTGTTGCATTTGTGGCCCTTGATAAGTGAAGTCAATCTGCATTTGGAGGAAGTCACAATGCTGGCGTGTGACTCGCCAGGAAGCTGGCGCGTAACTAGTGAGGCCTAAACCCGTGCATCCCCAGCCAGGCCCCTGAGCCATGCACTGAGTGCCTACTAGGGGCCAGGGGAGACAAGACTGGAGCAAAGAGGAGACTCTGTACTGAGCACCAGCGCCCGGGCTGGGCCGTTTCCTCACCTCGTATCACCTAATCCTAAGAAGTTGGTGTTACCCCCCTCATTTTGTAGCTAAGGAAACTGAGGCTCCGAGAGGGAAAGGAGTTTTTGAACCCAGGCCTGTCTGACTTCAAAACTATCCCCTTCACGCCTCTCCCAGTTGTGTGGAGAGGGTGGGGACAGGGGAGGGACACTCACTGAGGCTCTTCCTGGCGTCTGTGCTGAGGATCTGGCTGGCCCGCTTAGATCGGAAGTAGTTGCTGGCAATGTTTTCACTGTTGCTCCGACTGAGCATGAGCCTGTAGCGGTCGTCCTCCTGCCGAGATGCAGATGCCCGTGGTCACGTCCCCTTGTTTGTGCCCCTGGCACAGGGCTCCACAGCCTCTGGTATCCTGGGGCAGTGGGGGCCGCCCCGAGCTTCCCCGAAGTTGTCACAGGGCTGGAGCAGGCACTGCCCACTCTGGTGTACCCTACACCGTAGATCCTGGACTCGGGGGTGGGATCCCAGGCAGCTCGGGGCCAGGAAGTCAGTCTCCAGCCAAGCCTGCACCCGGCCTCCCCTTCCTTGAGATGGGAAGTGCCTTATTCTGTCCTACAAAGCTCAAAACAGGGTGTCCTGCCAGCTCCAACAGGGGGGCCGGGTTGATACACAAGCCCCAAATCTATCACGACATGTTCATAGAATAGGCAATGCGTTGCTATCCTCAGCTCACAGGTACATTTGTGATCATTAGAACTGGAATCCAAACCTTCTTATCACCAAGAGCTATTATTTTTCCCCACTATTATGGACTTGTTTTCTTCAATCTAAATCTCCCTTTTCAGGGAATTGTCCTTCTTCCACTTGACATCCCAGTGGGGTGAGCATTCATAGTGCCCTATACTACATCTGACTCCCATCCTGTTGTTACACAGCTGGACATGTGACCCAGACTGCACCAATCACAGAACCACATCCTCCTAAACACAGTAATTGGTTCAAGAGTAGACACATGACCCAGGCAGAGCCAATCAGAATCTCTCCCCAAGCTCTAGTTTCAGGATGCTTTAAGACAAGGGTTTCCAACCCCCAGGCCATGGACTGGTACCAGTCCCTGGCCTGTTAGGAACTGGGCTGCACAGCAGGAAGTGAGCGGCAGGTGAGCAAGTGAAGCTTCATCTGTATTTGCAGCTGCTCCCCATCACTTGAATTATTGCCTGAGCTGCACCTCTTGTCAGATCAGTGGTGGCATTAGATTCTCATAGGAGGGCAAACCCTATTGTGAACTGCACGTGTGAGGGATCCAGGTTGTGGTTCTTATGAGAATCTAATGCCTGAAGATCTGTCACTGTCTCCCATTACCCCCACATGGGACCGTCTAGTTGCAGGAAAACATGCTCACGGCTCCCACTGATTCTACATGATGGTGAGTTATATAATTATTTCATTATATATTACAATGTAATACTAATAGAAATGAAGTCCACATTAAATGTAATGCACTTGAATCATCCCGAAACTATCAGACCCCCCACCCCGTCCTGACCTGTGGAAAAATTGTCTTCCACGAAACTGGTCCCTGGTGCCAAAAAGACTGGGGACAGTTGCTTTAACAGACCAGGCCTCTCTTCCTTTTGGATCACCAATGGCCAGCAGCCATCCTTCCGGCCATGTGGAGAAAGCCTTCAGTTAGCATACCAAGGGAAGCAGGAACAAGAGGTGAAGACATAGGCCAGGAGCAGTGGCTCACGCCTGTAATCCCAGCACTTTGGGAGGCCAAGGCAGGCGGATCACCTGAGGCCAGGAGTTCAAGACCAGCCTGACCAACATGGAGAAACCCTGTCTCTACTAAAAATGCAAAAAAATTAGCTGGACGTCGTGGTGCATGCCTGTAATCCCAGCTACTCTGGAGGCTGAGGCAAGAGGATCGCTTGAACCTGGGAGGCAGAGGTTGCGGTGAGCTGAGATCGCACAACTGCACTCCAGCCTGGGCAACAAGAGTGAAACTCTGTCTCAAAAAAAAAAAAAGAGGTGGCCGGGCGCGGTGGCTCATGCCTGTAATCCCAGCTCTTTGGGAGGCCAAGGTGGGCAGATCACGAGGTCAGGAGATTGAGACCATCCTGGCTAACATGGTGAAACCCCGTCTCTACTAAAAATACAAAAAATTAGCCGGGCATGGTGGCAGGCACCTGTAGTCCCAGCTACTTGGGAGGCTGAGGCAGGAGAATGGTGTGAACCTGGGAGGCGGAGCTTGCCGTGAGCCGAGATTGCACCACTGCACTCCAGCCTGGGTAACAGAGCAAGACTCCGTCTCAAAAAAAAAAAAAGAGGTGAAGACAGACACAGACCCTGACTGTTTCAGCCCCTAGATCCAGCCGTGCCTGAAACTGGTCCACTTACATGAACTAAAAAATTCCTTATTTTTCTTATGGTTGTTTGCTTTGGTATCTATCGCTTGGAGCTGAAAGCATTCTGACATAACCTCTTTGTGGTCCCAGATTAAGAATGTCTTTTTTCCTGGCAGCAACTTTCCCTTTTTTATGAAGCTGCCAATCAAGCTCTAGACCACCATGAGTGGCCCCTTGCAGCCTGAGTTGCTCAGCCAGAGATGTTTGGTTGGAATTCATTAGCCTAGGAGTGGTCTTATCATAACTGTAAAGGTATATTCTATGTGGGTTTTCTGAAATATTTGTAATGGCTTAAGGCAGAATCAGCTAATTATGGCATACAGACCAAATCTGGCCTGCAGGCTATTTTTGTAAATAAAGTTTTATTGGAACACCATTCATTTGTGTATTACCTGTGGCTGTTTTTGTGCTACAGTGGCAGAGTTGAGTGGCTGTGACAGAGACCACATAGTTCACAAAGCCCAAGATATTTATGATCGGGTCCTTTACAGAAAAATTTTGTTGACCCCTTGTTTTGAACAAAACTCTTAGAGTTTCTCTGTTAACTTAGCTGGTAGTTATTGTCCCCAGCAGCCACCAGAGGCCCAGACACAAGGACACCAAGAGGGGGTCCAGCTGCTTGGGTCCCTCTCTGGTGGCCCTGCCTAGCCTGAGGATCTGTAAATAATAACAACTTTCATATCATTGTTCATGGAGTTGTGTCATGGAAGCTGTGCCTGCTGACCAGGCCACCCCAAGGGACTGGTGGACTCCCGCTGGTGCCCTTCTGTCTGGGCCTCTGGTGGCTGCTGGGGACAGTAGCTCCCAGCTAACTTAAAAAACTGGAAGAGTTTCGTTGAAAACACCCCGCTTAGCTGGGCACAGTGGCTCACGCCTATAATCCCAGCACTTTGGAAGGCTGAAGCGGGCAGATCACGAGGTCAGGAGATCGAGACCATCCTGGCTAACACAGTGAAACCCCGTCTCTACTAAAAATACAAAAAATTAGCCGGGCTTGGTGGCGGGTGCCTGTAGTCCCAGCTACTTGGGAGGCTGAGGCCGGAGAATGGCTGAACCTGGGAGGCAGAGCTTTCAGTGAGCCGAGATCGCACCACTGCACTCTAGCATGGGCGACAGAGCGAGACTCTGTCTCGAAATAATAATAATAATAATAATAATAATAAATAAAATAAAATAAAATAAAATAGAGGCCGGGCGTGGTGGCTCATGCCTGAAATCCCAGCACTCTGGGAGGCTGAGGCAGGAGGATCACAAGGTCAAGAGATCGAGACCATCCTGGCCAACCCGGTGAAACTCTGTCTCTACTAAAAATACAAAAATTAGCTGGGCATGGTGGTGCGCGCCTGTAGTCCCAGCTGAGGCCAAGGCAGGAGAATTGCTTGAACCTGGGAGGCAGAGGTTGCAGTGAGCCAAGATCGCACCACTGCACTCCGGCCTGGTGACAGAGCGAGACTCCATCTCAAAAAAAAAAAAAAAAAAAAAAAAAAAAAAAAAAAAAAAACAACCACCACCACCCATGCTTTAAGAACATGCATTTCTGTTGCACTATAAAATATAGGAGATAGGTCTTGCCACTGAGCTTAGAAAAAGAAAAAAAAAAAAAAAGACAGAATATGAGAGACGGGAAAATAAAGTGACTTAGGAATCCCAATTACTGCTTCATGAACCCTGTGAGGACCCTCTTGGTCTGAGGATTACCAGCAGGAAACCAGAATGTGCTGCTTGTCCTCTGAGTTTGAGGCTGAAGTCTCTGTCCTTCACCGGCAAGATGGGCCACCGAACCATCTACTTTCCCTTGGTATTTATGACTGTGAGTACCTTTGAATGAGGGCCAGAGGGGGTTGAGGGTCTAGGTGCCAATGGAGGGGCATGAAAAGGATCCAGCCTTGGCCCCTTCTTTAATCCTTAGGCGGGAGGAAAGTGGAAAACCAGCTCTCCACAGTAACACTGACCCACAGCACTGGGGGCAAAGCCCTCCCAGCCCCCGACACCCCACTCCCTCTCCCGCGGTCCTCACCATGTTCGGCTCGCCATTGTCTGCTGCAGAGGTTTTGCGGGCTGGTTTGTTCTGTGGCCCAGTTGAAACTGCTATGAGAAAACAAAAGCTGAAGTCACTGCTGCCTGGTGCAAGGCCTAGAGGAGGGCACAGGTGGAGGTGGGGGTCAGGCCTGGCTCAGGCTTAAACAGGGGAGGACACTTCCCAGCCCAAGCCAAGGGATAATTTTAAGAAACAGACAGCAGGAGGGGCTCAGGCACCAGAGAAGACCCTCATCTGCTTGCAGGCAAGACAGCAGCCAAGGGGCTTCCAGGCAAGACAGCAGGCGAGGGTGGGGACAGACAGGAAGGCTGCTGCATCCCAGAGCATGTGGGAAATGGAGGCGGGCTGGGGTCTCAGCAGGGATGGTGTCAATAAACATCAGAGATGTTGGACCTGGATGAACACGCTGAGCAAGAGGGAGGACTCCTGGGGGGCACTGCGGGCTCCCCAAATGGGCAGAGTCAGGTCCACGGCTGGAGAAAGAGCCACAGCATGTCTGGCTTTACTCTGAGACTCATCAGAGGTGAGGAGGCTTTCAAGGTCATCTGATCCAACCCCTTCTTTGTAAAGAAGCCCAGAGAGGGACAGTGATCTTCGGAAGGCCATACGGGAGGTCAGCAGCAAGAGCGGAAGTGGAACCAGGCCTGAAACTCTGAACTGTGGGTTTTGATCCATGGTCCTCCCACTCACTGCTGTGACTGTGACTTTGGACCCTCTGAGATTGTGTCCTCCTATGTGAAATGGGTAGAAAACCTGTCTTCTCAGGGCTGTCGTAAGGATGAACCAGTGACAATGCTGATTAGGATAACAATGACATGCAGCGAGCATCACTATGTGCCAGGCACTGCTGTAAGGGTTTTCTGTGTATTAACACATTTCTGGTTTTTGTTTTTTCGGGGTTTGTTTTGAGACAGGGTCGCACTTTGTTACCCAGGCTGGAGTGCAGTGGCACGATCTTGGCTCACTGCAGCCTTGACTTCCCAGGCTCAAGCGATCCTCTCGCCTCAGCCCCCATAGTAGCTGGGACTACAGGTACATGCTGCCATGCCTGGCTAATTTTTCTATTTTTTTTTTTTAGAGACAGGGTTTCACCATGTTGGCCAGGCTGGTCTCGAACTCCTGGACTCAAGCAATCTGCCAGCCTTAGCCTCCCAAAGTGCTGGGATTACAGGCGTGAGCCACCATACCTGGCCTATTAACACATTTCAAACCTTACAGCAACTTTAAGAAAGGTGCTGTTATTCATCCCCATTTCACAGATGAAGACACCGAGTCCCAAAAAGGGCACACAGGGAACGGTGCTGCCAGAATTCCAACCCACATCTGTCTGCCTCCAGAACACACCACTTTCTCAGAGTCCTGACGCATCAGGTACCCAGGGTCACGTGTCTTCTACACCCACAGCCTGCAAGGAGAGGCCCACACTCCCTGCCAGTCTGCAGGATGGTAAGCCGTGAAGGAGGGAGGGGAGGGCAAGGGCCAGCCAAGCTCCTGACCTACTGGGAGGCTGGTTTTTGTGATGACGGGATGTGGGATCTTCCAGAAGCCGTTATCTTCGTCCCAGCAGGACTCACGCAGAATCTTCTCCAGGTTGCTGTAGTTACAGTCCCTGCGAATCAGGGGCTGCACCTGCTCCAGGAGCTGCTGCAAGAGCATGGAGTCACGCTCCTGCCGGCGGATGGTGGCCAAGTAATCGATCTTCTCCAGCTGAAACTCGGACTGCAGATCTTTGATCTCCACCTCTGCTGCCCGAAGCTGAAAGCAAAGGATGACAAGCAGTGAGCAGGGAAAGATACCTCCCCTTCCATCTAACCACCCTGTCCACTCACTGTCCTGCCAGCAGCCACGCATCGTCTGTTCATTGGCCTGATCAGCCATCCATTCTCATCCCCACCATCCATCCAGCCATCCTTCCCTCCATCCATCCATCCACCTCCTCTCACACCCACTGATCCTTCCGTCTATCCAATCACCCTGCTGTCTCTCCACCCAGCATTTAAATGAGCACCTAATGTGTCCCCCCAGCCCTGCAAAATGTAGGGGAAAAGTTGATCAGCAATCCCAACAGCCAGCCCCTCAGTCACTATCTCCCATTGTACATTTTATTCAGGAGCCTTTGAGAAGTCCCCACATCCAACACCACCGTTCTAAAGGATATCAGAGAATTGCACAAGTGACATCTCTAAGGAGGACAACAGGCACAAACTCTCCGACTTGACAATCCTCACTCTCCCACTGCCACAGCCCTGTGTGACGGTGTGACAAACACTGGACCTAAACAATGGACCTAAGAGTAAGACCCACCTTGATCTGATCAAGGGTTCCAGATTCTTTTGGTCTCCTGCTCAAGTCTGCCAGACCGGTCCCCCGGTCCCTCCTGAGCACAGGTGACTGCCAGCCCCAGCCATAACCACCCTCTCCCTGAGCCCCAAGACTACCTGGTGCACAGTCTGTTTCCTCAAAGAGCAGGTACAGTCTGATTAGTAAAGAAGGATGTTTGAGGCAGGGCGTGGTGGCTCACACCTGTAATCCCAGCACTTTGGAAGGCCGAAGCGGGCGGATCACTTGAGGTCAGGAGTTTGAAACCAGCCTGGCCAACATGGTGAAACCCCATCTCTACTAAAAATACAAAAAAATTAGCCAGGTCTGCTGGCACACGCCTGTAATCCCAGCTGTTCAGGAGGCTGAGGTAGAATTACGTGAACCCGGGAGGTGAAGGTGAAGATCACACCAGTGCACTCCAGCCTGGGCGACAGAGTGAGACTCTGTCTCAAAATAAATAAATAAATAAATAGATAAATAAAAATAAAAGAAGGATGTTTGAATTCATGCACTGATACCCATTTGAGAACAGCTGGCAGGACATGGGTGGGCAGGACAGCCACAGAGAGGCTGGTGCACAGGGGTTTCAACTGGATTAACAATGTTCCATTTCTTTTGTTTGTTTGTTTGTTTGTTTGTTTTAAATAGATACGAGGCTCACTTTGTTGACCAGGCTGGTCTCAAACTCCTGGACTCAAGCAGTTCTCCCATCTCAGCTTTCTGAAGTGCTGGGATTACAGGTGTGAGCTACAGTGGCCCAGCCTGCTCCATTTTTTTTTTTTTTTTTGAGACAGATTCACTCTGTCGCCCAGGCTGGAGTGCGGTGGCATGATCTCAGCTCACTACAACTTCTGACTCCAGGGTTTGAGCGATTGTTATGCCTCAACTCCCAAGAAGCTGGGATTACAGGTTTGAGTCACCACGCTCAGCTCATTTTTTGTATTTTTAGCAGAGACGGGGTTTCACCATGTTGGCCAGGCTGATCTCAAACTCCTGACCTCAGGTGATCCACCCACCTCGGCCTCCCAAAGTGTTGGGATTACAGGTGAGCCACCGCGCCCGGCCCTGCTCCATTTCTTAGACTGGGTAGTAAGCACGTGGTGTTAGTGGGTATAATAATCATTATATGTTTTTGTACATCTGGAATCACTAACAATAATTTTTGTTTGTTGTTATTTTTTTAGAGACAGGGTCTCACTCTGTTGCCCAGGCTGGAGTGCAGCGGCACCTTCTCAGCTCACTGTGGCCTCGACGTTCTGGGCTCAAGCAATCTTCCCACCTCAGCCTCCCAAATAGCTGGGACTACAGGTGTGAGCCACCACGCCTAGCTAATTTTTTAATTTACTGTAAAGACAGGATCTCCCTGTGTTGCCCAGGCTTGTCTGGAGTTCCTGGCCTCAAGCAGTCTTTCTGCCTCGGCCCCTCAAAGTCCTGGGATTACAGGTGTGAGCCACTGCACCCAGCACGATAATTTTTGTGACAGTTTTCTTGAGACATAATTCATATAATTCATATGCCATAAAATTCTCACTCTGTCACCAAGCTGGAGTGCAGTGGCATGATCTTGGTTCACTGTAGCCTCGACCTCCCAGTCCTCCCTCTCTTCCAGTCCTCAGCCTCCTGAGTAGCAGGGACTCCAGGTGCATGCCACCACATCTGGCTAATATTTTTAAAATTTGTTGTAGAGGCAGGGTTTCCCCCATGTTGTCCAGGCTGGTCTTGAACTCCTGGGTTCAAGCGATCCTCCCACTTCGGCCTCCCAAAGTGCTGGGATTATAGGCATGAGCCACTGCACCATCCAATTTATCCCTCTTTTTTTTTTTTTTTTAAGTAACTTGTGCTTTTGGTGTCATACCTAAGAAACCACTGCCTAATCCAAGGTAGCAAAGATTTACACCTACGTTTTCTTCCAAGAGTTTTACAGTTTTGGCTCTTACATTTAGGTTTGGATCCATTTTGAGTTAATTTTTGTATGGAGTGTGAGGTAGGTGTCCAACATTATTCATTGGCATGTGAATATCCAGTTGTCCCCGCACCATTTATTGACAAGACTGTCCTTTCACCACTGAATTATCTTGGCATCCTTATCAAAAATCAATTGACAGGCTGGGCGTGGTGTCTCACTCCTGTAATCCCAGCACTTTGGGAGGCCGAGGTGGATGGATCACCTGAGGTCAGGAGTTCGAGACCAGCCTGACCAATATGGTGAAATCCCATCTCTACTAAAAAATACTAAAATTAGCCGGACATGGTGGCATGTGCCTGTAGTCCCAGCTACTTGGGAGGCTGAGACAGGAGAATTGCTTGAACCTGGGAGGCAGAGGTTGCAGTGAGCCAAGATCACGCCACTGCACTCCAGCCTGGGTGACAGAGCAAGACTCCATCTCAAAAAAAAAAAAAAGGGCCGGGTGCGGTGGCTCATGCCTATAATCCCAGCACTTTGGGAGGCTGAGGAGGGCGGATCACAAGGCCAGGAGATCAAGACCATCCTGGCTAACACAATGAAACCCCGTCTCTACTAAAAAATACAAAAAATTAGCCGGGCATCTTGGTGGGTGCCTGTAGTCCCAGCTACTCGGGAGGCTGAAGCAGGAGAATGGCGTGAACCCCGGAGGCGGAGCTTGCAGTGAGCTGAGATCACGCCATTGCACTCCAGCCTGGGCGACAAAGCGAGACTCTGTCTCAAAAAAAAAAAAAAAATTAATTGATGACTGTAAATATGAGGGTTTATTTCCGGATGCTCATTTGTATTCCTTTGATCTGTGTGTCTGTCCTCATGCCAGTACCACACAGTCTTGATTACGGTAGCTTTGTAGCAAAGCTTTGCAACCAGGAAGTGTGATTCCCCTCACTTTGTTCTTTTCAAGATTGTTTTGGCTATTTTGAGTCCCTTGAATTTCATTGTAAACTTTAGGATCAGCTTATCAATTTCTGCAAAGAAACCAGCGGGAACTCTAATGGGTATTGCCTTGAATCTGTAGATCAATTTGAGGAGTACTGACCTCTCACCAATATGAGTCTGCCAATTCATATGAACATGAGATGTCTTTCCATTTATTTTGGTCTTCTTAATTACTTTCACATTTTTTCATTGTTTTTGGAATGTAAGTTTTGTACTTCTTTTTGTATAGCTGGGCGTGGTGGTGCACATCTGTAATCCCAGCTACTCAGGAGGCTGAGGCATGAGAATCACTTGAACCCAGGAGATGGAGGTTGCAGTGAGCGGAAATTGTGCCACTGCACTCCAGCCTGAGACTCTGTCTCAAAAAAAGGAAAAAGAAAAAAAGAAAAGACAATATCGAAGCAGCTCCTCACACATGTACCAAGATAAACTCTAACTAGATCATTAATTTACTCTTTTTTCTCTACCCCTGTGACAGATTAAGGATCAGAGATTTAAATGTAAAAAAGACGAAACCATAGAAGTTCTAGAAAAAAAACATGAGGGAATTTTCCCATGATTGAAAATTAATATGCAATAATTTTTTAACAGTTGGTCAATTTGACAAAATCTAAAAATTGAAAATTTTCATATGGCAAAAATATCATAAAGCACAGTAAAAGACAAACTGGAAAAAAATTTACAATTTATATCACAGACCAAGAGCTAATATTCCTAATGTATAAAGAGTTTCTACATGTAGAAAAGAAAAAGAACAAACATGCTAATAGAGAAATGAGCAAAAGAAATAAAAATAATTTGGAGAAAAACTGCAAATGGCCACAAAACATATGAAAAACTATTCAACACTGCTCACAATAAGAAAAATGCAAATTAAAATTGATGCTGGGCACAGTGGCTCACGCCTGTAATCCCAGCACTTTGGGAGGCCAAGGTGGGGCGGATCACTTGAGGTCAGGAGTTCGAGACCAGCCTGGCCAACATGGTGAAACCTTATCTCTACTAAATACAAAAAATTAGCCAGGCGTGGTGGCACATGCCTGTAATGCCAGCTACTTGGGAGGCTGAGGCAGGAGAATCACTTGAACCTGGGGGGCGAAGGTTGCAGTGAGTCGAGATTGCACCATTGCACTCCAGCCTGGGCAAAAGAACGAAACTCCATCTCAGAAAAATAAAATAAAATAAACAACAACAACAACAACAAAAAACTACACTGAGATATTATTTCTCACCTAACAAAGTGGTAAAAATCCAAGTTTTAGGGGCTGTATGCAGTGGCTCATGCCTGTAATCCCAGCACTTTGGGAAGCCAAGGCAGGAGGATCACTTGAGCCCAGGAGTTTGGGACCAGCCTGCGCAACATGGTGAAACCCCGTCGCTACAAAAAATACAAAAATTAGCCAGGCATGGTGGTGCATGCCTGTAGTCCCAGCTATTCGGGAGGCTGAGGTAGGAGGATCACCTGAGCCCAGGAGGTTGAAGTTGCAGTGAGCTGTGATCGTGCCACTGCACTCTAGCATGAGCAACAGGGTGAGACCTCGTCTCAATAAAGAAAAGGAAAATCCAGGTTTTTGTAAATATACTCTGTTGGTGAGAAACACATGGATACATGCTAGTGGAAATGCCAAACAATACAATCCTTATGGAGGAGAAGTTGGCATGTCTAGTGACATCGAGCAAAATCACACTTGCATTACCCTTTGTCCCAGCATCCCTAGTTGGAGGAATAGATTCCAAAGAAACCTACCAAGAATACAGAAGTCATATGCACAGGCTGTTTACTACAGCAGCCTTTATTATTACAAGATATTGGAAACACCCCAAGTGTTTATCAAGAGAGGACTGACTCAATAAGCAATGATCCAGCCTCACAATGGAGAGCTATGTAGTTGTCAAAGAATGAGGAGGCCAGGCGTAGTGGCTCACGTCTGTAATCCCAGCACTTTGAGAGGCCGAGGTGGGTGGATCACCTGAGATCAGGAGTTCAAGACCAGCCTGGCCACCACAGTGAAACCTCATCTCTACTAAAAAATACAAAAATTAGCCGGGCATGGGTGGTGCACGCCTGTAGTCCCAGCTACTCGGGAGGCTGAGGTGGGAGAATCTCTTGAACCCAGGAGGTGGAGATTGCAGTGAGCCGAGCTCAGGCCACTGCACTCCAGCCTGAGCAACAGAGCGAGACTCCGTCTCAAAAACAGAAAAGAATGAGGAGTATCTCTCCATACTGCTGTGACCTTCAGGATACTATACATTGTTGTGTGAGAAAAGCTAGGTAGAAGAAAGCGTGCACTAGAGCTACTTTTATCTAAGAAAGAGATGGCACGTGTGTTCTTGTGTGTGTGTATATTGGTCTGTTTTTACAATGCTCATAAAGACATACCCGACACTGGGTAATTTATAAAGAAAAAGAAGTTTAATGGACTCACAGTTCCACATGGCTGGGGCGGCCTCACAATCATGGTGGAAGGTGAAAGGCACATCTTACATGGTGGCAGGCAAAAGGAAAATCAGAACCAAGAGAAAGGGGTTTCCCCTTATAAAACCATCAGATCTCATGAAACTTATTCACTACCACAAGAACAGTATGGGGGAAACCGACCCCATGACTGAATTATCTCCCACTGGGTCCCTCCCACAACACATGAGAATTATGGGAGCTATAATTCAAGATAAGATTTGGGTGGGGACACAGCCAAACCATAACAGTGTGTATACACACATACGTACATATTTCCTTATACAAAAAAAATTTAAAAATAAAATAAAATAAACAGCATCCTAGGTACCTGAGGATGAAAACATCCATCTAAGCCTGAATCTCTCCAACAAGACCTCCAAAAAAACATGCAGAAGAACCAGGAGAGAAAAATAAAGCCACCCTTAACCAGCCTACAGCATGACCTGAAGACAGAGAACGCTGGAACCTTTGAATTACATGGAAGTACAGAGATAAACCCCCAAGTGCAGCAGACAGCCCCGGAGCCACCCCATGGGGAGGTAAGCAGAGAGCATCCAGGACAGCATGGGGCGAGGAGGAATGAGGTGATGGAAGGCAGGGTGCAGTCCCTCCACAAGGAGCAAGACAATCCTAAAAACGGATCTGAAACCTGAAAATGAGAAACTGATGGAAGAGACCAGTACGTGTGCAGGACCAGAGGAGTTAGTCTCCGGAAGGTGCTGCATTTAGAAGTGGGAAGCGCCCTTGAGGTGGAAACTGAAAGTCCTGCAGAAACAAGAGAAAACCACAAAAGACAACCACCACCAAAAAAATAAGCTTTCACCCCCAAGATTTTTGCCCCCTGTTTTTGTGCCTGTGAATATGGTATCTTCCTTGGCAAAAAAAAAAAAAAAAAAAGGACTTTGCAGCCAGGTGCAGTGGCTGATGCCTGTAATCCCGGCACTTTGGGAGGCTGAGGCCGGCAGATCATTTGAACTCAGGAGTTCGAGACCAGCCTGGGCAACATGGCAAAACCCCTTCTCTACAAAACAATTAGCTGGGTGCAGTGGCATGCGCCTGCAGTCCCAGCTACCTGGGAGGCTGAGGCAAGAGAATCGTTTGAGCCTGGGACAGCCAGCGTAACACAGCAAGACCCCCAGGAGTTTGAGACCAGCCTGGGTAACATAGCAAGACCCCTCCGCTACAAAAAATAATAATAATAAAAAAATTAGCCAGGCGTGGTGGTGCATACCTGTAGTCCCAGCTACTCAGGAGGCTGAGGCAGGAGGATTTCTTGAGCCCAGGAGGTCAAGGCTGCAGTGAGCTATGATTGTGCCACTGCACTCCAGCCTGGGCGACAGAGTGAGACCCTATCTCAAAATAAAATGAAAAATAAAAATAAAAGCAACAGAGAAGGCAGAGAGGCAGGCAGGAGAGATGTGGTAGAAGAGATGCTTCTGAAAGATGAGGCAGGAGTGGAGTCAGAGACATTCCACGCGTGAGAGGGACTGCTTCCCACTCTGGCTGTCTTTGCAGGGATCCAGGAGCCCAGGAATGCAGGCGGTGTCTAGAAGCCAAGAGTGACCCACAGTCGACAGTCAGCAAAAAGATGGGGACTTCAGTCCCGCAACCAACCTCATTGGACTAAATTGTGCCAACACCTGAAATGAGTGTGGACAAGGATTCTTCCCCTAGAACCTCCTGAAAGAAGTCCAGCCCTGCTAACACCTTGATTTCAGCCTTGTGGAATTCTAAGCAGAGAAGCCAGCCCCACTGTACCTGGACTCTGACCTACAGAACTGTGAGATGATATGTTTGTGTATATTAAGTAAGTAAATTTATAGTAATTTGTTAACACAGCAATAGGAAACAAATCAGAGATCGATTGATTGATTGATTTGAGACAGGGTCTCATGCTGCTATCCAGGCTGGAGTGCAATGTCACGATCTCCGCTCACTGCAACCTCCACCTCCCAGGCTCAAGCGATTCGCCCACCTCAGCCTCCCAAAGTGCTGAGATTACAGGCATAAGCCACCGTGCTTGGCCTAGAGTTCTATTTAAAACTACACTTCACTATACAAAGAGAAGAGTGTGCTATCGAATGAAGAAAACTAAGATACCACCTCAAACTTCATCTCTGCCTTCAGCTGTTATTGATAGTCCAGAAAAACATGACTGTTTACAAAGTAAACAGAAAAGAACAGATGTGTCTAACCAAAGCTACCAGAAGAAACAGAAAATAAAAATCAAAACATTTCAGTGAAGAAAATTCTCCCCGAAAGCACAAGCTCACAGAACCAAGCCAGCAGATAAAAATGTAACACAAGGCCAAGTGCAGTGGCTCACACCTGTAATCCCAGCAGTTTGGAAGGCCGAGGCGGGAGGATTGTTTGAGCCCAAGGGTTCAAGGTTATGGTGAGCTATGATCGTGCCACTGCACTTCAGCCTGGGTGACAGAGTGAGACTCTTAAAAATAAGAAATAAAAAATAACTCCAATTAGAATACATTTGAATAAAACGTTCTTAAACAGGCATTCACAGGTATGAACATTTCTAATCCAAAATTGAAAAACTTAGAAAGGGACAAAAAAATCAAGAAGATATGAAATAGGACATCAATGAAAAGAAAGGAAAAAATATTAGAAATGTAGACCTAATTCAAGATATCTACGGGAGAATGAATTCAACTGGAAATATAACAAGGAGCATTAAGAAAAGATATAAAAATAGCCAAGAAAGGCCAGGCATGGTGGCTCACACCTGTAATCCCAGCACTTTGGGAGGCTGAGGTGGGCGAATCATGAGGTCAGGAGATTGAGACCATCCTGGCTAATACAGTGAAACCCCGTCTCTACTAAAAAAATACAAAAAAATTAGCTGGGTGTGGTGGCGGGCGCCTGTAGTCCCAGCTACTCGGGAGGCTGAGGCAGGAGAATGGCATGAACCCAGGAGGCGGAGCTTGCAGTGAGCTGAGATCTCGCCACTGCACTCCAGCCTGGGTGACAGAGCAAGACTCTGTCTCAAAAAAAAAAAAAATCCAGGAAAATAAAAAACTAAAGAGGTTAAAGAGGCAAAAAGGTTTTGTTTTGTTTTGTTTTGTTTTTGAGACAGAGTCTCGCACTGTCACCCAGGCTGAAGTGCAGTGGCGTGATGTCAGCTCACTGCAACCTCCACCTCCCAGGTTCAAGGGATTCTCCTGCCTCAGCCTCCTGAGTAGCTGGGATTACAGCATGCGCCACCACGCCGGACTAATTTTTGTATTTTTTTTAGTAGAGACGGCATTTCACCATGTTGGCCAGGCTGGTCTTGAACTCCTGACCTCCAGTGACCCTCCCATCTCAGCCTCCCAAAGTGCTGGGATTACAGGCGAGAGCCACCGCGCCCAGCCAAAAGAGGCAAAGTTTTATGCTTGGCAAGATCCTTAGGATGCCAGGACGGTGGTGGGGGCGAGGGGGTGGGGAGGACCCTGCAGATGGCCAAGGAGCCATCATGAGGATCAGGAGACCCGGACAGCACAGAGAAAGCTCCAAAGGCAGTGCACATGACCCTCACCGTGGGCAGAATCACGCTCTCCCTGACTCAGGCCTCACTCCCTTTCTCCAGCCACATCTGCCCATTCTCTGCTCCTAGAAGATGCTGACCTCACTCCTGCTTCAGGCTCCATCCCAATGCTCCTCCTCATGCCACCCAGCACTGGTTCTCTCTCTCAGTTCCCCCAGAAGTCTCTACCTCCAGGAGAATGTCCCTGTCCCCCACCTGTGGTAGCCCAGGTCCTTCTGAGGTTCCCAGTCTGGGTGCTCGTTTCATGGGCATGCTTTGTGGAAAGCACTTCGTAGAAATGAATCAAGTTGTGCGTTTGTAATTTGTGCACTTAACCATCAACAAAAATGAGAACATAAAAACGGAGTTGTCTCGCCCTGGTATTCTCTTCACAGTACTGACCACTCCTCAATATTCTCTTACTTATTTCTCTCCTGTGTTATTTCTTACACACACGCACACCCACACACACACACAACACATACCCGCATGCATGCACACACATACAACATACCCGCATGCGTGCACACACATACAACATACCCGCATGCGTGCACACACACAACACACACACTGGGAGGCAAGCTCCACAGCGACAGGGACACATCTGTCACTGTGACTGCTCTGCCTGCCAGCATCAGAACAGGGTGTGTCACACTGCAGGCACTTAATAAGTGCTTTCCAGCCTGGGCAATATGGTGAGACCCTGCCTGTCCAAAAAATTTAATAAAGTAGCCAGGTGTGGTGGTGCACATCTGTAGTCTCAGCTACTCGGGAGACTGAGACAGGAAGATGGCTTGATTCTGGGAGGTGAGCTGATTGTACCACTGCACTGCAGCCTGGGCGACAGAGAGACCCTGTCTCTAAAAATAAATAATAAATGCATGCATGCCTGCTGTGTAAAGAGTAGAGGGCTGCCTGGCTTCCTACAAGGTGTAGGGATGCCTGGATCGGGGGGTCTCACCCATCTCTGGGCAGCTGGGCATGGGGGGCTGCATCTGGGCCTCACCTTCCTCTGCATCTTCTCCAGCAGCTTGCTCTTGGCCCGCACTTCCTCCTGGATGGAGTCGTAGACGTTAAGCAGCACCCAGTCCCCGCTGTCCTCATCCGAGTTCTGCAGGGCAGCCACCAGCTGCTTCCTGCGCTCGTCTGCGTAGCGCTTGCGCCGCTTGTGCTTCTCCTTCAGGTCCTTGTTCTTGGCCTGCTCTCCACCCACAACCTGCTGCTCCAACAGCTGCAGACTGCCGGCGTGGAGGAGAAAGCAAACAAGACAATATCTGCCCATCACCGAGCACGTGCCATCCAGCAGGCTCCAGGCTATGCGTGGGCCCCCCAGATCCTTCCAACAACCCCACTTCACAGGGAGGGAAACCGAGGCTCGGCGACAGGACGCTGCTTGCTCAGGGTCACAACCAGGATTCCTGCCCAACTCCCTGCCTGTGCACTTGACCACAGTGGCAGGTCAGGGCGGGAATCTTCCTGTGGGCTCAGCTAACCCACCCCTGACCCGTGGACTTCCCACGCTGGTGCTCCCTGCAGCTGAGCAGGCTAGTTCTGTGTCTAAGGCCACTGGCATGATGAGAAGAACCCTGGGTTGTGAAAAATGTTCAATACACTCAGCGCACAATATTTAATCAGGCAGGGACATGCACAATACATTGTTAAGACTATTTATGTCCAAAATGCTCAAAAACGTTTAGAGTTTTGTCCTTTAGAGGTACAAATTTTTGGCTGGGTGCAGTGGCTCACGCCTGTAATCCCAGCACTTTGGGAGGCCTAGGCAGGCAAATCATTTGAGGTCAGGAGTTTGAGACTAGCTTGACCAACATGGTTAAACCCCATCTCTACTAAAAATACAAAAATTAGCCGGGCGTGATGGTGCACACCTGTAATCCCAGCTACTTGGGAGGCTGAGGCACGAGAATTGCTTGAACCCAGGAGGCAGAGGTTGCAGTGAGCCGAGATCGCACCACTGCACTCCAGCCTGAGCAACAGAGCAAGGCTTCATCTCAAAAAAAAAAGAAAGAAAAAAACATCCTGCTGTGGGTCTCCATCAGGATGGAGCCCAAGCACCCGAGGAGGGCACATAGGGTCTTCCCTCTATCTCCCCTGCACCCCACTCTGCGGTTCACTCCAGCTTTCACTCACGGCTGGCACGTCTCCAAATGCCCGGGCCGGGTCCCACCTCCACACCTTTGCAGGTGCTGTGCCCTTTCTCTAGGATGCCACCCCTGCAGCAAACCTTTTTCAGCTGTCTCCACTTCTGTGAAGGCCCCCCAGCCTTCCCTCCACACCACACTGTGAAAACAGCCAGGACATGTGCCAAGTGTTTACTGCGTGCCCAGCGCGGGGCTGCCACGCTGCAGGCAATGCCCATTTTGACCCTCACCACAAGCTTCTCACACTGGGACTACTGATATCGCCCATTCTGAAGATGGGCAGTGAAGGCACAGAGAGGTTGCAAGTTGGCCCGAGGTGGCAGAGCTAGTGGAGGAGGCAGGCTGGGAACTGCTAGAGAACAGGACCCTCTTGGCCCTGCCTGTCCTCCGCCCTGGCCTGTGGGCCCTTGGGGCTGAGGCAGCAGCTTGCTCATCCTTGTGTCCTGGGCCCAGCACTCAGGGGTCGCTCAGTGTTTGAACTGTGGCCTCTGGGACTGGGTCTCCGCCTGTTGAACCCCTGGATGACCACGACATGGAGGTCGGGCTGACATCATCATTAACGGAAGTGAGAACCGAGGCTCAGAAAAGTTAAGTAACCTAACAAAGCCACACGGCAAGTGAGGAAAGCCCAGCTCCCCCGGCGGTCCCAGAGAGTGCCTGGGGATGGCTTGTCCTGTGGGTGAGTGGGTCTCACATTCAGGAGGGCACTGGAGGCCAGGGGGCTGGGGGCTTGGCTGGGATGGGAGAAAAGCCTGCGACACTCTGCCCTGGGACTCCTGAAACCTGAAGGCCAGCAGGCCTGACAAGGGATGCTGGTGGCAGCCTGTGTCTGGAGCAGAGCCCTGCCCGCCTAGTCCCCACTGCGCCTGGAGAGAGGATCAGGGCCGCCCTGCCAAGTTAGAAGGGAGAGCTGGGAGGAAGCTATGGCACCCCCGCCTCCATCCTGGAAGGCAGCCCCTTCCCACCTCACCGTGGGGTCCCGCCAGCCCCATGCTCTGCTGCTTACCGGGCCAGCACCTGCTGCTGGTCCACAACGGGCAGCGGGTCATCAGTCAGCACTGCCACCTCCATGCCCACGCTCTCCCTCTTCACACCAGCTGTGGCCGGCAGGGGCTCAGGCTGAGCCACCAGGGCCACCGGGGCCTGAGCCTCCAACCACACGCCAGGCTCTGCTGTCCGCACCACCTCTAAGGCCACTTCCGAGGCCAGATCTACCTCCTGAGTGTGAAGAGAAACCCAGGTGGAGGTGGGAAGGCCGCCCCAACCCCCGCCGACAGCTCCCAGGTGGCTCAATCCCAGACGGGGCCATTCCGCCTGCTGCAGCCCCGACAGATCACCTCCAGCTCAGGGACACCAGTGACACAAAAACACGCCCTGTTGAGTTCTTACTGCCGCTATTCCCACTGACACCCCCACGCTAGGAGGAAGGCTCCCAGCTTCCTCTCTCACCTCCCACAATCCAGTCTCCACAGGCAGCCAGGGCCATCTTAAAATAGAAACCGATCACATCCCGTTCCCGATGAGCCCCATGTGACTTCCCGTCACGTTCGCAGGAAAGTCCACTTTCCTCCCTGCCGGCTCCCTGCCTCCACGGCCTCCCCCGCCACCGTGGCCTCCTTTTCCATTGCTAAGAAAGTCAAGGTCTTTCCAGCCATAGGACCTTGGCACTTGCTATCCCCTCTGCTTGCTGCTTCCCCCCGTCCCTCCTTCACGCCTGGGTCCCACCCCAGAGTCACTTCCTAGCCAGGGCTGCCCCGGCTGCTCCATCTACGCCCTGCTGAGAGCCTGCTGCAGGCCCGGTGCCCAGCCCACACTTGAGTCCAAACTGTCTTCTTCCTCTATAAATGTAGGGAGATTTAAAGCTTCCTCTCCTTTTGCTCCCCTGGGGTGTTCAAATTGGGTTCCCCGATGGTGTCATAGGGGCCACCAGCCCTGACCTGCAGCCCTCGTCCTTTGCACACACTGGGCCTCAATTCCTTTACACAAAGGGCGACAAGGCTAAGGAAGGTTTGAAAGCCACCATCTAGAACAACAGGCCACTTTCACTCCATAAGAAGAAGATGATGGTTCCTCCCACTGCACACTGCCTGGCCACGGGCCACAAGCCCGGGGAAGGCTGGAGTTGTTGTTCTCAGCTCATGGATGAGGAAACTGAAGCTCAGGGAGGGAGAAGACAAGCTGGAGTTTCCCAGGAAGTTGAAGAGAACCCCGTCCCCCACATGGAGGCCCGGGGAGGTACTCACAGGCCTGGGCGGGAAGTCATCAGCCGCCTCGGCTTCGGGCCTGGCATCACTGGGCTCCAGCAGGTCTGTCGGCGCAGGGACCTGGGAGGAAAGAGGGGATGGAGGAGAAAGAAGGCTGATTTGGGCCAGAACCATCCTTTACTCCCTCACCCCTGGCCTCACTTCAACTCCCCAAGGCCTCCCACCACCCCCCAACCTCCCCTGCCTGTCACTCCCGAGAGAAGGAGCACAAAGGAGGGAAGAGATGAGGGAGAGAACAGGGAAGAGAGGAAACGGAAGACAGGCGTGTGGTGGGCACCTGCTGTGTGCCAGGAGCGTTGCCTGCATCCACTCCTCTGAAGCAACCTCATTTTACAGATGAGGAAACCCAGCCCAGAAAGGTCACACAACCAAGGAAGTGGTAGACCTGGGATCTCTCTCTCTAAATACACACACACAGACACACACACACAAAATACACACACACACACACAGAGGAAAGGAAAGCAGAGAACAAAGAGAGGAGAAAATAGGACTTTTTTTTTCTTTGAGATGGAGTCTCGCTCTGTCGCCCAGGCTGGAGCACAGTGGTGCGATCTTGGCTCACTGCAACCTCCGTCTCCCGGGTTCAAGTGATCCTCCTGCCTCAGCCTCCTGAGTAGCTGGGATTACAGGTGCACGCCACCACACCTGGCTAATTTTTATATTTTAGGTAGAAATGGGGTTTCACTTCACCATGTTGGCCAGGCCGGTCTTGAACTCCTGGCCTCAGGTGATCCACCCACCTCGGTCTCCCAAAGTTCTGGGATTACAGGCGTGAGCCAATGTGCCTGGCCAAGAGGAACATTGTTTTAAAAACAAGAGGGTTGTTGAAAAGGGAGAAGATGTTGGTCAGGGGGCCAGATGGAGGAAGAGCAGTATCCCAGAAGCCTCGTGGTCACTGAAAGGTGGCTGGATTCCCACAGACCCCCCACCCAGCTCACTACAGAGCTCACGAGCCAGTGAGCGTCGCCCAGGGCTCCGTCAGGCCTGGACACTCACTGTAACCATGGCAACTGGGCAAACGCCCTGTACAGCTGTCCCTCCATCTGCAGAACGGGAGCCCACCTGGCATAACCTTGCATCGCGACCCCAACTTTCTTATTGAATTACAGAGCATGAGACAGAGCTTCTCCTTCCCTAACCCCTGGACACCAGTGCCCCTGAGCCAGCCACCAGTGCCAGAGCCGCAGCAGACACAGTGGAGCCACGGCCTGAGTGTCGGAGGCCATGTGTGTGAACAGTGTGTGCACAGTGAGCTCCGGGCCCTGGGCAAGCTCTGCCTGCTCAGTGTTCACATGGCACCATGCGTGACATCAGCTACCTGCACAGGGACCTTGGGGACGTCTGCCTGGGGTGCATCTGTCCTGGCCACGGTGGAGGAGAGTCTGGCCAGCTTGGCTTCCACCTCGGCAAACGGGTCCTGCAGGCCTAGTAACCCCTGCAGGGGCACCTCCTGCGGCTCCTCTTGCGGGAGGTAGTTCTGTTCCCCCAGCAGGTGCCCAGCGGCCTCCTGCCCGAGGCACTCATCCAGGAAGTATCTGCTCCTGGACTCCTCAGTGGGCATGGAGACCTCCACGTTGGAGGGCTCCTCAGGCCCAGGGAAAGCCTCGGACACAGAGGTTTCTTCGAGCGAGGATGACTCACTGGAGCCCAGAGAAATCTCAGATTTGGAGGGTTCCACCTTGGGCAGCTCCGCAAACCTGGAGGAAACCTGAGTCTTGGAGACATCGTCACTGGGCAGAGTGTCAGTCGTGGAGAAGACCTTGGGTTTCACCACTGTCTCATACTGAAAAGCAGGCGGGTACTCAGCGCTGCTGGCAAACTCAGCCCTGGACATGACCTCAGCCTTGTAGAGGACTCCCACCTGCAGGACAGCCTCTGCAAAATGGAGAACTTCCTTCAGGTTTTTAAAGGGTCAGAATGAGAGACCCTTCCCTAGAAGGTGGCTCCAAGCCCAGTGTGTTGTTTTTTTTGTTTGTTTTTTTTTTGTTTTTTTTTGAGACAGAGTCTTGCTCTGTCGCCCGGGCTGGAGTGCAGTGGTGCGATCTCAGCTCACTGAAAGCTCTGCCTCCCAGGTTCATGCCATTCTCCTGCCTCGGCCTCCCGAGTAGCTGGGAGTACAGGCACCCGCCACCATGCCTGGCTAATTTTTTTTGTATTTTTAGTAGAGACAGGGTTTCACCATGTTAGCCAGGATGGTCTCGATCTCCTGACCTCGTGATCCGCCCCCACTCGGCCTCCCAAAGTGCTGGGATTACAGGCATGAGCCACCGCGCCTGGCCCAAGCCCACTGTTTCTAAAAGACCAGCTTAAGAGTCAGAGCCTCCCAGACCCTCCAGAGGCTGGCTACAGCCTGCCTGCCTTCCCATCTCTGCTTTTATCAGAACCCAAACCCTACCACCTTCCACCTCTTCCAGGAAGCCTTCCCTGACCAACGCTGGGATTCCTCCATTTTCTGACCTCCACAGCCACTGAGTGCTGGGCTCTTAAGTCACACCCAGCCTTGGGACCACTCTTCGCACACTGGCAGGCTTCCTGGGGCCTTGTTGCCTTCCAAGGCTGAGAGCTCAGCAGATTTCATGCCCGGGTGCCCTCGGAGCCCTCACTGGAGTGGCCAGCCCAGGGCTCTTGTCCACTGGATATGCTAGATCCACGGGAGCTAAATGAATGCTGTGGATGAATGTCAGAGCTCCAGAAGCCAGACGAAGATCTGCTGGAGGCCTCATATTCAATCTGGACTGGAGGGAACACTCCAAAGGGCATAAAATGCTAGAATCTGCTCCCTCCCCTTCCCCTGGGTCTCCTCCAGGAGCGCGTCTCCCTTGCAGCGGAGACAGGGCTGCATTCACATGGGCCCCTTAGTGCTCCAGTTCAGGGGGCTCCCGGCGCCTCTCATACCTCCCACCCATTTCTTTATCGTTATGTCCCAGACTCCTGTAAGAGGGTCTTGATTTTTCCCTTTGCTGAAATATGGCACCCACTCCCTAGCTAAATGGCCTGGATCTCTCTCAGCCTTGGTTTCCACACAGTTATGGGAGGATTCAGGGAGTCCTACCTCGCTGGACTGGGGAGACCAGAGGCTCAGTGAGGAGGTGCAGGTAAAGCACCCACACAGTACCCGGCACGTGGTAATGTGCCAACAAGCGGTACCGACGGTGCGATCAGTATCATCATCATTCCAGGCCTGGATTCTACACTATTCATGAGTGCTAGGAAGTCTGGACCTCCAGGCAGCATGCGTGTTTGACTGACACTGGTATGGCAGAATATCCTAGGGTGGCAAAAAGAAGACAAAAACTAAAGGCTGAGTGCAGTGGCTCATGCCTGTAAGCCCAGCACTTTGGGAGGCCAAGGCAGGTGGATCGCTTGAGCCCAGGAGTTCGAGACCAGCCTGGCCAACATGACGAAATCCCGTCTCTACTGAAAACACAAAAATTAGCCGGGTGTGGTAGTGTGCACCTGTAATCCCAGCTACTCAGGAGACTGAGGCACGAGAATTGCTTAAATCCGGGATGGGGAGGTTGCAGTAAGCCAAGGTCATGCCACTGCACTCCAGCCTGGGCGATGGAGCAAGACTCCATCTCAAAACAAAGAAATTTTTTTTTAAAAAAAAAGAACACAAAAACCTCCAGATAGGTAAACAGCTGTGGCTAAGGATTAAATCCTTATTATGGAATGTGTTTGCTTTGCTAACAGAGAGGCTCAAAAGTAAGAGGAGACCGGAAAACACAGCAATTCGGGGCAGGGACTGGCCTCTAAAGAAAGGGTGGCACTTCACAGCTCACAGTCAGCCTTGAGCTGGGGCCCAGTCCATGGCTAAGCCATCCCAGTGCAGTGCTGTGGGTGAGAACACTGGCTCTGGGGCCAGACTGCTTGGGTTCAAATCCTGGCTCTCCTTTACCAGCTGTGTGACCATGGGCAAGTTACCTACCCTCTCTGTGCCTCAGTTTCCTCATCTATATAGCGAGCATAATTGTGGTACCTACCTTACTGGACCATTGTGAGGATAAAACAGACCTGATCCTCGGGTGTAGAAAATGCTCTGTGATGCAGTTACTGCAGTGAGGCGGAAAGGAGGCCACCTTCCCTGGAGACAGCCTCGGGGGGCAAGGGGTGCCCACCTGTCTCCTTCCGCAGGTTCTCCTCCAGCGTGGACAGCCTGACGTCATATGAGTTGCGCATGGCAGTGATGTCTTCCTCCAGCCTGGCCCGAGACTCCTGCTCGGCCTTATAGTCGGCTTTCAGCCGGGCCAGGCGCTCTTCATACTCCTGGGGGGGTGGGAGGGACCAGAGGGCAGGCAGCATTTTATCATCATTTTGAAACCCAGCTTTCAGTATTCCTTTTTGGTTATTCAAACAATACAGAACCTATAAGTAAGCCAAGAGAATCCAATGGTACAACACTGTGATAATTACTTGCCGGTGAAGACCTTTCCAAACTGTTCTCAATGCTTTTTTGTTTTGTTTTGTTTTTGAGACAGGGTCTCACTCTGTCCCCCAGGCTGGAGTGCAATGGCATAATCATGGCTCATTCCAGCCTCGAACTCCCAGGCTCAAGTGATCCTCCTGCCTCAGCCTCCCAAATAGCTGGGACTATGGGCATGCCACCATCAGCAAAAAAAAATTTTTTTTTTTTTTGAGACGGAGTCTCGCTCTGTCGCCCAGGCTGGAGTGCAGTGGCGCCATCTCGGCTCACTGCAAGCTCTGCCTCCCAGGTTCACACCATTCTCCTGCCTCAGCCTCCCAAGTAGCTGGGACTACAAGCATCCGCCACCACGCTCAGCTAATTTTTTTGTATTTTTAGTAGAGACGGGGTTTCACTGTGTTAGCCAGGATGGTTTCGATCTCCTGACCTCGTGATCCACCCGCCTTGGCCTCCCAAAGTGCTGGGATTACAGGCGTGAGACACCACGCCCGGCCACCATCAGCTAATTTTTTAAAAAAATTTTGTAGGCCGGGCGTGGTGGCTCATGCCTGTAACCCCAGCACTTTGGGAAGCTGAGGCAGATCGCTTGAGGCCAGGAGTTCAAGACCAGCCTGGCCAACATGGCGAAACCCCGCCTCTACTAAAAATGCAAAAATTAGCCAAGCGTGGTGGCTTGCCTGTAATCTGTTACTGGGGAGGCTGAGGCATGAGACCACTTGAACCTGGGAAGTGGAGGTTGCAGTGAGCCGAGATCACACCACTGCACTCCAGCCTGGGTGACAGAGTGATACTCCGTCTCAAAAATAAAAATAAAACAGAAATAAATAAAAAATTTATAGAGTAGGGGTCTCACTGTGTTGCCCAGCTTGGTCTTAAACTCCTGGCCTCAAGTGATCCTCCCACCCCAGCCTCCCAGAGTGTTGGGATTACAGGCATAAGCCACCACACCCAGCCTCTCAGTGCTTCTTTTTTTTTTTTGAGATGGAGTTTCACTGTTGTTGCCCAGGTTGGAGTGCAATGGCATGATCTTGGCTCACTGCAACCTCCAACTCCCAGGTTCAAGCGATTCTCCTGCCTCAGCCTCCCAAGTAGCTGGGATTACAGTTCAGTTGTCCACCACCACGTCTGGCTATTTTTTTTTTTTTTTTTTTTTTTTAGTAGAGACGGAGTTTCACCATGTTGGCTAGGCTGGTCTCGAACTCCTGACCTCAGGTGATCCACCAGCCTCAGCCTCCCAAAGTGCTGGGATTACAGGCATGAGCCACCATGCCCAGCCTGCTCAGTGCATTTTTTAACAGACGAATAATATATGCATTTGTTTGCAATCTATTTTATCCACACAGCAATATATCATGAACACCTTTCCATGTTGGCAAATACCTTTCTGCCTAATGGTCCTCAACCCATCAATGACAAAATATGTTTTTATTCACCCACTTCTCTCCATCTTTGCTATCACTGCCAGCTCTCGTCCAAACAGCCACCTGGTTCTCACCTCTGTTCTCACTCTGGCCCCAACCTCTCTCTGACACAGCCATAGTGCCCACCCAGGTGTCTCCCCTGCTTAGGATCTGCTAATGGTATCCCATGTTCATGGATGAAATCTAAGCTCCTCAACTTGACCTGAGACCCAAGTGATTTGGCCCTGCCTCCCCCTCAACTGCTATGATGCACATTTGGGGACTCCTAGACACACCCACTTCCTCCCTGCCCCAAGGCCTTTGCCCTGCTCCCTGGCAAGCACCTTCCCAGGCCTCAGCTTAGTAACATCCCTCAGAGAGGCCTTCCCTGACCATACTCTCAGAAGCAGAAGGCCTCCTGCACTGCTCCCTGTCCCTTCCTCTATTGCTTTTTTTTTTTCCTCTGGAGACAGAGTATCGCTCTGTCACCTGGGCTGGAGTGCAGTGGCTCAATTTCAGCTCACTGCAACCTCCACTTCCCAGGTTCAAGTGATTCTCCTGATTCTCCTGCCTCTGCCTCCCAAGTAGCCTATTACATGTGCATGCCACCATGCCTGGCTAATTTTCGTATTTTTGGCAGAGATGGGGTTTCGCCTTGTCGGTCTTGCAAAGTGATGGGATTAGAGGCGTGAGCCACTGTGCCCGGCTTCTATTTCTTCTTAACACACTTCCTGAGCTTCTATTATGCTATTTATTTTCTGTGTGTGTGCTCATGAATTTGTTTTTACTGGGGTGTAGGGTTGGAAAATGCCACCTTGGGGGCATGCTTCTCCCCCAGGAAATGTTCATTCTGATCTTCCTGGGATGGTTTGTGGGACTCTTTCTTTTTTTTTTTTTTTGAGACAAAGTCTCACTCTGTCACCCAAGCTGTAGTGCAGTGGTGTGATCTCAGCTCACTGCAACCTCCACCTCCCAGGTTGCAGCAATTCTCCTGCCTCAGCCTCCTGAGTAGCTGGGACTACAGGCGCATGCCACCACGCCTGGCTAATTTTTGTATTTTTAGTAGAGACGGGGTTTCACTATGTTGGCCAGGCTGGTCTCAAACTCCTGACCTCGTGATCCACCCTCCTTGGCCTCCCAAAGTTCTGGGATTACAGGCATGAGCCATCACGCCTGGCCTGTTTGTGGGTCTTTTTCTTCTTCTTGGAGCTGATCTTGCTACCAGTGGCCTCTCCAGGCCCATTGCTGATGGTTTCTCCTTGGAAGAGAATCTCCTCTTTTTCTTGGCAATGCTCCTATTGCCTCTCCCTCAGGGTCACTAACTGTTTCCTCCTTGGATGATTACGTCCTCATCTTTTTTTTTTTTTTTTTAGACAAGGTGTCACTCTGTCACCCAGGCTGGAGTGCAGTGACGCAGTCTCAGCTCATTGCCACCTCAAGTTCCAGTGAACCCGAACCCCAACCCCGGCTCAAGCAATTCTCCCACCTCAGCCTCCCGAGAAGCTGGGACCACAGGCACCCACCACCACACTCGGCTAATTTTTTGTATTTTTGGTAAAGATGGGGGTCTCGCCATGTTGCCCAGGCTGGTCTCTAACTCCTGACCTCAAGCAATCCACCACCTCAGCCTCCCAAAGCGCTGGGATTACAGGAGTGAGCCACCGCACCCAGCCTCCACCTTGGGAAGACATGCTGCCAGCTGTCTCCCCAGGATCACCACTAGCCTGCTCCTCCTTGGGAAAGATTTCTTCTTCTTGGGTTTGGAGAGACGAGTCTCCCATTTTATTCTCCTGAGGAGACCCCTGGGGCTTTGGCTTTTGCTTCTTTTGGGGGTTTTCAACCATTTCACTACTCCAGGATGAGGACTCCTGGGAGACAGCCAAGGGCAGGACACACTTGCCCAGGGAAGGGTGTGAATGGGTGTGAATGGGTGTGAATGGTGTGTGAGCTCTCTCAGCAGCACCCTCCTTCCTCACAGCCCTCTACAGCTGCTGTCTTCTGACACCAGGGCAAGGGCCGCCAGTTGCTTCTTTTCCTTCCTTGGGTCTCTTCTGTCTCTCCAGCTTCCTAGTAATCTCAGGAGCTGCTTTTTCTTTCTGAACCATTGCTTCCTTCATGATAGTCTCTACTTATTTGATTACAGTTTATTGTTGGTCTCCTTGGTCTCCCCTATCAGAAGGCACCCTCCAAAGAGCAAGGACCATCCTGTCCTTTTTTTTTTTTCAGACAGAGTCTCGCTCTGTTCCCCAGGCTAGAGTGCAGTGGCATGATCTCGGCTCACTGTAACCTCCACCTCCCAGGTTCAAGCGATTCTCCTGCCTCAGCCTCCTGAGTAGCTGGGACTACAGGTGCACACCACCACACCCAGCTAATTTTTTATATTTTTGGTAGAAACAGGGTTTCACCATCTTGGCCAGGCTGGAAGGACCATCCTGTCTTGTAACCTCAGATCCTGCCAGAGGAGGGATTCAAGAAACACCTGCGGAGCCAGTAAATGGCAGAGCAGAACTGCAGGTTAATGGGCATGCAACATATTCAGGCCTCTGACACACATGGCTCAAGAGAAGGGCAAGGCATTTATGAATTAAAGATAGTCTGGGATCCTTTGTCTCCTGGAGCCACTGCTGACAGAGGTGCCTGCCACTGTAGTAAGCCAGAGAGAGGGGACAAGGACAGGGATGGCGTGGGCAAGCACCATGTCATACTCCCACCTCTCCAGATCCCTTTGGCAAATAGAAACTGGCATGGACAGCACTGATTTAGGCTCCTAGGGAGGGAGAGAAGGGGACGGAGAATAATTCAGATGTAACCACGCATTCTTTAGTACATTTTTAGATACACTTGAACCTCAAAGCAATGCCCACAGTGTTACTGAGGCCCAGGGAGGTTCCATGACCAGGCAGCTCCTCAGAGCCCTGCAGCCCTCTCCTCCACTGCCCCCTGCTCTCACTGCCCTCCTCACCAGCTGGCATCCCAGGGCCCATGACTCGAGTCAGCAAACATCCCTGACTCCCTCACCCAGCCCCTCTATTGTTTTCTCCCAGCACAGCCCTGACCCTGGTTAAACCCAGGCCTCACCTTAGCAATACGTGGATGGAAACACACATATATGCGCACACACACATGCAGGCACACACATGCAGGCACACATGTGCACACATGCATACACATGCACCCACAGACACACATGCACCCTCAGGCACACATGCACATGCACGCACACGCATACACACACGCACACACACGCACACACACATGCATGTGCACAGCACCACCAATCTCCATTCTTTTTTTAATTTTTAATTTTTTTTTTGAGTCAGAGTCTCACTCTGTCGCCCAGGCTGGAGTGCAGTGGCGCCATCTCGGCTCACTGCAACCTCCACCTCCTGGGTTCAACCGATTCTCCTGCCTCAGTCGCCCAAGTAGCTGGGATCACAGGCACGTGCCATCACTCCCGACTAATTTTTGTATTTGTAGTAGAGACGGGGTTTCGCCATGTTGGCCAGGCTTGGTCTTGAACTCCTGACCTCCAGTGATCCGCCCGCCTCGGCCTCCCAAAGTGCTGGGATTACAGGCATGAGCCACTGCACCCAACCCCATTCTCACTTTTAAACATGGGACCTGAATCTCAGGCAGGCGGGTTTCGACATGGCTGAGCCCACAGCCCCAGTCCTACCCTTTAGCTCTGTCTTCCCAACCCTCCTCTCCCCCCACATCCCCTGCCTGGTAAGTCACAGAGAACAGGGAGGTACAGGACTCCCTCACCTTCCCACCCACCTGGAGATCTACCCGGAAGCTCCACCTCCTCTGAACCCACGCCACCCAGCTCCAGGACCTTGTGCTTGCAATCCGCCCCCTCCTTCCTATAACCTCGACTTCTCCTTCTGTGCTGGATAATTCCCGACAGTCTACAACACATGCTCTCTTACTTCCAACATTTAAAGCATGAAAAACCCTTCCTTGGCCCCACATCCCCCTCCGGCTAGAGTGTCCAGCACCCAGCACGCGCTCACAATATGCCTGTTAAGGACTGAATGGCGGAGCTGACCCCCAGCTCTTGCTTGGTACATGATACACAGCCCGCCAAGGAGATGATGGCCCTTCATTTCATCCTCTTACATCCCTAAGAAGCAGCAGGAAATCCGCTATGATGCCTGTTCTGCAGATGAGACAGAGGCTCAGAGAGCTCAAACAACCTGCCCAAGGTCACAGAGCCCATAAGGATGGACTTGCAGAAGGCTGGACGGACCCTAGGAATCTTCTGGTCCAAACCCCTGGTTCAGACTGGGGACCGGAACCCGGCTCCTGGCCCGTGTCCTCTTCCCTACACAGAGGGGGCTCCTCCCTTTCCCTGAATGGTTCTGGAATACAAAGGGAAACACGGTCCCAGGAGCATAGCAGGTGCTCAATAAATATGAGAGTTGAGAAAAAGAACAAATGGCAGGCAGGAGGGACGCAGGGATAGCGGGGTGGGGGAGGGGCACAGACATCTTCAACGCTTCCTCCAAGCATGGCTCACAGAAGAAACCTCAGGGTTTCTTGGAATCCTGGTGGCGGTGGCGTCAGCCAGCACCACTCTGACGCAGTGTCCACTAGGCCGCCCCACGAGAAGGAGGCAGGCGACCCCATCCCCAGGGCAGAAGGCACCCCCATCCGTGGCACTCCAGGGACCCGCCAGGAACGGCGTCGCTACTCCCTGGTGACCACCAGGGGGAGGCAGTGCCCTACTTACTGGACAGCGGGGGCCGCCGGCCCCACCGGGCTTCCCGGGAAGGAAGCCTCCGTCCCCGTCCTGCACAGCCCGCCCCACCCCTCCATCTGTGACCAGAGCCCCCCGGGCTGTGACTCCGTGTGTGACTCCCAGCCTCCGAGCCCCGCTGTGTGACTCCATGCCCACTCCGAACAACAGCAGGCTGACTTCTCTGGTTTCTGCGGGCTTGTCTGAGCTCAGCCATCCCCCAGGGCCCCTCCTTGCTAAAGCCTCCCCGGGAGCCTCCCCAGAGCTACAGGAAGGGACCTGACACCCGGGCTGGAAACGGCAGTGGAGGGAGAAAGGCAGTGCCCGCTGCCGAGCTCCAGAGCCTGCAGGGGCGGACGGCGTTCACTGGGGGCACCATCGAGCCTCTCCCCAAACAGCACAGGCCCCGCCCGTCACGTGCAGCGCCCGAGGCTCTTGGATGGATTTCTCCCACGCCTCCGGCCCACAGGACAGAGATCTCCACAGTCCTTCTCCTGTCTGCCCCAGAGGCTGGGCCCCAGGTACCCACAGCCCAACAGGGGCTTCTGGGGCCTGAGGACGGACCCCAGTGGGAGGTGGTAGGTGAGTGGCAGGGGTCCAGCAGCGGATACATCCAGGCCTAGCCCCGGGATAGCTCGTCCTGCCTGGCATCAGGTTTCACATCAGGAAAAGCCAGGGTTCTAAAGGGACTATCAGGCCCGGCACAGTGGCTCACGCCTGTAATCCCAACACTTTGGGAGGTTGAGGTGGGAGGATCTCTTGAGCCCAGGAGTTCAAGACCAGCCTAGGCAACATAGAGACCCTATCTCTACAAAAAAATTTAAAAATTAGCCAGGCGTTATGACATGCACCTGTGGTCCCAGCTACTTGGGAAGCTGAGGTGGGAGGAGCACCTGAGCCAGGGAGTTTGAAGGTGCAGTGAGTTGAGATTGCACCACTGCACTCCAGCCTGGGTGACAACAAGACGCTGTCTCAAAAATAAGTAAGTAAATAAATAAATGAATAAAGGGACTGCCACATGTCAAACTCCACGGCATGCTCAGGTCTCAGGATGCAGCATTTAGGCGGGAATCTCTGGAAACCAACAGAGCGTGGAGTCAGGGATGGAGCCAAAGGCAGGAGTGGGGGGGCCCCCGCCATGCCTGGCTGTGGAAGTCCCGCTCTGGGGATCAGCTCCGCCTCTGGAAATCAGGCATCGTCTGACCCGCTGCTTCCCAGGGGTGTTGGGAGGCACTCAGATGAGAGGTGCCCCAGGTGACAGCTTTTTCCAGGAGGCCAACACCACACTCACCCGCTGGTCAAACGGGCTGCCTGGCTCTCAGACTTGTCGTCGGCTGCTGGGGGACAGACTCCTCCCCACCCTGACTGCCTCGCCTCTGCACAGGCCATTTCCACAGCCAGGGATGCCTTTTCTGCTTCCATCAATGCACAGCCACCCCTTCCTTCAAAACGGAGGGGAGACCACGCCCCTGGAGACACCTCCACACCCCTCTGTTCTCACCACGCAGGCCCTAAGGCGGCATTGAATGCAGTCTGGAGTCAAGAACTCAAGTTCAAATCCTGGCTCAGACTCTTTGCTGTGTGACCTTGGGCAAGTCCTGGCATCTCTTTGAGCTTCAGCTTTCTCAGGACCAAACCCACGGTGAAGGTACGGTGATATCGCGTTGGACCCCAGCGGCAGCCCTGCCCTTCCCGCTGGGCCCCACCTGCCTGTCCCTTCTCCATGTTCCCACCCGCTTGGGTCTCACCTCCCGGATCAGCTGCTTCTCGGCCTCCACGTCATGCTGGATCACAGGTTGGGGCAACAGCTTCTCCTCCACCTGCACAGGGTCTGGGGGCACCTGCCTGGACAGCAGGGCTGGGGGAGAAACAGAAATTAGCAGCCAGGATGAGGGGCACATTGTGTGCAGGAACTAAGCAGAAATCTATAAAAAGACGACCTCATGGTCATTCAAGAAGACTTTAAAGTATTCAGCTTATTTCAAACACATCTCCATGTAAAAGGCTGTTAGTCATCCAACAAATATTTATGGAGCACCTCGATGTTCCAGACTCTGAGGATGCGGCATTGAACAAAGACAAAAACTCCACACCCACGCTGAGTTTTCCACTGGGAAAAAGAGGAGAAAAGCAGATGGACAAGGTGAAATGCCTCGTGGTGGTGTTCGAGGCCCTCTCCACTCCAGCCCTGCCTAAGCACCTCCCATCAAAATAAATAAGCAAAATGGGTAACACGTTACAAGGCGATGTGTACTGAGAAGAAAAAGCAAGTAGGGAGGGTGCTTGGGAGTCAGAAGCAGTTAGAAGGGTTGCAATTTTTTTACTTATATATTTATCGAGACAGGGTCTTGCTCTGCCACCCAAGCCGGAGTGCAGTGGTGGGATTATAACTCACTGAGGCCTCAAATTCCTGGGCTCAAATGATCCTCCCACCTGAGCCTCCTGAGTAGCTGGGACTACAGACACACACCACCACACCCAGCTAATCTTTTATTTTTTGTAGAGATGGGGTCTCGCCATGTTGTCCAGGCTGGTCTCAAACTCCTGGGATCAAGCAATCTTCTCATCTCGGCCTGCGAAAGTGCTGGGATTACAGGGGTGAGCTGCCTTGCCCGGCCCAAGTTGCCATTTAAATAGTGTGTTAGGCTGGGCACAGTGTCTCATGTCTGTAACCCCAGCACTTTGGGAGGCCTAGGCGGGTGGATCACTTGAGGTCAGGAGTTCAAGAAAAGCCCAGCCAACAGCCAACATAGTAAAACCCCGTCTCTACCAAAAAAATACAAAAATTAGCTAGGCATGGTGGCGGGAGCCTGTAATCCCAGCTACTCAGGAGGCTGAGGCAGGAGGATTGCTTGAACCAGATGGGCGGAGGTTGCAGTGAGCTGAGATGGCGCCACTGCACTCCAGCCTGGGCGAAAGAGCAAGACTCCGTCTCAAAAATAAATAAATAAATAGCTTATTTATTGAAGGCCTTTTAGTCAAGGCATGAAGGAAGCAGCGAGGAGAGGGCGGGCACAGGAGGAGCTTGCTAGACAGGAGGCGCTTGCTAGACAGGGGGAGCTTGCTAGACAGGGGGAGCGGTGAGTGCGAGGGCCCTGAGGCGGTTGTGAGACTGCACTGTTCCTGGCCCAGCCAGGAGGCCAGTGTGGCTGGAGGGGAGGGAGTGATGGGCAGGACAGGTGGAGAAGTCCAAGAGGGATAATGCCAGATTGTGACAGCTGTGGAGGGCCGGGTGAGGGCTTTGGCTGTGACTCTGGGTTGAACGAGGCAGGTGTGCACAGGGCAGTCACAGGCCTTGCATTTGAACAGGCTCTCCCTGGCTGCTGCGTGGAGAGTGCACTGAGGGGAACCAGGGTTAGGCACGAGGAGACCCGTTGCGGGGGCGTGCAGAAACTCAGTCTGGAGGGCAGCAGTGAACTGGCTGTAGCCAGTTTTTGTTTTGTTTTGTTTTGTTTTTTGAGACGGGGTCTTTGCTCTGTCGCCTAGGCTAGATGCAATCGTGTGATCTCGGCTCACTGCAACCTCCCTCTCCCAGGTTCAAGTGATTCTCCTGCCTCAGCCTCCCGAGTAGCTGCGACTACAGGTGTGCGCCACTACGCCTGGCTAATATTTTCTATTTTAGTAGAGATGGGGTTTCACTATGTTGGCCAGGCTGGTCTCCAACTCCTGACCTCAAGTGATCTGCCCACCTCGGCCTCCCAAAGTACTAGGATTACAGGCGTGAACCACTGCGCCCGGCCAGGCTGTAGCCAGTTTTGAAGGTGGAGATGGCAGGATCTGCTGACCAACTGGATGTAGATTTGAGAGAACGTGAGAAGCCAGGGGCGACCCCAAGTGTCTGGTTTGAACACCTGAGTTGCCTCTGTCAGCTGTTGGGGGGAGCTGCAGCCTAGCAGATTTGGGGGCCCATCGAGTTGACAGTGGGATATGTTGGGTTTGAAATGCTTATTACACAGCTACAGATTCAAGTCCGGAATTCAGAGGACATGGTATAGTATGTTTTACTTCTTTTCTACATTGCTTTATGTTCTATTATCTTGAGGGACTTGCTGGGCAGGGTTAGACTGCCCTTCAGGGCGAGCGAATTCCTAGAAACCGTAAACCACGAGTCAGTGAGTCCATCTTTGGTATATAAACCAGCCGAACCCGAGTCCACACCCCAAGCCACCTGCTGTATGTAACTCTCACACCAAGCCAAGATTCCCCCTGCCCTGAACAGGCCCAGGGCCAGGCAGAGACAACCAGGAACAGCCCCTCAACCCCAACGCCCACCAGAATTATTCAGATCAGCTGGTCCCAACCTGCCTCCCAGGCCTTGCTGTGTGTTTCCCACAGGAAGCCCAGTAAAGGCTGTGGCCCGGGCCCCCACTCCCTTCTCCCTCCAGACCGATGCTGGTGCTTCCCCATGTGTGTGTGCCTGACCCCGGGTTTCCAGGAGCACTGTGAGTCACGATGGGCTTTCCTTTCAGTGGCGCGGATCTCTGTGCTGTCACCCAGTCACCTTTATAAATTAAGACACGAGGCCAGGCGAGGTGGCTCATGCCTGTAATCTCAGCACTTTGGGAGGCTGAGGCGGGCGAATCACGAGGTCCTGATTGAGACCATCCTGGCTAACACGGTAAAACCCCATCTCTACTAAAAATACAAAAAATTAGCTGGGCATGGTGGTGCGTGCCTGTAGTCCCAGCTACTTGGGAGGCTGAGGCAGGAGAATCGCTTGAACCCGGGAGGTGGAGGTTGCAGTGAGCGGAGATCGCGCCACTGCACTCCAGCCTGGGCGGCAGAGCAAGACTCCGTCTCAAAAAAAAAGACACAAACACAAATTGCATGGCCAGGCTGCAGGGTGCATTTGGGAAGTCAGGAATGCAGAGGTGGTGATAACACCAGGGACCCAGGCGAAGCCACCTGAGCAGCGAGTGCAGAGAGAGGACAGCAGAGGACCAGCCTGGGACAGCCCAGGGTTAAGAGGCCAGGGAGCAGGGACGACTCGCCCTTGGGAACTGAGGAGAGGTGGGTGGGGAGGCAGGAAGGGAGCCAGGGCAGAGGGCATGTAGGAAGCAAAGGTCTCATGAAGGGAGGGGATCTGCTGAGCCAACTGGTGCTGAGACGGCAAGGTGAGGCCTGCCCCAGGACAGTCACCGGGCTCCACGACAGGAGGCCATCGGTGACAAGGACAACGTCAATGGGCCAGGACAGGGCCTGCCTGGGTAGGGGCAAGAGAGAGCAGAGGGAGAGAGAGTGGGACCAGTAAAAGTAGACAGATGTTTCAAGTTTTGTTGAAAGGGAAAAAGAGGGATATGCTAGAGGGAGAACCAGGGCTAAGGGGGAAATGTCTAAAGTGAGTCCAGGGAGGGGCAAACACAGGGAGCTTTGGGTCAGGCACGCCTGGTCTGAAGGCCCAGCTCCAAAGTGAAGGCCGCATGCATTGTCTCTGGAGCCCACCGTGCCAGGCCTCGTGCTGAGCCCACACATGCATGACCTCAGGCAATTTTCCCAGTTGCCTCACAGCACACACAAGGCAGGTGTCGCTATGATGTCCCCTTTACAGATGAAGAGACTGAGGTTCTCAGTGGCTGAGTTGCTTGTCTGAGGAGCTGGGAGGGAGCTGGTGATAACTGCTCAGTGCTCAGCTATCCACCCAGCACCACCTCAGTCATGCTGCTGGCTGGGCTCCTTGCTCCTAATCCAGGGAGAAGGGATGCTAACAGCTATCCTGGGGGCTGCCTCCATCACCACTGGAAGGACTGCACAGGTGTTAGCTGCTGGGTGCGGGGGCCGCGGGCCGAGCCTCCCCCACTCCCTCCTGGTACCCTCACCATTCTTGTCTTCCCCCTTACCAATCTTGGGGGTGAGTAGGGTTGGGGTGAAGAGTAGGGAAAGAGGAGGAAGGCAGATGGCTGAGGTGGAATGCCTTGCAATGGTGTTCAAGGCCCTCTCCACCCCAGTCCTGCCTGACCACCTCCCATCACCCCTATGCCCAAGGCAGCCAGCAGAGGGCTTTGTAGTTCCCCAAATGCACCTTAGAGTTTTATGCATCTCTGCACACACTGGACACTCTCATCCTAACAGGGAAATTTCTCCTCTTCCAAGACTGCTCAATTACTGCCTCCTCCGGGAAGCTTTCCCTCACTGACCTTATCCCACCCACAGATAGACCTGGCTGACCATGCACTCCTCTCTGCCCTGTACAGCTGTCTGCCCTAGAGTGTGTCTCGTTGCATGTGATGGTCCATTGGAGTGTCCTTCTTCCTCAGGAGATTAGGTACCCCACGAGGCACAGCCTGCATCTGATTCATCTCTGTGTATCCAGTACCCAGCACGTGTCCACACAGAGGAGCAGCTCAGGGAACCTTCAGTGGATAGATGGGTAGGTGAGTGGAAAAATAGATAAAAGAATGGATGATAGGATGGAGTGAATGAATGGGTGGGTATATGGATGGTAGGGTGGATGGGGTGGGTGATTAGAATGGGTGAATGGATGGGTAGATAAAATGAATGGAAGATGGGTAGGTGGGTAGATAGAAGGAAGGATGGAGATGGATGGATGAATGGATGGACGGATGGATGGGAGATGGAAGGATGGAAGGAAAAAAGGAAGAAAGGATCTCTGGATGAATAGATGAGTGGATGAAAGGAAGATCGATGAATAGATGGATGCATGGACAAATGGATGGAAGAAAGGATCAGTGGATGAATGGATGCATGGATGGATGACAGATGAATGGATGGAAGAAAGGAAGGAAGGGTCAGTATGGATGGGTGGGTGGGTGGCTGTGTAGATGGATGGATGGAAGGAAGAAATGGATTGATGGAATGGAGGGAGAGATGGGTAGATGGGAGGATGGATAGATGGATAGATGGATGGATGCATGGATGGATGGATGGATGGATGGATGGATAGATGTATAGGTGGGTGAGTGGGTGGATGGATGGATGAGTGTGCAGATGGATAAGTAATGGGGTGGGTGGGAAGGTGGGTAGGTGGAAGAAAAGGTGGGTGGATGAATGGGTAAGTGGGAGGATGGACAGATGGGTGGATGAGCGGGTAGGTGAATGGGTGTGTGTAGAATGAATAGATGGAGAGGAAGGTGGGTGCGAGGGGGATGAATGGACAGACAGACCCAAGTATTTTGTGTTCCCTTCCCCAAGAGCTTCTGAGATAAGAAAATCTTAAGAGTCCTTCACAGCTACTCAGAAGGCTGAGGCAGGAGAATGGCGTGAACCCGGGAGGCAGAGGTTGCAATGAGCCGAGATCATGCCACTGCCCTCCAGCCTGGGCGACAGAGCGAGACTCCGTCTCAAAAAAAAAAAAAGAGTCCTTCAGTTCCAAAGCCCCTTCAGGCCAATGCTCCAAGTGTGGATTTCCACCTGCCAGGTGACAGGCAAATGCCAGGGCGCAAAAGCTGCAGTAACAAGGTGCCTGCGAGGAGCAGGTGTGGCCGTGGGGAGTGAGTTGCCAGCTGCTGAGCAGCGAACACGCATTGCGACAATGCCACAGACAGCAGCAGACGGGGGTGTGGTGGGGGGTGTGGTGGGGGTGGGGGGGATAATGGATGAGCAGATGAGAGGCGGGGAGTGGGCAACAGCCTGCGTCAGATGGGACAGGCCAGACGGACTGCCCTCCTCCCAGGACACTGACAAGCAGATACCATCTGGGCCGTCTCCAACCAGGGCCCTGCGCTCACATGGGGCTGAGGGGTGGGAGGATGCTGCTCCCACTGTCTTTTAGGTGGGAAGTTGGAGGCGAGAAGACAGAGGGAAGGAAGCTTTCTCCTGGGGACCTGGCCCTCCCGCCACTACCCCAACGTGGTCCCACCTGACAGGCTGCTGGGGCTCATCTGCTGTGTCAGGATGGCCTTGAGCTTCTTGATCTCCTCCTGGTACTCGCGAAGCAGCGCATCCTTGGGGTCCTCATTGATGCGCGGCTTGTTCCTGATGTTCTTGGCCCGGTTGGCGTAGCGCAGCGTGCTGAGTGTCTCATCGTAGTTGTTGTCCGCAGGCGACAGGCAGGCCACCATGAGCGTCTTGGTGTTGCCGCCCAGTGAGTCCTGCAGCAGCCGCGTCAGCTTCGAGTCACGGTAGGGGACGTGCTTACAGCGCCCGTCCACCAGCGCCGAGATGACATTGCCCAGTGCCGAGAGCGACAGGTTGATCTTGGTGGCCTCCTTGAGCCGCTCGCCCGTGGCCCCGGTCTTGGACTGCCGCTCGCTGCCCGCCAGGTCCACCAGGTTCAGCTTGCCCGCCCGGAGGTGGTCCTTGCCCCGCTCATCTGCACACAGACCAGGCAAAGTGGCGAGGGCCTCGGGTGAGCCCTATGTATCGAGGGCAATCAGTGCCAGGCACTGGGTGCTCAATGCCCACCCACCGAGGGTTCCCCTCAGCTGCACAGGAGCCCCAGGAAGCAGGTGCTATTATTGGGTTCATCTTACAGATGGGTAGACTGAGGTTCAGAGAGGGCATGGAACTTGTCCAAGGTCACACAGCTGCTAAGAGCTATAGCCACCATCAGAACCCAGGGCAGGCTGTCTCCAGGAGCAGGGCCTGGAGTTGCAGACCATTCTGAGTGCAATAGGGCCTCTGGCTGCCACAGCAGCTCCCGAAGGCTTCCTGCAAGGTCAAGGTAGAGAAGGGCAGGGGTGTGGGCTGGATCACCAGGGAGTGATGTCATTCAAAACAGAAAACATCTGCTTTGGAGACTCCCAGACCCGGTTCCCAACCCAGTCGTGTCTTCTCCTTGCAGTGTGGCATTAGCAGAGCCACCTACCTCCCAGATTCTCAATTCCCCACATCAACAAAATGAGACTACCCATGGTTCCCCATTAGGGTTTGTGAGACAAAGCGGCAGATGTTAGAAGCCACATTTGCTCTTTTCCGCTTGCCAGCATAATCAGCTCACAAAGCCGCTGCCTCTGTGCCGGCGCGCAGAACTGTGCAGAGCTCCACAGACACGCTTTGAAGACAAAACAGGATGGAGTCTACGGTCCCCCATGTCTGTCGCTGAGTCACCACATCACTTAAAGACAGAGCCTAGGCCATGCCTTTTCCTACACATGAGATAATGTCTGCCGGGGTTCGTGCGGAAGCCTCTGGAATCTATCACCAGATGTGCTCTTGCACCCAAACCTTGATGTGATTCTGAGCAAGTCAGATGTGATTCTGCAGGTGCTGAGTCTTCACCACCTGTATATAAACTGTGAACTGAAATACTGACAGAGCCGCTCTGGGCTGTAGGCCTCAGTCTATAATCCTCAGTAGGATGTCTCTTTTTTTTTTTTTTTTTTTTTTTTTTTGCCTTTGGGACAGGGTCTCACTCTGTCGCCCAGGCTGGAGTGCAGTGGTGCAATCCTAGCTCAATACAGCCTCGAACTCCCAGGCTCAAGCAATCCTCCTGCTTCAGTCTCCCGAGTAGCTGGGACTGAAGGCGTACATCACCACGCCTGGCTAATTTCTTTCTTTTTAGAGATACGGTGTCCCTATGTTGCCCAGGCTGGTCTCGAACTGCTGGCCTCAAGTGATCATCCTGCCTTGGCCTCCCAACGTGCTGGGATTACAGGCATGAGCCACTGTGCCCAGACTTGTTGATTTTTCTTTAGTTGACAGGTTGGTGGTCTGGAGAAGTAAGGTAAACAGACAGCGCATTCGTAGCCAGCTGGTTCTTTAGGCTATTAAAAAACAACAGGCTGGGTGCGGTGGCTCATGCCTGTAATCCCAGCACTTTGGGAGGCCAAGGCAGGCGGATCACCTGAGGTCAGGAGTTCAAGACCAGCCTGGCCAACATGGTGAAACCTTGTATCTACTAAAAATACAAAAATTAGCCGGGCGTGGTGGCACATGCCTGTAATCCCAGCTACTCAGGAGGCTGAGGCACAAGAATTGCTTGAACCTGGGAGACAAAGGTTGCAGTGAGCCGAGATTGCAACACTGCACTTCAGCCTGGGCGACAGAGCAAGATTCTGTCTCAACAACAACAACAACAACAGGCCAGGGGCAGTAGCTCACACCTGTAATCCCAGCACTTTGGGAGATGGGAGGATTGCTTGACCCCAGGAGTTCGAGACCAGCCTGGAAAACATGGCAAAACCCCGTCTCTACAAAAAAAAGTATAAAAATTAGCAGGGTGTGGTGGTGCATGCCTGTGGTCTCAGCTACTTCAGAGGCTGAGGTGGGATGATCACCTGAGCCTAGGAGGTTAAGGTTGCAGTGAGCTGTGATCATGCCACCGCATTCTAGCCTGGGCAGCAAAATAAAATCCTGTCTCAAAAAAAAAAAGAAAGAAAAGTAAAAGAAAACAAACAAACAAAAACACCACCAAAAACAGCTGGGTGTGTAGTGTCGTGTGCCTGTTGTCCCAGCTACTCAGGAGGCTGAGGTGGGAGGGATGCTTGAGCCCAGAAGTTCAAGGCTACAATGAGCTATGATTGCACCACTGCACTCCAGCCTAGGTGGCAGAGTGAGACTCTGCCTCTCAAAAAAGGACAGGAAGGAACTTGGTGCTGCCTCTTTGGGAAGCTCTTTGCAGAACGGACCAGAAGCCTTAACCACGTTTGTTATCTTTGCTCCAGGACTCCATTGCAGGGAACCGAGTCTGAGGAAATGACTCTCAGATGAGAAAAAGCTTTGTGCACACAGATGTCCATCGTGGCATGACTTGCAGCACTGGGAAACTGGAAACCAATTGTCAAGGACCGGTTGGAAAATGGCATGAGCCAGGCCACCACACATGGTCATGAAGACACGGTGACAGTAAAGTGCAGAAATGCTTAGTGACAGCAAGGGAGATGGAACCAGGGGAAACCTACATGGCGTAAGATTTCAGTTATGTTTAAAACATTCACAGGAAAAAAGGATCAAAAGAAAATATGGGCTGGGCGCAGTGGCTCATGTCTGTAATCCCAGCAGTTTGGGAGGCTGAGGTGGATTGCTTGAATCCAGGAGTTCGAGACCAGCCTGGGCAACATGGCGAGATCCTGTCGCTACAAAACATAAAAATTAGCTGGGTGTGGTGGTGCATGCCTGTAGTTCCAAGCTACTTGGGAGGCTGAGGTGGGAGGATTGGTTGAGCCTGGGAGACCAAGGTTGCAGTGATCTGAGATTGCACCACTGCACTCCAGCCTGGGCAACAGAGCTGTCTCAAAAAAAAAAACAAACCAATGTGTATGTGTGTGTGTGTGTGTGTGTGTGTGTGTGTGTGTGTGTGTGTGTGTGTATAAAAAATATATATGTATATATATAATATATACATTTATATATAAATAAACATATAAAGAATTATAAATATAAATAATTATTAGATATTAATATAATGCTTAAATGTTAGTGGTATTTAGGTGTCAGAACTATGAGTAACTGTTCCCTACCATTCCCTACTTTACCATCATCACTGAGCTCACATTATTTTATAAGGTGAATGTGCAACCAGCCTGCCTCATCCTTCAAATCCTCCTGCAAAGACCAAGAGGTGCCCCCTAAACCCGCTCCCTCCTCCTCCCTCCTGATCTGTCCTCAGTTGCCCTGGTCTCTGCCCCTCCCTGAGCTGCAGTATTGAGGCTGTGACCACTCTGGTCTCAACCCTCCCTATATCAGCATCCCCGGGACACTCAGACTCATGGCCTCATACCTAAGCAAGCACTGGGGCTTGGCCCAAGGCCAGGTCACCACACCAGCTGGGCAATGCGTCCAGGAGGTTCCATCTACTCAGGCCTTGACCCTGGGTAGTGCAGTGGTGCGATCTCAGATCACTGCACCCTCGGTCTCCCGGGCTCAACCAATCCTCTCACCTCAGCCTCCCAAGTAGCTGGGACTACAGGCATGTACCATCACACCCAGCTAATTCCTGACCCTGATCCCTGGGTCAGGGATCTCTCCAGAATTATGTTCCCAGTTGGGCTGAGGCCACCTCCTGCTCCACTGCTCTTTGGAGTTCTAGTCATGATGGACCACAGCTTGGAGGCAGCTGCAGCATTCATGGGAAAACCCAGACATCACGGAGACCCGGGTTCAAATCCCAGCTCCACCAATTAGCGGCGGTGAGACCTTGAACAAGCAAATCACTTTACCTCTCAGAGCCTCTGTTTCCTCGTCTATAAAATGAGGATTCTAGTGCCTGTCTCTAAGACTGTCGTGAGATTTAAATGGAATGAAGGGTATAAAGGGTTTGGCACTGCAGATGGCCAATGGGGCCCCCAAATAAACATGGATTTCTTTCCTTCCTCTTTGCTTTCTCGGCAGCATTTCCAGAAAAAAATAATAATGAGATGACTGAGGAGTAGAGAACGTTACAGAGGGAGAGGAGAATCCACAAGGTTGGAGTGACACACACTCCAGAGGAAGACCCTGGGATAGAAGCCAGGCTCTGACACTAGTTCCTAGTTGTGTGGCCTCAATTTCTTCCTCTGTAAAATGGGGATGATTCAGTATCCACCTCATGGGAGTGCTGTAGGAGTAAGTGAGATAATGCACACACATTGCCTGGCACACTGGCCGGGCGCAGTGGCTCAAGCCTGTAATCCTAACACTTTGGGAGGCCAAGGCGGGAGTATTGCTTGAGCTCAGGAGTTCAAGACCAACCTGGGCAACACAGCAAGACCCCGTCTCTACAAAAAATTAGCCAGGCATGGTGGTGTGCATGTAGTCCCAGCTGCTCAGGAGGCTGAGGTGGGAGGCTCGCCCGAGCCTGGGAGGCAGAGGTTGCAGTGAGCCGAGATCACCACTGCACTCCAGCCTGGGTGACAGGGTGACACTTTGTCTCAAAAAACAAATAAATAAATAAAAATTGTCTGGCACACAGTGAGCGCTCAATGTTGGCTCCCAGTGTTACTGTGTTTGCTGCTGTTTATCCTGGGAACACGGGTCCCAGCATCCCAAGGGTCCTCTTGGGTTTCCTCCAGGCTGTTAGAGCATCTCTTCCCACTTTCCAGGGGCTCCTGCGGCCCCGAGAGGTGGCGTGCCTTGGCTAGTGGGAGTGGCTGGGTCATCTGTCCCCCTGCCCCCAACAATGGCCTCGCATACCCACGGCAGACATCTCGATGCTGATGGTGAAGATGGAGTGCGAGCGTGAGGAATCCTTGTTCATCAGCGTGTAGCCGACCGAACGGTTCTTCCAGCCAGTCTCCATGATGTGCTCACACTGGGCCACGCTGTGCACCGTGTGCATGGACAGCCCCTTCACGTACACGCCCTTCTCTGGGTGCTCCTTCAGCTGAGGGAGGAGGAACAGTCAGGGGCGGAACCTCCAGCCGCCAAGGGTTAGGACCAGGGATGGTCAAGGAACCAGAGAGAAGGGCCCCATCCAGACCGCCCTCGCCCTCCTGTAATGCAGGCTGGCACCTCACATGCCTGTCACAGGGAGGGGTGTGTTCCAGGCCCAGCCAGCCTCAGACCTACCCCTGCCTCCTACTTGCTATGGGACCTTCAGCCAATGACAACCTAAGACTCAGTTTCCACATCTGTAAAATGGGCATGAGACAGCTATCTCATAGGATATGGGGAGGAATCCGTAAAATAAGGCACACACAATGCTTAGCATGGTGCCAGCACCTAAGTGCCCCATAGATGCCAGCCACTGTCTGTGCTGTTGTTGTTAGTGCTATGATTACAAAGGTGGGTTTCCTTTAGGGAGCTTCAGATCCCAGGGGCTGAGCCTGTCGTCACCCATGAGCCCTGAGTGCTGTCTCCCTTTGCCCGTTGCTAAGGCTCCAGATCCCCTCTGCCGTGGCTCTAGAACAACAGGAATATCCCCAAACCCTCAGATCACAGGTGAGCCCACTTGCTCCCCAGAACCCCGCAGGCTCACAGCCCAGAGGCCCCCAGCCCTCAGGGCGATGGCAGCAGTAAATTAATTTATCTGATGGCTCCCTGCTGGCTTTCCAGGCAGCAAAGTCATTTTGCTGCGGACACGGAGCTGTGAAACACGGTATTTTTCAAGTGTGAGAGGAAATAAAACCACTCTGGCACCAGAGCAGAATGAATGAGGACAAAAGGCATTTGTCTGCCAAGTGGTCCTGTGGGTCAGAGCCACAGGAGGCTCAGCTGCTTTGCTCCCAGCAGCTCTAGGGGGGTCCCAGGTGGGCTCAGGCCCCTGCTGTGGGAGAGGCGTGGGTGGGGGTCGGGGCGAGGCACAGCTGGTCCTATCTGCTGAAGCGTGGAGAAACAGCCAAGCCCCACCAAGGGACTGGGCTTCATGGAATAGAGGAGTAACTGACACCCAGAAAGGAGAAGGTGAAGGTCACAGCTGTTTGTTAGTGGGGTCATAGCTGTTAGTGGGGTCACAGCCGATGGAAGGCTCCAGGGTTCAGGGCACAGAGAGAGGCCAGAGCATCCTGCAGGAGCTGAAGCTTGAGATGACAGAGGGCAGGTCTCGGCCCAGGCGGCAGCTGTGAGGAGGGAGCCCAGAGGACGGAGCCGCGTGTGGCCTGAGGGCACCTTGTTCTGTGACTTGCTGGTTGGGGAGGTTAATATGCCTCTCTAAGCCTCAATTTTCTCTTCCATAAAATGGGGATGATAACTCCTATTTCTACAAGATTATTATGAGGATTAGGAAGAGAACAGATCTAAAAAACGGTTCTGCGGGTACTCAGTGGGGGCTCAGTTACAAAGAGGATGAGGTCGCCATCTCGGGCCTGAGCAACCCCAGGAGACAACACCTCACCCGAGGGGTCTCCCGCCACGATATTTTCCAGCCTAGGAAGGCTCTCTGCTCCCACACTTGTGATGGCCTCAGGGGTCCCCCTCCACCGCGCTCCCAACCCCACTCCACCCCCGACGCCTGGGGAGGCGCTGAGTGACAGCCCTCAGCCGCGCACCAGGTTCCTTGGTAACTGCTCATCTCTGCTGCGGAGAGGCCAGAGCCGGGTCACCATGGCAACCAGCTGGGATGCGGCAAGGATGAGAGAGGGGAGCATGGCAGGAATGTGTCCATCGCTGCCACGGGGAGGGGAGCCCTTGACACTTTGCCTGGACATGGGTGGGAAGAACCCGCTGGAGAGGCCCCCTCAGGCCTCACCAGATCAGGCAGTTCAGGGCTGGGTTCTGTGATGGTAGTTTACAGTGGCTAGGGGGAGGGGATAGAACTCTGCTTCCCCAAACCTCTTGCTGGCCTTAGGTGATGTAATAACCTCTGATTACAACCACGATCGGGCCTGTGTTAAGCACGGGTTAAGAGTGTGTGCTGTGGAGCCCCCGGGTTCAAATCCCATCGCCACTCTTTACTGACTGTGTGTCCTTGGGTTGGTCTTACTTAGGCACATGGAGCCTCAGTTTCCTCATCTGTTGTTACAAGGAATAGGAACGGTGCCTCCTCCTGGACTGCCAGGAGGTTTACATGAGAGCCATCTGCACATCCTCCACGAGGGAGCGTGTCTAAAGCCCGGTGACCTCTGGAGTGTGTTTCAGCAAGCGCATCTGTCACTGCAGCCCCCAAGGCAGCTGGTTCAATAGGCCTGAGACCCATGGCTCAGCTGCAGCAAGTGTGAGCAGCTGCCAGCCTTCGGCCCCTCTAGGCCCGGGTAACTGAGGCCTTTCTAGGGTCCAGGGTAGTGACGAAGGGGAGGAGGGCTCCCTGCTGCTCCAGTGCGGGTTAGCAGAAGGTTTGCAGGGGGCCAGAGTGCCCTAACTCCACAGGCTGGCCTTCTGGGGCTGACATGTGGGAGCAACACCCTCTGTTGCCTCCTGTCTCTGCTTCCCTGTCTGGGGGCTGAGCTATGATTCAGCTGCACTAGGAGAGGGAACGCAGTAGAAAAACTCTAGGTGGGAGGCTGGAGGCTCCTGCATAAAAAACACCAAGTGGCTGGGTGCATGTGGTGGTGCATGCCTGTAGTCCCAGCTACCGGGGGCGCTGAGGTGGAAGGCTCAAGGCCAGGAGTTCGAAGCCAGCTTGGGCAACGCAGCGAGACCTTGTCATATATATATCTATATTATAGATATTATCTATATTATATATATAGATAATATTATCTATATATATATCTATATATATCTATATATATATAATATAGATAATATCTATATATATAATATAGATAATATTATCTATATATAATATAGATAATATTATCTATATATAATATAGATAATATTATCTATATATAAAATTATATTATATCTATATATATTATATATATAAAATTATATTATATCTATATATAATATAGATAATATCTATATATAAATAGATAATATCTATATATATAATATAGATATTATCTATATTATAGATATAGATAATATTATCTATATTATAGATATTATCTATATATAATATAGATAATATTATCTATATTATATATATAATATATCTATATTATCTATAATATTATCTATATTATCTATATTATATATATATTATCTATATATAGATACTATATATAATATAGATATATATATTTTGAGACGGAGTCTCACTGTGTTGCCCAGGCTGGAGTGCAGTGGCACAATCTCAGCTCACTGCAACCTCTACCTCCTGGGTTCAAGTGATTCTCCTGCCTTAGCCTCCCCAGTAGCTGGGACTGTAGGCATGCACCACCACGCCCAGCTAGTTTTTGTATTTTTAGTAGAGATGGGTTTTCACCATGTTGGCCAGGCTGGTTTCGAACTCCTGACCTCAAGTGATCTGCCCACCTTGGCCTCCCAAAGTGTTAGGATTACGGGCAAGAGCCACTGCACCTGCCTAAAAAAGTTTTTTTTAATTAAAAAAAAAAAAAAAAGTCCCGACTCTAGCCTCCCAGTGCCGGCACCCTCAGGACACTTTCCCATATTTCTGAGGGAGCAGCACCAATGCCAACCTCCCCCCTACCAGCCCCACCTGCCCACAATGGGTCTGCACCCACCTCCAGCTTCTGCTTGGTGTCAGCCCCAAGGAGGTCCCGGACATCTTCATTGTAGATCTCCAGGTAGGAGGCCCGGACCAGGAACTTAGTGTTCTCTGCACACTGCAGGGAGTACACAGAAAGAACCTAGACCTCAGAGCTCGAAGTCCACCTGCTGCCAGGTCTGACCCTGGGGCCTGGGCCCTCTGCCACCAGGACATCATGGGAGGAGAAGGGACATCGGGGCAAGAGGAGTCTCCAACCCAACCCGCCCTGCTGGCCTTCCTGGCAAGCTCTCTCCTGTCTCCAGCTTGGTGGGCGCTCAGGCCTCTTTGAGTTGCATAATCTTCATATTGCTGTCTAATGCTCTGTCTACAAGCCTCATGGGAAAGGAAACAGAGGCCTCCTCGTTATTCAGGTTAAAAACAAAAACAAAAACAAACAAAAAACAAACAAAACAAAACAAAAAAAACAGGGCGGGGCGCTGCTCATGCCTGTAATCCCAGCACTTTCGGAGGCCTAGGTGGTTGGATCACCTGAGGTCAGGAGTTCGAGACCAGCCTGACCAACAAGGTGAAACCCCCGTCTCTACTAAAAATACAAAAATTAGCTAGGCCAAGCGCGGTGGCTCACGCCTGCAATCCCAGCACTTTGGGAGGCCAAGGCAGGCACATCACAAGGTCAGGAGATCGAGATCATCCTGGCTAACACGGTGAAACCCTGTCGCTACTAAAAATACAAAAAATTAGCCAGGCATGGTGGTGGGTGCCTGTAGTCCCAGCTACTCAGGAGGCTGAGGCAGGAGAATGGCGTGAACCCAGGAGGCGGAGCTTGCAGTGAGCTGAGATCACGCCACTGCACTCCAGCCTGGACAACAGAGCGAGACTCCGTCTCAAAAAAAAAAAAAATTAGCTGCGCATGGTGGTGGACACCTGTAATCCCAGCTACTCAGGAGGCTGAGGCATGAGAATTGCTCGAACCCGGGAGGCAGAGGTTGCAGTGAGCCAAGATCGCGCCATTGCACTCCAGCCTGGGCGAAAGAGCAAGACTCCGTCTCAAAAACAAAAACAAAAACAAACAAAGAAAAAGTGCGGTGGCTGACACCTGTAATCCCAACACTTTGGGAGGCCGAGGCCAATGAATCACCTGAGACCAGGAGTTCAAGACCAACCTGGCCAACATGGCGAAACTCCATCTCTACTAAAAGTACAAAAATTAGCCAGGTGTGGTGATGGGCGCCTGTAATCCCAGCTACTCGGGAAGCTGAGGCAGGAGAATTGCTTGAATCTGGGAGGCAGAGGTTGCAGTGAGCCAAGGTCATGCCATTGTACTCCAGCCTGGGTGACAGAGCAAGACTCCGTCTCAAAAAAAAAAAAAAAAAAACACCTGAGGCCACAGGGAAGGCCTGGGCCAAGCACTGGCTCTGGGCTGGTCCCTGGCAGCTCTCCAAGGCCCTACATGTTGCTGTGGCCACCATGATGAGTCCTGAGAGTGGCACAGTGGGTTCTGCAGCTGATCAGGGTTGTCCCCATCCGCCATTCCCCGTGCACTGCCACAAATGGTCGCCAGGTAATTCTCACCTGCAGCCTGGATGCCGGGATGAATTCAGAGTCCAGTCTCAACTTGGCCAATAAAGGCTCAGTCTCAACCTCCCTATCTCAAAAATGGGGTTATCAGCTACCTCCTGGGTCAGGCTGGAGATTCAGTGAGATAAGGATGCCAAGGGCTTCACATATGACTTGGTCCATAACAATTGCTCAATAAAGAGGGAAGCTGTGATTGTTACAACCACTTCCTGGCCCAGTGCACAGGGTCAGCAGATCCATGGGAAATGCTCAACTAAGGGTTAGAAGGCAAAAATGGTGAGAGAAAAGCATGGACAGAATTTTCTCTGTTCTAAGTTTTTTTCCCACCACCTTTTCAGAACCCAGAGCCTTCTCTGCTGATCTGCACGGGTCAGGCCGGGCTCCAAAGACTTCCCGTGTCTCTGCCACCTGTCAGAAGTGCTCTGGGCCCAGCTGCAGCTCTGGCCCTGCCCCTTCCCTCTGCGAGGCCCGTACCTGGACGCTCTCGAACACGTGCTCGAAGGCCCTGGGGATGATGCCTCTCTGGGAGGGCGGATCCGGCAGGCCCTGCATGGTGAAGGACTTCCCGCTGCCTGTCTGGCCGTAGGCAAAGATGGTGCCATTGTAGCCCTCAGTGACGCCCTGCATGGGAGGAAGGCAGGACCCCGTGCTCAGTGGAGCAGGCACAGCAGGGCTCGGGACAGGGCTCCCTAACCCACAGACTCAGGGCCCTTCCTGGTCCCCCCACCAACAATGGCACTGGACTGTGGAGATAAACAAGGCGCAGCTCTGTCCTCAAGGAGTTGACTCTCTGGTGGGGTAGGAGCTGTCCCTGTGTGTGGATGGGGAAGAGCCTGAGCTGTGGGCTTGGCCCCCTGGGCTCACATCCATCTCCACTTTACTGACCGTGTGCCCTTGGGCTGGCCTTACTGAGGCAAATTGATAAGATGATAAGAAAAACACCTTGGGCCAGGCGGGGTGGCTCATGCCTGTAATCCCAGCACTTTGGAAGGCTGAGGTGGGCAGATTACCTGAGGTCAGGAGTTCAAAACCAGCCTTGGCAACACGGTGAAACCCTGTCTCTACTAAAAATACGAAAAATTAGCCGGGTGTGGTGGTGAGCTCCTGCAGTCCCAGCTACTCGGGAGGCTGAGGCAGGAGAATTTATTGAACCCAGGAGATTGCAGTGAGCCGAGGTCGTGCCACTGCACCCCAGCCTGGGCGACAGCGCGAGACTCCGTCTCAAAAAAAAAAAAAAAAAAAATCAATATCTTAAAGGGTAAGAGCAGCACCTGCGGGGCTCTCACAGGGTGCATACAGGGCTTCTTTCGTGCATGGGCACAGGAAGCACTGCCATACACAGGTGATGGCCCAATGTCTGCCTGCAATGCAGGGAGCTGGACACGTACAGGTGATTCTCGTGGCGGGCTATGGGGCGGGGCACACAGCGACAAGAGTCCAGGCAGCCAGCCGGCAGGGACAGGGAGTACAAAGAAGCGAAAACAGGATGGCACAGGAAGAACGAAGCACAGCTTTCCAGGCGGCAAAGACAGGGAGAACTGGGGGAGCTGGGAGTGGGGCTCGTACTTTGCCAGGTGACAGGAAGAGGAAGGCATTCCAGGCTGAGGGGTCAGCTTGAGTAAAGCCACACAGATGAGGTGTGGAGAGCAGGAGGGACTAGGGGAGGGGTGGAAGATGAGGCCTGGAAGGAAGAGAGGAGGCAAACCCGGTGCTGTTCCCAAAGTCATTCCCAAAGTCATTCTTCATTCATCGCTGTTTCTATTCATTCGACAGGGACTATGCTCAGCCTACGGACAAAGTGGTGAACGAGGCAGACACAGTTCCTGCCCTTGCAGAGCTCATGAGCTTGCAAATTCTAGACCTTAGTGTGGGCTTGGGGTGGATCCTGTATGGGTAGATTGGCCCAGAGAATTGTTCTGAGACCCCAAGGGCCCACATGGCATCTATGCCCGGTTCCACTGCAAAGACCCATGCTGTAACCAAAACAGGGCTAGGTGTGCCCCATCTTGCCAGTGAGGGAAGATAAAAAGTCACCATTCGGCCGGACGCGGTGCCTCATGCCTGTGATCCCAGCACTTGGCGGGCGGATCACTTGAGGTCAGGAGTTCGAGACCAGCCTGGCCAACATGGTGAAACCCCATCTGTACTAAAAACACAAAAATTAGACGGGCGTGGTGGCAGGCACCTGTAATCCCAGCTACTTGGGAGGCTGAGGCAGGAGAATCGCTTGAACCCGGGAGGCGGAGACGCTGGGGATAGTGCAGACCCGGAGGCGACATTAGAGGCAGGCTCTGGTTGTGTCCCGCCTGGACAAAAGCCTCCGGACCTACCTGTTCCCGTCCGCCTGCGCCCCTCGAGGGCCTTTCCTCCTGGCTGGGGGGCAGCGCAGCCCCCTGGGGACTCTCGGGGCGGCCTCATGCCCTGCCGCCTGCAGGGCGGCCTGCCGGGCGCCCTCACCTCCACCAGCGGATAGGCGATCTCGTTGTAGATCTGCTCGGTGACGTGGTCCACGTGGTAGGCGCCGTCGAAGGTGAACTGCTTGGGCGGCTCGTCGGCGGCGCCCGGGTTCTGGATGCAGCACTGGGCGCGCGCGCAGTCCACAGTCACCACGGGCTGGCAGCGCAGCTCTCGCTCCCGCTGGTTCATGGGACGGCAGCGCACGACAACCTTCACCGCCTCGGAGGCCATGGCGCCGCGCCCAGGACCAACGGGACCAGAGCTGACCCCCGCCCCGCCGGGGACTCCCAGCAGCCCGGGCCAAGGGGCGGGGCCAGCGCCGGCCACGGGGGGCGGGGCCTTGAGGCAGGGGCGGGGCCGCGGCGGGGGGCGGGGACCCCTCGGGGGGCGCCCCGGAGGGGAGCTGGGCGTCGCAGGACCCGAGCCGGGGCCGCCGCTTCCTCCCGCGCCCGGGCTCGCCCGTTTCTGAGGCCCGGCCCGAGCGGGGACGTGGGGGATCCGCGCTGCAGGCGCCGCCGCAGAACCCGAGCCCGGAGCCGCCCCAGCCGCCTGCCCGCAAGCTCACCGCCGCGGCGTTCGCGGTTGCTGGGCAACGCCCGTGGCGTCACAAGAGCGGCCCCGGGAACGCCCCGCCTGGCCCGCGAGCTTCGCCCGAGTGATCCCCGCAGCCACGCGCGGCCGCTTGCGGGAAGCGCCAGCCCTGGCTGGGCTCCTTTCGCGTCCGCTGCCTTCTCGAATCCGCACAGTCCCAGTTCAGAGATGTTACGCAGCTTGCCCGAGGCTGCGGCTAAGACTGGGGCCCGGGGCCCCAGGCTTGACTCCACCTCGGGGCTACAGAGATCCCAGGCCTCAGGCACGGGCCAGGGACCTAGGAAAAGCGGCAAGGACCTGTTGCCCCTTATCCACGTCCCCGTACTGGCTCAGGGAAAGGCTGCCCACCACCCACAGCCCCTGGACAGCTTCCTCTCATGCCACCCGTGTTATTTCTAAGACCCGAGATTGTAAAACAAACACTTTGGGAGCAAGTCTTTTGGGCCGGGCGCGGTGGCTCACGTCTGTAATCCCAGCACTTTGGGAGGCCAAGGCGGGTGGATCACCTGACATCAGGAGTTCGAGACCAGCCTGGCTAACATGGTGAAACCCGCGTCTCTGGTGGTGGGCACCTGTAATCCCAGCTACTCAGGAGGCTAAGGCGGGAGAATCACTTGAACCCGGGAGGCAGAGGTTGCAGTGAGCTGAGATTGCATCATTGCACTCCAGCCTGGGCAACAAGAGCAAAATTCCATCTAAAACAAACAAACAAACAAAAACAAGTCTTTTGGATGGAAGGCTGCCTGGCCTATCCCTCCTGGCTCAGTGCAAGTTCCCCAGCCAAAAGAGCACCTCCGTCACACCTCTGGGCGCTGGGCTCTTCCTTGCACTGAAACACTGAGTGTCGGCTACATGTCAGGCACCGTGACAGATGTTAGGGAGACAGCCCTCCTGCATGATCTAGCTGGAGAGACAGACACAGGAAACAAAATCCCACAAACAAAATCCCGAAAACGAAAATGTAATTACAAGCTGAATAATCAGTTCCATGCAACATATCTTTTTTTGAGACAGGGTCTTGCCCTGTCACTGAGGCTGGAGTGCAATCATAGCTCACTGCTGCCTCAACCTCAGGAGGTCTCAAGCGATCCTCCTAACTCAGCCTCCCGAGTGGCTAATTTTTTGTAGAGATGGGATCTCATTTTGTTGCCCAGGCTGGTCTCCAATTTCTGGACTCAAACGATCCTCTCACCTCGGCCTCCAAAAGTGCTGGGATTACTAGCACGAATCACTGCACCCAGCCTATGGAACATCTAAAAAAGGAACCTCACTCAGCCCAGGGTGTAGGGCAGGCATCCTGAGATTGACTGGAGCTGAAATATGATGGCTGAGTGGTTAACAAGGTGAAGGGAAGGGAGGAGGAGGAGGACGCCGGTCTGGGCTGTGCGGAGGTCCTGTGGCACATTGCAGAAGCAGAAAGCAAGCCCAGGTTGCCAGTGCAGAAGGACTTGAGTCTTTTTCCTATAGATATATCCACTGAAAGTTGCAGCAGAAGAGGAACGTAAATTGATTGAGTCTCCCTGCGCAATTCCTTCTGAGCCCTTGAGGACAGGACCTCTGGTTCACCATTCAGCACCAGCTGAAGATACGTTTGGCAAAAACGAAATAGGGAAACGACAAAAACCTCACCTTTCGAAGGAAAGAAAAGTCTGTAGCAGACAATCTGAAGCAACACATTTTATTTTGTTTCAAGTCCACACAGCAAGGAAAGTGGGGCTACCGAGGTGGCGCAGATTGGAACAAAGAGAAAACTGTGGTCTCTGATTAAGACATGGAGTCTGCAAACAGGGGCCAAAAACCTTGCCCTCTCTGTAACACGAGATCAATCTATGCTGGCTGGAGGGATGTTAAAGTGCTTGGTGGAGACTGGTCCCTTCAGTGTGCTAAACATGGCCCTGATAGCTTCTCCACACAGGTAATTCACCAGTAAAACCCATCCCTCACAGAGGAGAGCCTTGGCCCAAGTCTGGACCAATGACCAGGTCTTCTTAAGTGCCCATCTCTGGGCTGTAATCCTAGACCCAGGACATGGCTAAACCTCTCTCTCCTTGCCAGGGAAATGTGAGGCTGGGGCCTCCCATAGAGACCAGTGGTTTGTCCAGGCTCCAGTACAGATGGCTGTAAAACAGAGTCCCAGCTTCCCACTCACTCAACATAAAACCAGTGCTGGGTTTCCAGTGAAAAGAAGTCCCAAAGGGCAGTTCCTTCTATCTTTTGTGACAGGATAGCTCACTTAACTTGCAAGGAAGTTACAAGGTCCCAGGCCAAGCCCCTCTCCTCACGGGAGGGTTGGAGGTGGGGAACACGAGGCCTGGGCCTCTGGGAGGCTGGCTTCTCACTCCCCAAGTTTGCCTCCTTTCTTTCTGCTCTGGTGGGACTGCCCAGTTCCTTCCAGGAGTCAGAAATCTGTGACTTTCAAGGCACTGAACAGTTCTGTCCCACTCCCAGACGGGGAGAGGGCAGCCCCCAGGCTCATGACGTGGCTTCTGCTTCAATAAGAGAAGTTCATGCAAAATGAACTTGTTCTATAACAGAGTTCAGTAGATTCATTATTTGTCAAGTTTGCTTACAAAGAGGGTTTGTCAGTCACTGGCAGGACCACTGCCTCACACTAGAGTCGTTTCCCTGGGTCTCCCATGGCCCGCTGAGGCCAAGCGCCCCCGGCAGGGCCCACATCAGGTCCACCTTTCGACGGTTCTGCTGTGACTGACCCCATTCCCAGTGGGGCTGGCCTGGTGAGGCAAGGTGGCCCCTGACAGCCACGGTCAGGGCCATGCTAAGGGGAATGTCAGCATCGGACAGCCTCCCTCCCAAGGCAGCCACCAAACCACATGCGGTCGAGTTAGGAAGGGCCCTGGTCACCCCTCTAAGCCTGCAGCTCACTGCTGGCCCCTCCCTGTCAAATGGCTAAAGGAGATGAGCTGGGGGTGGGGGTGCCCTGGTGATTCCTAGGGGGAAGGGGTGAGCCTGCGCATCCCTTCTGAGAAAGCGGGAGTCACAGCCCTGAGGTTTTGAGTGGAGACAGCATGGAGATTCTTGGCCCTGTCTGCTGGTGCGCATCCCTTTCTGCACACAGGAGTCCACCGTGCGTGAGCGTTAGGTACAGCCCTCTGTCCCTCCTGCCCTCTCTGCACCTTCCCACCCCTCCTTCACTCTCAGATACATATGAGAAACAGCCCTGCTCTGTCAGCCTAGATGGGGCTCATCCCCAGCCTCCTGCCCACAAGCTCCATGGAGTCATCTCTGCTCTCATAGACAGGGTGGCTCACTCCAGGTCTTTGCCCAGAGTAAAAGCTCACTCCTGCCTCCCCAAAACCCTCTTTCTGGAGACTCCCAGTCAGCGCCCCAAGGCCTAGCCTCCTTAGGAGAGGGCTGCAGCTTTGCCGTGAACAAGCTCCTGCCCCAGGAGTAAAGCAGAAGCCCAGAAGTCCCAAAGCATCCGAAGCCACACAGCAGGTCATCCGAAGCCACCCAAAGGGTTATCCGAAGCCTGCAACTCCACCTGCCCTCCTGGAATCTCAGCAGGCCACATGTTCTCCAAGAAGCCATTGGCGATACCCACCCTCAGGGCTCCCCTCCCACGGACAGTGACGCGATGGAAGACTGCTCCAAGGGCAGGGTGACTGGATGGAACTGGCAACCAGAGGGGTGCAGGACGGGCAGAGATGCTGCTGGGGCCCAGGAGCCGGGGTGAGGCGGGGCCTGTGGGACCGGGGCCCTACCTCTTAGCCCAGGCCCTGCAGCTCTGCCTCGGACTTGGCATGGCTGAGGGGCCGGAGAGTCCGGGGCGGCCTGCCTGGGGGCCCACAGTCCTGCTCCTCGTAGGTGGGGTTCAGGCGGCCCATGTCGAGGGGACAGAAGAGGCTACGTTCAGTAACCGCGTGGTTCTCCACCAGAGCCTCCAGGCTGGGGAACTCTGCCGGCAGGTGCTAGGGGAGGAAGGGACTTCAGCTCCAGTCCCCTTCCCCAGGGCTCACGCCAGGCACCAGCCACCCGCTCCCACAGGAGCCTGCACATTTTGGAGAGCAGGGAACGGAGCCCAGAGGCTTCACATGTGCTATCGTGGCAGAGCCAAACACCATTCCCTCTCTCTCTTCCCAGCCTGGATAGGAATGAGATGTTTAGCTTGGAAGTAAGGGTACACATGTGAAAAGCCTCGCCACCCCCTCCCATCCCTAGAAACTGGGGGGCAGGACAAGACATCACACTGGAGACTCAGGCTGTTGAGCTTAGGCACCCCCTGCCCTCTCTGAGTCAGTTTCCTCCTCTGCTAAGATGGGCTAGGGTGTGGGAAAGCCAGGATTCCTGTAGAAATGTTAGACATGACCCCAGCTCAAGACTCTATTAGAGGTACCCTTTGAAGCCACCTCTGGAGAGAAGGGTCCTCGGTGACCAGGCACCTCCCTTCCCCTCCAAGAGCCTTCAGGTCAGAGCAGAGCGGAGTCAACAGAGGTGGGGCCAAGTGGGCCAGCTGGGGGTGAGGCCAGCAGGGCCAATGAGGAAGGAGCAGGACAGTAGAGGCAGGATGGAATTGGATGAGGGGCGAGGCCAGGGAGAGCCAATGGGAGACAGGGATGGGGGTGAGGCACATTCAGGACCTCAGCAGTTAGAAAAGGGCAGGCAGGAAGGGCCAGGGATGGAGCCAATGATGCGGCAGGGCCCAGGCCCCTCTGGCTGCTGCGCTCTTACCTCCAAGCAGTAGCGGCCCAGGTGGTTCCGGAAGACCTGGTGGGGCACCACGCCGCACTGCGTGCGCACGGACAGACACCACTGGCCGCTAGCACCCAGCTCAGGCCACAGCAGGAAGGCCCCCAGCACGTCTCTCCGCAACAGGGCCAGGGCACAGGGCCTAGGAGCACAGAGGGGAGAGAGTAAAGGCTGGACTGCTCTCCTGGGCAATGGTCATGAGGACCCCAGCAGCATCGAGGCAGCCTGCGGATTAAATGCCCTTAAACACACGGTGCGTTGGCCGGGCTCAGTGGCTCATGCCTGTAATCCCAGCACTTTGGGAGGCCCAGGCAGGAGGATCCCTTGAGCACAGGAGTTTGAGGCTGCAGTGAGCCATGACCATGCTACTGCACTTCAGCACGGGTGACAGAATGAGACCCTGTCTCTAAAATGAAATTTCAAAACAAAAGCAACAGCAAAAACCCAACATGGGGTCTGACTCAGAGTCTGGCTCAACAGAAAGAAGCTTTTAGAAGCTTAGAAGGTTTCTCCAGAGTCTGTAATTGTTAGCAATGTCAAGACTCTCTCAGGAGAGAGGCTTAAAGAGCTGACGCTTAGGGGCCTCGCCCTGTTCAGGCCAGGTGCTGAGGGCTCTACTCAAATCACCTCATTTGACCCTCTCCACAGCCTTAAGATGAAGCTCCTTTCATTAACCCCATTTTACCTTAGAGAAAATGGAGGCCCAGGGTGGTGAAGTCCCAGGCCTGAGGTCACTGAGGTTGGGAGCGCTCTGCCCGTGCACGGGAGTGTGTGCCTCAGGGGCCTGGGAAGCCCATATTTCTCTGCCCACCCCAAGGGACTGGGCGTCAGGCCAGGCCAGGCCCTTCCTACCTGGAGATGCCAGCGAAGGCCCAGATGTTCTCCGTCAGGCTGCCCTCGCTCTCCACCAGGCACGAGTGGCCACCAGGACCCCGGGGCCATGCCTCCCATGCGGCAGGAACTGTGGAGACCATCCAGGAGTCAGAAGGAGAGTGGCCGAGCCCTCCCATTCCCTGCGGCCGCAGGCCTCATCACCCAGGGTGGTGTCCTCCCCAAGCCTCTCTACCCTGCTCAGCAGACATATCTGCACACGGGCCTTCCGCCCGACAGTTCTGGTCCATACACGGCTGTACACAGTCCCCTTTGCACAGACACGGATGCAGGCAAACACACACAGTGCACAGGCATCACTTGGAGGTGCGGCCACAGCCTTGCAGGAACGGGCACTCACGCCCACCTCTGGCTGGTCCAGGAGCGCACGGGCACGTGTCCCAGGTACACACAGGGCAGGCATGTTCCCACAACTCACAGGCCTCCCGAGCCGACAGCTGCAGCTGGGTCTCATAGGTGCAGCCGCGGTAGGCCCCCGAGCGGATCACCTTGCTGCGAATGGCCTTCTTGCGCACCAGCGTGGGCGAGCAGTAGGGATTCCCCAGGCGGGCATGGCGGGCACGGCCTTCCGACTCTGGCAGCTCCTTCTAGGGCACCAAGAGGGGCCCACAGGCAGGCAGACTCAGGTCTAGCCATGTCAGGCCAAGTGAAGCCCCTGCCCTGACATGCCCCCCAAACCCATACCCAGTTCCCTTGTCCACTGCCCACTCCTTGGCTGGGGTGCTGCGTACCCCACTGCCCACCAGCCCCTCTGCTGGCAGCCGCCGAAAGGAGACCAGGGCATGGACGTTCTGAGAGAGCTGATCACGGCCGAAGGGCTCCCGCACCAGGCCCCCAGAGCTGGACAGTGGCTTCAGGGGCACCTCCCCTGTGGGCCCTGGGCAGGGCTCTGGCTGTGCCCGCTCCTCAGGGTGCTGCAAGAGGTAAGCCAGCTGGAAAGAGCGGCACAGCAGCAGGTGCAGGATCTGGACCTGGGAGGGAGGGAGAGAGGTGGGCTCAGCTGGAGGAGGTCTCCATCTCCCAGTGAACTCCCTGGGCCTCAGCCCACTCACCATGGGTGCATGCAGCCCCTTGGCTTCGGAGGCTCTTCCCATTCTTCCTGGGAAAGCTCCTACTTACCCTTCAAAACCTCACCACCATGCAGGCTCCCTTACCAGCTTCCTTTATATATTTAACAAACACTGAGGACCTACTGTGGTCCAGGCATCACGCTTGGAGCAGAGAATGGAAGCGTGAGCTCATGCACTCCTGCCCCCAGGCTTACCAGCCCCACCCTGCATGCCACATCAGCGCCCTCTTCCAGGAATGGCCAAGAGCCCAGGTCCTGAAGTCAGAACTTGGGTTCCAATCCTGGCTCTGTCATGTAGGAGCTGCTGTGTGACCCTGGGCAGAGCATGGCACCTCTCTGTGCCTCGGTTTCCTCATCCCCACCTCCCTGTGCCCCTTTGAGGAGTCAGTGAAATAGAGCACAGGAAGTTCCCAGCACAGGCCCAGTGCTTGTCGGGAGCAGCGCATCCCAACCGCCACACACACCATCCAGACCCAACGAGTTAGAACCGTGAGCGTCAGCTCAAGGAACATGACTCAGCCACGTGTCACCCCAGTATCCAGCACATGGCCTGGATATACAGGATGACAGCAAATGGTTGCTGGTCAGAACCAAACCCAGCGTCTGCCTGCCAAGCGCCTAGCTGCCAAGGCTCTGTCCTTCACAACAGCCAGGCTGGCTTTGACTTTCTGATCTACCCGCCCACCCCGACCGCTCTGGGCCAAGCACTCTCTCAAGACCTGGACCCAGACTCGGCTCTCAAAGAACTCAGGTGCCTGTAATTAGGGCAGACGATGGTAGCGTGCAGTTCATGTCACAGGACCCCAGAGAGAGTGGCCATCCAGAGGAGTCAAGGCGGGGTTCAGACACATGGGCTGAGCCTTGAAGAGTGAGTGGAATGTGCTAGGATGAGAAGGGGAGGGGATGCCAGACAGAACGGCATGAGCGAAGGCCTGGAGGTGTGACTCTCCACTCTCTAAGCGCGTGGCCAGATTCCCGCCCCTGGGCCCTAGGGAATGCTGAGGCCACTGACTTGCTTTGTGGTGTCCTCAGTGGGAAGAGCCACAGAAAGAGCCAATGTGGTGAGGGGTGCATGCCTGGAGGGGGATCAGGCCGCCCTGGCAAAGCCCTCAAGGAACCCACCCTGATGCCTGGCGCACAGCCCCTCCGGCCTCCGTGGCGGTCCCCTGCCTCAAGCCCCAGATACCTCTCCTGGCTGGCTGCCCACAAAGAGGTGGCAGAAGAGCTTGCTGGCTGGGCTCCGTGGGTTTCGAGCCATGAAGGCAAACTGGCAGTCGGCAGGGCACCAGGTGGAGTAGAGTATGCGCCTCAGGGCATGAGCCATCAGCAGCACCTGGCGAGGCAGCAGTGTGAGGCCCCCATCAGACCCACCGGGCAGCCCCACCCCTGCTTGCCAGCCTGCAGGGGTGAAGAAACCCTCCCTCCTTCCAGGCCCGCCCAGTCTCAAGCCCTCATCCTTCACATGGGCCCTGGGGCTTAAGATCGCCACCCCCATGTGATGCTCGGCCTGCCGGGAGCACAGAGAATGGGAGTGGCAGCAGGCACTGGGGTGACACGCCTGGTCCCTGGAGGCAGGTGACTGGGGTGCGAATCCTGGCTCTGCCACTCATTTGTGTGACTTGGGCAGGTGAGGGCAGTCCTCTGAGCGCCTGTTGTGACGTGTCAGGTAGGGAGATATGAGGGCCTCTCGATAGGGCTGTAGGTGGGGATCAGTGGGACCTCATGTGAGTGGCACAGGACCTGACCCCAGGGCCCCGCAATGCCCAGCTCTGGGGACACCAGGTGTGCCTCAGTGGTAGGCGACTGATGCCTGCAGCTGTGGGGTACAGTCTGGCGCGCAATCAGTGTCCGCCCCACGCTGGTTCAGCAGCAGGACGAGCCTGCAGCAGGGCAGGGAGGAGGAGCAGTGGCCAGGAGCAGCCTACCGCACCTGGGTGAAGCTGCCCACGGCCCACCAGCCAGGGCGGGGCAGGGCAGCTGCGAGAGCCTCAGTGGGCTGGATGTTCCTGATGCTCAGGTGGGGAGGTGGCCCCAGAGGGATTCTGGAGGCCCAGGGGTGGGAAGCTGTGGCCTGAGCCAGCCCTGGGAGGAGGCGGCCCCTGGTGCAAATCCAAAGGCCCAGAGCAGGTAGGCTGGCGCGCCAGGGGGACCCCAGGGGAAGCACGGGGGCCGAGCTAAGGCCAGGACCTAGGCAGAGGAGAGCGCATCCTGAGGGTGGAGACACCTGTACCCCTCCAGTCCTCACCTGCACCCACAGGGGTTCCTACCTCACCCTCCCCGCTGTAGATCTTGAGACCCTGAAGGCTGAATTTCAGGATGACGGCCCGGCGTCGGGGACAGTCCTGGGTGGAAAAGAGTAGTGGGGACAGGCACCACCTCCCAGACCCTGCCTTGGCCTGCCCAGCCTCAGGACCATCCACCAAAGGCTGGTCAGCCCACTCCACCACCCCTGGCAGGGGGTGGGGCCCTGGCTGGTGGACCCCCCTGGCGCTGGGGAAGTGGGGATGGCTCCTGGCAGATGACCCCTAGCTAGGGCCACCGCTGGCCAGGCTGTGACTATCACCCACATCTCCATCTGTGGCTTCCAGCTGTGGGGCCCAGGTCACAGTAGCCCAGGGCATAAGGGATGGGGCCCCTGGAGCCTGGGTGTGTGTCCTGACCAGCCCACCACAAACAGGGCCTGTGTCCTGCCCCTCTCTAACTGTGGGGAGAGTGGATCTGGTCTAGGGGGTTACCTGGTCTTCAAGGCTGTGACTTCCACTAGGGAAGTGCCCTCCCAGGCCACCCACCTTCAGCGCCCACAGCTGCTGCTGCACCAGCCACACGCTCTCCTGGGTGTCCAGGTCATCCACAGGGAAGGAGCCCACGTACTGCTCGGCAGTGGGGTGAAGGGAGTAAGGCGGGGAGTCAGGCCCGTGGCTCCTAACCCCATCCTCCAAATTCCCCCCAAACACACATCTGCTCTGCCAGGCGTGTCTGTGGACAGACAGAGCTCGATTCTCGGAGCCCAGGCTCTGCTGCTTCCCCAGCAGGAGACCTTGGTCAGGTCACTGAAGCTCTCTGAAGTCCCAGTCCCTCATCGGGGCACACACACACTCCCCAGCCCAAGTCAGGCAAGAAAGAGGTGGAAATAGGTCCTAGGCCCGCAGCACTTCCCAATCACCAGCGCCTGCTACCTGAGGGCCACCCACCAGAGCACACCTGGACAGGGTGGCCCCACCCACCTGGGCAAACTTGGTGATGCACCTGGGCCGGTGAGGGGCCAGCCCGCAGTCAGAGGCCCTGCGGCCCCCAGCCCCCGCCTTCTGCATGGCCCCCAGGGTGCCTGGCTTCCAGCTCCACGGGAGGGGAGGCTGCAAAGGGCAGGGGGGGAAGGGCTGCTTTCGAGGCAGGCAAGCCACAGAGTGCCCCCCACAGGCCATTCATTCACTGGCTTCCTGAGCAGCTGCTATGTGTGCAGCACGGCTGCGCAATGTCCCGGGCCCTGGGGAGCCAGCCCAGAAGAAAATGATGACGTCTCTGACTGCCCTCAGGGAGCTTACTTACATTGTTGCTGGGGAGAAAGACATTGAACTAAATAGTAAGATAGATCATACGTGAGATGGGGATGGAGCAGGGAGGAGAATGGGAAACGTCAGCTTAAGGGCTGACTGTTGCTGGGAAGCCCTCACTGAGGAGGGGAGGTCTGGGTCAAGATCTGAAGGGTGTGGCGGTACATGCCCAGGGTCACTCAAAAACTCAGCAAGCACTGAGGATCCTGGTGTTCTGGGCTGGGGCCTGCCCCAGGGGCTGGTTACAGGAAGACCTGTAACCAGATTGCACAAAGTGCCAGAGGGAAGGGAGGGCCACCTGAGAGGGCGCCATCAAAGAGAAGGGCAGTGACAGCGGCAGAAACAGAGACTGCAAAGACACAAAGGAAGGCAGGCAGTGGGGGCCCGCAGGCCGACCTCAGCCCTTATCAGAAGGGCAGGCTGGATCCAGTTTGGGATCAGCCTTAGACGCCAGGCTCAGGAATTCAGACCCCACCCTGTGGGTAGTGGGGAGCTATAGCAGGTTCTAGGGCAGGAGCTCTGTAGTTCATGAAGGTGGCTGCAAGCTGGATGGCCAGAGCTGATGAGGCCAGGGACCTGCTGCATGGGACCCTGCCTCACTCAGCCCAAACAGACCCCAGCCCCTTCCTGAACCCCCCAACCCCTTGCAGATCATGAAAACCAGAACTCAGTCAGACAGTGCGCTGATGCAGACAGGATGTGGGGAAGGAGGACAACTGCCCTGGGGGCTGAGGACCACCCCCCACCGTCCAGCCCAGCCAGGTTCTGGTCTTTCCTGGGACCCCTCTCCCACATCCAGTCGTGGAAGAGAGGAGTGGACCCCCCTTAGGTGACTGTCCTCAAGGGCAGGGAACACACTATTTCCCATGAGAGCCCAGGACACAGCTGGTGTTCAATTAATGTGGAATTAACATATCATGGCCCCATGATTCCAAGAAAGAATGGCTAAATGCCTCTGGCGAGGTCCCCCAGGACTCAGCTCCCTCGGTCTCTCCTGGGACCAGTGAGAAAGCCACCTCTGTGTCCTACCCTGGCTGGCTTCACTCACCAGCCTGCTTGTCATCACTGACTTGGGATCAGAGAGTCCTGGGTCCAAATCCTGTGTGACTTTGGACCAGCTGCCTCAACCCTCTGAGCCTCCCCTTCCTCATCTGCAAACCTGGGATCATGTGAGGAGTAGATGGGGACAGAATGGAGGAGGCAGCGCCCAGCCCGACGCCAGCCAGGCTTGGATCCAAAGCTCAACAAAGCCTGCTGCTCAGGAGGGAGCTTGGGAGGACAGCGGGGTCTGACCACTTCTGCTCCCCTCCTTGTCCTTGGCCACACCGACAGGCGCCCACAGAGAGCAGGTATCCAACAGAGCCCTGGGCAGCAACGACGGGTCCCGGGTGTGCTCCCACTCAAGGAGGAGGGCTGGGGTGCTTTGGAACTGACTCTGTTAGCACCAAGAGCCCGGGAAGGGACCCTGTCTCTGCCTGCCCATGACCTTTAACCTCAGGCTCAGGCCAGGGTGGAGGTGCCTGCACCGATCCACTTTCAGTGAGCAGCCAGGAGCCAGAAAAAAAATGCTGCACCTGCACCATCCCCTTGAGAATTCCTGGCGCTCCCTCCTATCCTGGCTGCCCTCCTGCTTTTCTGGGCTATTGCACCCGGATCATTTTCATGTCATATCCTTTACCTACTGTATCTTTTATGTTTAAATAAAGCAAAGTTACATGTGCAACCGGCACTAAAGCCACATGACATTGCTTCCAGGTAAGGAGGTGGGGAGGGGGGCTTCCAGTGAAGCCGCCTTTCAACTTCACAGTCACATCCTGGGGCCAGGATCGGCCAGGATGGCGGGCAGTGGGGAGGGAGGAGGCAAAGACCACAAAACACGGAGAAAAGGAGAGGGAAGGTACGGACGATGGAGGGGTGGCCGGGGACAGAGGCAGGAACAGAGAAGGGCGAGAAAGACAAAGCAAAAGAGAGAAAGGAGAGCTGTGGGGAGGAGAGGGGAAGGGCACGTTTCCCATCCTGCTCGGGGGGGGGGGGGACGCAGCCCCTCAGGCACCAAGTGTGAGATGGGGAGGAGCCGTGCGGGCATCTCACACTCACACGCGCACACAGCTGTGTCCAGGGCTGCTGCAGTCCCTCCCTCCACACCCAAAGCTGCAGCTTTCAGCGTCCCCAGTGTCCCAGCGGTGGGGGTGCAGAGGCCAACCACTGGCCCTCTTAGGGGCCCCAGCCCACCTACCATCACCTGATCCTTTCCCCATCTCCCTGGTCCTTAGCCTCCTTGGAAACTGGAAGTTCCTCCCTCCTTCCTAAGCCTGAGGAGCACAGTGCATTCAGCCCAGGCCTGGAGTTGGGGTGGGGGGCTCCCGGGGGACCAGGGAGGGCATGGAGCTCACTCTAATCCTGGAAACAGACATTACCCAATTCCAGGCACAAAACACCCACTTGTCTCTTTGGGGCAGACCTGCTTTTCTGAGGCTTTACACTGGAGTCTGGCTGGGCCAGCACCTTCCGAAGGGGACACACTTGGAATGAGGCTGGAGCTGTCCTCTGAGGTTTTCCAGGTGGCCCTGCTCAGAGACAGGAGACTGGATGGGCTGACCTGCCTCGTGGGTCAGGCGCAGAAGCCCTCTGGGGCACTGCACCATAGCTGAGTTGTGTCAGGGGGAGACCACCAGCCCGCAGACCCTGGGTCAGCAAAGGGTGGCTCAGAGGAGTGAAGTCACTTGCCCATAGTCACACAGCTTCAGTGGGAGAGCAGGGAAGCAAATCCATGTCTCTGGAGCTGTTTCCTCAGGCCATGGCGGTGCCTTTCTGCTCGGACTCCCCTCCCACAGATAAGTAGGGTGTCCACTCTTGGAGTTTGGTGGGGGTCCCTGCCAGTCCACGAGGAGGTGAGGCAAGGAAGCCGCTGGCTGGCGAACTCAGGTGCTGCCTCCTGGCCGGAGGGTCTGGGGCTGCCAGAGCGCCCAGTCTACTCCCACTGCCCCAACACGCGTCCACCTGCCCTGGGCCACAGGGTCGGGAAAACCCAAGGCCACCCAGCCAGGGGTCAAGAACTTAGATTGTGGGGTCTAACATGGTTGGCTGGCGTGACCTTGGGCAAGTCACTTAAGCTCTCAGCCTCCAGGTCCTCAGCTGTAGGGTGGGGATCCCCCAGCACTACCTCCTGGGGTGCTCGTAGCTCTGGTCCTTCTTGGAATGTTTCCGAGGCTGACTGTGTGTCAGGCCCCGCCGCCGGTGGACGAAGGTGCCCGCCCTCTGGGGGCACCCAGCTGGGGTGGTGGAGGCGGCATGGGGGGTAAAGTGATGAGAAGAGAACAGCGGGGTGAGGAGAAGGCGAGGTGCGTGCGTGTGCTGGGGGTGCTGCTTCACGGCCTCTCGAAACAGGCGACACGGGAGCGGGAAGCGCTGTTCCAGGGGCGGGTGGGCCGAGGCCCCTGAGGGGCGGGCGCGGGGGTGCGAAGCGCTCCAGAGTGGGCTGCCGGTCCCGCTGCGCTACCTCGCTCGGGGCGCTGCGGGGAACGGCCAGGGGCCCCGGCAGAGTCCCCGGACCCAGGAGCGTGCTGGGCTCCGCTGCAGGGGACGGAGGAGGCTACAGTGGCAGGGAGGGCAGATGACGACGGAGCGGGTGACGGGCGCCCCTCACTCCCGAGACCCTCCCGCGCCCGTGTCAGCGTACCAAGCCCCCCGCCCCTGCCCGGCTCCCGGCGCTCGCTCACCGCCTCTCGAGTCCGGTCCCGGCCGCTCCGGCCCGCGACCCCCGCGTCTCCCGCCGCCGCAGCCCCGCGCCTGGGTGCCCGCTTCCCGCCGCCCCCGACCCCGGTCCCCGCGCCCCCACACGTGGCCGCGGGAACCGACCCCCGGATCACCTGGCGGCGGCGACCCGCCTCACTCACCAATCGGCGCCCGCGGAGCCGCTCCGCTCGGCCGCACCACCCAATCAGCGGCCGCGAGGGGCCCTGGCACTGCCCACGCCCGGCGCTCCGCCTGGAAGGGCGGGAGGGGCTCGCCCGGAGCTCAGAAGGCACCTCCTCCCGGGCTGGGGGCGCTGAATCCCCCGCGCCTCACTCACGGGTCCCTCCTCCTGGAGGGCCTCTGCCCCTCCCCTCTCTGGCTGGCTCCTCCGCGTCATCCGAGCCGCGGCTACCGCACCGCCTCCTCCGGGAAGCCTTCCACGACCACCACTCACGCTTCATTCTCTGCAGAGCCCTTGTGACTCCGTTGCTCGCCTGTCATCCCTCTCCTCTTACTCGAGGACAAGTGACACTGGACCGGAGTGTCTCCGTTCCCAGTGTGAAGGATCGAGCCTGGCTCGGAGGAGGCGCTCAGGGTGGTTCGGGCCCGGCCCTTGTGAGTGGAGGGTCGTTGCGCATCCTCCTCCTCACTTTCTTCCTGCCGGGACGTTCTCAGCCGGGAACTGACAGATCCTGCTTAGCCCGGGGCCCAGCACTGAGAAATCTGGGAAGGAACGTTGCTCACCGCACATGGGCCGTGGCCCCATCCTTCGGGCCCTTTAGGTGGGGAATCGGGCTAGCAGCTCCAGCCACGGCACTGGGACGGGGAGCGCTATCGTCCCAGGAGACCGGGCGATGAGCCAAGGCTGCTGTGTATCCAACCTGACATCTGCAGGAAACCCCCCCGGAACCTGCCCATGCACCACACCACAGAGAAACCAGGACACAGGGGCTCAGGGCCAGTGGGGGCGCAAAGGCTGCAGACCGGGAGCGGGGCACCCTGACAGGTGGGCACAGCGCAGAGGGCCTGAGGGCCCCTGGAGTTCCAGGGGAGGCGGGTTTGCGCCAAGAGGCCATGCTGGCCACTCCTCCTCAGGGGATCTGGAAACCCAGAGGCAGCAGTGAGGCGTGGCCCCAAATCTGGGCTCTTCTTCTTACAAACGTGGGGCTTTGGGCAAACGCCTTCATCACTTTCATTCTTTGAGCGCCTCGTGTGGAAAGGAGAGTTACTAACGCCTGACTCACAGCCACGTGAGGATTCCAACGAGCAAAGTGCGTAGCGCAGTACCTGACCCACAGGAAGTGAGGCACCCAATAAATATTAGCTGACATTAGACCTTACTTTTAGTCTTGATTTTCTTTTGTATGTGACAGTACAGCAAGGGTTTGTTTAAGATAGGGTATGACTCTGTCACTCAGGCTGCAGTGACAGTACAGCAAGGGTTTAAGATAGGGTCTAACTCTGTCGCCCAGGCTGGAGTGCAGTACAGCAAGGGTTTAAGACAGCGTCTGACTCTGTCGCCCAGGCTGGAGCGACAGTACAGCAAGGGTTTAAGATAGGGTCTGACTCTGTCGCCCAGGCTGGAGTGACAGTGGCACAATCACAATCAATGCTCACTCCTCCATCTCTCAGGCTCAAGTGATCCTCCTGTCTCAGCCACCAAGCAGCTGGGACTACAGGTGCATGCCACCACACCCAGCTAATTTTTTTGTTTGTTTTTTAGTAGAAACGAGGTCTCACTATATTGCCTAGGCTGAAGCAAGGGCTCTTTGACTTCTAGATGTAAGTGCTCTGGGCAACACTTCACCACAGCCATCTGCCAGCCTTGAGTCCAGTGACAAGAGGGAACAAGATGGTTTACAAGTCACCCCTATTCTCTGCAAATCCAGTTTATTAAACTTGGAGTTCACAAAGAATAAACGGTTAATTCCTAGCTTTCTTGGGTGGGGGCAGGGGGAGAAAAGCGCGTAAGTTTTAAATAGAGGACTCGACAATTTCTAGCTCCACAGTCCCCGTTTTGAGAATATTCAGAGACAGCAACACGAGGCAAGCTCCATTAAATACTAACTCTAACAAGTTTTCTGATGCATACAATTCATTCTGATACATGCAATTTTTAAAATAGTGGCAGGAATTTGTTTGAGGTCAAAATGACAAAAGCTTAAATTCAGATAATGAAATAGTCAAAACCAGAGGGAGAATCCTGCTTTCTAAACCTTTCTCAGAAGGAAACAGAGGGTCAAGATTTGAGTGGCAGGCACTGTGCTAGATCCCAGGGACACAGAGATTTACAATAAAACATACAAAGCGCTGCAAAAACCAGATCTAGAGGCCGGGTGCGGTGGCTCACACCTGTATTCCCATCACTTGGGAGGCCAAGGCAGGTAGATCACCTGAGGTCAGGAGTTCGAGACTAGCTTGGCCAACATGGTGAAACCCTGTCTCTACTAAAAATACAAAAATTAGCTGGGCATGGTGGTGGGCGCCTGTAATCCCAGCTACTTGAGAGGCTGAGGCAGGAGAATCGCTTAAACCCAGGAGGTGGAGATTGCAGTGAGCTGAGATCCCATCACTGCACTCCAGCCTGGGCAACAAGAGCAAGACTCCGTCTCAAAAAAAAAAAAAAAAATCTAGAAAGATAAGTATGTTCAAAGTGTGTGACATTGACTACTGACTTCTACTACCAAGAAGGGTCTTCTTTTTGTTGGTCTTCAGTCCGACTCAGAAATACAAGGTTTCAAAACCAAGTGCATTTATATATTTGAAGGTTTTTAGTTTTACTTAAAAAAAATGTTTTTTGGCCGGGCGCGGTGGCTCACGCCTGTAATCCCAGCACTTTGGGAAGCGGAGGCAGGCAGATCACGAGGTCAGGAGATCGAGACCATCCTGGCTAACACAGTGAAACCCCATCTCTACTAAAAAATACAAAAAAATTAGCCAGGCATGGTGGCGGGCGCCTGTAGTCCCAGCTACTTGGGAGGCTGAGGCAGGAGAATGGCGTGAACCCGGGAGGCGGAGCTTGCAGTGAGCCAAGATCGTGCCACTGCACTCCAGCCTGGTCGACAAGCGAGACTTTTGAGACAGAGTCTTGCTGTGTCGCCCAGGCTGGAGTACAGGGGTGCAATCTCGGCTCACTGCAACCTCCGCCTCCCAGGTTGAAGCAATTCTCCTGCCTCTGCCTCCCAAGTAGCCTATTACATGTGCACGCCACCACGCTTGGCTAATTTTCATCTTTTTGGTAGAGATGGCCCAGGCTGGTCTTGAACTCCTGACGGCAAGTGAACCACCTGCCTCAGCCTCCCAAAGTGCTGGGATTATAGGCATGAGCCACTGTGCCCGGCTTTCATTTTTATTTATGCATCAAAGTAATGTAACTGCTTATCTGGGCTACTCCCCCAGGTTACCAAATTCAGTTGGTCTTATCCTAAAAGCGCAGAAACACCAAACTTGTACCACAGATGTAGCCTCACTAAAGGTACATAAAGGTATATTCCATGTACAAACTGAAAAGTTTACATCAAATGTAACAAACTTCAGTCGGTATCAGCCATTTCCTGGGTTCCGCTCAGGATTGCAGCGTAAAACGGCCATCACTGCTTCATCTGCCAAATGTCTGTGATCTCACATTCATGACAACACAAGCGCTCTTGGGAGCCACCAGGTGCAAAACTTCAACCACTGGATTAATGACTTATGTGTACAGGAAACCCAAGGACCCATATTGAGCAGGGAAGGATGACAAAAAGGCAAGCTGGGGTGGGGGTGGGAGTCATGACTGCTGAACATGTTGGTGCACATGCCATGTCATGGTATTTCCTGATGAGTTAATGACAATGACTAAACCATACAGGTGTGAGCTTGCTATCAATCTTCCCTTTTCTCTAAAATCCCAGAATCATGGGCTGGAGTTGGCAGCTGACGAATGTGTGTGGGAAGTAACACATCACTGAGAAGCTGTTCTCTAACAACAGGACTGAAAACCAGAGCCAAGATGGTAAGCTCCCAACAGGCCTCGCACAGCAACAGCTCATCCACATCCACTTTTGACAGCGCACACTCCATCCCAGTCTCCAACACCTTCACATGTTGAGTTATTTCACCTTTGAACACTATCATTCTGTTCTCTCAGATGTGTCCTGGCGGCCATCCCTGCAATTTATCAACATTGTCCCCCAAAAATAGGTGACCTAGAACAGCGATTTTAAAAAACATTCCGGCCAGGTGCCGTGGCTCACACCTGTAATCCCAGCACTTTGGGAGGCTGAGGCGGGCAGATCGCCTGAGGTCGGGAGTTCGAGACCAGCCTGACCAACATGGAGAAACCCCGTCTCTACTAAAAATACAAAATTCGCCGGGTGTGGTGGCGCACACCTGTAATCCCAGCTACTCAGGAGGCTAAGGCAGGAGAATCACTTGAACCCAGGAAGCGGAGGTTGCGGTGAGCCGAGATCATGCCATTGCACTCCAGCCTGGGCAACAAGAGCGAAACTCCGTCTCAAAAAAAAAAAGAAAAAAAAAATTCCAAACCAGGCACAGTGGCTCATACTTGTAATCTCAACGTTTTGGGAGGCTGAGGTGGGAGGATCACCTGAGGCCAGGAGTTCCAAACCAGCCCGGGCAACACAGCAAGAATCTCCAAAAAAAGAAAAGAAAATTTAGCAATTAGCATTTGGAAGATTTGGAAGGCAGAGGTGGAAGGATTGCTTGAGCCCAGGAGTTTGAGGCTGCAGTGAGCTATGATTGTGCCACTGCACACCAGCCTGGGTGACAGAGCAAGATCCCGTCTCCAAAAATAAAATATAAAAAAAATTCAGAGACAATGTCATGAACTGTCCTCCCCAAATTCTTATGTTGAAGTCCTAATCTCCAGTACCTTGGAATCATATTGGGAGACCGGGTCTTTAAGGAGGTAAATTAAGAGTTCATTAGTGTGGGTCCTAATCCAGTAACACTGGTGTCCTTATAGGAAGAGGAAATTTGGACACAGACAAGTACAGAGGTAAGGTGACATAAACACACAGGGAAAAGACAGCCATTTGCAAGCCAAGGAGAAAGGCCTAGAACAGATCCTTCCCTCAGGGGCCTCAGGAGAAACCAACCCTGCTGACTCCTTGATGTTGGACCTCTAGCCTTCAGAACTGGAGAAAATATTAATACATTTTTGTTTAAACCTGTCTGTGGTACTTTGTTATGGCCCCCCTAGGAAACTGATACAGTGATTAAAATAAGATTCCCAGCCAGGCATGGTGGCACGTGCCTGTAGTCCCAGCTACTTGGGAGGCTGGTGCAGGAGAATTGCTTGAGCCAGGAGTGAGTCTAGCCTAGGTAACACAGTGAGACCCCCATCTCTAAGAAACATAAGGCTCCTTATCCATCAGGAAATGGGCCACAACATGGTATTGCTTGGCTCTTCTTCCCTGTGTATTCTTCTGGTTGGCAGAAAGTGTGGAGGTTATACAGAAAAATGTCAGAGCTGGAGGGGCTACAACAGATGATCTGAGTTCAACTCACTTTTCCAGAGAATCAGAAGGTTAAGTGACTTGCCCAAGGTCGCACTGCTAGTCCTGGTTCCAAAGTGGACATGTGGACAGACTATATGTAGCTGTACACTCTTGGAGGGTCCCAGCCACTGCTTCTCGTGTTTTCCAAGGAGAGTGAGTGAATGTACACGTCTTGGGGATCAGACAGCAGAGCCTACCTGAAGCACTCCTGCTGCTTTATTTCCGGGAAATCTCGTTTCCTCTTACCAACTCTTGTGGGCTCCATACTACCTTCTATTTGTGTCAATATTACCATGAAGCCACTCCCTGCAGTATCTTTGAATAAAACTGATGCCCCAGAAAGAGGCACCATATTTATTTTGCTCCTACGCGTATCCCATTTGAGATGCAGAGAAAAGAGGAATGGTTTATAGTACCTTCCCAACTGAAAAGCACAGGTCTGGAAAAAGATGGCTCCTTCCCAGAAACACTTTTTACAAAGTTTGTTACCACAGACAAATAAAATAGGAGGTCTTGAAATGCATTCCAGAAAGTACAGTAAGGCAGGTATTACCCAGTATTAAAATAATGCCTATGCTGAAAAACTGAAGCTGGTATTCTTTAATGGAGATTTTAAGAAATAAAGATTGCACAAGTAGTTTCAGTTTTCTCTGCAGCTCTGCTCTTCATCTACACGGACAGGTGAGCCAATTGAGGCACCAGCTTTGACCCGGGTGGCAGCAGATGGCTGCCTAGGCATCTGGTGGCCACAGCTCAGAAGGAACTCATGTCTCTTGCTCACCTGGCTTCTCTTCCCTGCTCCCTGGCTTTTGAAACTCAAGGCTGTATATGCTTCCTTTGTTCTTGTTCATCTTGTGCCAAGTAAGCTTCTAACAGTTTAATAACCTGATTTTAAAATCTGTGGATCAAAAAAAAAAAATATGCTAACCAATGCCCATTAATTTCATGGCATGACCCTCTCATCCTTGCTGTCAGAGTTTGCTGCTTGAGCTATCAGTGTACAAAACCACTAGAGGAGGCCTGGAAGAAGGATGAGTGGTCTAGCCTGGCTTCAATCTAACCCCATCAACTTATTACATCTTTAATTTGGGGGAAATCAACTAAATTTATTTGCTTCTGAAAATTGAGGATAATTTCATATATCTTTGAAAATGTATCTGTGAGAATTTGAGATAATGTGATTTAAAGCATCTAGCAATAAGAAACTACAATGTAGTTTAAACAAAACAGAACTTTTGTGAAACTGGACGTTTTGGCTCTCTTATTTTTTAAAAAGTCTTTCCTAAAATACTAAATGCATTCCTAACTGTAGTGTAGTAAACATAGTTCAATATTTCTTTGGAATTGAAGACTCTCACATTGCTTCTAGGTGTTATTCTGAAAAAACAAGGATTGTCAACATGAAGCCCATCATTTTAAAGATGAGGAAATCAAGGCTCAGGGAGATTAAGTGGGTGACCAGGGTCACACAGCTGGTAAGTGACGCAGTCCTCAAAGACCACCGTGCAGGACCACAGCCACAGATGTTAGGACACTGGACTCAACGGTATACTCTGACAGGGAGTCAATCTCTATTTGAAACTGAAGAACATTTATTATTCTATAGACTGTATCAGCAAGTTTGAGTTACACAAACAGGTAACAAGGAATTTAGGTCTGACAGAATAAATTCATCAGAGCAAAAGTTCTCAAAACAGTAGAATGGATGAGCAGGATGTGAAACTCTGGGAATTAGGAAAAAGAGTATTTATTTGTTGGTATTAGGCAAACAAAGCACACAAAGATAGGAGAGACTGAATGACTAAGGTTTCTTTCCGAATCATAAATAAAAGAGCAAGGATTTCTAACATTCCAGCTCATGATTACTAAGCAGATCCCATCTCCAAAAAATTCAGCTGTCTGAGAAAATCCCCATTCTGGAATTTCTCTTGCTTCCTAAAATGAAGCTGCTCATTTAGCAACATAAAGTTCTGATAGAAGCTGTGGCTCCTGTGAGGGGAAAAGCTCTCACGAGTATCAGCATCCTGCAAACTGGATGAATTCACAGGATGAATTCTGAGTGTCCCACAACTAGGATATGAGAATGACCAAATACCTGGAGTGTCCTAAAAAAAGACTTAAGGGATTGCTTAGTAACTTGTGACATAAAAACAAACAAACAAACAAAAAACCCAAAGTGTAGCCAAGATAGTATTTTCCAGTAATCCAAGGTCTAATTTTGACAGTTACCAAAATTAAAACAAAAGCCACACTGACTTGACTATTGGCAAAGTTGGCAATAATTTCATTTCCAAGCCCTCTGCTCTCTTAAACATGTGCTTGGCTGGGCACAGTGGCTCACACCTGTAATTCCAACACTTTGTGAGGCCAAGGCAGGAGATCAACTGAGGTCAGGAATTCGTAATATGCCTGGCCAACCTGGTGAAACCCTGTCTCTACTAAAAATACAAAAATTAGCTGGGCGTGGTGGCACATGCCTGTAGTCCCAGCTACTCGGGAGGCTGAGGCAGGAGGGTTGCTTGAACCCGGGAGGCGGGGGCTGCAGTGAGCCAAGATTACACCACTTCACTCCAGCCTGGGTGAAAGAGTGAGACTCCATCTCAAAAATAAAATAAAAATAGTATCTGTACAGAGCCCGATGTGGAAGAAGCTCAGCTAGTGTTAATCGTTATGACTATTACTACTTACATTAATAAGCCAAACTTACAACTATACTTTATGAGACATACTCTAGGCACCACAGAGTTCTCTTTTGCTAAGCAAAGATTTAATAGTGAACAGTGTTAATTATACATTATATACAATATCAGGAAAAAAAAGAGTTGTAATTTTTGAGGAAAATCGCTTCAGCCTTTTGAGGCCTCCTTTGACATACCAGTGGTTGACAAGACAGAATTAAGAACAGTTAAAACAGTTAAAAAGCTGATAAAATTAAATCATCAAAGGTAGAAAGTTTTCCAACAGGAAAAAAGCCACTGAAGTTAACAGTCTTGTGGAAAAGAACAGAAGAAAGAATAGGGCCAGGTATGGCGACTCACGCCTGTAATCCTGGCACTTTGGAAAGCCCAGGTGGGAAGATCACGTGAGGCCACGAGTTCAAGACCAGCCTGGGCAACACAGTGAGGCCCCATCTCTAGAAAAGATAAATTAGCCAGGCATTTATTAGCTTGCCTGTAGTCCTGGCTACTTGGGAGGCTGAGGTGGGGAGAACTGCTTGAGCACACGAGTTCAAAGCTGCAGTGAGCCAAGATCACACCACTGCGCTGCAGCCTTAGTGACACAGCAAACTCCATCTCAAAAAAATAATAAGTAAAAGAATATAGTTATAAAGACGGTAGAGATTAATTTCTTAAGAAAATAATGCAGCTGATTAGGGGTACTGTTTAACCATCTGTAATGGCTTCTAAACAAATCTTTGTCAAGTGGTTCCTAAGCCAAAACTTCAACAGTTCTGCTTCCTTGGCTTTGGCTCTGCAGAAGTGAGTGACCATCTGTTCCACCATGAAAATGCAAAAGCAAAATCTACATGCTAGAAAGTAATGTCAACCAGAACCTCTGGGGAAACAGTTTAATGGTCTTTTCCAATTAAGAATAGAATTTCTTTTCTTTCATAGCTAAAATTAGAATTTTTGCTTAATCCAAAGAAAGATAAATTAATCAGGTTCCAAAGATAGGAGACCTTAACTATAATCCCAAATTTTTAAAGTTTCTCTTAGTTAAATGCAGTATTTAATGAACATGGCTGGTGAGTTTCGTTCTCATGACGTATCAAGATGGCAAGAGGGTCACAGCCTGAGAGAGAATAATTTCACAGGCTCTTTAAAGTAAGTATTAATTAAGAATTGGTTAGCAAACCTTGACAAGGGCTAACAAAATTTGGAAAAACAGCAATGATGAAAAAACAAATGTCAAAAGGTGTTAGCAGATTGTTTAGTTTTGTTTTCATGTCATTTTCCTGTTAATTATACCCAAAAGACATGATTAAAACATACACCTGTTTCCTAAGATTTATACAGGACCAGGTTTCCTTTAATTAAGTCCATGTGGATGCATAGTCAGAATCCATGTGCAATGAATGCTTCTGTCATAGTGCTAAGGAAAGGTCTCCACATTTCTCAACAATAGTATCTTTCCTTCCTCATTTTGTAGGTTAAGAAGCCAACAATCTCTCTCCCAGCACTTTCTGAGACTCATTTATCAAAGGTAGCTTGTAGGTAGTTTCAGAGTGTATGAAACACTGTAAATGAGGTCACTAAGCCACCAACAGAGTACTGAAGCTATTGATCCATGCTAGAGATTTCTGGGATTACCTCTGGGGTTTGTTGTTCCCCTTTCTGAACATGGAAGTAAAAATTATAAATGTGTTCTGCTCCTTTGGAATGCCTGGAAGGGAAAAATCAAACATTCTTTTATCTCAATGTAAGTAAGGCGTATGTCTTTGACAGTTGTGGATGTTCGTGGAAGAGTGCGATGACCTTCCTGTCTTTTCCCTTTACATCACACTGAAACAAACTGTCCTTATAGTTAACAGAACGTTAGAGTTGGAAGAAACTTTAAATGATCTAAACTTCTCAGCCTGTGCTTAAGTGCCTGGTGTGCAATACAGCCACCAGGTGATTATTCAGTAAGTCTCTTTAAAAGCAGTATCATAAAGCAAAGAAACCAACCAAAATCTCCCAACTTTTGATTCCAGAAGAGTACAGAATTCTGAGCACAGGTACCTAACATCCATACTATTAAGAATCATTACTTGCTAGAGAGCACAGGAGTAATTACTACAATTACTTCTAGAATTTGATGTCTAGGATTTATCTGTTATCTTTTGCAGTACTGTAATTTTTTCTAGTCCAAGGACTTATCTGAATATTGAACATTTATTGAACATGATTGTACTCTATGATCTTGGAAGCAGTCTTTAATAAAATACAAAATGATTTTTTAAACCTTTGATTCATTAAGTAATTAGCATTCAATGTATCTGGAAACATCGTTTACCCTCTATAAGAATTCCAAAACACATGAACTGGAGCTTGTATTTAAAAAGGAAAATGATGGTGTTCATTTCAAGGAGTAGAAAAGACTTAAAGTGAGGGCGACACTTAGCTACTTCTGAGGATATACTATACTCAAAACCTTTAAATATAAGCTACGGTTCAGCAGCTTTTAAAATTTCATGTTTATTCATATTTTTCAAAATATATGTACATTAAAAAAGGAAGATTTACAACAGGAAAGATTGCCTTACATGCAACACAAATTCCAATGAATTCATGATGGGATCACACATGATTATGATCTAATTCAAGCCAATCTTCTCAAGTCCATTTCCCAGCCATACTTTAGGCTACAGAAGGGATCCCAGGAGACAAAAGTGGAATGAATAAGAAACAAACATCTTTTGCCTCTGGCAGTACTCAAGGGGCCAGAAGATGTACTTCAAAAACTTTAAGACAATTAAAATGTCAAGTGCCACAGGGAAGAGAAATGATAACCAGAAATTTGTATTTCTAGCTAGTACTATTTAACACAACTTCACAATACTAAAACAAATACAAATAAGAAAGGGTTAGGTAGTTGGGCTTCATTTACTTTTTTCCTTTTCTTTTTTTTTTTAATATCTCAAAAAGGAAGCCACTTGCTTGATATCAAAAGTGCTGTGGAAAGAAAGGAGGGGAAAAAAACCCACAAATAAATGTAGAATCTAGTTTATTTTACCAAACTGTATATTTTTCCACTTAACATTTCTACATTAGCAATGATGTAACTCTCCAACATTTCCTTATAAAAAAGGCAAACAAGAAGTGACAACTCATGCTCCAAATATTAAAAAATATATTTAAACATATGATCAAGAAGATTTGGGCCGTGAGTGGTAGCTCACATCTGTAACCCCAGGATTTTGGGAGGCTGAGGTGAGTGGATCACGAGGTCAGGAGATCGAGACCATCCTGGCTAACATGGTGAAACCCCAACTCTACTAAAAATACAAAAAATTAGCTGGGCGTGGTCGTGTGCGCCTGTAGGACCCAACTCAGGAGGCTGAGGTGGGAGAATCGCTTGAACCTGGGAGGCGGAGTTTGCAGTGAGCCAAGATCACACCACTGCACTCCACACTGGGCGACAGAGCGAGACTCTGTCTCAAAAATAATAATAATAATAAAAAATAAAAAAGATTTGTTTTGATTTTTGGTAACACAGGTGACACCAGAAATCACAAATCAATATATTTCTACACTTCCCCTTCAGTCAAAAACCAAGTGGGATAGGCCAGGCACAGTGGCTCACTCCTGTAATCCCAGCACTTTGGGAGGCCGAGGCAGGCGGATCACCTGAGGTCAGGAGTTCGAGACCAGCCTGACCAACACGGCGAAACCCCATCTCTACTAAAAATACAAAAAAATTGCCAGGCGTGGTGGTACACACCTGTAATCCCAGCTACTCGGGAGGCTGAAGCAGGAGAATTGCTTGAACCCAGGAGGTGGAGGTTGCAGTGAGCTGAGATTGCACCACTGCACTCCGGGGCACCTGAGCAAGACTCCGTCTCAAAACAACGACGACAACAACAACAACAACAAAAAACAAGTGATATAGAGAACTTGTGCTTGCTGTTAAGGGAATGCAATACTTTGGGCCAGTGAAAAATACCTAGAAATTGATCAATATGAAATGTAGCCCAAAGGAGTCATATATCTTCAAAATCTAATGAGATCACCCTGTTTTTGGCTTATTCCCAAAGCTGTCTCTGTGTTTACAGTTGGAGAGAAAAGGTTAGTGGAGTGGCTTTTATAAATAAGATTAATTATTACAGCTATAACTGAAGTCTCCAGGCAGGAGGCTTTACAACTCAGTCAGTGCTATATTGTGCCTCCATTTTACTTCCAGGACCTGACTGGCATACCGTTCTTGATGCTTTCTACAAATATAAAAATCTCTGCAACTGTTTAGATAAAATTGGAAGAAAAAAAAAAGGCAAAGCTGACCATAAAAACAACAGGGGGTTGGGGGAGGCAGAGAAAAAGGACAAGTATACATTACATAGTTTAGGAAAGTCCAGGATTATTGCAGAAATTAAAATGAACAAGGAAAAGGGCAGGCACCAATAAAAGCACCTAAAGCTAGCAAATGCCTAAACTGGTTTATTTAGAGTCCCTCCCCACAATGTTCATAGGGGAGGAAAATAATGTAATTTGAAAAGCATCAAAACTAAACAAATGCACACTGACCTTAGAAAATAAGATTTTGAATTTCATCATGATACCCTTTTTTCCTATAAAATTTACTTTTTCACTCTGAAAGACTTCTTCATGGTGGATTTGCCCTTGCCCGGCAATTTTACTTCCTTTCTTGCACTGGTTGCAGGCTTCTTTGAGGAGCCACCACTAGGTTTCTTGATGACTGTGGATGAGGGTCTGGTCTTCTTGGCAGGCGTTTTGGCCTTAGGAGGTGCTTTCTTAGGCAAGGGCCTAGCTTTCCCCCGCTGGGCAGCTGAGACTTTAGGTGCAGGTTTGGACCCTCTCTGCTTCACAGATGCGGCCTTCCCTGGGGACTTGGCTGGGGTTTTCTTCTGCAACCTGTGAGAACCAAAGAGCAAAGGCCGTCATTTAGTACTTAAGAGATTCGTTTTGTTGGGACAACCAGATGCTTTCTAAAGAGAAACGGCATATGAAGTGGTCACTTACGTTAAGAATAGGAATGTGACAATTTTTTACTAGAGATTTTACTAAAATTGTATAAAAATTCAACCAATTCATGAAGTCTAGACACAATTTCATGACGTTGTTCCTAGGGAAATATGTAATTATTTTTCTTTGAATAACTAAACTATGGATACACACAGGCTTGCCCTAAAAGTCTGGAGCCCTTGATTTTCAAAGGAGAAGATCAATCCAAATTTATATAAAGAACTTGAGAAGGATCCTGAGTTTCTGAAATGCTTTTTAGCTTTAGCCCCTCCTATAGCACTATTTTTCAGCTCTGAGGTATTTAGTGTCCTCCCCACAAGGGGTTTTCACATGTCCACACCTTCTCTTAGGTGGCGGCTCTTCATCCTCAGAGTCTTCTTCTGATGACTCATCTTCATCTTCATCCTCATCTCTAGAATCATCTGGCTCTTTCTTCGGAAACAGAACTCCTGGGCTATACGGGGAAAAATTAGATTAAAACACAAGTCCCATATAAAACAAGAAAAATAATGTGAACCTAGATGCTCTTACCTGGACATATCCCACTTCTTCCCACCCTTCCCAAAAATGTCAAGCTAGGTTACACGTATCAGGTTACAATTTACCGTATTTTGAACATACATATAAAGTTATGCCAAATCTATAAAAGTCCTGCACCATACCTAATTCTATACCCACTATTTAATAAAATTAATCCATAGTCATTTATTTAGTAAACAATTACTTAAACTCCTAATATGTATCTGGCACTGTATTAGCCAATGAGTACACAGCAATGAACAGTCTGCATGGAATACACACTTCAGCCTCATAATACTGGCAAAAGACCTCCAAGTCTTAAAAAAAAAGACCTCAAAGGCCTAAATCTGTTCAAAGCTTCAAAGGTATTCGGCAAGGATCTCCTAAACTCTTTTTTGTCCTTGGTGGTATGAACCTTGATTCCTTTGATTAACATATCCTTAAATGATAACATACATACATATATGTGTGTGTGTGTGTGTGTGTGTGTGTGTGTGTGTGTGTGTTTCTTGCCTTTTTCAGACACAGGGTCTTGCTATGCTGCCCAGGCTGGAATCAAACTCCTAGGCTCAAGGGATCCTCCCACCTCACCTTCCCAAGTAGTTAGGACTACAGGTGCATCCCACCACACCTGGCAGAATGTAACATTTTGTGTGTGTGTGACTTTGGGAATTAAATTTAATGTTTAATGTTCGAAAAATTTATATAATATGTATTAAGCCAAGTAACACTTATGTTTGTACAGAAATAATAATATAAGAAAGTTACACAATAGTCTTGCTAAAACAGGGTCTTAGTGGTATATGTTATGTACTTTACTGGAAATCAAAAGGCTTTAAACCCAGTGCATGAAACAATGCTTGGACCACAGGAGGTGATCAATATATTTTTTTGTTTCAAAGAATAAATAAGGTATTTGCAAGAAACAAATTTTCAGATAAGTGTTCCTGTCTCTACAGTATGGAGGTAGAGTTAAGATTCTTGAAAACAGTCAATGTTCTCCCCACTTGGTATTGGACAATTAAAACTTATGCATATAATCCCATCACTTTGGGAGGCTGAGGCGAGAGGACTGCTTGAGCCAGGAGTTCAAGGCCAGCCTAGATAATATGGTAAGACCCCCATCTCTACAAAAAACACAAAAATTAGCTGGGTGTGGTGGCGCGCACCTGTAGTCCCAGCTACGTGGGATATTGAGGTGGGAGGATCACTTGAGCCCAGGAGGCGGAGATTGCAGTGAGCCGAGATTATACCACTGCTCCAGCCTGGGCGATAGAGTGAGACCCTGTCTCAAAAAACAAAAACAAAAACTTATACATAATCCTCTAAGAATCTGTCATTATCATTTACTTGATAAAGAAGGAATGAACATCAAAATGACCATCCGAGGATCTCAAATAATCTTATGCCTGGCTAAAATCACTATTTTTATACAAAACCTTTTACTCCAAAATAATACTGCCTTAAAAGTCATCTTTATTTTCAAATACAGTTGTCCCTTGAACAACACAGGTTGGCAACGCATTAGCCCACTTTATATGTGGACTTTTTTTTTTCAACCAGACACAGATCAGAAATACAACATCCACAGGATGCGAAGCCTGCATACAAAGAGGACAGACTTTTCAGATACATGGATTCCACAGGGCTGAGTACATGCGCATTTGGGTATGCGGGCAGTTCTGTAACCAATCCCCTATATGTAACAAAGGACGACTGTATTTCCAGTTCACTAAAACAGTAATAAGGGTAAAATAAATTAAACTGAGTGTGTAACTTAGACTATAAATTTACAGTGATCTATTATAGGCTAAGTACTTACCTGGGATAATAGGGAAAACAGAGCTGGAAGGTGCCACTGAACCCTTTCCCAGAGATCTGTTCCATCCACCCATTCTTTTCGCATTTCTGCAGGGTTTTTTTCAGCAAATGCACTGAAAAAAAAAATTCAGAAATGAAAGTTATCTAGTTATTCAGATTAGATAATTCCCTCAACCACAAACAGATGCCCATCAATTTAATATCCTGTCACATACGGTAATTGACATACACTAAGTGAATCCTATGTGTTCAAAGGTATTTAATTAAACATTTACTTATTGCCCATAAGTTTGGCAAGAGTTAAATTATATACATACATACATACATATATCTATATTTTAAAATTTTGCAAAATATAGAGACAAAGTCTCACTATGTTGCCCAGGCTGGTCTCAAACTCCTGGGCTCAAGCAATACTCCCACCTTGGCTTCCCAGACTGCTGGGACTCCAGGCATGAGCCACCATACCTGGCAAGAGTTATAATGAAAAGACACATTAGAGACCATTGAGTCAAATACCTTATTTCACAGGGAAAAAAAAAAAGCCCAGAGTGGTTAAGTGACTTGAGCTCAAAGTAGTTAAGTGACTTGCTCTAAGGTAGCACATAAACAGCAGACCTAAAACTAAGTATTTAATTATTTCCATTCACTTAAACATCTATTGTGTACCTATAGGTATTGATAATCATCTAGGAGAATCTCTTATAAAGATGAACAGAACTAATTATTCATAAATCAGTAAACAGTAACAAAACAATATCATGGTTCCTGAAGTCCTTCATTCTCATCTTTCTTACAGAGACATATCCAAAATATATTTTATGGTGATTCAGTATCCAAAAAACAGCTGCAAATATCAGTGAAACTGAAAGGCTTGTTAACCAAATTCATCTTCTCTTAAAACATCTGGCATATAGAAATAGGCCGGGCGTGGCGGCTCACGCCTGTAATCCCAGCACTTTGGGAGGCCGAGGCCGGCAGATCACGAGGTAAGGAGATTGAGATCATCTTGGCTAATACGGTGAAACCCTGTCTCTACTAAAAACAAATAATACAAAAACAAAAAAATTAGCCAGGGGTGGTGGCAGGTGCCTGTAGTCCCAGCTACTCAGGGGGTGGAGGTAGGAGAATGGCGTGAACCCAGGGGAGGCGGAGCTTGCAGTGAGCCAAGATCGCACCACTGCGCCCCCCAGCCTGGGCAACACAGCGAGACTCCGTCTAAAAAAAAAAAAAGACTTCAAAATTACCTTTTAATTACAATAATATATTCTGGATTGTCTTCTTCTGTTACTTAATTTCCATATCCCTCACCCTACAACATTGTGCCTCTTCTAATAGTTCATTGAGAAGTCACCCAGTCTCACCAATCCACACGATAATGCTGATAAGGCAGGGTGTCTCATCTCAAATCACCACCTCCTAGAGTAAATATACTTTACTGAAATAAAGTATTGTCTGTTGTGGGGCTTAGGTTAATAAGAAATAATATAAGTAGTAAGTACTCTAAAATCCTGGCTTTGTTTCAAAGTAAAATTAGATGTTTTTGGTGAACATTCAAAAGTAGGAAAAAATACACTATAATTTAGAGTTGCTTTGAACCTAGAGATTTATCTAAATTACAATAAATATCAGAAAAATCTTTACAGTAAAAGCAACTTCTTATAAGCAGATGCTTTAAATTAAGAATTCAGTTTTGATTATTTGTTTTTCTTTTTGTAAATATGAAATTTGTAAAGCTGTTCCCTCTTGGTTTTCAGTCAGTAGTTAATACTTTGACATTAATAGCATGATCTCTATGATTTTTTTTTCTTTTCTTTTCTTTTCTTTTTTTTTGATACATAGTCTCGCAACTATTGTCCGGATTGGAGTACAATGGTGCAATCTCGGCTCACTGCAACCTCCACCTCCTGGGTTCATGCGTTTCTCCTGCCTCAGCCTCCCGAGTAGCTGGGACTACAGATGCACACCACTACACCCTGCTAATTTTTTTGTATTTGTAGTAGAGATGGGGTTTCACTATGTTGGCCAGACTGGTCTCAAACTCCCGACCTCGTGATCCACCCGCCTCAGCCTCCCAAAGTGCTGGGATTACAGGCGTGAGCCACAGTGCCTGGCCCTCCACGGTTTTTTCAAAAGAAAATTCTCCTAATCCCAGTTAAATATACACAACCGAGTCTTACTTTGATAGTTAGAATTGGTTCCTGGGTGATTCTCTAGGACATACTTCTTCAGAGCAGTGGTAGAGCAGGTCTTCGGCTCATTCATGGCAGCAATGGCAGACAAGATTGCATATTCCATCAGGCTTCCACCAAGCAGGGGTTTCTCCCCTGATTTCTTCAGCTGTTTTCCAAGGAGGAAGAGAAAAGCATCAAGACAACACTCTCCCAAAGCAGGTCAAGACAAGACTCCTCTGCACCAGGTGGGTCGGAGTTCCTGCATTAGCACAGATATGTTTTACAATAAATTGTCAGCTTAGGGACTTTCTCTTCCCATTCAACAGGTATTCAATCTAACTGAGAAGTCCCAACCCTCCTATGGATATTTTCTCCTTCCATCTACCCTCCATCCACCCTAAAATAATAGCCAACCTAACCCAAAGATACTGACAACTGTACCCAATAAGCAGGTTAACCAGTTATGTCCCTAAAAATTAAGATTCTTTTGGCTGGGTGCTCACACCTATAGCCCCAGCACTTTGGGAGGCAGAGGCAGGCAGATCACTTAAGGCCAGGAGTTCGAGACCAGCCTGGCCAACATGGCGAAACCTGTCTCTACTAAAAACACACACACACACACACACACACACACACACACACACACACACACACACACACACAAAATAGCCAGGTGTGGCAGGTGCCTGTGGTCTCAGCTACTTGGGAGGCTGAGGCAGGAGAGTCACTTGAACCCAAGACGCGGGGTTGCAGTGTGCCGAAATCATGCCACTGAACTCCAGCCTCGGCGACAGAGTAAGATTCTGTCTAAAAAAATAAATAAATAAAATAAATTTAAAAAAAAAAAGATTATTTTATTTGAGAATACTTCACTTTTCTGAATCTGAAAAATGAAGTATAGCTGACCCTTGAACACAACACAATTTTATCTGTGCTGGTCCACTTATATGTGGATTTTCTTCTGCCTCTGCCCGCCACCCCAAGACAGCAAGACCAACACCTCCTTGTCCTCCTCAGCCTACTCAACTCAAAGATGACAAGGATAAAGACATGTACGATCATCCACTTCCACTTAATGAACAATAAATATATTTTCTCTCTTTTTTTTTTTTTTTTTTTGAGACAGAGTCTCGCTCTGTTGCCCAGGCTGGATTGCAATGACGTGGTTTCAGCTCACTGCAACCTCGGTCTCCTGGGTTTAAGCAATTCTCCTGCCTCAACTTCCCGAGTAGCTGGGATTACAGGCGCCCACCACCAGGTCTCGCTAATTTTTTATTTTTAGTAGAGACACGGTTTCACCATGTTGGCCAGGCTAGTCTCGAACTCCAGACCTCAGGAGATCTGCCTGCCTCGGCCTCCTGACGTGCTGGGATTATAGGTGTGACCCACTGTGGCCGGCCATTATTTCCTCTTTCTTAAGATTTTCTCAATAACATTTTCTTTTCTCTAGCTTGCTTTATTATAAGAGTACATTATATAATACATACAACATACAAAATGTGTATTAACTGTTTGTAAGGCTTCCGGTCAACAGTAGGCTATTAATAGTCAAGTTTTCTGGGAATCTAAAGTTTTTTATGATTTTTTTTTTTTACTGCACGGGGGATCTGCACCTTTAACCCCTATGTTGTTCAAGGGTCAGCTGTAGTTATAAAAAATAATAAATAGCCCTTTTAATCCTATGAGGAAAATAGCAGTGAAAAATTTTGATAAATATTTAGGGTATCAGGGAGCACGGTAGTTCATATCTGTAATCCCAGTACTTTGGGAGGCTAATGGGGGAGGACTGCTTGAGGCCAAGAGTTCAAGACCAACCTCGGCAACATAGTGAGACTCTCTCTCTACTAAAAATAAAAAAACTAGCTATGAATGGCGGCATGCCTGTAGCCTACCTACATGAAAGGGTGAGGGGGGAGGATGGCTTAAGCCCAGGAAGTTGAGGCTATTAGTGAGCTATGATTACATCACTATACTCCAGCCTGAGTGACAGACCAAGACTCTGTCTCTAAAAATAAATAATAAACTAAAAAAAAAAAAAAGTATCATACAAAAGAAAATTACATAGCATACTTTGAAAATGAAAGGTGTGGTAACAAAGGTTAGCAAATAATATGCAAAAAGGGAAAAGGAGAAAACCAGAAATGCTCTACAAAACTGTTTAGTGGTTCTTAAAGAATGGTCTGGTTACAATTGTCTGGGTTCCTGAGACCCTTTCAGAGGATCTGCAAGGTCAAAACTATTTGCATAATAAAACTAAGATATGCCAGACGCAGTGGCTCATGCCTGTAATCCCAGCACTTTGGGAGGCTGAGGCGGGTGGATCAGCTGAGGTCAGGAGCTCAAGACCAGCCTGGCCAACATGGTGAAACCCCATCTCTACTAAAAATACAAAAATTAGCCGGGCATGGTGGTGCATGCCTGTAATCCCAGCTACTTGGGCAAGGCTGGGGCAGGAGAATCGCTTGAACCCGGGAGGTGGAGGTTGCAGTAAGCCGAGATCAAGCCACTGTACTCACTGCAACAAGACTCCATCTCAAAAAACAAACAAACAAAAACCTAAGATGCGATTTGCTTTTTCACTGTCTTTTTTTTTTTGGAGACAGAGTTTCGCTGTGTTGCCCAGGCTGGAGTGTAATGGCGCGGTCTCGGCTCACTGCAACCTCCGCCTCCCGGATTCCAGCGATTCTCCTGCGTCTACCTCCCGAGTAGCTGGGACTACAGGCGCCCACCACACCTGGCTAATTTTTGTATTTTCAGTAGAGATGGGGTTTCACCATGTTGGCCAGGCTGGCCTCAAACTCCTGACCAGGTAAACCACCCGCCTCAGCATCCCAAATTGCTAGGATTACAGGTGTGAGCCACTGCACCTGGCCTTTTCACTATTTTGACATTTGCACTGATGGTGCAGAAGCAATGGTGGGTAAAACTGCTGTCAGCTTACCACAGATAAAGGCAGAGACACAAAAATGTGGTTATTGTCTTCTTTACTGCTATGTACTTATGGTTTAAAAAAAAGAGCACGAATTCACTTAGAATGCCCTTGATAAAGTACTAAAAATTATTTTATTAAATCTCAACTTTTGAATGTCTTTAGAATATTTTATGGGATGAAACAGGAAGAACCACATAATCCGTATCTGCTACATATGTAGACATGATGGTATCCAGGAAAAGCACTTGTGTAATTGTTAAAGTTATGAGCTGAATTAGCTGCATTTTTCTTGGAACACGTTTTTTTTTTTTGAGACGGAGTCTCATTCTGTCACCCAGGCTGGAGTGCAGTGGCGTGATCTTGGCTTACTGCAACCTCTGCCTCCTGGGTTCAAGGGATTCTCCTGCCTCAGCCTCCCGAGTAGCTGGGATTGCAGGCATGTGCCACCATGCCCGGCTAATTTCTTGTATTTTTACTAGAGATTGGGTTTCACCATGTTAGCCAGGATGGTCTGGATCTCCTGACCTCGTGATTCGCCCACCTCGGCCTCCCCAAAGTGCTGGGATTACAGGCATGAGCCACCGCGCCTGACCTGTAATACTTTTTTACTTAAAGAAATAACTGACAGCTAACCTATCATTATTCAGACTTGGTTATGAGGTAGACAGTATCTTGCAAATGAACTAAAAGAGCCTGTCATGTAAAAAAATAATAGTATTTGTTGCCAATGATAAAATTCAACCTTTCAAGAGAAAATTTAAATCCTGAAAAACTTGTGTCCATCACTGTGAGTCTGTTATCTTCCCAATACTTAAATACTGTTCTTATAAGATCAGTGGCCAACACCAATGATTGTAATTTTTGTTGTCGTATATAATGAAATGCCAACATTTGGAAAATCTATGTAACTCTGTGCCACTATTTTTCAAATGACCAATGTATCGTGCTACAAAATTATGAAGGATTAAAATACCTATTCAAAGTTCAATGAATTTTAAGGTAACACAGTCCAAGAAATTCACTGATTAGGGTTTCAGGTTTCACATGGCAACTAAACTTTAAAGAATTTACCACAAAACAAATAATGTTAACAGACCACACGAACAAAGGACACAAACCACACAATCATCTCAACAGACACTGAAAAACCACTTGACAAATCCAATAGCCATTCATGATAAAAACTCCCAGGAAACTAGTAGTATATATAGAAGGGAACTTGCTCAACCTGACAATAGGCATCTATGAAAAACCTATAGCTAACTTGTGAAGGACTGAATGCTTTCTCTCCAGGATGTGGAACAAGGCGAAGATGTCTGCTGTTACCACTTCTACTCAACACTGTAATGGAGGTTAATCTAGAGCAATCAGGCAATCAGAAGAAGTAAAAGACATCCAGACTAGAAACAAAGAAGTAAAATGCTCTTTATTTGCAGATAACAGATCCTGTATGTAGAAAACTGTAAGGAATTCACAAAGAAACTACTACAACTGGTGAGTTCAGCAAGGGCGAAGGATACAAGAGCAATGGACAAATCGATTGTATTTCTACAGGTTAGCGTTAACAACCTGAAAACGAAAATTAGAAAACACTTCCACCATTCAAGACAGCATGGAAAAAGAATAAAATACTTGGCAATAAATTTAACAAAAAAAATTCAAGACTCGTACACCGAACAACTACAAAACACTGCTGAGAGAAATTAAATAAAGAGACCTCTGTGTCATGGATTGGAAAACTCAACGTTGTTGACAGTGAGTCTCCCCAAATTGATCTATAGGTTCAAGGCAATTCCTACCAAAACTCCAGCTGTTTTTTTGGTTTTTTTTTTTTGGCAGAAATGGACAATTTGTATGGAACTGTACAGGACCCGGCATAGTCAAAACATTCCTGAAAAAGTTAGAGGGCTTATAATTCCAAATTTCAAAATTCACTATAAAGCTACAGTCAGTAAGACAGTGCAGTATTAGCATGAAGGATACACCTACAGAACAAAAGAGAACTCAGAATCCGGAAATAAACCCTTATATTTATGGTCAATTGATTTTCATAAGATGCTACGGCAATTCAATAGGGAAGGGACAGTCTTTTCAATAAAAGGTGCTGGAATAATCACACACCCACATGCAAAAAGATAAATTATACCCTTACCTCTCACTATAAACAAAACAATATAGATCACAGACCTAAATGTAGGAGCCAAAATTATAAAACTCTTAAAACGTACGAGTAAATTTTCATTACCTTTAATTAGGCAATGTTTCTTAGATAACCATAAAACTGCAAAAGCAATTTTTAAAAATGATAAATAGGACTTCATCAAAAAGTAAACGCTTCAAAAGATACTACTGAGAAAGTCACAGAATAGGAGAAAAAATCTGATGAGACTTTATGTCTAGAGTAATGAATTCTTGTTAACGAATAACCAACCCCCTTTTAAAAATGGGCAAAAGATTTGAATAAACATTTCACTACAGACAATAAACAAATGGCCTTAAGCACAAGAGATGCTCAACATCAGTAATTATTAGGGAAATGCCAATCAAAACTACAACGAGATACCCTATATCCACTAGTATGGCTATAATAAAAAAGAGTAACAAACGTTGAGGAGGATATGGAGAAACTCGAGCCCTGGTCAGGTGTGGTGGATCACACCTGTAATTCCAACACTTTGGGAAGCTGAGGCAGGCAGACTACTTCACTGAACCCAGGAGTTCAAGAGTAGCCTGGGCAACACGGCGAAACCCCATTTCTACAAAAAATACAAAAATTAATCAGGCATGGTGGTGGTGCACGCCTATAATCCCAGCTATTAGGGAGGCTAAGATGGGAGGATTGCTTGAGCCAGGGAGGTGGAGGTTGCAGTGAGCCAAGATCACACCACTGCACTCTAGCCTGGGTGACAGAGTGAGACCCTATCTCAAAACAAAACAAAACGACTTGAGCCCTTATAAACACTGCCAGTTTCTTAGAACATAAATTTACCATATGGCCCAGCAAGTCCTAAAAACATATCCACGCAGACTTGAACATAAATGTTCATAGGCAGTATTATTCATAATTAGCTGAAAAGTAGAAATAATCCAAATGTCCATCATCATCTCATGAATGGATAAACAAAATGTGACATCCATAGAATGAAATACTATTGGACAATAAAAAAGAATGAAAGCACTGGTACATGCTGCAACGTGGATAAAATTCAAAAACATCATGCCAAAAGAAGCCAGACACAAAAGATCATATAGTACATGATTCTAGATTCTATCCATATGAAATGTGAACAAAATGCAAATCTGCAGAGAGACAGAACAGACTAGAGGTTGCCTGAGGCTGCTGGTGGAATAGGGAGTGACTGCAAATGGCTACAAGGGATCTTTTTTGGGTGACAGAAATGTCCGAAAATTGGACTGTGATAGTTGTACAATTCTATAAAGTTACTGAAAATCACTGAGTTATAAACTGTAATTATATAAATTAAATTGTATAAGGTATGCAAATCAACCTCAATAAAGCTGTTAAAAAAATAACGATTTGTTGAGTTTTGGTGTAGTATCAAAGAATAATTTCTACAACTATCTCAAAGTTATCTTAAAATATTCCATCCTTTTCTAATTGTATTTCTGTGTAAGGTTAGATTTTCTTCAAATAAGTAACCCAAAATAAACTGGAACAGATACTAGCTGTCTTCTGTTATGCTAGATGTTAAAGATGTTTGCAAAAATGTAAACAGTGCCTGACGACTTCTCATTAAAAAAAAAAAATTGGGGAAGACGGATTATAGGCTCACACCTACAATCCCAGCACTTTGGGAGGCTGACGCTGGAGGACCCCTTGAACCTGGGAGATAGAGGCTACAGTGAGCTGTGATTGTGCCACTGCACTCCAGCCTGGGAAACAGAGAGAAACACTGTCTCAAAAAAAAGGCCGGGAGGTGGCAGGGGGAGGACAGCTATTTTTCACTAAAAAATATGTCATTTATGTTAATATGTAATGGGTTTTCTACTAGTATTTTAAAGTAAATCAATAAATATTTAAATTTTTCCTCAGTGTTAATTTCTTTGTGTTTTTTTGTTTGTTTGAGATGGCATCTCGCTCTGTCACCTAGCCTAGAGCACAGTGGTGCAATCTTGGCTCAATGCAACCTCCACCTCCCGCGTTCAAGTGATTCTCCTGCCTCAGCCTCCCAAGTAGTTGGGACCACAGGCATGTGCCCCCACGCCCAGCTCATTTTTGTATTTTTAGTGGAGACGACAGGGTTTCACCAGGCTGGTCTCGAACTCCCAACCGCAGGTGATCCACCTGCCTTAGCCTCCCAAAGTGCTGGGATTACAGGTGTGAGCCACCGCACCCAGACCTCAATGTTAATTTCTAACATAGTAAATGTTGACAGATATAACCCACATAAACAAAAGTTCTTTGAGGTCCTCAATAAATTTTTACAGTATAAGGAGGTCCTGAAACCAAAAACTTTAAGAAGCACTTCTCCACAACCAGGCCTCTGATCTCTAACCTGGAATGTCCCCGAAGCACCTTTGCCAGTTATCTGTTCTAACTGGCCCCTCTCTACTGCTCTCTGCAGAGCGTTCTTCAACAGCTGAGGCCTGCAAAGAAAAACAAAAAAAAAATAGTGATAAATACATTAATGAAAGAAAAATGTAAAGAAATAGATACAGGGTTATTCCCAGATCTAGAGTTCTGATTACTATTATTATTATTATTTTTTTTTTTTTTTTGAGGTGGAGTTTTGCCCTTGTTGCCCAGGCTGGAGTGCAATGGCACGATATTGGCTCACTGCAACCTTCACTTCCCAGGTTCAAGCAATTCTCCTGCCTCAGCCTCCCGAGTAGCTGGGATAACAGGCATGCGCCACCACACCCGGCTAATTTTGCATTTTTAGTAGAGACGGGGTTTCTCCATATTGGTCAGGCTGGTCTCGAACTCCCGACCTCAGGTGATCTGCCTGACTCGGCCTCCCAAAGTGCTGGGATTACAGGTATGAGGCACCACGCCTGGCTGAAGATTAGATTTTAACATTTGACTTCTAACGCTGTATGACAGACCTAGAAAATTTCCAAAGACACCTTCTTCAAGGCCAACTCTGAGTCTCTATATACCCAATATGCCCAGTTCTTCTTCTAGGGTTGCAAAAAAATCACTGTTATCAAATTAAGAAGGTGACTTGCATGTTATATTAAAAACCAATGTCTTGGCCAGGCGCGGTGGCTCACGCTTGTAATCCCAATACTTTGGGAGGCCGAGGCGGGTGGATCACGAGATCAGGAGTTCGAGACCAGCCTGGCCAACATAGTGAAACCTCAGCTCTACTAAAAATACAAAAAAATTAACGGGGCGTGGTGTCAGGCAACTGTAGTCCCAGCTACTCAGGAGGCTGAAGCAGGAGAATCATTTGAACCCGGGAGGCGGAGGTTGCAGTGAGCTGAGACCATGCCATTGCAATCCAACCTAGGCAACGGAGCAAGACTCTGTCTCAAAAATAAAAAATAAAAAACAAAACAAAAAAATTATGTCTTTAAATATTAGAATCCTATTTAGCATGCTGTAATGGTCATACTATGAGAAGCTGGAACTGAGACTAGTAAGAATAACATTAGTTGAACATTTACTAGGTACCAAGGACTATTCTAAGAAGTGCTTCGCACATACTAAGAGACTTAAACCCTATGGGTTAAACACTCCTTTTTTTTTTTGAGACGCATTCTCCCTCTGTCACCCAGGCTGGAGTGCAGTGGCGCGATCTCAGGTCACTGCAACCTCCGCCCCCTCAGGTTCAAGTGATTCTCCTGCCTCAGCCTCCTAAGTAGCTGGGACTACAGGCGCGTGCCACCACGCCCGGCTAATTTTTTGTACTTTTAGTAAAGACGGGGTTTCACTGTGTTAGCAAGGATGGTCTTGATCTTCCGACCTCATGATCTGCCCGCCTCAGCCTCCCAAAGTGCTGGGATTACAGGTGTGAGCCACCACACCTGGCCTTTTTTTTTTTTTTTTCTGAGAGAGGATCTCACTGTGTCACTCTGGATGGAGTGCAGTGGTATGACCATGGCTCACTGTAGCCTTGATCTCCCAGGCTCAAGCAACCCTTCCGCTGCTTCAGCCTCCCGAGTAGTTGGGACTATAGGCACATGCCACTACACCAGCTAATTTTTGTTATTTTTTTTTTGTACAGAGGGGGTTCCACTATGTTGCCCAGCCTGGTCTCGAACTTGTAGGTTCAAGCGATCCTCCCGCTTCGGCCTCCCAAAGTGCTGGGATTACACATGTGAACCGCAGCACCTGGCTGGGAGAGAGGTTTTGGTTGGTCATTATCAACCAAATACAACGTGTGGGCCATGTTAGGAAAAACAACTGTAAAATATCATTCTGGAGACAATTAAGGACATTTGAACATGGACTGGGTACTAGATAATACTAAGAAATTATTAATTTTGTTAAGAATGATTTAAGTGGCCGGGCGAGGTGGCTCACACCTGTAATCCCAGAACTCTGGGGGGCCGAGGCCGGCAGATCACCTGAGGTTGGGAGTTTGACACCAGCTTGACCAACATGGAGAAACCCCATTTGTACTAAAAATACAAAATTAGTCAGGTGTGGTGGCGCATGCCTGTAATCCCAGCTACTTGGGAGGCTGATGAGGCAGAAGAATTGCTTGAACCCAGGAGACGGAGGTTGCGGTGAGCCAAGATCGTGCCATTGCACTCCAGCCTGGGCAACAAGAGCAAAACTCTGTCTCCAAACAAAAAAAAGAATGATTTAAGTATGATGGTTAATGTTCTCTATCCTTCTTTGTATATGTTTGAAAATTTCCAAAATAAAACATTTAAGAAAGTATTAAGGGCTCCTTCTGTCATGTGAGGATACAATGAGAAGAAGGCACTCTGACACCCAGAAGAGGCCCTCACAGAACCCAACCATGCTGGCACCCTGATCTCAGACTTCGAGTCTGCACAACTGTGAGAAATACATTTCTCTTGTTTATATGCCCAAGTAACAAGAATAATAAAAATAGTCAAGGCAGGCCTTTGGTGATGACATCAGACTAAAAACTTAAGGAAGTAAAGGAACTGGCAAAGTGGCTTATGGGGAAAAATACATTCAGGTAAAGGGAATGCAACACAAAGGCTCTGAGACCAGTGAGAGAGTGAAGAGGAGTAGCTTAGGTCAGAGATACAAGTGAGTGTAGTGCCTTGTGGGCCATTTTAAAGACCGATTTTTTTTTTTTTTTTTTTTTGCCCCGAGACAGAGTCTTGCTCTGTCGCCCAGGCTGGAGTGCAGTGGCACAATCTCGGCTCACTGCAACCTCTGCCTCCTGGGTTCAAGCAATTCTCCTGCCTCAGCCTCCTGAGTAGCTGGGATTACAGGCATGTGCCACCATGCCCGGCTAATTTTTGTATGCTTAGTAGAGATGGGGTTTCACCATGTTGGCCAGGAAGGTCTCCAACTCTTGACCTTGTGATCCACCCGCCTCAGACTCCCAAAGTGCTGGGATTACAGACGTGAGCCACCACACCCAGCCCTACAGACTGATTTTTTAACTGTGACGGGATTGGGAAGACACTGAATGTTTGAGTAGAAAGGCGACATGACACTGGACACAGTGGCTCACACCTGTAATCCCAACACCTGGGTGGCCGAAGCAGGAGGATCACTTGAGGCCAGGAGTTAAAGACCAGTCTGGGCAATGTAGGGAGATTCTGTCTCTATTAACAATTTAAAAACTACTAGCTGTGTGTGGTGACACATTCCTGCAGTCCCAGCTACTTTTGAGGCCACAGTGGGAGGATCGTTTGAGCCTAGGAGTTCGAGGTTGCCATGAGCCACGATCTTGCCACTATACTCCAGTCTGGGCAACAGAGCAAGACCCCAGCTTGGAAAAAAAAAAAAGTGACAGGCTGGGCACAGTGGCTCACGTCTGTAATCCTTTGGTAGGCCAAGGCGGTCAGATCACTGGAGGCCAGGAATTTGAGACCAGCCTGGCCAACATGGTGAAACTCTGTCTCTACTAAAAATACAAAAATTACCCGGGTGTGGTGGCACAGCCTGTAATCCCAGCTACTCGGGAGGCTGAGACAGGAAAATCGCTTGAACCGAGGAGGCGGAGGTTGCAGTGAGCCGAGATCATGCCACTGCACTCCAGCCTGGGCAACAGAACAAGATTCCTTCTCAAATAAATAAATAAATAAATTTTAAAAAGTGATAGAACTTACATTTTTAAAAAAGTCTCACTCTCACTATGATGGTAAGAACATACTGAAAGGGAGCATGAAAAAAGCAGTTAAGAAGTTATTGCTCTAATACAGGTGAGAGATGATGGTGGCCTGGAAGAGAATGGTAGTGCAGGTGATGACAAGTAGTCTGTTTACTGATATATTTTATTTTATTTATTTATTTGGAGACGGAGCCTCACTCTGTCGCCCAGGCTGGAGTGCAGTGGTGTGATCTTGGCTCACTGCAGACTATGCCTCCCAGGTTTAAGTGATTCTCTTGCCTTGGCCTCTTGAGTAGCTGGAACTACAGGCACGTGCCACCATGCATGGCTAATTTTTTTGTATTTTTAGTAGAGATGGGGTTTCACCATGTTGGCCAGGCTGGTCTCGAACTCCTGACCTCATGTGATCCACCTGCCTCCCAAAGTGCTGGGATTACAGGCATGAGCCACAGTACCCAGCCTGTTTACTGATATATTTTAAAGACAGAGCAAAAATAATTGCTTATAGATTAGATAAAGGTGTCTGATAAAGAGAAGAGACCAGCACAAAGTCAGGGTTTTTGGTTTCAGCACATGGAAGGATAATATTGTCATGAACTGAAATGAAGATAATGTGGGAAATGCAGGGATTTTTGGGGGGAGAGGGAGCAGAGTGGGGATCATTAAATGTTTTCAACATTTAAATCAGACATCCAAGTGCTGATGCTGAACAGGCATCCGTATACACGAATCTGAAGTTAGAAGGGAGGTATGGGCTAGATTCATACATTTGTGAATTAATAGTTTATAGCTGGTATTTACAGTTTTGCAAGTGAAAGGAATCACCAAGTGAATGTGGACATAAAAGATGAGAGGCCTAAGGTATAACCCTGAGGGCTCCTTTCTATTAAGAGGTAAAGCAGAAATCCTTAGGAGATTGAGAAACGAAGGGTAAAAAGGTTACAGAAAAATCAGGAAAGTGTGGTGTCCTGGAAGGCAAGTGAAGAAAATGTTTCAAGCAGGTAGGAGTCATCAACTGTGTCAAATGCCATTGAGAGGGCAGCTGGTAAGGACTATGAATTGACCACTGAAATTTCCAACGTGGAGACTGACAGAAAATATTCAGGTAAAGTGGTGGGGATAAAGTCTGACTAAAGTGGAGAAAGTGGAAGGGGAGACATTGTAGATACCAGTATAGACAACTTACACTTTGGTGAAACTGTATTTTTCTTCCTCTTTTGTTTGGCCAAGCAAGAATGGCTGAATTTTCAAGTTAAATGTGTATATGAAAGGACTCCATTATAATCAAGAATTAGAGAAAATCAATATGGTTTCACATAAGAGAAAAAAGTTTCAATGGAAAAAATTACCATTAAAAAGGCCATGAGAAAAGGTCTTCAGGTTCATTAGCACCTTTGGGTTGACAACCCATCCATTATCAGGTAAATTTTGTTTCAGCCTAAGGTCATGACAATATGTTTCAAAAGAAGTGCAGCAAAGGCACACTGGTAGCAACACACTACCTTATGTAAGTAGAGTAGAACTACAAGAAAAAAAAATGGGGGAAGATATGGTCTCCACTCACCAAAAAGCAGAGAATAAAGGCTGTGAAAAGAAAATAAATCTTGGGATCCCCTAATCACAAACCCTAATCACGAATCCCCTAATCACAAGGAAAATCCTTGCAGACAAACGACAGACAGAACTTCAAGTCATTCATCTGCTGAGATAAATGCATATCTGATTGCCTCCTTTGAAAAAGCTAATCAGAAACTCAAAAATAATGAAATTCTTTGTCTTTTATTTACCTATGACCTAGAAGCCCCCTCCCTGATTTGAGTTGTCCCACCTTTCCAGACCAAACCAACATACACCTTACATATATTAATGTCTCATGTTTCCCTAAAATGTGTAAAACCAAGCTGTGCCCAGACCACCCTGGGCACAAGTTTTCAGAACCTCCTGAGGCTGTGTCACGGGCACAATCTTAACCTTGGCAAAATAAACTTTCTAAATTGACTGAGACCTGTCTCAGATATTTTGGGGTCACACAAAGGAGATAAAAGTGAAATATGATCCCCAGTGTTGCAGGTGGGGCCTAGTGGGAGGTGTCTGAGTTATAGGGATGGCTTCGTGAATGGCTTCGTGCCTTCCTGGCCGTAATGAGCGGGTTGTTTAAAACAACTGGTTGTTTTAAGAGTGTGAGATCTGGTTAAGAGTGTGGCACCTTTCCCTCCTCTCTTGCTCCCTTTTTTGCCATGTGATACGATAGCTCCTCCTTCCACCATGATTGTAAGTTTCCTGAAGCCCTCACTAGAAGCAGACGCCTGCACTATGCTTCTTGTACAGCCTGCAGTACCATGAGCCAAATAAACTTTATTCTTTGTTAAAGAATAGTGAAATATGTTTCCATCTTTAAATGCATCATATAACGCATTTTTGATCCACAATTGTGTCTGCCTACTACCACTATACTCAGCATATAAGAAGCATGAAAATATCAGCACATTAATTTAGAACTTTCTGCTTCTATAATTCCCTTTTCTTTTGCACTATTTCACTAGCTCTTTAATTTGGCATTCTGATGACCACTACTGATTTTCTGAAAATGTGGCTTCTGGACTGAAACCTCAGCACTTCTAATTGCATGCCTCAGTAATGCAAGTAAATACTGGTACTACACTGTATCGGGACAATGTGCATTCAATATGGTAGTCTTCTGTAGACAGAAATCTGGATTAAACATAATTTTCTAGAAGTCATCTCACACAAACACTCTCAGAGTCTGTGAATTACAAATTTAAACAAATTGATATATCTGCATGAATCTACAACTGAGCAAATGTGACAATCTAAATGATCTGTCAAGACGTTAAATGGCAAATTTTACGTATCAATTACTAACAAAATTATCTCAGAATTTTATGCTGCATGTTTAAATGATGGAAACATTATGCTATTTCTATGTACAGGTGTTATTGAAGCCTGAATTCTCATGAAATATATATATGATGTATATGTATGTACATATGTATGCATATATCTATCATATATATGTTTTTTGAGACTGAGTCTCACTCTGTCACCCAGGCTGGAGTGCTAGGATTACAGGCGTGAGCCACCGTGCCCAGCCTAAAAGTACATTTTAACCCAATACTAGACTCAAAAACTATACCCAGATGCAATTTTTCTTCCTGTTTTTGTAAATACTAACATTCTTCTTCCCAACACATATAATTTCATTTGTGTAAAGTATTTCTATAATAAAATGAAATGTCTTGTACTCATTTATATCAGAAATTGAAATAGTATTTTCTACACTTTTTTTTCTTACAACCCTGAAGCTTTCTATCCTTTTTTTCACAGACTTTTCAAACATTTTCAAAATGAACTTTATGTATTACTTTCTGGTGCTGTACTTCATTATTTAGTTATTAAAGGCTAAGAATAAATTAGGACCCTTAAAGTCTACACTCCTTTTTACTCTTATGGTTTTTTTTTTGAGACGGAGTTTTGCTCTTGGTGCCCAGGCTGGAGTGCAATGGCGCAATCTCGGCTCACTGCGAACTCCACCTCCTGGGTTCAAGCGATTCTCCTGCCTCAGCCTCCTGAGTAGCTGAGACTGCACATGCCCACCACCACAGCCAGCCTAGTTTTTTTTTTGTTTTTTTTCTTTTAAACCTGGTAGAGTAACTCTTTTAATGTTGTCAACTGTTAAGATATTTCATATCTGAGAAGATACACAGTTCAATACTACATATCTTAACAGCTGACAACATTTAAAAGAGTTACTCTACCAGGATCTTACAAAGAAAGATAAGATTTGGGTTTGGAAAAAAAAAAAAAAAAACCACACAAAAAACAAAACTAGGCCAGGCACGGTAACCGGGGCCTGTAATCCCAGCTATTCGGAGGCTGTGGCAGGAAAATCGCTTGAACCCGGGAGTTAGAGGCTGCAGTGAGCTGAGACTGCGCTATTGCACTCCAGCCTGGGTAACAAGAGCAAGACTTCATCTCAAAAAAAAAAAGGCTGGCCACAGCGGCTCACGCCTGTAATCCTAGCACTTTGGGAGGCCGAGGCAGGTGGATCACTTGAGTTCAAGAGTTCGAGACCAGCCTGGCCAACATGATGAAACCTTGGCTCTACTAAAAATACAAAAATTAGCTGGGTGTCGTGGCGGGTGCCTGTAGGCGCAGCTACCCGGGAGGCGGAGGCAGGAGAATCCTTTGAACCCGGGAGGCAGAGGCTGCAGTGAGTTGAGATGGTGCCACTGCACTCCAGCCTGGGTGACAAGAACAAATCTGTCTCAAAAAACTAAAAAAAAAAAAAAAAAAAAAATTATACATGGAGATATGAAAATAAAAACATAATGGGGCAAAAAAATAAAACCAATAAAAAAGATTTATTTTTAGCTGAAAGTAATCCTTCCTCAGTATTTAATCTATCTCTTTTCCCATGAAAAGGGAGCTAAAGGAAGTAACACATCATGTTTTAAAGGCCAGGCCAATGGCTCATACCTGATGTCCACTCTAAGCTTAGGATAATACTGAGACACATATTTCCTGATGAGACTGTAGGAAGCTTCTTTAGGTTCACAAAGGCGAGTAAAGGCCAGTGGGAGGACATCCTCCAATTTTACTTGTGGTTCTGGATCCACTGCAGAGCTCCTATTCTGAAAAGTAATTATCAAAAATTATGATCATTATAGAACGTAAATGTTTCTACATACAACTCAAGGGCTTTCCTCAGTTGATTACCAAATTTGTCAATTTTATGGCAATTTCTTTGATATAAAATTTTCAATGGACAGCATTAAAAATACATATAAAAGCTGGGTGTGGTGGCTCACACCTGTAATCCCAGCACTTTGGGAGGCCGAGGTGGGCAGATCACCTGAGGTCAGGAGTTAAAGACCAGCCTGGCCAACATTGCAAAACCTCCTCTCTACTAAAAATACAAAAATTAGCCAGACGTCGTAGCCTGTAATCCCAGATACTTGGAAGGCTGAGGCACAAGAACTGCTTGAACCCGGGAGGTGGAGATTGCAGTGATGCAAGATGGAGCCACCGCACTCCAGCCTGGGTGACAGAACGAGACTCCGTCTCAAAAAAAAAAAAAAACAAAAAAAACACAACAAAACAAGAAAAAGGAGCCAGGTGTGGTGGCTCACGTCTGTAATCCCAGCACTTTGGGGGGCTGAGGTGGGCTGATAACCTGAGGTCTCAAGTTTGAGACCAGCCTGACCAACATGGTAAAACTCTGTCTCTAATAAAAATACATAATTAGCCAGGCATGGTGGCATGCACCTGCAATCTCATTTACTCAGGAGGCTGAGGCAGGAGAATCACTTGAACCCGGAAGGCGGAGGTTGCAGAGATCCGAGATTGCATTATTGCACTCCAGCCTGAGCAACAAGAGCGAAACTCCGTCTCAAAACACACACACAAAAAACACACATAAAAGTAAAAAGGAGTGTAGATTTTAAAGGTCCTAATTTATGAAGTACAGCACCAGAAAAAAATGCATAAAGTTCATTTTGAAAGTGTTTGAAAAGTCTATGAAAAAAGGATAAAAAGCTTCAGAGTTGTAAAACAAAAAAAAAAGGTGTAGAAAAATATTATTTCAATTTCTGATATAAATGAGTACAAGACATTTCACTTTATTATTGTAGAAATACTTTACACAAATGAAATTATATGTGTTGGGAAGAAGAATGTTAGTATTTACAAAAACAGGAAGAAAAATTGGATCTGGGTATTGTTTTTGGGTCTAGTATTTGGTAAAAATGTACTTTTAGGCTGGGCATGGTGTGGTTCACATCTATCATCCCAGCACGTTGGGAGGCGGAGGCAGGCAGATCACCTGAGGTCAGGAGGTGGAGGCCAGCCTGGCCAACATAGTGAAACTCCATCTCTACTAAAAATACAAACATTAGCTGGGAACGGTGGCACATGCCTGTAGCAGTCCCAGCTACTGGGGAGGCTGAGGCAGGACAAGCACTTGAATCCGGGAAGCAGAGGTTGCAGTGAGCCAAGATCGTGCCACTGCACTCCAGCCCGGGCAATAGAGCAAGATTCTATCTTAGAAAAGAAAACAAACAAACAAACAAACAAAAAAACAGAGGACTCTTATACCTCCTCTAGTTTAAAAGATATTTCACAAAAAGCAGTATAATTCAGCTGGGAGCAATGGCTCACCCTGTAAATCCCAGCACTTTGGGAGGCAGAGGCGGGCAGATCACTGAGGTCAAGAGTTCAAGACCAGCCTGGCCAACACGGTAAAACCCTGTCTCTACTAACAAAAAAAATTAGTCAGGCACTGTGGCGAGTGCCTGTAATCCCAGCTACTCAGGAGGCTGAGGCAGGAGAATTGCTTGAATCCAGGAGGCGGAGGTTGCAGCTAGCTGAGATCATGTCACTGCACTACAGCATGGGCAACAGAGCAAGACTCCATCTCAAAACAAAAAACAGTGTAATTTATATAGCTGCCCATAATTTAATATAAGGCACTTAAGAGCACAGGCTTAACCAGGTTGGACTGCTTGGATCTGCACCTTGGCTATTCTACTCACTAGAGGAACAAATTATTTATAACTTCCCTAGGCCTTAGCAGAAAGGCTGAACCTTGCATAGTGCCAGGCACACAGCAAACACTCAATGAATGTTGCTATTTTTAGTAGCAGTAACAGCTCCACAGCACTCAAACTGTGGTATAGATGTCTTACCTTTCTGTTTCTGGATTTCTGAGGTGTTTTTCTTGATTTCTGAACCACAACAAAACTTCCAGAAGCACCTTTTCCTTTAACCTAAAGTAAATTAATTTTTGTTATTCTAGTATTCATAACTTTACAGTAGGCTAAGGAAATTACAGGCCATGGTAATGCAAGAGCTAATGTAAAGTGGTGTTTACTTCTTCAGAGAAAAAAAAAAAAACAGTCAATGCAGAGTCAAAAGACTTCAGATGAAAGCTCCTTTATATACCATCTAGCTGATGCTGAGTAATACTGGACAACCCAGTTAACCCTCTGAGCTTTTGTTTTCTCATCTACAAAATTTTGGGAAGAATGCTACTGTGATACCACGTTAAACAGTTTATTAAAAACTTTCAAAATGAAATAAAAAATCAAAACAAAAATGTCCCAAAAAAGGAAGGGACACAATCTCTTAGGGAAATAAGAAAAGCCCTCACTGTCTTAAAAGCACCTTGGAAAAAGTTTAGAGCCTAATTAGTCTCAGACCACGTAACTTCCCACAGTTTACCAATGATACATTATTCCTTATGGGAAGGGTTATCCAACAATTTTTTGGCTGGGCGCGGTGGCTCATGCCTGTAATCCCAGCACTTTGGGAGGCCGAGGCGGGCGAATCACGAGGTCAGGAGATCGACACCATCCTGGCTAACACAGTGAAACCCCGTCTCTACTAAAAATACAAAAAATTAGCCGGGCGTGGTGGCGGGTGCCTGTAGTCCCAGCTATTCGGGAGGCTGAGGCAGGAGAATGGCGTGAACCCAGGAGGCAGAGCTTGCAGTGAGCTGAGATCGCTCCACTCCACTCCAACCTGGGTGACAGAGCGATACTCCGTCTCAAAAAACAAACAAACAATTTTTTAGCCACTGCACACAATGGTATGTTAAGTTTTACCACATATTTCCAGTTCACAAAGCACTTTCATAAAATTTTAAAGTTGATTCACAATAGGCCAGGCACGGTGGTTCATTCCTATAATCCCAGCATTTTGGAAGGCCGAGGTGGGCAGATCACTTGAGGTCAAGAGTTTGAAACCAGCCTGGCCAATGTGGTAAAACCCCATCTCCACTAAAAATACAAAAATTAGCTGGGTGTGGTAGCGGGCGCCTGTAATCCCAGCTACTCAGGAGACTAAGGCAGGAGAATTGCTTGAACACGGGAGGCAGAGGGTGTAGTGAGCTGAGACCATGCCATTGTGTAACAGAGCGAGACTCCATCTCAAAAAAAAAGTTGATTCACAATAACTAAAGTCCTCCACAGCTTAGTTTTACCTACACTGCTATCAATGCAGCAATCAAGCTGGAATGCTTTTAGCCTACTAAGAGTTGTTTAGGCATCAAACCAAGGGTGGTCAGGCTATGTAGGCTAGAGCAGGTCATAAACTAAAACATGAAGCCATCTCATAAGCTTTGCTGACATGTTACACAACAGGTCCTTGGCTCTAATAATTATATTAACTAGGTAAGACTTTTTAGTCAACGATAATTTTGTTTTATTTTAGAGACAGGGTCTCACTCTGTCACCCATGCTGGAGTGCAGTGGCACAATCATAGCTCATTGCTATGTTAGCTCATAGCTCAACTCAAGCGATCCTCCTGCCTCAGCCTCATGAGTTGGGACTAGAGGCATGCACCCCTACATTTGGCTAATTTTTAAGTTTTTTGTAAAGGCTGGGCATGGTGGCTCACGTCTGTAATCCCAGCACTTTGGGAGGCTGAGGTGGGTGAATCACTTGGGCCCAGGAGCTTGAGACCAGCCTGGGCAACATGGCAAAACCTTGTCTCTACAAAGAATACAAAAATTAGCTGGGTGTGCTGGTGCACACCTATAGTCCCAGGTACTCGGGAGGCTGAGGTGGGAAGACGGCTGGAGCCCAGCAGGTAGAGAGTGCGGTGAGCTGACATTGCACCTCTGCACCCCAGCCTGGGCCAGAGTGAGATCCTGTCTCAAAAAGTAAAATAAAATAGAATAAAGAAATAATTTTTTTGTAGAGACAGGGCCTCACCTTGCTATGTTGCCCAGGCTGGTCTCAAACTCCTGGCCTGAAGCAACCCTCCCACCTCAGCGTACAGGTATGAGCCACTGTGCCTGGCCGTCAGTGATAATTTTAAAGGCCATTTAAATATCAGTTTTACATTTTGAGAAAGCTGGACTCCTAGCTCCACAGAGCAGCAATCTGTTTTATTCACTAACAGACCTCCAGGCAACTGGCACATAGGAGACAAGACGTATCTGTGCAATTAAGTACTAGTTGGAAGTCCCTAAGCAGAGCTGAAATGCCTGAGTGGCACAGAATTCTGTTCTGATCAAACAGGCAGGGGGTATAGAAAAAACTTAACAAGACTCTAGGAATGGGGTGAACTAGGTTTTTAAAATTTTTGCCACTACCGTAAGACCTTAGCAGTTATTTCATCACTCTGGACCTCTGAAGAGGGTAACATAATATAAAGTTTATTCTAGCTTTAGATTTCTATGGTTCTAAGTTTCCATGCACTATGCAAGATAAAGTAGATTTATGCCTGAAATCAACATTTGTTCTAGTACTAGTCACATTTCACTCGGGTTTCTCTGATACTCTTAACAGGCTTTAATAGTTTAGATACTAATCAGTTAAGGTGAGCACATTTATGAAGCTAAAAATTAATAGTAACAAGTCTATCATGTAAGTTAGGCTTTAAAGGAAACAAACCTAAGACAAGGGCAATTATTATTTCTGTTATTCCTTTTTGTTTTCAGACAGGGTCTCACTCTCACCGAGGCTGGAGTGGTGAGATCGTAACTCACAATAGCCTCAACCTCCCAGGCTCAAGCGGTCCTCCTGCCTCTGCCTTCCAAGTACCTGGGACTAGAGGCATGTGTCACCAAACCCTGCTGATTTTGTATTTTTTGTAGAGAAGGGGTCTTGCTATGTTGCCCAGGCTGGTCTCGAACTCCTGGGCTCAAGTGATCCTCCCAACTAAGCCTCCCAAGGTGCTGGGACTACAGGTGTAGGCCACCATCCCTAGCCTCATTTTTGCTGTTTCAGTAGTAGGATTCCTTACCTCTTTTTCATGTTCAGTGCTACATGATTTCAAGCACAAGCAGCCCCCCAAAAAATATCCAATTAAGAGCAAAGTAAGCTAGAAAAAAGTTACACTATCTTAATGGCACCAGCATTTTCGAAACCTAGCCTCAGATAATTCAACTAGGTTAAACTTAAGGAATTTCATCATCATGAAACTTATTTTTAACAAAAAAGGCACAAAAAGCCTAAATGTTACTAACTGTAGACTTAAAGCTAATACACAATGAAATGATCTTACTACTAACAATTGTGTAATACCTGTTTGATGACTCCTCTATTTAATTCTCTTTTCAGTGCTTGTTTAAGGAGATAACCCCTTCTCTCCAGCTCCAGAGAAGGATACTTATGGATGATGTATTTTCGAATAGCAACCACTGATGCACCACTCTTCTGGAAGCATGCCTAGAAAAGATTTATTAAACTAGTTGTTTTTTTTTATTAGATAGAGCCTGACATATATTTTCAAAATAAATTATTTTGGAAGTGAATTTGATGATAGATGACAAAAACGGTAGGGAAGAATGAACTTCAGAAGACTTCAGTTCATAATGACTACAGAGAAGTAACAGAATTACTAAATATTTCTACTACAATTTTAAATTGTTCAAAACAGCCTAAGAGACCATACTGAACACGAACAACATTCTATGTATAATGAAGAACCTCTTTCCATTTTAATTCCATTCTGTATTTAGAAGATGAATCTTTGGCATCAAAATGAGAAAAGCAGAACAAACCTATCACTTACAGGATCACAGATCTGTCCCATTTTAAGGCACGAGCTTAAGGAATGAGCATGCCAGGACATTTCCCTGAAGGCTCTGTATGAATGTCAGCAGAAAGAAGAATCAAAGATAATCTGAATAAGTGGCATAAAAATGGGTTTACAGATGGCAAAGTGCTGAAGGAGAGTTTTGGGTAATAGTGAAGGTGTTCTATTTGAATTTAATGTGCCCTCTTCCATTTCCATCCTATTTTACTTATACTCCATTTGACTAATGCACCTGGAAGAATTAAGTAGCTCATTATGTCACAAAGGCAGCAAATACTTAATTTTTTTCAAATGCTTAAAATTTTGTTTTCCAACTGGTCACTGACTTGAAATCAAATACTTTAAATTTTGAAACACACAAAAGTAGCATCTGTCATTTATCTAATGAGCTAGTCCATCAATTTTGTACTGCCACAGTGTCTATTAAATCAATGTAGCACTTATTCATTCTCATTGGATAAGAACTTCGTTGAATGTTTTTATACATTTTGACAACAAAGAAAAATAACTCACAGGTAGATGGTCCAGAAAAGATTGCACAACACGAAACAAGTTGTATTAATATGGGTCATGTAATTCAAGTCTATGTCTCTGAACTATTAATGACCTACTGAGGTTTACTCCTGATCTTAAAAGAAAACACAGAGCAAAGAAAATCAAGCAGAAAAGAACACTAATGCTGAAACAAATAATCTTTTGCTCCACCAATCCGACAGTGAGATGGTAGTAGACATCATGATTCCTGTTCAATACAGAAAATGGTATCCATGGTCTGAAACAATAATTTGTCATATTGCATGGAATACACATTATCTATATAAAATCAATCATCTCCATAAATATGCACAATTATATTCAAACCATTCTTTAAGCCAAATTGATATTGTTTTAATTTTTTATTTCACTATTTTAAAGTTTCAGCCCTTTTTCCATCCTCACTATGATGCTGCTCCTTCAAACCCAGGCTGAGTGGTCATCAAGTGAAATCCTTGAAGAAAGGCTATACAAAGAACAGAGATTTCACTACAGTGAGGTAATCTAGACCAATAAAGTTTTCTTAATGAGGTGAGAGCATAAGAAGTCTTGAAGGAGTAAAGGGAGAAGTCTGAAGGCAAACCCTTTTTCCAGTTTATGTGTTAGTGCTATCTTCTCATATTCTGAGAATGACAACCAGGCTGCTCCTTTTCGTACACATCCCCCCTTTTCTGGTTAAAATCATCTGTATCCCTGTCTCCCCAGTCCTGCCTCAGATCCTAACAACAGGGTCCCTGAAAGATGGGTCTGTTCTAACTCCTCTTATCATCTGATCATATGAACTAAACAAGGCAAAATTAAATGAAAAGACTTATACAATAAAGGCAATGTCAAATTAGAAGATAACCTTTAAAAATTAAAATAGGAAAACTACATCTAATGAAAGTCAATGAAATCATAAATCTATGTAAGGAGGATAATTTTTGTAAGCATTTTGGAATGTCTAGGTAATAAAGCAGTGTTTATTAACAGGGTTCAGGTGTGAAAGATAACCACTACCAAGATCACTTAGCTTTAGAAATGAACCTAGAGATATTTTTTAAACAAAAATTCTCAATATTTTTCAGTTACTGAGTCACAATTAGATTTATAAGGGCAAGGACTTTGCTAGCCTTAGTTAATTCACCACTAGCAGGGGCGCCCAACAGAGGAAGGTAGTCCTTAAATGTTTGTTCAATGAATTAACATTTTCAGCCTTCAAATAAAAACTGTACTTAATCGATAAACTGCATTTAAAAATTCTAAAGTTAAAATATTTGCTATATTAAATATAATTTTTTTAAAAAAATTAACAGTGTTCACCAAATGTGATTATATTAGAAAAACATGAACTTATAATGACTTTCCTCTCTTTAAAACTCCTTTAGGAAGCAGAACAAGATTTATGATGTCTAGACAGATATATGCCATTTTCAAATAAGAAAAAAATGAACATAATAAATCTAAGATGAATTGCTTGAAATAAAAACTTGCCTTAATGGCCTCAGTTAAGATTGCATCCATCTTGGGACGTGGGGAAGAAGCCATCGGTGTTTGTTTCTGGGCCCTGGCTAGCTGGCTGGCAGAAAGGGTAGCCCAGGAAGGAATTGTTTTTTTCACTTTCTTCTCCTTTTCTTTAGACTGATCTTTCTCACTTTAAAACAAAGAATTGTTATTATAGAAGATAAGCTCTCTAGAAAGACGTATAAAGTCAGAAGGAGGAAAAGACCAGGGAGGGATAAAAATTAATGCTTTAATTTATTTACAGGCTAAGATGACATGTACCATAAGCAAAATTTTACAAAATAAATCTTCTTTAAAAACTGGGTACTATAAATGAATTAAAAAGGTATTTTTCTCTTAGCTGCAGGAGAAAGGAGTCACATAAATTAGCACTGGTATAAGGGCTCAGTACATAAGACAAATGAGAATTTTAAAATGCACATTAGTTAACAATTACAACAGATGCAATATGGTATAGTGGAAAAAACTCAAGCTCTTAAAGTCAGAAAACCTTTGTTTGTATTTTCACTCAAACATTTACTAGCTAGCTATATGATCTTAGTAAATGATGTGAGTCTTTCTCCTCAGCTATAAAACAGTAATATAGAACCAACTATTTCCCAAGGTGTTGCAAGAATTATAAGAGTATGTTTATCAAAACAATTTTGTGAGATTTAAAGCATTATGTAAATTTTATTCTGAGTATATAACAGTACTCTGTGCACCTAATAGGTGCATTAGAACATTTAACAACAGACGATAGGCTGGGTGCAGTGGCTCATGCCTGTAATCCCAGCAATTTAGGAGGCTGAGGAGGGAGGACAGCTTGAGGCCAGGAGTTCAAGCCCAACCTAGCCAACATAGTGAGACGCCATCTCCATTAAACACACACACACACACACAAACACACCCACACCCACACACGATAGTTGCTATAAATTCCACAGACCTTAGCTATACTTATGAAACTCAGATAAAGAATACCCTGAAGATTATAGCTAGAAGGTATAGTTATTACTAAGTTATTCTTTTATGGTCATGTGCTGTGTAACAATATTTGGTCAACAGACCACATATACAATGGTGGTCCCTTAAGATTATAATGGAACTGAAAACCTCCTATTACCTGGTTAACATGATAGCTGTGGTAATATCACAGCGCAGCACGTTACTCACTTGTTTGTGGTGACATTGGTGTAAACAAACCTACAGTGCTGCCAGTCATACAAAAATATAGCATATTGGCTGGGCGCGGTGACTCATGCCTGTAATCCCAGCACTTTGGGAGGCCAAGGTGGGCGGATCACAAGGTCAAAAGATTGAGACCATCCTGGCCAACATGGTGAAACCCCCGTCTCTCCTGAAAATACAAAAATTAGCTAGGTGTGGAGGTGCACGCCTGTAGTCCCAGCTACTTGGCAGGTTGAGGCAGGAGAATCGCTTGAACCTGGGAGGTGGAGGTTGCAGTGAGCCCAGATCGCGCCACTGCACTCCACACTCCAACCTGGGTGACAGAGTAAGACTCCATCTCAAAAAAAAAAAAAAAGCACATTACAATTATACATAATACCTGATAATAAACAGCTATGCTACTAGTTTATGTGTTTACTATACTATACTTTTTATCATTAGAGTATATGTTTTCTACCTACAAAAAAAAAGTTAACTGTAAAACAGCCTCAAGCAGGTCCTTCAGAAGGTATTCCAAAAGACAGCACTGTTATCATAGGAAATGACAGGTCCATGTGTGTTGCTGCCCCTGAAGGCCTTGAGTGGGACAAGATCTGGAGGTGGAAGACAGTGATATTGATGACCCTGACCTTGTGCAGGCCTAGGTTAAGGTGTGTGTATGTGTCTTAGTTTTGTTTTTTTATAAATATGAGGTCTCACAACGTTGCCCAATCTAGATTCAAATTTCAGGACTCAAGCAATCCCCCCACCTCAGCTTCCTAAGTAGCTAGGGCTACAGCTGTGCACCATTGCGTCCGGCTTGTGTCTTTGTTTTTGGTAAAGTTTTAAAAGTTTTTAAAAATAAAAACTTTTTAGTTTTAAAAGTTGCTAAAAATAAAAACTTTTTAGTTTTAAAAGTTGCACACAGTAGTCCTAGGCCTTTGCATTCACTTACCACTCACTCACTCACCCAAACAACTTCCAATCCTTTAAGGTCCATTCATGGTAGGTGTCCTACACAGGTATACCATTTTTTATCTTTTATATTATATTTTTACTGTACCTTTTCTATGTTTAAATACACAAATACTTACCGTTGTGTTATAACTGCCTACAGTATTTAGTACAGTAACATGCTGTACAGGTTTGTAGCCTAGAAGCAACAGACTATCCCATAAAGCCTAGGTATGTAGTAGGCTGTACCACGTAGGTTTGTGTAAGTACACTTTATGATGTTGGCACGATGATGAAATCGCCTAAAGATGTATCTCTCAGAATGTATACCCATTGTTAAGCAATGCATGACTATAGTTAAAAGCAATTTCTAACTGTTCTGACCAATTATGAAAAGAGTGGAATGAATACTATCAGCTCTCCTGCAAAAAAAAAAAAAAAAAAATTAAAAATTAAAAAGTAACTGCCATCACTTTATATAGATACACATCAATAGCAAATTTTACTTTCAGATTCTCAAAGCCAATTCTTCAACTGAATATTTCATCAAACATATATAGACTTTTAGGTCACACTACCAATGGCTTGATACAAATCAATGCCTTCTAACATAAGCACACAAAAACAACCCACTCCTGGCACAGAAGTAGGAATAAAATAGTGAAATGTCTTCTAGGTCAGATTTTTATAGTTATGTTTCATTTCTTATTGAAGTCTTGCCAATGCTTAAAATATCAGATACTCCCACAATAAATTACAAGCTCAAAAACACATTCCAAAGCCAATGACAAAGACTTTTGGATTATTCAAACCATTGTGTTCTGCTAACTACAGCATATTCTAACAGGTCAAACAACTATATAATAAACCTATTTCAAATGGTAATTCTAAAAATTAAATCCAAATAGCAAATACCTAGCATAAACCAATGTTATAACACTTTAAAACAATCTAATCTAAAGTCCTTTTACACATTCTTCAAATATAAATAGCAAGAAGACATAACTCCTTACTCCTTTTTGGTTTCCTCAGAAGACTTATTTTCTTCCTTCTCTTCATTCTCAGGTTCCCCCTTTGGCTGCTCTGCCTCACTCGAAGTAGCAGGTGGAGTTTCATTCTCTTGTTCTTCTACAGTGGAGACAGATTCCTCTGAACTTATGTCTGGTTCTAAAAAATCAGGTGAGCAGAATTGCATAAGCAGATGTATTCCAATCTGAGTCAATAAAAGGTAAAAGCTTATCTTATTAAACGGACCAGCCAAAGTCTCCAATTAACAAATGAATTCTAAAATGAAAATGAATGACCACTAATGCAGTTTTCTTACATTCTTTATGTCACTCAAGTTTCCTGGTCAGGTGGTTATTTATCTATTATTAGAAAAATAGACCAGGAAATTACATAGAAAGGAAAACTCATTTCATCCCCAATTGTTTAATTATTCTACTTTGCAATATTCATGAGACTCATAATTAAGAAACTAGCCATTTTATAATTCAACAGGCAAATCTCAGAGAATAAGTAATTTAAAAACTCATGTATTCTCCAAGAGGAATGACTGAAGCAAGAGTAGAAATATGAGGGGAACATGGAGGTCTGCTGCTATTTGTGCCTTTCCTTCACAGCATGTCTCTGAGTAGCTACTATAAAACACAGAACCCCAGGCACTGGTTATGCAGGGACTTCAGAGAACTCCAAAAAAAAATAAAAATAAAAAAAATAAAAAAAACATGAAAGAAAAAGGACTCCAGTGGCAAGCATATACTTCAAGCCAAAGTATATGCTTGAAGAATTTGATCATTTAAATTATGTGAACTAATTATTGCAATAATGACGAGGACTTCTTTGTGGCCTTCCCATAAAGAGAATTTTATTTATTTATTTATTTTTTTTTTGAGACGGAGTCTCGCTCTGTCTCCCAGGCTAGAGTGCTGTGGCGCAATCTTGGCTCACTGCAACTTCCACCTCCCCAGGTTCAAGCGATTCTCCTGCCTCAGCCTCCCTAGTAGCTGGGACTACAGGTGCGTGCCGCCATGCCCAGCTGATTTTTTGTATTTTTAGTAGTGACAGGGTTTCATTGTGTTAGCCAGGATGGTCTCGATCTCCTGACCTCGTGATCCACCCGCCTCAGCCTCCCAAAATTCTGGGATTACAGGCGTGAGCCACCGCGCCCAGCTATAAAGAGAATTTTAAAATGCCACTTCTTTCTTAAAACCAAATCACATAAGTACAATTCTAACACTTATACTAAGCGAGTGATTTCCATCCTCCTTTGGAATTCTCTGCTTCTAGAATTGTTTCCCATATGCTTAGGATGACAAAGTATTATGGATAGAACTTCACTATAACAATGGTATCTGGGGATAAAGATAATAACTACATTTAGGTTTTCCACAATAAAATGTATTTTTCATCATGATATATCTTTTACTGCCCCTCAACCCAACAATTTGACCTAAATGGCTGCATGGGCAAGAATTTACTATTAGTTAGTCATGTTTATTTACACTTTGTCTTATTCTAAAAAAGATGAAAAGCTAAGAATCATTCAGGGGTTTTACGGTAGTAAGACTTATAAATTTACATTATTTTCTCTTCTCAAGAATAACTGCTCAAGAGTTATGGCTTAATAAAGTTCAGTCACTCAACAGATATTGAATATGTATTATGTATAAGACTGTTTCCAACTCATTAAACTACTGTGTTTCTGTGTAAAACATAGAGTTTACAAAATTTAAAATAAGTGAAGTCTAATTTCTATGTACAAAATACTGTGTACAAAATGGGATAGAGAGAAGATTAAACAAACATACAACTTGTGAAGTGACACTGTTTCTTCATAAACTTCTGGTTGAGTTTTCTAATACTTTACATCTGAACCCTCTGGCATATATTCTGAAAACTGATGTTATTAGTGATTTAGTGGCTTCAGCTGGCTGTTAAACATGGATTAAGATGGACCACCAAGTGGCTTATCCCAGTGCTGGACAAGATAACCTATCTTCAACTTACCAGCACCCGTTTACTTTTTTAAATATTTGGATTCCCGTGTTTCTTAACTGCCTTAGGCCAGGGTGCCCAAATTGCTTATAGCATTCATCTAAGGATTTAGAGAAAAAATCCAGGCTCAGCCAGAAAAGAGTATATTGACTGGTTATTGATGTCTGCCCTGATGCACCAAGGATGCATGTATTTTCTACTCCTCTTTTTTTTTTTTTTCTTTTTTTTGGAGACAGTTTCCCTCTGTTGCCCAGGCTGGAATACAATGGCGTGATCTCAGCTCACTGCAACCTCTGCCTCCTGGGCTCAAGCAATTCTTGTGCCTCAGCCTCCTGAGTAGCAGGGATTACAGGCATGCACCACCATGCCCAGATAATGTTTATAATTTTAGTAGAGATGGGGTTTCACCATGATGGCCAGGCTGGTCTCGAACTCCTGACCTCAGGTGATCTGCCCTCCTTGGCCTCCCAAAGTGCTGGGATTACAGGTGTGAGCCACTGTGCCCGGCCCTCTATTCCTAATACATGCTGGTCAGCAAATAATTGATTCTAACAGCCACAACAGAGGCAGCACAGTGTGCTTATCCCTGAAAAACCTGAGATAAAAGGCAAGAGAGAAAGGAAAAAAGGGAAAAGATAAGGAAAAAAACCAAAAAGATCATGAGAAGAAAAATAAAGACGGGAAAAGGAGAAGAGGTGGTTATACATGCCATAAAGGAGCATTAGTACTCCATGTTGATGGGTCTATGTTTCTTTCCATTTGTTATGCTCCCACCACTGACTGGCCAATCTTCTCTCTACCAATACCTGTTATAGATCAACAGATCACCATTTGCTTCTCTGAAGGCCTCCAGATGATTTCTGGATGAACCTTCCACTGTCTATTCTAAAGGCCCACGTTTTCCATTCTCCCACACTGCACTGATCCCCATGACACTTTATGTCCAGAATGCTACTCTCTGGCCATTCCTGTCATCCCCAAACATTTTTGTTTTTAATTCCAACATAACATTTTCACCTTCCAAAAACCTTTATAGAGAAGATGAAACCTTACTTTGCCCTCATGGTCTGGCAATGACATACCAATAGCTACTGATTCTCTCTAAATGTTTCCCCAAAACACTTAGCCATGAAAAAAAAAAAAAAACAATTAAGTTCAAAGGAATTTATGGGACACTCCAAATTGCAGTATAACTTTTGATGTTTTAAGCTGTGTCACCATTTTACTTTACCTGGCTTTTCTTCCTCCCCTTCAGCAAGCTTGCTTTTGGGAGGAGTTTCCCGGGTAGAATTCACAGTTCGACGAATCGGCATGGTGCTATCTTCTACCTTCTAAGAAAAGAGATGGCCATAATCAAACATGCATTAAAAAATTCTCTTTTCTCTCTTTCTCAAAGGGCCTAACTGGGTGTCAGATGTAGGAGAATTCTTCAAGTCGACTCCAGGATCTGATGCAAATTACTTTTAACAAGTTTTTTTTGAAGTGAAATATGATTTTTAAGATACACTTTTTAAAGTATGTTATTTTAGCTTGAATTTCAAATGGAAACACATAATTATAGTTGATTTGCTATAAATTTAGAAGGTTGGAGGTTTTCTCAGGAATTTGAGGGGAAAGGGAAGATGAAAAGAATCTGATTTTGTTTCAAATTCACAACCTAGACTCCCCAAAGTAAGGGAAGGAACATGTACCAAGAAGGACCCAGCAGGGCCTGAAGTCAGGGATTGATCCAAGAGTGAGCTTCAAGAATGTGTCAGCCCCTACCTCACCTAACTTGTCCGCGTGGATCAGCTGAGCTCCTACTATAAGTGGGAGTGCCTTAGGATGGACGAGTTCACCTTGAGACGTATCAGTCGCCATTTTAAATAATTTCTAGGCCCGAGTACAGGTTACACTCTGAAGCCTCTGCTGTTAACCACAAGGATTTTTCCTAATGGTTTCAGTGTGGTGAAGAATCAACCTAAAGCACAGAAAAGACCTGGTGTGAAGATTAACAGAAACAAAACTAAACTAAAACGTCTAAATTTAATACACATCCAAAGGGAAAAAATATAACTATAAAATTTATAGGTAAGTGACAGATGATTTGGTTACTCAGAAAGATAAAACTACCAAAATATAGACTACATAAAGCAGCAACTAAGACGAATGCATAAGCCACGGCAGCTGTTGCACCTTCCACATGAACAAAGACAACAAGGGCAAGGAAGCTCCTAAGGAACCTAACCCCATCCCCTCCTGCCACCATCAGGAACTTAGAAGGATAGAATAAAGAGACTAAGGAACAGTTAGTCAAAGATCAGTTTACCAAGAGAAGGCTTTTGTTGTTACTGTTCTCGAAAGAGTCAGGAAAATTAACTGTAATCTTAAACTCTATCTCTATTAAAGTACTTTTTTTTTCCTTCTATTAAGGGAAAACACAAGGGGAAAAATACTGCTGAATAACATGACATTCTAATAGCTTCCAGACCCACAGAAGCAAATTTAGACCATCACCTAGGAGAATAAAAGTATGCTTCTAAGACTGTCATATTTTTAATGTAAGGAAAACTAGTACAGAAGAATATAATTAAATATTCAAAGATAAAAACCCATGCAGTCACCCAAGTTTACCTGATCACTAACACCCCCTCTTCCCCAAAAATCTCATCTGAGACTCAATGACATTTTATACAAAAATTCCTCAATATAAAAAAAAAAGACCACTTAAGTATCTAGATCTCTGTGCTAATGAACTATTAACAATGAGTAGGGAATGACAGTCATGCAACTTCTACATTAAGGTCTAACCTTGTCTAAGAATTGAAGAGCTTTCAACTTGGCAAGTAACAGTCCCAACCTACAACAACTAGGATAAATCCGGAAGATTGAAACAAAGAGGATGCATTCACACTTATCGGGAAAATATTTTTATGGGAACACCAAGAACAATACCAGACTTGTCAATTGTCAGTCAGCTGCAAGGAAATCTTTCAGTCAGCTGAAAGAATTCAGTGCAGTGTAACACACTCATACTTAGGGAACCAGAATATCCATTAATATTAAATTTTTTTTTTCTTTTTTTGAGACGGAGTCTTGCTCTGTTGCCCAGGCTGGAGTGCGGTGGCACGATCTCAGCTCGCTGCAACCTCCGCCTCCTTGGTTCAAGCGATTCTCCTGCCTCACCTTCCTGAGTAGCTGGGATTACAGGCATGCGCCACCATGCCCAGCTAATTTTGTATTTTTAGTAGAGATGGGGTTTCACCATGTTGGTCAGGCTGGTCTCGAGCTCCTGATCTCAGATGATCTGCCCGCCTCAGCCTCCCAAAGTGCTGGGATGGCAGGCGTGACCCACCGCACCCGGCCCATTTTTCTTAATGATAAAAAGCCTTATGCAAATCTGCTGGTATTTTTACATGCAAATATGATATGGAAATAAAACAATATCACAATCAGGTTATCCTTAGTAAAGTTATATTGCTAATGAATTTATCTTTCTTAACCCACGATAACACTAGCTAGGCTGAAAATGCTACCGTGAAGTCAACAACCTTCAGGAGTCTCCGTTCATAGGCATCTTTAAAAAAATACTTTCCCATTTGGTGTAGTAGCTCATGCCTGCAACCCCAGCACTTTGGGAGGCAGAGGTGGGAGGATCCCTTGAAGCTAGAAATTCAAAACTAGCCTAGTCAACATTAGACTTGGTCTTTACCAAAAGTAAATAAATTAAAATTTAAAAACAGGCCAGGTGTGGTGGCTCACACCTGTAATCCCAGCACTTTGGGAGGCTAAGGTAGGAGGTTCACTCGAGCCCAGGAGTTCAAGACCAGCCTGGGCAATACAGACGTTGTCTCTAAAAAAAAAAAATTAAAAATCAGCTGGGAATGGTGGCATGCGCCTGTAGTCCCAGCTACTTGGGAAGCTGAGACTGGGAGGACTGCTTGAGCCCAGAAGGTTTTGGATGCAGTAACCTGAAATCGAGCCACTGCATTCCAGCCTAGGTGACAGAGCAGAGCCTGCCTCAAGAAAAAAAAATAATAATTTAAAAAAAAACACAAAAGGGCCAGGCATGGTGGCTCACGCCTGTATCTCAGCACTTTGGGAGGCCGAGGCGGATAGATCACAAGGTCAGGAGTTCGAGACCAGCCTGGCCAGTATGGTGAAACCCCGTCTCTACTAAAAATACAAAAATTAGCCGGGTGTGGTGGTGCGCGCCTGTAATCCCAGATACTTGGGAGGCTGAGGCAGAAGAATCACTTGAACCTGGGAGGCGGAGATTGCAGTGAGCCGAGATTGTGCCACTGCACTCCAGCCTGGGCGACAGAGCAAGACTCCTTCTCAAAAAAAAGAAAAAAAAAAAAAAAAAAAGAAAGAAAAAACCCACACACACAAAAGATAAAAAATTAGCTGGTCACTGTGGCACATGCCCGTAGTCCCAGCTACTTGGAAGACTGAGATGGGAGGACTGCCAGTGTCCAGGAGTTCCAGGCTACAGTGAGCTAGAATTGCACCACGGCACTCCAGTCTGGGTGACAGAGTAAGACCTTGGCTCAATAATAATAATAATAATAATAAAAGTTGAATGAACAAAGACATCTGGTAGTACTTATGACTACATTCATTATGTGTGAAGAACACTTAAAACCCAGTTATTTGGGATAAATATTAAGAGACGTTAGGGCTGGGTACAGTGGCTCATGCCTGTAATCCCAGCACTTTGGTAGGCTGAGGCAGGGATCACCTGAGGTCAGGAGTCCGAGACCAGCCTGGCCAACATGGTGAAACCCCATCTCTACTAAAAACACAAAAGTTAGCCAGGCGCTGTGGTGTACACCTGTAGTCTCAGCTACTCAGGAGGCTGAGGGAGAAGAATCACTTGAACCTGGGAGGCGGAGGTTGCAGTGACCTGAGATCATGCCACTGCACTCCAAGCCTGGGTGAAGAGTGAGACTCCATCTCAAAAAACAAACAACAACAATTTAAAAAAAAAACAAAAAAAATAGAGATGTTAGAGCTCTGCATTTCCTTAGTAAAAGCTGTAGAACTTCAAAGGTTCAATCTGTAGTACTTTCTTTAGAATAGTTGGGTTAGTCCCAGCTACTCGGGAGGCTCAGGCAGGAGAATCACTTGAACCCGGGAATCCGAAGTTGCAGTGAGCCGAGATCATGCCACTGCACTCCAGCCTGGGTAACAGTGTGAGACTCTGTCTCAAAAAAAAAAAAAAAAAAAAAAAAAGAGATGTTAGCCTCAGCTCTGCATTTCCTTAATAAAAGTCAAAGTCATAGAACTTCAAAGCTTCAATCTGTAGTACCTGCTTTAGAATAGTTGGGTTAATTGGCTATTTAATAAACTCACTGTTCATTACAGAGCTAAGTATATGCAACGTTAATTCACACTGCCTTAACATCACTGTACCTATGTTTTTTGTTTGTTTGTTTTAAGACACGGTCTCACTCTGATGCTCAGGTTGTAGTATCACAGCTCACTGCAGCCTCAACCTCCCAGGCTCAAGCGACTCTCCCACCTTAGTCTCCCTAGTAGCTGGGACTACAGGCACGCACCGCCATGCCCGGCTAATTTTTCTCTTTTTTGTATCAACAGGGTTTTGCCATGTTGCCCAGGCTGGTCACAAACTCCTGGGCTCAAGCGATCCATCTGCCTCGGCCTCTCAACGTGTTGGGATTACAGGTGTAAGCCACTGCATCTGACCCAGTGTACCTATTAACTAAACTTTTTACTATTGCACTCTGAATGATCAAATTTTGAGGCTGCCACACTTGTTCCTGGCAGGGATCTTATCTACCTGGTTCATTTGCTGCATACCTGATGCCTAAGAACATACCAGGCACAGAATAGATGCTCAATTAATATTTGTTAAACTAAAGGATGAACAAATAAAACTTATTTGTGTTTTCCCTTTTTTTTTTTTTTTTTTTTGAGACCGAGTCTTGCTCTGTCGCCCAGGCTGGAGTGCGGTGGCGCGATCTCGGCTCACTGCAACCTCCCCTCCCGGTTCACGCCATTCTCCTGCCTCAGCCTCCTGAGTAGCTGGGACTACAGGCGTCCGCCACGACACCCAGCTAATTTTTTGTATTTTCAGTAGAGACGGGGTTTCACCGTGTTAGCCAGGATGGTCTCGATCTCCTGACCTCGTGATCCGCCCACCTCAGCCTCCCAAAGGGCTGGGATTACAGGCGTGAGCCACCGTGCCCGGCCTATTCATGTTTTTCATCTTGGTTTTTATATGTGCCAAAAATAAACAGTCTGAGTTTACTTGTGGTTTACATGGTCCTCTTATGAACATCAGCTTGCTTAAACTTAATGTTACAACAATAACAAATATTTGCTTTTTGTCAAGGGAAATGCTTAAATTAAATCGGTTGTTTATTTTGAGACAGAGTCTCAGTCTGGAGTACAGTGGCATGACCAGGGATCACTGTAGCCTCGACCTCCTGGGCTCAAGCGATCTCCTCCCACCTCAGCCACCTGAGTAGCTGGGACTTCAGGTATGCGCCACCACAGCCGGATAGTTTTTGTATTTTCTGTAGAGACAGGGTTGCCCAAGCTGGTCTCTAACTCCTGGATTCAAGCGATCCTCCTCTTTGGCCTCCCAAAGTGTTAGGATTACAGGTGTGAGCCACCATGCACGGCTTTAAATTATTTGAATGCAAGCAATAAAAAAAAGTATTGTAGAAATAAAAAGCCCCAAATTTCAGTTTTAATTTATTTCCTCTACATTAAGAGAAGGCTGTAGAAAAGTGAGGAGTTTAACAACGTATTTCAGTTTACTGATATCCTTGATAATATGCATTTTAGGGAAAGCACTATAATTTCACATTTTACCATAAAATATATGTAATACATGTCATTAGTGATGCGCTGAACACCTCACATTGTTCCCAATCTTAAGTCATTCACTACACTCAGATTTAACGAGTCATGTCACAAAAAGCATGCCTGTAATTTGACTGCTGACACCACTTGTTTTTCATTTTCAAATGTAAGTTATATAAGCAAACATATACTCAGTGTCTGTTTTGGGCATAGATACTAAGGACACTACAGTGTCTCATCTCAATAAAATCACAATCTAACTGGGTAAGGAGTTAAAACTTTCATCCGGAAATGAAGAGTTCAGTATACGTTCTCCACTAACTTCCAGCCCTACAATCTTCCAAGCAAGCTTAAAAACAAAGCCAAAACCAACCAACCCAGCAAACTTTAAAATGTTACTTCTATTTTGAAACAAATTACACTAAACTTTTGAGAAGAGCAATGAAAAATCAAAAAGCTAACAAGTTTTTTGCCTATGTCAGGTTAAACAAAATTAGAGCACCTTTCAAAAATGACACTAGTCACCTCTAATTTCACTCTAAGACAAGACAGCGTGCTCAAAAAGCCCCAGGCGATTTTTAGACGTTATTTCGAATTGGATTCTCACTTTTTAATGCAATGCAAAGTCAGGAAGCACAATAAACAACAGAGAGAACGTGCACGCGGATGCGGCAGCACAGTTCACCCGGTCCGGTCTCCGTACGGGAGACAACTCTTTCTCAAAAAGGTTAAGTGGCTGTCCCCGGTCACAGCTGTTAATGCAGTACCAACCCTCAGATCTGGGGCTCTCACCTCACCACTCCTGCCTCCATCTCTTACAAACGCTCAGATGGGCGACTGTAACTTTCTGACGACCTACCGAGGCACCGCTCTCATTCAAACCCCACCGCCTAAGGTGGCGAGTAACCAGTTCTACGTTTCCCACCGGGGGAGCGAGACTCAAGGCCGCCGTCGCGGAGCAGCAAAGCGACAGCCGACAGCCCCGCCCGCAGAAGGCCGCGGGAAGGACGGCAAGAGCAGCGGAGACAAAGCAGCGAGGCGAGGTAGCTACAGGCCACAGCGGCGAACGCGCACGGCGGGGGAGAGCGCGGGCCGCCAGCGAGGCGGGGAAAGCTCGGACCGCGGACACCGACGGATGAGGCTGGGGCTCGGCGCGGTGACAGTTCGGGGCTCACGCTCGGCAGGGACACCGCGGCGCCCGCCCCGGCGACGGAAGCAGCGGCGGAACGCGAGCCTCGGCGCTCCGCACACTCACCACTGGGAGCTCCGTAATGGCGGCGGCGGGGGCGGAGAACCCGGGGGGCGGGCCCGCCGCAGCCAGTCACCGCCGCCGGCATCTTTCGAACCGGCTCCGAAAACCGCTGAGGGAGTGGGGTGAGGGGAGGGCGCGGGCGGACGCCGGACCGCGGCGGGCCTCGGAGCATGCGCAGCCCTCAGCCAATCGGGGCGGGCAGAGGACGCCGACGCAGGCGCGCTGGGACGCAGGGTCGCACGGCCAGAGAAGAGCTCCCCCTCCTCCCCCAAATCCAAACAAAACAAGGGCGGGAGCGCGCGCGCCGGAGGGCCCCTGAGGAGGAGTCCACCAAAAGGGCAGGGGGCTAGGTCGCAGGAGAGAGGAAGGGAGCGGGGCGGAGCGGCCGGGTAAGGCAGACAAAAGGCGCCACCTCCGGGGACCCGGGCGCCCCGCCCCCTCCTCTCTGGGAGCGGCGTCGGCGCCCCGGGCGAGCGGCCTCCGCCACTCGCCTTCGGGGCCCAGCGAGCCCGCGCCCACTCCCCGGCCGCCTGTTCGGTCCTGCGTTACCTCTGCGTTCGGCCGGTCCTGGCGCCCGCGTCCCGCACGGCCTCTCGGCGCCGCTCCCGCCGCCGCTAGTCGCCTCCGCCACCGCTGTCCTCCAGTCCCAGCCGCCGAGCTCTGCCGCCCCGCCCCCCTACCCGCGGCCCCGCGCGCGCCCCCGCCGGCCCCGCCTCCCGCGCGTGGGGTGCGAGGGGGCGCGCGGGGACGGGCGGACGCCGGCGGAGCGCGGGGCGTCGGCGCGCGTTCCCGGCGCTGCGTGGTGGCGCCCATTGCCTTGGCGTGGCGGGGCGGTGTCGGTTTCCTCGGAGGGGCGCCGCTTTCCCCCGCTAACCTTCGCTTTCTGTGCTCTCCAGGGCAGTCCCTTCTCTTAACTGGGTTTCCGCTTCTGCCACTCGTCCGCCTTTAGCGGGGCTAGCCTTTCCCGCTTCTCAGTTTAGGCGCAGCTCAAGAGCAAACCTTTTTTTGAAGACCGTAGAATTGGAAAACTAGAGAGCGGAGAATTCACTGCCTCGCACTCGCTCCCATTAAGTCTCCAGACGGTACAGGGCAGAGTAGTGACTCGGGACTCAGAACTGAAAAGTTGAAACGGGCTTTCCGGGCTCCCTAATCCTCACATGCAGGGAGAGTTCCCCAGAATGAAAACCCTGAGATTAGAAGACGGGATTCCCTTTGAATTGTCATATTGCGTTGCTATCAGCGTACTTAAACAACGTACATACGAAGGAAAAGTACAGCTCTTCAAAGCTAGTTTGGAAAGATTGTTTTTAAAGTTTCAGGTGTTGGGGGACAGGGGAGGGACTGGGTAATAAATGTAAGGAAATACCAGTAGAATTGTCCCAAGCTTACAGTAGATGACCAGTACTCAAACGTATGTGCCAAGGTTTATAAAGACTTACGACACCATTTAAGCACTCACCCAGTCGTCTGGCCCTGCCATTAGCATAATTGTCTCACCAGCTTTCCCTGCCACAGCCACCCCACTCTATCAGTTCAAATTTCACAGCCAGCATAAAAAATTCTTTACGAGGTGTGCGTTATCATTCATATCCTGATGGCATTACCAGTCTTTAGTACTCTGGTGTCATATTCCAGCTGTTCAGAAGGGGTTTTGCTCTTTTATGCCATTCTTCATTCTGCTCACTCCCTTCGTTGTTAACGTTTCTGTTGTCTTCCTTTTCAAAGACTTCCATTTTTATGTATTCGTACATTTAAAACATCCTACCGTTCTTCTTTTACCCTAAAATGTCTTTAGACCCATCTCATGTAAGAAGCAGACTCAGATGAGAGCAAACTGGGAGATGTTTCCTCCTCCACAGATTTTTGCTTAAAACAACAACAACAAAACTTAGGCCGAGCATGGTGGTTTACGCCTGTAGTCCCTGCACTTTGGGAGGCCGAGGTGGGAGGATTGCATGAGGCTTGGGGCCAGGAGTTCGAGGCCAGCCAGGGCAACATAATTAGACCCCATCTCTAAATAAATAAATAAGCCAGGAATGGTGGCAAAGGCCTTTAGTCCCAGCTACTCGGGAGGCTGAGGCAGGAGGATCGCTGAAGCCGAGGATTTGAGGCAACAGTGAGCTATGATCACCACTGCGCTCCACCCAGAGAGAGCAAGACCCTGTCTCAAAACAATCTTGGTGGGGTACGGTAGCTCATGCCTGTAATCCCAGCACTCTGGGAAGCCTAGGTTCCCAAAAGGAGGATCTCTTTAGCCCAGGAGGTTTAAGACCACCCTGGAGCAACATGGAGAAACCCCCTTTCTATATATGATAAAAATATTAGGCCGGGCGCGGTGGCTCAAGCTTGTAATCCCAGCATTTTGGGAGGCCGAGGTGGGCGGATCACGAGGTCAGGAGATCAAGACCGTCCTGACTAACACGGTGAAACCCCGTCTCTACTAAAAATACAAAAAATTAGCTGAGCATGGTTGCACGAGCCTGTAGTCCCAGCTACTCGCGGGAGGCTGAGGAAGGAGAATCACTTGAACCCAGGAGAGGGAGGTTGCAGTGAGCTGAGATCGCGCCACTGCACTCCAGCCTGGGTGACAGGCTCCATATCAAAAAAAAAAAAAAAAATTAGCTGGGCGTGGTGACACACGCCTGTGGTCACCTACATGGGAGGCTGAGATGGGAGGGTCACTTAAGCACAGGTGGTCGAGGCTGTAGTGAGCCGTGATGATGACACTGCACTCCAGCGTGGGCAACAAGGTGTTTCAAAAATCAATCAGGCCGGGTGTCGTGGCTCATGCCTGTAATCCCAGCACTTTGGGAGGCCTAGGTCAGGAGTTCGAGACCAGCCTGGCCAACATGGTGAAACCCTGTCCCTACTAAAAATACAAAAATTAGCCGGGCGTGTGGCACGTGCCTGCAATCCCAGCTATTCGAGAGGCTGAGGGCAGGAGAACCCCTTGAACCCAGGAGGCGGAGGCTGCAGCGAGCCAAGATTGCACCACTGCACTCTAGCCTGTCCGACAGAGCAAGTCCCTGTCTAAAAAAAAAAAAAAAAAAAAAAAAAAATCAAGGCTGGGCGTAGTGGCTCACACCTGTAATCCCAGCATTTTGGGAGGCACAGGCAGGGGAATCACGTGAGGTCAGGAGTTCAAGGCCATCCTGGCCAACATGATGAAACACCGTCTCTACAAAAATACAAAATTTAGCTGGGCATGGTGGTGGGTGCCTGTAATCCCAGCTACTCAGGAGGCTGAGGGGGGAGAATCCCTTGAGCCTGGGAGGCGGAGACTGCAGTGAGCAGAGATCGTGCCGTTGCACTCCAGCCTGGGTGACAGAGCAAGACTCTGTCTCAAAAACAAACAAACAAAAAACAACAACAAAAAATCAATCTTACTTTGTTGTTCACCACATGAACACCAAAGGAGGAAAAATCCTGAAACACATTTTTTTCCACAAGAGAGTGCACACACACACACACGGGCAGGCATTAAGGCTACCACTTACTGAAGACTGAAGTTGAAAGTTTTCTACTCAGGAATCTGAAATTTTTATTGTACATGTCTATTAGTTAAAGCACTTTACCTTTGCTCAATGTAATATTTAATATCTGGCCAGTTTTGATTTTTGTATGTACCTGCCTCTGAATCAAAAGATTCCATAGGGGTATAGTTTTATAGTTTATTTCACTTGGCTTTATTTAAGCTATACTAGTCACAGATCATTGAAGTGTGTTATGTAATAGGTTTTGTTTTGTTTTGAGATGGAGTCTCTCTCTGTCACCCAGGCTGGAGTGCACTGGCGGGATCTCGGCTCACTGCAACCTCCACCTCCTGGGTTCAAGTGATTCTTATGCCGCAGCCTTCCAAGTAGCTGGGATTACCGATGTGCATCACCATGCCTGGCTAATTTTTGTATTTTTAGTAGAGACGGGGTTTCACCATGTTGGCCAGGCTGGTCTTGAACTCCTGACCTCAGGTGATCTGCCCGCCTCAGCCTCCCAAAGTGCTGGCATTACAGGCGTGAGCCATCACACCCAGCCAACAATTACATGATGATTTTTGTACCATTTACCTAAAGGTAAACAAACTGCATTGGTGGAAAGACCCACCTTGACAAGTTTAGAAGAGCAGCTCAGCTCTTATGGGGTGTATTAGAGAAGGCTGCCATCAAAGACTGAGCTTCCAGGCACTGGGAAGACCCTCTCACTCAGAGACCTCCCACACTCATCAAAGTCCCTGAAGTTCTGCCACTCAGAGATTCATTCCTTTGGTTTAATCTTCACTCTCTTCTACAGCACCTAGAATTTTTTTTTTAGAGATGGGGTCTTGCTGTACTGCCCAGGATGGACTCAAACTCCTGGGCTCAAGCAGTTCTCCTGCTTCAGTCTCCAAAGCAGCTGTGACTATAGGCACACCACCTCTCCCAGCCATTCTTCTATAGCACTTTTAAAGTGATAATTGAGATTTCCTACTTTAAACCTCTTTCCGGATGGATCGGAAGATAAGAACCCCGGAGGTCTGACTAGGGTAGGAACTTCTGGGGAGAGAAAGGAGTAAATGAGGGGCTGTCTGTGATGACTTCACAGTTCTGCCCAAGGCTATCCATTCTCAGGGAGTCCTTGCCTAGGGAGTCCCAGAAAGATGAGGAAACCTAGTGGTTTGTGAACTAGGAGTGCAAGCGTTAAGAAGTCCTCACAATCTAACTGTATCATCTCTAATTTTCAACACCCACTTTTTCAGAGGCCAAGTCCCTGTTGAAACTTTAGCATAAAGCTAGCTTTGCAGACTTTACAGCCTGTTGTGAAGGTAATAGATTGGTTGCTTTTTGTTTTTTTCCTGTTCCTCAAATTTTATTTATTTATTTATTTTTGAGACAAGAATCTCGCTCTGTCGCCCAGACTGGAATGCAGTGGCATGATTTGGGCTCACTGCAACCTCCGCCTCCCGGGTTCAAGCGATTCTCCTGCCTCAGCCTCCCGAGTAGCTGGGTGCCCACCACCATGCCTGCCTAATTTTTGTATTTTTAGTAGAGATGGGGTTTCACCATGTTGGCCAGGCTGGTCTCCAACTCCTAACCTCAGATGATCCACCCGCCTGGCCTCCTAAAATGCTGGGATTGCAGGCATGAGCCACTGCGCACAAAGCAACTGCAGATTCAGATTCTAAGAATATTCCAGACCAGAGCTATGACATCACAGTCACTGGGCTGAGCATCGAAAGATATATCTACCTATTTTACTTACATACCACCTTGTGTTAACAAGGACAGGTTTGAAGAATTTTTCCCCCCATGGGGGTTTTCTGGTAAAAATCAGAAAACGAATTCTAAAAGCGCTGTTAACAGTCAAATAAATTTTTAAAAAAATTATTATTGAGACAGGCTCTTATTCTGTCGCCCAGACTGGAGTGCAGTGGCACAATCGCAGCATCGAACTCCTGGGCTCAGGTAATCCTCCTGCCTCAGCCTCCTGAGTAGTTGGGATTACAGGCACCCACCACCATGCCCAGTTAAGTTTTTTTTTATTTTGTATGGAGTCTCACTATATTGCCTAGGCTAGTCTCGAACTGGGATCCAGTGATCCTCCAACCTTGGCCTCCCAAAGCGCTGCAATTACAGCTGTGAGCTACTGTGCCTGGCCAACACTTGAAGAATAATTCTTGATTGGCTGGTGGGAAGAGGAGGTTTCTGTTCCTAGCCCAGCTGATCTGTATTCTTTCCATGAGTCAGGTCTGGTGGATTGCAATTTCACACAGAAGTAACAAAAAATCCAGGCCAGGGCTTGGATCTCATCAGAATGTATGGTCTTGGCAGGGGTGAAGGTTACTTGACTTTTGTGGTTTCCAGCCAGAAGGACTGGAAACAGTCCCTAACTTAGCTGCAGCTTGGAAAGGGATGGTAGGAGAAGGAACAATTTATACTGCTTAACAAGAAATGGAGGCTGATAAAAACATTTAATATGACTCTCCCACTCCCAGTGATTTTCTCTTACTTTTTGTAGTGTTACCTGAGGGCCAAGATGTTGGTTTAAAGGCAGGAACACCCTTGGATCCTCCCTTGCCAGTGTTGCACTTTTCTCTATTCACTGGTGACAATAGCTTGAACTCCACTTAGCCTAGCAGTCATCCAACTTTGAAACATTTTCTTAAACTGAAGAATTCTGAAACACATCTTGTCCCAACAGTTTTGGATAAAAGATTGTGAATCAGTACAGTAATTGCCTCTTGCCCATGCGGGATACGTTCCAAGAACCCCAGTAGATGCCTGAAACCACGGATAGTACAAAACCTTATATATACTATGTTTTTTCCTATACCTACATACCTGTAAGAAAGTTTCATTTATAAATTAGGTGCAGTAAGATTAACAACAATAAATAATAGAATAATTATAACAATGTACTGTTAAAAAAGTTATGTGGAAGTGGTTCTCTCAAAATATTTTTGAACTGTGGTCGGGCACGGTGGCTCATGCCTGTAATCCCAGCACTTTGGGAAGCTGAGGCTGGCAGATTGCTTGAGCCTAGGAGTCAAGACCAGTCTGGGCAAAATGGTGAAACTGTAGGTCTCTACCAAAGAATTTTAACTGTGGGGTCCCTGAAACCTCGAAAAGTGAAACCGCGAATATAGGGGGTACTACTATATATAAAAGCCAAAATGTTTTACTAAATAACATTTACCTTAAGGTGTATTTGTATGTTCTATTTTTTTAAAATGCCAACTGCATTTTTAAAAGTTAATTCTGCCATTCAGTTAGAGAAACTCTATCCTATAGGTGTCAGCAGCCTCCACCCAGCGCTCAGTGGGAGTCAACTTTTCCACCTACAGCTCTTACCTGAGGGAGTTTGAAAAGTGTGCCAAAAATTTCCTATCATTTTGAGGATAGAAGTTTTAAATAATAGTTATCCTTGAGTTTGTAGCATCTGACATACTGAGTAGAGTTACAATTCAGCACTCAAGGGAACAGAAACATTTGAGAATGTTATTACAAGAGTCTTTCCATAGGGATGGAATCTAAAACCAAGAGGAGTAAAGTACTTAGTCCCGCCATCTTCAGGGAAACTTCAGGGAACTTGCTTTCAAGCCTGTATTCATGTCAGGTTCTGGGATTTGTGTTGATAGGTCTTTTCCCGCTTTCAATGCCAGAGGCAAACCAGCCGCTTTTTAGACTGAAGAGACACTACTTGCCAGATTTACTAAAAGCAGAATATATCCAGTTTTGTTTTGATGGTGTAATGTGAAGTAAATGTACTAACAGCACTGTTCCTCCCCTTTCACTCCTGCTTTGTGGCTTTACAGGCAAATCTTTGCAGGAGGATTCCCTTCTTTGCAGGGCAACCAGGCCTCTGAGGGTGACCAGAAATTAGTGTCAGCTCAGTGACATCCAGGGTGACCAACTGTCCCAGTTTATCCATTGAGGGTAGGGTGGGGGTTGAACTTTCAGTTTGTTTGTTTTTTTTTTTTCCCTTGAGATGGAGTCTTGCCCTGTCGCCCATGCTGGAGTGCACTGGCGCAATCTCGGCTCACTGCAACCTCTGCCTTGGGTTCAAGTAATTCTCCTGCTTCAGCCTCCTGAGTAGCTGGGACTAGAGGCACGTGCCACCATGCCTGGCTAATTTTTGTATTTTCAGTAGAGACGGGGTTTCACCATGTTGGCCAGGTTGGTCTTGAACTCCTGACCTTGTGATCCACCCGCCTTGGCCTCCCAAATTGCTGGGATTACATGCGTGAGCCACCATAACCAGCCAGACTTTCAGTTTTTAAACCAGAAAAGTCCCAGCAAACCAAGTTGGCTACCCTAGGACATTTGTTTTGTAGATACGGAGTAGTTGGAGAAAGTTTAAGTGTAAAGGGGAATATTTTTCTTTTCAATAAAACCAGTAATTTGGGCTGGGCACGGTGGCTGACGCCTGTAATCATAGCACCTTGGGAGGCTGAGGTGGGTGGATCACCTGATGTTAGGAGTTCAGGACCAGCCTGGCCAACATGTTGAAACCCCGTCTCTACTAAGAATACAAAAATTGGCCTGGCTCGGGGGCTCACACCTGTAATCCCAGCACTTTGGGAGGCCGAGGTGGGCGGATCACCTGAGGTCAAGAGTTTGAGACCAGCCTGGCCAACATGGTGAAACCTTGTCTCTACTAAAAATTAAAAAAAAAATTAGCCTCCTCAACCCAGGAGGCGGAGGCTGCAGTGAGCCAAGATCATGCCACTGCACTCCAGCCTGGGTGACAGAAGGAGACTCCACCTCAAAAATAAATAAATAAATAAATAATTAGCTGGGCATGGTGGTGCACGCCTGTAGTCCTGGCTACTCGGGAGGCTGAGGCAGGAGAATCGCTTTAACCTGGGAGGCGGAGGTTGCAATGAGCAGAGATCCCACCACTGCACTCCAGCCTGGGCGACAGAGCAAGACTCCGTCTCAAAAGAACAAAAAAACAACCAGTAATTTAAAGGAAAACATGAGTCAAAATCTGTGGTTGGGAATAAGATTGAATTTTAAAAATCAGAATCACGAAATTGGATCCATTTATTTAAAAAATAAAGAGACGAAAAGAGTTTTAAAAAGATGGTGATGAAAAGGATCATTTCCTTTTATAAATCAAAACGCAACTGCATGGTGATGAGAAAATGCAAACTTTTCAAAAACCAATACATACTGGCTCTGAGTTTTGTTTTTTTTGAGACGGCGTCTCGCTCTCTTGCCAGGCTGGAGTGTAGTGGCGAGATCTCGGCTCATTGTAACCTCCACCTCCCGGGTTCAAGGGATTCTCCTGCCTCAGCCTCCTGAGTAGCTGGAACTACAGGCACACGCCACCACGCCCACCTAATTTTTGTATTTCTAGTAGAGACAGGGTTTCACCATGTTGGCCAGGATGGTCTCGATCTCTTGACCTCGTGATCTGCCTGCCTCGGCCTCCCCAAAGTGCTGGGATTACTGGCGTGAGCCACCGCGCCTGGCTGGCTCTGAGTACTCTTAAGACACTTGCACAAGGCTGTAAATTTTCAACCATCCAAACTTTGGAATTAGTAGCATAATTCTTGAGAACCATGTATATCAAGACCCAGGATTGTTCAACTTTAAAACCTGACATTTTATTGGTGATATTCCTGCTCTTCTCAAAAGATAAAACATTTTGAGCAAGAAGAAACCCCCACATGATTATCCTAATCTTTGTGTCTCTGTTTTACACTCTGCTGGTTGAGTCTATGACACTTAATAAGAAAAAGCTGGAATTTATTTATTTATTTATTTATTTATGAGATGGAGTCTCACTCTGTCGCCTAGGCTGGAGTGCAGTGGTGTGATCTCGGCTCACTGCAACCTCCACCTCCCAGGTTCAAGCGATTCTCCTGCCTCAGCCTCCCAAGTAGCTGGGACTACAGGCACCCACCACCAGGCCTGGCTAATTTTTTGTATTTTTAGTAGAGACAGGGTTTCACCCTGTTAGCCAGGATGGTCTCGATCTCCTGACCTCGTGATCCGCCTGCCTCAGCCTCCCGAAGTGCTGGGATTACAGGCGTGAGCCATCGCGCCCGGCCTAGAATTTATTCTGAGCAGCCAGCTTGTTTGGTATAGCTGTCTCTTTGCCCAAAGTAGTTGGCATCCCCTAAATTAGGAACAAAGCCAGAGCTGGATGTGACAGAACATGCATTTCTAAGTACCTGGTATTTTTAGGAGTTCATTATGATTTTGTAGGAAAATAGTCATTTTCTTTCTAGGTAGGGCAATAAACAACTTGAAAAGGACACTAAGCATTGATCCTTGTGTTAAAAAAAAAAAAAAAAGGATTTTGCAATGTTCTATTGAATCCCAGGAGAAGTGGGAGCTAAAAGCCTCTATTCCCAGGTCTGTTAGCAGTAGGGATAGACACTTAAGACTTCATAGTATTGCTGGGCACGGTGGTTCACGCCTGTAATCCCAGCACTTTGGGAGGCCAAGGCGGGCAGATCACGAGGTCAGAAGATTGAGACCATCCTGGCTAACATGATAGGTAAAACCCCATCTCTACTAAAAATACAAAAAAATTAGCCGGGTATGGTGGCGGGCGTCTGTAGTCCCAGCTACTCGGAAGGCTGAGGCGGGAGAATGGCGTGAACCTGGGAGGCGGAGCTTGCAGTGAGCCGAGATGGTGCCACTGAATTCCAGCCTGGGCAACAGAGCGAGACTCCGTCTCAAAAAAAAAAAAAAAAAAAGACTTCATAGTATTTTCTAGGGAAAGTAAAACAATTTTAAAAATTTGATCAATAGAATATTAAATAAATGTGGGCTGGGCACGGTGGCTCACGCCTGTAATCCCAGCACTTTGGGAGGCTGAGGCGGGCAGATCACCTGAGGTCAGGAGTTCGAGACCAGCCTGGCCAACATGATGAAACCCCATCTCTACTGAAAATACAAAAAAATTAGCCAGGCGTGGTGGCGCATGCCTGTAGTCCCAGCTACTTGGGAGGCTGAGGCAGGAGAATCGCTTGAACTCCGGAGGTGGAGGCTGCACTGAGCCAAGATCACACCACTGCACCCCAGCCTGGGTGACAGAGTGAGACTCCGTCTCAAAAAAAAAAAAAAAAAAAAAAAAAAAGAAAGAAATGTGGATAGGTAAGCTATAATCTCCTACAGTTCTGAAAATGGCATAGCCTAACTGTATGTAACTGATTATGACTAAGGTAGTAAGAGTGTGGCAGAAAAAGAACACTGGACGCAGACAGGAAGGGCCCTAGGTATTTCAGGCAGAATGCTGGGCACTTTATCCGATCTCCTTTAATTCCTCAAGACAACCCCATGAAGTGGATGTTACTTTTGTTTTATAGATGAGGCAACTGGCCGGGCGCAGTAACTCATGCCTGCGACCCCAGCACTTTGGGAGGCTAAGGTGGGTTGATGGCTTGAGCTCAGGTGTTCAAAACCAGCCTGGGCAACATGGTGAAAACCCATCTCTACAAAAAATACAAGAATTAGCCACAGTCCCAGCTACTCTGGAGGCTCCCTTGAGCCCAGGAGACAGGTTGCAATGAGCCGAGATCACAGCACTAAGCTACTGCCTGGGCGACAGTGAGACCCTGTCTCATAAAAAAATAAATAAATAAATGGAAGCCGAGGTTTCAGCAACCCCAGCAGGGCTATACTAATGCTCCTATTTTTCCAATGCCAATATTCCAAACTATATCCACTACGTCATTTTCCCCAAAAGAAAACTCTTGGTGGTGAGAGTTATTTTTCGGACAATACTGCCTCCCAGAAAACCAAGTGCCAGTCTTGCTTCTGACACTTGCTAGGTACATGACTTCTGTGTTACTCAGTTCCCTACCTGGTAAAAGGAAGCAGCACCACCTTACATGTCAGAAGCCTAGTATGAAGACCAATTAGATGCCATCCTGCATTGCCTAGGAAATTAATTTACTATTAGTTTACTAAGGAAATCAGGAAGGGCTTATTGTTTCTGTGTTGTAGATGCGAAAGTACAAGCCGAAAGGTTCTAAAAGCAGCATACAACTTGTTTTGTGTTAGCTTTTTGAAGAGGACTATACTCTGGCAGAGATGTGAAATACTCCTAGGCAGTGGTTCTTAAACTTCAGTGTGCCTAAAAATCATCTGAAGCGCTTATAGCGATTTCTTGGGATCTTCCATCTCTTCAGATTCGGTTTTAGTAGGCTGGGGCCTGTGAATTTGCATTCTAAGAAGCTCACAGGTGATGTTGATGCTGCTAGTCCAAGGCCCATACTTTGACTAACCCTGAGGTTAGATATAACTAGTTACTCCAAAGAGCCTACAGTTATTCTAACATGCTGTGTGGCTAATTGCGAATTGGAAATGATTGAAAGCATCGTTATTCTTTTTGCTGAGTAACTATTAAAAAAACCAACTAAAGTTCATCTCTAGTGAATTCTGCTAAGTGAAAGTATAAGGCAGCTTTCAAAAGTTCTTTCCATGGCTGGGCGCAGTGGCTCATGCCGTAATCTCAGCACTATGGAAGGCCAAGGCAGGTGGATCACCTGAGGTCAGGAGCTCGAGACTAGCCTGGTCAAATGGTAAAACCCCGTCTCTACTAAAAATACAAAAACTAGCCGGGTGTGATGGTGCATGCCTGTAGTCCCAGCTACTTGGGAGGCTGAGGCAAGAGAATCGCTTGAATCCGGGAGGTGGAGGTTGCAATGAGCTGAGATTGTGCCATCGCACTCCAGCCTGGGTGATAGAGCAAGACTCTGTCAAAAAAAAAAAAAAAAAAAAAAAAAAAAAAAAGGTTCTTTCCCTCTATTTGTCCAGAAAAAGTTTGTCTGGATTAATTTGTCACTGGGCACGTTCAGATTTGACTTTTGCATGTGAGAATGAACTCTCGCCATACTGTCACCCTTTCTTCATTCTCAAATACACCATGCGTTCCCCCAACCATGGACTTTGCACACAAGATCTCCTCTATTTCAACAGACCCCTTAACTATTTGATTCTTCACATTTTTGTTTAAAATTCTACTCCTAAGGGCAACATTCCCTAATCCCCCAGTGTATACAGGGTCCCCATTATATGCTCTCCTAACACTGTATTTTCAAAGTATGTGCCATATGTAAGTCCATTTGTTTGTCCAACATCTTGCAGTTAAAATATATTTCTGAAATACCTGAAAATATAAATTGTTATCTATATTGTTAGCTGAATCAGGTTATTTTCACCATTTCAGTGTCGTCTCAACCCTGGGTCATATTATGATCACCTAAGGAATTTAAATTTAAAAAATGAGAGAGAGAGAGAGAGAGATGCCCAGGTCTCATCCCCAGAGATCCTGAAATAATTAGTCTGAGGTGGGGCTCCAGGATTTGTATTTTTAAAAGCTTTCCAGGTACTTCTAACACACAGCCAGTGTTGAGCACTATTTATTCTACAATGTAGGAAGAAGCTATGGCAGGGTGGCTTTTTGAAATTTGGCAAAGATAGTTTCCCAGGACTTCAGGTCAGAGGACATGTATTTACCAATAAGAGGTAAATATGACAGAAGGATTGAAAAGGAATACTGATAGTACAAGTTCAACTCATGGTGACTTGAAATTTCAGAAATTCTTGATATTTTTACTTCATTGAAAAGCTGGTAATATCCTATTATTACCAAAACCTTTTGTCTTTGTTAAGCTTGGTAGGCAGTATTTAAAGTGATTCTGGATGTGCTCATATGGTTGGCAAGAGTAAGCCCTTTCTAGAGAAGAGAGGAAGGCCCATACCAAGCAGGTAGTCAAATATTCCGTGAACAGCAATGTTAGCATTAGAGCACAGATCTCCCAATTCTAGTCTATACCTCCTTCCTCTCAGCACACAACTTCTTCCTATAGAAGGAAGAGTAAACTCTTGATATTCACTTAGGTGGCATCCCCCTGCCCCCAGTTGGTTCTTCTGATACCCTAATTCATTTACTTTAAACTGGTATGGTTTCTAAACAAATGTATTTAAAGACTTTACATTTACCTAAAAGTATTACTCAGCTTTTTTGCTTTAAGAGACAGGGTCTTAACTCTTGTCACCCAGGCTGGAGTGCAGTGGCACAATCAAAGCTCACTGTAACCTCGAACTCTTGGGCTTACTTTAGGTTTATCTCAAGTTTTGATACGCAGCGCTTTTATCATCAGTTAACTTTTCATTATTTCGCGATTTCCATTATTATTGTTTAACTGAGTTAACATTTTAACACTGCTCTGTATTGGTACCTTAGTAGACTCTAAATATTACTAGCTAAGGGAAATTAAAACAAATAATCATAATGGGGAAAGAGAGAAACAGTTCAATATTTATTGATTTATTTATTTGAGAGAGTCTCACTCTGTCACCCAGGCTGGAGTGCAGTGACCCTATCTTGGTTCACTGCAACCTCCGCCTCCCAGGTTCAAGTGATTCTCGTGCCTCAACCTTCTGAGTAGCTGGGATTACAGGCATGCGCCACCAGGCCCAACTAATTTTTGTATTTTTTAGTAGAGAGAGAGTCTTGCCATGTTGGCCAGACTGGTCTTGAACTCCTGGCCTCAAGTGATCTGGCCACCTTGGCCTCCCGAAGTGCTGGGATTATAGCCGTGAGCCACAGTACCTGGCCCTCTACTTTTTCCTATGTAAGATGAGCAGAAAATGAATGAAGTATCTATAGGCTTGAGTCTTTTGGGTACCAGAGTGTTTTATTTTATTATTATTATATTTTAGACAGTCTTGCTGTTACCCAGGCTGGAGGGCAATGGTGGGATCTTGGCTCATTGCAACCTCTGCCTCCCGGGGTCAAGCAGTTCTCCTGCCTCAGTCTCCCGAGTATCTGGGACTACAGGTGCCCACCACCACACCTGGCTAATTTTGTATGTTTTTAGTAGAGATGGGGTTTTACCATGTTGCACAAGCTGGTCTCAAACTCCTGACCTCAAGTCATCTACCCACCTCGGCCTCCCAAAGTGCTAGGATTACAGGTGTGAGCCACTGCGCTTGGCCCAAAGTAATACACACACACACACACACACCAGAACTATGTTTTCTTTTTTTTTTTTTGAGACAGAGTCTTGCTCTGTCGTCAGGCTGGAGTGCTGTGGCGTGATCTTGGCTCACTGAAACCTTCGACTCCCTGGTTCAAGCGATTCTCCTGCCTCAGCCTCCCAAGTAGCTGGGATTACAGGCACGCGCTACCATGCACAGTAATTTTTGTATTTTTAGTAGAGACGGTGTTTCGGCATGTTGGCCAGGATGGTCTCGATCTCCTGACCTCATGATCCGCCTATTGTGGCCTCCCAAAGTGCTGGGATTACAGGGGTGAGCCACTGCGCCCAGCCCAGAACTATGTTTTCTAATGGTCATAGTGCTCCATGTGAAAGCAGCTTACTCGCCTGGCAAGAAAATGAAGTTTAAAATGTTGGCAGACCAAGAGGCTGAGATGCCCCAATAGCAACATGCAAACCCAGTGAGTAAAAGCTTGGTTTCTAAATCCCATTCTCCTAGAAGAAACCAGGGATTCTTGTAGAAATGGCTGATTCTAGGACTGAGGCAGGGAAAATACAAGATATGTCTGTGGCATCTTGTGATGGCAGAAAGTACGTGCTCTAAAAACAAAAGTATCAGGGAATGTCAAGGGACACATAAGCCAACTTGAAAGAGCCCCTAATGGCTAAAGCTGGAACAATGTGAACAACAAAATCATGTACTATTGGGTTATAATTCAAAGTATGAAATATACATGAGCCCATACTGATATATACATACCCATGTGTGTACATTTATACATACACACATATAAATACATATGAGTGACTAAACAAACAAATAGAGAAGAGAGACATCTTCCTTGTGGGAAAATTCCAAATAATTTAAGTAGACGCTTCCCACTCTAGAAAGGAAGTAAAGCTTAATTCTCTCTTACTCCCATCTCTCTTCCCAAGTGTGGGTTGGATTTAGTGACTGGCTTTCATATAGACTAGAGTAAGAAAGGGGGGAAAGAAAAGTAACTATAGAGAAACCTGGCAAACACCAACTTAGCCAAATAAAGTTATCATGTGAGTATCTTGTACCTGCTGATATATGAGAAGAGAACTTCATTTATATGGTATTTGTGTTTTTATTTTTTAGAGACAGGGTCTCATTCTGCTGCCCAAGCTGAAATGCAGTGGCATGATCATAGCTCACTGCAGCCTTGATCTCCTGGGCTCAAGTGATTCTCCTGCCTTAGCTTCCTGAGCAGCTGGGACTACAGGTGTGCATCACCATGCCTGGCTAATTTTTAAGTATTTTTGTAGAGATGGGGGGGTCTTCCTATATTGCCCAGGCTGGTCTCAAACTCCTAGCTTCAAGTAATCCTCCTGCCTTGGTCTCCCAAAGAGCTGGGATTACAATATACAGTTATTTTTATCCAAAATACATAACCCCACTTTAATCATGAGAAAAACACCAGACAAATACAAATTGACAGACATTCTACAAAATGTCCCATTATTACTCCTCAAAATTGTCAAAGTCATGAAAAAGACCAAAAAACTGTCAAAGTCCAGAGGACACTAAGGAAATGATTCCTTAGATGCAATGTAGTATCATGGACTGCATCTTGGACCAGAAAAGGGACATTGGTGAAAATCTAAATACTCTTAAGTTTAGTTACAAGCAACATACCAAAGCTGGTTTCTTAGTTTTGACAAATGTCCTATGGCAATATAAGATGTTATTATAAAGGGAACTGGATGAGGGGTATATAGAACTTTCTGTAAAATCTGCAACTTTTCTGTAAGTCTGAAATTATTTCAAAATAAAACTTTAACTGAATAACATTTGGCATATGATTCTCTGTAGCTTAATGTATAAATCATCTCATGATTTGGTAATACACAGTGATGTCAGGTTTTTTTTTTAAGTCCCCAAACTAACAGATGATCATTTTTCCTTTTGAGGGACATATGGGATATTTTATGCCAGTGGGCATGTAGCATATCCCTCCCTACCTGGCCTGAGCCTGTAATCCCAGCTACTCGGGAGGCTGAGGCAGGAGAATCACTTGAACCTGGGAGGTGGAGGCTGCAGTGAGCCAAGATCACACCACTGAACTCCCGCCTGGGCGACAGATCAAGACTGTCTCAAGAAAAGAAAAAGCAAACAAAAAGTAATGTAAAATGTTACTCCCTACAAAATGGAGAATATGGAAGTACATGCTAATGACATAGTTGAAATTGAAAAACTGGATTCCTCTATTTTTTTTTTAAATAATAAAACTTGAGTGATGAAAACAGAATTAGATACAGTAGCCTAGGATCTTTCCCCAACCAACTTAGAATTCTATTGACTTAAAAAGAGCCATTTGAAACAAGATAGTATGTCAAAAACTCCAAAATAACTTGTTTGGAGAGTGGTTTTAAAGCTATCTTTGGATTTAATTGTTGCAAACAGCCTAGAATGAATTTTGAAATATAAAGAAAAAACAAACAAAGATCTGCCAAAGTAATAAGGAGCAGATACTTCTTAGTGGGATGCGATGCTGATGCAGCATGTTAACGACCTCTAGCTTTCTGTTTTCATGAAGAATATGAGATCCATGAAAGCAGAGCCTACTGTGGTCACTGTTATCCTATCTCCACTTAGTGCACAGTAGATGTTGAGTTAAATATTGGTTGAACAAAACAAGCTCATGATGCAGTTATGGGCTAGCTTATTGGCCTACACAAGAACCCAAAATAAGTTCATTTTGAAAATTAGTATCATTTTCCTTTGTTAGAAATGAAAAAATGTTCATTTACTGAATAGCCATAAGTTGACTGGTTAGAAAATAGGTATAAGCACCTTAATAAATGCACTAAAAGAGGTATTGGGCCAGGTGCGGTGGCTCATGCCTGTAATCCCAGCACTTTGGGAGGCCGAGGTGGGCGGTTCACCTGGAGTTGGGAGTTCAAGACCAGCCTGGCAAAACAAATATGGTGAAACCCCATCTCTACTTAAAATACAAAAAAATTAGCCGGGCGTGGTGGCGCTTCCTATAATCCCAGCTACTCGGGAGGCTGAGGCAGAACTGCTTGAACCTGGGAGGCGGAGTTTGCAGTGAGTAGAGATCACGCCACTGCACTCCAGCCTGGGCAACAGAGCCAGACTCCATCTCAAAAAAAAAAAAAAAAAAAAGGCATTGGACCTGCTCCCAAATTTGAAATCGGTGAAGGAGCTTTTGCTACAGCTCAAAGGAGTGCTGGCATATCAATGTTGGCAATGTCACCTATTATATTAAAACAAAAATTGCCAAACCCTATTTTCCAGTAAAAAGACTAGAGAGGGTAATAATCTTGACACTGTTTTGCAGTTCAGTGGATATTAGTAGGGGGCAATTATCTTACTTTGCTCATATTTTGTCATTAGGCAACTTCTAATCCTAGCACACATTCCGTGTCCACAGCAACAAGATACTCAAAGCTTACTTTGTAGTCTCTTCAACATACTTCATGTTATAGGTAAGATTTCAAACATTATTTCTGTCATTGTACTAGAGATGTTTATATCTTAAGATATTTTTCAACCCTTTAATTGTTCTTTCAAAAATATTTCTCTCTTTCCTCCATTCCTTACACTTGTTAATATGTAAAATACTGATAACTAGGCCATCTCTACTACCTGAAATCCCTCCCTGGTCAGACCCCTGCAAAAAACAGCTACTGATTCTCAAGAGGCAGTTACCATCCTGTATTCCCCTAAACTCCCCTCCCTCAACCTCTTGAGTGCTGTCAATACCTTCTAAAAACTTCTATCACTCAGAGACGATTCCTTGATCATAATCCTCTGCACTTTGATTCTGGAGGTTGTTTACTCAGTTGATCATAGAACCAGGCTGCTTCTCCCAATTGAGGGATCCCAGGCAAAGCCTGTGGTCAGGCTCCAAAACAGCTTTTCAGGCCCCATCTTTTACAGCTGATGCTGTCGCATACCCTTCAAAAGACTTTCAGGACTTGGTCCTTCAACAATAGTATTCTGTGGTGGTGTGTGCCTGTAGTCCCAGCTACTGGGGAGGGTGAGGCAGGAGGATCGCTTGAGCCCAGGAGTTTGAGGCTACAGTGAGCCATGATCAAGCCACTGCACTCCAACCTGGGTGACAGAGCAACACCCTGTCTCAAAACAAAACAAAAGCAGCATACAGCAGGGGTCCCCAGCCCCTGGGCCAAGGACACGTACTGGTCCATGGCCTGTTAGAAACTGGGCTGCACAACAGAAGGTGAGTGGTGTGTGAGCAAGCATTTCCACCTGAGCTCCGCCTCCTGTCAGATCAGTGGTGGCATTAGATTCTCACAGGAGCGCGAACCCATTGTGAACTGCACATGTGAGGGATCTAGGTTGTGCATTGGGGACCAGTGGCATACAGCATTCCACCACTGAAAAATGGCCTCTGTGGGCTTATGTAGTGGGATCTTGTATTGTGTTCAACTACACTTCAGAGAAACATTTTATTGCTATAGAAAATTTTGTTCTTGTGTTTCACAAGTCTTGCCAAGTCTCTTAATGTGGTATTTCTTCAGAGATGGAAGCCAGCAGAAATCTCTTGTTATCCAGATACAAAAGAAAAAGACTATTTATCTGGGAGTAGTCTGGCTTTCTTCATAAATACATTTTGTAGGTTGATGGCCCACAAACAACTGAAATGGAAAACCATCTGTAGAGACTGCGACTTCATGAAAGGGTGGGAAAATTAGAAAGCACAGCACTCCAATATCTGTAGGAGAAGCAGAGGCCCAAGCAGAGGCCCACAGTCAGCTTTATACTCACCAGAATGGCTTGAATGAGGTTGGAGTTGGCAGACAATGTGATTTGCATACATGGTATTGGCTTGATTTTAAACCCCACCCCCACTTTTATAAAAATCCCACCCCCACTTTTGTAAAAGCATAATATAGCTTTTGGTTTTATTCATTCTTTAGAGGACATCTTTGGGTTTCTTAAGCATTGCAGGCAATTGATGGAAGATTTTAAAATCAGTGGTAGTGGCAGTCTCAAAGTGAATTATTGTCCTGAGTCCTGATACACAGAGTGGAAAACTTAGTTATCTAAAGGACTGCCCTTGAGGCCTACTGTCCTGAATGCATTTTTAGTTAGTGTTGGAAACAAGTTTCACTGGACTCCCAGTGGGGCATTCCCACCCAAGCACAAGTGCCCTCCTTACCCACAAAGTAGCTTGCCTTTTCAGTGAGTAGAGACATATACATACATACATGTGCATGCACATACGTGCGCATACACGCACATACACACACTCTCTCACTCTCTCTCGTTTTATCTCTCTCCCCTCAGGAGTGATTTGAATTAGACAATAAATAGCCAGACAGCACCCCCAGGAATGGGCACACATGCAGCAGCTGTCCAAAGGAGAAGTCACTTTACTTTCTTTTAAACTTGCAATGTTTGTCTTTATTTTGTTCTTTATATTTTCAAAGTGAAAAGAAATAGTACTGAGTCAATTTCTTTTTGTTTTTTTAAATATTTGTTCTATGTATTTACAAGCCTTAAAGTTGCTCTAAAGATTTCAAGAGTATTAAGAGTACTTTTCTCAGGGTAGCACTTTTTTTTTTTTAAACAATTCTTGGAGTTCTGTGGTCCACAGCATTTCCTTCTGTTTCAATGTTATGTATGTTTTGATTACTATTGTGATTTTTTAAATTTTCTGAAGCAAGCTGAGAGGCAGGCAGAAAGATTTGATGCCAAAAAAAAAAAAATCTTTCTTACCTTGTTCACCCCAAACTTTCTCAAATCTGGACTAAATGCTATACCTTAAAACAAACATGAGGTGCATCTTGAAGGGGAGGGAAATTTATTTCTCTGCTTTTCTATTATACAAGTTGTTTACAGAAACTGCAAATTAAAAAATTACACTGGCATTTGCAGTCCTTAAAATAAATTAAAAGTTCTCAACTTTTTTTTTTTTTGCTAAACATTTTTTTAAGTATGAGTCCTTGTTTAAAAAGAAAAGATTAAAACAGAAAATATTTTCTATAAATAATACATGTATTTTGGTTTTAGTGCTCCCGCCCTAAGGTTTGAAGTTTACTTTTATCCAGTACCTTTTTCCTCCATGATCACCTTTTTTTCTCTTTCCCCTCTCCCACTCGTGCACACGTGGGGGTTTCTGCGAGAATTGGCCTTGCTGCACTGTGATTGGCGAAGACGTGAAACTTTTTAAAAAAATACTTAAATTGTTTCTTTTGTTTCATTTTGTGTATTTGAAGTTTTAGTTATCCTCAGACTCCTCTTCTGCTTCCCGCAGCCACGTGAAGAATGCCGTGACAGATTTCAGAGCCACGCCCTTCCCATTCTGCTCTGCAGGGTCCTTGCTGCTCTCCCATTTGTAGAAGGCATCCTCGGAGATCACCTCCTCGTCATATAGACAATCAAAAAACATCCGCAGCAAATCTGCAAGGAGGTGAAAATAAACTATAAGCTTTGGGACACTGTAGTTATGAGGAAAAGAATATATTTCAAAATAATGAATGACTGAATAAATGTGCATTAATTCCCCCAGAAAAAAGCAATAATGACAATTCACCATACTTGCTCTTGACAGTATAAACAGCCCAACAACTTGTTTAAAGAAGAGGAAAAAAAGATTGAAGCAGTCTAAATTCTTTTTTATTCCTATTATTTTGTACAATTTGAACTTTTTTTCTGTTTTTTTTTTTTTTTTTTTTTTTTTTGAGAGACAATCTTGTTCTGTCCCCAGGCTGGAGTGCAGTGGTGCGATCTTGGCTCACTGCAACCTCTACCTCCTGGGTTTAAGCAATTTTCCTGCCTCAGCCTCCTAAGTACCTGGGATTATAGGCGCCTGCCTGGGTTTAAGCAATTTTTCCTGCCTCAGCCTCTCAAGTACCTGGGATTACAGGCGCCTGCCTGGGTTGAAGCAATTTTCCTGCCTCAGCCTCCCAAGTACCTGGGATTACAGGCGCCGGCCACCACAGTCAGCTAATTTTTGTATTTTAAGTAGAGAAGGGATTTCACCATGTTGGCCAGGCTGGTCTCGAACTCCTGACCTCAGGTGATCCGCTCATCTTGGCCTCCCAAAGTGCTGGGATTACAGGCGTGAGCCACCGTGCCCGGCCCAATCTGAACTATCTTCTGATACCAGTGAAGCTGTTTCATATCATGTTTATCTCAATCTAAACCCTATAAAATTTAAATACGAGTAGTTTTTTACTTTCTTTTTACTATTTTCTGCGCTGCAAGTTTACTGTATTATTTTTACAAAATTTGGGGGAAGGGAGAAAGGCAGGATATGCTTTTTATTCCTTGTAATGTTGTTTTAAAAATGAAGAGGTGGCCGGGCGCGGTGGCTCACACCTTTAATCCTAGCACTTTGGGAGGCCGAGACAGGCGGATCACGAGGTCAGGAGATCGAGACCATCCTGGCTAACACAGTGAAACCCCGTCTCTACTAAACATACAAAAAATTAGCCGGGCATGGTGGCGGGTGCCTGTAGTCTCAGCTACTAGGGAGGCTGAGACAGGAGAATGGCGTGAACCCGGCAGGCGGAGCTTGCAGTGAGCTGAGATTGCATCACTGCACTCCAGCCTGGGTGACAGAGCGAGAGTCCGTCTCAAAAAAGAACAAGAGGTGATCATTCACATGGAAAACATGAGTAAAAGCTATCTCATCTGGATTTTATCCAGTGAAACTACACCTGTTATTTACTGTTTTAAACGTCCAAACTATCCGTGTGATTTTAATTCTCGGTTTTACTCTCATAGTAAAACTGAGAATTATAGTTATCATATATAATAAGTTATTAGCTTATAGTTATTATAGTCAGCTCTCCGATCATTTATATTAATGGAGGGAGGCAGTGGAATAAACAATAAATGCTAATCAATATTAGGTTTATCATGAGTCGTATTAACTTTTTTTTTTTTAAATGGAGTTTTGCTCTTTTTGCCCAGGCTGGAGTGCAGTGGCATGATCTCGGCTCATTGCAACCACCGCCTCATGGGTTCAAGTGATTCTCCTGCCTCAGCCTCCCAAGTAGCTGGGATTACAGGCATGCGCCACCACGCCCAGCTAATTTTGTAGTTTTAGTAGAGACGGGGTTTCACCATGTTGGCCAGGCTGGTCTCAAACTCCTGACCTCGGGTGATCTGCATGCCTCGGCCTTTTTTTAAAAAGACTTATCTTTGTAATTATATTAGTTAAGCTAATATTATCAAATTATCTGATTCATGGTAGATTGTCTCTTCAGTTACACTATAAGGATAATTTGCTTTCATCTTTTCCTTTATCTCCAAGAGCGATTCAGGACTAGGAAAGAAGGAATTTTACAAAAGCGAAAATAAGGAAGTACCAAAGAACTACTTGAGTGCTCTCTCTAATAGCTATGTACTGCCCGCTTTAACAAATACCAACTGAATTTTCAAGATGTAATAAAAATCATTAGTTAACACCAAGTATCACTAAGACTTAAGTGTACAGGTTACTTTGTTTCATTAGCCAAGAATTAATCATAACCCTTAACTAAAAACTATTCTGAAACTCCTTAGTAAATATAGCATGGTAAATACACTACACTTAGGGTCTTTGTTGGGTGTCTAAAGATTCTAGAGTATCATCCTCAACATCATTAACCATTTTCATGCCCTAGACCTGTGTTGTCCAATATGGAAGCTATTAGTCAAACATGGTTATTTAAATTTAAAGTCAATAATTCAGTTCCTAAGTCACAACAGACATATTTAAGTATAGAATTGCCACATGTGGCTCATGATTACCATACTCAATGGTATGGATATATACTACCATCACTGTGGAAAGTTTTATTAGGCCTGCCCTGGAATGGGGATGAAATAACCTAATCTAAATAGTTTTCTTGTTGTGATATTTTCATACAAACATATAACAAATTCATTTTTTTTTTTTTGGACAGAGTCTTGCTCTGTTGTCCAGGCCGGAGTGCAGTGGCGCCATCTTGGCTTAGTGCAAACTCCGCCTCCCAGGTTCAAGTGATTCTCGTGCTTCAGCTTTCTGAGTAGCTGTAGCTGGGACTACAGGCACATGCCACCACACCTAGCCAATTTTTGTATTTTTGTATTTTTTTTTTTTTTGAGATAGAGTCTCGCTCTGTCGCCAGGCTGGAGTGCAGTGGCATGCTCTTGGATCACTGTAACCTCCGCCTCCTGGGTTCAAGCGATTCTCCTGCCTCAGCCTCCCAAGTAGCTGGGATTACAGGTGCCCGCCACCACACCCAGCTAATTTTTTGTATTTTTAGTAGAGACAGGGTTTCACTGTGTTAGCCAGGATGGTCTCGATCTCCTGACCTCATGATCCATCTGCCTCGGCCTCCCAAAGTGCTGGGATTACAGGTGTGAGCCACCGTGCTCAGCCATTTCTGTATTTTTAGTAGGGATAGGGTTTCACCATGTTGGCCAGGCTGGTCTTGAACTCTTGACCTCAAGTGATCTGCCTGCCGTGGCCTCCCAAAGTGCTGGGATTATAGGCGCAAGCCACTGCACCCGGCCAAATTCAAATTTATTAAAGTTAGTTATATGAGTTTGTGTTATTAGTGATTCTTTTATTGTCCTTTGTTCGAACCCTAAATCATCTCTAAGTCCTGGCTTGGATAAATCTCACTCATTGGTTAGATTAACTGTAACATGAGATAAACTTACTGGCAGGTTGATCAAGTTTTACTATCGATGCTTGTAGTGCATAAAGTGCTTGCAGTTCCTTCTCTGTATCTGAGTCTAGGTACTTGAGTAAGATCGGCACTCTCTGCTTGATAACAGCAGTGTCCACTCTGAAGGTAGAAGAGTCGGCTAAAGGTGATAGAAGAACTAGGAATTACATTTAAGGAGTTAACATAGAATTATCTTTAATTTTCTTTCTTTTTTCTTTTTTTGAGACAGAGCCTCACTCTATTGCCCAGGCTGGAGTGCAGTGGCACAATCTAAGCTCACTGCAACCTCCGTCTCCCAGGTTCAAGCTATTCTCCTGTCTCAGCCTCCCAAGTTGTTGGGACTACAGGCGCCTGCTCCCAGGCCTGACTAATTTTTTTGTGTATTTTTAGCAGAGACAGGGTTTCACCATGTTGGTCAGACTTGTCTCGAACTCCTGACCTCAGGCGATCCACCCGCCTCAGCCTCCCAAACTGCTGGGATTACAGGCATGAGCCACTGCTCCTGGCCTTTCTTCTTCTTCTTCTTCTTCTATTTTAGATTTTAAATAATAGAGACAGGGTCTCGCTATATTGCCCAAGCTGGTCTTGAACTCTTGGGCTCAAGCAATCCTTCTGCCTTGGCCTCCCAAAATGCTGGGATTACAGGCATGAGCCACTGCAACCTGGCTCATTTTCAATTTTCTGAGTACAAAGGACCCATATGGCTCTACAAGAGAAGAGGAGGCAAGAAGGTCTAAGGCAAATATTTTGAAATCCAAAATGCTCTGAAATTATTAATGAGACATTCTCTCACAAATAATAAAAACTATGGAGGGGATGCATTTTGAATGCTGGTTTCCCTCAGGAGTAGCGTACCCAATTATCTTTAATTGTAATGAAACAGTGACTGTGGTTTTATGACAAACTACAAAAGCAAAATTAATCAAATGTCTTACCATAAAAAAAGGTAAGTGAGGTGATAGATATGTTAATTAATTTGATTCAATCATTCCACATTGGACATGTATATCAAAACATCACATTGTACCCCATAAACATATACAATTATAATTTGTCAATCAAAAATAAATGAAACATGGAGTAGGAATTTCAAGTGAGTATTTAAAAAAAGCAACATAAAAAAGCAACATTAGAAAAGGAAATTAAAGTGACACTTAATACAAATCTTTTCAGAAGGCTAAAATAATTGGAACCATTTTGTTATTACTAGGATAAAAACTAACTGTGGCAGTGGCAGATAACATACCTAATCTAGGCCTTTTGAGGGAAAGGAATGATAAAAAGGGGCTGAGAAATGAAAAGCATCCTCAGTACAAAGACACATACGGGTTTATATTATCTGTAAGTTATCACTAAGACACAATTTTGTTTTTAAAAGCAGATTTTGCTTTTAAAATCTGGCCATCGTGGCTCATGCCTGTAATTCCAGTTACTCAAGAGGCTGAGGCGATAGGATCCGCTTAAGCCCAGGAGTTCAGGTCCAGCCTGGGCAACACAGTGACCCCCACCATCTCAAGAAAACAAAAACCAAACAGCTTTTGGACTTCCCAACTCGAATTTTAAAACATGAAAGTCTTATGATGGTTCTATGGATACTGAAAATGATTTTTAAAAATTTCATGAAGACTTTCTACTTAGCTTTGTTATTTATCTCATTAAAGAACATTGAAAATAAATTCATTGCAAATCTTAAATTACAATTCTGAAGCTATATTAAGTGGCAGAAAGCCATCTTCAAAATAGAGACAGACTTGAAATTCTGAGACACCTTTGCACTGATGAATTTTTTTTTCTCGCTTCAGTGACAGAAGTATGAATTTCTATCTGAAACTAAAGAGATGTCTTCATTGAATAATGTTAAACATTGTATACAGCTTGGAATATTTGGGATTTCTACTGACCCTAATCCTATCAATATTAACAATTCATAAGCCAATAAAATTGTCTTATCATATCAAATAAAGTCAACAAAGAACAGGACAAACTGTTGATATTTTTTTCTTCATGTATGTACTTATATAACATGACTTTTTTGATGAGAATAACCCTATACTGATAATTAGATTAAGAATATTCAACCTGTTCATTATAATTCATTATTGGAAGGAGGAGGCGGCCCTGAATGTTAGAAGTGAAAAGATAAAGAAAAAGCTACACGCAACGTAGTGAAAAACAACCCAAGGAGCATGCAAGGCATGTGGTAGCTGGTTAGATCTGGGTTCTCTGTAGGCGGAGCAGCTATTTGTCTCCACGCTTGAGACAACCAGGCATCACAGACAGAAAGGACAGTGCACAGAAAAGTGAGCTACATAGGAGAAGTTTTGAAAACAATGTAAAATCAAACTGTATACTTAGTAGTTGACATAATGGGGATTTCAGATGTTATGAGCTGCCTTCAGAAATGTTACTTACCTATAATAGCTGCTTTACAAACAGCAGTCATTAAAGCTCTAAGGAATGTAGGTGAACTCATCTGGATTTCGTCTAGATTAGCCTGAAGTCAAAAAGAAATAAAACAATTAAAGATACCTTGCTCAGCCAGGCACAGAGGCTCATGCCTGTAATCCCAACACTTTGGGAGGCCGAGACAGGAGGATCACTTGAGGCTAGGAGTTGAGACCAGTCTGGGCAATATAGTAAGACCCTATCTCTTAAAAAAAAAAAAAAAAAAAAAAAAGCTGGGTATGGTGGCACATGCCTGTGTTCCCAGCTACCTGGGAGACTAAGGTGGGAGGACTGCTTGATCCCAAGGGTTTGAGGCTGCAGTAAGCAATGACTGCACCACTGCACTCCAGCATGGGTGACAGAGCGAGACCTTGTCTTGAGAAAACAAAAAACAGGCCAGGTGCAGTGGCTCATGCCTGTAATCCCAGCACTTTGGGAGGCTGAAGAGGATGGATCACCTGAGGTCAGGAGTTCGAGACCAATCTGGCCAACATGGTGAAACCGTGTCTCTACTAAAAACACAAAAATCAGCTGGGTATGGTGGCAGGCAGAGGCTGAGGCAGGAGAATCGTTTGAACCTGGGAGGTGGAGGCTGCAGTGAGCCAAGATTGCACCACTGCACTCCAGACTGGGCGACAAGTGCAAAACTCCATCTCAAAACAAAAAACAAAAAACAAAAAAAGATACCCTTGCGTATCAGATAAATGATCTCTTGAACATCAGGACTGATCTGGCACTAAGAACAGATGAGTCACTGTTTTTTTTTTTTTTTTTTTTTTGAGACTTTGCACTGTCACCCGGGCTGGAGTGCAGTGGTGCGATCTCAGCTCACTGCAACCTCTGCCTCCCAGGTTCAAGCGATTCTCCTGCCTCAGCCTCCTGAGTAGCTGGGACTACAGGATCCCTGCCTCAGCCTCCCGAGTAGCTGGGACTACTCAGCTAATTTTTTAGTACTTTTAGTAGAGATGGGGTTTCACTATGTTGGCCAGGCTAGTCTCAAACTCTGACCTCGTGATCTGCCTACCTCAGCCTCCCAAAGTGCTGGGATTACAGGCATGAACCATCACACCCAGACCAGATGAATCACATTTTTGCACATTCTTGCTAAAATTAAATGTCCAATTCATTGAAAAATAATTTGGCTATTGCCAGTTCTATGTGCAAATATTTGAATTAGCAGTATTTACTTTTCAGGGTCCTTCCCACTGCCTATCCTTTACTCATTCAATTATACAGTGTTATGTACTTGTACATTTGGAAGTATAACCACTTAAAAACATATTTTATTCCTCAATAAATAATCCATATTAAGATCATCTACTCAATCTATGAAAGAACAACACCACAACTGCAGTGTATTTTAATGACTACTTACTCAGAAGCATGTAACTATTTTTACATGTGCCAACACTGCTTTTTCATCTTAATTTTAATGTGAATTAGAAGTTAATCTCAAGCATTACTTAACCCCTTAAGTGGTGAGAAAAATGTTACTCTTTTCTAAGGAAGGCAAAACAAAAGCATTTAAAAACTAATTTAATTAAGGTTAAAAATTCATCTCCCCCTCCCCCTCCCCCTCCCCCTCCCCCTCCCCCTCTCCCTCTCCCCACAGTCTCCTTCCACGGTCTCCCTCTGATGCCGAGCCAAAGCTGGACGGTACTGCTGCCATCTCGGCTCACTGCAACCTCCCTGCCTGATTCTCCTGCCTCAGCCTGCCGAGTGCCTGCGATTGCAGGCGCGCGCTGCCACGCCTGACTGGTTTTCGTTTTTTTTTGGTGGAGACTGGGTTTTGCTGTGTTGGCCGGGCTGGTCTCCAGCTCCTAACCGCGAGTGATCCGCCAGCCTCGGCCTCCCGAGGTGCCGGGATTGCAGACGGAGTCTCGTTCACTCAGTGCTCAATGGTGCCCAGGCTGGAGTGCAGTGGCGTGATCTCAGCTCACTACAACCTACACCTCCCAGCCGCCTGCCTTGGCCTCCCAAAGAGCCGAGATTGCAGCCTCTGCCCGGCCGCCACCCCGTCTGGGAAGTGAGGAGCGTCTCTGCCTGGCCGCCCATCGTCTGGGAGGTGAGGAGCCCCTCTGCCTGGCTGCCCAGTCTGGAAAGTGAGGAGCGTCTCTGCCCAGCCGCCATCCCATCTAGGAAGTTAGGAGCGTCTCTGCCCGGCTGCCATCCCATCTAGGAAGTGAGGAGCATCTCTGCCTGACCCGCCCATCGTCTGAGTGGGGAGCGCCTCTGCCCCGCCGCCCTGTCTAGGATGTGAGGAGCGCCTCTGCTGGGCCGCAACCCTGTCTGGGAGGTGAGGAGCGTCTCTGCCCGGCCGCCCCGTCTGAGAAGTGAGGAAACCCTCTGCCTGGCAACCGCCCCGTCTGAGAAGTGGGGAGCCCCTCCGTCCGGCAGCCACCCCGTCTGGGAAGTGAGGAGCCTCTCCGCCCGGCAGCCACCCCGTCCGGGAGGGAGGTGGGGGGGGGTCAGCCCCCCGCCCGGCCAGCCGCCCCGTCCGGGAGGTGAGGGGATCCTCTGCCCGGCCGCCCCTACTGGGAAGTGAGGAGCCCCTCTGCCCGGCCAGTTGCCCCGTCCAGGAGGGAGGTGGGGGGGTCAGCCCCCCACCCGGCCAGCCGCCCAGTCCGGGAGGGAGGTGGGGGGTCAGCCCCCCGCCCGGCCAGCCGCCCCGTCCGGGAGGGGGGAGGGGGGGTCAGCCCCCTGCCCGGCCAGCCGCCCCGTCCGGGAGGGAGGTGGGGGGATCAGCCCCCCGCCTGGCCAGCCGCCCCGTCCGGGAGGTGAGGGGCGCCTCTGCCCGGCCGCCCCTACTGGGAAGTGAGGATCCCTCTGCCCGGCCAGCCGCCCCGTCCGGGAGGGAGGAGGGGGGTCAGCCCCCCGCCCGGCCAGCCGCCCCGTCCGGAAGGGAGGTGGGGGGATCAGCCCCCCGCCCGGCCAGCCGCCCCGTCCGGGAGGTGAGGGGCGCCTCTGCCCGGCCGCCCCTACTGGGAAGTGAGGAGCGCCTCTGCCCGGCCAGCCGCCCCGTCCGGGAGGGAGGTGGGGGGGTCAGCCCCCCGCCTGGCCAGCCACCCCATCCGGGAGGGAGGTGGGGAGGTCAGCCCCCTGCCCGGCCAGCCGCCCCGTCCGGGAGGGAGGCGGGGGGGGGGGGGGTCGGCCAGCCGCCCCGTCCGGGAGGGAGGTGGGGGGGTCAGCCCCCCGCCCGGCCGGCCGCCCCGTCCGGGAGGTGGGGGCGCCTCTGCCCGGCCGCCCCTACTGGGAAGTGAGGACCCCTCTGCCCGGCCAGTCGCCCCGTCCGGGAGGGAGGTGGGGGGGTCAGCCCCCCGCCCGGCCAGCCGCCCTATCCAGGAGGTGAGGGGCGCCTCTGCCCGGCCGCCCCTACTGGGAAGTGAGGACCCCTCTGTCTGGCCAGCCGCCCTGTCCGGGAGGGTGGTGGGGGGGTCAGCCCCCCGCCCGGCCAGCCGCCCTATCCAGGAGGTGAGGGGCGCTTCTGCCCGGCCGCCCCTACTGGGAAGTGAGGAGCCCCTCCGCCCGGCCACCACCCCGTCTGGGAGGTGTGCCCAGCGGCTCATTGGGGATGGGCCATGATGACAATGGCGGTTTTGTGGAATAGAAAGGCGGGAAGGGTGGGGAAAAAATTGAGAAATCGGATGGTTGCCGGGTCTGTGTAGAAAGAAGTAGACATGGGAGACTTTTCATTTTGTTCTGTACTAAGAAAAATTCTTCTGCCTTGGGATCCTGTTGATCTGTGACCTTAACCCCAACCCTGTGCTCTCTGAAACACGTGCTGTGTCCACTCAGGGTTAAATGGATTAAGGGCGGTGCAAGATGTGCTTTGTTAAACAGATGCTTGAAGGCAGCATGCTCGTTAAGAGTCATCACCACTCCCTAATCTTAAGTACCCAGGGACACAAACACTGCGGAAGGCCGCAGGGTCCTCTGCCTAGGAAAACCAGAGACCTTTGTTCACTTGTTTATCTGCTGACCTTCCCTCCACTATTGTCCTGTGACCCTGCCAAATCCCCCTCTGCGAGAAACACCCAAGAATGATCAATTAAAAAAAAAAAATAAATAAATAAAAAAATAAATAAATAAAAAAAAATAAAAATAAAAATTCATGAAGTGAACTGATAGGTAAGCGAATTAAGGGGATCCCACAAGAATCTTTCCTGTAGAGGTATCAGGGAAGGTGACATAGTCTTTATACCTCTACCCAGTCAAAGATCTGTTCATCATTCGCTTTGTCCTCAATAATGAGTTTCTCGAGTCGCTTATACAGCTCTTCGGCAGACAGTTCTTTCTTTGAAAGTGCTTCAGAGGAACAGGGACTGTCAGACTCTATGAAGTCCAACTTCTGAAACATAAAAGGTGGAACATATTAATATATTAATATAATTCTATGTTATTGTCATCCTGAGAGAAGAACAAAGTCATAGGTTACGTCTTCTATTTTACATGGAATCAAAATGATCAGCAGAGGCTATTTTATGTTTGTAGTTTTTTTTTTTTTTTTTTTTTTGAGACAGGGTCTTGCTCTGTCATCCAGGCTGGAGTAGTTTGGCTTACTGCAACTTCCACATCACGGGCTCAAGCAATCCTCCCACCTCAGCCTCCTGAGTAGCTGGGACTCCAGACCCACACCACCACACTTGGCTATTTTTTTGTGTTTTTAGTAGAGAAGGGGTCTTGCCATGCTGCCCAGGCTGGTCTTGAACTCCTGAGCTCAAGCAATCCGCCCTCCTTGGCCTCCCAAAGACGGGATTACAGGCATGACTCACCACGCCCAACCTGTTCGTATTATAGTTTTGAAAAACTGTCAGTCCATTATCCTTCTGAATATTTTTCCAACTTCTCATACCGTGTATCTTAAAAAAGAAGGTAATAACCCCCTATAATTATCTCTAGGCTATGGTTACACGCAAATAATCTTGAGCTTCAATCTTCCCCTTAGCTGCAACATAGCTCTTTAAGGCAGGATAGGAGCCCTAGAAAAGGGTACAATTTCACTCTCTTTCTGCAACCTATGGTTTAATATTAGTATTGGTACTCAGCAGCTATCAAAACTAGATAGTTTTGGCTTTGTTAAGTTGTGGCCATTTCGAATATAGGTGTGAGAAATGATGCTATAATTGTTTAGCACTTAGATACATAGTTTTAAAAAATCTATAATCAGGCTGGGCGCAGTGGCTCACACCAGTAATCCCAGCACTTTGGGAGGCCAAGGCAGGAGGAGTGTATGAGTTCAGGAGTTTGAGACCAGCCTGGGCAACATGGCAAAACCCCGTCTCTACCAACACAAATACCAAAATTAGCCAGGTGTTGTGGCATGCGCCTGTGGTCCCAGCTACTCAGGAGGCTGAGATGGGAGGATTGCTTGAGCATGGGAGGTTGAGGCTGCAGTGAATTGTCATTGTGCCACTGCTCTGCAGCCTGGCAATAGGGCGAGATCCTGTCTCAAAAAGAAAAAAAAAATCTATAATCAAAATTATTCATAATTTTCAAAGGACTAAAGAAATGAAGTACATAGGTATGCCTTGCTTTATGTGGCTTCATTATACAAAAACCATAAAGATGAAAATATTAAGGATTACTCACATAAGGTTTTCTCTAATACTCTTGAATACTCTGGTATGGTCCTATACCCTATCCCCAATCCACAAAGTGAAAACCACAGTCTTGAGTTCTGTCATCTGATTGTTCCGTTTCTACCACTTACGTAGCATCTCTAAATTATATTTCCCAATAAGGTTTTATTATTTATTTATTTTTGACTTGGGGTCTCACTATGTTGCCAAGTTGGACTTGAACTCTGGGGCTCAAAGATCCTTCTGCCTCAGCCTCCCGAGCAGCTGAGACTACAGTGTGCACCACTGCACCCAGCTCCATAAGATTTTAGAAACATGGCTCAATATTACAATTTTTCTGATTTAGTATTGGTTAACTATACATCCAATCCATGATGCTCCAATATATGCAAAAAAGCACAACATGAAGGCCATAAGCTGTTTAAGCAAACTGTAAGTCAAGATACAGGCCAAGTATTTTTCAACCTCATTTTTCAAACTATAAACATTTTTATATATTCATTTTATTATATATATATTATTTTGCCTTTTTTTTCTTTTAAACTGAAGTCTCATATTTATTTATTTAGACAGGGTCTTGCTCTTTCGCTCAGGTTACAGTGCAGTGGCACTATCAAGGCTCACTGCAGCCTTGACCTCCGATTGCTTTTTTTTTCTTTTAAACTGAAGTCTCATATTTATTTATTTATTTATTTATTTATTTATTTAGACAGGGTCTTGCTCTTTTGCCCGGGTTGCAGTGCAATGGCACTATCATGGCTCACTGCAGCCTTGACCTCCCAGGCCAAGTGATCCTTAGCGAACTAATGCAGGAACAAAAAACCAAATACTGCGTGTTCTCACTTATAGGTGGGAGCTAAATGGTGACAATACATGGACACATAGAGGGGAACAACACACACGAACCTATCAGAGGGCAGAGGTTGGGAGAAGGGAGAAGATCAGGAAAAATAACTAATAGGTACTAGGCTTAATACCTGGGTGACAAAATAATCTGTAAAGCAAACCCCCATGACACAAGTTTACCTATAGAACAAACCTGCACATGTACCCCTGACCTTAAAATAAAAGTTAAATTAACAAAAAAAGAGGACTCAGGGAGAGGGAGTGGAGAAGGAGGAAAGAGGAGAGAGGGGAGAGGAGAGGAGACAGAGAGACTGGAGACAGAAAGAAAGAGAGAGAGACAGAGAGAGAGATACTATTGGCTGCAGCAGGGAGGTGCAGCTGGGGCCGTACACTGCATGGAGCCGGTGGGAGCCCTGCCCCTTCTGAGTTGGGATGGAAGCTGCCTGTGCTACTGCAGCCACCCAAACCATAGCTGCGGACCCAAGCCTCCTGCTCTTTGGAGCAGGCAGGAGCCCTGCCCTCCCACCCAAACTGCAGCTGTGGATTCGAGCCTTTCTTGAGGGAGCAGGCAGGATCTCCCCTCCTGGGTGCTGTCGCAGCTGCCTGACCTGCGGCTGCAGACCTGGGCCTCCCGTTCCACAAAGCAGGCAGGGGACGGGAAAAGGGGGAGCCCTGCCTCTTCTGAGTTGGTGGGGTGGGAGCTCTGGGGTGCAGCTGTGGCTGCCCTCCTAGGCATGCAGCACCTGGGCGTCTCTGCAGTCAGCACCCTCGGGTGTCCCAGGAAAGACCCCCTGTCCCTGCAGGCTCAGAGTTGCCTGCTCTCTGATCTTGGAGTGGGGTTGGGACCAAGCCCCAGGGCCATGAATGGCAGCAGGAGGCAGACAGAGTCCTGGGTGGAAGGGGGCAGGGTCCCCAGTAAGGCCCCACCCTCAGGCCAGGGAGGACCTGAAGGCTGGGGGCTGGGATGCCAGTCCAGCAGAGTGGAGTAGGGGCTCATGGTGCCTCTTCCAGGCCCAACCATGGCTGCCTATGGACCAATTGGCATGCATTTCTTCCCCTCTGAGGTATAAAAGCCCTGGACTCAGCCAGAACAGGGTAGCAGATGGGCAGAGGACAAAGAGGGTAGAGAGACGATTGGAGGACCAGCTGCAGAGAAGAATGCCTTCTCTGCTGAGAGCTGCAGAGATGACCTGCCAGGAGAGAGGAGGTACCCTCTCCTCTGAGAGCTTCAGAGACCTGCAGAAATGTCCAAACGACCTGCCTGTGGAGAGGAGCTATCCTCTCCAGAGCCTCCTCTCTACAGAGAGCTGAACACTCCATGGGACAACCTGCCTACTAGAGAGGAGCTACCCACTCCTCTGAGCTGTTCTAACACTAAATAAAACTCTTCTTCACCCTTCATTTGTTTGCGTACCTCATTCTTCCTGGACACAGGAAAAGAACTCGGGCAAAGGTGCCATGGCCACAGAGGTTTCTGGCCAAAAAAATCGACACTCCAGAGATCCCGTTAACACTACTGCTTAAATACTTTTGATAGTCACAGCCCTAAAAGATACTTCAGCATGAAAGAGTTGAAATAACAGCCAGCCCCAGCACTGGCCTCTCAGTCAACTAAAAGTCAATTAAAAGACACAACCCCAATCCTTGGAAAATGAAGTCCTTATTGTTCAACCTGGCACCAGCAAGCTGCACCAGAAATGGTGTGATGCCAGTTTCCTGGTGGTCTGCCACTGGGCTGGGTACTGGTAAGTTCTATGCAAAATTCCCAAATTCACTGAAATTTATCAGACTCTTTTTTCATTATGCAATCCCCTGGTGTTGATAATGCATGTATTTAACGAGACTCCACAGTTCTAAAACAGTTGGCTCTAACAGATCTTGCCAGTTCAATAGTTGTGTCAGTGGAGGGATTGAATCCTGGAACCTCACCATCTTCCCTATTACGTATACTTCTCTATTATGTATACATCACCATCTTCCCTATTATGTATACATCACCATCTTCCCTATTATGTATACTTCTGTTATGTATACTTCACCACCTTCCCTATTACGTATACTTCCCTATTATGTATACTTCACCATCTTCCCTATTATGTATACTTCCCTATTATGTATACTTCACCATCTTCCCTATTATGTATACTTCTCTATTATGTATACTTCTCTATTATGTATACTTCACCATCTTCCCTATTATGTATACATCAGTTTTCAAATATTAAACCCACCTTACATTTCTAGGATAAACCCTACATTATTATTATTATTATTTTCCCAATATGGAGTCTTGCTCTGTCACCCAGAGCTGGAGTGCAATAATGTGATCTTGGCTCATTGCAACCTCTGCCTCCTGGGTTCAAGCAATTTTCCTGCCTCAGCCTCCTGAGTAGCTGGGATTACAGGCGTGTGCTACCACACCTGGCTAATTTTTGTATTTTTAGTAGAGACGGGGATTCACCATGTTGGCCAGGCTGGTCTCGAACTCCTGACCTCGTGATCCGCCCGCCTCGGCCTCTCAAAGTGCTGGAATTATAGGCATGAGCCACCACGCCTGGCTGATGTATTTATTGACATAAAGATTATTCATAAAATTTCCTCACCCACTTTTATGTATAGAATCTGTGCTGATGTTACCGCTTTCATTCCAGATATTAGTAATATGTACCTTCTTTTCAAACTTTTTTTCACGATCAATCTGGCTAGAGGTTTATCACTTTTATCTTCTCAAAGAACCAGCTTTTTTTTTTTTTTTTTTTTTTTTTTTGAGACGGAGTCTCGCCCTTTTGTCCAGGCTGGAGTGCAATGGTGCAATCTTGGCTCACTGCAACCTCCACCTCCTGGAGAACCAGCTTTTGATTTCACTGGTCTTTCTCTAAAAATTTTTCTATTTCATTGATTTCTGATATAATGTTTATTATTTCCTTTATTCTATTTGCTTGGAGCTTCATTTGTTCTTATTGTTCTAATTTCTTTTTTTTTTTTTTTTGGTGATAGGGTCTTGCTCTGTTGCCTGGGCTGGTCTCTCAAGCTCCTGGGCTCAAGCAATCTTCCTGCCTTGGCCTCCCAAAGTGTTGGGATTATAGGCATGAGCCATTGTGTCTGGCCTTATTTTTCTAATTCTTTAAGGTTGAAGCTGAGGTTATTGACCTTTCTTCTTTTCTAAATATCGATGATATGTTGTGGTTTTGTTTTCATTCAGTTAAAAATGTTTTTTACTATCATGTTTGATTTCTTCTTTGACCCATGGGTATTTAGAAGTATGTTGTTAAGTTTCTCAGTATGCATTGCCCTAATTCTTAAAGGTTAGTTCAGCTGCACAGGGAATTCTACATTTACTGCTCGTTTCTCAGCACTCTGAGATTATTCTACCATCTTCTGGCTTTCATGGTTGCTACTGCAAAGTCTAATTTTTTGTGTATTTTTTTTTTGAGGGGGAGGCAGGTAAGTAATGTGCTTCTTCTTCCCAGCTTCTTTAAAATCTTTCATCTGTCTTTGGTATTATGCAGTTTCACTAAAATATAATTATCCTGTATTGCATATATGGGCTTTCATTATAGATTTGTATATTTTATCACTTCTAGAAGTCTCAGCCACTGTCTCTTCAAATATTGCCTCTTCTCCATTTAGGCTAATTTTCCTTCTGGGACTCCAATTAGATAGGTTAGATGTTCTCTCATTCTTTCCTCCAAATCTCCTAACATATTAACATATCTTAGATAGCTACCTACAGATTTTGGTGTGTGTGTGTGTGGCTTTTGTTTATTTATTTTATTTTTTATTTTTGATAGGCTCTCACTTTGTCTCTCAGGTTGGAGTGCAGTGGTGTGATCGTATCTCACTGCAGCCTTAAACTCCCACGCTCTAGTGATCCTTCTGCCTCAGTCTCTCGAGTAGCTTACGACTACAGGTGCACCAATACACCTAGCTATTTTTTTTTAGTAGAGACAGGTCTCACTATGTTGTTCAGGCTGATCTCCAACTCCTGGCTTCAAGAGATTCTCTTGCTTCAGCCTCCCAAAGTGCTAGGATTATAGGCATGAGCCACTGCACCCAACCTTTTCTTTTCTTTTCAAATCTCTTTAACCATTTTGACTAGTCTCTTGTTTGCTCATTTTTGTGATTCTTTCTTTTACTATAGTGTTATTTTATACTCTGAATGATAATTCCATTACCTCAAGTCCATGGGGTCTAAATCTACTACTTATTGTCTGTTTACTTTTATCTTTACTTCTTTAATTGTATGTTAAATGAACACCAAGTGTCAACTCATATATTTAAATAATTTGGATTTGTAGAAAATAAGGGGACCTAAGTTGAGGATGTTTCTCCAAAGAGCATTTTGATTTGCTGCTTCTGGGAGCCAAGGTAATACTGAACTGGGACTAAGTCAACTTTTTCCATGACATCTGACAGCATTTGTAATAGTATCTTCCCACTGGGCTATGTGTCCTTTGGGCAATATGCCCTTCACATGTAATTACTATTCACAGTTCAGGTTTCATCTCTGGCTTTTCCCCCTCATTAATTCTTTTTGTCCCTTTGAAGGAAATTACTTCCACCTCTTCTAAGTCCAGTAACACATCAGAAGTTATGCTTCATGCAGGTTCTTATTGCTGTGGCAAGAATGCTCTTCAGTGTTCCAGACTACAACCAAAAAGAAAGCTAATGTCTGTAGCAACCTAATATAATATCTTTATCCAGAACAAAATACTTATTTTAAAGTCATTTTCAGATTGCATTCTTGTTCTCTTTTTACCTATGGTGATTTTTTTTCTCCTTATTCCTGATTTTGTTGGCTGTCTTAGCTTTAGTTTTCCTCATGAGTTTTAGGATTTTGATTTTCAGTAACGTTTTGAGAGAGTTTTGTTTTCTTTCTGTTACTTTTCTTGATCTAATTTGTTTTATGGTTACCTCAACCTAACAGCCCACAAATCCTCCTATAGGACCAGATTATACTGATCATGGGGTCTTCTGTTTTGTAGATTTCTGGATCTAGTTACCAGTCAGTAGGCAGGATAGCTAAGGTTCTGGGTATAAGACTGTGTCTACTTCCTTGCACTTATTTACCTGTGTAGTTTCAAGCTATAAGCTTGTCTCTAATCTTCTACCTTATAAGGGTATTAATGGTCTCCATTCCCCACAGAATAACTTCTGGCTGCTTCTGGCCTGCCATCAGACCCAGAAATCAGGAGACAGCTTTGGCCCTGTCACCCTGCTTTATTTGTTAACTTCATTTCTGCTTGCTGTAGCTTGTTTTTCTATAGGTTGCTAAGTCTTTTACATTTTCTTTTTTTAAATATCAATCATCTGATGACCACACAGTTGGAGTGGCTTTAAAAGCATGAACTTAAAAGGACATCTTTACCAAGATTCCTATTTTGATGCAATTTTAACGACTGGAATACGAAGGAAATTACCTTCACTTCCTCTATGAAATAGATCAACTACTATCAAACAGCAAAACATAAGCCTTGTTCTTACCTGCTCCAAAAGAAAATTATGTACATCTTCTCCTTCTGGTAAAAAGTCCTTCCAGCTGAGGTCAGCCTCCCTCCATAAGGCTCCCACTTTCTTATGGCTCTAAAATAGAGATAAATCCAATCCATTTACTTTCACAGTGGAAGAAGAAACAGAAAAAAAAAAAAAAAAAAAGATTTGCTTGAAGTCAAACAGTGCAAACCCCAAAAAGCTGAAAAATCAAAACGTTTCCAGCAGGGCATGGTGGTGCACACCTGTATAGTCCTAGCTACTAGGGAGGCTGAGGTGGGAAGACAGCTTTCACCCAGGAGTATGAGGTCTGGCCCAGGCAACACACACAGCAAGACCAGTCTCGAAAACAAACTTTTCCTCACTGATAAAAAGTTAATCTCTTAAGACTTGTGACTTTCAAACTAAGATGTCTGAATGCACATAAATACAATGGTGAATAATTGAAGTACAGCTGCTTAAGATTAAATAATTGATTTATGAGGTGACTAATCTGGGGAGCTACAGCTGGTTATTTGGGATTTATAAACATCAAAAAAAGTCCAATACACAGAGTTTATAAATTCCACACTGTGTCTTTTCCTAGATAGCTCTGTATGTATCTGCTATTAAAGCCATTCAAGAAGCCTCACTAGAATCCCTCTTCATAATAGATCACAGCCATGCTGCCTGATACAAGGAGGCTTAAAGCAGTTGTTGCTCCTGAACCAGGAATGAGAAGTGTTTCAAGGGCAAGAAGCACAAGGTTGAGCCCAAGAGAGAGAATAAAGAAGAGCTGTTGTCAGGTAGAAAAAAGTGAAGAGGTACAAGTCCTCTACCTGAAGAAAGTTACAGTGACAACGGAAAATGCCAGGTTTGAGGCTGTTGCTGTCATCTGAGAGGTATGTATTAATTACTTCATAGAGTAACTTGTCCAAGGCATAGCTGAAAATATAGTTGAACCAGAATTTGAACTCGGCCATCTGGCTCCAAAGCTTATACTATATGAGAATTTAGTTTTATTTGGAAGTAGGGTTGTGCTGTTTCTACACATCAAAGTTAATAAGAATGTGAGTTTTTAGTTATTATTATTAATTTTTGAGACAGAGTCTCTCTCTGTAGCTCAGGTTGAAATGCAGTGGCACAATCTTGGCTCACTCCAACCTCCACCTCCCAGATTCAAGCGATTCTCCTGCCTCAGCCTCCCAAGTAGCTGGGATTACAGGTGCCTGTCACCATGCCTGGCTAATTTTTGTATTTTTAGTAGAGATGGGATTTTGCCATGTTGGCCAGACTGGTCTCCAACTCCTGACCTCAAGTGATCCACCCGCCTCGGCCTCCCAAAGTGCTGGGATTACAGGCGTGAGCCACTGTGCCAGCCAGAATGTGAGTCTTTCTTTTTTTTTTTTTTTTTTTTTTTTTTTGAGACAGAGTCTTGCTCTGTTGCCAGGCTGGAGCGCAGTGGCATGATCTCGGCTAACTGCAACCTCTGCCTCCCGGGTTCAAGCTATTCTCCTGCCTCAGCCTCCTAAGTAGCTGGGACTACAGGTGCGTGCCACCATGCCTGGCTAATTTTTGTATTTTTAGTAGAGACAGGGTTTCACCATGTTGGCCAGGATGGTCTCGATCTCTTAACCTCGTGATCTGCCCACCTTGGCCTCCCAAAGTGCTGGGATTACAGGTGTGAATCACTGCGCCCGGCCAGAATGTGAGTTTTAAATAAGGACTAAAGTCAAGTAGGTCGGAGAGGAGGAAATTTTGGACATAAAAACTAGGGTTCAGTAAAAATTTTAGTGCCATTAAGCAAAGAGTAGTATTAACAAATAGTCAACAGAACTAGAGACCAGGATATTTAGTACATCTGTTTATGAATAACTACCACACAAATGGGATACAGAAGGACTTCTGTATCAGAGGGAGGAATGAAACACTGACTTTAAACATTAAAATCTATCATCCAATATCTTTGAGTCAGGCGTAAGTAAGTCAGAAATCACTCCAGAATCTTCATTTCTGAGTTCTGTTTTGTTTTGACATCTCTCATCCCTCTCATCCTAGACATTTTATTCCCTTTGTGATGCCACAACACTTCCCCAAACCTCTTAGACTTCTAACAAAGCACTTTCACTCTTTTGAAATTATTGGTTTAGATTTATCTGTTCCCACTTTATAGACTGACAGCCTGCCATAGACTGACAGCCTCCAGCTCTATGGAGCTTTTCGTTGAAATCTATTAAAACATATAAATGATATATCCATTTTGTTTCAAAGGAAGAAAAAATCAACTACAAATAAAACATGACTTGAGATTCTTTAGAATTATACCAAATCTAGTCGAGATTTGATAATTCTGCCCCAAGATATTAGCAAACAGAAGGACAAATGCACCTCAGAAAGAAACTGGGTTGAAGCAGAGACCTCATTCTTAATTACTTGCACCCTGAGACCTAAGCTATTCACAGATAACCCAAGATCAAGATCACTGCCCTTCCTAATAATACTGTTGAGTCTGACACTCAGTGTAACACTCACCATTTGTTTGCATAGTAGGTGCAATATTTCAGATAGCAAGACCCCAGCTCTTCCAACAGGAAGTAAAGGTTTGCTAAATTCTCTGTAAAAGATAGGAGCAGTGATTAAGTATCTCTAAAGAAATCCTTTCTTCTAGAACAAGAGGCAAACAATGTGTGACCAAAAACCAGATACTGTGCAACCTACATAATACTGGGCAAGCCAAAGCTCCAGGACATGCTCTAAGTCATTTTCAGGAGAAGTTCCTGAAAAGGTACATGTGAGTTCTTGGTTTTTACCTTTTTCTTTAACCACTTCAGTGACAGAAGCAACACAAAGATCAGATGTGGTAATCTGTTTGTTTATGTAAGTTCTGCTTCAAGCTAAAATGAGAAGCACCTTAGGTAACAGGGAGTTGTGATGCTTTTATAAAGTTTTTTTTTTTTTTTTTTTTTTGAGACAGAGTCTCACTCTGTCGCCAGGCTGGAGTGCAGTGGCGCAATCTTGGCTCACTGCAATCTCCAATTCCCTGGTTCAAGCGATTCTCCTGCCTCAGCTTCCCAAGTAGCTGGGATTACAGGCACGTAACACCATGCCCAGATAATTTTTGCATTTTAGTAGAGACAGGGTTTCACCATGTTGGCCAGGATGGTTTTGATTTCCTGACCTTGTGATCCGCCTGCCTCGGCCTCCCAAAGTGCTGGGATTACAGGTGTAAGCTATTGCGTCTGGCCATATATAAAGTATTTTTAAGAAAGGAAGCTTTTCTTTATAGATGAAATTATGGATGAAACAGCAAAGGGGCCAATTTTGTAACAGTCTAAATCAGCATTTACCAAACTGTGTTCCATAGGATATCTATACTCTAAGTGAGGCAATGCTGAATTAAACAAAGCTAACTAGTTTTTATTTATTGCTTTACTATAGGACTGTCATAAACTTTAATATGCTAAGTATGTTTTGTTAATCTCAAAGAAAAGGGACATGACCATGTGCAAAGTTTGACTATATAAACAACTTTTGTGGAAACACTAGTGTTTCGAAGAACAGAGTTTGGGAACCACCGGTCTATATAACGTAGCATCCATTCCCCACTCACATCCAAACGTAGGAATACTTGAGATCTCAGTTTGTTTTATTATAATCATCCTTTTATTATAATCATGAGCATGTACTATGGGGTAATGCAGTCTGACAAGTTACAATGGGAAAATATAACTACTTACAGCACTACTGCAATGATAGACACAAAAGCCAGATGAACATTAAGCTTCTAGAAGCAGTCATCTTCCAGTTACACGATTCTGGAGCCAATCTATCATCGCCACTACCCTCAACAGACCACAGGGCTATCATATCCCCAGAATATCTCAGGTGTAGACCTAGCATAAGGTAACATTTTTACACTGAAATCAGAAGTCTTAAAGAGTCACAGCCTGCATTCATGAGTCTCCAAAGGCGATAATGGGACAGTACTATGATAGAGAGCTAGCAAGTGAGTTATTAGTCAGTTCTACCTGATATATATCAAGAGAAACAAGTATAACTTACATGGTAAGTTCTCTCATGGAGATTCCACCTTCTTTTAACATGGGGGTCACCAGTTCAGCAAGGTACAACCAAATATGGGGAATATCAATGGCCATGTCATCTGCCAATTCCAAAGTTTCTGAAAAACTGAAAAGGAACAGGGGGTAAAAATCACATGCAAATGTAATTCAAAAGTTAAAATTAAATAAAGAGATAAAAAATCAGTCAACAAATACATATTAATCACCTGCTATGTTAGGTACAGTCTAGCCACAAAGTGACTGGTAAATACATTACCATTCTCAAAGAGATTATGTTAGCGTGGGGGAAAAAGACTAGAACAGACAAAAGCATACTTGCAAATAGGGCTAATACTCTGAAGAACATGAACTATGTACAAGAAGGAGGTCAGAAAATACCTCCATATAAAGGTGACATTTGAAAGCCTTAAATGATGAAAAGAAGGACAGTCCTGTGAAGTTCTAGGGGAAAAATTATCCATTTAATCCTGCACTATAAAGAATTCACCACAGTTGAATATCATATTCTCTGAGTCAGTCAAAAGCACTGACTAAACACTTACTGTAAAACACAAAAATCTGTGTCCTTGAGGAATCTTACAATGGGGAAAAAACTGGATGGATATAAAAGAGTCTGGCAACATTACTAACACTATCATCATTATTACATGTTACGAACTGTTCTATCTCTACAGAAAAGCTAATGGTTTCAGGCTTTTGTGCTATGAATTATAAATATTTCTCAATGTCAAGCAAATGGGAATTAAATATAAAACTTAGGAAAATCAAATATAAAATACCAGCACTCTTATGTAGGCTAAAAATCATAGCTGTTCATTTGGAAGTATAAACAAACAACTCAAGACTTTGTTAATTATTTCCACATACAATATATAATAAAGTACAAAAGCAAATGAATTTAACTACAGGAGACATACACATAATTGCAAGTCATAAGGAAAGGGAGGAATGAATTGAAGAGCTAAGAGCAGGTGGTAATTGTATGCATGCCCTTTCAGATCTCTACAATTGTAAAACGTGTGCTTTTCCACTGCAGTTCCAGGTTCTAGCCAAAGTATGCCACCCTTTTTTCAGAGGCCTACATCTCACTAAAACTTTTCACTTAAAAAGAGCTACCACCATAGGCAGGGTCACCATTCTGAAGCTGCCACTTCAAAACAGTTTGCAGCTCAGCCATATTATCTAACTCTGGGCTTCATGAATCCTTAATTCCAACTTTCTGACCTCACAGCTTGCAATTATTTGATGCCGAGGACGGTGTCTGTGCTATGGCAAATAGATGTCAAATAATTGCAGGTTCTCTCATTATGTGCATACTTTGGGTTCAGTTAATGTACCACTGATGAAATATAATCTAGCTGGACTCCAGGATTTCTAGGTTAACCACCTGATCCTGCCAACTCATGCTCTGTGGGCTAGCAGCATAAATTAAGCTGTTTAATGGGCCCAAGAGACAACTGTAGCCATGCTGGTCTTTCAGCAGTGTACCTGCTGCTATTTTTATCTCATATATTTTATCTCATTACAAATAAAATATACCCATATTCTTGCTTTGGTTTTTTATGCCTTGATCAGTCAGTTCATCATGGGACAGTCCACAGAACACAATCAGTGGTCAAATCTATACTGCTAACAAAAAACTTTTTTGGCTGAACATAGGATTTCCATAGAACAAGCCTGTAAGAAGCTTATTTTTTTTTCAGGTTTACAGTTCTTAAATCCTGTTGCATGATTCTAAAAGAAAAATCTTGAGTGTGCTGAAGCACCTAGGTAATAACTGTCTTTATGTCTTTGCACTACTACATAGCCTATATTAATGCTTTGCACCACACGTTATTTTCTAAAAGCTGAAAAAATGAAACAGAGCTACATCATACCCTTGCCTCTTGGCATGTAGTGACCATCACAGTCATTGGACTGTCAGGCTTTTCTTTGGGTGGAAGGAAAAAACCACAGCCACTGGACTGAACTTTGGTAAGGTCTACATAGATGAGACTGCAGATATCCCTCCGCCCATTTCAACTACAAAAGCTCCACTTCATTTTATTTACTGGGTTTTTGTGTAAAATTTTAATTGAAGAAAGGGATACATGATTAAAAGAAAAATATTAATTTTTTTTTTTTTTTTTTTGAGAAAGCCTTCAATCTTTAAAATGTTCCTGGGCAATGTGGGATGGAGGTAGAGGAAATATTTTTTCCTGTAGTACCTTAGAAGGCAGGAGAAAAAGAGCCATTGCCAAAACCAGAAAGGCCAGAAAGATCTCCCGTGTTAGTGTTAGCAATAGAATTTCCAAAGCCTCACCAGCTCCCTCCTGCCCATAAGCCAGGGAACAGCTTCTGCCAACCTGATCGATTCTTTGCCTTTGCATTTTTCTTTTTTTTTTTTTATGTTACCAGAAAATAAGGATCATTTTATTGTTTTCCTTCCAATCATCTTACTTTTTCTTTTTTTTTTTTATACTTTAAGTTTTAGGGTACATGTGCACATTGTGCAGGTTAGTTACATATGTATACATGAGCCATGCTGGTGTGCTGCACCCACTAACTCGTCATCTAGCATTAGGTATATCTCCCGATGCTATCCCTCCCCCCTCCCCCGACCCCACAACAGTCCCCAGAGTGTGATATTCTCCTTCCTGTGTCCATGTGATCTCATTGTTCAATTCCCACCTATGAGTGAGAATATGCGGTGTTTGGTTTTTTGTTCTTGCGATAGTTTACTGAGAATGATGATTTCCAATTTCATCCATGTCCCTACAAAGGACATGAACTCATCATTTTTTATGGCTGCATAGTATTCCATGGTGTATATGTGCCACATTTTCTTAATCCAGTCTATCATTGTTGGACATTTGGGTTGGTTCCAAGTCTTTGCTATTGTGAATAATGCCGCAATAAACACACGTGTGCATGTGTCTTTACAGCAGCATGATTCATAGTCCTTTAGGTATATACCCAGTAATGGGATGGCTGGGTCAAATGGTATTTCCAGTTCTAGATCCCTGAGGAATCGCCACACTGACTTCCACAATGGTTGAACTAGTTTACAGTCCCACCAACAGTGTAAAAGTGTTCTTATTTCTCCACATCCTCTCCAGCACCTGTTGTTTCCTGACTTTTTAATGATTGCCATTCTAACTGGTGTGAGATGGTATCTCATTGTGGTTTTGATTTGCATTTCTCTGATGGCCAGTGATGATGAGCATTTTTTCATGTGTTTTTTGGCTGCATAAATGTCTTCTTTTGAGAAGTGTCTGTTCATGTCCTTCACCCACTTTTTGATGGGGTTGTTTGTTTTTTTCTTGTAAATTTGTTTGAGTTCATTGTAGATTCTGGATATTAGCCCCTTTGTCAGATGAGTAGGTTGCGAAAATTTTCTCCCATTTTGTAGGTTGCCTGTTCACTCTGATGGTAGTTTCTTTTGCTGTGCAGAAGCTCTTTAGTTTAATTAGATCCCATTTGTCAATTTTGTCTTTTGTTGCCATTGCTTTTGATGTTTTAGACATGAAGTCCTTGCCCGTGCCTATGTCCTGAATGGTAATGCCTAGGTTTTCTTCTAGGGTTTTTATGGTTTTAGGTCTAACGTTTAAGTCTTTAATCCATCTTGAATTGATTTTTGTATAAGGTGTAAGGAAGGGATCCAGTTTCAGCTTTCTACATATGGCTAGCCAGTTTTCCCAGCACCATTTATTAAATAGGGAATCCTTTCCCCATTGCTTGTTTTTCTCAGGTTTGTCAAAGATCAGATAGTTGTAGATATGCGGCGTTATTTCTGAGGGCTCTGTTCTGTTCCATTGATCTATATCTCTGTTTTGGTACCAGTACCATGCTGTTTTGGTTACTGTAGCCTTGTAGTATAGTTTGAAGTCAGGTAGTGTGATGCCTCCAGCTTTGTTCTTTTGGCTTAGGATTGACTTGGCGATGCGGGCTCTTTTTTGGTTCCATATGAACTTTAAAGTAGTTTTTTCCAATTCTGTGAAGAAAGTCATTGGTAGCTTGATGGGGATGGCACTGAATCTGTAAATTACCTTGGGCAGTATGGCCATTTTCACGATATTGATTCTTCCTACCCATGAGCATGGAATGTTCTTCCATTTGTTTGTATCCTCTTTTATTTCCTTGAGCAGTGGTTTGTAGTTCTCCTTGAAGAGGTCCTTCAAGTCCCTTGTAAGTTGGATTCCTAGGTATTTTATTCTTTTTGAAGCAATTGTGAATGGGAGTTCACTCATGATTTGGCTCTCTGTCTGTTGTTGGTGTATAAGAATGCTTGTGATTTTTGTACATTGATTTTGTATCCTGAGACTTTGCTGAAGTTGCTTATCAGCTTAAGGAGATTTTGGGCTGAGACAAAGGGGTTTTCTAGATATACAATCATGTCGTCTGCAAACAGGGACAATTTAACTTCCCTTTTCCTAACTGAATACCCTTTATTTCCTTCTCCTGCCTAATTGCCCTGGCCAGAACTTCCAACACTATGTTGAATAGGAAATCAATAAATGTAATCCAGCATATAAACAGAGCCAAAGACAAAAACCACATGATTATATCAATAGATGCAGAAAAAGCCTTTGACAAAATTCAACAACGCTTCATGCTAAAAACTCTCAATAAATTAGGTATTGATGGGACGTATTTCAACATAATAAGAGCTATCTATGACAAACCCACAGCCAATATCATACTGAATGGGCAAAAACTGGAAGCATTCCCTTTGAAAACGGGCACAAGACAGGGATGCCCTCTCTCACCACTCCTATTCAACATAGTGTTGGAAGAAAAATATTTAAAAATTTTAACGCAGTAAAGTTCTGATAAGAAATCTTTCAAAAAAGCAAAATAATGCTACCACAATTGAAAGTGGTATTGTCAAAAATAACCAGAAAACAAATTACAAAATGGCAGTAGCAAGTCCTTATCTATCAATAATTATGTCACATGTAAATGGATTAAATTTTCCAATCAAAAGACTGAGTGGCTAAATAGATTAAAAAATAAGATCCGGCCAGGCGCAATGGCTCATGCCTGTAATCCCAACACTTGAAGAGGTCAAGGCAGGAGGATCAATTGAGCCTAGTTGTTGGAGACCAGCCTGGGCATTGTAGGGAGAATCTGTCTCTATAAAAAAATAAAAAAAATTAGCCAGGCATCATGATGCATGGCTGTGGTCCCAACTACCCAGGAGGATTGCTTGAGTCCAGAAGGTAGAGGTTGCAGTGAGCCTTGATTGCGCCACTGCACTCCAGCCTGGGTGAGAGAGTGTGACTCTCACAAAATCTAAAAAATAAATAAATGAAAAATGAGATCCAACCATATGCTGCTTATAAGAGATTCACTTTACTACTAAGGACATTCATAGACTGAAAAGGAAGAGAAGGAAAAAGATATTTCATGAAAATAGAAATCAAAAGAGGGCAGGGGTAGCTATACTTATATGAGACAAAAAGGACATTAAGTCAAAAACTATAAAAAGAGACAAAGGTCATTATGTAATGATAAAGGAATCCATTTACTAAGAGGATATAACAGTTATAAATACATATGCACCTCAAATTGGAGTACCTAAAAACATAGGGCAATTGATTATCTGAAGGGAAAGACAGACTACAATACAGCAAGAGCAGGGGACCTCAATACCCTTCTTTAGACAATGAACAACTCATCTAGACAGAAAATCAGTAAGGAAACATTGGGCTTGAATTATACTTTAAACCAAACAAAAATATACAGAACATTCCATTAAACAGCAGCAGAATACATATTCTTCTAAAGTGCAAATAAAACATTCTCCCCAATAGATCATATGTTAGACCACAAAACAAGACTTAACAAATTTAAGAGGACTGAAATCATATCAAGTATCTTTTTGGATCACAATGCAATAAAACTTGAACTCAGTTAACAGGAGAAACCTTGGAAAATATCCAAATATGTGAATATTAAACAACATCTGCCTAAACAACCAATAGGTCACAGAAGAAATTAGAAAGGAATTTTTAAAAAATATCTTGAGACAAATGAAAATGGAAACACAACATACCGACACTTATAGAATGCAGCAAAAGTGCTCCTAAGAGGGAAATGTATAGCAATGAGCATCTATATCAAAAAAGAAAAAAGATCTCAAACAATATACCATTCATTACACATCAAGGAACTAGAAAAAGAAGAACAAACTAAGCCCCAAATTAGCACAGGGAAGGAAATAACAAACATCTAAACAGAAATAAATGAAATAGACACTTAAAAAATGAAAGAAAAAAATCAATGATACTCGGAGTTGTATTTTTGGAAAAATGAAGAAAATCAAGAAACCCTTATCTAGACTAGGAGAAAAGACAGAAGACTCAAAATAAGAAATGAAAGAGGAGATATTACAACTGATACCACAGAAATACAAAGGATCATAAGAAACTACTATGAACAATAAATGGATAATCTAGAAAAAAACAGATAAACTCATAGATATATACAACAAATCAAGACTGAATCATGGCCAGGTGCACTGCCTTAAACCTGTAATCCCAGCACTTTGAGAGGCCAAGGTGGAAGGATCATTTGTCTAGGAGTGCAAGACCAGCCTGGGCAACATAGTGAGACACCATCTCTACAAAAAATAAAAAATCAGCTGAGCACAGTGGCATGCACCTACTGTCCCAGCTACTTGAGAGGTTGAGATGGGAGGATCACTTGAGCCCAGGAGGTTGAGGTTGCAGTGAGCCACGATGAAGCCACTGCACTCCAACCTGGGTGACAGAGCAAGACCCTATCTCAGAGAGAAAAAAAAAAAAGCCCAGGACTAGATGGCTTCACTGCTGAATTCTACCAAACACTTGAAGAAGAACAAATTCTTCTCAAATTCTTCCAAAAAATTGAAGTGGAGAAAATACTTCCCAAGTCATTTTACAAGATCAGTATGGCAATCCTCCTACCTCAGCTTCCTGAGTAGCTGCAGCTATAGGCACCCACCACCATGCCCAGAGAGTTTTTGTATTTTTTGGTAGAGATAGGGTTTCACCATGTTGCCCAGGCTAGTCTCAAACTCCTAGGCTCAAGCAATTTGCCCACTTTGGCCTCCCAAAGTGTTTTTTATTTTTAAAGATAGGATCTCACTCTGTTGCCCAGGCTGGGGTGCAGTGATGCTCTCGCAGTTCACTACAGCTTGAACTCCCGGGCTCAAGCAATCTTCCTGCCTCAGCCTCCCAAGTAGCTGTAATTATTGGCACGTGCCACCATGCACAGCCAATTTTTTTGTTAATTTTTTTTACAGATGGGGTCTTGCTATGTTGCCCAGGCTGGTCTTGAACTCCTGGCCTTAAGCCATCCTCCCATCTTAGCCTCCCTGGTAGCTGAGATTACAGGAATGAATCACTGTGTCCAGCCTACATAGGGTCTTTTACCAATGTAGAATTGCCGTAAGCAGTAATAAAGGTTCCAGAAAAGTATTCAAGGAAGAGATAAGAATTTCCTCTCTAACAAAACATCTCCCAAAGTGAAATATTAATGTATCAATCTTCCTCTAGGGTACATATTTTGTGTCTATTGTCCACTCTAATTTTTACAACCTTGGTCTTCATTTGTTTATTATACTTTCAAAGTCATTCCAGTTCTGTGACTAACAGCAAACTGCACTCAACTATATTTACTAGACAGTTTTTAAAAAGAAGTTTTCTGAAATCATGATATAAAAAGACTATCAACACACTGTTTGAAGTGCATGTACCTATACAATAATGCTTCTACCTATCTACCTACCAACCTAACTAGGGTCATAAAGTATTTAGATTCAAGTCCTGAAAATATCAGGACGATGGCTTGATGTTTTCTTTGCGGAGATATGTTTCACATACAGCAACTATTATGCTCACAGTTGATATAACATCTTGTAAGGAAAATTCCAAAGGACCTAAAAGCTATATTCATAAAGCCTATTTGAAACTTTTGTCTATTTTACTACTTTGCAGCAGTGCATACTCTAAAGAGCTATAGGGAGAAATGGCAGATTAGTAGCTACCTCACCAGGGACCAGTATACCTGGAGGCTTTCTGCTTTTCTTTTTTTTTTTGAGAAGGAGTCTCTGTTGCCAGGCTGGAGTGCCATGGCACAATCTCAGCTCACTGCAACCTCTGACTCCCTGGTTCAAGCAATTCTCCTGTCTCAGCCTCCCGAGCAGCTGGGATTACAGGCATGCGCCACCATGCCCAGCTAATTTTTGTATTTTTAGCAGAGACGGGGTTTCACCATGTTAGCCAGGATGGTCTCGATCTCCTGACCTCGTGATCCACCTGCCTCGGCCTCCCAAAGTGCTGGGATTACAGGCGTGAGCCACCGCGCCTGGCTGGCTTTCTGCTTTCTAACCTTCCCAGAGTTATCATTGGCTTGGCGAGCTAGGCAGAAACTGCTTCCCCAACTGTTCAGAAGTTGACATCTAAGCAGTAGCAGCACCCAAAACAGCTGATCTCAGAGGCTCTTCCACAATACTATGGAAGGACAATACTATCTTTGTAGGTTAAGAATAAAGAAGCAAAAGACAGGGTATCTTCATGGCTCCAATGAAATGGCCTCTCTAGACAGTATGAACCATTTATAACTCAGGCTTTAGAAGGGATTGTGAAATTCTGATCTGCTTGCAAGAAAGCTCTTGGTGGACACTGACATGAAGCAATCCCTACATTTCCCTCTTAGAAAAAGGTGGCACTAAATTGTCAGGCCTCTCCATTTAGAATAAAATAGTACAACTTTTACATGTCTTGGTCTAAGGTCCAAGACTGGTTAGGTCTAAGCATCGAAGGTTAGGCCTGGAGTCACTGCACTGCCTCTAGCTGCAGACGGAAGCAGGTATGGTGAAACATGAAGTAATTGCTGAGACACAGAAGTGTTAACCTCATTTTATGTCTAAATAAAAGGTAGTAGTGTGGTAATTATTGCCGGCAACAGCAATTCTAACACCAACAACAAAACTGTAGCCACGTCTGGTTATGATATTTTTTCTTCAGAGAATCCCACAAAGGGAGAAATGCAAATGTCTGAGATATCCGAGAGACTAAGCTAGTATCTCACAAGTTCAATTATAGCCAATAAAGGTAGACTATGCTTCTGGGCATCTTTATAGATATGAATCAACTTCCGAGTATAGTTTGAAGAGACAGAAAATGGTAAATGATAATTTACCATTATCATTTCCAGAATTTTCTGAGGAATGTAGCATAATATCTGGGTAATAAGTAACTATTTATAAATGGATATCCTCGTCACTCCAACAGTATTATTTCTAGGAAATTATAGTTTCAAGTCTGCTGGGAGGACCATATTCAATCTGATTGTGAGGGTGTACATACCTTTATTTGCTCTTACCATTTGCACTGGCTAGTTACTGGACTGAATTGGAGGCTTCTCTTTTAAAACTGGGAAACCATCCTGGCCTTAAAAACCAATAACCACAGCAACTTTTGCCAAAGTGTCTTACTAACTGGTTCAAATGGCCTTAATTCAGAGCAATCTAGCTTATTGCTGAAAGAAAACTTTTTTTTTTCCCCAGACGTGGTCTCATTCTGTCACCTAGGCTGGAGTGCAGTGGTGTGATCATGGCTTACTGCAGTCTGGACCTCCCAGGTGCAATCCTTCTGCCTCAACCTCCCAAGTAGCTGGGACTATAGCGGCACACCACCATGCCTAGCTAATTTTTATATTTTTAGTATAGATGGAGTTTCACCATGCTGCCCAGGCTGGTCTTAAACTCCTGGGCTCAAGCAATCTTCCTGCCTCAGCCTTCCAAAGTGCTAGCATTACAGGTGTGAGCCACCATGCCCAGCCTGAAAGAAAACTTCTTTTTTGAGAGGGAGTCTTGCTCTGTCGCCCAGAATGGAGTGCAGTGGCGCAATTTCAGCTCACTGCAACCTCCACCTCCCTGGTTCAAGAGATTCTCTTGCCTTGGTCTCCGGGTAGCTGGGATTACAGGTGCGTGCCACCACGCCCGGCTAATTTTTTGTATTTTTAGTAGAGGCGGGGTTTCACCATGTTAGCCAGGATGGTCTCGATCTCCTGACCTTGTGATCCACCCGCCTCGGCCTCCCAAAGTGCTGGGATTACAGGTGTGAGCTACGGTGCCCAGCCTAATTTTCATATTTTTAGTAGAGACGGGGTTTCACCACGTTGTTCAGGCTGGTCTCGAACTCCTGACCTCGTGATCTGCCCACCTCGGCCTCCCAAAATACTGGGATTACAGGCGTGAGTCACCACGCCTGGCAAGAAAACTTTTTAATGGTCCTAGGGGCAAGTATAAATTTTCTAGGACCTAGAAGACAACGCTGTCATTGCTTGCAAAGTCAAACGAATAAATTCAACAATGACTTTTTTGTTTTTTAGAGACTGAGACAGGCGGAGTGCAGTGGTGCAACCTTGGCTCACTGCAACCTCTGCCTCCCGGGTTCAAGCGATTCTTATGCCTCAGCCTCGCAAGTAGCTGGGATTGCAGGCTCACGCCACCACGTTGGGCTAATTTTTGTATTTTTAGTAGATGTTGGCATGTTGGCCGTGGCTGGTTTCAGACTCCTGATCTCAAGTGATCCACCCGCCTCAGCCTCCCAAAGTGCTGGGATTACAGGTGTGAGCCACTGCACCTGGCCAACAATGACATTTAATGGTTACCTTATTCTAAAAGGATTGCCATATGTGAAATGACTACGGAAAAATATACAGTGGCATTTAATCATATGTGCATTTAATTTATGAGAACATGAGCTTGGCAAAAAAAAAAAAAAAAGAGGAAAATTACAAGTAGTACAGAATTCTTACTGCCATTTGATTCAATAAGCATATGTCCAGGTGAGGATGAGATGGCAGATGTTAATCCAATGTCCAGACCTTAGGAGATCCTAGTTGCTATTCCCTTAGAGAGTGGGCATCTGTCAGTGCTGGGTGTGACTCTGTGTTTATATTTGATACAACATGGCTCCTAAAACAAAATTTTTTACCAATGCAAATTTCACTTTAAACATTGGTTATACACCCTATGCCTGGGTAAGATTTTGTGGCTGAACCACAAGGAACCTGATCCATGTACTTGTGATGATGGTATATCACAAATATACCAGAACCTGATCAAATGAGGATTCACCACCAGTGACAGGCAGATAGGCAGACCTTATCAAACCATCCATTGACAAGAATCATAATGAAACCAACCTGAAATAGACTAAATCATTAAGAACACCAAGTTACATAACCTTCTCCATGAGGCTAGAGTGGGCACACAAGTGCTTCCTAGCCACAATAACCATGGTTTATTGAAAGAATATGGTTTTTAAATTTAAGACAATTTTTCAGAATTGTTCTCACAAAGAAAAGCTTTTTTCCTCAAAGAACATTTGGGGATCACATGTAAATGGGCTGCTAAAGGCCTCAGAGTTTCCCTGAGGCTAAGGGGTCTCTGTTACCTTACTTACATCATGATAGAGATCTAACAATAATATTCAGAAAACCAAAAGATAACCTTTATGCCCTAGCACAATCTATAAAATGCCATCACATCAACCAACATATCAATATATTAATTGCATCATATCAACATATTACAGTGGATACAATTTTCATCTATGGAAAAAACTAAATACTTAAAGAGGTAAGTACTTTGAAAATTAACTGGTACCCAAGAGCCTAGTAACTGAATACCACTCTTGAAGAGGATACTGACCCTTTGAAAAAGTCCTGTTTGCTGAGTTTTTCTGACTGTACCAGCTGATAGAGTAATTGGCCCATGTGATCCCTGGTGATCTGGCTCCTTTCCAGGGTGGACTCCACTCCCACTCTCACAAAAACATGTAGTAGGCCCTGGGCATTCAGCTCTTCCACACACTGCATGGCTTCCTGTTCCAACAGCAAAGAAAGGTTTACTCCAAAATCTGAATAGTGTTACCAGAATGTTAAGATAACTTTAAAATCTTTTACTTACAACAGAATCAGTAGAAACTTCCATGAACAGGACAGTTTTCAAATATAAGTTTATATTTGTTTAACATAATTTATAGCTCAGTAAATTACAGGCTGATATGGGCAATATTAAAAGTCATACAAAAAAAGAGCATTACAGCCCTTTTCAAATTTATCTAGTAGGTTTTCCAGTTTTTACCAGAGAACTGTTTTTATAAATAAAAAAAATTTTATAATGATGCATCTTTACAAAGCTAACATGTTTAGTTTAACAATTTTATTAAACATCACTCAAAGGGTGAGTCAAATGTATTTTTCTACATAATATTTACTTATTTTATGATCACTGATTTAAAAAATTGAAAATGGTATATTATGAAATAGAAATTTAATGTCATGATTCAAAAGCCTTAATGTGTCAACAGAGGTTACTGTGTCTGTGTAGGTTAATATTTGCACAATCTTCAATGAAAAAGGTCTTCCTTCATATGAAAGTTAAATTTAAGTGATATGGTTAGGTTAAGCATTAAAATTCTTTTAGTAAGTTCTTGTGGTATGCTTCTTAATTTGTGCTTGTTAACTGGTGTTTACTATAGAGTATCCAGCCAAGTCAATATCTTTGGTCTGAAGGGTGAAAGTCGGTCAGCCAGAGTTGCTGATACACCAATAAAGCAGTGTATCTCTCTGTTCTCAGCTACTGGAAATTAGTCTGGTGCCCTGAATTCACAATCTTTTGGTTCAACCTTTGCAGCAAAGTAGCTCTTCCAAGGGGGAGGATGTAGGTAGGAAGGGGGAGGATGTAGGTAGGAAGGGGGAGGATGTAGGTAGGAAGGGTGATGAACTGATGCAGAAGGGAGAAGGCTCATCTAGGTGTCTCACCACTGCCGCTTTTTCCTCCCTGCTCCTTTATTTAATACCTCCCTCACATTAACTTTTTATCTAACAAAATTTCAAGCCTACAGAAAAATTAAAGAGTCATACAATATACAACTACATATCTTCACTTTTAGATTCATCAATTGTTGTTTTCTTTCTGAATGTCCAAGAGATTTACTATAATGTCAATAAAAATATTTGATATATAGTACATATTCAAATTTCCACAACTGTCTCTGAATGTCTAATATAGCTTTTTGTTGTTGCTGAGTCCAGTTGAGAACCCGACTTTACATGTTATGTTGTTCAGATTCCTTTAATCTAAAATCGTCCTTTCTCTTTTTTGTCTTTTCATGACATTGCCATTTTTGAAACATTCAAGACAATTATCATGTAAAATGGTTTCTTTTTTCTTTTGAGACAGAGTTTCACTCTTGTTGCCCAGGCTGGAGTGCAATGACGTAATCTTGGCTCACTGTTACCTTTGCCTCCCAGGTTCAAGAGATTCTCCTGCCTCAGTCTCCCAAGTAGCTGGGATTATAGGCATGAGCCACTACGCCTGGCTAATTTTGTATTTTTAGTAGAGACAAGGTTTCTTCATGCTGGCCAGGCAGGTTTCAAACTCCTGACCTCAGGTAATCGCCTGCCTCAGCCTCCCAAAATGCTGGGATTATAGGCGTGAGCCACCGCGCCCGGCTGTAAAATGTTTCTTATATATGCTTTTAACCAACTAATTCCCTTTTGTTTCTGGCCACATCTGTACCTCACAGACAGTCTTAGTTTGTTAAATAAATTACCACTCATCCTTCTTATTTCCAACTTCCAGAACGTTGCTTCTGTCTATTCCCTGGTCTCTTCATCCTTGTGGGTCTTTTAGTTTTTTTTTTTTTTTAAAGAGAGAAGGTCTCACTTAGTTACCCAGGCTAGAGTGTAGTGGCATGATTATAGATCACTGCTGCTTCAAATTCCCAGGCTCAGGCAATCCTCCCGCCTCAGCCTCCCAAGTAGCTGGGACCACAGGCATGCCACCATGCCCGGCTAATTTAAAAAAATTTTTTTGTAAAGATGGATATCTTGCCCAGGCTGGTCTCAAATTCCTGGGCTCAAGTGATCCTCTAGCCTTAGCCTCCAAAAGTGCTGGGATTACAGGTGTGAGCCACCATACCTGGCCCCTTGTGGGTTTTTTAACCTTATTTTAAGCCAATCAACATCATTGTTATGCCTTTTCAAGAGGACTTGTAAATGAATGCAAATATTCAATCCTCAGGCTGGAAGCGGTGGCTCACACCTGTAATCCCAGCACGTTGGGAGGCCAAGGCGGGCAGATCATTTGAGGTTCAGCAGTATGAGACCAGCCTGGCCAAGAAGGTAAAACCCCGTGTCTACCAAAAATACAAAAATTAGCCGTGTGTAGTGGCACACGCCTGTAATCTCAGCCACTCGGGAGGCTGAGACAGGAAAATCGCTTGAACCCGGGAGGCGGAGGTTGCAGTGAGCTGTAATCACCCCACTGCACTCCAGCCTGGGCGACACGGTGAGACTCTGTCTCCAAAAAATAAATAAATAAATAAATAAAAATCATTCCTCAGTATTTAAATGGAAGTGATTAAATGTCTTCTAATGGGAATTCATTCACTGTGTTTGCATAAAGGGTCAATTAGCTATATCATGATATATATTTTTTAAACTTTTAAGATCAGGGGTACATGTGCAGGATGTGCAGCTTTGCTACATAGGTAAATGTGTGTCATGGGGGTTTGCTGTACGGATTATTTCATCACCCAGATACTAAGCCTAGTATCCATTAGTTATTTTTCCTGATCCTGTCTCTCTCCTTCCACCTTCTGTCCTCCAGTAGGCCCCAGTGTGCATTTTTCTCCTCTACGTGTCCATGTGTTCTCATCATTTAGTTTCCACTTATAAGTGAGAACATGAAGTATTTGCTTTTCTGTTCCTGCATTAGTTTGCTAAGGATAATGGCCTCCAGCTCTATCCATGTCCCTGCAAAGGAAAGGATCTTGGTCCTTTGTATGGCTGTATAATATTTCATGGTGTCTATGTACCGCATTTTCTTTATCCACTCTATCGTTGATGGGCATTTAGGTTGATTGCATGTTTTTGCTATTGTGAATAGTGCTACAATGAACATACGTGTGCATGTGTCTTTATAAGAGAACAATTTATATTCCTTTGGGTATATACACAGTAATGGGATTGCTGGGTGAAATGGTATTTCTGTCTCTAGGTCTCTCAGGAATCGCCACACTTCCACAATGGTTGAACTAATTTACCCTCCAACAGTGTAAAAGTGTTCCTTTTTCTCCACAACCTCGCCAACACCTATTATTTTTTGACTTTTTAATAATAGTCATTCTGACTGGTATTAGATGGTATCTCATTGTGGTTTTGATTTGTATTTCTCTAATAATCAGTGATATTGAGCTTTTTTATCTTGTGATTGTTGGCCACATGTATGTCTTCCTTTGAGTACTGTCTGTTCATGTCCTTTGTCTACTTTTTAGTGTGTGTTTTTTTTTTCTTGTAAATTTGTTTAAGCTCCTTACAGATGCTGCACATAAGACCTTTGTCGGGGGCCGGGCATGGTGGCTTACGCCTGTAATCCCAGTATTTGGGATGCGGATCACCTGAGGTTAGGAGTTTGAGATCAACCTGGCCAACGTGGCGAAACCCCGTCTCTACTAAAAATACAAAAAATTAGCTGGGTGTAGTGGCGGGCGCCTGTAATCCCAGCTACTCGGGAGGCTGAGGCAGGAGAATCACTTGAACCCGGGAGGCAGAGGTTGCAGTGAGCCAAGATTGCGCCACTGCACTCCAGCCTGGGCGACAAGAGCAACACTCCATCTCAAAAAACAAACAAAAAAAAGACAACAACAAAAAAAACCTTTGTCGGATGTGTATATTGCAAACATTTCCTCCTATTCTGTAAGTTGTCTGTTTATTCTGTTGATTGATAGTTTATTTTGCTGTGCAGAAGCTCTATAGTTTAATTAGATCCCATTTGTCAATTTTTGCTTTCGTTGCACTGTTTTTGGCATCTTCATCATGAAATCTTTGCCTGTGCCTATGTCCTGAATGGTATTGTGTAAGTTTTCTTCTTCATAGTTTTGAGTTTTACATTTTAATCCATCTTTAGTTGATTTTTGTATATGGTATAAAGAAAGGCTCCAGTTTCAATTTTCCGCTTATGACTAGCCAGGTATCCCAATACCATTTATTAAAAAGGGAATCCTTTCCCCATTGCTTGTTTTTGTCAGGTTTGTTGAAGATAAGATAATTGTAGGTGTGTAGTCTTATTTCTGGGTTCTCTATTCCGTTCCACTGGTCTATGTGTCTGTTCTTGTACCACACCACGTTGTTTTGGTTACTGTAGCCCTGTAATATAGTTTGAAGTAGGCTGGGCGCGGTGGCTCACGCCTGTAATCCCAGCACTTTGGGAGGCCAAGGAGGGCGGATCACAAGGTCAGGAGATCAAGACCATCCTGGCTAACACCGTGAAACCCCGTTTCTACTAAAAGTACAAAAAATTAGCCGGGCATGGTGGCGGGCGCCTGTAGTCTGAGCTACTTGGGAGGCTGAGGCAGGAGAATGGTGTGAACCCAGGAGGTGGAGCTTGCAGTGAGCCGAGATCGCGCCACTGCACTCCAGCCTGGGCAACAGTGCAAGACTCCATCTCAAGAAAAAAAATAAATAATAAATAAATAAAAAATAAAAAAAATACATATATATAGTTTGAAGTAGGGCAGTGTGATGCCTCCAGTTTTGTTCTTTTTGCTTACGACTGCCTTGGCTATTTGGGCTCCTTTTTTTGGTTCCATATGAATTTTTAAATACTTTTTTCTAGTTCTTTGTAGAATGTCAGTGGGAGTTTAATGGGAATAGCACTGAATCTATAAATTGCTTTGGGTCGCATAGCCATTTTCATGACAGTGATTCTTCCTATCCACAAGCATGGGATGTTTTTCCAGTTGTTTGTGTCATCTCTGATTTCTTTGAATAGTGGTTTGTAGTTCTCCTTGTAGTGATCCTTCACTTCCCTTGTTAGCTGTATTCCTAGGTATTTTATTCTTTTTGTGGCAATTGTGAATGGGAGTTCACTGGAGATTTGGCTTTCAGCTTGACTGATGCTAGTGATTTTTGCACTTTGATTTTGTATCCTGAGTCTTTGCTGAAGTTGCTTATCAGCTTAATAAGCTTTTGGGCTGAGATGATGGGGTTTTCTAGATACAGGTTCATGTCATCTGCAAACAGGGAGAGTTTGACTTCCTCTCTTCCTATCTGAATATGCTTTATTTCTTTCTCTAGCCTGATTACCCTGGCCAGTACTATGTTGAATAGGAGTGGTGAGAGAGGACATTCTTGTCTTGCACTGGTTTTCAAGGGTAATACTTCCAGCTATATCATTATACTCACAGTGTCATAGCAGTTCATAACCTCGCCCTTCCATCTGGTTTTCTTATGGTTTGCTTCTTTTTGTCTTTGAGCTTTTAGTTGAAATGATACTTCCTGTCTTCCCTGACTCCATCAAATCACATAATTTTAGTTTTTGGCACTGAAAACATTTTTTTGGTAGCTACTGTTTATTTATTAATTTACTACCTATCTTTAGGGCCAGACTTGTCTGTATCTCCCCACTGGAATGTAAGCTCCATGGAAGCAGATTTTGTTGTTCACTACAAATATGGTATACCCAGTCATAACCCCTAAAATGTGGCTAGCACACTTAGGTATTCAATAAATAAATAGCATAGAGGCTAAAACATGCACGGTGGGGTCAGACAGAGGTGCATTTGAACCCTGGCTCTGCCACTTACTACTTTAGAGTTTAGGAGTTTAACTTAATCTCTTGGGCTTAACTTTTTAGAGTTACCGTGAGGAATGTATATAAAATATAGGTATAAGAACTTGGCACAGTGCCAGGCACAAAATAAACCCTCAATAAATATTAATTTGAATCACTGTTAAAAACAATAGCACCTAATAGGAAGATATTTGGAAAAAATATTTTTAAGATCAGCTCTTTAAGTCTTTAGCCTGACACACTAATACCCCAAAGGTAATGAGATAAAGCATTTTCTCCTCTGAAGCTAGAAACTTAGCTTTGAATCCTCAATCTGGCACTTATTAGCAGTTAAGATTTTGAACAAGTTGATTTACATCTTTGCACCTCAGTTTCCTTATCTGAAAAATGGGTATGATAATAACATCAACTTCAGGAGAATGTTACGAGGACAATACAAACTAATACATGCCGAATATGTACAACAGCACCCAACGCAGAGTAAGTCCTCAGTAAATGCCCAATGTTAATACCTGTTTTAACCATATTGCAGGCACAGTTGCTTTGTACACTGCACAATGAAATTCTAAAGATACAACGATTCTGCCCCTTCTGTATTGCAAGCCTGGCCCAGGGCTCATGATTCTCCAAAGAGTCCTCCTATTGTACTCTTTAGGTGTTACTAAGGTCTTTTACTCCCTATACCTCCAGTTCATCACAGGATCATATTTTTCCCCTTTTAAAGGGTTATTCATTGACTTTGTACATCCTTCAAATTACATCTGAAGCCAATCTCCACTGTTTTCTTCCTTACTGTCTTGGCGTTTCATCTTTCTTGGCCATTCTAATTTTTTTGCAATTCGTTCACATTTCCCTACTTCCATGCAAGAAAAAGGCTATGCTGCCAATTTATAAGAATACCCCTAATTTTCCAGGAGGCTAACTGATGAATCACAGTACATCAGGTTTATTCTTTGGCTATTTCCCGTTAATGTTCATTTACTTTGGTACATTTCCAACAGTTTCTGCAAAGCACTCACCTCCACCTCACTCATCATCAAAAACTTCCTTCTACTTCTTCTGAATTTTGAAGAATTTCAGAGGCTTGAAGGCTTTAGAAGATTGAACTATAGATAACCAAGGTGATTTTTATATGTGGAAAGCAGATGATGATTACACTGTTAAGAAAACAAGTAATATTTTCTTTTTTTTTGTTTGTTTGAGACAGTCTCACTCTGTCACCCAGGATGGAATGCAGTGGATGATCTCGGCTCACTGCAACCTCTGCCTCCCGGGCTTCAAGTGATCCTCCCATCTCAGCCTCCTGAGTAGCTGGGACTACAGATGCGTGCCACCACACCTGGCTAATTTTTGTATTTTTTGTAGAGATGGGGCTTTATCATGTTGCCCAGGCTGGTCTCAAACTCTTGAGCTTAAGTGATCCTCCTGCCTCAGCTCCCAAGGTGCTGGGATTACAGGCATGAGTCACTGCACCCGGCCAAGAAAACAAATAATCTTGAAAGAATTTTTAATAATATAGTGCCAAAGCAGCAAAAGTAGTTAATATATCTGACAAATACTTTAACAGATAAGACTGTTTTAACAGATTAGCCTTTCCTGACCTCACATCACTTAATCAGATCCCATTAATGGATTTCTCCTAAGACCTATAGGTCTACTAGCATTTATCATAACTACAGTTAAGTAACTGCTAGTGGAGTTATTTGTTTATGGTTTGTCTCTGCCACTAGACTATAGGGTTCACAAGGTCAGGTAGAAATGTCTTATTCACTACTATCTCAAAATGAAGATTAAAGAGAAGGTAAGGGTTAAAGGGCAAATTCAAGGCCTTGTCTTGAAATCTCTGGCTTAGGCTGTCTGACCTGGCACATTGCTTGTTTCTTTATGCCTCAGTTTTATGAAATAAAGAAAAAGTAATGCTGGCCATATTTCAAGATTAATATGAGAATGATAACAGAATGATTATAAAGACCATGACAGGCCAGGTGTGGTGGCTCACGCCTGTAATCTCAGCACTTTGGGAGTCCGAGGTGGGTGATCATTTGAGGTCAGGAGTTCAAGACCAGCCTGGCCAAAATGGTGAAACCCCGCCTCTACTAAAAATACAAAAATTAGCTCAGCATGGTGACGGGCACCTGTAGTCCCAGCTACTTAGGAGGATGAGGTAGGAGAATTGCTTGAACTTGGGAGGCGGAGGTTGCAGTGAGCCGAGATCGTGCCACTGCACTCCAGCCTGGGCAACACAGCAAGACTCTGTCTCAAAAAAAAAAAAAAAAAAAAAAAAAAAAAGACCATGACAGCTATATACAGGGTGCCAGAAATGCTTCATAATGATAATGTGTTGTTTTTGTTCCTTAATATAGAAATCAATTTGGTTTTCCCTTAGTGGGGATGGATTGGTACTCATACTCTCTGCCCACCACTCTATGTTGTAAATTATAGTATCAAATTAAAAGAGAGTACTTGGCAGAAATGCATCAGCGTTAAGCAAACTGAATTGTGTAGGACTTGTATTACTCAACCTAAGTCTTATCAGTTCACAATGACACCTGATTTAGACCAGAACCAAGTTATTCTATACTATCAAAGGACTTACTGTGTGTGTGTTTTTTTTTTAATCTCATTTACCTTAAAATCATTAATGTGTAGAAATTCATCAATGATAGATTTCGACTTCCTCTCCAGTTCCTCTTCTGATAATGCAGCCTTGTCATGAGCTGACATTGCTGAAATTTCTGGTTTTGCTATTAGTGAGGCCCCCCAAAAAAAGTAAAAATAATAAAAATTACTATTAAAATAGTGAGATTATGGTTGACAATATTATGTGCTATTACATTATTTTAATAGCTACAAGACATTTAATAGATAAAAACAGAATACAGAAACCTTTTGTTTTAGAATAGATTCGCACTAAGTAACTTTATAATCTACAATAACAATGAACAAGATTTAGGAACATGATAAACTTTCCTAATTAAAGCTTTTTTGTTCCTTTCTGTATTATGATTGCTCCCCATTGCTTCAAAGATGAAGAGTACATGAGGTCTTCACAATCCTGCACAGGTCAGGGCCCTGCTCGCCACTAAGCTTGAGCCACACTGATCTTGGGCAGCTGCTTGAACAAACCGTGGCTATTCCTACTACAGCTCTGCTCACAGTAATCCTGTCTGGAGTGCTCTTTCCCTCTGTTTCACACCCATCCTTGCCTACGAACCTGTTTCATTCCTACTGGTCCTTCGGATGAAGGAAACCTCCCCTTGCCCCTATTCTACATAGCTCCTTGGTACCAGATAGTTCTAAGTATTCTCTTAGAACTAAATTCCTTCCTTCATAGCACCTTTCTCAGTTTGTGTCTTTCGTGGAATTACTAAAAAAGGTCTTTCTGACTCAGCAGACTGAAGGCCGAGAACAGGGATCAAGGGCCTCACATTCACTGTGCATCTGGTAAGTGTACAAATGAACCAGACAATAAAAACACATAGGGCAGCTGTGCTACATTATTCATTACACCCAAGATATTTTATGTCCTATCCTGTTATATTTCAAAAGTATCTAGCACAGATTTTAAAAAAGCCATATGTCCCTAAAGCTGTATTATCTAAAGTTACACCAATTGGGAGAAGACACTTCAATTTGTCTCTGAGATCCATTTAGGGACTACAGTTAAGAGATACAATTTATATAGTGAAACAAATTAGAAAGCTATATAAATACTAAAAAACTAAAACTGCTATTACTTCATGACTAATATTTAAAAGAGGCTGAAAATAATCTTCAATTTAAACTGTTTTCCATTGCTATATTCGTCATCACAACATTTAATACTTTTTGAAAACCTTGTATTTATCACGTAATGTTCTAAGTGTTTACGTGTATTAACTTCTTATTTAATTTTCATAATATCCTGAAAAGGTAGGTACAACTTATCCCCATTTAACAGATAAGGAAACTGAAACACAGGTTAAATACATGAAGCAATTTTTAGAGCATTATCCGAGCAAGTCCTCTAAGTATATACATGCTAAATGCATACAAAAACAACAGGTTACCACGGAAGATGAAGTCAGCTAAAGATAACCTAATACCTTCTCTTTGGTTTGTCTTGCAGTGGCTCAATGAGAATTTTCACACATTTGAGGAGCTCTACACAGCATACACAATCTAACAGCAACGTCAAGTGTGGGATGTTACAGGGACTTGTAAGAAATTCAGATTGCTTAAAATACAGCAGGAGGACCTCCTCACCATAACATTTAATAGAGAAAGGAGAAAATTTACAAACTGTTCAGCTAAGGCATACCTAGGGAATGAGAACTGTTATAAAACTATGAAGTACCCTTTAACTCTTCAGATGCTGGTATGTGTTGCTATTATGTGTTAATTCTAAAATCTACTCAGGCACAGTCTCTTTTTTATTTTTCCTTCCAAATTTAAAACCCAAATCTGCATCTGTTTAAGCCAAGTCTCTCACCTGACTCCCTTGTTTTATTTCGCTCAGCCTCAGTGCTGTTCCTCTCCACATCCACACCTCCTGTGAGCTGCTTCACGGTCTCCAGCATCTCTCTCCGCTGCTCTTCTTGAGACTGATTGTCTAGCAGGTCTTTACTGCTGCCACCCCTCATGAAAGTATTTGGCCGAGCTGTTGCAGATGGAAGGGGCTTGTCATTCTTCTCCCTGCCCATACTTCCACGACTTAAAAGACAAAACAACACTTTTCAAAGGAAAGACAAGCCCATGTCCCCCACATATTCAAATTATAAAATAACACTAAGACTTTCTGAAAGTATACAGAATTTTTCACAGATAACATTAGATGTGTGAGGCACCAATTATATTTCAAAGTTTATTCAACAAACAAGTAAAAGAGTGCTTTAAAGGGAATATTTATTAAGATGTTTTAACTTTTTTCTCTGAAGGGATACTATTTAACACTTTAACATGTCAGTGGTGGCCAGGCATGGTGGCTCACACCTGTAATCCCAGCGCTTTGGGAGGCCGAGCAGGGCAGATTACTTGAGGTCAGGAGTTCAAGACCAGCCTGGCCAACATGGTGAAACTGTGTTTCTACTAAAAATACAAAAATTAGCCGGGTTTGGTGGCGGGTGCCTGTAATCCCAGCTACTTGGGAGGCTGAGGCATGAGACTGGCCTGAAACTGCGAGGAGGAAGTAGCAGTGAGCCAAGATTGCGCCACTGCACTCTAGCCTGGGTGACAGTGAGACTCTGTCTCAAAAAAAGCCAGTGATAATTTTGGTAATTTCTTTCTCTTTTCTTTTTTGAGATGGAGTTTTACTCTTGTTGCCCAGGCTGGAGTGCAATGGCGTAATCTCGGCTCACTGCAACCTCCGCCTACGGGTTCAAGTGATTCTCTTGCCTCAACCTCCTGAGTAGCTGGGATTACAGACAGGGTTTCTCCATGTTGGTCAGGCTGGTCTCGAACTCCCGATCTCAGGTGATCTGCCCACCTCGGCCTCCCAAACTGCTGGGATTACAGGCGTGAGCCACTGTGCCCGGCCTTAATTTTGGCAATTTCTTTTTTTAGTTTTAAAAAATCTTTCAGGAATAAAGAAGACAATGATAAAGTATGAGTTACATAAATGAAAGGGAAACAAATATTATAAGAACATGGTATCACTATCTCAGAAATTATGCAATGATACCTTTTTATTTAGAATCTTTAAACATATGGAAAATATTTGAGAATCAAGAAGAAGCTGTCTTGGATTAGCCAACGCTATATATTTTATTCCTTTTAAGAGAGACTCTCCATATTTCCTGATTCGTCTTCTTTTAGACAATTCTAACCAGCTGAGCAAACAGTTCGTTGGCCCGTGGCAGACCAGAAGCAGCAAATTAAAAGGGAAAAGGAGAGACTCGGGCAGGAAAATGGTCTAACTATTGTGAAAGAACATACACAAGTGCTTAGGAAGCAGAACCATTAGGGGACATTTATGACAGGGCAAAGCGCCACAAGTGATACTCAATGACAACCTGAATCATCATGAAAAGCTGCCTTGTGCTAACTATACTTTGTTTCAATAGAAGTCAAGGGAATAAGAACACAGTTTACAAAGTCTACCTAATCAAACTTATTACAATAATAATAATAAAAAGCCTGATGGGAGCATCGCTTGAGACCAGGAGTTCAATGCCAGCCTGGGCAACATAGCAAGATGCCATCTCTAAAAAATAATAATTAAAAAAAAAAAGTTTTAGAGCTTAAAGAAACTTCAATTCTGAAAGTGCTTATGTAAAAAATGTTATTTTTTGTGACTGCACTACAGGGTGCCCATTCATTTTATGTAAACCAGCCAACAGGATACTTGACTGTATCAATCCTAGAAAAGCAAAAGCAGAAAGATAGTGAAATATGGAGACTAGCAAAAACTGAAGGACAACCTCAAATATAACATGAAGAGTGTGACAGAGAAATGTATGGGTGGATTGTCATGTTCTTTAATTCCCATGGTTGAGAATGCTAGGTGCTTCTAGAACATCTGGAGGATTAGCTTGCGGAGCCCCTAGACATGCCTCCAGGGCTGTTTGGGTGGGCCTAGCTTTCTTAAGAATCCCTTCCCTCCCATCCCATCCCAAATTCACCACCCAATTATGTTCCTATCTTAGAAATTATAGTGTGTGAAGATTAAAGAAATCAACTTTAGGAATAAAAGGAATGCATCCATAAGGATTGCTATCAAAACCCTTGTTCTTATCTTGCCACACATACTGGCAAGCGGGCCAGCCTTGAGTAGACATAAAAAGCAGGGTTCTCACCTAGTTAAGGTCCTTCGGGAATCAAACTCTACAGGCGTGGATGGCGTGGACCCTGAGGGTGCTGGAGGTTGCAGGGCAGAGAATCTGTTTAAACTGGAAGCACTTGACCGTAAGGCATCTACACATGTCGAGGATTTAGAAAAAAATACAAATCACATGACTAAAATGCAAATAATCAGTCATCTGCATCCCTAGGTGAGGCCTGAGACCAGGCATTCCTAACAAGCTTAGGTGACGCCCATCTCCTGGTCCCTCTACCATATTCTGAGAAGCAAAGTGTTAGAGGGAATTTGCACATAATAGAGTTTAGAAGTCTTTATTTATTTCAACCATTGGTTCCTTTAAAAACATAGTAAACAGGGGTGGGAGTGGCATATAGGAGGAGGAAGGCAAGCGAAAACAGAACAAAACTTTAACAAAGCTAACCAGCACAAATGCTCCAATCTCATTTGTGCACAAATATGCATGTGGGTTTTACTGAATAATGACATTTTTTAAAATTTAAAGAAAAAAAGGTTGAAATTACTTAGTAGAAGGGACATATAGGAAGTAGGTTAACATTAAATTTTTTTTCTTTCCATTGGGCTTCCTCAAGCTAGTAAGATGTGTTTGTGAGATCCAAACATCTTTGGTCCTGAGGTCAAATCTCTCAAAATCTGATTTTCGAAAAAGATTTTGAACAATGTTTCTTTATTCTTTTACAGCTCCCTAAAATTATAGTAAATGCTCTGCATATTAAGATTCTTTTATCAGCATAATGAGTTTCCCTTTTAATTTAGGGTCCCAGTAATTTCTCTAGCTATATTAAATTTGTGAACAACAACAAAAAGGGAACCTAAAAAATTAAGGTCTTAGTGGCTGAGTGTGGCTCATAACTGTAATCCCAGCACGCAGGAGGCCAAGGTGGGAGGATCACTGCAGCCCACGAGTGCAAGACTAGCCTAGGCAACACAGTGAGACTCCATCTCTACAAAAAATTAAAAAAAAAAAAAAAAATCAGCCAGGTGTGATGGCGTGCACCTGTAGTCCCAGCTACTCAGGAGACTGAGGCAGGAAGATTGCTTGAACCTAGGTGGTTGAGGCTGTGGTGAGTTGTGATCATGCCACTACACTCCAGCCTGGGTGACAGAGCGGGATCCCATCTCAAAAATATATAAATAAATAAATAAATAAATAAATAAATAAAGGTCTTAATTAAATAGTCTAAATGAATGAATTGAAATTAAAAAAATACTTAAAATTATTTAAGGATCCTGAGAAAGGATCTATGTTGAAAGGAAAGGGCTACCAATAAAATTTTAGGCATGATTAGTCTACACATCTTTCCCAAAAACCATCATTCGATGACTATGGGAATGCGCTGTAAGGCAAATGCTAACAAGCCACAGCCAGGTTTGAGAAGGGACACACACACTTACCAGTCTCACTTGCCTTTGCTCCACCACTGCTGCCTTTTCCCCAGCTGCCTAGCTGTGCTTTAGGTACCAGCTGAATTTTTTCATCAATTGTAGGCTGTAACATAAGGGACCACAAGTCAATTATAGGAAATATTCTAGAAGAATAGTTTTTCTTTTATTTTTTTCTTCTTCAGTGAAGTAGAACCAATTTTAGCAACAAAAATTTGTTTGGAATGCCAATTTAATAGAAACAGAAATTGGAGCTGTTCTCATTAAACTGGGATCCATGTGGCCCCTGAAGCACTTCCCTGGACTCCAGTTTCCACAAAAAACTGTTTGGTCTAGAGAATGCATCCAGGTCCTCCTGTTTAAGATGGTTTATGAATTTGCTAACTGTAATAAGCAGTTTCTAATCATTCTTCTTGTACAATACCCATTAATTTTAAAAATAAAAAATACAAATACTACAAAATTAATTCATTAGTGTCTTTACATGACTGTCAGAAAACAGATCAACAGACATAAAAATTTCATGTTGGCTAGAGACAGGCAGTGGGATGTGAGTATTCAATAAAGAATAAGAAGAAAGAGATTGGAATGTTAGGCAGGGAGCACAGGAAGTTAAGGTGCCTGATATCTCATGTTTAATCTTCCAAGCACAACTTTACTACAAGTGAAATAAAATTACGCTGTAATGCATATTATTATAAAATACATATAACATAAAAGCTGTAATGTAGCGCTTTGTAAAAAAGGTATTTCTATGGTCTGACAGCTCATAATATATATGTTGCTATGCTATGTAATATGCTTTCACACAAACCACTCCCAATTAACAATAAATATGTATAACGGTTTTGTTCTAGGATACCCATGTATAGTACCTCCAGTATAACTATCTGAATACACAAAGTTTATTAGCAATTTACATACTTAAAAATATTAAGGTAGTAATGTTGGAGGTTTGATACCAGCACTGTTTTTATAGTATCCAAGCACGGAAAGCATAATATTTAAAAATACAAATGTTGTTATTAAATACCGACACATTTTTCAAAATGCTGGAGGACTTCTTTAAACATAAACTTTTAGTTAAAACTGTCTCTAGATGGAAATGGAGATGGGTAAGACTCAAATTGTATTCAGCAATGGAATTCCTACTCTGAGATATAAACAACTAGAAGAAAGTACCAGAATCTTGGAGAAAAGGATCCTAGCTAATTACATTATTAAGAGAGATTCAGAAGGAGAATTTTCTATCATGAAGCAAAGCTTTGACAAAACTGTGAAGATGCAAATGACATAGCCCATTTTATTCCAATTTTCTTAAAGACTTTTCTTAATACTTCTTGTCAGTTATCTTCTTTCATGTAGTATTTTCACATTAGTTTTGATTGTCTTCAGTATTTTGCTAGCAGGGTGCCGATTTTCAGAACTATGGGAAGTATAAGGATCAAACTAGACTTGCAAATGATTTGGAAAACCCACTGGACTTTAGAAGTTTCCACTCTTATCATATTTAATTCTGCTTTCTCTACATTCTCCAAAGTTCTTCATCCTCCTTACAATGATCAACTTTTACTGCTGAAAATACCTGCTACAGAAAGTTTTTTCCTCTTACTGCCCACAGACTCTCAAAAAGAGAGGAAAGCAGACAGAGTCTCTTAAATCCTTATTACAGAATGATTTCTAGTAGGCCCTCTGTGGTTTCCTTTACGCCTTGGATAAGGCAAATCTTTCATGGTTAGGTTTAAACAGGTGATTGCTTTTTTCCCCAGAGCTACGGATACATTGTGTAAAAGCCTGCAATTGACTTAGGCTTCTAAAATATCTTTGTTATTACCTCTTGTATATTAAGCATCTTATGTCTAAGAAGTAACCTAGTCTTTTCCTCTTTAGTAAATCCTTATAGAAGTAGAAATGAGGCCGGGCGCGGTGGCTCACGCCTGTAATCCCAGCACTTTGGGAGGCCGAGGTGGGTGGATCACAAGGTCAGGAGATCGAGACCATCCTGGCTAACACGGTGAAACCCCGTCTCTACTAAAAAATACAAAAAATTAGCCGGGTGTGGTGACGGGCACCTGTAGTCCCAGCTACTTGGGAGGCTGAGGCATGAGAATGTTGTGAACTCGGGAGGTGGAGCCTGCAGTGAGCCAAGATCGTGCCACTGCACTCCAGCCTGGGCGACAGAGTGAGACTCCATCTCAAAAAAAAAAAAAAAAAGAAAATGTAGAAATGAGTTTGTAGAATACATTGATCAATAGTAACTTGAAGAAAAATGCATTAAAAAATAACCACCCCATGGATTTGCAATATTGCTGTTTTACTTTAATAAGTACTTTTGAGACACGTTTTGCAACTATTGTAAATTGTGTGTGTGTGTGTGTGTTTTAATATCAAAGGCATCAAAGGAGAGCGTAAATTGTACTTTAAATGTCAGACTCACCTTAGTGATTTTTAGGAATTTTGAGGGGTCCAGTACCCGACTGTTCTTGGCCCCTTGTACAGTGTTCCACCCACCTTCGTCCACTCTCTGGACACCTGCAGGGAGAACAGAGTGGGAGTCTCTCATCTGTCTCAAGTCAGTTTTACATTGAAAGAGTGAGCAATATTTTCATCAAAACCAAGGAGAAAGACAACAGAAGATGTTAAAGCATTGATGACAATATCTTTAATCCCATGGCAGGAAAATATAAGCAGAAGCACCCTGTATCAGCAGAAGCACCCTGTATCAGCAGAAGCACTGCTTATTTTGGATCACCCATGAAACATTACTGACCTAGAAACAAACAACTGACACAAATGAATACCTGGTGCTGGAGAAGGCAGGGCTAAATCCAGTATTCACAGAATTAATGACTAGAACACTTTCGGAGAAGTCAGATGGAAATTATTTATTCTAAAGTATATTGTATTTAATGGGATCAAATGACAGAAGTATGCTTTATTTCCCAAATCTGCTTCTCCAACATTTCAGCTGCACAGGTGGAAAACCTTGACTCCTCTTTCACACTTCACATCCAATTTTTGTCAGTAAACCTTGCCAGTTAAACCTATACAATACATTCAGAATCTACTACCAACATTAGCAGTTTTGTTTAAGCCACCAACACCCCTTTCCTAGATTACTGCAGAGACGTGTTTTGGCCTTCCTGCTTCTACCTTCAGCTGTGCTCATCATGGCAGCCAGTGTGATCCTAGTAAAGTACAAAATTCGTCACTTTTTTGTTCAAAACACTTCTGATACCTTTCTGTCTCATTCAGAGAAAAAGAGAAGATTCCTTACAAATGGCCTCTAAATAATCTGGCTCCTGCTGCCTCTAAGTCCCCATCTTCTACCACTCTCCCCGTCAGGCCCTTCTTAGGTTCAGCTGCACTGGCCCCCTTGCTATTCCTTGAAAATGCTGCTTCAGGGTCTTTGTACTTACTACTCCCTTTGCCTAAAAGTCTCTTTCCCCAGATTTCCACATGATTTAACACCCTCACTTGCTTCAGGTCTTTGCTCAAACAATACCAACTTTTATAGTTTCCCCAGTTTTCCTGTTTAAAACTGCACCCTACTCACCAAGATTTGCACTCCCTAGTCCCTTCTCCCTTCTTTGTTTTTCTACAAATTTATTTGACAAATGATATATTTTATTTAAGTATTTATTATTTATTGTCTCCTCTCTCCCCTCTACCATAAGATGTAAGCCGCATGATGGAAGGGACTTTGAGTGCCTTGTTAAGTGACAGACAATAAATACTTGCTGAATGAGGGCCGTGTGCGGTGGCTCACGCCTGTAATCCCAGCACTTTGGGAGGCCGAGGCAGGTGGATCACAAGGTCAGGAGTTCAACACCAGCCTGGCCAAGATGGTGAAACCCTGTCTCTACTAAAAATACAAAAAAATTAGCCAGGCGTGGTGGTGGGCGCCTGTAATCCCAGCCACTCGGGAGGCTGAGGCAGAGAACTGCTTGAATCCGGGAGGCGGAGGTTGCAGTGAGCCGAGATCGCGCTACTGCACTCCAGCCTGGGCGACAGAGCGAGACTCATCTCAAAAAAAAATACTTGCTGAATGAATTAATAAATTGAAAGATCACCGAACTGTCTATCCAAAAGCTTTTCTGGTCCTAACATAACGTCTTGATTTTCTCCGTGCTATCTGATATTACTGATCATAAACAGACTTGCTTCTTCCTTGTCTCTATGACACTTGTATCTTAGTCCTTTCTCTCCACTTGTCTGGCACTTTTCCAAGAGTTCTTTTCTTCCTTTAGTCATATGTGAATATCCTCCATGAATTAGGCTTTGGTATCTTCTCCTTTTCCCTCTCAATCTGGTTCAATAATAAATAAAAGTTATTACCCAAAAGGCACTGCACTAGGTACTAGAGCGAGGAAGGTAAGTGTGGTATCTCAAGAAACTTAAAAGTAAACTTTCTTCCATGCAGAATTCATCTCTCCTAACAACTTCACTATGAGCTCTACTGTGTCTGTGACAATAACTAATGGTTACTGAGTATTTACTATCAGCCAGAAAATTATCATTTCCCTCTGAAAAAGGTTTTCTTTTCCAACGTTCCTAAACTTAGTAAATGGACTATCGTCTCAGGTTTAAAATGCCTTCTACTTCATCTTTCACTTTTTTTGCATGTCTCTATTTTTGTTTTGTTTTGTTTTGAGATGTAGTCTCACTCTGTTCCCCAGGCTGGAGTGCAGTGGCGCGATCGCGGCTCACCGCAACCTCCACCTCCCAGGTTCAAGTGATTCTTCTGCCTCAACCTCCTGAATAGCTGGGACTACAGGCACACATCACTATGTCCAGCAAATTTTTTAGTAGAGACGGGGTTTCATCATGTTGGTCAGGCTGGTCTCAAACTCCTGACCTCAATTGATCCACCCACCTCAGCCTCCCGAAGTGCTGGGATTACAGGCATGAGCCACTGCGTCCGGCCTGCTACAAAGTGCCCCTTTCTTAAATAAAGTTTTCTTTCAGCTTTCTGTCTCTCTTCTTTTTCTCTAAATTTTAACAGTTAATGGAGAACACATTTCATAATTGATATACTATCTTCCATTTGCTTAACAAATGTTCCTCTTTTGCTTGTCAAAAGTTTTACCTTACCAGATAAACTGTACACTTTGAGAGGGAAGTAACTACATTTTCCACTTCCTTTTCTCGTCTCACCAATTCTGAGTATATAGAAGATGCTCAATAAAGTCTTATTGCTTACTGGCTTTTAAGTAGTGAAAGAAATCATGCTTTGTTCCTGCATTCTCTACTTTTACTCAGTAACTTTACTCTTCAGGTGAAACTGCTTCACCTAACAATCACCACTCTATTCTTTGGGCTGTTCTTTCTGATCTCATTTTATACCTAAATACATAATTCTTAATATGTATTCCTGAAACTTCCAAGTTCTCTAAACCCTGGTGGATTCCGGCCTCACCTGGTCTTCTCTTCTCTTTGGTCATGAGTTGCTGGACCTTCCTTTGCTCTTCTTGTTCTTCTATTTTAGCCTCTTTGTGAATCTGTTCGATAGTTTTAGGCCCTTGATCTGCTCTTCGAGATACCCAATTGCACTATAAAAGCAGAAAATAAGGTTATCTGCCAGATAAACTGAACATTTTTTAAAATTTAAAAATTAGCAATTTTTACTACTGGAAAAGTACAAAATACCTACAAAAGCTGTATTATGGCAGTTTCTCATGTATCTTATAGATGACACTATGAGCAGTTTAGGATTAGAGCTGAAGGATTAAAATCTTCTCAGTCAAAACTGGCCAATTGTATACTACATATTCCAATAGCCAATGGATACAAAGAACAGGGTGAAAGACTGGCCCAAATTTATTATTATATTTTTAAGCATGGCATATATTTCTCTGTGGACTAAATGGATTTTATCTGTATCAGTATTTTGTACATTTGAAAGGAGGAGAGAAAAATAAAAATGATGAGGATTCCTTGGCCTTGCCTTAATCTGTGGGATTACTACTCAGATCATATCACATTCCATAGGGGTTCTAAGTCAAGGATGACTCATGCTTTTATTTCTCCAATATCATGGTTCTGATATTCTACACAAAGGTCCATACCACTCTGCCCTTTGGTTATCCCCTGTATTAAGGACAAAATAAGTTGTCACTTTATACTTCTCCCTTCTCTTTCTAGCAACAGTCCCAACATCTGATATAAGTGGTTGATAACATGGGTGAAGACAACCACATCTAGTCTTAGCAAGATAAAGAATCATCATCAATGCTATCTGGCCTGGGTGGAGGAGAAATAAGAGGTAGGGCTTTGTTCACTTTCTCTAGTGTAGGGCTTGATGTAGTATATTCCCTGTAGGAGTGAAACTTACAAAAGAGTAACTCCCTGTAGGAGTTAAACTTAAAACAGAGAAAAGTAGTAGTAACAAAAACTGCACCCGGTAAGAGAAATGAGAAAAACAAAAAAACAAAAAAACAAAAAAAACCCAGCAGCAGAATAGGAGGGTCACAGGAAAAACGAAAGAGAAGAAAACACCAATATCTGAGCTGGGCACCTTACGTAATTATTCCATTGACTCTTCAACAAATCTGCAAGGTAGGCAACATCCTCATTTTAGAGATTAAAAATGTAAGGCTCAGAGAGTTAAAGGTATTTACTGTGGAGATGAGACTTGCTGATTATTTAGCTCACAAAGACTAAATTTAATTGAATTTACATTTGAATGGAGTTTGAATTCAGAATGGCTGATTACAAATTGCAAGTGGCTGGGCGTGGTGGCTCACGCCTGTAATCCCAGCACTTTGGGAGGCTGAGGTGGGCAGATCATTTGAGGTCAGGAGTTCCAGACCAGCCTGGCCAACAGCGTGAAATCCTGTCTCTACTAAAAATACAAAAATTGCCCAGGTGTGGGGGCATGTGCCTGTAATCCCAGCTATTCCAGAGGCTGAGGCAGAAGAATCATCTGAACCTGGGAGGCGGAGGCTGCAGTGAGCCGAGATTGAGCCACTGCACTCCAGCCTGGGCGACAGAGTGAGACTCTATCTCAAAAAAAAAAACAAAGCGCAAACAAAATTGCAATATGGTTTGATAATCAGAATAAGGAGAAGAAGCACGTAACTGGCAATAGGCCTTTTGTCCCTTCTCAGAACTCTCCCACGGAAAGTTTGCCAATCCAAATTCTGAGTCCTGAAGCAAAAGCACTATCTTTACACATGTAAACAACAGGACATCCTTCCCCAACCCAATTCCTTTAAAGAGACTGGACCAGCAGGCTTATTATTATTTTTTTTCCCACTCACCAGCCTTAGGTCTATAACATCTTGAAGCATGAACCGAATCCTAGATGAGGTTTTTCTTTCTTTCACAATTTTCTCCATCTGATTAAAGTACTGGTCCATACGTGGCTGCAAGAGACAAAATCATTAGTACTCCTGTCTGAGAAACTTAAACGTAATTTTACCAATTTACAGTTATTTATTTATGTAGTTATCTATTTATTTTTTTAGAGATGGGGTTTCACTCCGTTGCCCAGGCTGGAGTGCAGTAGCACAATCACGGCTCACTGCAGCTTCAACCTCTCAGGCTCAACCGATCCCACCTCAGCCTCTCGAGTAGCTGGGACTACAGGCACGTGCCACCGTGCCTGGCTAATCTTTTAATTTTTTGTAGAGACAGGGTCTCATTATGTTGCTCAGGCTGGTCTTGAACTCCTGGGCTCAAGCAATCCTCCAGCCTTGGCCTCTCAACGTGCTGGAATTTCAGGCATTAGCCACTGCGTCCAGCCCATGTAGTTTTCTAAATGGTCTAGGAATATCAATTTATAGCCAAAATATAATGTGGTAGAATTTTTATTTGTATTTTTTTGAGACAGGGTCTTGTTCTGTCACCCAGTTGGGAGTGCAATGGCTCAATTATGCCTCATTGCAGCCTCAATCTCCTGGGCTTAAGTGATCCTCCTGCCTCAGCTTCCCAAGTAGCTGGGACCACAGACAGGCATATGCCACTACACCCAGCTAAATTTTTCTGTGTGTATGATTTTTTGGACATAGGAAATCTCACTATGTTACCCAGGCTGGTCTCAAACTGCTGAGCTCAAACAATCCTTCTGCCTCAGCCTCCCAAAGTATTAGGATTATAGGTGTGAGCCACTGTGCCCGGCCATATGGTAGAATTTTTAGTTGTTCATATGACCACCTAAAATAAAGACTACATTTTTCTAGGCTCCTGGCAGCTGGCTTTGGTCACGTGATTAATGATAGGCAATAATATAAATGGAAATGTTATGCTATAGCTTCCTAGGGCCTTCCTAAAGAGACCAGAGGGGCCAGGCATAGTGACTGATACCTGTAATCCTAGCAATTAGGGAGGCCAAGGCAAAAGGACTGCTTGAAGCCAGGAGTTTAAGACCAGCCTAGGCAACTAAGTGAGACCCATCATCTCTACAAAAAGTAAAAAAAAAAAAAAAAAAAAAAAATTGGGTGACAGGGCAAGACCCTGTTACCTTTTTTTTTTTTTTCCTTTTTTTTTTTTTTTCAGATGGAGTTTCACTCTTGTTGCCCAGCCTGGAGTGCGATGGCGCAATCTTGGCTCACTGCAACCTCTGCCTCCCGGGTTCAAGCAATTCTCCTGCCTCAGCCTCCCAAGTAGCTGGGATTACAGGCATGCGCCACCATGCCTGGCTAATTCTGTATTTTTAGTAGAGACGGGATTTCTCCATGTTGGTCAGGCTGGTCACGAACTCCTGACCTCAGGTGATCTGCCCGCCTCAGCCTCCCAAAGTGCTGGGATTACAAGCATGAGCCACCGTGCCCGGCTGACCCTGTTACTTAAAAAAAAAAAAGAGAGAGAGAGAGAGGTGGCTGTGTCTTTTGCCCCTTTTCCTACCTTCTCTGGTGAGAATAATTAGGACAAGGGTTAAACTTTAGGAGTCACAGAATGTTAAGCTGAAAGGACTTACCTCAGAGCTTTGTTTACATAAATAAGAAGTAAACCTCAATCTTGTATAAACCACTGGGTTTTCTGTCACAGCTAAGCATAATCCTAGCTGAATCAGATGTTATGGAGCGTTTCTGACATTATTTCTTTGAAGCATTTCTAATTTCTATACCCCTTAAATAGCATACATTATTACAGTATTTTTAATGATTTCTTATATTATGGTTAGATGGCTGTGTCATCAATTAGAGTATAAACTCTAGAAGCACTACTGGGTCTTCATTTCTGCACTACCCTTAGGCCATAGTTTTTCTTTGCATATTTCTGTTCCCAAATTGGGAAATGGTTACAGAAGAAGAAAAAAGAATATGGGACAAATAATCTGAAGAATCTACAAACTGGCTTTTACACAATTTGGGACCCTCCTCATCTCTGACTCTGATGGAAATGTAAGGAGCACGATGGTTGAACACTGACAATGAGACGGGCAAAAGAAGAAAAATAAACAGCCCAGACCTTTGGGAAAAGATAGAACTATTCTGTTGACAGTCTAAGTTCTTTTGCAACTGACAAGGAGCCTTTGCGAAGGTTTCTGAGCTTTTGGATTTTTACCTTTGCTTTTTCAAAGTCCAAGTCTTTGCCAATGGTGGTGAGCAGGCGACACAGGCACTCCAGGGATTCTTCATCATGGTTCTTTAGCAGCTTCACCACACAGTCATGCATGATGGCTTCAGTCAGCATTTTGAGTTTAAAGAGTTCTCCAATAAACTTGATGTTGCCAATGGATCTCCGCCGGGCTTTGTCCTTGGCTTCTTCCAGTTCATCATGAAGCCTTGTCCTCTCCTCTGGCTGTTGTGTAAGGAGGAATAATAGCATCTTGATGATGAAAGTTGTACTGCACAATAAACACTGAGATTCATGGGGTCAGAATCCCCGTGAGAATCTGATAGCAAGTGTAGAATCTACTGCTCAGAAAACTGAACTATACCCATCCATTTCAGATTTTTGGAACTCAGTGACCTGACTCAGGCTTAGATTGAATGGCTGGCATGGAAAATTTAGCTGTCCCCTATATTAGGCACTAAAAGGAACAAAGCATTCCCCTAAACATTAATATGTTGTTTCTACATGGAAAAAAAAAGGCCATAGGTCCCTCTTAAGGTAGCAGGGAGATGCTGTATCTAGCTTCCTGAAATTTCTACTTTACAGTGCTCAAAGTGTACAAGCACTGTCTTTCTATGAAAATACTTACAGCACTGGCAGCCTCAAGTTCTTTCTGCTTCTTCTCAAAGACATCATCATCTGCTTTATCTTTTTCAAACTCCTTCTGGCAACGGTTCAGTAGCAGCTTCCGGAAATTCACTGTGTTACCAGGCTTGTCTGCCATGGGTACTTTCAGCTACATCCAGACAGGAAAATAAAAAAAATCAACAAGATTACTTAAAGACATTAAAAATATCTGTTTGCTTTATTGTATGAAATAATGCTGACTGAACCACAGGTAAGCATTCTATAAGAGGCAAACAATATAGCTTCAGGCATTTCATGATTCAACAGTAATATGTCTTAAATTTTATTTAGAAAAGACACACATTCCTCTCATATAAATGTACTCTTTTTTAGCCATGCTACTAGCTAACATGGAAACCCTTGTCATATCATTGCAACTATAACTCTGAACTTATCTAGACCTTATTTAAAAAAAAAAAAAACTGTGTAGAGTTATTACTTCTTTTTTTAAGAAGTACCGTTGTAATAAGTATTTTGGTTTAATAGAACACACAAAAATGACATAAGACAAGGGAGAATTTGCTGGTTATCGCAAAACTGTTGTAGGTGAGATCCTTATTGTATTTATGCAGAAGTTGGGATACTGGGGGATTTTTGAGATATCTTTTCATTGGGGAATGTCATAATGTTAGCACTTACCTTGACTATAAATATAGTATGTTTACTGCTTATTGCTTATGTGCCATGAGAATATACTAGTTCTCCAAAAGTTTGGAAGCAAGATCCTTACAAGGTTTCCATCCAAATCCAATAATAATTGTTTTCTAATAGTTGTAATAGCTCAAGGTTACTTGTAACCAAACACAGAGACATTCTTATGAACATATTTAGAATATAAAGACAGTAGACTGCAGCAGGGATTCTACTAAAATATTCTAATTTACAGATGACATCCCTCTGAGCACCATTTTGAACAGCTATTTCATAATATGATACAACAGTTTTTCTGGGATGACAAAGTGGCTCCCAAAGTTCTGAAATGTATGTATGGTCTTTGCCCTAGGTATAACAGAAGATCTTTGTGAAAACTGGGTACACTGCATCCATACTCACAAAATAATTAATGTTATCAACCAGAATGCACTTGGTCAGCTGTTGATCAAGGCTGGATGGCTAGAGAAACTTCCTGAGAACTGACGATGATGATGCTAGAATATTTGTACTAGAACTGATGGCACACTCTCCAATGTATTCCCTACGATGTATGAAAGATCATTTAACAGATCCAGTAATAATCAACCATGTGTTACACTGCATATTTCCTTTCAGCAGGAGACATTATCTTAGGAAGAGGGGAACATTTTCAGATAATTTTTTAGACAACCAGAGAAAAGGCTACTGTATCCTTAACTCCAAATTTAGGCTACATAAATGCAAGCAACTATAGATAATTTCACAGTCAGGCCTATTCTAAAGTCACACAAGTCAGCCTTCAAGAAAAGAAATGCTACATGAAAGCAAGAGTTTTCCAAAGCAAAAGCCAAAAGTTGATTCTACCTTCTCTTATATAAGACCCAGAATACACAATAATGGACTAAGAAATACAAAAGAGAACCAAGAAGTATATTCAAAAGCAGGTTGGCATACAAGAGCACCAACATGACATTAGATTTTAGAACTAAAGGTTCTAAACATCAGCAGTTATATCCAATTTGCTGCTTTATAGGAACATAAGTTAAACCAGCCACAAAATCCTAGCCAGCATCTTGGCATATTTACCTCCATCATCTGTATTGACATTAAGTGTATAACTGACTGACAAGAAAATAATAGTCCGGCCCACAATCTATCATCTCTAAAGAGAAGTTTCCTACATTACAGATTTACTGTGTAGAAAAGAGAGAAATGAGGACAACAAACAATATGAAAATCTAAGCCACTGCCATATGGTGAGAAGTGCAGGGAAGACTATTTTAGAAGAGCTGGGTTAAGTATCAAAAGTTTTGCTTACTTGCTATATAAACAAAGGCAATTCTTTTAATCCAAGTTTCAGTTTTGTCATCTAAAACAAGGGAGGTACAGCCTCTATGTCCATCTGAGAGGGCAGCTTGAGCATTCAGCATGGAAGCACTTTAATAAGCCACAGATAAATAAGCTGTAACTGAAATCGAAAGAGTGCTGGAATATGAGTCACAAAATCAGAAACTGAATCCCAGCTCTTTAATCTACTATGTAAATTTGAGCAAGTTACCTCACTGAACCTCAGCCCCTACACCTGCAGAATGAGATATTCCAAAATGACTGTAGATTAAGGAACATGATAAAATAGCTGGTGAAAAGGGAGCTCTGGACATAGTCACAATCCCAGCTCTGCCATGTGACTTTGGCCAAGTCACTCAGTTTCCCCAAACCTCTATTTCAAAAATGGGGTGAGGTATTATACCTATCTCTTAGGAGGTGTTATTGGGAGGATCAAATGAGGTATCTAAGGAAAAGCAAATAGTGGCTGACACACAGTAAGGGCCCAATAAACAACTAGTATGGCTATATTAAACACTTCATTTGACAGGCCTATGATTAAACATTAAGAGTAACGTATATTGTAATAACATAGCTATCAAAGAAAGGATAAAGCAAAGTTAGCTCACTAAGCAATAAAGAGAAAATCACAAAATGCAAGAGAAACAAAAGTCTGCTATCCCAAAATAATGGTCAAGAGGAATTTCACATGAATTGGGGCATAAAGAACATGTAATCATGCATAAACTTTTCAGATATATTCACATGGAAGTATTAAAACTGAATAACTAGCAGAATGACTACAGATTTACAAAAATGTATCTCTGAATGAATGAATACCTAGCTATACAGCTCCTTGAAGACTTGTTTTGGAATATGATCTTAATACCCTCTGGGGATGGTTAACAGGGCTGTGGAAATATGGAAAGGGGCCAGTGAGAACATATCCTCTGAGAATAGTGATTCATGGTGATTTTCTTTTTTTTTTTTTTTTGTCCTTAGGGGATGGTAAATTTGACAGGGCTGTAAGTGAGCACTTGTTGTCTGCTGGACACTGGGTGGTCAAGAGACCCACTGAGATTGGTTAGTTGGAACAGAACATGAAGAGTGGATACCTTAATCTGCTTGGGCTGCTATAACAAAATACCATAGACTGGGTGGCTTAAACAATGGAAGTTTATTTCTCATAGTACTGAAAGCTGCGAAGTCCAAAATCAATGTACTGGCAGATTAAGTTCTTGGTGAGGACCCTCTTCCTGGCTCGTAAATGGCTGACTTCTCACTGTATCCTTACATGACAGGGAGAGAAACAGCTCAGGTGTTTCCTCTTCCAAGGGCACTAATCCCATTGTGTGGGCTCCACCCTCATGACCTCAACTAAACCTAGTTACTGCCCCCCACCCACCTCCTAATGTAATTATAGTAAGAGTCAGGGCTTCAAACTATGATTTTTCAGAGACACAACAGTGGACAAGGCAGATGCATGCAAATATGATCATGGATAATAGCAAGAATGAAAGGTATGTGACAGTGGGAAAAGGATCTATTTAGACAACTGCAATTTTCACTTAACAGTCCATGATCAGCACTAAAATGTGTGTGTTTAAATGGGTTGTTCGGGACGGGTTTCTTTTTCTCAGGGAGCAAGGGAGTCGGTGAGAATGTTTTAGGAAGGCTGCTTGATAAGCTGAATTCACTAGAAAGCACCTAGCTTTTTATTTTTACACAGTAGTAAACTAACAATGTGGCATTAGTGTAAAGAGACCCATCCACATACAGGTCACTCAGCAATCTTAGATATGAATGTTGTCAGCATCAGGTAGTAATTTTCTTCAAGCAACAGGGCCTATACTGCTGACATATTTGTTAGTATTGAGGGTGGACATGCTTATCCCCAAAAGGATCAAATTCTAGAGAATCATCAAGGGTTGTCAGCAGTGTAGTAATTATGGTAATCAAACAGAAATGAAAATGGAATGGTAAGTCCTGGCCTTGGCTTGGCATGTTCAGGATTTTCAATGCTGTCTCAGAACATAAAGATGTTAATGGCAACCCATGGCCCAGCAGTAGTTTTGCCCCCAAATCATGTGCTAGTCTGAAGTAAAGTATTTGTAATGAATAGGATAATGTAAGCAAATGGCACCTCTGTGCTAACTCTAAAACTCTGGTTTCTAGAGGATAGTTTACTTTAAAATTTTTTTTTTTTTTTTTTTTTTTTGGAGACAGTGTCTCCCTATGTTGCCAAGGCTAGTCTCAAACTTCGGGGCTCAAGTGATCCTCCCATCTGTCTCCTGAGTACCTGTCTCCTGAGTAGCTGGGATTATAGGCATGTGTCACTACTCCTGGCCAAGGACAGTTTGCTCTTAAATGTGAAGTAAATAGGCCGGGTGCAGTGGCTCACGCCTGTAATCCCAGCACTTTGGGAAGCTGAGGCGGGTGGATCACGAGGTCAGGAGATTGAGACCATCTTGGCTAACATGGTGAAACCCAGTCTCTACTAAAAATACAAAAAATTAGCTGGGCGTGGTGGCGGGCGCCTGTAGTCCCAGCTATTCGGGAGGCTGAGGCAGGAGAATGGCTTGAACCCGGGAGGCGAAGCTTGCAGTGAGCCGAGATTGTGCCACTGCACTCTAGCCTGGGTGAAAGAGCAAGACTACGTCTCAAAAAAAAAAAAAAAAAAAAAAAGTGAAGTAAACAGCAATATGGTAATTAAAAAAAAATTGTTTAATAAACCAACATAACTCTCAGGTCCATGGTGACATACTATTTTCTATCAGTGGTTATATCGTGACCTTAGGCAATTTAACCTGCCAAAACTGTACATAATACTCTGCATACTATGAACACATCTATCAAAATGGATCTCTGTTAGATATACCTGAAGAGGTATAGTGTTAAAGGATATGCACAAGATTCAAAAGGGAGTGGTCAGTTATGAAAGTATAAGTCATCTCTGATCATTTTTTCTTCAACACATTATAAAATCTTCCATCAGGACAGTTACAAATCCCTCCTCCTCCAGTTGACCGGTCACTCGCTGTTGCCCAAGGCTGACTTGTCATGTCTGCAATTCCGGGCTTTATTTTTTATGGGATTTAACTGCCTCTCTTTTTCTCTCGGTGTCTCTTCCTATTCTCAGTCCTGTCATTCTCCTCATGCTTTGCTTTTAAACACTTAAAGTGGCAATACTACAAGCTCTGTATCTGGCATAACAGTATACAGAATGCTTAAAAATCTGCCTTTAGTGCCATTCTTTGTAGCTGAGGTATGTATGTCTCCCACAGCACAGACAAAAAGTAACAAAACTACAGTCTCAGGGCATAAAAGAAACTCATTCAAGTTGGTTATTCTTTCATTCAGGCATTTACCTACTCACTCACAACTATTACCTGCCAAGAATCATTCTAAGCACTGGGAATTCAGCAGTGAACAAAACAGAAAAAGTCCCTTTCCTTGGAGTTTATATTCTAGAGGGGTTCTGAGATGAGGATTCTCATTTCAATTATAATTAAGACAAAAGCACAGCAATTTAAAGTTTCAATAATCCAATTTAAAATTGTACTTAAGTACAGATTTAGATACAGGACAACATTTCTCTTGTCCACTCTTCCTCACCTGCCACTTAATTCAGATGTCCTCCTCCAAAAAGAAATGCTGAATTCTAGTTAAATGCTTTATTATTCATGAAGGGAGTCTCACAGGCCTCTTCAGTCATTTCCAGTTGAACTAGCAGAAGCAGCAAAATACTCCAGAGGTGGAGTTGACCATGTCTTATGATTCCCTCAAGCCTTGTATGGTATGCCTTAGTAGAGCTTGGTGGACACAGGCAGCTGCATATATGGATGGATATGTACATATGTATCTGTATGTGTGTGTATACAGTACTACAGAGCAACGAGGGAAAGCTGAATCCATTATATCAATTTCCTCTATAAATCTAAAAGAATCTTTCTTAAAGGCCTACCCTTTAAGACTTCAAGAAAAAATTAACAAACAAAATAATTTTATACTCTAGGATTCACCTAATCACTGCAAAGTTACAAAAGAGGTTTTAAATGGAGGTGTGCAATCAATGTGAATGACATGGAAAGAGAAAAATGGCTTAACAACTGCTCTAAACAATGAGAACACATATTCTCCTAAATCTTACAATCTCAACAATCTAGGCTGGGTTTTTAAACCTCAACACTACTGACATTTGGGGTAGGATAATTATTTCTTGTGGAGGGCTCTCCTGTGCACTATAGAAAGCTCAGCAGCATCCTCACCCCATACCCACTAAGATGCCATACCAATAACCAAGAAGGCCTCCAGACACTGCCAAATGTCCTGAAGTGGGGGTGGGAGGGAATGTCCCTGGTTGAGATCAGACTCCCAGATACTAGTTCAATTTTTTATTCACTGTCTTCAGTTTCTTTGATTCTGTTGGGAGGTATTATTTTTCAAGCTAATAATTACCTTAAGGGAATTCTTTTAAATGCCTGTGGTCTAGAGGTTTGGAAAATGTTGTATACAGTAGATCTTTCCTGTCTGACTTCACAGGAAACATTAGCATAGTAAACAGGGGCTTGAAGGAAACAAATCTGCTTATGCCAGCATTGCTGAAACACATACTAACAGCTCAATTTTGGGCATTTCACTTTTGGGCAACACTGGCCCGTGGACATGTCATCTTGAAAAAGCAATTGGGTAGACTCCATTTCTTTTCTTTTCTCTGTCTTTTTTTTTTGAGACAGGGTCTCGCTCTGTCACCCAGACTGGAGTGCAGTGGTGCAATCTTGGCTTACTGCAACCTCCACCTCCTGGGTTCAAGTGATTCTCGTGCCTCAGCCTCCCAAGTAGCTGGCGTGATAGGCATGCGCCACCATGCCCAGCTAATTCATTTCTTTTCCAACAGTACAAAATAACATAGCACACACTCAGGTATCCATTGTCCAAATGTGTCAAATCTTACCATTTTGCCATATTTGTTTTAGATCTTTTGCTTAAAAAAAAAATCTGTGTGTGTGTGTGTATACACATATATTAGAGACGGGGTCTTGCTCTGTCACCCAGGCTAGAATGCAACAGTGCCATCATAGCTCACTGCATCCTTGAACTCCTGGGCTCAAGTGATCCTCTTGCCTCAGCCTTTGGAGTAGCTGGGAGTACAGGTGCATGCCACCACACCCAGCTTTTTCACACTTTTTTTTTTTTTGAGACAGGGTCTCACTATGTTGCCCAGACTGGTCTCCAACTCCTAGGCTCAAGTGATCCTTCCATCTTGACCTCCCCAACTGGGATTATTGGCATGAGCCACCACAGCTGGCCACTTTTTCAGTTTTTAAGAAACTAAATATTACAGTAAAACTTAAAAGCCTATAGTGGTTTTTAAGCTTTTCACTCTATTGCTTGTTTTTGTTTCAAAAATTTTTTAAGGTTCAGCAATAAATTATGAAAAAGCAAACTCCATAAATACCACCAGGTATGGTAACCAGGTCAAGATACAGAACACTGAAAGCTTCTCAGAAGCTCCACTTAAATTTCCTTCCAAAGCACATCCACAACCCCTTGTCTCCAAAGTTATACAAAAGCCTCCTAGACTTTTATAACTTTCTTGCCTTTTTTTTTTTTTTTTTTTTTTTGAGACAGAGCCTCACTCTGTCGGCCAGGCTGGAGTGCAGTGGCATGATCTCAGCTCACTGCAACCTCAACCTCCCTGCCTCAAGCAATTCTCCTGCCTCAAGCAATTCTCCTGCCTCAGCCTCCCAAGTAGCTGGGATTACAGGCATGCGCCACCATGCCCAGCTAATTTTTGTATTTTTAGTAGAGATGGGGTTTCACCATGTTGGCCAGGCTGGCCTTGAACTCCTGACCTCAGGTAATCCGCCTGCCCTGGCCTCCCAAAGTGCTGGAATTACAGCTGTGAGCCACTGCGCCCAGCCTTGCTTTTGTTTCACAAAGAAAACATGCAACCTTTAACACTATAGACAGGTATCCCCAAACACCAAAGTTAGTTTTTGTTTCATTTTTGAACATTAAATAACAAATCATGTAGTATCTTTTTGGGTCTGCCCTCTTTTACTCAAACTTACTCTTGTGAGAATCCATGCCCATGTAGTTGTACTTCAGATTCACTGTCCTTGTATAAACATGCTACGATTTATCCATTCTACTATCAACAGGCATTTTTTCATTTTTCTTTCCTGTATAAAAAATGCTACAACATTTTTGTATATATTTCCTAGCATATGAGATATGTATGTTTATTGGTTGTGTATATACCTAAGAATTGAAATGCTAGTTATGGCAGAAAAACTTCAGCTTTAGTATATAATGCTAAACAATTTCCAAAGTGGCTGTTGCAATCAGTATGCGAGAGTTCTTGTTGTTTCACGTTTGTAAATATCTGGTACATTTAGCAATTTGATGTTATTGCATAGTACATGAACATCTTCAACATTATTGCCCAATTGCCCTCATAAATGGTTATATTCGTCTTTAAAAACATTTAAAATGGGATTTTTTTTTCAATCTAGTGGGGGTGAATTTTACAGAACTATGGTTTATCTTTTCTTAGTTTATCACTTCCCTAATAATGAATAACATTGAATGTCTTTTTTTTTTCCTTAAAAAAAAAAAAAAACCACGAGATACAGGTGCAGGATGTGCAGGTTTGTTACATAGGTATACATGTGCCATGGTGGTTTGCTATACCTACTGACCTGTCCTTTAAGTTCCCTCCCCTCAACCCCCATCCCCCAAAAAGCCCTGGTGTGTGTTGTTCCCCTCTCTGTGTCCATGTGTTCTCAATGTGAAACTACCACTTATGAGTGAGAACATGCAGTGCTTAGTTTTCTGTTCCAGTGTTATTTTGCTGAGGATGATGGCTTCCAGCTTCATCCACGTCCCTGAAAAGGACATGATCTCATTTCTTTTTATGGCTGCATAGTATTCCATGGTGTATATGTACCACATTTTCTTTATCCAGTCTATCATTGATGGGCATTTGGGTTGGTTTCATGTCTTTGCTATTGTAAATAGTGCTGCAATAAACACACGTGTGCATGTGTCTTTATAGTAGAATGATTTATATTCTTTTGATTATACACCTAGTAATGGGATTGTTGGGTCAAATGGTACTTCTGGTTCTAGATCCTTGAGGAATCGTCATACTGTTGAACCAACTTACGTTCCCACCAACAGTGTAAAAGCATTCTGTTTCTCCACAGCCTTGCTAGCATCTATTGTTTCCTTTTTAATAATCGCCATTCTGACTGGCATGAGATGGTATCTCATTGTGGTTTTGATTTGCATTTCTCCGATGATCAGTGATGTTGAACTTTTTTTCATATATTTGTTGGCCGCGTAAATGTCTTATTTTGAGAAGTGCTGTCATTGATTATCTTTTCTAAAGTTTATCACCCAGTGGATTTTCATTTCTATGAACTGCCCATATTTTTATTAGGCTGTTTTTTTCCTACTGATTTGCTTCTTTTTCTTCCTTAATCCTGGATTCTAATATTCTGTCAGTTAATGCACTCCAAACAGATACTCCTAGGTTGTGGTTTTATCTTTGTATTTATTTATAGTATCTTTTGCTGCATCAAAGATTATAAATTTTAACAGTCAAATCTTATACCTTTATCCTTCATGTTTTGAATTTTGCTAAAGAAATCTTTCCCTACTCAAAAGTTCATGAAAATAGCCTCCTTGATATTCTTATAAAAGGTTAGCTTTTCAAATTTAGATATTTAATAATCCCATAATGTTTGATGTGTGTAGTAGGATTCTATGTTTCTATGTTCACTGTTACCATTTTATTTCAGTCTCTCAATCCCTCAAAAGTAATCAACTACAGTGTCAGAAGTCAGGACAGTGGTTACCTTTTTTGCTTTCCCTGAGACTAGGTCTCACTCTGTCACCAGGCTGGAGTAAGTACCATAGTATTATCATGGTCCACTGCAGCCGTGACCTCCTGGACTCAAGGGATCCTCCCACCTGAGCCTCCCTAGTAGCTGGGACTACAGGTGGACTACTATCATGCCTGGCTCATTTTTTAATTTTTTATTTGTAGAGTCAGAGTCTCATTATGTTGCCCAGTCTGGCCTCAAACTCCTAGGCTCAAGCGATCCTCCTGCCTCAGCTTTCCAAAGTGTTGACACTGTAGGCATGAGCCACTGCACCTGGTCCTAGTTACCTTTAAAAAAGACTAAAGAGTATTGAAAAGGGTCTAAGGTGTATTCACTTCACTGACATACAATGAGCTGTACAGTAATGATTTGTATACCTTTCTGTAAGCATGTTGCATTGGTGTGTTGAAGCTGGTTCATATTGGTTTATGACAGACAACTGTTTAACAGTAATTTTGTGAGTCTTGTCAAACTGTCAGTAGATTACAAATAGTCCTGAGGACAGCATTTACATCATTAAATTTGGCAAATGCAACAAATGAAGAATTTCAACCCAGAAAGCACATATGTTAGTCATATTTCAATAAAAAAGTTTAAAACATTAAAAACATACACTAAAGAAATAAAAGTCAGGTGCAATGGCTAACGCCTATAATCCCAGCACTCTGGGAAGGAGGCAGGAAGATTGCTTGAGCCCAGGAGTTTACGACCAGTCTGGGCAACATATTGAGATTCTGTCTCTATAAAAAATTTAAAGATTAACTGGACATGGTGGTGCATGTTTATGGTCCCAGCTACTCAGGAAGCTGAGGTGGGAGGATCATGTGACCTCAGAAGGTTGAGGGTGCAGTAAGCCCAGATCCTGCCACTGCACTCTAGCCTGGGTGACAGAGCAAGACAAAAAGGAAAGGGAAGGGGAAGGAAAAGAAGAAAGAGGCCAGGCATGGTGGCTCACGTCTATGGTGCCAACACTTTGGAAGGCTGAGGCAAGCAGATCACTTGAGCTCAGGAGTTCCAGATCAGCCTGGACAACATGGCGAAACCCCAAAACCCTACATGTACAAAAAAATACAAAAATTAGCTGAGCATGTGCCTGTAGTCCCAGCTACTTGGGAGGCAGAGATGAGAGGATTGCTTGGACCCAGGAGTTTGAAGCTGCAGTGAGCTGTGATCACACCACTGTACTCCAGCCTGGGATATAGAGTGAGAGCCTGTCTCAAAAAAAAAAAAAAAAAAAAAAAAAAAGACAAGGAGGGAGGGAGGCAGGCTCCAGAATACAAGGATAAATGAACATATGAGAGAGAGAGATAGAGAGAGAAGAGAGATGGTTGAACAAGTTATGGTATATGCATATTATGAAATATTATGCAATTAGTATAAAAGTATGAGTAAAATCTATCTGTAATGACCTAGACGGCTGCCCAAAACATTTATTAAGTAAAAAAAAAAAAAAAAACAAACTGAAAATAATTTATATAATTCAATTAAAGCAAAACCAAAAAAACCTCTTTATACATACTCATATTTTCATGTGATTTTATAAACATGAAGAAAACTATAGATGATTACATCAAAACCATTCACAGTGACCATCTGATAGGGAAGGAAGATTAACTGGCTGGGGCTGCAAGCAGAGAGTAATAACTGTATTAACTATACCATTTGACTTGTTCAAATAGGTTGTTATCTTATAATTTAAAATAATCCAGGAGGCCAGGAGGTGGCTCCTGCCTGTAATCCCTGCACTTTGGGAGGCCAAGGCGGGAAGAGCACTTGAGCCTAGGAGTTTTTGAGACCAATCTGGGCAAATAGTAAGACCTCATCTCTACCAAAAATAAAAAAATAGCCAGGCCTGGTGGTGGTGTGTGCCTATAGTCAAGGAGGAGGACTGCTTGAGCCCAGGAGTTTGAAGCCTCAGTGAGCTATGATCATGCTACTGGACTCCAGCCTGGGCAACAGAGCAAAAGACCTTGTCTCAAGCAAAATACATAAATAAAACAATCCAATAAAGTTTTCAAAAGTCTCATAAGTGGGTGGCTTGTCTATAATTTCTTCATATTCCAATCCAATTTGTACTTATTGCCAGATCATTTCAAAGGCCATTTTCATCAATATCACTCCTCCATTAAACTACCTAAACACCACTTAACTGCCTATCTGATAAAATTCAAAACTGGGAAAGAGCATTAAAGTGTGATCCAGAGGATCTGGGATCTAGTCCTAATTTTAATGAGTCATGGATGTCATGGCTACCACAATGAAAATGAGAGCCCAGAAATGGAGAATTAGTTTGCTTCCATATAACTATGGCACATCAGGAGGCACTATGGCAAGTGATTGAGTTAAATAATCCCTGATTTGAATTCTAGCAATGCCACTTACTAGTTACATCACCCTGAGAAGTTATTTTTCCTTTTCAAGCTCAGCTTTTGGTTCAATAAAGTGGGGCTAGTAACACTGACCATTCAGGATTAGAATAACCATTAAAAATAATATGTATATATAAAGCCTCTATCCATATTGCAACTTAGTAGGTGCTGAATAGACTATTTTTATTATAATAATCATCCTCATTCTATAGCCAACATTCAAAACCTTCACAAATTGGACCTAAAAGGTCTAACATAGTTTCAATTTATTTAGGGCTTACTACAGGCCAAACACTGGGCTAGAAATTTTGTAATCTCATTTATTTTAATTAATTTTATCCTTATAATATTACAAGTGGTATGAATTAATCTCATTTTATGGATTAAAAACAGGGGCTTAAAGAGATCAGTAACTATTCTAAGGTCATAAAGTTAGGAAGTGGCAGAGTAGAAACTATCTTCTCTTATCTCAATTTTATTTTATTTTGAGACAGAGTCTCACTCTTGTCGCCCAGGCTGGAGTGTTGTGGTGCAATCTCTGCTCACTGCAACCTCAGCCTCCTGAGTTCAAGTGATTCTCCTGCCTCAGCCTCTCAAGTAGCTGGGATTACAGGCGCACGCTACCATGCCTGGCTAATTTTTGTTACCACACCCAGCTAATTTTTGTATTTTTAGTAGAGACGAAGTTTCCCCATGTTGCCCAGGCTGGTCTCAAACTCCTGATCTCAGGTGATCTGCCCACCTCAGCCTCCCAAAGTGCTGAGATTACAGGCATAAGCCACCTTGCCCAGCCTGGAATTTAATTTTAAACTTTAAATTTTAAACCTAGAGCTGTGACTCCAAAGCCACACTTACTGCTTCAGACTTGAGCCTGCTTAGAATGTGTTCTTTCTTCTCCAAATGTGTATTCCCCATTGTGTCAGGTCCAACTCAAACTCTATTTGCTTTATAAAAGTTTTGTGACTCTCCCACCAACATAGTGTTTTCTTTTTCTTCCAACTTATTTTTCGGTCTAACCATCCATTCAGGCATTGAGATACTGCTACATCACAAAATACCTTTTAAGTAATTTTTTTCTTGGAAATACTTATTTTCAAATGGATTTTGAATTCCTTTAAGACAGAAGATGTGACTTTTCCAAACCCCAAAAGACTTACCTACCTTTGACATAGGTAGTCAAAAATATTGGTAGAATGAGAGAATTTTGCATTTTCATAGCTTGTTTCTAAGCAGCAAGGCACGACAATGAGTTGTAATAATTAAGAAAAAATCCAAATGTTAAAGGACAGACATTTCTGACACAAGTACCTCGGTAACAATAACAGGAAGAGAAAACAGATGATACATGGCAGTTTATGACTGTGGAATAGAGGACAATGAACACTAACCAGAAGCTCTTTGGTCTCCCTCTCTGTCTTGCCCTAGGTTTGACAGGCTGTGGAGATTAAATGGCTTCAGATAATGTAAACGGAGAGAAACCTAACAGTTTCTATGACATGAAATTATCAGCTTTGAAACCTTTTTGACTACAGAACAACTATCCTTTCATTTTCACAGAGATTAGAATTAGAATCAACGTGTTTTTAAATTTCAAACTTAATTAAATGTGAAAGCACGCATTTGCTTGCTTTCCATAAGAGACACACGGGAAAAATTTGTTGCCCATGACGATAATTTTACATTACTAATTTAAACCTGACTCTATCTTTCTTACGCTGAATGGGCCCATCTCATGCCCATTTCAGTCCAGACTTCATATCCCCTCCAGAGGGGAGTATACGTTTTAATAAAGCAAGATTGTCTTTAATAATGAGAATATTATATCAATAAATACTAAAAATATATTCTCCCCTTTATGTTGCCCCAATAACACTTCTGGGAAGAATGTGTAGTGAGGGGAGAATATACCTCTTGAAGATTTCTCGTTTTACTCCTTCCTCTCTTCTTACCGTTACTAGACATCGACACATGTTTGCGTAAGCCACAGAGAAACTGGGTTCATCAATAGCCTTCTCAAAGACCAGGTCAATAACTCCTTTCAGCCGCTCCTCTGTGTCAACAGTAAGTCCTGACACTTGCTTCATCAGTTGATTGAACATCTGTGGTGTCAATTTATTTAAGATACTTCGAACTTTTCTAAAAAGCTCCTAGAAGGGCCACAAAAAAGAAAAAAGCATTAGAGTAACTGTGACAATATGGTGCTTTCTGTAATGATTAATTTTAAAAATAATATATAAGTTCAACTTCTCAAATTATTAACAAGGACTGTGAACTAGTGACAGAAATAATTAAACTAATCTATTTTAACAAATAGTCAAAAATTACCTTCTTTTCACTACTGAGGAGAATTCTAGAAATAGGTATATACACACTTAGCTGGTGGGAGCATTATCTGTTAACATTTCTAAGGGCAATTTGACAACGTGTATCAAAAGCTTTAAAACTGTGTATGTAACCTTTGAACCAGTAATTACACTTTTAGAAATGTATTTATATTTAGAGATACGTAAAAATACTTTAGCCACATAACTCATTACAGAAAATAACTTTGATGTAAAAAAATAGAAATTTGTCTAAATTATGGTATAATATAAATAATGGTATGAAACACTAGGCAGGAGTCTTTTAAAATAATGTTGTAAAAACTCTAAAAAAAAAAAACAGGAATAGAAGAGATCTTCCTAGACTAGTAAAAGGAGATATACAACTCCACTTAAAGGTGAAAGGCAAAATGATTTTTGCCCCTAAGATTGAGAATAATGCAAAAAATGTTTCTTTTCACCATTCCCATTCAGTATCATACCAGAGGTCCTAATCAATGAAATAAAGCAAAGAAAAAGCAATAAAAGGTACGTAGATTGTAAAGGAAGAAATAAAACTCTATGCAGAGAAGATATAATTGTCTACATAGACAATCATAAGGAATCTGCAAAAAGACCAGAATAAGTCAGTCTAGCAATTGTAGGATACAATGTCAAAATGCAAACATCAACTGCTTTTCTATGTATTAGCAATAAATAACCAGAAATTAATTTTTTTAAGTACCATTTACAGCAGCACCAAAATCTACAAAATATTTAGCCAAAAACTAGCAAAAGGTCAGGCGTGGTGGCTCACACCTTTAATCTCAACTTGGGAGACCGAGGTTGGGTGGATCACTTGAGGCCAGAGGTTCGAGACCAGCCTGGCCGACATGGCAAAACCCCATCTGTACTAAAAATAGAAAAATTAGCTGGGTGTGGTGGTGCATGCCTGTAATCCCAGCTACTCGGGAGGCTGAGGCAGAAGAAACACTTGAACCTGGGAGGCAGCGGTTGCAATGAGCTGAGATCGCACCACTGCACTGCAGCTTGCGCAACAGAGTGAGACTCTGTCTCAAAACAAAAAAGATGGAAAAAAATATGAAAACTATAAATCACTGATGAAGGAAATCAAAGAGGGCTTAAATAAATGAAGATATATATCATGTTCTTGTATTAGAAGATTCATTATTGTTAAGATGTCAGTTTTCCCCAAAGTGATCTGCAGATATATCATCATAATCCAAATCCTAATAGGGCCTTTTGTTTTTTGTTTTGGGTAGAAAACAAGGAGCTGATTCTAAAATTTATATGAACACACACACACAAATACAAAACCCTAGAAGAGCCTAAATAATTTTGAAGAAAAACAAAAAGTTGGAGAATTGAATTCACACAACCAGATTTCAAAACTTTCTATATAAAGACAGAGTGGTGTTGGCCAGAGGACAGACACATAGCTAGATGAAGAAGAATGTAGAGTCTAGAAATAGATGCACACATATACGATGAACTGATTTTCAACAAAGATGCCAAAACATTTCAATGGAGAAAGGATAATCTTTTCAACAAATGGTGCTGGAACAACTGGACATCCACAAGAAAGGGGAGAAAAAGAACCCTGACCTATTATCTTGCACCTTGTACAAAACTCAACAAAAACTGGATCACAAAGCTAAATGTGAAACCTAAAACTATAAACTTCTAAAAGACAACATAGTAGAAAAGTGTTGTTTTCTTGGGTTTACGCAAGTATTTCTTAGATATGACAGCAAAAGCACAATCATGAAAGAAAAGGTTGACTAATTCAATATTATCAAAATTAAAAACAGGCTAGGTATGGTGGCTCATGCCTATAATCCCAGCACTTTAAGAGGCTGGGGTGGGTGCACTGTTTGAGCCCAGGAGTTCAAGACCAGCCTGGGCAACATGGCAAAACCCTGTCCCTACAAAAAATACAAAAATCAGCTGAGCACGGTGGCACGCACCTGTAGTTCCAGCTACTTGGGAGGTTTAGGAGGGAGGACTGCCTGAGCCAGGGGAGGCTGAGGTTACAGTGAGCTGTGATTGTGCCACTGCACTCCAGCCTGGGCAACAAAGTGAGACCCTGTCTCAAAAAATAATAATAATGAAAATAAAATAAAATAAAATAAAATAAAAATAAAAACAACTGCTCTGTGAAAGACACTGCTGAAAGAATGAAATGAGGCCGGGTGCAGTGGCTCATGCCTATAATCCCAGCTCTTTGGAAGGCAGAGGAGGGCAGATTGCTTGAGCTCAGGGGTTTCGAGACCAGCCTGAGCAACATGGCGAAACCCCATCACTATAAAAAATACAAAAATTAGCTGGGTGTGTAGTAAGCACCTGTAGTCCTAGCTACTTGTGGGGCTGAGGCAGGAAGATCGCTTGAGCCTGGGAGGTCAAGCCTTCAGTGAGCTGAGATCATGCCTCTGCACTCCAGCATGGGTAACAGTGAGACCCTGTCTCCAAAAAAAGAAAAATTACACACACACACACACACACACACACACACACACACACAAAATCATTTATTGGATAAGCTACAGGAGCTCATGCCTGTAATCCCAACACTTTGGGAGGCCAAGGCAGGAGGACTGCAGGAGGCCAGGAGTTTGGGCAACACTGCCTCTAAAAAATTTTTAGGCCCAGGAGCAGTGGCTCACGCCTGTAATCCCAGCACTTTGGGAGGCCAAGGAGGGCAGATCACTTGAGGCCCGGAGTTCCAGAGTAGCCTGGTCAATGTGGTGAAACCCCGTCTCTACTAAAAATACAAAAAATTAGCCGGGCATGGTGGGGCATGCCTGTAGTCCCAACTACTCGGGAGGCTGAGGCAGGAGAATCGCTTGAACCCAGGAGGCGGAGGTTGCAGTGAGCTGAGATCGCGTCACTGTACTCCAGCCAGGGCGACACAGTGAGACTCCATCTCAAAAAAAAACAAAAAAAAACAAAAAAAAATTAACAAATTAGCCAGGTATAGTGGTCCATGCCTATAGTCCCAGCTACTTGGAAGGCTGAGGTGGGAGCCCAGGAGGTTGAAGCTTCAGCGAGCCATCATTGTGCCACTGCACTCCAGCCTGGGCAATAGATTTAAGACCCTCTTTCAAAAAAAAAAAGCCTGGGCATGGTAGTTCATACCTGGAATCCCAGCAATTGGGAGGCTAAAGCAGGAGGACCGCTTGAGCCCAGGAGTTCAAGACCAGCCTGGGCAACAGAATGAGACCTGGTCTCTACAAAAAAATCAGCCAGGCATGGTGGCACATGCCTGTAGTCCCAGATACTTGAGATGCTGAGGAGGGAGGATCGCTTGAGCCCAGCAGGTCAAGGCTACAGTGAGCTGTGACAGAGCCACTGAACTTTAACCTTGGTGACAGAGTGAAACCCTGTCTCAAAAAAAAAAAAAACATTTCGCTATAACTAAATATCTAGTTGATGTCCAGTAAATTCTGTGTTAGGTACAAATGAAGCACGAAACACAGTTATTGCCTTCTACAGAATCAAAATCTAGTTGCAGGGACAATACATTTAAAAACGAAGTGATAAAGCAAGTACTAGGGTTGATTAGAGACCAGAAAGGGGAATAGTTTAGGTACATGAGGTCAGAGGAACTGGATTAGTCGAGGAATGCCTTTAGAAGGAAATGAGGGCCGGGGGTGGTGGCTCACGCCTGTAATCCCCGCACTTTGGGAGGCCGAGGTGGGCAGATCACGAGTTCAGGAGATAGAGACCATCCTGGCTTACACGGTGAAACCTGGTCTCTACTAAAAATATAAAAAGTTAGCCAGGCATGGTGGACACGCCTGTAATACCAACTACTTGGGAGGTTGAGGCAGAAGAATCACTTGAACCTGGGAGGCGGAGGCTGCAGTGAGCCAAGATCGCACCACTGCACTCCAGGCTGGGTGACAGAGCGAGAGCGAGACTCCATCTTAAAAGAAAAAAAAAAAGAAGGAAATGAGAATTGGGCCAGATAATAAAGGACAGAAAGAGCTAGGTAAAGGGAAGAAAAAAAATAAAGTAGATATTTTATGAAGGAGAAAACACTTTAGGAAGGAATTGTTAATGAGGATTTTCTAGCTTGCTAATTGAGAGAACAAGCTGGAAATATCAGAAGACTAGTTTTCACTGGCTGTGAGTGAAAATGACATATTGAATGCTAGGTTAAAAAGCTCGAATGGAAAGACAAAAATCAGTGTTTCAGGTAGATGACTCAGGCAGCATCAGTAGAAATGTTGTAATAGAGGAGAAAGAAGAAAGAGAATGCAGGGAATCCTAGGGGTAGAAGCCCAGACATGTCCTGAGGCAATGATATCCTAAAAATGCTTCAAGAAGATGAGAATAAGGTCATCAACAGTGGTCGTTCACAATGCTGATTTAATATAGTAGTAGGAACGTAAGGGAAGGCAACAAAGCAAGTCCATATTTAAAAGAAAGTGTCAAGAAAAAAGAAGGTTGTACTGGCTCTGTAAAGGAATTTTAAAAATTCTCCATTAGATTTGTTTTATCTACTTACTAAAGAAAACCTATTAATTAATGCTGCCTCATATCAAGATAATTATTCTGTTTCTGAAATAAGACAATAACGGAGAGGACTCTGTTATAAACAGAAACAGATTACGAGTTATAACAACTGGACTATTTAGTATCTTTCATGACGCTTGACAACTTTTGAAGCTTCAGTTTCCTCATGAAAAAAAAGGATAACATCTATTTCCTCATTATAGGTACAGTAAGAATTTAATAAAGTAAAGCATTAATCCAAGTGCCTTAAATACATCTTCACTGTCAATGATGAAGATCCAGTAGGAAGTTTTAACTATCTTTATAAGCCATTTAGGCCCATTATCATTAAGCATTTCTCACGGAGATTGGAGAGAAGGACAAAAAAGACTTTTTTTTCTTTTTTCCAAAAAAGGTTGAGATATGTTGAAATGGAGAGAATTATCTCAGCAATGTGATGAAGGATGTCCTTAGGAACCCTGTGGCAAATGTTTGGGGATAATCACTAAAGAGATAAACAAAAGCAAACCGCCAAGTACAGTTTGACAGCATGGCTAGTTGTTGGATTGCCTCATCTTCATCTTTGTTTTGTATTAACTACTCTGTGGGTTCGCTTATTTACTGAACAATTATTTACTGAGAATTTACTCTCTCTAACAGTGGTCCTCAACCTTTTGGCACTAGGAACTGGTTTTGTGGAAGATAATTTTTCCACAGACCAGGGTTGGGGGTGGGGTTGAGCGGGGAAGAGGAAAGTGGTTTTTAGGATAAAATTGTTCCACCTCAGATCATCAGGTATTAGTTAGATTCTCATAAGGAGCGTGCAACCTAGATCGCTTCCATGTACAGTTCACAATAGGGTTCCACTCCTATGAGAATCTGGGGCTGCCACTGATCTGACAGGAGGCGGAGCTCAGGTGGTAATGCTCTTTTGCCACCACTTACCTCCTGCTGTGTGGCCCCGTTCCCAACAGGCCACTGACTGGTACTAGGGGTTGGGGATCCCCTGCTCTCTGAGGTTATGTGATGGTACTGAATCAAAAAGATATCTAAGGCACATCTCTGATCTCAGGGACATCATCGTACTGAGCACTTAACCACGCTCCAGGAACCATGCCAAATGGTTTATATTTATTTCATTTAATCTTAACACTGGCCCTATGAGGCACTCAATGTTTGTAACTTCATTTTATAGTTGAGATTAAGAACCTGCCTAACAGAGTCAGGACTCTGCCTCCAGAGCTGGAACTTTGAACTGCTACACTTAACTGTTCATGGTGAGAGAAAAGATATATAAGGAATCCAGATGCTGAAAAGTTAGTATGTGATCTGTGATGCCTGGCTCTGGTACAAGTGTGAATTTTAAGAGACTCCAGTTTTGGTGCCTAGAAGCAAAAACATCTCAAGTCGCAGAGGTAACTTGGGGATAGGAATTGACATTGTGTATAAAGCAAAAGATAAATAAAGGCTTTATATAATCTGATACATAAAAATTAATTTTGTGTCAATAAAATAAATCCATTCAATTTATCCTCATAGTTCTGAGGGCAGGATATGCATAAAAAGATTCAAAGAATTAAATTTTATTCCAAAAGGCTTCAAAACAAGATGAGTTTCTAAATTCTAGCTTATTGGCAATGAAGGCCTGACAAGGAACATAAAGCAATGTAATAATTAGGATAAATAGGATAAAGAGACTCAATCACTGAGAATCTAAAAATGTATTTTAAAGAAAAGCAAATATTAACTTAAGCCTGAATTACATAAGTCTATGACACATGAACCCTCTAGACCTGGTAACTATTCTGAAAAAATACACATAAAGCAATTTCAAGAGAAAACAGTAGGTTGCCTGGCATCCATAATGGCTTTTAGAATAATTCTTTTAATAGGAAAATGTTATAAAAAGTCTTAAACTGATTATCTCTAGAAACATTAGCAAAGCAAAATAAGTTAAAACAAAATCAATATAATTTCAAAAGAATGTTAGGATATGCTTTTGTTCTCACCTGGGTTTTAATGTTTTCGGGATCATCGGCTTGGCTGTCTCGTTTTTGGCTTGGCTTCCAGGCATTTTCTGCCTTTTTCAGGTGTACATCTTCTTTTACAGAAACTGTGATGATCTTTCTGGGTTCTCTTCTTTGGCCAGGTTGAGATCTTCGTGACCCAACATTCAACAACTAGGACAAGAATATTACAGCTATTCAGAGTACTTACAATTTATTGGCTTTGTTGTGCTGTTCAAGTCAAGTCTGATGACTACGCCAAGCAATGCTAGATGCAAAGATTGGGTACTAGGTACTCAAACTGGAGGTAATCTTTTTTGGGGGTAAAAAAAATAACTTCAGAATACCATCAATGTAATGTTCTCCACCACTACAACTTTTGAACAAGAGGCCTTTTTGAACCAGATGTTTGACAAAGCCGTTACTTCTAATGAGAAAGACTAGTCCTAATTTAAGCTTATCTTTTATTAGTTGAATAACTGTGGACTGGTCACTTCAATAATTACAAAAATTCACAGGTAGGTATCATCATAGTTACAAATCTGCTAAAACTGGGTTTCTACAATCCCAGGGTAAAATGCAAATTTAATATCATCACTAAGCCTTACTGTAGATCATAAAAGATTCCACTCATTATGCTGGGTCAGAAATACTAAAATAAGCCCGTTATATATCATCAATGAGAGTCAAACTAAATTACTCCCTGAAAAAAAAGGCTTCCTTTTATTTGTCTGCTCTGTTCCTGCTGGATTCCCACTATACCCTTATGTTAAAACCAATGTATGTTGCCATGTTATACTGCCAGCACACTAAGTAGAGATAACAGAGTAAGTTAAAAGTTGCATTTTGTGTATCAAAATATTCATAATTACTATCTTAAATGCTTGGAAATAATTTTTCAAGGTTAAATATTTGGGTTGATACTAAGCTCTGCTACCTTCAAGCAGACCTGCTGCATGTTGACAACCTTTACTTTTTCTGATATATCATTCTGTTAGTGCTGGGCAAATACTGCCACCAGATTTTTTTTTTTTTCTTTCTGAGTTGCACTGAAGGGCTAGCCATTAGATTTCAAGAGAGAATAAAAACTTCATACAAAGCACACATAGATGAGAATCATTTCTCACTTAAGGCCCCAATGCTGCCCTTTTGAATTCATTTAACGCTTCAGAGAAAAAAGTCTAGACTTTAATGTCATTCATTACATAAAAATACAGTTTCTAGGCGATAACACAGTCTGGGGCCTAAGCTGATAAGCTCAAACACCTTTACACATCAATCATTCTCAGAATTATTCCTTTATGCTTCACCATCTGCCCCAATTAGAAATGGTAGTATCAAGAATGCATCAGGATCAAAAGTTAGGGTTTCTGCAAAATTTCACACCAATCTTGTCAAATGCATCCAGCTAAGGATACAGTACTGATGATATCACAGATTATTTGATAAACATTAAAAAAAAAAAACAAACAGGTCAGATAAACCCAGAGGTATGAGACACATGGTATAACTGAAAGGAAATAAAGATCATCAGATTGGAAAAATACCAACAGGGAACAGTTGTTAAACCAGACAGTACTACTATAAGAACATAAATTGTAACTGAAACTTTAATATAGTAGCCCAGAAGAAACAATTCTGATAGAAAAATGTGGTAATCAAGTAATGCCTGATTTTTATAATTCAAGTTATATTCTAGTGTTGACTTATATGGATTAATAACTTACTAAATGGTTGGCTAAACCTCAGGTAAACAATTATATCACAAGATATTTAATTTAATCCATGCATTTGTACATAAACATTGTCAAGAACAAATGTTTCTGGATGCAATGAAAGGAAATTATGTCAAAACCAATTAAGAGCCATAGATGCACATTAGGAGACAAAGTCAGAAAATGCCCATTACCAAAACCTACTGCAAACACCAATGAATAAATATGCCTTGAGATTTGAATCTGGAAAATGGCAATATGATTTATTCCACACCTCTTTACCTGACCCAAGACAAATATGTGTGAGTTTCAAATGAGCAACAGAGAGACGTGAGAAAGTAACAATAATGCTTCAAAGGAAAAAAAACTTTGAAAAGCTAACTGATAAATTGTTAGTCCAGGATAAAATAGTTAAAATTATAACCCACGTGAAAGCACCCAAGAAAAAATTTTAAATTATAATTGTATCTCTGGTTATAACTAAGATAAAGACACTGTTCTCAAATATTTATCTAGCTATTAATAGATCTACTATACTTACAAATTCTTAATATGTTCAATTAATCAATCTCTAATGTGCCCATATTTACACTCTGAGAATGAATTCACTGTTTGGAATAGCAATGCCTGGAAAACTGTGGTGTAGTGAACTTAGGAGACAAAAGAATCAGAATCTAGAGTCCAAATCTGCTATATATGAGCAAAGTTACTATAGGCAAGTCTCTTAGTTTTGTTGTTTTCTCATATATACAATGCCAGCCCTACCTGAAAACATTATTGTGATTATAGGATATAAACCATGTAAAAGGACCCTAAAAACTATATTATCATCAACACCAAAGGATCAAAAGGAACTTTTAAAAAACTGATACATAAATTTAAACATTTCATGTCCCTTTTTGTGTGTGAAAATCTTAATACAGATAATCAAATTTATGGTATCCTTCAGAAGTAGCAACATATGATGAATGATTTATATACTAAACACACAAAAAATCTAGGATCCTGTGCTAAGAGGTATGGGCTACACAAAAAGAAACGACACCTGGTTTCTTTCTTTGAAAGACAGTACTTTAAGGAACTTTAAGGTATAATGTGCTCAAGGTCCACAATGTCAAAACTAAAAATCTCAAAGTCTGGGGTTGATTAGTGAGCCATTTTCTTTTTTCAGGTGACGTTAAAGTTTGCATTTTTTACCCACTGTCAGTTTTCAAAAATGTATTATGAAATTATACCCATCTCCGTTTTGCAATTTAATATACATCATTCCTATCTTATTCAGAGACTGTAATCTTAAATTCCACTGCCTACTTGGATAACCAAAGAAAAGAGAATCAATATACACCTAAATTTTTAAAGAAGGAAGACAACCAAGTGTTCCTTTAAAGAAAGACTTTACTCCTAGGATTCTTCTTTGCTGCTAGGATTTTTATGATTGATCAGTTTATCTCAAAAGTTAGTTAAAATAAGTATAAATGGCAAATTACTTATATAGGTCCAATGCTCCTCTTAAGATATATTTTTTGGAGTGCTTTCTGTGATGTCCGCAAAAAGACTACTAACACAACTGATAAGTAATTTTATTTATTTTTTTTATTTTTTGAGACGGAGTCTTGCTCTTTCGCCCAGGATGGAGTGCAGTGGCACGATCTCGGCTCACTATAAGCTCCCGGGCTTACACCATTCTCCTGCCTCAGCCTCCCGAGTAGCTGGGACTACAGGCGCCCGCCACCACACCCGGCTAATTTTTTGTATTTTTAGTGGAGACGGGGTTTCACCGTGTTAGCCAGGATGGTCTTGATCTCCTGGCCTTGCGATCCACCTGCCTCGGCCTCCCAAAGTGCTGGAATTACAGGCGTGAACCACCACGCCCGGCCCATAATTTTATTTTAAAAATAACTAAAGACATGATATTTCATGGTAATTTCCAACAGATATGCACTTTACTATCCAGTGAAGGACACTTAGGTTTGAAAACTACGTAGCTGCATATGACATTTTAAAATCATTGGCATACATTAAAAATATTTTATAGCAAGTCTGTTACAGCAAAGTTTTTGGTTTTTTGTTTTTTTTTTTAGACAGAGTCTTGCTTTGTCACCCAGGCTGGAGTGCAGTGGCGTGATCTTGGCTCACTACAGCCTCCGCCTCCCGGGTTCAAGCGATTCTTGTGCCTCAGTCTTCTGAGTAGCTGGGATTACAGACATGTACCACCACGCCTGGCTAATTTTCACATTTTTAGTAGACACACGGTTTTGTCATGTTGGCCAGGCTGGTCTCGAACTCCTGGCCTCATGTAATCTGCCCACCTCAGCCTCCCAAAGTGCTGGGATTACAGGCATGAGCTGTAGAAAAGTTTATATTAGAAGTCATGGCTACTTAAGATAATAATGGGGCATACCTCATAGATTTTAATATCATTAAGTGATAATTAATTATAAGATAATTTGGAGAACTGGAAAAAGTTATTTGAAGTATGGAATCAGAAACTGCAAAGAGTAGGGCTGTTGCTTTTTTCCAAACAGCATTATTTCTGTCCTGTTTTTTTGAGACAGAGCCTCACTCTGTTGCCCAGGCTGGAGTGCAGTGGTACAATCTTGGCTCACTGCAGCCTCTGTCTCCAACCTCTGTTTCCCAGGCTCAGGCAATCCTCCCACCTCAGTCTCTCAAGTAGATGGCACTACAGGTGTGTGCCCTCATGCCCGGCAAATTTTTGTATTTTTTGTAGGGACAGGATTTTACCATGTTGCCCAGGCTGGTCTTGAACTCCGGGACTCTAGCAATCCACCCGCTTTGGCCTCCCAAAGTGCTGGGATTACAGGCATGAGTCACTGTGCCTGGCCATTTTTGTTCCTTTATATGTTGATATTTATGTCCTATGACATTCCCATCTGTATCTACATCAATATACCAAGGTAAGCTGGGCAAATTAAGTGGAGAATGTCTGTTATCTAGGAGATAGGCTGGAAGAATAACTTGTGTTAAGGCTTAACATATCAACATTACCCTGAGACATCAAAATTTCTCTTAAAAACTAGCTTCTGACACAGAACAAAGCTGCTTAATAAAAGTAAATTAAATAATTAAAGTTGATCTTTTTGGAGCTACTACAAATTCTAGATAACATCTCACTTCTAGTCACATTACTTTGAGTGTACCAGAATAACTCACTGATCTCACATACGTAGGTATACAGAGGAGTGGTATATGCTGTGATAAAGTTACTTTTGAAAATCATTTTCTATTTTCAATAATTTAAAAGAGACATTGCTTATTCTAAACTCACAATATTTCCTTTTTGTTATAACTAGTTATTAGCAAACAATGACTAGCAAGCTGTTAGTGAAAAGTGACACTGGAAGAGGATTTATACATTTTGTGAGTCACATATCAACAACATTGGGCAATATGATAATAACCACAGATGCTATTATCCACAGAATATTCAAAATAGCATCAACATTATTTCAAATATTTGGCAAAACAAAGATATAAACCAAAACCAAAATGAACAGTAACACAAATAAAAATTTCAACATTAAAAAGGGAAATAATACTGAAAAAAAAGGTATAAAATGGGCCGGGCACAGTGGCTCACGCCTGTCATCCCAGCACTTTGGGAGGCCGAGGCGGGTGGATCACGAGGTCAGGAGATCAAGACCATCCTGGCTAACACGGTGAAACCCCGTCTCTACTAAAAATACAAAAAAAAAAAAAAAAAAAAATTAGCTGGGCGTGGTGGCAGGCACCTATAGTCCCAGCTACTCGGGAGGCCAAGGCAGGAGAATGGCGTGAACCTAGGAGGTGGCAGGGCTTGCAGTGAGTGGAGATCACGCCACTGCGCTCCAGCCTGGGCGACAGAGCGACACTCTGTCTCAAAAAAAAAAAAAAGGGTATAAAATGGTTTCTAGAAAGCTGCTTTCTAAGACTTTCTGGTGAGGTAACTCAAGATTTAGAAAAATTTTAATTTAGTATTTCCTGAAAATAGATAAATGTGTGAGAAACAGAGTATCTCACATACACAGGTCTCTAAAATGGTGATGGATTAATGGCTCAATAAACAGTATGCTTCAAATTCAGGTGGTTTTCGGTAGTTTTACAAAGCCTCCAACACACTGTAGGCATTCAAGTATACGCCATCACTGTTCGGTTGCAGGAAAATAATCAAATAATTTAAATATCTACAAAGTGACATTTGTTTTCAGACAATGTAGTCTTATTTCAAAGCAGGTTTCAAAAGTTGCCATTTCAGAAATAAAAAGGTGATGCGGAAACAAAAAGTGTCACCTTACATAAAATGAAGTAACACGGTTATCTGCAAATGTACATCAAACCCCAAGCTCCTCCAAAATGTTAGATTTATTGCTCTCTATGCCATTCTAACTTGGGGAAAAGAGACATTCAACATCATTGGCAACTTTCCCCATGCTTTCTGCAAGTCTACAAAGCATGGAGTAGGCAGAGCCTGCCGAATCCTGCACAGTGCAGTGCCCCAGCATAACTCCACTGGTGATGCCACTTCCACCGCTGAAAGAGCCTGCCACTGGGGGTGTAATGGCAATCTGCAGTTTACCAATACTGCACTCTTTTGTACATGTCATTTGTTAAAATTTTGACTTAACAATCAATAGTAAATAAAAAGAGCGTAACAGAAAATATTATAACACCAGAGACTATTATTACAAAAAACAAAGTGTTCAGCGCACCCCTAGAGGCAGGCTCTTCATGGGTGGGTGTGACATCACCAGTGGAGGGCAAGTTGGGGCTTTGCTCTGTTCCAGAATTGGCAATCCATGCCTGCTCTGCACTTTGCAAATCTGTAGAAACAAAGACAAAGACATGATCATTAGCTGAATGTCATCAGAGATCTCCAGTATTTTAGGACACCTCAAAACAAAACAGGAATCTTATCAAGGTTGGCTCGCTCTGTATATATATTTTTTCAGAGACAGGGTCTTGCTTTGTCGCCCAGACTGGAGTGCAGTGGCATGATCATGGCTCACTGAAGCCTGGACTTCCTGTTCTTGTTTTGTCACCCAGACTGGAGTGCAGTGGCATGATCATGGCTCACTGTAGCCTGGACCTCCTGGGGTCAAGTAATTCTCTCACCTCAGTCTCCCGAGTAGCTGGGACTAGGACTATAAGCATGCGCCAGCATGCCTGGCCTATTTTTTTCTTTTCTTTTTTTTTTTTTTTTTGTGGTAGAGACAGGGTCTCTCTTTGTTGTCAGGCTGACCTTGAACTCCTGACCTCAAGTGATCCTCCTGCCTTGACCCCACAAAGTGCTAGCATTACAGACCTGAGCCACCATCCCTGGCCATGGTTGGCACTATTTTTAAACCTATTTGCAGGTCACCTCAATTGAAAAAATAGGGAAAAAAAAAATCAAGACCAAATTAATGCAGACTAGCTTCTGCCAAGTAAAAAGAACTCAAGTGTATTCTTTATCTGCTTTAATATGAGTATGGAAAGGATAGTCTTTGCCTCTTCTTCTTCTTCTTGACTAGAATCAACGAATAAAAGCTGCTGTCTTGCCATGAGGTAGGATTTCATGGAGTCTGTGCCAGTGTCTAACTAAGTGAGTTGTAGGGAACTTGCACTTACAGGTACGCCTCTTCCACCAGGTGTCTGCCTTCCAAAATCAGCAAAGGCTGGTGTAAAGTCTGGTCCTCGAGGCAAAATTCGAGGATCCAGAGTTCGCATTGGCAATTTGGGTTGGTTGATCTGCATGAAAAAGCAAAAGAAAGCTTAATACATGTTCCAGAGCATTCCCTGCCACAAAAGATAACAAAAATTTTTACTGAAAAGTTACATCAGCTGAAACGGTAAGCACCAGCTTTGGAACCCGCAGAAGTCCAATCTCATCCATGGCAGCTTCTCCTGGGCTACTCTTAGAGCCATTAGGCTAAAACAATGGTTTTCTGATACGCTGGGAATGATTTAGGCCTTAAATTTCCAAGTAGGGGCTATACATAATCAGCAGACTGGCTCACTAGATACTGAGGACCAACTGAATGGCACAAGACAAGATATTTTGAGATCCTCTATACTAGGGTCAAATTTTAGAATTAAAAAAAAATATTCATCAGGATATAGAGCACTTGCCTATACGAATCCTGCTACTGCTCATTTTAGTTTTGATGCTGTAGACTTATGGTTAGTAAAGAATGTACTATGAGTGGACAATAAGTCTTAGAGGAGACATGTTTCATAGGTGATGATTCATTTAAAATTTCACTGTCTGCCTTGTTAATCTGAGATATCTGACTTTGAATAAGCATGTAATGTGACCATGGACAACATAAAGTTAAGCAGATCAGTGAGAAATCAACTAATTAGTGGCCAAAGTCATAAACAGATAAGGCAGCAGGACAGGCAGGAATATTTTCTAAGAGGATAATTGAATTTGGTGGATATAACACTTGACTTCTGAGGTACTGAAGTAGCCTCAAATTAGCACCATTAATCAGTCATTCAGCTGTCCTCACATAAGTATCTAGGAGAGAAGACTTAGATACCACCAATAGAAGTAAGAAGACCTGTTGCTATAAGAAAGTAAAATAGTATAAATGAGTTCTGGATAAGCAGCTGCTGGACATCTTTACTAACCCATTTATGCCGGAGGCTGCAAATTTTTTTGCGTGAAAATTCAGACCTTGGTTATGACCTTGAAGAGTAGGATATAAATAACTCTCACAAACTTAGCATTCCAATAATGAAACACTAGGCATAAATCGGTTAAGAGGTAGATATGATTCCATAAGATAGTTAATCTCTACTTTTACATTTCTGTTCCTCTACAAAACAAAAATACTTCAAGCTTAATCATCAGCTCTGATGAAATTACTTTAGTAGATCTGACTTTACTCCTTTTAATTTAGTAAACAAATACTGACTGTACTAATTTGCTGTGTGCACCATAAAGATCAGATGCAAAGAGGAAGGATGCCTATTTGCACAAGATTGGAGAATTCAATCACTGGAGGTATCTATTAGGGAAACTTTGAGATACATATTATTTGAATCATGTTGACTCTCACTTATGTTTGATCTGCCAAATACCTTCCTAGATTTCTGACCTGTCTTCAATGCCAATAGAATTCCATAATGAACTTTTAGAACAATGAGGAAAGACCTCCGTATCAATTTAGCCATGTTTCCCCCAACAAACACAAAATTTTTTATTTCACCAAAAAACAGCCATAATAAGCAGATAAATCAATAAACATTAAAAAAAACCACCACTCCAACATGGGCCAAATCCCAAAATGACTGTAACCTATAAGAAACTCAAAATCCAACAGTGTTTAGGGAAACAAATTCTTAAACATTAGATATTTTTACATCATTTGGTCTAACAATTACTAAAAACTGCTCATACTTCACATATTTGCTCTTATAGTTAAAATCAGTTCCCACCAAAAAGAACTAGTTTTCTCTGAGTACGCAGCTTACCTTGTCAAGAACCACATCACTGATAGGAGGCAGGCCCTCTGGTTTTTGTATACAGGCAGGCATGAACTGGAAGTCCAGCAGAAACTCCCTGTCATACTGCTTCTTACCTTCAGTATCAGTAGGCTTCCAGGATTCTAGAAAGAGGAATATAGGCAGACACTGTTTGTAGGGCATTATATACAGTCATGCATTGCATAACGATGTTTCGATCAATAACAAACTGCATATACAACTGCATATACAACATTATAGCCCATAAGGCTATAATGAAGCTGAAAGGTTCCTATTGCCTAATGACACTGTAACTATCCTCATGTGGCAGCACAATGCATTATTCACATGTATGTGTTAATGGTAGTGTAAACAAACCTACTGTGCTGCCAGTCATTTAAAAGTATAGCACATACAATCAAGTATAACACATAATATTTCATAGTAACAAGAAATAACTACGTTACTGGCTTATGTATCTACTGTACTATACTTTTAAATCACTAGAGTATATTCCTTCTATTTATTAAAAAAAGTTAACTGTAAAACAGCCTCAAGCAAGTCCTTCAGGAATTATTCCAGAGGAAGGCACTGTTATAATAGATGACAGCTCTATGCATATTATTGCCCCGGAAGACCTTCCAATGAGACAAGATCTGGAAGTAGAAGACAGTGATGTTGATGATCTTGACCGTGTATAGGCCTAGGCTAATATATGTTTGTGTCTTAGTTTTTAAGAAAAATCCTTAACAAGTAAAAAGATAAATAATTTTAAAAATAGAAAAAAGCATATAGAATAAGGATATAAAGAAACAAGGCCAGGGATGGTGGCTCACACCTATAATCCCAGTACTTTGGGAGGCCAAGAGTTTGAGACCAGCCTGGGCGATGTAGTAAGACCTAATCTCTAGAAAAAAAATTTTAAAAAATTAGCTGGGCATGGTGACATGCAACTGTAGTCCCAGCTATCAGGTGGCTGAGGTGGGAAGATCACTTGAGTCCAGGAGGCTGAGGCTGCAGTGAGCTATGATTGCACCACTGCACTCTAGCCTGGGTAACAGAGTGAGATTCTATCTCAAAAAAAAAAAAAAAAAGAAAAAGAAAAAGAAAAAGGAAAAAGAAATATTTTTGCATAGCTATACAGTGTGTTTTAAGCTAAATATTATTATAAAAGTCAAAAAGTTAAAAAATTAAAAAGCTTATCAAGTAAAAAGATTAAGGTAAGCTAAGATTAATTCATTATTAGAGAAAGTACACATTTTAAAATAAATGTAGTGTGCCCTAATGTTTATAAAATCCACACCAGCACACAGTAATGTCCTAGGCTTTTACATTCACTCACCACTCATCTAGAACAACTTCAAGTCCTGCAGTCTCCATTCATGGTAAGTGCCCTATACAGTGTACCATTTTAAATCTTTTATATAGTATTTTTACTATACCTTTTCTATGTTTAGTTATATTTAGATACACAAATACTTACCATTATGTTACAACTGCCTACTATTCAGTATAGCAACATGCTGTACAGGTTTGCAGCCTAAGAGCAGTAGGCTACACTATACAGCCTAGGTGTGTAGTAGGCTAGAACATCTAGGTTTGTGCAAATACTCTTTTGTTTGCACAAGGAAGAAATTGCCTAATGATGCATTTCTCAGAACAAATCACCGTCATTAAATGATGCATGACCTACATTCCCTAAGAGTACAAACCACATTCCAGTATTTATCTCTTCATGAACAAACAAAAAATAGAAGGGAACAATGAAATACAGTCAGAAAATATGTAAAGATTTTAAACCATCACTTGTTCTTTCATCCCTTCTAAATACCTTTGAGTAGTAAAATAATCTAAAGCAAGTAGGAATCACTTCACATACACACTAAGTAACCTTTGGCCAGGGACATGTAATAATCCTCATTAAATAAATAACTTAGAAATAAGACTTAAATAACTAAATAACTTAAATAACTAAGAAATAAGGAACCTGATACAACCCTTGGCTTCATAAAAAAGGCTACTTTGGTTGTTCACTAGGAAATGTTATTTTAGAGAAAAAAAAAAAAGCAAAAGGACACAAAACACAGAAACAACTTATTTAAGATAATGAACTGTCTATGCAGTTAGATACTAAGTTTTTTCTCCTGCCTATAATTTCATCTAAAAAAAAATCACAGTTTTCTTATTTTAATTAATAAAACTCATCAAAATCAGACTCCAGATTACTTCCTGATAGCAGATTGGATCCTTCTTACATTAGAGATTCCTAATGTGTAGGTTATAGACCCGCTGATGGGTCTTTGAGAATATTCCAAATGTTTTCCACCATATCTTTATTACCCTATTATATTTATTAAAAAGTAGACAGCTTATTGGGATCTAAATTTCAAACTGTTTTTTTTCCAATGACTATTGTCTTTTTTCCAATTACTGCTGTTAAATATTACAAGGGCAAAAGGTAGTTGGTCAATTATAGTCAGGGCCTATACTGTAAAACTGATGGATGAAAAGAATTAAAATATAATATAAAATATAAGTAACATAAATTATGCAATATACAAAATATTAAAACATAAAATAAATTAATATAAAAATATAATTTGCATAGTCTAAAAATAGCAATAGTGTTTCCATTTTCTTAAGACACATTGGTGATGGCTACAAGTACTCTGTGACCTGGTACAAGCCTAGATCTTTTTCTTTATTTTTGAACACAGTATACAAGCCTAAGTTGACAAAAGCAATTGAGTACACTGAGTCCTAGGGTTTTTTTAAAAAAAGTTTTATGATAGCATAAATTTACAATTTCATAAAGCCCATTAACAGGATTTTACTGGTAGTGAAAGATCAGTATATCAAAGTGGTAAGGGCTGGGCATGGGAGCACTTTGGGAGGCTGAGGCAGGAGGACTGCTTGAGCACAAGAGTTTGAAAGCAGCCTGGGCAACATAGTGAGACCCTCCCTCTGTAAAAAATAAACAATAAATAAAAACTTTTAAAAATAATATAAAATAAAGTGGTAAGTACTAGTCATTGGTTTTCAAACATCTCTGACTACAACTCACAGTAAGACATAATGACTTCATGACCCGGGACAATTATAAACACATATATAACTACAAAGTTTCTAAAAACAATACTTATTCTTACTTACATGTAATAGACTGACATTTTTTATTATATTATCCTTTTTTAAAATGTTGGTTGTGACCTATTAATTTCACAATCTATTAAATGTATTAAATCCAACAGTTTGAAAAATATTGATCTAGATTACCTTTGAGGTCTGGTATTTTACACTCAAACCCCACCTCCTGCAAAACTTAGTCTAGATTTGGCAGACTAAGGAAAACTTTTCACCTACTCCAAACTTTCTTTCTTTCTTTTTTTGAGATGGAGTTTCGCTCTTGTTGCCCAGGCTGGAGTGCAATGGTACAATCTTGGCTCACTGCAACCTCTGCCTTCCGGGTTCAAGCGATTCTCCTGCCTCAGCTTCCCAAGTAGCTGAAATTACAGGCATGTGCCACCACGCCCAGCTTATTTTGTATTTTTAGTCGAGACGGGGTTTCTCCATGTTGGTCAGGCTAGTCTCGAACTCCCAACCTCAGGTGATCCGCCCGCCTCGGCCTCCCTAAGTGCTGGGATTACAGGCGTGAGCCACCGCACCCAGCCCAAACTTTCTGTCAAAGGAACCATCTTTCCTTACAGATCCATACCAAATCTCTCCATATATCTCAAAGTCAGTCACAGTTTATATAGCATTATGACAGAGGTTTAATGCATTTGATGGTATCTGAAGATAAAAAAATCCTCCAGGGTTTATATTTGTTTACCATATGTTTATCATATATATTCCTTATTTACTTGTTTATCATACATATTTACCACAGGGAACTTCCCATACTGCAGGTACTCAATACATTGTTTCAGAATTCAGTTCCACAGAGTGATTTCTGTCAACAGAGATCAAGTCTTATGAAAGATGACTAACGCCATCTCGAGGAATGTGGTAATATCTCTATATCCCTTTCAATTAAAACGAATGCAATAATTTTTAAAATCAAACTGCACCCACTAGCATGGCACTGTCTGATTCCCTCTGCCAGATGCTCTTCCAATGCCAGTAAAAGGGGAATACCAGTGTCGGGTATCATTTCCAGCAATACAGAACTCTCTGGATTTGCTAGTCACTAACTTGGGCTTGCTGATCTGTCCTGTAAATATTATATTGTGATAAACCTCTTTCTTCCATCCAGTATCTCTCTAAAAAGAGGCAACATTTCTCTAAGGTTGCAGTAGAGGGATAAAGAGGTACATAGGAAGGCAGGTATAAACTTACCTGGTTTAAATGGAAATGTAACCCCATCACCAGAACTATCTGTGGAGCCTGAATTAGCATCTATTCCTTCACCCTCAGAAACACTCTCAGCACCATTACGTACTGGCTCAGCTTCTTCTCCATTTTCTTCCACAGCTTTCACTTTTTTTAGGTCAGAGGGGTCTCTTTCAGGATGAAACCCCTGGCTCATTTTATCTTGTTCAGATTCAAGTACTTTGTCAATGGAAAGCTCCTCTTCAGCTTTAAGCTAAATAATAAATGAACAAAGAGGTTACATTTTTTTCCACGGGTGTAAATATACATAAAAACCTACATCTACTCCCTTCAAAAAGCAAAGGAAAACATGTCATTCAAGGTAAGAATGTCTGTGTTCAGCATGTGGTATTAGAATGCTGAGTTTAAAAAAAATACTTTTCTCATTTCAGCACCTAGGAAAAGGAAGACCATTCAAATGGCTGCTGAAATGCTTTAACATGAGACTAATAATATCCAAATATACCAAAGGTTAGAATGGAAAGAACTGTTAATCCATGGAACTTTATGAACATGAAAGAGTCCTAGTCAGAATCTAAAACAAGCACTACACTACCCTTGCCATTAAAGCTCAACAAATATAAAAAGAAACACTGGAGGGTATTTTTTACACTGTCTTCTGGCTGTGAAATTGACAGTCTGGAGAATAGCTTAAAACATCTAAGTCCTATAAAACTGATCATATCTCATTTTACAAAAAGGCCACTTGCTAGTTAAAATCTATTTTGTTATTCGTTCTTAGACTTCTCTGAGGCTGTGACCATATAGAAAAATCTTGTATATAAAAAAAAAAAAAGAGAGAGAGAGAAAAAAAAAAGAGAAATCTGGGTTATGGAGTATCACACCTATTTTCAGAAGGCGAAAAAGAATTGAAGTTATTCCCTAGATTATTTTTGACCATCTTAGCGTCAGATATCAAACACAAATGGCTCTGTAAAGGCCTCATGAATCTTCAAAACTCCTTGAGGCAAAGTTCTCTGTGAACTCTTTTCACGATGGGTATGCACTCTGAAAACAATCCTCTGAAACAACTACTCAGAGGTGTTCTAATTGATAAATTCACACGAGGAGAAGAGCCAAAAACTGGAGCTGGTTCAGCAGAGGATAGTGTAAAGTAGTGTCATATATAGCAGAAAAAAGTTCACCCCAAATAATCTATGAAATTATGTTTAAAACAATTTTTGAGTGACAAATACTTCTTTGTTAGATAGTATTAAAACAGATATAATACTAGTAAATTTTCTTTTACCATATAACAGATCATGGTTGAAAAGCCAATAAATTGTTTAATGTTATCAACAGAAACAGATGGTTTTTAGACTCTGTTTCTAATAATGGAAATAAAAAGTTCATGCAAATATGCACAAACACCACCCCACACCTATTCCCCCGACTAATTCATGGAAAAAGATAGTATATAAAAACCCTCAAAAGACAGACAGACATAATATTCCAAAAAAATAAGTTTGGAAACAATTTATTTTATAAAGCATGGCAGAAAGTAGGTATCATTTAAACATTGAAAAAACCAGATCTACCAAATTTGAATCATGAATCAGCAGCCTCATTTTTAAAAATTTTAGACTCTACTATAGTCTAATTATAATAATCTTATAATACCATCTCATAATTAAGTACAGGTCATCAAGAAGACATTTAATAATCTGAGATATCAGTATGTAAATGGTATTTAAACTTATTAAAGAGCAACATAACCAAATTATACAATTATACAGAATTCTTATTTCAGATCTTATAAAATGTGAAACTTTTTTTTAGAGAATACAGTGCATCCTCTTCTCTGTACCTACAATCAACAACAGTCTATCATATATAAACAGAGGCTGTATTACTTAGAAATTTAATTTCTAACTGGAAAAAGAAGTATAAAGAAACTAGTTCTATGAATAACAAACCATAATTCAGAGAACACAGAATCACTGAATTATCTGAGGTGTATTACTATGAGGGGTATTTGAAGAGAATAACAAAAATAGCTTAATTAAATATTTATGGGTTTTTTTTAAAGCAGGATAAAATCCTAGTCAACTAGTCTGTACAGTTCCTAAATTGTTTATGCAGAAACAGATTTAAGAAAGAGATGACTTCATTGGCTGGACAGCCAAAGGTAAACCTTTTATAGGAATCTGTTAAGAATTCACTTGACAGAACTCTGTGCTTAATGCAATGTTTTTTAAAAGTGCTAGAAAATCAGACTGGCAACTATGTATATAATAATTGATGAAATGCTCTAAAATTTTAAAACTTATTTTAAGATACTTTGCCAAGCAATTTTAATATGAAATCATCCTTCATCCTTACTTTTCTAGGCTATAATTTTTTTTTTTTTTTTGAGACGGAGTCTTGCTCTGTCACCCAGGCTGGAGTCAGTGGCGCGATCTCGGCTCACTGCAATCTCCGCCTCCCAGGTTCAAGCGATTCTCCTGCCTCAGCCTCCTGAGTAGCTGGGATTACAGGCGCACACTACTACGCCTGGCTAATTTTTGTATTTTTAGTAGAGACAGGGTTTCACCATGTTGGTCAGGCTGGTCTCAAACTTCTGGCCTCGTGATCTGCCCTTCTTGGCCTCCCAAAGTGCTGTGATTACAGGCGTAAGCCACCATGCCCAGCCTCTAGACTATAATTTTGATAAATATCTTTAATAATGCAACAACCTAATATGTAACCCAAATAAGCTGATACCAGAAACAAATTATTTTAAAAGCTGACAAAATAAATCTAAGAAAGGGGGAGCCTGATTAGTGGAAATGAAGACAATGGCATCCAGTATTTACTACACTATGCCAACAAAAGCTCAGTTTTAGGAAAGACAGAAAAAAGGATTTCTGAAAGAAGTCACTATGTAAAAAGCAAATATTTTTTGTCTTGCTTTAGTTTTTAAAAATTTTTTAGGTTATTTTATTTTTTTGAGACAGAGTCTCGTTCTGTTGTCCAGGCTGGAGTGCACTGGCACAATCTTGGCTCATTGCAACCTCCGCCTTCTGGGTTCAAGTGATTCTCCTGTCTCAGCTTCCTGAGTAGCTGGGATTATAGGCGCGCGCCACCACGGCCAGCTACTTTTTGTATTTTTAACAGAGATGGGGTTTCGTCATGTTGGCCAGGCTGGTCTCGAAATCCTGGCCTCAAGTGATCCTCCTGCCTCAGCCTACCAAAGTGCTAGAATTATAGGCATGAGCCACTGCGCCCAGCCTTGTCTTAAACTATAAAGTTAAGAAAAAGTGATTGGTTCAAAATAAGTCAAAACAGTTCTTGTGTTTCAAGAGTAACAAGCTAAAGAAGCTTTATAGCAAACTCTGGCCCGAGGGCCAATTCTGGCTCACCGCCTGCTTTTGCACAGCATACAAGGTAAGGATGATATTTATATTTGTAATATCTGAAAAAATCTGGAAAAATATTTCCTGGCATACAAATTCACATTTCAATGTCCACCAATAAAGTTTTGTGAAGATACAACCTTGCTTCTTTCATTTACACATTGTTGATGGCTGCTTTTAAGCTACAGCGGCAAATTTGAGGAATTGTGACAGCCTAAAATATTTACTATCTGGACCTTTACACAAAAAGTTTGGTGAACCTCAAGCTGAAGATTAGGATGAATATTTGAAGGCAATGGAGGAGTGGCCTATATAATATTCAATAATGCTTAGAAATCCAACATGAAGTATAACAGAAGAAAAATAACAAAAAAACCAGCTGAATCTAAAAAGAAAGAAGTTAATGAAGCTCTTAACAGCCACAGCAGGAATGTATGTGATTCCCATGCCTCTGGAAGGTATTTTATTCTCTGTAGGAGGAACATTTTCAGGTTCAGCTGCAAAAGGAGTGCAATGACTATTTGCACCTCTATACCTTACTGCCAAGTTTTACACCCTAATAACCACAATGAAATCACAACGATCAACATTTTAGTGGTTGCTATGGGACTAACAGTGACATCAACACAGCATCATGTAACAGCAATGAAGGCACAGGGGAGGTAACCAAGGGGTACTGTTAGATACCCAAAGAAGGTAAGAATTATAACTTGCTAAAAAAGCCGAATGAAGTAAACACACTCAAAGTTATCTTAAGATAATTTTTATATTTTATCATGTTAAACCTTGAGTAAAATTTTAATTTTATCATGTTAAACCTTGAGTAAAATTATTTTAATAAAGTAGCTAAAAGAATAGTCAAAAAAAGGGAAAAAGCTACATACAGATTTACATTGCTCTTCATTTATAAGCTTCAATACATAATGCTAAGGATGTTGAGATTACAGACAAGGAAATTGTTAGAGTAATCCTTAGGACTGATTTGTCCTTTTTCTTCCTCACATTCATCTCTTGGACTTGGTATGTTTTAATCTGAAGCAAAATCTCGCATGGCTTATTTTAAGACAGACAACCATATGAAGAAAAGTTATGTTTCTGGGATGCAGTTAACAGATGACAGATTCAAAATCAATTCCTTTATAATGTACTAGATGAATTCTACCACCATTACTAATGGTATTTTTAAAAACTCTCCATTTTTGTTTACCAGATTATCTTTCTATCCAGTTAATACAAACAAAAGTTCTAGTTGGGGGAAGAGGAAGGTTAACCAAAAATTGTCATTTTATTTATTTATTTGAGATAATGTTTCACTGTGTTGCCCAGGCTGGAGTGCAGTGGCATGATCACATCTCACTGCAGCCTCCACCTCCAGGGCTCAAGCAATCCTCCCACCTGAGCCTCCCGAGTAGCTGGGACCACAGGTATGCGCCACCATGTGTGGCTAGTATTTTAAAACATTTTTGTACAGTCAGGGTCTCCTTATGTTGCCCAGGTGGTCTCAAACTCCTGGGTTGCAGTGATCATCCTGCCTTCACCTCACAAAGTGCTGGGATTACAGTTGTTAGCCACTGTGCCTGGCCAAGTTTGTTATTTTAAAAGAGGTATTTTGAAAGAAAAATAAGTATTCAATGAAATCAAACATGTTACTAAAAATCTTTTTAAAATTCTAATATAAAATGGACTTAAAACAATTAGTCTCTGAGCTTGATATATTAAGTTTTGCTTGGAAAACTATTTCAATAAATAGGTATAAACACATACCTGTCTATGAAATGGCACCACTGCTCTGAATATGAACTTAAGAGATTTGCTTACCTCCAATTCTGCCTCTAACATCTCTTCAGTGGTTCGGGTCCGATCTTTTGGTTTCTTCCATGTCTTTGGTACAGTTATAGCTATTTGAGCTGAAATACAAGATCAGGCCCATTACTTGCCACTGCAAAGTCATTCTGAGAAATATTAGGTCTAAGTGATACCTATATTCAAATTAAGCAGGATAAAAGAGAACTTTACCTATACCAAACAAATAGTTGGCTGATCAAGTGAACAATTGTGTAGTAGCCCAGAGATTGCAACATCAAGTGTTGTGGGTACAAACTCGTAGCTTTCTAACCAGTGGCCTGCGTTCTTCCCATTTCATGGTTAGAAATATCCCAGCATGTAATTCAACATGTGATGAGTACATACATAAGAAAACTGACTTGTGATTCAGTTCTAGACCTGGGTCTACTTCTATTCATCAACTATGTGAACTTAAGCAAGTCACAGGTCTCAGGCCCCTACATTACTCAGCTATAAAGTATAAGAGTGAGACTAGATATCTAAAGTTACTTCAAGCAATAAAAAATAATACGCTCAGGATTCTGTTATTTTTAAGTTTTCTAGACAACAAAAGGATACTTCAATTAAGGTTTCATTAGATAGGCAGCATTTCTGAAACATTCTGTTTTCATCTCAGATCAGGACTGTTTGCCTAGCCTTTCATATTGATAGAGTGAAAACTAAGAAAATAGATAATTTTTACTGAATTATTCCATTGTTTCAGATTTCTAGATTAAAGGATTAAGTTTACAAAGGGCTTTAAAAAATTCATCTGGCTTACAAATTCCACAGAATCATGGGTGTATAAGTGAAAGACATTTTAACCATCAGATAGTAAGCTGATGATATTAAACTGCTTCTACAGAGGGCAACTTATGAATCAATAGACAAGAGTGAGGTACTATAGAAGGATGAACAAGGAGAAGAGTTAAAGAAAGGCCACTTAATAGGGAACATTACCAAAAGCAAATAAACACAAAGCTAAAGGGTATCATCTAATCTGATTCCCTACAGAAATATAAGATAATTCACTGAGACTCTGGGACAGTCTCATCTTTTTTGGTATGACAGTAGAACGTGCACACACACTTTTTGGTGGAACACACACTTTTTGGGGGAACAAGAAAAAGGAGACGTTTAATATTAATTTTTTTCCTCAAAATTACTGTACCATCTTAAAAAATACTCTGCATGTCTTCTTTGTTATACACATCTCACACCAATTATTCTTTTTTCTTCCCCTCAGGAACCATTAAGGAAACACTAATAGACCAGCTGACATTCTTCCTTTGTGTCCTACTCAAGGTAAATTTTTTCAAAGGATGGAAACCATGGGTGGGTTTAAATTTGCTATTGTCTCACAGGCTTCTACTGAATACATATATTCAGCAGTTGTCTCTTTGCATTTTTTGTGGATCTTCTGATTTGATATAACCAGTCTGTTTAATGCATTTCCTCCAAAATTCTTGTGATTTTCAACTCTGCTTCCATAGCTGAATCTTTTTAGGAGTTATAGAGTTCAGAGAATCTGTAATTTTATTTTGTTTTGCATTTGTATGAATTTAGCTCTAAATCTCATTCATGGAAAAGAGGAAGAACAATTTTTTGGAGGATTTTTGGGGCTCAAATATAAGCTCAAAAGGAACTTCCTCTAAACAACAAAAAACAAAGATAAACTTTTCTTTCCACAAATATATCAAATATACTCAACCCCAAAACATGAAACAAAATATTTCTTCCTTCAGTAATATAACATATTTAACATACTTGGAAAAAAAACAGCTACTGAGCCAGTGAGAATTGTTACTCATCTTGTTTAAGTGGCTATTTAAAGTCTTGATTTAAAACAATAATTCAGAAAAAGAGGGACAGAAAGAGCACAGACTTCTTTAGGAGACACTTAGTCCTTAAAAAAAACTGGATACACACACACACACACACACAAACACACACACACCCCTAATGCCCAGTGAGGTTGGGGCATATATCCCTTCTCCTACAATTACTGATAGAAAGGTGCAGTAAAATTTGGGTGTGCTGAGGAATGAAGGGGGAGAAAAGGGAGTAGAAGGGAAGCAGTCAGGAAGAAAAAGGGAGAGGGAAGACAGAGAGTGACACAGATTTTCATGATAATTAACACTGATTAAACTAGAATGGGGGAATTAAATTTAAGATACTGTCTTAGATTCGTTCTTTACTTTCTAGTTCATTGCACAGGGAGGGCACTCGAATTTGTTGACTGAACAAATAATAGCAGTTCTAGGCAAAGGCAGTATTATTAAACTTCCCAAGGCAAAGACATAGATTGTTTCCTCCTTGTCTTGTATTAAAGCATGACAGGACAAGCGACAGTCTCTGCATAGGATTCATAATTACCTGGACTCCCCCACCTAAGAACTAAACTCTTACAGACACATTTAATTTCAACTACATTAAAATATGAATAAAAACAAAAATACAAAAAGGTAATGCTGATTTCCAGATTTTTGCAAATTTTTTTTTAAATTTTATTATTATTATACTTTAAGTTTTAGGGTACATGTGCACAACCTGCAGGTTTGCTACATATGTATACATGTGCCATGTTGGTGTGCTGCACCCATTAACTCGTCATTTAGCATTAGGTATATCTCCTAATGCTATCCCTCCCCCCTCCCCCAACCCCACAACAGTCCCCGGTGTGTGATGTTCCCCTTCCTGTGTCCATATGTTCTCACTGTTCAATTCCCACCTATGAGTGAGAACATGTGGTGTTTGGTTTTCTTTGTCCTTGCGATATTTTGCTGAGAATGATGGTTTCCAGTTTCATCCATGTCCCTACAAAGGACATGAACTCATCATTTTTTATGGCTGCATAGTATTCCATGGTGTATATGTGCCACATTTTCTTAATCCAGTCTATCATTGTTGGACATTTAGGTTGGTTCCAAGTCTTTGCTATTGTGAATAGTGCTGCTATAAACATACATGTGCATGTGTCTTTATAGCAGCATGATTTATAATCCTTTGGGTATATACCCAGTAATGGGATGGCTGGGTCAAATGGTATTTCCAGTTCTAGATCCCTGAGGAATCGCCACACTGACTTCCACAATGGTTGAACTAGTTTACAGTCCCACCAACAGTGTAAAAGTGTTCCTATTTCTCCACATCCTCTCCAGCACCTGTTGTTTCCTGACTTTTTAATGATCGCCATTCTAACTGGTGTGAGATAGTATCTCATTGTGGTTTTGATTTGCATTTCTCTGATGGCCAGTGATGATGAGCATTTTTTCATGTGTTTTTTGGCTGCATAAATGTCTTCTTTTGAGAAGTGTCTGTTCATATCCTTTGCCCACTTTTTGATGGGGTTGTTTTTTTCTTGTAAATTTGTTTGAGTTCATTGTAGATTCTGGATATTAGCCCTTTGTCAGATGAGTAGGTTGATTTTTGCAAATTTTTATGCTATTGGAACAAAATGTTTTTCTTCAGAGCTGTTTTGTAAAACGTCTAATGGACAAATTAACAGACATGTTTAATCATTGGGCTTTAGGGAGATTCTCTGTCTTCTCTCTATGTAAGTTTTAAAACTGTGCTACAGTTTACTGTTCCTACAGTTAATTGGAGGGAAACAATTTTTGATGTGTTACATCAAAAATTCTGTAACTGGAAAGGACTTCATCTTAAGATTTCAAAAAGAGCGCACCTTACAGTAACATTTTTCTGGTATCTGTAGGATGTAATACAAGTCATCCCCATAAATGGAAGAGTCTCTTAGTTTTTCATTTACTTTTTATGTGGGCTTAACTGGATTCAAATTGTTACTCCTGCAAATTAAGACCTAACAACTATCCCTATACAACCTAAGAGATAAACACTGGACTTGGAGACTGAGGGCTAGGGCTAATGTAAAAGTTTCATAAACTTACCGGTTTTTATAAAACCCACATGTGTTTTTAAAAATAGTTTTCCCTGAAGTCTGAGGTAGTTAGAATATGGAGGCTGGGCGCAGTGGCTCACGTCTGTATTCCCAGCACTTTGGGAGGCCAAGGCAGGCAGATCACTTGAGGTCAAGAGTTCGAGACCAGCCTGGCCAACACATGGTGAAACCGTGCCTCTACTAAAAATACAAAAATTAGCCAGGCATGGTGGCATGTGCCTGTAATCCCAGCTACTCGGGAGGCTGAGGCAGGAGAATCGCTTGAACCTGGGAGATGGAGGTTGTAGTGAGCAGAGATCACGCCACTGCACTCCAGCCTGGGCGATCGAGCAAGACTCCATTTCAAAAAAAAAAAAAGAATATGGAGAAAAACTTTTATGTAAAATTGTTGTACGTCTTAAAGGGATAGCAGAGTCAAGAGTAGTTAAGAGACAGGGATATAATGCATCCTGAGGAACTATTCTGTGTAGACACATGATCTAGAACATGCACTCTCTTTTTCTTTGCAGAAATATCAGCTCTTAAAGAAACTGCTAATAGTTAAGTCATGGTTTTTAGTCTAAAATCCTGACTCAGAAATGTTACACAGTAAGTACAAGAATGACAAACGTTACTGCTATCACTGGCATAATCTCCCTTTATCTAGATTATTTATTTATTCTAATCATAAAAAGATACACCCATTGAAGAGCACTTATAAAGTATAGACAGATATAAAGTTAAAAAAAACACCTATGTGTTATCTTTTGAGACATTGTAAACATTTTGGGTTATTTTATTTCCGAGATTTAAAAAGCATAATTATAGGCACATCACCTATTTAGTTTTATACTGTTTTTTTTGTTTGTTTGTTTTTGTTTTTTTCCCCCACAAAACTTCAAACAAGAATTTAAGCTTTATAGTTTTGGTCTTTGGGACTGTCCTAACAACAAATTAACTCTGTTAAAATTCTTATATAGTCAATCTGCTAATTTTTTTTTTTTTTTTTTTTGGAGACATGGTCTTCCTTTGTTGCCCAGGCTGGAGTACAGTGGCATGAACTTGGCTCACTGTAGCCCCAGACTCCTGGGCCCAAGTGATTCTCCCACCTCAGCCTCCCCAGTAGCTGGGACCACAGGTACCCGCAACCATGCCCGGCTAATTTTTTTAATGTTTTGTAGAAATGGTCTCTTACCATGTTGTCCAGGCTAGTCTGAAACTCCTGGGCTCAAGTGATCCTCCTGACTTGGCCTCCCAAAGTGCTGGGATTACAGGAGTGAGCCACTGCCACACTTGACCCAATCTGCTAAATTTTGATTAAGTGGTTAAAAGCTCGTAATTAGTGCTACGTAGCAGGATAATTTGAAAGCAATCAATTAATAGGGAGACAATTAAAATTAAAAAAGATTCTAAAAAGATGAATAGGCAGTGAAGAACTATAAAAGAGCTAAATGTACATGATTCTAAAAATTAAGACATTTTATTCAAAAGTAAATAGGAACTAAAAAAACCTTCTTGGCTGGGCATGGTGGCTCCCGCCTGGAATCCCAGCACTTTGGGATGCCAAGGTGGGCAGATCACAAGGTCAGGAGTTCAAGACCAGCCTGGCCAACATAGTGAAATCCCATCTCTACTAAAAATACAAAAATTAGCCAGGCGTGGTGGCAGGCCCCCGTAATCCCAGCTACTCAGGAGGCTGAGGTAGGAGAATCACTTGAACCTGGGAGGTGGAGGTTGCAGTGAGCCAAGATTATGCCACTGCACTCAGCCTGGGCGACAGTGTGAGACTCCGACTCAAAAAAACAAAAACAAAAACAAAACAAAACAAAAACCTTCTTGATTATCTTTAGAAAATCCACATAAGGATAAAATTAAACTGGTCAAGTTTCACATCTACTGTCAACAGGCAAATCACAGCACAGATTTTTATGAGCCACTTCTAGTAGCAAGGATTTGGATTCAGGCTAATGAGACTAAATGGGATTTTTAGAGAGTAGGTTAAGGTTAAAAAACAGAAAAGGGTAAAAAACACAAAATTATACCTACACTTCATTTATAATCATGTAAAATATTTATGTAAAAACTGGAAGGAAACAAAGAAAAGTTTAACGCTAATATGCAGGCTACATACTTGAACAATAAGTGGTTTCTCTTTGTTCTTCAATGCTTGTAATGATAATTTTAAATTGGGAGAAATAAAAAAGTAAAACTTTTAAAGTTGATTTTCATTCACTATTTCAAATTCTGTTTTATCCTGTATGACTAATCCACTTTAGTCTTGTTATAGATTGTAGGATAGATTGCTCTTTATAAAAATACTATTGGAACACATTCTTAAAACAGTTAATTTTACTGGGCACATTACAATTTTGTGTATGATTCTGATCTCCAGAGGATCTGGAGAACTTACGGAGTTCATAGAGAGTACTCATTTTATACCCGAAAAAACGAAAAACCAAAAATAGCATCATTCCACGTAGGTTAAAAGAATGTAAAAGAGGTTGAGAGCAGTGGCTCATGCCTGTAATCCCAACACTTTTGGAGGCTGAGGAGGGAAGACTGCTTGAGGCCAGGAGTTCAAGACCAGCCTAGGCAAAAAAGTGAGACCTCTACAAAAAATTAAAAAATTAGCCAGGCACGGGGTACAAGCTTGTCATCCCAGCTTCTCAGGAGGCTAAAGTAGGTGGATCACTTGAGCCCAGGAGTTGGAGTTGCAGGGAGCTATGACCGTGCCACTGTACTCTAGCCTGGGTAACAGACTGAGACCCTGCCTCAAAAAAAAAAAAAAAAAAAAAAAAAAAAGAATGTAAAAGCGCTAACTACATAAGACAGGTAAATCTTTAATCCCAGAGTATCCTACTATTAGCTATGCAACAATATAAATCTGACAGCAATTTTTAGATAAACTTAATATTGCTTCTCTTTACTAACTTATTTATTAATCAGGTAGTCATCCAAGTAAGTTGTAAGAGTTTAACATTTTTTCTATTTCCTTGGTATAATAAAGAGATCTTTATTTTCCTTTTATTTCCTTTCTCTCTCCCTTTTCTTAGATCTTTAGCTAAAGAACACCTGTGGTTAATTGCAAACACTTCCTCTACCCCTTATATAAATATAAATATAGATAGCTAGACTCTGTCACTTAAAAAAATAAAATAAAAATAAAATATACTGCACTCCAGCCTGGATGACAGAGTGAGGCTCTGTCTCTAAAAAAATAAGGCCAGGTATGGTGGCTCATGCCACCATGAGGTCAAGATTGGAGCACTGCTTGAGCCTAGGAGTTCAAGACCAGCCTGGGCAACACAGGGAGACCCCATCTCTACAGAATAATTAAAAAATTAGCCAGGTATAGTGTCATGCACCTGTGGTCCAAGCTACTCAGGAGGCTGAGGCAAGAAGATTGCCCAAGCCTGGGACATTGAGGCTGCAGTGAGCTGTGATCACACCACTGCACTTTAGCCTGGGTGAAAGAGTGAGACTTGGTCTCAAGATAAAATTTTTAAAAAATTAATAAAGCTGTTTTATTTTCTACATTTGTGGAGATAATTTTCTGGGTTGGCCTGAAGCGCCTGAATTGTGCAGATTAGCTGAAGATCTTGTGGCCACATAACGGCTAAGTAAGAGACTCTGAATTACAAAAAAGTCTCCCTTGTAGCTCCACATGCTTTTGGAATACAACATAAACTCCCTAGTTCCAAGGTTTGAAATTAATGTGTCCAGAGTCTGGGTCTCTTAGATTGAAGTGACACAAAACTGAGACTGCGAAGACTTTCCAACTATAGACACTTCACTAATGCTCAGGGAACAGCCCCGGTGCATTGCCACAGAGTTGTGCATAAACAAAGTAGAATGTTCTAATAATGGAACTTTCAGTGAGAGTTCCCATCCTTATCACCTGGTTTTAATCCCTTCTCATCCATTCTTGATATATTTTGACAATTTTTACTTTTTTCCAAGTTTTGAGATCTACAAGTTGGCACTAAATCATTCTGATTAGATAATATGCAAGAACTTTGTCCCTCTAGAGTTCCTATAGGCTGTGAATCCTATTCTGTCCCAAATCACCACCTCTTTTCCTTTCACAGATCTTCATGGGAATCTAGGAAAATATGATGATTTATCTAAGAAACTAAGGTGGCACAAAGAAGAAACCCAGGTGAGAGGATAAATTTTACAATGAAGATGTAATGACCTGAAAAGAATAACAATGGCGATGAAATATGTAAGAATGATGGGCCACTGAGAGATGGCAACCAAAAGAAACACTTGAGAGTTAGGTCTAGTGTTTTTCCGCATCTTCTCAGAGGTCGTTATTTGAAATGTATGTTGACTTGGTAATTAGGCTTCCCATGGTATGACAAAATCTTTCTGCTCTATCACTACTTCACAAAGAGCTTGAATTACATGAGTTAGTTTGGTGAGGTCCTAGCACTAGAAACAAAACAGTATAATAAAATGAGGAAACTAGACTTAAATTCTATCAAAAACAGCCATTTCACTTGGGGAGGACAAGGTGAGTGAATTGCTTGAGGCCAGGAGTTCCAAGACTAGCCTGAGCAACATAGTGAGACACCATCTCTACAAAAAAAATTTTTTTAATTAGCTGGGTGTGGTGGCATGTGTCTTTAGTCCTAGCTGCTTAGGAGGCTGAGGCAGGAGGATTGCTTGAGCCCAAGGGTTGATGGTTATATGATCGTATTACTGTACCCCACCCTGTGTGACAGAGCAAGAACCTGTCTCTAAAAACAACGAAGCCAGATATCTATAACACAATTTAAATTGTTTTACTTCTAGCTTTCATGTTAAATATCAAAGTAAAAGTCAAATCCAGGTTTAGTAATTTTATTTATATCCTCAATAACCACCTTTTGGTTTTATAAATTTTTTCCCTGTTTTCTTGTTATTTGTTACATTTGTTTCCTATCTGTATTATTTCCTTTCTTCTACTTTTTCTGTGTTTGTTCTTCTTTTAATAATTTCTTAAGATGAAAGTTGAGGTCAATTATTAGAATTTTTTTTTTTTTTTTTTTTTTTTGAGACGGAGTCTTGCTCTGTCACCCAGCCTGGAGTGCAGTGGTGCGATCTCGGCTCACTGCAAGCTCCGCCTCCCGGGTTCACGCCATTCTCCTGCTTCAGCCTCCTCAGCAGCTGGGACTACAGGCGCATGCCGCCACGCCTGGATAATTTTTTTTGTATTTTTAGTAGAGACGGGGTTTCACCGTGTTAGCCAGGATGGTCTCGATCTCCTGACCTCGTGATCTGCCCGCCTCGGCCTCCCAAAGTGCTGGGATTACAGGCATGAGCCACCACGCCCTGCCTTTTTTTTTTTCTTTTCTAACAGTTGCGGTTAGTGATGTAAATTTCCATCTATGTACTGCTTTAGCAGTGTGGTAGGCAGAATAATGGACCACACCAAAGATGCCAATGTCTTAATGCTTTTAACCTTGTGAATACGTAGCCCTACCTGGCAAAACTGACTTTACAAATGTGATAATAAAGGATCTTGTGATGAGGAGACTATTATCCTAGATTAACCCAGTGGATCCAATGTAATCGAAAGGCTCATTACAAGCAAAAGAGGGAGGTAGGAGAAACACAGAGAGATTTGAAGATGCTGTGTTGCTGGCTTTGAAGATGGAGGAAGGGGACACAGCCAAAGAATGTAAGCAGTCTCTAACAGATAAAAAAGACAAAGGAATAGACTCTTCCACAGAGCCTCCAGAGGAGTCACAGACCTGATGACACCTTGATTTTTGGCCCAAATGAAACCCATTTTGGACTTCTGACATCCAAAACTGTAAGATAATTAATGTGTATTGTTTAAGCCATTATGTTTGTGGTGATTACAACAGCAATAGAAAATAGAAAATGGGTGGGTTTTCATTTTCATTCGGTTCAAAATATTTTATAATTTCTGATTTCTTCTTTGACCTCTGCGTTATTTAAAAGTGTGTTAGTTTCTAAACATATGGGGGATTTTCCAGAGATATTTTTCTCACTGATTTCCAACTTGAATCCTTTTAAAGTTATTAAGCCTCGTTTCTGGAACCACAATATGGTCTATCTTGGTAAATCTTCAATTTGTATTTGAAAAGAATGTGTATCTACTGTTTGAATGTTTAGTCAATTAAATCAAGTTGGCTGACTATGCTATTCCAGCTCCTAGGTCCTTACTAGTTTTCTGTTTACTGGTTCTACCAATTCTGTGTTTTCCAGTTATGTCGATTCCTTATCTCTACTTTTTGAATATGTGAAATACAGTTATAGCAACCGTATCTAATAACCCTCTAATGATTTTGTCTGCTAATTCTAAGCATGTCAGTTGTGAGTTTCAATCGATTTGTTTTCTCCTCATCATGGGTCATATTGTTTTCATGGTGTCACTGGGCCAAAAAGCAAGAAGATATCATCAGGTCTGTGACTCCTCTGGAGGCTCTGTGGAAGAATCTATTTCCTTGTCTTTTTTATCTGTTAGAGACTGTTTGGATTCTTTGCAAATACTTGAGGAAGAAACAATATCAATTTTACACCAACTTTCCCAGAATATTGAAGGAGAAAACTCACTAACTCATCATTTGAGGTCTGCGTCGTTACCCAGATACCTAAACATGACAATCACCAGAAAACTACAGGCGAACATCCCTTATAAATTTAAATACAAACCCTCCGCCCCCGAAAAAAAAAACACTAAATAAAATTTTAGCAAGTAAAATTGAACAATACAGAAAAAGAAAAAAAATGTGATGGCCAAGTTTTATCCCAGGGAAGCAGGTTGGTTTAATATTCAAATGTCAAATATTTTCAAATAAGCAGTTAATAAACAAAAAAAACCATATGATTTACTAACAAATGTAGGAAAAGCAATTGATAAAATCCAATTTATATTCTTGACTAAAATAATTTCTCAGCAATCTAGAAATAAAAACGAAATTCCTCATCTAGATAATAAGAAACTGACAGTTAACATCATACTTAACGGTAAAAGATTGAATGATTTCTCCCTGAGATCAGAACAAGACAATGTTTACTTTTACCACTTCTATTCAACATTGTATTGAAGGTTCCAGCTAGTGCAGTAAGTCAAGAGAAATAAAGGGTGCATCCAGCTGGAAATGAAGTAAATTTGTCTTTGTTCAAACAAGATGATTATCCATATAGAAAAATCCAAAGGAATCTCTATGAAACAGCTAACAAGACTAGGAAGTATACTTAGCAAGGTTGCAGGACATGAAACTGATATATAAAAATCTATTATATATTGTATTTCCATATACTAGTAACAAAAATTGAAATAAAAAATACCATGTACACAAGCATCTAAAGATATAAATTTGACAAAAGATACAAAAAACCTATACACTAGAAACTCCAAACCATTATTTAGAGAATTAAAGAATACTTTAAAAAATGCCTCTGGGAGGCCGAGGCAGGCGGATCACGAGGTCAGGAGATCGAGACCATCCCGGCTAACACGGTGAAACCCCATCTCTACTAAAAATACAAAAAATTAGCCCGGGCGTGGTGGTGGACACCTGTAGTCCCAGCTACTCGGGAGGCTGAGGCAGGAGAATGGCATGAACCCGGGAGGCGGAGGTTGCAGTGAGCCGAGATCGTGCCATTGCACTCCAGCCTGAGCAATAGAGAGAGACTCTGTCTCAAAAAAAAAAACAAAAACAAAAACAAAAAACAAAAGCAAAATATACCATGTTCATGGGTCAGAAGACTCAATATTGCAAGATGTCAATTCTGTCTACAGTGTCAATGCAAATCAAATTTCAACTGTCTTTTTTTTGCAGGAAAAAATATAGAAAAAAACTGATTATAAAATGAATCTAGAAAAACAAAGGACCTAGAATGGCCAAAACAACTTTGAAAAAGAAGAATGAAGTTGGAGGGCTTAATACTCGGATTTTAAGACTTATTACAAAGCTTCTTTATCACGACCGTGTGGTATGAGCAACAAGAAAAGACAACCGGATCAATTGAAAAAAATAGAGAATCCATTCAATCGACTCTCATTATGTATGCACAACGTATTTATAGAAGTGGTACAAAGGAGATTTAGCAGAAACAAGATAGCCTGAAATTTTCAGACATTACTGGTGGGAATATAAAATGGCAAATGTACTTTGGAAAATGACTTACAATTTCTTAAAAATTAATATACACCTATATATAACCCTGCCATTTCATCTATACATATTCACCCAAGAAAAATGACAGCTTATGTCCATACAAAGACTTGTACATAGGTGCTCACAGCAACTTTATTTGTAATAGCCCCAAACTGGAAACAGCCAAAATGTCTATCAATAGGTTAACAAACAGACAAATTGTGGCAAATCCATACTCGGCAATTTTTAAAAATGAGCTCTTTACATACTCAACAACATATATAAACATGCTGAATGAAAGAAGCCAGTCAGGCTGGGCATGGTGGTTCATGCCTTTAATCCCATCACTTTGGGAGGCCAAGGCAGGTGGATTGCTTAAGCCCAGAGTTTGAGATCAGCCTGGGCAACATGGCGAAACGGTCTCTACAAACAACAACAAATAAACAGCAAAAAATTAGCCAGACATTGTAGTGCATGCCTGTTGTCCCAGCTACTTGGGAGGCTGAGGCAGGAGGATGTGTTGAACCTGGGAGGTCAAGGCTGCAGTGGGCTGTGATCGTGCCACTGCATTCCAACCTAGGTAACAGAGTGAGACCCTATCTCAGAAAGAAGCCAGACAAAAAACAGTTTATGCTTTCATTTACGTAAGATTTCTAAAATGCAAACTAATCTGTAGTGACAAAAAACAGATCAGTGCTTGCCTGGCGATGAAGATGAGGGTAGTAGTGCAGGAGGGAGGGATTTACAAAACAGGCATAAGAAAAATTTTGGGTGATAAATACGATTATAGTTATCGTTTATATAGAGCATGTTCCTGTTAAAAGTGATCAAATATTTTATGTGTACATTAACCTTACATCAACTATACCTCAATAGAAATACTGAAGTGTTCTGGGTGGTTTCTGAAGTACCTAAAATATTAGCATTTCCATATATCTATTACACAACTATCAAAATACGATAATGTATGTTTACTGACATAAAAACATTTCTATGACATACTGTTTTTACAAGGCTTTAAAATTATATATAGTTATTTTTCCGTTTACAAAGGTAAATATATAATCTGTACATCTAAGTAGTGGGATTCCAAGGGCTTTTTTTCTTCCTCCTAATTTCTGTTGCCTTTTATCTTTTACTTTTTGTTTTTAATGACAAATGTGTCCACTTAAACAAAGGTAATATTCCTCTCTCCCAACTAGCCATTTCTACTTGCCTGAGGTGAACCTTGCCTCAGCACTCTGTGTCTGATATATAGTCTTCTACACCATCATGGCTCATACAAATAATCACAACCCTATATACAAGTTTATTATTTATTTTTTAGACAGGGTATCTCTCTGTGGCTCAGGCTGGAGTGCACTGGCGCAGTCACGGCTCACTACACTCTTGAATTACCGGGTTCAAGCAGTCCTCCTGCTTTGGCCTCTTGAGTAGCTGGGACCACAGTCACGCACCAGCACACTTTGCTAATTTTTGTTTTTTTGTACAGATGGGTCTCCCTATGTTGCCTAGGCTGGTCTCGAACTCCTGGCCTCAAGCAATCCTTCCGTCATAGCCTCCCAAAGTGCTGGAATTACAGGCATGAGCCACAGCACCTAGCCACAAGTTTATCTTAAACAGAAAAATGGGGTCATAACTATATGAGTTATTCTTCAACATGCTTTATTTTCACTTAAAATCCCTCCTAGCATGTAGTCATTATGCAAATACTAGTATGCAACATTTCTTTTGAAAAATCTTACGTTTTTGCTATTTTTCTTACCACGAAAACTTTTAAATATATCCTCCTAGTATCTTTTTTTTTTTTTTTTTTTTTTTTTAAAGAGGCAGGTTCTCACTATGTTGCCCAGGCTGGTCTTCAACTCCTGGGCTCAAGTAATCCTCTGCCTCAGCCTCCTGAGCAGCTGAGATTATAGGTCTGAGCCACTGCACCCAGCCTATACTAGTAATTTTATTTCCAAATATAGATATTGTCAGATTTGGTTCCACAAAGGTTACTCATACTCCTCTCACAAATAAATGTGTGTTGGATTTTCTCCATTCTCACAAGTACTTTATATTTGGCAAACTAATAGCTTAAATGGGCTATTTCTACACTCACTAATGAGGTTAAGCATTTTTTCCTTTTTTTGTTTTTGGTTATTTGTTCTTTCTTTTCTGTGAATTTCCTATTCTCATCCTTTATCCAATCTTTTATTAGATGCTTTGTTTTCTTTTTAACCGACAGGTATTTTCCTACAGACAGGTTAAACTTATACATATTGTCTTTTGATTTCCTTTCTGCCAAGACAAAACCCAACATTTATTTATTCTTTTCTTTTAGACAGGGTCTCACTTAGTCGCCCAGGCTGAAGAACAGTGGCTCAATCACGGCAGACTGCAGCTTCAACTTCCCTGGTTCAGGTGATCCTCCCACCTCAGCCTCCCGTATAGCTGGAAGTACAGGTGCATGCCACCACACCTGGCTAATTTTTGTATTGTAGAGACAGGATTTCGTTATATTGTTCAGGCTGGTCTTGAACTACTGGGCTCAACCAATCCACCCAACTTGACCTCCCGTAGTGATGGGATTACAGGTGTGAGCCACCAAGCCTGACCCCATATTTTTCTTATCATCATCAGTTTATATTGAATTTTCTCTAATCAATATATGCTAACTTTGAAAACAATACCAAAAGAAAAAATAATCAAAGAAAATATCCATTTTAACTAATCTGAAATTAAGGCAAGGAAAAGTCTTTTTTCTCTTGCCTTTAATATATATCATAAAGTAAATTAGAAGGGAGACACAGCGTCTACAAAGCCTATGATCTGGCATGTTTCTCCTCAGCTATTTTACTCTAGCTATGAATTTTGAGAATCACGAAGCAATACTATTTTTTAGAGACCCTTTTATAGAGAAGAAAATCAGAATGTTGTAATGATGTAGGCTATCCTTCTAAAGACACCAAAGTCAGAATGTTATTTTCTCTTGTGATGACTTCAGTTAGCCCTCTGGAGATAATTCTTTTTTTTTTTTAAGACGGAGTTTTGCTCGTTGCCCAGGCTGGAGTGCAATGGCGCAATCTGGGCTCACTACAACCTCCACCTCCCGGGTTCAAGTGATTCTCCTGCCTAAGCCTCCCAAGTAGCTGGGATTACAGGCACACACCACCACACCCAGCTAATTTTGTATTTTTTGTAGAGACAGGGTTTCTCCATGTTGGTCAGGCTGGTCTCAAACTCCCAACCTCAGGTGATCTGCCCGCCTCGACCTCCCAAAGTGCTGGGATTACAGGCGTGAGTCACTGCGTCCGGTCGAGATATTTTATTGTACAAATAAAATTGATAGTGACATTTAACTAAGTTTTTAAAATAGGCAATTTATGTTTTAAATCACATATTTCAAGTAGACAAATTCCTGTAAATTTTCAAGCAAACTTTGATTTAATATATTTTATTCACATTCTTTTTTATTAGTAAAGATATGAGATAGCCTATTAATAAGGCATCATTATGGCACAAAAGTAAGTAGAAAGGGCAACAACTAAAACTGAAAATTATTATCACATTATGACTGGTGGTTGGATAGAAGAGAGAATAGAATAATAGAATATATTAGGCTTGTTCTCTGCTTTTAAGTGAGAAAGGTGATTCCTACTGCCAAGAACAGGAAGTCAGAATGACTTTCTTCGATTAATCTACCATGTAATAGGAACTGAGAGAATTCTAAGAGAAAGAGGCTTAAAAATTCCAGTAACATATATGGTAGACTTTCTTACTGATCAGAAGCTACCTGATTCTCACTGTACTCTGTTTCATCTCCTATTCTGACCAAAACTTCCACCGAGAGCTTGGGTTTTTTTTCCCCATTAACCTCAGTTCTGGGCCTTTAGGATTTTTACACCAACTCTCTTTGGTCACTCTCTAGAAATACTGTTTCAGAATGGCAGTGGCCCAGGTTTCCTGATAGTAAATGCAGGAACCATCCATTTATAGAGAAAGCTAAAGTCCCAATATTATTTTCAAAACCTTTTCTGCTAAAATATATTTTAGTAAGTCTGCCTCTCTGTTGCTCCTCCAAACAACATAACTGACTCATTTGAACAGCAATAATTATTTTATATAATAGAACTGTTTATAAAAATTATGTATAAATTATATTTGGGTGTGTTTGAAAATTCTAAGAATTATGTGATGTAAACATTTATAAGAAAATTGTTAATCTATATGAAACCCTAAATATACCATATGCATAAAGAAAAAAAATCTTCTAATTTTTCCGTTGATCAAATACCTATTTTGTGCAGAGAACAATTCCATATGTTGTTATTTGGAAATGAAAAAGCAAAAGCCAAGAAAAGCCAATACAATTTTGATGTAGAATTTAAAGGTAGTGGGCTTGTAATATTAGGATATTATAAAACTAAAGTAACGAAGGTAATTGTGCTATTGATGCAAGGTTAGGCAAAGAGAAAAGAAGTGGCTCAATAGAAACCATTAATCTGAATGCAGTGTTGAAGCGGTGTATCAGCTTAACCAACAGTGTGCCTCATTATATAAACTGACCTCAGTCCTTGACCATTCCGAAAGAACAGCTGTTGGATTCCAAACCATGATTTTAAGGTCATGGATTATGTCACAGGATTGCAATGTGAGACATCTGTACCAGGGACTAGATACCAGACCCTCAAATTATACCAAGATCTGAGCTGGTGATTCCACAGCCATATATGCTAAACTGGAAGAATACTGTTGAATTCAATTTTTTGTCATTATACTCCAGCTTCTGATATTGCCAGGTGAGGAGATAATGCTTACTTAAGTATGCAGCCTAAAAGCCCCCGCTTAGCTAAATGTTTGGACTCTTTTCCAAAGTGGCATGGAAAGTAGAAGAAAACGTGCACCTGCTTCTGCTTTTCTCATCATGCTTCAGCAGGTCCAGTGTGTATTTTGACATCCCCAGGCTTCTGCCCTGCCATGGACATACCTGTATCTTTATTTTCTTGATTTCACTATTCTTTCTCCAAATCTTTGGTGCTTATATCTGCTTAGGTGATGGAATTTGTCTCAGAGTAGTAAATGACAAAATTATCACAAATTCAACATCCTTTCAATTCACCATTACACTCAAGTATTTTTGCAGCATTTGGTATTGGTATTGTCTGATACAAACTCTTTTTGAAAAGTTCTCTTAGGCCTATATTCGTATCAGTCTCCAAGTCCTGCTTTTCCTATTTCCATATCGAACATAACTTCTTAGAATCTGAAGACCTCTCTATCTTGTTTCAAACATCAATTTCTCTTGACTGAACTCTAATTTTTGGTATCTCAAATACTTATCAAAGTGCCACTTAAATCCAAAAATTTTGACGTAAATTCACTTGCATGAGAATGATTCTACTACTAGCTTCAAAGTCTATCTCTTTTTTTTTTGAAAAGGAGTTTTGCTCTTGTTGCCCAGGCTGGAGTACAGTGGCGTGATCTCCGCCACCTCTGCCTCCCGGGTTCATGCGATTCTCCTGCCTCAGCCTCCCAAGTAGCTGGGATTACAGGCATGCACCACCACGCCCGGTTGATTTTGTATTTTTAGTAGAGATGGGGTTTCTCCATGTTGGTCAGGCTGGTCTCAAACTCCCAACCTCAGATAATCCGCCCGCCTGGGCCTCCCAAAGTACTGGGATTACAGGCATGAGCCACCACGTCCAGCATTCAAGGTCTACCTATTTAAGAACATGTGCTTCTCTGGTTTCTGATACACAGCAAAGTTAGAAATCTGGCTTTTACCTTTTGGTCAACATCAGGCCCATTTACTGCTCTACAGTTTCAACATTTTTACCAACCCACTTAGTGTGCACCCTTGCTACTCTACACAATCAAAGACTTGGATACAAGCTAAGAATAATTATTAGGGTTTGAGTTCTTTGAGGATAAGGATTGTATTTTGTTGGTCTCTTCAATCTACCCAGCAACCAATACAGTGCCTGGCAAATCTGTTAATGAATAAATGACCTGCAATCAAAATTAAACCCAAGGTTAATGTCTCTCTAGAACAACAATACTGGTTAAATCTCTTTGTGTAGGTAGTATTACAGTATTCCCATTTCAGAGATGAGGAAACTGAAGAACAGAGAGATTATAAGTTTCCCCTTTACAGAGAGTAAAGGTTGGGGCTAGAACTGAAACACAGATCTAACTTCAAAACGCTTCCCCACTCAATACCCCACCTCTCAAGTCTGCCTTATCCTTCACTTTCTTGCCTGAATTCCAGCTTCATTTTTATCTTGGTTAAAGTTGTCTTTTGCTTTTGTAGCATGACAGGATGTGCAGTTTGTTGCCCCAACAGCACAGTATGTCATTAAAAAAATAAAATGGCAAAGTGACACTAAGTAGGTTTGCTCCAAAAAGTTCAGTGGAGGACAGTCCATTAAGCAATTGTCGACACTGAGAACAAAGATGACTCCAATGAGACCACTGGCATATCTTCTAGGCCTCTGTTTTTACTGCTCTGTGTTTTAGGCACTTTTGCATTTTAATAAGACACTTTTGAACCACTTCTACCATCATCAAAAAAGACTGCAATTTAATTCAAGGTAAATCTAGTACAGATGCAAAAAAGTCAATCACTACAGCACAAATATGTAATTTAATTAGGAAAGAGACTATAATACAGTTACCCTTACACCTACTCAACACTTTTCATCTCCAAATAAAATGCTACAGCTCACTGCCTCGAATATATAACTCTAGATGGAAAAAAAAAATCTACTTTCCATCTGACCATCAGTGAGTCTACATTACCAGACTGCAAAGCACAGAGAAATTTGCTTTAACCTTAATATGTGGGAGCTACTATGAATAATAAAAAATACACTCTAACAGGGACCATCACTTCCTCCCTCCTCTCTTCACCTTACCCATCCCTATATATATATATATATATATATATTTATCTGTCTCTCTACAAAATTATCAAGTTCTCAGTGGAAAAAGACTTTGCCTCATTCATCTCTGTGGTGCTAGAGGTCAGAAAAGGGCCTGTCACATGGTAGATATAAATTAGCATTGCCAGAACAAATGAAATCAATCTATTAACCAATTTAATTCTGGATTTTGTACCAAACATAGTGAAGCATGGATTTATCACATCTCTTTTGGCACATCATAAAAACTCATGGTTAAGTCATTCATATTTCTTGGTTTTCCATGACAGTTTCCAGTTTGAATATCTTCTCTAATGTGTCCCAAAATATGGAGAATAGGCAGTCAAAAGGGTATTCTAATTTATAACTCATTTTAACATGACATTTTAGAGAAGATCTAGAGTCTGTTATTGAAATTTAAAGAACTGTCAGCATCTATTTATTCCAACTTTATCTGCTGATATGTTTGTTGAACTGAATACTAAATCTTATATCCAAAAAAACTGGAATTTTTCTGCACTCTAATGAAAACATCATGATACAAATGGTATCAGAAATACAAAAAATAAATTCTTAAGAAATATTTCTGTTCTCCGCATTTATATTACTGAAGAATAACTGATATTAATAAGAAGTGAGGCACTGCAAATCTTGAGGAATATTAGAAATCATTCAAAACAGACTGGTAGGTACCTTTCGAAATTTGACAATCTATGTTTCACATATATCAGATAAATCATGAGAGAATTGTTCTTTTTGTTTTGTTTTTTGAGATGGAGTCTCACTCTGGTCGCCCAGGCTGGAGTGCATGCAGTGGCACGATGTCGGCTTACTGCCAACTCAGCCTCCCCAGTTCAAGCAATTCTCCTGCCTTAGTCTCCCGCGTAGCTGGAACTACGTGCACTACCACACCTGGCTAACTTCTATATTTTTAGTAGAGATGGGGTTTCACCATGTTGGCCAGGCTGGTCTCGAACTCCTGACCTCAGGTGATCTGCCCACCTTGGCCTCCCAAAGTGCTGGGATTACAGGTGTGAACCACCTCACCCACCCGAAAATTATTATTTGAATGAGACCTAAGACACATATTACTGCAAAATTTATAATTAAACTTGCTTCTGGCTTTAATTATGACAAAAGTAATTCATATGAACAAAAAGATTTCACAACAAACGAGGAAAAACTGAAAAAGTCTTGTCTTCCCCATCTTGCTCTTAGGTCTCTCTCCCCAGAGAAAATCATTATTAAGTATTTCCTACTTATCCTCAGAAAATACTGGTGTATATGCAAGCACATATATGTGTGCATTATACATGTGAATGTGCATACAGGTTTCTCCTTTATTTATACTATACGTACTGTTTTACACCTTGGTATGGCTTTAAAATTAGAGTAAAACTCATTTGTAAGATATACAGAAAAGCCATGTTTTAGGGGTTATTCATGATTTATACAATTTATGGAACATCAGTGTATAATATCATGTCAAAGGGAGGTTTTCCCTACATGATCAGGTATACTGATTTAAATATTTCAAATATCACTCAAATCTTATTTGAATTCTGTTAAAAACTAATATAAATTATGACAGTCTGGGACTCAATAAATACCTGTTGAATGAATGACAACTATTAATAACGGTATTATGTTACAAAAGCCCTAATAGTTTTTGGATGCTATTAATCATCTCATTGAATGCTATCACATAAATAATGACTTCTATTTTTATTTCTATACGTTTTAGCAACAGGGTCTTGCTATGCTGCCCAAGTTGGAGTGTGGTGACACCATCATACCTCACTGCAGCCTCGAACTCCTGGGCTCAAGCAATCTTTCTGTCCCAGATTCCTGAGTATCTGCGACTACAGGCATGCGCCACCAAGCCTGGCTAATGTTTAAATTTTTTGTAGAGAAAGGGTCTCTCTGTTGCCAAGGCTGATCATGAACTCTGGGCCTCAAGTGATCTTCTCACCTCAGCCTTGCAAAGTGCTGGGATTATACGTGTGAGCCACAGCAGCCAGCCTACTTTTATTTCTTAAACACTGCATTAAGTATTAAGGTGATTCCGAGGTTACATGCATGAATTCTGGAATTGGCAGAAACTTGGAGAGAGGTATTAACTAATGAACTGGGAAAGATACATTCTGTGCTTTTTGCTTTTCCTAATTATTCAGGGTGAGCACATTTGACTTTGTATCCCTTGTTATCATCTACCTGTTTATCCAGCTGTAGCTTTATGTATATATTCATCTTTCATATAAAAATATCTTATTTTAGTAAGAACTATTTTAAATGATTTTAACTTTTGAATGCTGAAGTCTAAGATTTATTTACAGGATATGTAGCTTAATTTGAGAGGCAATATTATAAAGACGTGGCTATGAGTATAAATTGTAGAGTTGAAATTTGAATTCTGATTCTACCACTTATTAACTATATAACCTTCAGCAAGTATCATCTCCTCCATGCCTCATTCTCCTCTTCTGTAAAGTAAGGATAAGAGTTGTTGTGAGGGTTAAAGAACTGACCACAGTGTCTAATAAATAGCAAGCATTTAATCAATGATAGCTACTATTATTAAAATCAACAGGCCAGGCATGGTAGCTCATGCCTGTAACCCCAGCACTTTGGAAGGCCAAGGCAGGAGGACTGCTTGAGGCCAGGAGTTAAAGACCAGCTGGGCAATATGGCGAGACTCTATCTCTACAAAAAGTTAGCTGGGTGTGGTGTCACGCATCTGTGGTTCCAGCTACTCAGGTGGCTGAGGTGGGAAGACTGAGACCAGGAGGTCAACTCTGCAGTGAGCCATGTTTATGCCACTGCACTCTAGTCTGGGTGACAGAGCAAGACCCTGTCTCAGAAAAAAGAAAAGAAAAAAAAAAAAAAACTACAATTTTTTCTTACCAGGGTGGTGATTTTAAATATACCTGATTTGTTACTATCAGATCCCTAAAAAACAAGACAAAACAAAAACCCAACAAAAACAACACAAATCTATACATTTGCAGAAATGAGTAAATAAACATTTAATAAAAGCTCTCGGGGATAACAGAAAAATAAAAGCTTTACTAATCCTGGAGATGTAAAAGAAGTTGGAGAGGTAAAATGTACACATATCAATATGCATAAAGTACTACGAGTATTTTAAATTGACATAATTATATGTTTAAGGGTTCGAGGAATTATCAGAATAGAAAACCTTGTGAATAGAGTCATATTGAAAAATTGAAAAAAATACTTTTTTTTTTTTTTTTTGAGGTGGAGTCTCACTGTTGCCCAGGCTGGAGTGCACTGGTGCAATTGCGGCTGACTGCAACATCCGCCTCCTGGGTTCAAGCAATTCTCCTGCCTCAGCCTCCTGAGTAGCTGGGATTACAGGTGCCAGGCACCACACCCAGCTAACTGAATTGAGCAGGTTCCTTAATGTGGTCTAGGTTGAAGACAGCATCAAGGAAACAATGCAGGAATTAACACTCATCAAACAGGTGTGGGAGATTTGCAAAAAGATTAAAAAATAATATTAAGCAAAGCTAGGATGAAATAATGATAGTTTCAAGGCTAATCTGGGAGCCTGGATCTTGTACCCTTGAAACGACTATTTCTACAGGTCTTAGACAGATATCTGGCATCCAGCAGCAATATTTTCTCTGAAAGAATTTTCTGGAAAATGTGCACTTTACTTTTCCAGAGAAGTCTGAAAGCAGAGTTGTAATAGCTGAGGTGTAAGATAATGACAGTCTGTGAAATGGAGTGAAAAGAAATGGGGATTGAACAGATGGGTGAATAAATGAATGGTTAGATAGCTGGAAAGAAGAGACAGATCCAGAAGGGTCTCAGGTAGGAGAGTTGAAGGAAGAGTTACAGAGGGTGGCTGAACTGGGCCAAAAACATAAGGGACCAAGTTACAAACAAAGAAACAGCAGAATCACTACTTCCAAAACACAGATCCCTTATGTTCTGATCATGAAGAACCACTCTGCTTTGCCGGCCCAACTGGATATTTCATATCTGTGACATCGAGCAATGCCTCTAGAATGATTGCTACAGGTGTTTTTTGTTTTGTTTTTTTGACAGGGTCTTACTCTGTCACCCAGGCTGGAGAGCAGTGGTGTGAACATGGCTCAGTGCGGCCTCAATCTCAAAGGCTCAAGCAATCCTCCCATCTCAGTCTCCAGAGTAGCTGGGACTACAAGCACACACCACCATGCTTGGCTAATTTTTTATTTTTTTGTAGGGACGAAAGGTCTCCATATGTTGCCCAGGCTGGTCTTGAACTCTACAGGTGGTACATTCAATACCAAGCTGAGAACACCCTCTCAAACTGAGGTAAAATTTAACTAGTAGTAAAGTAATAAGACAGAATAAAAACAATACAGTTTTTATGTATACACTATATAAGTAATTGTTGTATAAATTTATTTATACAACAATAGCATGTGTCAAAAGATGATATAATTTTTGGCTGTACACAAATACTCCTGTATCTCCGATACTGTCAATTGTGGTGTTCTTGTTGAAATTTACTTCCTCAATTTCTAAGCTATAACTTCCCTAAGCAAATCCTTATATAGATGCTGGTGGCACCACCATATCATACTCATTTTTCTTTTATTTGAGACAGTCTCACTCTGTTGTCCAAGCTGGAGTGCAGTGGTGTGATCTCGGCTCACTGCAACCTCCGCCTTCCGAGTTCAAGAGATTCTCCTGTCTCAGCCTCCTGAGTAGCTGGGACTATAGGCGTGCACCACCATGCCTGGCTATTTTTTTCTATTTTTAGTAGAGACAGGTTTCACCATGTTGGCCAGGATGGTCTTGATCTCCTGACCTCGTGATCCGCCCCTCGGCCTCCCAAAGTGCTGGGATTACAGATGTGAGCCACCACGCCAGGCCCCTCTTTTTAAAATATATATGTAATATTTGTTGACATATAATTTACGTATCATAAAATTAACCTTTTAAAACTATACAATTTAATGGTCTGTGGTATAACCACAGTTGTGTGACCACTACCACTATATAACTTTAGAATATTTTCATCACCCCAGAAAGAAGCTCGGTATGTATTAGCACCGTCTCCCCACTCTCTTCTCTCCCCAACCCCTGGTGAGCACTAATTTATTTTCTGCTTCTATGGATTTGCCTATTCCTGACATTTCATACAAATGGAATCATATAAAATGTGGTCTTTTGTGACTTTTTTCACTTAGCGTAATGTTTTTAAGGTTCATCCATTGTACACCATGTGAATTTCATTCCTTATCATGGTCCGATATTTCATGGTATGTATATATCACATTTTGTTTATTCATGCATCAGTTGATAAACTGATTTGGGTTGTTACCACTTTATGGCTGCCCTATTCATTTTCCCCCCCATTCTTCTGAGCTTTCTTTGCCTTTCTTCCTAATTTTCCACTCCTGCCAAAGCAGGAAGTTAATGATGGTATTACCATCCTCAACTCAACTACAGATTTTCCTTCACTGTTCTAAGGAGGCCTTCTCCTTTACCAATCACAGCAGAGGTCACCTTGAGATGTGTCTACTGTGAAGATAAATGACATAATGGGTACAAAAACTTTTAATCAACATTATACATGCAAACGGCCTATCCTAAGGGATTTTCCACCATCTCATGTCCCAGATTTTATTAAAAACATTTCAGAAGGTATCAACTCCTTGAGCTTCCTTTCTTTGGAAGATAAATTCCTCAGGGCAAAGATCATGATATCCAACTCTTCTGTGTATTAGCAGAGTTCAAAGGGAACATTTGGGCTCTTAATACAAGCTGAAAATAGAATTATCAATATTATTTAACATTCAGAGTGCTTAATATGTGTCAGATGTTGTGCTAAGTACTTTACATACATCACATTTTATCTTTACAATTCTATAATGTAAATACTATTATTATCTTCATTTTTCTAGATGAGAAACAGACTCAAAGAGGTTAGGAAATTCACCCATGGTCACAGAGATAGACAAGGAAAAAGGGTAAGACTCAGGAGTGTTTGATGCTGTTGCTTTGATCTTACCACTAAATTTTACTGCCAGTGTTTAATCAAATACATGAAAAACTACATTCAGATCCTATGCCTGTGTAGGCACAGGCATACTTTGAAGATATTGTGGGTTTGTTTCCAGATCATGGCAATGAAGTTAATATTGCAATAAAGCGAGTCACAAATTTTTGGTTTCCCAGTGCGTATAAAAGTTATGTTTCTACTAAACTGTAGTCTATTAAGTGTGAAATAGCATTATGTCTAAAAATAATGCATATTATCTGAATTAAATAATACTTTATTGCTAAAAAATACTAATGATCATCTCAGCCCTCAGCAAGGTGTAATCTTTTTGTTGGTGGAGGTTCTTACCTTGATGATGATGGCTGCTGCCCTCATCAGGATGGTGGTTGCTGAGGCATGAGAGTGGCTGTGGCAATTTCTTAAAATAAGACAACAATGAAGTTTGCTCCAACACTTGACTGCTCCTTTCATGAATGATTTCTCTGTATCATGTGATACTATTTGATAGCATTTTACCCAATCCTCTCATACCCTTCCGCTGTTTTATCAACTAAGTTTATGTAACATTCTAAATCCTTTGTTGTCATGTCTATAATGTTCACAGTATCCTCAACAGGAATAGATTCCAACTCAAGAAACCATTTTCTTTGCTTACCCATGAAGAAGCAACTCCTTATCCATTCAAGTTTTATCATGAGATTGCAGTAACTGAGTCACATTTTCAGGCTTTAGTTCTATGTTTTTGTTTTCTTAGAGATGGGGTCTCACTATGTTGCCCAGGCTAGTCTCAAGCTCCTGGCCTCAAGCAATCCTCCTGCCTCAGCCTCCCAAATGCTGAGATTATAGGCACATGCCACCATGCCTAGCCAGGCTCCACTTCTAATTCTAGTTATTTTGCTATTTCCATCACATCTGCACTTACTTCTTCTACTGAAGTCTTGAGCCCCTCAAAGTTGTCCATGAAGGTTAGAATCAACTTCTTCCAAATGCTTATTAATGTTGATATATTAACCTCCTTGTCCCATGAATTACAATTTTTTTTTTAAGAGACAGGAATCTTGCTGAGGTGTCTCCTCTTTTGTGCAGATGAACTTTGAAGTTCTGAGCTCAAATGATCATCCCACTTCAGCCTCTTGAGTAGCTGGGACTACAGGCGTGCGCCACTGCACCCACAAATGTTTTTAATGGCATCTAGAATGCTGAAATTATTTTGGCTATTTGGTGGAGAATAAATTTGAAGTAGGGGCAAAACTGGAGCCAGGGAAATGACAAGCATCCACACATAAGTGCAGGGCTAACTAAGGCAGAAGAAGGAAATGAAGAGGAAGGAACAAATGCCACGAACAAATCAGATTTCCAGGAGGTTTTTAGTTTGCCCAGATCCATCACAGGAATCACTATCTATGGCAGCTATAGACATACAAAATGTACTTATTAAATAACAAGGCTTGAAAGTCAAAATTACTCTTTGATCTCAGGTTACTAGGTGTGTTGCCAATGTGCAGTAGTATTTTGAAAGGAATCTTGCTATCTGGGCAGTAGGTCTCTACAGTAGGCTTATAAGAGTCGGTAAGCCACACTGCAAACAGATGTGTCATCATCCAGGCTTTGTGGCTCCATTTATAGAGCATAGGAAGAATAGATTTAGCAGAATTCTTAAGGGCCTTAGGACTTTCCATATGGTAAATGAGCACTGGCTTCAAACAGAAGTCACCGGCTGCATAAGCCCCTAATGAGAGTCAGCCTGTCTTTTGTAGCTTTAATGCCAGGTATTGACTTCTCCCCTTCTCTTTCACTGTGAAAGTGCTGGATGGGGCCAGGCGCAGTGGCTCACTCCTATAATCCCAGCATTTTGGGAGGCCAAGGTGGGCAGATCATGCGGTCAAGAGATTGAGACCATCCTGGCCAACATGGTGAAACCCTGTCTCTACTAAAAATACAAAAATTAGCTGGGTGTGGTGATGCACATCTGTAGTTCCAGCTACTCAGGAGGCTGAGGCAGAAGAATCGCTTGAACCCGGGAGGCGGAGGTTGCAGTGAGCCAAGATGGTGCCACTGCACTCCAGGCTGGAGACAGAGCAAGACTCTGTCTTAAAAAAAAAAAAAGAAAGTAGGTAGATGGTTTCTTCTAACATAAGGCGGTTTCATCTACAATATCAGTATCTGTTGGTTTTCAACAAATATTGAAAATGTGTAATTTAGGGTAGCCACTATCATCAATTATCTTAGCTAGATCATCTGGATAACTTCCTGTGGCTTCTCTATCACCACTTGCTGCTTCTACCTTGCACTTTTACGTTATGATGACATCTTTCCTCAATCTCATGAGCCAAGCTCTGCTAGCTTCAAACTTTTCTTCTGCAGCTTCCTCACCTCACTCAGTCTTCACAGAACTGAAGAGACTTAGGGCACTGTTTTGGATGAGGCTTTGACTTAAGGGAATGTTGTGGCTGGTTTGATCTATCCAGACCACTGAAACTTTCTCCATGTCAGCAAAAAGGCTGTTTTGCTTTTGTATCATTTGTGTGATCACTGGAGTAGCACTTTAAACTTCCTTCAAGAACTTTTCCTTTGCATTCACAACTTTACTGTCTCAAGGGGCCTAGCTTTCACTCTGTCTCAGCTTTCGATACATATTCCTCACTAAGCTTAATCATTTCTAGCTTTTAATTTCAAGCGGGAGACGTATGACTCTTCCTTTCACTTGAACACTTAGAAGTCACTGCAGGGTTATTAATACCCTAATTTCAATATTGTTGTATCTCAGGAAATAAGAAGGCCCAAGAAGAGGGAGGGAGAGAGATGGAAGAACTGCCGGTTGGTGGAGCAGTCAGAACATACATATTTCTCGATCAAGTTGGCCGTCTTACATGGTTTGTGGTGCCCCAAAACAATTACAACAGTAACATCAAAGATCACTGATCACAGATCACTATAACACCTATAATAATGAAAGGTCTGAAATACTGTGAGAATTATCAAAATGTGACAGAGACAGGAAGTGAGCACATGCTGTTGGAAAATGGCATTAACAGGCTTTCTCAACACAGAGTTACCACAAACCTTCAATTTGTAAAAAAAACCGTATCAGTGAAAGCACAATAAAGAGAAGTGCAATAAAATGAGGTATGCCCGTATACTCAGAAGACTCCTACTATATGGCGCTTTTGAAATAATCTCCAGGCTTCTAGAACACTGGTGGATTACTGTAGCTGACGATGCAGAGGTATGAGAGGATATGGATACCAGAAGACCTGGTGGTAAAACTTGAGAAGTTTAGAGTTCATCTTGCAGGATATTTCCCCCAATCCTTCACAGCATCCTGAAGAGCTTAAAAAGACGTGAAAGAGGAGTGACAAAGCTAGATCTGTATTTTTAAAAGATGATTTCGGCCACTTGGTGGAGAACAATTTCAAGTGGGGGCAAAACTGGGACCAAGGAAATGACAAGCATCCACACCTAAGTGCAGGGATAAGGCAGGGGAAGAAGGAAATGGAGAGGAGGGAACAAATGTCACAAATACATTAGATAAAACCAGGGCACCGGCCAGGCGTGGTGGCTCACACCTGTAATCCCAGCACTTTGGGAGGCTGAGCCGGGTGGATCACAAGGTCAGGAGTTTGAGATCAGCCTGACAAACATGGTGAAATCCTGTCTCTACTAAAAATACAAAAATTATCCGGGCGTGGTGGTGCGCACCTGTAATCCCAGCTACTCAGGGGGCTGAGGGAGGAGAATCACTTGAACCTGGGAGGCGGAAGGTTGCAGTGAGCTGAGATCACACCACCGCACTCCAGCCTGGGCAACAGAGTGAGACTCTATCTTGTGGGGGGAAAAACAAAAACAAAAACAGGGCACCTTGTGAAATGACTGGATGGGAAAAAAGGGGACTCAAAAGGGAGGTTCGTCAACAGTGGCTTCAGGGTTTTAGTTTAATTAAAGCCAGTGTATAACCTGAGATGAAAGAATAGGTTTAGAGGAATAGGTGACTGGTTTAGTATTGGATGTACTGAATTTGAGATGACTCTGCAAGTGGAGATATTTGTCAGATAATTGGAAATTTAAGATTGAAGTTTAGAGGAGGAGTTGGGACAGAGATAAAAATTTGGAAATCCTACTTTGGCCTCCCAAAATGTGGGGATTACAGGCATGAGCCACTACGCCCAGCTGATGGAACTGTTTTATATTTTGACTGGTGTGATTACATGGCTTTCTGTGCTAGTCAAAACTCACAGAAATGAATGCTAGCTAACAAGGGTGAATTTTACTGCATATAAATTACACTCGACCTAACTTAAAAGAGAGAGAGAAAGAGACCAATAGTGGTAAAATGAGGCAAAAAGACTAGGAAGATAAATGTGTGTCTACTGATGACCCTGCTGAGGAAGATTCCACTAGCATATTAGGAGCATAAATCAGACTATATGTTAGTTGAATAGTGAAAAGAATAGTAGAAGACATGGTAGACTATTCTTAAACAGTTTGGGTCAGAAGAAAAAGATACCATTTAAGTGGCAGCTAAATGGTTATATGGGACTCAGAGAGCGTCTCTGGCATGAGACAGACAATAAGAAGGTGGTAGAGAGGCAGTGAATACATACGAGACTGTAAGAGACAACTAAGAGAGTCTGATGAAGGTTTCAATATAGCCAGGTTTGTAAGGGGGCAGAAAGTTAAAAAAAAGGCGTACCCAGTGTCCTCAATGTTCTCAATAAAGAAGGAGACGAGGTCATGTGCTGCAGGTGAGTAGCACTGGGCAGAGTAAAGGATTTTCAACAGAAAAACCATAAAAATAATGGTTGGGATGGACAGTGTGAATTTGTAGTTGCATTCACACCACTGTAAGTGGTGTGATCTTCTCCAGTAGTGCTCTGCCTACTGGAGTTTAATAGACAAAGTAGGAGTTATAGTACTGATTCAAGGGTTTTGATAGGTATGTTTTTCAAAAGGAAAAAGAGGAAAATCACAGATTTTGTACAGGGTAGCTCAAATAATCCCCCTCGTCTTTGCTCAAATCTTACCTCCTACTGAGGCCTATGACTCTGATCATATTATTTAAATACTACAACCTGCTGCCCCTTTGCATTCCTCACCCTGTTTTATTATTTTTACAGCACTTAAAACTTCCTAATACATCACTAGGGCAGGGATCTTTGTATTACTCATTCATAAATCTCAAGTGCATGGAACAATGACTGACACGCAGTAGGCCTTCAGTAACTACTGTGGTTCAAACAGGTGGGCTTTCATGTTTCACTATGAACCTAGGTCACAAGCATAAAGTATAACTGTCAAATCCTGAGGTAATTTTGTATTGACATACCATCTCTGAAAGATTAATAGAAACATGACGTATAAAGGAAGGGGCTGTAATTCTCCTGTGAGCCTGAGAAAGCTGATTTACCATTCTGAGGCTTATTTTTGTCATCAGCAAAACAGAAATAACTATATCCAGGAATAACTGTTCAAATCACAAGAATAATGCTTGAAATGCCTGGGAAAGCCTTTGGAAACAGAAAAATGTACAATAATTTTTATTATGATTGTGACTAAATTACCAAGTATTTTAATACAGTAATAGAAAATGAAGAAAAGAAATATATTGAAGGAAATGTATTTTGGGCATTTTTATGCATTAGTAGAGAGAATTATCTTTTTTCTTAATAAAGTCTTACTAAACTTATCTTCCTTATTTTGGCATACTTGTGCTTTTATTTTTTAATTCTAAATTTTTAAGGATACATAATAGTCATACGTATTTGTGGGGTACATGTGATATTTTGATAAAAGCACATAATGTGTAATGACCAAATCAGGGTTATTGGGGTATCCATCACCTCAAGTGTTTATCATTTCTTTGTGTTAGGAACATGGAAAGTTATCTTTTCCAAGGCAATCAGGAAAAGTTCTCAAGGCAACTGTGTGCAAGGTAATGATGGATATTAGAGAAAGGGAAAACTTATAGTAAGACTAGGTTTTCCTGTAGAGGTTTTCTTTAAAAGACTGAGGGAGCACAGCTCTAGGCTGACTGAATTACCTTCTCTGGAAGCAGGTCAGTACAATAGTCCTTTGTCATGGAGGAGGATTAGTTACTAAATGTGGGGAAAAGGGAGCTACATTTTGAACAAAGTATAACTACTCAGAAAGATGTAGAACTAAGTTAATACCCAATGACTGAGACTTTAGGGCTCATGATGAAAGACATGAACTACTGTAAAAAATGGGGAAATCTATCCCACATAAAGAGGCAAGGAAGAACTACGTAAGGGACTTGCCAACAGGCTCAACTAACAGGTGTCTGGGCTCATTCTGCAGTATATAAAAGAATTTGACCAGCATCAGTATTTTCCAAGGAATGCCTAAGAGTTTACTGGGGAGGGAAACAAGAAAATAGGAATGGGATGGCAGAAACATACCTTTTAGGCAGCTTTGTTGGAAACAGTTTACAAACAAGGTGGAGAAAACCTTTATTTATCCCTAAGGATCACTCAGACTCAAGCCTCTGAAAACTGAAGCCAATGGTCCTTGCTTTAAGGATCACTCTGCTTGTTTTGGTAGATGACAAAGAACCAGGAATGTGTAAGGAGTCCTGTTTCCATGTTTCCAGAACACGTTTCTGTAGAAGCTAAATTATAAGGATGCATAGTAGTATAGTGATTAGGCCAACAGGATACTCAAACCATTGGCAATCTACTTTTGGCCCCAGCGACTAAATCTTCCAGAGATATTTCAAATATATTTTAGAATATGTAAGTTGAGCAAAGGTTAGAATAAATTTTATTATTTAAAAGATTAGTCATTTTTAGTTTAATCTAGGAAAACTGATAGACTTTTATATCTCTGGTTTTATGTTTGCTATGTTTATTTCTTTGAAAGTACTCTGAATACTCTCACAGTTGAGAATAAAGCAAGGGTTGTTATTAAAATATTTTTCTTGCACTGAAGTATGCTCCCTTTACACTTCAGTAAGTCTAAACTAAAAGAGAAAGCAGCAACTTGATTGGCTACATGGATCAGTATTTTGTTAACATTACCAAAACATATAATCGTATCTCCATTTGAGAAATAAACTTCCTATGTTATATTCTACAGAATCTGGAAACCCTTCTACATCCTTAGCTGAGCTTACGAGAATATAAGGTAAACTACAGGTCAGTGGCTGATGCCATCCTTACATTCCTGGGGGTGTAGAAGGGTGTGCCAGTCTCTATAACCAATGAATTTGTATTTTTAACACCCATAAGAAAAGAGAGATCTTGGATCCCTGCAAAGTGGGAACCTGGAACTGAGATGCTCACATAAAGCTCTGAGACTCCCAAATGGGTGACATGCTCAGTGAAAAGATAGCTTAAAAAAGAGAGAGAGGGAATAAACCACTGAACCAACACAGTGATGATGAGAAAGGACGTTGTTTCAACTGGATGGAGAGAAGATTGCTGTTACCCTGAAAATTAGTATCCAAGCCATACGGTATGGCTGTCCTTAGGCTTTGGGATAGAACTGTAGCTTTAGGACATTAAACCCAGATTTAGTTCTAACAAACATTAAACCCAGATTTAGTTCCAGCAAATGCTTTCCCCAAGACATGCAGCAGATAAAGTAAACACAAATCTGCTTTAGAATAACTTGCCATCAATCTACATCCAGGAAAATTTATCTGGATAAGTTCATAAAACAAACTTACAAAATATACATTAAAAATGTACTATAAGCAAGAGCCAAAAAAACAAAATAAATAGAAAAATTAGAAATCTCCCTCTGCCTAAGAAAATTTAAATAATGGTTTTATATCTGATACAGGTAAAAATAATAAAATAAAAAAGTCACAATTCTTTTAAAAAGTGGGAAAGTTAATGTTACATACTATACATCATATACATTCCTAAAATTGTAGAAAACAAACTCCTGGATGATTAATGGGGAATGCTTTCCCACAAGTTCAAAACACTCCTTTTTCCTCCCACCAGATACAGAGAATAAACAATAAAAATTCCCAAGACTTTAATATATCATCCAATTAATATCTAGTTTTATGCATTTAATTACTAAAGTGACGGTGATATTAAAAGTGTGGCCAATAACTGAGGCTTTTCAGAGTACACTGAAGATATATACACACCAAATTCTAATTTTACAGAGCTTGTTCTTCAATCCGAAAACAACTGATGCTTTCTTTTTTTTTTTAAGATGGGGTCTTGCTCAGTTGCCTAGGCTGGAGTGAAGTGGCGCGATGTTGGATCACTGCAGCCTCCATCTCCCAAGTTCAAGCAATTCTCCCACCTCAGCCTCCAGAATAGCTGGGATTACAGGCGCATCACCACTCCTGGGTAATTTTTGTATTTTTAGTAGATACGGGGTTTCACCATGTTGGCCAGGCTGGTCCCAAACTCGTGACCTCAGGTGATCCACCCTCCTCAGCCTCCCAAAGTGCTGGGATTACAGGCATGAGCCACCGCGCCCGGCCTCAACTGATGCATTTTTATTCACTCAGAAATATGATCTAGAATAGTTACAAGAAAATGTTTTGCAGCAGAACTAAAAGATACCATATCCCTTATGTTATAACTTTACTGCTTTAACCAACTATCTCTATACCAACTGATATGTTATTTATGTATCAGGTTTCTGAAGCCAGCTTTGAGGTGTTTCATCCTCAGGCAGAGACAAGTAAAAACTATTCTCAAAAGTCACCACCAAAAGACTCATAGGCAAACCAGACTGTTTTGGTGTTACAATTTATTAACTTCTCAAAGTAAACGGCTGTTATGATTTACTAACTTCTCAAAGTAAACAAGGTATAATAAGTGAATATTATGTGAATAAGTGCAAATAAATTATAGTCATTAAGCATATGACCACGTCAGGTGGATATACTTAAAGACTGGAGGTAATTTTAATTTTCATTGTTAACTTTTGTGACAAAACCATTAAAAAATATTCGGACAGAAATGAATGGGTCAGAAATGCTTCTGAGGCTTTATAATTTACAAACTGCTGGCCAGGTGTGGTGGCTCATGCCTGTAATCCCAGCACTTTGGGAGGCTGAGGCGGGCGGATCACAAGGTCAGTAGTTCGAGACCAGCCTGACCAACAAGGTGAAACCCCGTCTCTACTAAAAATACAAAAATAAGCCAGGCGTGGTGGCACACGCCTATAATCCCAGCTACTCAGGAGGCTGAGGCAGGAGAATTGCTTGAACCTGGGAGCCAGAGGTTGCAGTGAGCCGAGATTGCACCACTGCACTCCAGCCCGGGCGATGGAGCGAGACTCCATCTTAAAAAAAATTAAAAAAAAAAAAAAAAAAAGCTAGAGTTGCAGGGGTTCTTGAAGTTCATTTACTGTTGGATTTTGAAGACTATTAAGATGTACAAGGAAATTATAAAACTTGTAATTCCCTTAAACACATAGGTTAAAAAATCAGGAGACTAGAAAAATGCCAAGAAACTTTACCTCCCAACATCACAAACCTCTGTTATTCCAAGTCATTAAAAAAACAGTTCTTTCTTTTCTAAGTGCTCTCTGGATTACCACTGAAGAGTCTATACTCTTTGATTAAGGTGCTGGTGTTCACAATACTAATATTGAGAGCATCTGCATTTCAAACAAATGTACCATGGTATGAACATTATTTAAACCAAAATTCTGTTTGCCCATCCATCCCTGGGCACTGTCTTGCAATATCAGGTCATCTAAGTGGCAAACTGATGTTTAAAAAAAGAATATATGTCAGAAATGAGTGAAGTATGATTTTGATGCATGGTCTTTTCACTTTACACTTATTTCAATTCTGAGGTATGGTTTGTATCTTCAACTTATATTTCCTATGATTGTTTTGTTTTTCTTTGCTTTTACATTTTAAAAACATTTTTGTTCATTAGTTTCTCTCATTTTTGTAACTATCGTATCACTACAAATGAAAATGAACATTGAAGTGTCAAACAAATTACTGTTCTCCAACAAACACGTGTTTCTTCGGAGGGCATTTACCTACAGCCACACCAACACCAAGTTGTTTAGTTTTTTTTTTTTTTTTTTTTTTTTTGAGATGGAGTCTCGATCTGTTGCCCAGGCTGGAGTGTGGCGGCACGATCTTGGCTCACTGCAACCTCTGCCTCCCAGGTTCAAGCAATTCTCCTGCCTCAGCCTCCCGAGTAGCTGGGACTACAGGCCCACACTGCCATGCCTGGCTATTTTTTTTGTATGTCAGTGGAGATGGGGTTTCACTGTGTTGCCAAGGCTGGTCTCGAACTCCTGAGCTCAGGCAATCCACCTACCTCGGCCTCCCAAAGTGCAGGGATTACAGGCATGAGCCACTGCACCCGGCCCCAAGGCTGTTTTTCTAAAGGGTAACTGACAAAACAAGGTCTAAGGTCATCTCTCCACCAAGGAACAAGTTTCCTAAAACAGTGATGGCACTATGAATACTGATGTCAATGGAAGCCAGATAGTTGAGGAAACAGGTAATTTACAAAGATTTATGAAAAATTTCTCACTGTTCCAATTGCCTTGCATTGTTTTCTTTCCTGTGCTGGCTCATGGTGTTCTACAAGATGTTCTGCAGTTCCAAAAGGCCAGACACCTCTTACAGACACTGATGAGGAAATTGTCTCAAGAACTGAGCTGGGTAGAAAAGCCACATCTCAAAAGTAGGGATCAGCTTTTGGGTTTGTCAAATTTCCTTATTATACACCTCAAAATAGACAAAAATACTGAGGATGATGGTGACCAAAACCTATTCACTGCATGTCAAGGATCAACTGCTGGAGGAGCACTCATTTATCAAAAAGCCCAATTTACATACGCATTACTTAATCTGACAGGCACAGAGAAAGGAAATTATATAGCATAGGGCAATGTTGCAGAAGATAGGCTGTGCTGAATTGTTCAAAGCCAAAACTTCAATATTCCTATGGGCTAACTTATCCTAGAATAGCTGATAAGCCTCAGATAACTTTTGATTAAACTTACAATAACCCAATGGTTAGTTCCTAAGGTCCCAGGTGATGCTACATTAAAAAGAAATAATTTGAACTGGGAAGAATATAATACTCCAAGGATATTAATGACCATGTAAAAATGTACACAAAAAATAAAACTGTTTCAAAAGGCAAAGTGAGAGAACGTTAAGCTTACCTGCAAGTGAATCAACAACAGCATTATATTTTCAAAAATAGTTATAAACCTTTGATGTTCTGATTGCTATCTTCCTACATCCAAGATTTAAAAACTGGTCATGCATAGAAGAGTTCCTTTAGGATTGACTGGGTTTTAAAATTCTAGGAAGACAGAATTAGGGACTATAGACCATCCTGGTTTTTTGTTTTCTAGCCCCAAAGCAGCAAAATTAAGCATTGAGAAACCAATTCATATGAATGAGGCAATAGCAACAACAACAACAACAAAACCCAACATGTTTCGTGACATATACCTTGGAGGCATTTTGTATATTTGGAAATTCTCATTTGCATTTTTAGACAATGGAGTAACTCTTTTGCAGGTTGTACTAAAACACAAACACACCACTGAAGAAACCAGACTAGGAATTTCAGCATTCATTCGATGTTTCTGGAAGTCAAGGAAAGTAGCCAATTAAAAAATAACTCAAACACTGCCTCTTCTTCATGTTCAGCAAGCACGAGATTAATGGCAGAATGGCTTACCTGGGACAGGGCTCCTTCTTGAATTTAAGTTTTGAGAATCCAAAATCTCTTCTGTTTGCCCATCTGCTTCTACCTCTATTTTGTTCTGAATCTCTTTTGCATCTTCACTAAGGCAAGTTCTTATGCTCTCGTCCTCCTCTAGGACTCTCTGGACTGTGATGGCAGCACTCGGAGAACTAACAGTAGTGGCAGCAGCAGGAACAATGACTGGAGTGTGAGGAGGAGAAGCTGGAGGAGTTGGAGGAGTTGGAGGAAAGGAAGGAACTGTGGAAGGGGTGATGGGAGCTGGGATACACTCCAGTTTCATTTCTTCTGGGGGATTTTCGAGAATCTCCAATTCAAGAGTCAATGGCAATACTTCCTGTTTTACTATTTCCACAATGCTCTCCGTGGCTGATAATTTTTCGCTAACTCCATTTATTTCATTAATTAGGTTAGTACTAGAAACCAGTGGAATATCATTAGGTGCTACACTACAGGGTTTCTTGCATATATCATCATCATTTTCATTTGTTGGTAAAGGGTCTGATGTTTCTGTGCAAGATGTGAGGCTGGGTATAGGAATTGTGTCTTCTCTTGGGGATGAGAGTTCACATCTGTCATCTATAGCAGTGGTGAATATTGGTTGGCTACTAAGAGCAGAAGAGGTGGGGGCTGCAATTGTACTTCGAGCAACAGAAGAAACAGTGGTAGGTGATGGAGGCAGAGGAAGCTCTGCTATGGATACTATTGCAGTAGTTTCAGATGTCTGGCCTTCTTGTTCTTTCTTCTCTCCACTGAGGACTAGCCTAAGGACTGGGGAAGGAGACTTTAACACTGGATCTGGTTTTGGCTTCTCCTCTGGGGAAAAAAAAATAAGTTTTAAGAATAATTCTTGGATCAGAGACTACATATTGCCTTGGGCCAATTCTTTCAATGTCTTACCCTAAATTACAGGTAACAGAACAGAGACCAATATATTAGACTTATTCTGGTATGCCAAAAACATTGTCTCTTTTCTTTTTTTACTTAAACCTACTATTTACTTGGTATCCAATACATAAAGTCTGTTTTGGAGTAAGAGAAGGAATCTATTCACCAAAAAATTATATATCAAGAATACAACTGAAAAGCTCACCAAAACTGAGGCTAAACCATTCTTGGTTTAAGAGTGAGGCTTTTCTTTAAGGTAGGAAAACCTTCATTTCTACCACTTCTCGTTCCCTAAAAAACTTTTTTTCCAAGGATATATTACAGTGGCAAAACAGTACAAGGGCAAACAATTAAAAATTAAATTATTATAAAGGGACTGATGTTATTTTTTATTCTATATATTTTTGTATTTGGGGAGATAATTTTTATTTTAAAAAGTATTACTTGTATAAAAACTCAAGATAAAGCATCACATTTTATTTAATGAAATTTACTATCAGTGAAATCAAACTATTCTCAGTAACTGATAAAAATCAGTTTCTAAATTAATTTACCCTTCAATTCTCAATGGAAGTATATAACCAGAAATAATGTAAGGTATAAAAATGGAAATTGCTGGGCTTGGTGGCACATGCCTGTAATCCCAACTACTCAAAAGGCTGAGGTGGGAGGATCACTTGAGCCCAGGAGTTTGAGGTTGCATTGAGCTACGAATGCATCACTGCACTCCAGCCTGGGCAACTGAACAAGATCCTGTCTCTAAACAAAACAAAAAAAACAAAATATATCTTGTGTCTTTACATGTAAAACAATTAAGGAGAAAACAAAGTTAATACACGAATAAATCCAATGAAAAAGAAAACAATATACATATAGTATGAAAATACTAGTGTTTCATAGTATGAAATAGTTTGATATAATATACAAAAATGCATCTGTGTATATATAGAGAGAATGAGACGGAGAGAGAAGAGAAGCTGGTCATCATAATGCGGGTACCAGAAAAACACAAGGAACAATAATTAACAATAATTTCCACATTTTTATTAATAAATTCCAGGTAAATTGATATGTGATTCATCCCTGAGTGGAGGAAACCAAAGGAGATTTAGACTGGCTTCCAGCCTTGTGCTTCCTTAGCACAATAAACAGGCTCCATGGAAAAACATATACTCATGAGTATGTTTATCAAATGACAACAAAAGATTCAAGCACTATTAAAAGACAACCTAAACTGAGACTACTTTCTCCAACAGAATTTTTTATACATCAATGAAAGTGAGTCTTTACAATAAATTGTAATTATGTGAAAGCAAATATGCAGTTTATCAGATAAATAGGTATTAAATATTACCATTAAGATATTATTAATTCATTCACTGTAATGACACTTATTAGCCTTAAAATATACTTTTATTTATAGGCACAGAAGCTGGTGCTTCTAAAATTGGACTTTTCTTAGTTACTGCAGTGATGAAATAGAATCAATAGGCTCTCATTGCCAAATCCCTCAGACTAAGTTGACAGGGCAACAGACAAAAATATTTCAGGAAAACTTGTCTTTATTTTTTTTGTGTGTGTGTGTGTGTGTGTGTGTGTGTGTGTGTGTGTGTGTGTGTGTGTGTGTGTGTGTGTGTGTATGTTCGTTCTAGATGGAACACACCATATATAACAAATATGTATTTATCAAAATATCTTTGATGAAAATAATTTCCAGCTCACTGGAGTAAATAAGTCACCCAGATTACATAATACCACTGTGAAAGCTTATCAGACTAACACCCTTTATGACCACTGACTGAAACCTAGATGCAGTAAATTTAAAAATAGGGCAGGGTGTGATGGCTCGCATCTGTAATCCTAGCACTTTAGGAGGCTGAGACGGGAGGATCTCTTGAGCCTAGGAATTTGCGATAAGCCTCGGCAACATAGTGAGACCTTTTGTCTACAAAAAATTAAAAGATTAGCCAGGTGAGGTGGCGCAGACCTGTAGACCCAGCTACTCGGGAGGCCAAGATGGAAGGATCGTTTGAGCCCAGGAGGTCGAGGCTGCAGCAAGCTGTGATCATGCCACTGCACTCCAACCTGGGCAATAGAGCAAGACGCTGTCTCAAAATGAAAAAGGGAAAAGAAAAGTGGGGAGAAGGAGAGAGGGGGAGCGGGGTGGGGGGACAGAGAGAGAGAGAAAAAGAGAAATTGATTCTCACATTAAATATCTAATAAGAGTATGTCAATTCAATTATTAATGTTGGGAAACAATTTCTGATAGTAAAAAATCAAACAAAAGTAGACCTATGATTGATAAACTTCTATACACACTTCAGAAAAATCTAGTATTGAAAAACTTAGGCCAGGCATGGTGAGCTCATGCCTGTAAATCCCAGCACTTTGGGAGGCCAAGGGGGAGGATCACTTGAGCCCAGGAGGTCTCAAACTACAAGACCTCATTTCTACAAGCTGGGCATGGTGGTGTGCATTCGTGGTCCCAGGTACTCAGGAGGCCAAGGTGAGAGGACCACCTGAGCCCTGGAGGTTGAGGCTGCAGGGAGCTGTCATCGCACCACTGTACTTCAGCCTGGGTGATACAGTGGAGTGAGACTCTATCTCAAACAAAACAAAACAAAACAAAACAAATTGTGAGTTCTTCATTCTAAAATAAAAGTCCTTTAACCCACTAATTAAAGCTTTAATACAGAAAGCTGAAAATGCAGAAAGCTAAAAACACAGTAGAGCTAAATTAAAAAAAAAAACACTTATTTTATCCCTCTAAAGACTTCTATTATAAAAAGTTTGGCCATCTTTAGGAATTTGCAGGAATTCCAGCTTTAAGAATTTTTCTAATAATCATGAAAGGGTTAGCAAAGATAGATGTCTAGAATATTTAAGGCAACACTATTTATAATACAAGAAAAAAGGAGAAAAAAGGAAATCAACTAAATGTTCAACAATAGAGATTTATTAAAGAAATGATAATCTGGGCATATAATGGCATACTATGCAATATTTAAAATATGTTTTTAAAAGAGTATTTAATGATATGGAAAGTTGTTTGTAATAAAAGATATGTTTTGTTCTGTTTCTGAGACACAGTCTTGCTCTGTCGCCTAGGCTGGAGTGCACTGGTGTGATCTCAGCTCACCGTGACCTCCACCTCCCAGGCTCAAGCAATCCTCCTACCTCAGCCTCCCAAGTATCTGAGACCACATGTACGAGCCACCATACCTGGCTAATATTTTTATTTTTTGTAGAGACAGGGTATCGCTATGTTACTCAGCTGGTCTTGAATTCTTGAGCTCAAGCAATCCTCCTGCCTCGTAAGCAATCCTCCTGCCTCGTCCTCCCAAAGTGCTTAGATTACAGGCGTGAGCCACTGCATCTGGCAAGAATTTGTTTGTTTGTTTGTTTGTTTTTAGTGGGGCACAAAACTCTATGTAGAACCCAATTTGGTAACTTAAAAAAATGCTTAGTACTAACATATGTGCATAGGGGAAAGTCAGCTTATTAATAATGGCTCTGAGTAATCAGACACATACTTTTTCATTTTGCTTAGCTGTAGTTTCCATAAAGAGTGCCAAATTTATAAGAAGAATAAAATTGCTCCCTTTTATTCTCATATGGTGGTGGAATCAATGACCAAGACTGGGTTGTCTTTTGGTTGTCACAAGTCTCTCAATGACTGAGAAGATGCTATTGTCATTTAATAAGCAGAGAGAGGAATGCTGAGCATCCTGCAATTTGAGGTACAGTCTCACTTGACAAAGAATAGGTCCTAAATGCCAGCAGAGTCCCAAATGAACAACACTGCTATGAATGGTTGAATTACAAACAGAATACCATTCACTGAACACACTAGGTGCTTTCAACAGGCACTAAGATTAAGACTAAGGCACCAACTAACTCCTTTAATTATCCATACCATATCCTCAGTACAATGGATTTAATGTTCTTTCTCACTCAGTAAATAGCAATCATTTCAGCTGTGTACTATCAATACCAAGCAAAAATTTTAATTCATTCAACAGTTGTTCTCTCTACAAACCAATGTGAAGTATTCCCTATGTCTTCATAAGGTGCCAAACAAATGTAAAATGGTAGATTTGTCTGGAACCTTGGCCTTCATGTAAATATTCTAGCTCTTCATGTCAAAAACTCTGAGAAACCGGAAGCTTAATAATGGCAGCTAACATTTGTTAAGCACTTATTATGTGCCAGGAACTGGGTCAAATACCATACATACATTGTCCCTTTTAATTCTCACAACCACGATTGTTGGGGTAGAAATTATTTGCCTATTTTACATATGAGGAAACTGAGGGTTTTAGAGATCAGTCACAGGCCCAAAGTCATATAAGTAGCAAGTGCTCAAGTCTGAGAATGATTTCAAATCCCACATTCTTCCAACTTTTTGGAGGAAAGGGGAGGCTTATGGAAACAGAAGTACTTAAGTCAATCAAGCAGGAGGGAGACTTTAGAGTTAACATGAGATTGTGTAACTGAGTACAAACTCTCAGTAAAGACATTTCTATTGAGAAAGAAAAAAACAATCTGCAAAATGTAGAGACTGTTGTTTCTGGGAGTAATATAACAATCTTTGAGAAAAGTCAGTTTTTATATGCTAATTTCAAAAGGAATCTACAGTGAAGAAGGAAATTTTTAAAAACTCCTTGGCTGGCTGAGGTAGCTCCCGTAATCCCAGCACCTTGGCAGGCCGTAGCAGGCAGGTCGCTTGAGCTCAGGAGTTTGAGACCAGCCTACACAACATGGCAAAACCTCGCCTCTAGAAATACAAAAATTAGCTGGTCATGGTGGTTCATGCCTGTAGCTCCAGCTACTCAGGAGGCTGAAGTGAGAGGACTGCTTGAGCCTGGGAGGTGGAGGCTGCAGTGAGCCATGATCGTGTCACTGCACTCCATCCTGGGTGATAGAACGAAACCCTGTCTCAAAATAGAAGAAAAAAGAAAAAAAAATCCTCAGTGTAAAGAAAAAAAACCATTTTCTCTGAAAAAAATAGTGAGCCCTTTCTAACATTACATAAATTTGGTTAAAAAAAAAAAACTCTGAAAACAGTAATATTTTAGCTATCGGCAGGCTATGGAAGAAATTAGAAATGTTACTGTTTGACTAGCCAAGAAAGAAAAAAGAGAGAGAGAGAGATGAAAGAAAGAACGAGAGAGCAAGAGAAAGAAAGAAAGAAAGAGAAAGGGAGAGAGAAAGGGAGTAAGGCAGAAACAGAGAAACAAAGAAAGAGAGTTAGTTTTCTGGTGAATAGTTGGTACTAAAAGGAAGATAACAGTAATTCCAGAGCATTAGTTATAACCTCTGAAATGCACTTAAAATACTACAAGTTTTTCTTTTCATCAAGGTAACCTGAATACTTTCCAATTAAGCCTATATTATACACCAGTTAGATATGTTGATGTTGTTATTCAAATTTCCACTAAGCAAAACAAAAACAAAAACCTGAGAGGAAATCAAGTCTGCATTCCTTGTCTGGAAATCTGGGCCTAAATATGACAAAATGCAGGGATCTCATAATCTAAAAATTTTAACATTATTTTTCACAAAATAATGGCAAACGCAATAATACTGTCTTCAGGAAGGACAGAACTATCATCATCAAAGTATGTGATAAATTTTTTAAAAATCCTGGCACAGCTACAGAGAAAGTCTGCACAGAAGATATATTTTAAGGCCTCTTTGCATGGGAAGTATTCAATATGCTTAGCATAATTCTAACCAGCAAAAAGATTACACATTTGCGAAAGTGCAATGAAGTTTTGAAGGGAAATACTCTGAGAATTATTCTCCACTAAGATTAAAAACATTCCGAATTTTGACTCAAAACGACTTTATCATTGAAGGTAGCAAGTCGACTTCCACATTTGGTCTACAGTCTGTAATTTCGCAAGGTAAATGGCTTTACTATTTAAAGAATTCGCTTGAAGCATGCAGGAGTTCTCCTTTAACTCAAAATGTTGCTGAAAGAAGTTCTTGACAGTGCAGTTTTTTGAAGCATGCCACATTAGGGATCACTAACTATCTTTTGGTTTAAAACTATCTTATATAACAAATACAGTATAGGACCTGTCTGTTCAAGAGTATCAGGCTTCTCAATACTCAGGGGGAAAATGAAATTTCTATACTAAAAACACATATCATAATCTTTGTTTGATGTAAAAATCAATGAAATCATGTATTAGAAGTACATCTTTCAGAAAGTTTATAAATGTGATTGACTAACTTGCAGTCTACCCAAAAACCTTTAATATTAAATATATCTATTTTATGGGCCATTCCTAAATATTTTTTAAAGGATAATTTTTAGTCCGGGCATGGTGCCTCAGGCCTGCAATCCCAGCACTTTGGGAGGCTGAGGCAGGCAGATCATTTGAGGTCAGGAATTTGAGAGCAGCCTGGCCAACATGGTGAAACCCCGTCTATACTAAAAATACAAAAATTAGCTGGGCATGGTGGTGCATGCCTGTAATCCCAGCTACTCGGGCGGCTGAGGCAGGAGAATAGCTTGAGCCCAGGAGGAGGAGGTTGCAGTGAGTCAAGACTCTGTCTCAAAAAAAAAAAAAAAAAAAAAGAATAATTTTTAGAAAATCTATATACTAACTATAGAGCTATAGAATAAACAAATAGTTTGGAGGAATAAATAATTCAAGAAAGTAAGAAGGTACATGGCTTCCATATTGATATCCAATCATTTTTAGAAATCTGAAACATAAAGCAGGGTCAAAGTTACTTGCTTCCCCGAACTATGTTTAGAATTCTCTCTCAATTTTAGCAAAGGTCAAGTTAAAATACAACTAGGCAGGAAAGAAAGACTATGATATCCCACTTTCTGGTATTAGATTTCCTTTAAGTTTTCTATTATATTCCCAAAGGCACAGTATTTATTTCAACAAACATTTGGCACCTTCATGTTCAAGTTCAATAGGAGCAGAGACCTTAGTGTACTATTCCTTAATACAGCATTAATGACTATAATTTACTAAGCACTTTTCCTGTGATAGGCATGTTCCCACAGTAATCCTGTCAAGCACATAGGTCTTTATTCCATTCTATCAGTGAAGAAACTGAGACACACAAGGTCAGTGGCTCAATCAAGACCAAATAACTAGTGCATGATGGAGCCGGGATTGGAACTTGGCTCCATCTCCAAATGTGGCTATAGAAGCCCAAACTTGTAAGAAGAAATGTTTTATCTTTTTTTCTTTTTTAAAATAGCAAGATACCTAGGGACATGCTGAATATATAAGCTAAACTGTATTGTTCTTGTAAAGTAATATATGCTAGGATTTCTCCCTCCACTTCCCACCTTGTTTTAAAGGGCAGTTTAAGGCAGCTAACCTTTAAACTGTATACAGATACTAACAGTGAGAGATTAAACAAATGTATGAAATAATTTTACCAATCATCCCTACTTTAGTTTCCTAGAGGCAGAATACTTTAATTTTCTGCCTCAAAGCTTTGTTTAAAGGTGGGTGTCTAAATAATCCTTGGATGCTGTACTCTTACTCTTGAATGCTGACGGCAATGTAATTAATAAAAAAGAGACTAAAGATAAGAGGGAGGAAAACAGTCATACACAAACCTTGCTTCTGGTCGCTAGCTGCAGTGACAGGGGTGCTGGCAGCAAGATGAGCGCTCTCCACAGTCCCATAAACCACAGGGCTGTGCTCGGGGACCTGGCTGGGCAGCTGCTGGGATTTGAAGTACAAAAAAGGGTGATAATGAGCGTGCGAACATAAAAACTAGCAACATGGAACCCAAGCAAGTAGGGAAGACAGTAGAGCACAGGAGATCACAAAATTAAAAAAGGAAAGCAAGGAAAAAATATATAGTCCAATTTAATAAATTCAAAAGTACATGGGAAGTCAGGGAAGATAAAGAAAGAGGCAGCAGAAAAAGAGGAAGGAAAAGAAATGATTACTATTAACCACAGCAAGAGAAGACAGCACAACAATCATTAGCACAATTTATTCCCCAGTGTTCCTTCTAAGGACAAGCCGACTTGTCAACCTAACAATAGACGACACATCTGAGAAGGAATTTAACACCCTCCCAAAGACCAAGAAGGATTTGGTCAACTTCATGTATAAATTACCTAGCAAAGCAGGACAAACAGAAAATGTAATGAGGCTGAAAAGCGGTTACAGATTCAAGAAAACAATATTGAAAAATGATTCCTGCTACTTATCCATGTAATCATACAGGTGAAATGCAACTTTGAAAGTATGTAATAAAGCAATTTTACCATAAAATGTCTACAGGTTCTGGGTCAAATATGGTATTTTCAGAATCAGAAATCTTGACTAAAATATTGGGTTTTTCAGAGATATAAGGAAACTCATTTTCACTCAGGCATTGTATTAGAATGAAAAATGGCCATCAAAATCCAAGCAGGATAGGTTGAGAAAAATCACAGCTATTGCTCAACTTAGAGGGAACAGAATTACACAAGAGAGGACATGAACATTCATTCTACATCACATTCTAGGCAGGTATTCATTCAGGATTTGAGGTTACACAAGCCACGAAACAAAGCAGTGTCTCTCCTCGGAGATCTAAGGTCAATTTTTTTGGTATCTATAATATCCTACAACGAATTCTATCAGTGCTATCAGAGTAGAGCTCCCTGCACAATTCTATTTTTCTTTTTACTTTTTTTTTTTCTGGGGAGTAGGGATGGGGAGATTAAGATGTGGGTGAGTGTGGGCAAACAGAGACACTTAAAAAGTGAGAGTTGATAAAAAATATTTTCAAGTCAGTAAGTGTCACTTAAAATGGGAATATAAAATGAAATGGACACATACAATTTAGGATGATAGATATCATTTAAGTAACTATGCTTTTCAGAATGTACAACATGAAATTTATATTTGACTATATAAGGCTTATATAGAATAATAGACAGAAATAGGGAAAATGCTATCATTTCACCTATTCATTAGACCAAGAAAATGTTCATATTCCACAATTCTAAATGAAGACTACTAAAATTATATTTCTATATAAAAAAATGGAGAGTTACTGTTTTCACGGGGACAAATAAAGAAAATAGCACTGCTGTAATTACTCTGAATCCTTAGTTTCAGTGGGAAAAAAATGCCTTACTGAAATTCAATAGAAAGGTTCACAGCTAAAACTAAAAATACCGATTTTTCAGTTCTATAGGCTGAAAAGAGATCTGGAACAAAGGAAACACTCCATGTTATTTAGCATTCATTAAGCAGTTAACCACATTTCCCAGGAAAAAAAGATTTGTAAATTGTATCATTTACCTAAAAGGAAAAAAATATTAACTACTCCAATTGCCTGGGAAATTAATAACCAAATAAAAAGGGGGGGGCAGGGTAAGTGCTAAAAGTAGGTCACAAAAATGACATTCAAAGAAAAAGTAAGATGTTTAAGACAGTAAAAGGCTACTAGAGTCAATGATTTTTCCATCTAAAATACCTTCAATCATATAAAAGATGGACATTTTAAAATAACAAAGTCCTAGAAAGAATCTATGTATAAAGAGTCGTAAGAAAGGAGTGAGATAATATGTTTGTTAAGTTACAATTTGAAATCCAAGTATCCAGTACATAGGTATATAGCCACAAATGCTGGGAAAGTACTTCTCAGGTCTCACAGCTATGAAATGTAGAACTAAAGATCCTACAGTCTCCTTCAACTTTATCATTTTATAAGCCTCCAACAGTACTAATAAAATCATAACGTATTAACATATAATTCAACACTTTTTTTTTTTTTTTTTTTGAGACGGAGTCTTGCTCTGTCACCAGGCAGGAGTGCAGTGGCACAACCTTGGCTTACTGAAACCTCTGCCTCCCAGGTTCAAGTGATTCCCCTGCCTCAGCCTCCTGAGTAGCTGGGGCTACAGGTGTGCGCCACCACACCCAAACTAATTTTTTGTATTTTAGTAGAGACAGGGTTTCACCATGTTAGCCAGGGTGGTCTTGATCTCCTGACCTTGTGATCCGCCTACCTTGACATCCCAAAGTGCTGGGATTACAGACGTAAGCCACTGCGCCCCGCCAGAATTCAATACTTTAGTCTTGTTCAGAATTAGTTTTAATTTAGGATAATCTTGTCAAATTGTAGTTTAACCTCCAATTTCATCTCTTCTCTCCTAAAGAAGTAACTCAACCAGGCCAGGTGTTGTGGCTCATGCCTGTAATCCCAGCACTCTGGGAGGCCAAGGCAGACAGATCACCAGAGGTCAAGAGTTCGAGATCAGCCTGGCCAACATGATGAAACCCCGTCTCTACCAAAAATACAAAAATTAGCCAGGAGTGGTGGCAGGTGCCTGTTAATTCCAGCTATTCGGGAGGCTGAGGCAGGAGAATTGCTTGAACCCAGGAGGTGGAGGTTGCAGTGAGCCGAGGTCGCGCCACTGCACTCCAGCCTAGGCAACAAGAGCAAGGCTCCGTCTCGAAAACAAGCAAACAAACAAACAAACAAACAAACAGTCTATAACAAAGGAGTTCCTTATCTTCCCAAAGAAAAAATAATGATGAACTATTTTACTAATCAATAAGTCAGAAAAATCAGGAAACATACCAAGTACTGTGACACAAAACATCACATCCAATGCTGTATGCATTTTGATACATATGAAGAAATTAAGCTAGACAGTTAAGAATATATTTAAGGAATTTCAAAGCCACTGCATTTTAGTCACTTTCACTATTGGTGGGAATGAAAACTTATAAAATCATTCTGGAAAGGCAATCACTACCAAAATATAAAATAACTCAATAAAGATGCTAAGGAAGTCAGAGTTAAAAGGTCAGGGTCATTTAGCAAGTCTTCGCACACTGTTGCAACAGCTCATCAATTATGTAAATGGTAAACTCCCCTGTCAAATTTTTCAAAATCAAGGTTCTGATTGGTACAAGGAAAAAAAATAAAGTGTTTCTCACTTATAAACTAGAGTGAAAAGAGTTTAAGGGAGGGCAAGATATTAGATTCCTGATAGTGTTTGAGAAAAATTCTTTATAAATTCTCCTTTAGAACCTACTCAAAGATTTATATACTAAATTTAAAGTATTGACCTCAAGAGATCATGGTAAGCTTAGGCCCACATACTGGAGGAATTCATTTTTTAAAAACATAATGTTTACCTATTAAGTAAACAGGCAACAGAATCTAAATTTGTTCTTTAATACTTCTTTGCACAATTCAAAATTCATTTTTCTTTACATAGGCACATTGTTTTGCACAAAAAAGGGGTCACCTTCTTTTGTCTTCTATTTTAATCACATAAATGACAGAATACTTAAGTACAGAGGTGGTTATAGACAAGGGTCAACAACTACAATCCTGGGGCCATATACCTGATTTTGTACTGCCCACAAGGTAAGTTTCTACAATTTCAAATGTTGGCGGGGTGGTGGGGAAAACAAGAGACAAACAGTATTTCTTGACACATGAAAATTATATAAAATTCAAATTTTGGTGCCCATAAATAACATGTTATTGGAAGAGACACACCCATCTATCTACATATTTTCTATAACTGCTTTTGTGCCACAATGGCAGAATCGAAGAGTGCTAAAAGAGACAATATGGCTGCAAAGTCTAAAATATTTACTATCTGGCCCACTAGAGAAAATATTTGCTGACCTGTATTGTAATTCATTTAGAGAAAGCCAGAGACTTCAAATAGTTACATAAATATAAGCAAAGAGTTGATTTACTGTCATCATAAGAATCCCATTCAATGACTTTAAAATAATCCTGTATAAATACCTCATGTATTTAACATATATAAAATCTGTGGATAAACAAGTATAGCCTCCACTGAGAAACACTATGAAGGCTAAGAAGCAAAACAAAGGCCAGGCAAGGTGGCTCACGCCTCTAATCCCAGCACTTTGGGAGGCCAAGGCGGGTGGATCACGACGTTAAGAGTTCAAGACCAGCCTGGCCAAGATGGTGAAACCCCATCTCCACTAAAAATACAAAAATAAGCTGGACACAGTGGCAGGCACCTATAATCTCAGCTACTCGGGAGGCTGAGGCAGGAGAATTGCTTGAACTCGGGGGGTGGAGGTTGCAGTGAGCCGAGATCGCGCCACTGCATTCCAGCCTGGCGAGAGAGTCAGACCCCGTCTCAAAAAAAAAAAAAAAAAAAAAAAAAGAAGCAAAACAATAATATACTTAACGATGCCAGGAAAAACTACCAAAACATGCTTCTTTCTTACGTAGGAATTTCTCCCATTCTCTCATTAGAACGGTGTGTGTCAATATGTGTGTATTTCCTCCTGATGTTTAACTTGTACAAAACACTATGAATCTACTCATGGCTAAGACAACATTCCTGGGTTCACAGAGCTTATATTCTATCAAAGGAAACATATGGTATAGACCACAAAATTAATCATTTAATCACTATAGGTATAAATGCTTTACTGGGAAAGTTAAGAGTACAAAGATGACCCATAATCTGGGGTTCTGACTTTGTGACGTATGTGAGGAAGATATTCTGAGTAAGCAACATTCAGGTTGACTTTCAAAAAATCAATGTGAATGTTGGCATGTAGGAGGAAGGGCAGTTAGATGCATCTCATGCAGAGAGAACACATGTACGAAGATTCTAAAAGGAAGAGTATTCCATGATCAACTCCCTTATGTAAAAGGTAAGAGGGATGCAGAAAGAACAGGGGAATCTGGTGTGAAATGAGGCAGGCAGGAGTCAGGCAGACAGGCCTTACAGGCCAGACCAAGGGTTTTTGGTCTTTATCCCCATAGCAATGGCAAGCCAGGGCCAGGTTTTAAGCAGCAATATGATATAATCAGATTTGTGTTTTATTTTTTAGTTTTTTTTTTTGAGACAGGATCTCACTCTGTCACCTTGGCTGGAGTGCAGTGGTGCAATCACAGCTCACTGCAGCCTCGACCTCTTGAGTTCAAGTGTTCCTTCCACCTCAGCCTCCTAAGCAGCTAGGACCACAGGTGTGTACCAACATGCCCAGCTATTTTTTCTTCTATCTTTTGTAGAGATGGGGTCCCAGTATTTTGCCTGGGCTAGTCTTGAACTCCTGGGCTCAAGTAATCCTCCCGCCTCAGCCTCCTAAAATGCGGAGATTACAGGCATGAGCCATCACACCTGGCTGATATTTTATAAAGATAATTCTGACCACTGCATGGAGAATGAACTAGAGCAAGGAAACAGCAGTTACAAGAATGCAATTTTCAAGGTTACTTCAGTAGTCCAAGGGAAATAATTTTGGTGGTAATAATGGGGGGCAGTTACTTAATTTTACTTAAAGGTTGGGGGTAAACTGACTGGGCTTGATTAGGTAACTGATGACACATGGTAGAGAGGGTATCTATGAGGAGAGAGGGGTAAAAAGAAAAACATTAGGTTTCTGGTTTCTGAGATAGGGGCCAGTCTGAGAAAGGGAACACTGGAGGAGACATAAGGTTTGGAAGTCATGGGTTTGGTTAGAGGAAAACCATGAACTCCAGTTTTGAGGTTGTAGGGCTTGTGAAATAACTGAGTACAGAGATCAAGTCAAAAATTGGGTATCTAACCTGAAGCTCTGAAGTGTTCTCATAATATAATAATATATGACATGCCATAACAAGCACCTCCTTTAATACAAAGGCAATAAAAAACAATAAATAATGACCATAGCAATAATATAATGGTAACAATAATTCCACTGAATTCTAATGCAGGAATTACAGGATGTAAGGACTACAATAGGCATCAACCACATAGATCAGTTCTTTCTATACTAATTCTTTCTATACTAATATGGTTTGACTGTCCCCACCCAAATCTCATCTTGTAGTTCCCATAATCCCCATTACACACCTCAAAAATTCTATGAATATGGACTTTTGTATGTTTTTGTATGGACAGTTAGTCAATAGTGAAGAGACACTGGATAGTATTTTGTGGGGAAACGGTGTGATATGATTTATGTTTTAAAAAGATCACTCACTTGGGCTGTTGTGTACAGAATCAACAGAGGAGAGGCAAGACAGAAGCAGAGAGATGAGTGAGAAAGTTCCTGTTGTCTAAGGAGAGCAAAGTGGCTTAGGCTACAATAACAGCAGTGAAGGTGGTGGGAATGAGTCAAATGGGACTTGCTGATGTAATGACTGTGGAGAGTGAAATTAAGAGGATTTAAAGGTGAGTCCTAGGCTTAGAACCTCAGCAACTTAGGTAGACTACAGTATAATTTACAAAAAAAAAAAAAAAAAAAACAAGGAGAGCACATCAAACACCTGTTGAAATATTTTATTTTATTCAATTTTTTGAGACAGGGTCTCGCTCTGCCACTCAGGCTGAAGTGCAGTAGCATGACCACAGCTCACTGTAGCCTCAAACTCCCAGGCTCAAGCAATCCTCCTGCCTCAGAGACAGGGTATCGATATGTTGCCAGGGCTGGTGAACTCCTGGGCTCAAGCAATCCCCCCAGCTTGGCCTCCCAAAGTACTGGGATTACAGGCATGAGCCACCGCGCCTAGCCCTGAAATAGTTTATAACGAAGGGGTCACAAACTCAAATCCCTTCAGAAACCTTAATATGTGATGCAAAAGGGAGTAAATAATAACAGAACAACTTAACAAACTAGAGGGTGTATGCTTGGGCTAACAGCATTCAGATTGATGAAATATTGTTTTTTCTTTAAACACTGACCTGACAAGACAATACACATCTGCAATAGAGAACATCCTTGAAAGCAATGAAAGGTTGCCAAGGTCAGAAATGATGAGAGGAAACCCGGACACTCAAAATAAAAGCTTGAAGGCAGACTTAAGAGGGCTTAAGAAAATGATTTTTAAAGTTCTTGGGGGCAAAAGGAACCCTCAAAACTACACAGATACATGGAAATTAAATAATCTGTTTCTACATGGTATCTGGGTTAATAATGAAATCAAGATGGAAAAATTATCTGAATCAAATGATAATAATGATACAAGTTATCAAAACCTCTGGAGTACAGCAAAAGAAGTGCCAAGAGCAAAGTTTACAGCACTAAATGTCTACATCAAAAAGTCTGAAAGAGTGCAAACTGACAACCTAATGTCATACCTCAAGGAATTAGAAAAACAAGCACAAGCACAAACTAAACAAGACTCTGTCTCAAAAAAAAAAAAAAAGAAATAACAGAAATTGCAGCAAAACTAAATGAAATTCAAACAAACAAACAAAAAAAGCATTACAAAAGATCAATGAAACAAAACATTGGTTCTTTGAAAAAATAGATAGACTATTCACTAGAATAACCAAGAAAAGAGAGAAGATCCAAATAAGCTCAATTAGAAATGAAACTGGAGACATTACAACAAACACCAGAGAAATAAAAAACATCACTCGAGACTACTATGAACAACTTTATGCATACAAACTATAAAACCTAAAGGAAATGGATAAATTCCTGGAACATACCACCCTCCTACATTAAATCAGAGGAAAGACAAACCCTGAACAGACCAATGACAAGCAGCAAGATTGAATCAGTAATTTTAAAATTTCCAACACACAAAAAAAGCCTGGACCAGATGGATTCATGGCTAAATTCTACCAGACATTCAAAGAAGAACTGGTACCAATCCTACTGAAACTATTCCAAGTGACTGGGAAAGAGAGAATCCTCCCTAAATCATTCTATGAAGCCAGTATCACCCTGATACCTAAACCAGGAAAGAACACACAAAAAAAGAAAACTACAGACCAATTTCCATGATGAACACAGATATAAAAACTGTCAACAAAATACTAGCTAACCAAATGCAACAGCACATCAAAAAGATAATTTATCATGATCAAGTGGGTTTTATTTCAAGGATGCAGAGATGGTTTAACATATGTAAGTCAATAAATGTGATACATCACATAAAAAGAATTATAAACAAAAACCATATGACCATCTCAATAGACGCTGAAAAAGCATTCAACAAAATCCAGCATCCCTTTATGATAAAATCCTCAACCAAGTAGGCAAAAAAGGGACTTACCTCAAAATAGTAAAATCCATATATGACAAAACCACAGCCAATATCATACTGAATGGGAAAAAGTTGAAAGCATTCTCCCTGACAACAGGAACAAGACAAGGATGCCTACATTTCACCACCTCTATTCAACATAGTTTTGGAAGTCCTAGCTAGAGCAATTAGGTAAGAGAAAGAAATAAAGGGCATCCAAATTGGAAAAGAGGAAGTCAAACTATCACTGTTTGCAGATGATATAACTGTATACCTAGAAAACCCTAGAGACTCCTCCAAAAGACTCCTAGATTTGATAAATGAGTTCAGTAAAGCCTCAGGTTACAAAATAAATGTACACAAATCAGTAGCACTGCTATACACCAACAACGACCAAGCTGAGAATTAAATCAAGAATTCAATACCTTTTACCACAGCTGCAAAAATAAAATGAAATACCTAGGAATATACTTAACTAAGGAGGTGAAAATCTCTACAAGGAGAAATACAAAACGCTGCTGAAAGAAATCACAGATGACACAAACAAATGGAAATGCATCCCATAATCATAGACTGGAAGAATCAATGTTGTGAAAATGGCCATACTACTAAAAGCAATCTACAGATTCAATGTAATTCTCATCAAAATACCAACGTTTCACAGAATCAGAAAAAAAAATCCTAAAATTCATATGGAACCAAAAAAGGGCCCAAGTAGCCAAAGCAATCCTAGGCAAAAAGGAGAAATCTGGGGGCATCACAATTACTTCAAATCATACAAGGTTATAGTTAACAAAACAGCGTAGTACTGGTATAAAAGTAGGCAAATAACTAATGGAACAGAATACAGAACCCAGAAGTAAAGCCAAGAAAGTACAGCCAACTGATCTTCAACAAAGCATATAAAAACATAAATTGAGGAATAGACACCCTATTTAACAAATGGTGCTGGCAAAACTGGCAAACCTCATGTAAAAGAATGAAACGATCCCTATTTCTCACCTTGTACAAAAGTCAACTCAAGATAGATCAAAGACTTAAATATAAGACCTGAAACTGTAAAAATTCTAGAAGATAACATTGGAAAAAACTCTTCTAGACATCAGCCCAGGCAAATAATTCATGAGTAAGACCCCAAAGCAAATGCAACAAAAACGCAAATAAATAGAACCTAATTAAACTAAAAACCTTTTGCACAGCAAAAGAAACAATAGAGTAAAAAGACAACCCATAGAGATGCAAACTACACATCTGATGAAGGAAATCTACAAGGAACTCAAACAAATCAGCAATAATAATAATAATAATAATAATAATAATAATAATAATAATCCCATCAAAAAGTGGGCAAAGGACATGAATAGACATTTCTCAAAAAAAGATACATAAATTGGCCTACAAACAACATGAAAGCATGCTTAACATCACTAATGATCAAGGAAATGCAAATTGAAACCACAAAGCGATACCATCTTACTGCTGCAAGAATGACCATTATTAAAAAGTCAAAAAACAATAGATGCTGGCATGGATATGGGGAAAAGGGAATGCTTATATGCTGCTGGTGGGAATGTAAAACTGGTGGGAATGTATAACCTCTATGGAAAACAGTACAAAGATTCCTTAAAGAGCTAAAAGTAGATCTACCATTTGATCCAGCAACCCCACTACTGGGTATCTACACAAAGGAAACGAAGTCATCATATGAAAAAGAGATTTGAAAACGTATGTTTATAGCAGTACAATTCACAATTGCAAAGATGTGGAACTAATCTAAGTGCATTTTGATATATAAGTGTATATATCAAAAATAAATTCTGCCTGGGCACGGTGGCTCATGCCTGTAATCCCAGCACTTTGGGAGGCTGAGGTGGGCAGATCAACTGAGGTCAGGAGTTCAAAACCAGCCTGGCCAACAGGCGAAACCCTGTCTCTACTAAAAATACAAAAATTAGCCGGGCATGGTGGCAGGCACCTGTAATCCCAGCTACTCAGGAGGCTGAGACAGAAGAATCACTTGAACCCAGGAGGCGGAGGTTGCAGTGAGCCAAGATCATGCCACTGAACTCTAGCCTGGGCAACAGAGACTCTGTTTCAAAATAAAAAAAAAATTCAGCTGGTGCAGTGGCTCATAGCAGAAATCTGGGAGGCTGAGGCAGGATTATCGCTTGAATTCAGGAGTTTGAGACCAGTCTGGGCAACATAACGAGACCTCATCTTTACTGAAAATAAAAAACATTAGCCAGGCATGGTGGCATGTGCATGTAGTCCCAGCTACTCAGAAGGCTGAGGTGGAGGTGGGAGGATTGCTTGAGCCCAGGATGTCAAGGCTGCAGTGAGCTGTGACTGTGTCACAGCACTCCAGCCAGGGCAACAGACAAGACCCTGTCTCAAAAAAATAAATGAAACAGAAAATTTAACAATTCCGTATGACAGAAGGCACGATTAACAAAGCTAAAACACAATCATCAAACAAGAAAAAAATGTTAACATATGTCAAAGTATTTATTTAACATGTAAAGCCCTCTTATAAATCTGTCAGACAAAAATCATCACCCAAAAGAAACGTGTACAACAGATAATTCATACACCCACAAATAACTGGTGAACATCGAAAACTTCTTAACTTCACAGAATACACAAAAATTAAACAAGATACTGTTTTTTATTCTGTCAGATAAGCAATGAGTAGGTCTTTGATGGTCTGTGTGCAAATTCCTTAAAAATAATTTTTATTGGCCAGGTGTGGTGGCTCACGCCTGTAATCCCAGCACTTTGGGAGGCCGAGGTGGGCGGATCATGAGGTCAGGAGATCAAGACCATCCTGGCCAATGTGGTGAAACCCCGTCTCTACTAAAAACACAAAAATTAGCTGGGCATGGTGGTGCATGCCTGTAATCCCAGCTACTCGGGAGGCTGAGGCAGGAGAATCGCTTGAACCAGGGAGGCAGAGGTTGCAGAGAGCCAAGATTGCACAACTGCACTCCAGCCTGGTGACAGAGCAAGACTCCGTCTCAAAAAAATAATAATAATAATTTTTATTACTGCGTAACAGATGTACACAGTTTCAGTGTACCCACAAAAATTTAACACATTCACATAATTCAAAGATAAATATTTGTCTTTTCTTTATGCTAGGAGCATTTGAATTCTTCTCTGCTAGCTATTTCAAAATGTACAATGGATTATCGTAAACTATAGTCACCTTACTGATCTACCAAACACTAGATCTTATTTCCTCTATCAAACCATATAGTGTATACAAATTCATTTTAATCTATGAAACAGCATAACAAAGCAAGGATCTCTGCTCATCATGACGAACAGAGAATAGGACACTTTTCAAATGTCCCATTTAAAAACTTTTGAGAGAATCCACCCCAGTTTAGATACCTATTTAAAGTCTACAAGGCTTTACATATTATTGAAAAGAACCATTTAAGTCAAGGGAGGTTACTAATGATAAGTTATTTCATTAAAGATAAAGAAAAATATAATTTAATTTAGTAACCACTATTTTTATCGTAGTCACCACTAAAACAAAAACCATACCTGTATGCTTTAAGGTACAGAATGCTATTAATTTATCAGTGCCTATGACTGAGATGACAAAATGAAATTTTAAAAGATTGGATTTGTTTACATTATACTAGGTATCACCTTCAAATTCTTCATGCAGGAATGTAACTATTTACTGCACATATTAACATATAACATGAATATCATAACCGAAGCTATAGACCCAATTCTAGGAAACTATTACTGCTAAACCATGAAATGAACTACAGTTGACCCTTGAACAATTCAGGAGCTAGAGGAACTGACCCCACACAGTTGAAAATCTGTGTATAACTTTTGACTCCCCAAAAACTTAACTGGTAACAGCCTACTGCTGACTGAAAGCCTTACCGATAAAACATATTTTTTTCTCAGTATGTATGTTTTATATATTATATACTATATTCTTACAATAATGTAAGCTAGAAGAAAATGTGTTTAAGAAAACCATCAGGAAGAGAAAATACATTTCCAATACTATGCTGTATTTATCAGTATCATAAGTTTACATCATCTGTTTATAAAATAAATCATCTGTCTAAAATGGTGGTCAACCACAGCTGCAGATCTCAATCTATGGTAGATATCAAGCATATCTTGATATCAAAAAGTTGATATCAAGCAACTCAACTTTTTCTTGTAATGTTAGCACTTTTCTCTGCCTCTTGGAAGTACTGCCAGCATCACTGGTGGCACTCTGTATGGGTCCCATGGTGTTATTCAAGGTTTATGGCAATGCACTAAGCACAATGAAAAAATATGTAACAACAAAGAGAAATTACTTTTTACTATGAGGCACAATTTACAGGAGAGATGAACTGCTCATCTGGAGATGATTAGTGTCACAGGGTATTTTAAGCGGATACTCTCAACCCTTGAGCTTACTAAAATAGCAACAGGAGGTGGCTATAAAATTACATTAGTACAGTATGTACTACAGTTAATTTTATGAAGTTAGGATGTAATATTGCCTCTTGTAGTTTTGTTTTTTTTTTGTTTTTTTTTTTTTTGAGAGACAAGGTCTTGCTATGCTGCCCAGGCTGGTCTCATACTCCTGGGCTGAAGCAACCCTTCCACCTCAGTTTTCCAAAGTGCTGGGATTACAGGCGTGCACCACCATGTCCAGATTGCATATTTGTGTCTGTTGACACTTCTCTCTGTATGGTCTGTATGGTCTCTCTGTATGGTCTGTATTTGTGTACCTAAGTTTTGATAAATTTTAACTTTTATAATAGATTTGTATATATTTTATGGCACTAAATGAAAACACAGACCAGTATCTACATATATTTTGTGTATTCATGACATACCTAAATTTTTCTTTTTTTGATAATTTTAGGCAATATGTCATCTGGAAGTTTTCAAATTATCACAATGTCCAAAAAATTTCCCAATGTATTTACTGAAAAAAATTATCATATAAACGAACCCATTTTGTTCAAGGGTCAACTGTAATTAATAAATGGTCATGGAATTTAAGGTTTGCAGGTATCAACTTCATAAGCAGCTCAACAAAAGACTGAATAACCTGCTGACTTTAGTAATTTTCCCAAATGGTAGGAGAGATTGTATCTTTCCTAAGATACGCTATCAATCCATAATTTCCTACCCCAAAGCCCCATAGCATAGGACTCTCTCCCATGTCATAACTGTGTTTCATTACAATAATAATTCTAGAAGCAGGGGGGAAAAAGAGTATATCAAGGAAGAAAGGTACATAATTCATTTTTAAAAATTAAGTGATCTTTGGCCGGGCATGGTGGCTCATGCCTGTAATCCTAGAGCTTTGGGAGGCTGAGGCGAGCAGATCACTTGAGGTCAGGTGTTCGAGACCAGCCTGGGTCAACACGATGAAACCCTGTCTCTACTAAAAATACAAAAATTAGCTGGCGTGGTGGCACATGCCTGTAATTCCAGCTACTCAGGAGGCAAAGGCTGCAGTGAGCCGAGATTGTGCCACCGCACTTGCACTCTAGCCTGGGTGACAGAGTGAGTGAGACTCCATCTCAAAAAAAAAAAAAAAAAATTAAGTGATTTTTGATCCACCATTCATCCTATTTGGAAGTAGACAATCTTGACATGGCATCATGTATTTATTTTTACACTACCGGGTTTCAATGAAGACTATTAGGCATAATAGCTAGCATATTTCTAAATACAGGGATATTCCTTATGCCTTACTGTCATCATCAGGAGTTGAGAGATTTGATACTGAGCGAGTAACAAAATTCTTCCTTCTTTCCCACTTTAATAGGTAAGAACTAAAAGGGAACTCTCAGATTATTTCGTACAATTCCTCATTTTACAGATGAAAAAATAGGGGTTTTAAGAACTTAATGTTCTGACCCAAGGTCATAAATCTAAGTAACACAGTGAAAACCAGCAGCAAGTGTTCTCGTGAGCCATGATATCCAGCCATGCACCTCCATCTACGCACTGTGATCCTCTGTGCATATACAGGGATCCAATGTGTATATACAGGGAACATGTATATACACATATGCATATTTCCTAAATATGTGAGATACAAAATCTCTACTAGCTAACCCACAGAAAATTTTAAGACTTTGAAGAACAGTTTCAAATTCTGTCTACTTCTCATTAGGGTAAAAACAGCAGCAGCAAAAATTTGTTTCTCCTCTCCATTCTCCTCACAGAAACCCAATGCAGTTTCCCTCAATTAACTCATAGCTTGTGTCACAAATTTAATATAATTGCTCCCTCGGCATCCACTTTTAGGGCTAGCATATGTTTTTGAAACCCTTTCACATTTGGCCTAGTTCAAATATTTCCTTCCTGTGTAGTTGCTTGTGAAAGAGGCCGTTTGTTCCTCATCTCACTGACCCAAAACACAACATATCCCATAGCTGCTGACCATGATAAAACCTAATGGTTAACACCAGAGTCCTGTAAGTAAGTTCACCCTTTGAAAGTGTTTTCTTCAAACTAGCAAATCCATAACTCCAGTGGGGAAGCCTAAGGGAGGACATGGACCTTAATAAAGGGACAGTCCCACGAGTCGTCTTTCTCTCTCTCTCCACCTGCTGGGTGAGTTCCCTGCTGTCTTCAGAGCTCCCCTATCAGCCTCCCATCAGCACTGCTAACCTCTCTGGGATTAGGAAGTAGTAAATTTTTTTCTGTTTCATGCATTTTGGTTTCACTTCCTCATTATGTCTCACCTGACAAACACACCCAAACATAACTTTTCCCTGGTCAGGGCTCTCTTAGAGAGTGGCTATCCTGGTTTATGGCCACTCTTGACAGAGAAACCTCAAGACCAAATTAGATAAAAATCACAATGGCTTGACCACCTGCCAAAAGCAAACTCATTATATCCCGCTCTTTAAACTTCCCCATGTATACTCAATATTATGTTTCACTACAAAAGACGTATTTTTAAACATGAAGAGGCATCCCTGACTCTCTCTCTCCCTTACATCTGGAGAAAACTTGCATCCCCATTTACATGTGCAGTACTGATTACGCCTGCTGTGCTGGCATTAACAATAGCATTGCCATTCATTTCCACAATCACCCCAATTTAGATGGTAAATTATATGGTCATCCTTTTTAGAGTCCTTATCTAGTTAGTAACTAATTGCTAAACATCTCTCCAACTGGCTTCCTCTCCTTCAATGAATTTCTCACCTGAAATATGATAATAATAGCCTCCCTTCATCTAATTTCCCATTTTTGCACATGCTGTTCCTCTGCCTCAATACCCCTTTCCCTTTCATTTTGTGAATACCCATGAAAATTAGATCAAATGGTGTCTCTGTGGTAAAGCCTTCCCACGTTCTTCCAGTCATTCTCTGTGCCTCCTGAAATAATAATAATTGTAATATTAGTAATAGATATTTGCTGAATATTCATTGCGCACCAGGCACTGAACTTAAACAATTTTTAAGTATTTTGTCTCATTTAATCCTCTCTGTGTGATAGGTTTTACTTTTTAAATGTAGAAAGCAATGCTCTGGGATAAAGTAATTGGGCTAAAGTTACAAAGCTAAGCAGTGGAACCCACACATGAAACCCAGTTATGTCTGATTCCAAGTCAAAGTTTTAAACCTCTTCCCTGTTCTATTTCACATGTACCACCACCATTAATGGGTCTCTGGTATCTGTGCTACAATTCTGCCCCACTTGGTCACCTCTGCACCAGTCAGATCTTAGTAACAGGTCTTCTGTTTCCCTTTACAGAGACTGGGACTTCCCTCGGTGATAGGGAAAGGCTTGGTTATCCACAGCATAAGCAATTATGTCTAACTCAAAGCAGGTACTTTAAGGCCAATACTACAGTATTTACTGTTGAATCCTAAATTCTGATGCAGAGGGCTGTCTCATCTGTAGTCTTCTAACCAGATATGATTCTGTATTTATCTGGATTGATGTCAAAATTGAAAACTAGTAAAACTGAAGTTAAATCTAATGAGTCTTCTTTGGCTGGCAGATTGCTATTTTGTTAAGGAAATTAGTTGCCAATATTTATAACTTGCAGCTTTTTTACACATAACTAAACATTTCTAGCTTCTTCTGAAACAATGGGTCAACATTTTTTTTTTTTTTTTGAGACACAGTCTCTCTCTGTTGCCCAGGCTGGAATGCAGTGGTGCTCTCAGCTCACTGCAACCTCTGCCTCCCGGGTTCAAGCGATTCTCCTGTCTCAGCCTCCCGAGTAGCTGGGATTACAGGTGCCTGCCACCACCCCTGGCTAGTTTTTTTGTACTTTTAGCAGAGACAAGGTTTCACCATGTTGGCTAGGGTGGTTTCGAACTTCTGACCTCAAGTGATCTGCCCGCCTCAGCCTCCCAAAGTGCTAGGATTACAGGTGTGAGCCACTGCATCCTTTCTATGATGCTCCAGAAAATGAGGTCAAATGTCAGTTGTCATCATTATGCTTGTGCTACTGTTTTTCTTAAGAGGAAAATGAAATATCTCTAGTACACGTCTCTGTTAAAAAGCTATTCGTTCATTCCATGAATTTCATGCATTTGGATTTAAAAGCATGAAATTCACCTAATAAACTTATGCTTTATAACTGATGTTACACTTCCCAAAAAGAACTACCAAATTACTACTATTGACTGATGGCCTTCATCTGTTGAAAGTGTAGATTCGATGTGCTTTATGATTATAGAGAAATATACACTCATATTCAGAACCACAGTCTCTGGGGAAAGACACAGAACAAAAAGATGTCTGTAGCTAAACACAGAGGGATACCAGAAGAGGGTGGGAACCAAGCTTGGAAAGTTACAGAAAACCAATCACACCCCACAGGGCATTTAAGTGCAAAAAGACACATACATGTCCAAATTGAGAATTTAAACAGAAATCAACAAAGGATTGTCTATCCTTTATCTGGCTTGACAGTAGTAACATTTTAATATGTTTGAAAATACAGACTAAAATTTGACTGCACTGATCAACTAATTGCAAAGTTTTGCTATAGTGTGCCCCCACCTAACAGAGCACATATATAGATTACTTCAATTTGAAAATTTTGCTTATCCCATGCTCACTTCCAGGGAAGAGACTAAATATAAGACCTGCTTAATCATTCCAAAATTGGAATGTCCCTAGGGGAATAATGAGGAGTGATGAAGAATTATTAACATGACCTTACAACACACATGTCCAGATGGACATATATACTCATCTGGATAATGAAAGACTGAGATAAATGTCAGCCAGATACCATCATTTCCAAGAGAAAACATATCATTACAACAAAGGACCAAAATTAAGTCTTTCTCAAATCCACAGATTTCCAAGGGGCTCTAAACTCAGCCAGCTGTTTGTGATTTTGATATTTAAGAATATTTTTATGAACTTTTTATTTTTGTCTGTACTACTAAAATGAAGTCAATAGTCTATCATTCTGAAATGCTTTCTATGTGATCATCCATATCACTTGTCTGTAAACTGGGCTCCAAGGAACCCCTTTACCATCCAGGCATAAAAGAGCAAAGAGAGCAGCCCCCTACTCCTTAATAGCTTTCTTTTTATCTGTTTCTAGACATTAGGCTTTCACTTTAGACAATTTTTTTTAAGGGACAGGATCTTGCTATGTTGCCCAAGCTGGAATCAAGGGATCCTCCTGTTTAGCCTCCCAAATAGCTGGGACTATCGGCATGTGCCACTGCACCTGCAATTGGCTTCACTTTAGATAATTTTTAAGATCTGAAAACCACGTGTCTCTATATCATTTATCAAAATGCAAAGTGACATAGGAGGAATGAAATACAAATCTTTTTTTTTTTTTTTTAAGACAGAGTCTCTCTCTCTCTATTGCCCAGGCTGGTGAGTACAGCAGCACAATCTCGGCTCACCACAGCCTCCGTCTCCTGGGTTCAAACGATTCTCCTGCCTCAGCTTCCTGAGTACCTGGGATTACAGGCATGTGCGACCACGCCCAGCTAATTTTTGTATTTTTAGTACAGATGGGGTTTCACCATGTTGGCTAGATTGGTCTCGAACTCCAGACCTCGGGTGATTTGGCCCACCTCAGCCTCCCAAAGTGGTGGGATTACAGGCATGAGCCAACGCGCCCGGCCTTGAAATACAAATCTTGTCAGATTTGCGGAATCTAATCTCTATTATAGTTTACTAAACTCCAGTTTCCTCTACAATATCTTGATTTCTAAAAACAAGAAAGTAACATCTTAGGAGATTATGATAACCACATTCTTCACCAGGAAGAAAAAGGTGCCTAACTGACAATTTATTAATAAGTTCCACATTCAGAGATTCAACCAACGGTGGATAAAAAATATTTAGAAAAAAACATTTTTAAATAAAAACACAATAGAAATTTTAAAATACTACAGTATGACAACTACTTACACTGTATTAGATATTATAAGTAATTTAGAGATTATTTAAAGTATATGGGAGGATGTGCACTGTTTATATGCAAATACTACGCCATTTTACATAATGAACTTGAACAACCACGAATTTTGGTACTGTGGAGGGGGCATCTTTGAACAAATCCCCTGTAGATACCAAGGGATGACTGTAATTAAAGAAGACACTCTGCACTCAAGAAGCTCATTTATGTAGTTCTAAAAGGTAAGAAGTATACCTGTTATACATCCTAATATGCTCTCAATAACACAGGAAATCATCTCAAGCAACACTGTTTGGTAAAAATGTTAAATTCTCAACCTTAATGTTTGCGTTAACAAAAGGTGCAGCACTTAAATCCTAAGGTTCCATGTGAAATGTGAAATACTCATTTAATGATGAGGTTTCTACAAGAATGCAGCTCCTTTTGGCATCATGCGATAGTTCATTAAGAAGAGTGGCAGCACCTCACCTGTGCTCTGATTGTGAAAACAATACATAAATATATTACCAATAAAAATTTAAAAATATTATAATTTGCAAAGAGAAAAAACATGTCTGTTTAAATACCATTTAGATATTCGAGGCTGCGAGACAACTGATGGAAATGAAAAGTACAGAAAGTGGCTATAGAAGAAAGAAGAGTTCAGTAGAGGTTAGTGAACAAATAGTGCCATCCATTACAGCTCACTCTGTCTTACCTGAGGAGGAGTAGGTGTGGACGTGGGTCTTCCTATGGGTGGAGTAGGATTTCTGCTGCCACCTCCAGACATAATCTCCTCTGTTATGTCTTTACCTCCCTGGTTTGGATCCCGAATTCTTATCTATAAGGTTAAATAAAATGACATATGTACAGATGAGTGTCTGTGTAGCAAATTTATAGGCATATAAGTGAGTTAAAGGTGCAAACTGGGAAACCTGTCAAATATCAAAGGTGATAATCACCACATTTGACTTTATTTCAATCACAGATCCATCAGATAAATGTAGGCCATTAGCTCTGACATGAACTAATTAGAATAACAAGCTAAAATGAAACCTAGTTGGCTGGATTTCTAGGTCAAAAAGGCAAACTATTAATATTTATACTTGTTTTGTAAGAACCTGTAAGACTGATTTTATTTACCATATTTAACATACAAGTTTCATAAAATACTTTTAATATATGAAAGTTACTGCATAGATAAAAGTTCCTTTTTTTTTCTTTTTTGGAGACAGTCTCGCTCTATCACCCAGGCTGGAGTGCAGTGGCGCAATCTCGGCTCACTGCAATCTCCGCCACCCAGGTTCAAGCGATTCTCGTGCCTCAGCCTCCCGTGCCAGGATTACAGGTGTGAACCACGGTACCTGGCGTAGAATAAAGTTTTAAACGCTGTAAATAATTCTCTGAAGTTCTTTACCAAAATAAAAAATATAAATACCCTACGAGTTAGGAATAATTTATTCTGACAACAACCTTATATACAAATGTAATAATGCTGACTGCAATCATGCCTTTTCCAGCAAAGACTGGAAAAAGGTTGATCGAGAACAGAATAGCTCAAAAATTATCATACGTCGGCCAGGCGCGGTGGCTCACGCCTGTAATCCCAGCACTTTGGGAGGCTGAGGCGGGCGGATCATAAGGTCAGGAGATCAAGACCAGCCTGGCTAACACGATGAAACTCCATCTCTACTAACAATACAAAAAATTAGCTGGGCGTGGTAGCACATGCCTGTAGTCTCAGCTACTCAGGAGGCTGAGGCAGGAGAATCACTTGAACCTGAGAGGCGGAGCTTGCAGTGAGCCAAGATCGCGCCACTGCACTCCAGCCTGGGCGACAGGGCAAGACTCCATTTAAAAAAAAAAATTATCTTACGTCCTTACAATTAAATACTTAACAGCCAGTAAAAAGAGTGAGGCAGATCTGGCCGGGCGCAGTGGCTCATGCCTGTAATCCCACCACTTTGGGAGGCTGAGGTGGGCGGATGACCTGAGGTCAGGAGTTTGAGACCAGCCTGGCCAACATGGTGAAACCCTGTCTCTACTAAAAATACAAAAATTAGCTGGGTGCGGTGGCAGGCGCCTGTAATCCCAGCTACTTGGGAGATTGAGGCAGGAGAATCGCTTGAACCCAGGAGGCGGAGGTTGCAGTGAGCTGAGATCACGCCACTGCACTCCAGCCTGGGGGAAAAGAGCGAGACTTTGTCTCAAAAAAACAGAATGAGGCAGATCTACATGAACTGACACAGAATAATCATTAAGATGTGCTGGTAGGTGAAAAAATGCAATAAGCACAAAGTGTGTATGGTCTTATTTTAATTTTTTTAAAGGCTACCCTATGCTTAAAGATGTCAGTGGAGTTGGTGCTGTAAAGGAGGTAAGTGTCTGCGACTAGGCATTCTATTCTGGGAGAGTGCTAAGATATAAAGGACCCACTGTTGTTTATTACCACCATACCTTAATCAAGGCAGTCCACACTTCTTGAGAATTTCAAGGAATTCACTAATGAAACTACCTGGATCTGGACGCTTTTAGGGGAGTCCTTCAATTAAGACTTCTAATGCCAGCTATTGTTTAGGTATGGAAAATTATTTCTAATAAAGTTTTAAGTATAGCTTTAATTCATTTATTCTACTTTCTTCTTTAGAAACATCTGTAACTACTGTCTTCCGGTTTCATTTCTTCTATTCATTTTTCTGCATTCTGAGAGTGTTCTTCAAGTCCAACTTCTATCATGCTGATTCAACATTACCAAAGCATATAGTTTCTTGACTGTAGTGTCATGATACATTGTCATGTCCTGTTCATTATGATATATGCACAAGTAATTTGTTTCTAATGATAAAAACAAGTTTTAAACCAAAGTCTTGAACCTCACTATTATTTTCTTGTTTGTTTACTTGAGATACAGTTCACACTGTTGCCCAGGCTGGAGTGCAGTGGCACGATCTCACTGCAACCTCCCCCTCCCAGTTTCAAGTGATTCTCGTGCCTCAGCCTCCCGAGTAGCTGGAATTATAGGCACGAGCCTCCACACCCAGCTAATTTTTGTATTTTCAGTAGAGATGGGTTTTCGCCATGTTGGCCAGGTTGGTCTCGAGCTCCTTACCTCAAGTGATCTACCCATCTCGGCCTCCAAAGTGCTGGGGTTACAGGTGTGAGCCACTGTACCCGGCCTGAACCTCATTAATTTTTATTAAGTTAGAGTAATTCAAGAGTATTGCTATAAATCACCCCACCTATCTTACTCGTGTGAATGTGGGAGTCTCTCTTGAATAAAAAGATCACCCATTTTGTCTGTTCTGTTGCGTAAGGAATTGCAAGCCACTCTTCTACAATTTTTCTGCCATTTGACTTTTATATTACTACACTCCAATTCTCTTGGGCCTGCCTCATTAGACAAAGACAAAACCCCTATAAATTATAAAAAACAATTAGAATACATTTTCTAAACTCTGTTTTTTGTTTCTTAAAAGATATCTATTTCACAGGAAGGATTTTTCTTGCTATCCTTAATATCTCAGTTCTTTTTCCTTGTGCTATTTTTTTCTTCTGTCAATTCATACTTGAATGGAGAGCTGATTAAAACTGGTGTTGGCCAGGCACGGTGGCTCACACCTATAATCCCAGCACTTTGGGAGGCCAAGGTAGGCAGATTGCTTGAGCTCAGGAGTTCGAGATCACCCTGGGCAACATGGCGAAATCCCACCTCTACTAAAATACAAAAAATTAGCCGGGCCTGGTGGCTTGTGCCTGTAGTCCCAACTACTTGGGAGGCTGAGGCATGAGAATCGCTTGAGCCCCAGAAGCAGAGGGTGCAGTTCAGCTGAGATCGCGCCACTGCACTCCAGCTTGGGCTACAGAGTGAGACTCCATCTCAAAAAAAAAAAGAAAAAGACTGGTGTTAAAGGAGAGTCTAGATGTGAGAACTGAGCTTAAATTCCTCACACTGAGTAAAACCTTAGCCCACTAAACCCTCCCAGTTCTAAAGGTGGAGTACATGTTGTCATGTAGCAAACCTAGCTCAGTGAATAATTAAAGATGATATTATGCAAATGGTATGAACAACTTCTAATTACATGCCCATACAAATCCTCCAGGTGAAGTGGTGTGACTATAAGGGAAGAATAAAAAAAAAAAAGGCACAGTAATTTGTGAATTGAGATGAATAATGACTACGTAAACTTATCTGATAAGTGAATAGATTTTAGATTTAAAATAAGAAAAAGTAATAAAAATCTCTTACAGTTTTTTTCTCTCTCTTGGCTGGAGGCGGCTGTTGCTGCGTAGGCACTATGATAGGTGCTGACTGATACACCGGCTGACTTGGGTAAAAAGGCGTTCCTAAAAAGTTGGAAAAAATTAAATAGGCATTCAGTTATTTTGTCAAACACTACAGAACTAGCAATGACACTGTGTCTCTGCACAATCCCCTTAAAAGGGTAAAAACAAAAACACTAAGCATTCTTCATCATCTTTTTCCACTAGCTCTCCTCCAGTTACTGAAGTGGTCAAGAAATTATTCCCAAAATATGTAATGTCTTCAAACATTCACAAACATCCAATATGAAAACCACTAAATACTCGGTTCCTACAGATCCACACCACAGTTGTCTTTCTAAAACATGGATCATGCTATAGTGATGCTTTTAAAAAATATTATTCTGAGGCTTACCACATGCAACTGTGACTCTCACACAAGGGTGTATGTGTATGTTTGTTTATGGGTTTTGTCAGGGACAGAAGGGAATATATCTGATCATCTTGGAAAGTAGGGGTGATCTAATTCTTCTCCTTACTCATGGGGAACTACTGCCATAGGGAGGTACATAAAGGATTAGCAAATTTCCGAATACTGGGGTGGAAAAAAGGCTCAGAACATATGGCCTTAAGATAAAGTCCAGATACTTAGAATCCAGGTTCCAAATTACATTTTCTATCATTCTTGAATCCACATCTTTGTTCTAGCTATAACCTACTCCTAACTCCTATCCTTTGAGTACACCAATCTCTTCAACTTTTGACTGTACTGCCCATCTGCCTGAAATTATCTTCTTCCCCCACTCCTTGTACTCCCAATGAGCTGTTTTTAACTTTCAAAACTTAAGACTATTATTATAATTACTATCAAGCCAAATTGTTTGGAGTAGAGGTGTGGAGAAGGGGTCAAATACTGGATGGTTTGAGGGTAGAGCCTATAGATTTGCTGATGAATTGGATACTGGTGTGAGAGAAAGAAGACTCAAGGAAAACTCTTTCAGTTTTATGCCTGAGCAAGTGAAAGAACAGAGGTACTACTTGCTAAGATGAGGAATGCTGAAGGAATAGAGTTTGGGGCAGAAAAATCAAGAGTTCAGTTTTAGACAGGTCAAGTTTCGGGTGCTTACCAGATCTTCAAATACAGATCAAGTAGTTAGAAAGTGACACAAATCTGGAGTCAGAGGATAGGTATGAGTTACAGTTATCCATTCTGGAATTCACAGAATATAAACAACATTTAAACAAGACTAGATAACTCAGGAAATGAATACAGATAGAAAAGAAGCCCAGTGGTTAAATCTTGGGGCATTCCATGTCTATTAGAGGTCACAGAAATTGGGAAAACTCCAGCCAAAGAGATGAAAACCAAGGCAGTGGTTGAAATCAAGAAAATTATTCAAGAATGAGGGCTGTGCTTAACCACATCAAATGGTGCTGAAGAGGTCAAATAAGATTTTTCAAAGTACAAATCACCAGTGACCTTGACAAAAGTTGTTTGGGCAGAGAGGTGAAGAGTGTGAAGCCTGATTTGAGTGGGTTCAATAGTGAAAGAGAAGACGGAAAATGAAAACCATGAGTACAAATATTTTCCTTAAAAATTTTGCCGTAAAAGAAAAGCAGAAAAATTGAGCTATAGCTGGACAAAAATATGGAATCAGAAAAACTTTCCTTAATATGTCAATGAAACAGTGTGCCTATTCCTATATACAGATGACACTAATCCAGCAGAGGAAGGGGGGAAAATTGTCAATGTGGGAAAGAAAGAATTGCTAGAGTAATAGCCTTAAATGGGTACAGGATGGGATCCAGTACACACATAAAAGATTGGCTTTCCATAGAACATGGATAATTGATTCACCGTAACAAGAAGGAAAAAAATATGTACGAGGGTAGTTCACACAGGTAAAATCCTTGGTACTAAGCAAACAGTCAAATAAGGCTGGCCCACTTTCATTATCACCATCAACATCCCCACTACCACCATAACACTTTTCAAGTGTAAAGTTGTTGGAAGCACCATGATTTGCAGTACCAGAATTCTGTAGGTATCAATCAGGTTTGCTGAATCAGATTTGGAAAAGATCTAAGCAGAGGGCATGACTATGATTTCAGTAAGTTCAATGTAAAAAGACCAAAAAAAAAATCTCAGTCATCCTCTAACAATGAGTAAACTATTCTCAAAGCAGAACTCAAATTAGCAATTATGTGCTACTTTATTATGTCACTGGCTCAGAAATTAACTCAGAAAACAAATCCCCAAAATTGGTTTCAAATGCTGCCAGGCAAGCAACACAATCTGCTCACTTCACCATATTTTTTGAGGTAAGTGAAATAAGATCCAAAAGGTGATCTCTTAAAAAAAACAAAAAACAAAAAAAAAAAAAACCTGGATTCTTCTCATGAAACATTTTTGAGCCTACATGATTGGGGAAGAGCCTGGTATATCACATTAATCCAATAAATGTGACAGAACAAGATAATCTCAATATAGTGGGATTAAATGCAATTAGCAAAACATTAAGTCTTCTTAACTGTGAGCTCTAGCAGAGTAGAAAATCTGCCCTACTACTACTAATATACTACTGCCTATACTACTAATATAATAGTATATTATTATAAATATATAATATTTATAATAAGCTAGTCAGAAACATTTAAAAACATTTTTATTCCACTAGAAATGAGTAATTTTTACATACCATTTATTAATTAGTTAAGTTAATTAATGTCTCTGGACCTCAAATTTCTTATGCATGGAATGAAGTACATTTGTATAGATCAAAGATCTGTCAACTACAGTCTAAGAGCCAAATCTAGTCCACCACTATTTATTTTTTTAAATAAAGTTTTATTGGAAGACACCCACGTACAGTAGTTTATCAACTGTCTATGGCTGATTTTACATCACAGTGGCACAGCTGAACAGCTGCAACAGAGACCATACAGCCTGCAAAACCTGAGATATTTACTATCTAGCCCTTTACTGAAAAAAAAAGTTTACTGATCCCAGTTCTAAATCAGTGGTTCCCAAACCTCAGTCTATATAAAAAGTGTCAATGATGTATTGCAAAATGAATACAATAACAATCATGAAATACAAACACACACACAGAGGTTTTTTTTTTTATGTGAACCTTGGTTTGTATTTTTATTTTATTTATTTATTTATTTTTATTATACTTTAAGTTTTAGGGTACATGTGCACAACGTGCAGGTTAGTTACATATGTATACATGTGCCATGTTAGTGTGCTGCACCCATCAACTCGTCATTTAACATTAGGTATATCTCCTAATGCTATCCCTCCCCCTTCCCCCCACCCCACAACAGGCCCCAGTGTCACACAGAGGTTTAACAACTTAAAATTTGTATAAAGGACTGCTCCTATTTGATGATTTTTGTTGTTAAAACATGAAATGATACTGGCAGTAAACGGCAGTTTTCTTTAAAGGTCTTCTTGGCCAAATTATAAATTTAATAGTCATGTATGTTTTCTACTTTATTTTACTCTACTTTTTATTCATTTTACTTGTCTATAATGTGAAACCAATGGTGCAGTCAATATTTAGATTTCTTCTCACTGTTTAAACCTCAGCACAATATCTAACAGACTTACTATAAGAAACTGAATGGCAGGAAGAGTATCTTAACACCTGTATTCCACAAAATAACTAGCACACTGCCTGTCTTCTAAAAAAAATTCAAAACCTTGAATTTTCCATAGAAACAATAATAAACATGGCCAGGCGCAGTGGCTCATGCCTGTAATCCTAGCACTTTGGAAGGCCAAGGCAGGCAGAATGCCTGAGCTCAGGAGTTCAAGACCAGCCTTGGTACACGGTGAAACACCATCTCTACTAAAGTACTAAAAATTAGGTATCATAAATTGTGATTCATTCCAAAAATAGATTATGTATATTTTAAAAGAAATGAGAGAAGTTCTATAGATAATGAAATAGAAAGATGCCCATGAATATAGTATGAAAGGAAAACAATAACCAGGAAGTTTTATTATTTACACTACTATAAATATTCCATGTTAATTTAAGTTAAAAAAACTTGTTAAATATAAATGAAAAAAAAAATACGTATCAAACTGTTAAATGTTATTGCTTTAAAGGATGGGAAGGGAGAGAAACTGGCTATTTCAACTTTATGCACTCTATATTATTGAAATTTTTTTTTTTTTTAGATGGAGTCTCGCTCTGTCACCCAGGTTGGAGTGCAGGGGCATGATCTCTGCCCACTGCAACCTCCGCCTCCTGGGTTCAAGCAATTCTTCTGCCTCAGCCTCCCGAGTAGCTGGGATTACAGGCGCCCGCCACCACACCCTGCTAATTTTTGTATTTTAAGTAGAGATGGGGTTTCATCATGTTGGCCAGGCTGGTTTAGAACTCCTGACCTCGGGTGATCCACCCACCTTGGTCTCCCAAAGTGCTGGGATTACAGGCATGAGCCACCACACCCGGCCTTTTTAAATTTTTATCATTAATTTAGTTACTTTCATAATGAAATAAATTATTTTAAGATTGTTTTTCTAATATTAAGAAAACTAGAGAAACAATATTTTAATCTAGATGATTAACTGCCCACTTGATGTCTACTGGATCTGCATGAGAATTTACTGGGGAAGAAAGCATATCTATGAAAGGGAACAGACATCAATAATATCTGAGATACAATTATACCTCAACATACTGCTTTTTCATAAAAATGAATAAAAATGGTATATATCTAATAGAAATAAAGCCAAAATGTTATAATATTGTACATTCAAATCTGCACATTATGTCTCTACTAGTAAATTCATCATTACTGTTTCTATACATATTGTACAATAGTATTAAAAGCAATAAAGAGGGCTGGCACAGACTTACAGCAGGAAATTTAATGATGACATTTTCTGAGTAAAGTGATTGGCATAATCACTAAGTAAAAAAGCAGATTACAATTCAGTAAGACATCTTTAAAAATGATGTTGTAAATTAGAAGACTAATTGTATTCCCTTTGCAACACAGAAATTAACGGGAGACACTGTCTATTTCAGCATGTTCATGCTGATTAATAATCCCATTGTTTTCTATTTAAAAAATTCTAGATAGTAACAACCATTGTTACTCTCAAAAATAATTACTTGGATTTAAGTTTTCAGAATAAGGACCTAGAATAAAGGCACTAGAATTACATAAAAATGGTGACAAAGGTAAGTCCAAGGATTACACAAGGAATACTTCAACAGCACTTGCAATATGCTGTCAAAAATTGGGTGATATATATATATATTGTGTAACTTTTAAACTCACATATATGTAACACATTATTGTTCTGAAAATATCAAATTTCATAGTAATGATACAACTTAATAAAGCTGAGTTAAATAAACATATTTGAGACATTTAGTGAGGTTATATAAAATGTAGTATTAATCCCTTTTCTGCAATTTCAGTTACCTGCAGTCAACCAGTCTGAAAATACTAAACAAAAGATTCCAGAAATTAACAATTCATAAGATTTAAATTGCAAGCCATTCTGAATAGCATGATAAAATCTTGCACTGTCCTGCTTCATGTCACCAGGGATGTGAATCATCCCTTTATCCAGTGTATCCATGCTGTACACGCTACATGCCAATTAGTCACTTAGTAGCCCTTTTATCAGATCAAAAAAAAAAAAAAAAAAACCCATGGTATGTATAGGGTACTATGTGAGGTTTCAGATGCCCACTGGGGGTCTTGGAATGTATTCCCTGAGGATAAGTGAAGGGTATTGCGTATCACTTTGAAATAGCAGTTTCCCAAGACAATATCAACCAAGGTAACAGAAAACTTTTCCCTTCTCTAAAAGAAGTAAAGCCACGTAACATTTGGTTGCTTTGCCTACTTCACCTCAAAACTGAAAAAAAAAAACCTTCTTGGGCTACTTGAATCAAATCAATTCTGCTGTAATCTTAACTGAGACAATCCCAATTTTAGGAAACTGGTTAATGGATAAGTTATCCTGTTATATTAAGATTATTTAATAAGTTTTTGCTTTGTTGGTTATATAACAGATCAATGCTTACTGAATCTCAAAACTTAATTTTTCTAGTATCTACTAATTTTATCCCTTATTATTCACCTTCCATGGAATAAGAGAAATGTAATATGAAGTAAAAATTTGTTGAATGAAGTAAGTAATTTTTATCATTTTTAGTTCAGCATTGGCGCATATGCCAATAATCTTGGCAACCCAGCTCTCTCTAAATTAAAAACACTTTTAATTTTTCAAGGCATTTTCATTGGAACTAATACCCAAAACCTCCCCCATGCCATAGATCTTATCACAATTTTGCGGAGAATCACAGGTTCACTGAGTTATATTTAGTTATGGCATGTATATTCTCCAAGTGCCTGCCAGTCACTGTTCTAGGGGCTGGGGATATAGCAGTGAACAAAACAAAAATCTCTACTTTCATGGAAATTGCATTCTACTAAGAAAGACATTAACAAAATCTTTAAGGTGTAAGGTGGTAGGAAATGTTTGGAGAAAAAGAGATTGTGAAAGGAGGATAAGGTATATTCATGCCACTGGCAAAAATCCAGTAAAAATCTAGGTAACAGTGAACTGGTGGAAGATGTCAGAACTCTGAAACATGATTCTTTCCAGTAGAATTATCAGCTTGTAAAGAAGATGTCATTAACTAAATATATTTCTATAATACTCCTCTTGTAAGCCACTCTCTAAAAAGTAACTTTTCTGTCTTTTTTTTTTTTTGAGATGGAGTCTCGCTCTGTCACCCAGGCTGAGTGCAGTGGCGTGATCTCGGCTCACTGCAAGCTCTGCCTCCCGGGTTCAAGCCATTCTCCTGCCTCAGCCTCCCGAATATCTGGGACTACAGGCACCCGCCACCATGCCCGGCTAATTTTTTGTATTTTTAGTAGAGACGGGGTTTCACCATGTTAGCCTGGATGGTCTCAATCTCCTCGCCCGCCTCGGCCTCCTAAAGTGCTGGGATTACAGGCGTGAGCCACCGCGCCCAGCCAAAAAATTACTTTTAAAGCTGGGCAGAGTGGCATGTGCCAGTAGGTCCAGCTACTTGGGAAGCTAAGGCAGGATGATCACTTGAGCCCAGGAGTTTAAGACCAGCCTGACTAACATAATGAGACTCCCATTTCTGGAAGAAAAAAAAAAAAGTAGCTTTCAAGAAAGAACTGTTAGCAGCATGTTATTTAAAAATCCTTCTTACCACTAAACCTCATTGTATAAACCAACCCACCAAGCAACAAAATTAAATAAACACAAAAAACTAGCAGAAATGTCTTGACTTTTCCTACTTACCATAAGCATTGGGGAAGTCCCCAGGTCCTGGTCCAGGATAAAAAGGACCTGGCCCCGGTGGTTGAACTGGATATTGTTGGGGGGGCCCAACATAAGGAGGGCCACTATGACGGTACTAGAAAAGAGAAAGTATGAATATTTATAAATAATATGGTATCTGGGGGCGAAAAACATAATAAAATAATAAGAAAGTAGCTTACTACAGAAAGTAAAGTTCTCTGTGTAAGAGAATCATTTAAATGAGGTAAAGCGATTGGGTCAAACACATTAAAAATGCTTGCTTGCCATCAAGATACAATGAGAATGAAGAGAAAGGTGCAGCTTAGTAAAGCCATACAACATATCAGTGCACAGGCAGACATCAGCTCACTGTAAAATAATCTCAGGCTAGTAGCTTTTCAATGACATTAAAGGATTTCAGGAACAGCATAATCACTGAGTCCATTTTAGAGCAGTTGGTTGTGGCAAAGGGATGGGAGAAAGCAAGTAGATAAAAACAATTTATCATTTTAAAAAATTTTAAGTAAACAGATGTAGAAATATCTTCACACAGCATAATGAAAAATCACAAAAGGGCTAGATTTGTAACCAACAAAACAGTTCACACGTCACCGAAAACTAATACCACAATTCATCCACCCAGCTCCCTCTGATGTGAATCCGGGTTAATTTCCACTCTATTGCTGGACCACCTAGGCCTCAAAGATACTTTACCTGTGGTATACAGTACTGAGGCCCCTGGGGCACTGGGTACGGCATGGGCAGATGGTTAACCATCATGATGTGCTGATTAGCCTGGTACACTGCAGTGGGTGTCTGTGCACCAGGACGAATGGAAGGACTGCTGTTCGGGATGGTAGCTCTAGGAGGCTGTATTTGAGGCCTCTGGAAAAACTGGGAAGGGGAGAAAAAAAAAATTTTTTTTTTTTTTTAACACAGGGGAATATATAAATTTTACTGTCTCCTTTTCTTCACTAATAAAAATCTGGTCAACTTGAATTACAAATACAATATGCATAAAAAGAATAAATTACCTATTGCTGGGTTCCCAAAAATATACCACACTAGGGCAAGCTCTTATCAGTATCATCACATATTTGAAAACAGTAGGGTGGTTTCGACCCGACTGTATATATACGTATGTATATATGCATACATACATGTATACGCACATACTGTATATATACATACATACATGTATACGCACATACTGTATGTATACATACATACATGTATACGCACATACTGTATGTATACATACATGTATACGCACATACTGTATGTATACATACATGTATACGCACATACTGTATGTATACATACATGTATACGCACATACTGTATGTATACATACATGTATACGCACATACTGTATGTATACATACATGTATACGCACATACTGTATATACACATACATATATGTATACACACATACTGTATATATACATACATATATGTATACACACATACTGTATATATACATACATATATGTATAATAAAGTATAACAAAAGGGGTAGCTAATATTGATATTTCTCTATTATATAAAAGAACTGACTCTGATAAAGAGTAAGTGGTTCATTATCAAATCATTAAAAATTAAAAGTAGCCTCCTAAAAGACTGCTGTTCAAGTAATTTATAAAATACTTAGAAGAACAAGGAATCTCTTTGATCATAAAATATTTACCCAGTCCATCAGGGTCAAGCTAAATTAAACCATCTGTAGGGTTGTCACATGCTGAACTAAGCAGTTTTTTTCCTCTCCAAAAGGTGGCACAATCCCATACTAAACTGAGCCTTCTAGAATAGTTTGCAATAAAAGTGGACAATCTAGACAGGCCTAAGAATGGTCTGGAATCAGCAGAGTTCAAATTTCTCAAAATGGCAACCAGTACCTGTAGTTATAATTTTCACTGCAAGATTAAAAGCCTTGAAACAATATACCAATAGTAAATTTCCAATGTGAATGTATCCATTCATTAGCAATCAATCTCAATGTAATAATAAGCAGACTGAGTTATAAAGAGGCCATGCAGAACCAGTAGTTTGTTACCTGGATAGGTCTGAATCCTCCCTTCAAATATGAAGCAAGAAAGCAGCAGGAAACAGAAAGAAAGCCAATGGAAAAGCTTACAGATCAGTTGGAAGGGACAGGAAATAGCATGCAGCTCAACAAAAATATCTTTCTATTTAGTAATAATAGGAGAAGAAAGAAGACTAGAAAATCAGAATGACAGTTCTTCACTTGAGAATTTAACCACACATAGAATCAAAGAATCAAGTTACATTTAACTGAAATCCAGTGGCAAAAATCCTCTATGATTATTAATAGCCACAAGTTATAGTAGTGTGCAAGGAAATGTCTGCTTGGTGGCACAAGTACAGTTGTGACTACTGGTTCTTACTCTTGGATCTCATGATCACCCATTTCATGATCTGGCATTGTCTAGCATCTCTGTGATCTACTTGCCATCTGTGTCATTTGTTATTTTTGTAAAAGTCCTAAGAAATAAACTTTTCAATATATATCAGACTCTTAATGACAGAGACTTGCTTGCTCTTTTTAACTAATCAGGTATATAAGAGGGCACTTATAGCTCTAAAATGGAGAACTATAATAACAATCTTAAAATGTGGTCTTGCACCAAAATAAATAAAGCAGCAAAATATTCGTTGCTATCAGTCCAAATAAAGCCAAGCTTCGACCTTTGGGCCCACTCTGGTCTTATTTTGTCCTACTCTTAGGCATCAAACCACCCACAGATGGTATAAGTAACTTGATCTTGTGCTCAAAAGGAAGAACTGGGATCTAGTGTCCAAGGCTCATCCCCATTCAGCCTTCCTACCCCATGGCAAAGATAGCCCTAAAGAAATTAAGTCACAGAAAAACAACAGCCAGAAAGGTATAGCAGGAGAACGGAATAAATGGGGGAAACCAAAGGGGCAGGCCACAGAGAGTAGGTGATGGAGATGAAAAGAAAGCACAGGAGGCAAAGTTGGTAACATAGGAACCTGGGATGCAATACAACTACAGGAACCATCTTCTAGTTATCTCCACTGACACAGTTTTGGTGACAACATTTTTTTGTTGGCTGCTAAAAGGAACAATAAAGCAGTAAACCTCCCATTACTGGACTGCATTTCTCGTAATTACAAAGCAAACAGAATCTATCATGCATCAATGCATGTGATCTGTAAACAACACTTCAGGAACAAACTTAAGTATTTTTATAATGTAGTTAATATCAGGAGCCACAAGAATGATACAAGCCTCAAGTAGAGAAGAGTCATTATCTGTTCAACTTACTGGGCATTGCTAAATAACACAGGCAGAGGATAAAAATCTTAATACTGAAAGATCCTTTGAAATCAACTGTAGAGGGCAGCCCAGCCAAGATAAAGGGCGTATCAAATGAACACAGGTGATCATCTATTATGGTAACACTATCATCAAATAATGTCAAAATACTCCTATGTTGCCTGAAGAAATAGGGTGTTACGGGGTGGTAAGGAGAGGAGAAAGAAAATGAATCCATTAACTTATGCAGAGTAAGAAAAATAGATACGGGCAATGTTTTCCAAAAATTTTAACAGTCTGTATGTGAAATATTTTCTTACCACTATTTTCCAGCTGTTCTGATAAAACTTTTAACCAGCCTGTCCAGAATAACTGAGGTTACATCTTATTCAATGAGGTTTCTGAACAGTATGAAACTAATTTCCTCAGTAACTTTGAAGTAAAAACAGTGTTTCTAATGATATTCCTAATATTAACATATAGCTGAACCAAAAAAAGCCACTAAATATGTAGTTATATTGATATACTAATTTTTTTTTCTTTTGTCGGGGGGAGATGGAGTCTTGCTCTGTCGCCCAGGCTGGAGTGCAGTGGCTGATCTTGGCTCACTGCAACCTCCACTTCCTGGGTTCAAGCGATTCTCCTGCCTCAGCCTCCTGACTAGCTGGGACTATGGGTGCCCACCACCACACCTGGATAATTTTTGTATTTTTAGTAGAGACGGGGTTTCACCATATTGGCCAGGCTGGTCTCGAATACCTGACCTTGGGATCCGCCCACCTTGGCCTCCCCCAAAGTGCTGGGATTACAAACATGAGCCACTGCGCTTGGCCAATATACTAATTTTTATACACTAAGAATTCAGCTTTGAAGCTAAAGAGAAATGTATTTGTAAAGCACCAACCTAAGCATTATATATATATATATACACACACACACACACACACACACATATATACACTTTTTTTTTTTTTTGAGACGGAGTCTTGCTCTGTCTCCCAGGCTGGAGTGCAGTGGCGTGATCTTGGCTCACTGCAACCTCCACCTCCCAGGTTCAAGTGATTCTCCTGCCTCAGCCTCCTGAGTAGCTGGGACTACAGCCACATGCCACCACGCCCAGCTAATTTTTGTATTTTTAGTACAGACAGGGTTTCACCGTGTTAGCCAAGATGGTCTCAATCTCCTGACCTCGTGATCCGCCCGCCTCGGCCTCCCAAAGTGCTGGGATTACAGGCGTGAGCCACCGTGCCCAGTCAACATATATGTTAACTCATGCTCATAAATGACCTTGAAGGCAAGTACTATTATTAACAGGTCATAAGATATATGTAAAAACTGAGGAACAGGGAGATTAAATAACTTGCTGGAAGCCTCCCCCATCTGTAACTAAAACACAGTCAGATTATAGGCATGTACTTTTAACTGTTACACATATTACCTCTCATGAAATGGAATACCCCCATATTTTCACATAAACCAGCAGAAATCTTTTCTTTACAAACACTGAAAGGATGTAGCAGGATCTTTATCCAACTATACTAACGGGTGGCATGTCCCTCAATCATGACTGATTCCTGGTAAGAAAAATTTTCCATCAAGTTACTTCACAAAACACATGCTTACTCACGAAAACAAATTTCTTCTACCTACACAACTCCAATTCTCTATCTCCCAAAAAGTGACTGAAACTTGTTCATATGCTAAAAGCGTATCCTTGGCATACCATTTTACAGACTTACTTTTGCTCAACTTCACTGCATTAATACTTTTTACAACAATAGTCTATCTGGAGCTTGTGTTTTCCACTTAAAAGTACAGGATCACTTACACACACACACGTGCACCAGAAGAGATTCTAGAAAAGCCGTAATGACTAGAAATGCAAAAAAAAAAAAAAATATATATCCTTTTTGTACTCCTTCCAAACCATTCAATTACAAATGCATAATTAGATTTAATAGTAATGCAAGAAATTCAGATTCTCAGTTGGGCAAGCATAGCAGTAATCCATAGGTTATTAAAAGGAATATATAAATGGGATTTCCCAAACTGCTTGCAATCCTTCAAATTTCTTTTCTTCTCAACTGAGTGATGAACAATCATTAAGAGTCAAACTCTCCTGAATGGAAGGAGCCATTTAGTCTCACCATCCACCTAAAGTCTGAATATCTTTTATAATATACCACTAGGGATAAGAAACTTCAGCAACTTAAGATACAAATTCTTTTCATAATTAAATGGAGTTCTAATACTGTAAAACTCTTCCTTCTACTGGCCCCCAATTTTTCTCCCTATATCACCTATCCACTTGTCTCGTGTCCATCCCTAAAACCACACAGATGTCAAATCCTTCTCCATCAGCAACAGACCACTAAGTTATGTGAACGCTGCCATTACTGCCAATTTTCACACCACTATTTTTTGTTTCAAGTCAATCATAACCCTCTCCCTAGCATCCTGTCCCTCCAACCAAGATTTTTAATTCCCAAATGAGCTTGATCTTTTCTTTCAATCTTGTTCCAACACAAAGGTATCGAGGTGGGGTCTGCCCAGAATGTACCTGGCACTCACTAAAAAAATATTTGTTGCTGAGTGAAAAGGCAATATACCTCTCTTATTCCTGCCAGCTCCAATTCCATTAATGAAACCAAGAATCACAGGAGCAGTTTTGATATTTTACTACTGATTGGTACTGACACTCATTTAAAGCATTTAAATCCTCTTTATACATAACCTGGCTAAATAAGCTGTGTTCTTCACTTCAGTGTGTACTCTTACAATTGTGTTTTGAAGCTCATATAGAGGATTTTGTAGTTTGTAACTATGAAAATTTATCTGGCTAAACAAGCCATCATTTCAGATTGTACCGACTGCATGACAGTGTCAAACTACAGGATCATTAGAAAACCTGACCCATCCTGGCTAACAAGGTGAAACCCCGTCTCCACTAAAAAAATACAAAAAAAATTAGCTGGGCGTGGTGGCATGCGCCTGTAGTCCCAGCTACTTGGGAGGCTGAAGCAGGAGAATGGCGTGAACCCGGGAGGCAGAGCTTGCAGTGAGCCAAGATCATGCCACTGCACTCCAGCCTGGGCGACAGAGCTCTGTCTCCAAAAAAAAAAAAAAAAAAAAAAAAAAAGAAAACTTGACATAAATGTCACTTATCCAAGTAACTGATAAAAATGCTGCAAAGAGCTAGGCACAGAAAAGAGAGCCATGTACAACATAAAATTCACCTCCTAAACTTCATTTCAATCTGTTTTACTTCTTTCATCTTTCAAGGATTTATTATTAATACACCAGAAGGATGGCAGAGGAAGGTGAAAACTCTCATTTGAGGCAGTATTTTGGGCAGATCCAACAAGATAGGATACTTTTAAAACAGAGGCTGAACTTAGCATACTTATAATTGCTTACTTTCCCAGAAACACTCTAGAAGCCAGAATAAAAAATGTTTCCTCTCGAAAAATCCTTCTAAAGATGCAATAATTCATATCATTACCCAAAGCTTCCTCATCAAAAACGTCTAACAAATGGTGTTTGAACGTGCTGGCAATTATGAAATATCGTTTTTCATGACTTTGCTCAGTAAAAGCATGAAAAGACAAAAACACCTCTAACAAATTATATAACAGAAATTCTCTGAAAAACATCTTTTCATTTTCAGCAACTAGAAAAATCCTATTTAATCACATTAGATATTCCCATGTGGGGAAAAGCTCTGAGTACAAGCATAGCTCATTTTATTCTGCTTTGCTTTATTGTGCATTATAGATATTGCATTCTTTACAAATTGAAAGTTTGTGAAATCCTTGTGTTGAGAAAGTCTATCAGCACCATTTTTCCAACAGCATGTGCTCATTTCGTGTTTGTCACATTTTGGTAATTCTCCCAATATTTCAATTTTTTCATTATTATTATATCTGTTATGGTGATGTGTGATCACTGACCTTTTATGTTATCATTGTAACTGGGAGCGCCATGAACTGCACCCATAGAAGACAGCAAACTTAAGAAAGTTGTGTGTTCTAACTGCTCCACCTACTGTCTGTTGTCCCCCCGCCTCTCCCATTTTTCTCCTCTCCTTAGACCTTCCTATTCAGCAGACACAATAATATTGAAGTTAGGCCATTATATGGAAATTAATAACTGAACAGTGGCCTCTATATGGTCTTGTGTCACATCTCTCACTTTAAATAAAAACTATAAATGACTAAACTTAGTGAGGAAGGCATGTTAAAAGCTGAGATAGGCTGAAAGCTACTTCAAAAGCCAAGTTGTAAATGCAAAGAATAAGTTCTTGGAGGAAATTTAAAGTGCTACTCCAGTGAACACACAAATGATAAAGCAAAACAGCCTTATTGCTGATATGGAGAAAGAGCAGTTTGGATAGAAGATCAAACCAGCCACAACATTCCCTTAAGCCAAAATGTAATCCAAAGCAAAGTCCTAACTCTCATTTCAATTCTGTGAAGGCTGAGAGGTAAGAAAGCTACAGAAGAAAAGTTGAAGCTAGCAAAGTTTAGCTCATGAGGTTTAGTGAAAGCAGCTGTCTCCATAACATGAAAGTGCAAGGTGAAGCAGCAAGTACTTATGGAGAAACTGCTTCAAGTTATCCAGAAGATCCAGCCAAGAAAACTGATAAAAGTGCCTACACTAAACACATGATTTTCAGTGTAGATGAAACAGCCATCTATTGAAACAAGATGTCATGCATTGACTTCTCTTTAGCTAGGACTTTCACAGCTAGTGAGAAGTCAATGCCTGGCATCAAAGCTTCAAAGCTTCAACAGGCTGACTCTACTGTTAGGGGCTAATGTAGCTGGTGACTTTAATTTGAAGCCAATACTTATTTACTATCTGGAAAATCCTAGGGCCCTTAAGAATTATGCTAAATCTACTCAGACTATGCCCTATAAATAAAATAACAAAGCCAGAATGATAGCACATCTGTTTGCAGCATGGTTTGCTGGCTATTTTAAGGCCATTGTAGAGAGCTTAGATTCCTTTCAAAATATTACTGCTTACTGGGAAAACACCTAGTCACCCAAGAGCTCTGAGGGAGATGTATACAGAGATTAATGTTGCTTTCATGCCTGCTAACACAACATCCACTCTGCAGCCTATGGATCAAGGAGTAGTTTTGATTTTCAAGCCTTATTATTTAAGAAGTATATTTTGTAAGGCTACAGCTGCCACACATACTGATTTCTCTGATGGTTCTGGGCAAACTACATAAAAAACTTCCTGGAAAGGATTCACCATTGCTGATGCCATTAAGAATATTCCTGGGTGCAGTGGTGTACGACTGGAGTCCCAGCTACTTAGGAGGCTGAGGTTGCAGAATTGTTCTAGCCCAGGAGTTTGAGGCTAGCCCAGGTAACATCGTGAGACCCTATTCCCCCAAAAAGAGAGGAGAGGAGAGGAGGGGAGGGGAGGGGAGGGGAGGGGAGAGGAGAGGAGAGGAGAGGAGAGATTTGTGATTCATGGGAGAAGGCCAAAATATCAACATTCACAAGCATTTGGAAGAAGCTGATTCCAATACTCATGGATTACTATGAGGGATTCAAGACTTCAATGGAAGGAGTAAGTGCTGATACGGTGGAAATGGCAAAAGAACTAGAATTAGAAGTAGTGCCTGGGCCGGGCACAGTGGCTCACGCTTGTAATCCCAACACTTCGGGAAGTGGAGGCGGGTGGATCACCTGAGGTCCCGAGTTCGAGACCAGCCTGCCCAACATGGTGAAACCCTATCTCTACTAAAAATACAAAAAATTAGCTGCGCATGGTGGGAGATGCCTGTAATCCCAGCTACTCGGGAGGGTGAGCCAGGAGAATCACTTGAACCTGGGAGGTGGAGGTTGCAGTGAGCCGAGATCATGCCACTGCACTGCAGCCTGGATAACAAGAGCAAAACTCCAACTCAAAAAAAAAAAAAAAAAAAAAAAAAAGTAGAGCCTGAAGATGTGACTGACTTTATCATGAGAATCTCATGATAAAACCTGAACAAATGAGGACTGGCTTCATATGGAGGAGCAAAAAAAAAGTGATTTCCTGAGATGGAATCTACTCCCGGTAAGGAGCTGTGAACATTGTTGAAAGGACAACAAAAGATTTAGAATATTACATAAACCTAGTTGATAAAGCAGCAGCAGAGTTTGAGATTGACTCCAATGATAAAAGAAAGTTCTACTTTGCGTAAAATGCTGTTAAACAGCATCACATGCTGCAGAGAAATCTTTCATGAAATAAAGAGTCCACTGGCCGGGTGCAGTAGCTCACGCCTGTAATCCCAGCACTTTGGGAGGCCGAAACGGGCGGATCACCTGAGGTCAGGAGTTTAAGACCACTCTGGCCAATATGGTGAAACCTCAGCTGTACTAAAAATACAAAAAATTAGCCAGATGTGGTGGCATGTGCCTAAAGTCCCCGCAACTCAGGAGGCTGATGCAGGAGAACTGAACCCAGGAGGTGGAGATTGCAGTGAGCAGAGATTATGCCACTCCACTCCAGCATGGGTGACAGAGCAAGACTCCATCTCAAAAACAAACAAATAAATTAAAAAAAAGAAGAGTCCATCAATGTGACAAACTTTGTCTTATTTCAAGAAATTGCCACAGCCATCTCAATCCTCAGCAACCACTACCCTGATCAGTCAGCACCCATCTACATTGAAGACACTTCACCAGCAAAAAGATTACAACTCACTGAAGACTGAGAAAATCATTAGCATTTTTTAGCCAGAAAGTATTTAATTACCAGCCGGGTGCGGTGGCACACACCTGTAATCCCAGCACTTTAGGAGGCTGAGGTGGGCGGATCACGAGGTCAGGAGTTCAAGACCAGCCTGGCCAACATGGTGAAACCCCGTCTCTACCAGAAATACAAAAATTAGCCAGTGTAGTGGCACATGCCTGTAATCTCAGCTACTCGGGAGGCTGAGGCAGAATTGCTTGAACCCGGGAGGCAGAGGCTGCGGTGAGCTGAGATCGCGCCACTGTACTCCAGCCTGGGCGACAGAGCAAGACTCCATCTCAAAAAAAAGAGAAAGTATTTAATTACTATATGTACATCATTTTCTTACACATAATTCTACTGTTCAGTTAGTAGACTACAGCACAGTGGAAACATAACATATATACACTGGGAAACCAAAAAATTCACGACTTGCTTTATTGCAGTTATTTGCTTGATTGTCGTGGTCTGAAACCAAGTCTGCAATATCTCCGAGGCATGCCTATATTTATTAACTTGCAAAGCAATACAAAATATGCTTCAGTATATAGGTCAGCCTACTAGAAGATGAAAAACTAACATCTGCAATTAGAAATTTCCTTGGTGAATATCTTTTAAAAGTCTGAAGTACTCTTGAAGAACAGTGCTATGATTTGCTGGCAAGTTAGAAAGGGACAAGCTTTAAAGAGTCCACATAATGGGACATCACTCAGGTGTCAATTTGATAATCTGTTAATCCATGGTAATTTATAATGGAGATTATTCCATTCTAAATTTTTTCTATATTTCCCGGCATGTGGTCAATATTATATAATTTAGGTTTCACTAAGAATCGGGATATGGAAGCCCTAGAGCTGAGTTGTTCAATACAGGAGCCACAAGCCATACTTAACTACTTGTACTAAAAATTCAGTTCCGGGTCAAGCACAGTGGCTCACGCCTTTAAACCCAGCACTTTGGGAGGCTAAGATGGGCGGATCGCTTAAGCTCAGGAGCTCAAGACTGGCCTGACCAACATGGCAAAATCCTGACTCTACAAAAAATACAAAAGTTAGTAGGGTGTGGTAGCTCACACCTGTAGTTCCAGCTACTCAGGAGGCGGAGGCACAAAAATCACTTGAACCTGGGAGGAGGAGGTTGCAGAGAGCTGAGATCGTGCCACTGCACTCCAGCCTAGGTGACAGAGTGAGACTCTGTCTCATAAAAAAAAAAAAAGAAAAAATTCAGTTCTTTAGCTGCATTAGCCACATTTAAAGTGCTCTATAGCCATGTATATAGCTAGTAGAGCTACAGCAGTGAAAAGCACAAGTACAGAACATTTTCATCATCACAGAAATTCTATTACACAGTGCTACCCTAGAGGTTTATGTCAGGAACAGGAGGTGTTCTGTCAGATCATAAGGGAGAGTCTTGGAAATGAGCATCCTTATAAAATACTTCACTCATGCTAAAAAATAGCTTGGGAAAAGGGGAAAGGCAGGTAGTCTCACTGCTAAAGGAAACTGACACCTACCAAGGACTTATTTCATTTCAGACACTGTGATAGGCAGGTACTTTATCCTCACCACACCCATAGGAAATATATGCAGTTATTAAAACATCTCAGTATTATATCATTTATTAGCATATTTTACCCATTTTGAAGATCAGAAACTTGAGGCCCAAAGATAATTTGTAGTGAAGCTGAAATTGAATCCCAGTTTTACTGACTCCCAACATATATTTTCTTCATTATTTATGCTGCTACTATACAACTCCTTGTGAATGAGATACCAGATAAAACCACCCATCACTCACTTGTACCAAGCTCCAAAAAACAAAAAGTTCATAAGATCATAATTTAAGATGTCATAAGGTCGTATAGATGCTTGAGATGGCTTGCTATTCATATCCATTTAACTCTGTTGTGCCAGGTCTGGCCCATTTATTTTACTTTCCAAATCTAATAAATTGCCTATAGTAACACAAATATATCTCAACTAGGAATATATAACATCACAAACTTTCAGTAAAGAAACCTTTAGGGATCATAATGAAAAAGAAATCTACATAAATCAGCAGTTCTTTTCAAAAGTTTCTTTTTCACAAAAAGAACCAAACCACAAGAGGAAAACATGCACAATTTCAACGCTTGCCACCAAGTAAGACATTTCTTTATGGCACATACTCCTCCTCCTCCTCCTCCTGCTGATAGTGTACGCTGGTTTTATGAAGCTCATTATTTGTTTACACTAAATCCCACTGCTTTGAATACAGCATATTTTTCAGCATTTGTGAAAAGTATGTGAACCAAAATCATATATCAAAAAACTGCACAGTGTTTTGTCCTATGAACACTTTAAAATACTATTTCCCTGGTCTTTCTCATAATGAAAAGACTACTTAGTCATAGTATATAACCAACACTTGATCTCTATTGTGAAACCCCAAAGTAAAATAAGGACAGGAACATAAGTAACTTTAAACCAGAACTACACAGATTTTAATGACCAAATACACAAAATAAACAACACAGGCCAGAATCCAAATTATACCAAGTGGCTTGCTATAATTCTGAGTGTACTTTCTGTTCTTTCAGTTTCTAATTACCTTGGGATTTTCAAGCATCAGTGCAAAAATAGTTGACATATTTCTAAAGCCAAGAGTGTTTTGCATATAAAATGACTTAGTATTTCTTGTTTTATCTTTGAAGAAAACTGTAATTCTAAAAGCTCTTCAGGTTATAAAATGCCAAAAGAATAGCACATCCTTATTAATCTGAAGAATCTCCACAAAAGACAAAAACTAATAGTAATATCAGGAAGAAGATGTGGCTGAAATAATCCTAACTGGAGCATGGCGCACTTGATTTGTGGGGACTCAAAAAGAGCTCTAGCCCTCCAAACAGAGTTAAAAGACCTTTTAAATAAAAGAAGTTCCAAGGAATACACTCAAAGCAGTTTCTTGATTCCATTAAGAACAAAGAAAATGTTTACCATTTAAAATCTTGTTATTTTTTGTTTACTTGAATTCAAGTAACTCCATCTTACACAGAAAAAATATTTAAGTTCTAAGATTACTAAACTGGATGATGTTTTCTTTTCACAAGCAATTAATTCCAAAAAGCCTACCTAAATAATTGTATTTTTTCTTTGCAACAGCTATAGAACATACTTTGCAATTTTTACTAAGCATCAACAAAAAGTTACTATATTTGCTATTGGACTTTAGAAACAACAATCATTAAAAACATCATCCAACAACAAATTCCTTCAAAAAATAAATTGAGATCAAAGCATGAAAGGACGTAAAGTGATCAGAAAGGCAGCCACTGATGAATAATGCAATAAAGGACAAAAAAGAAATCTATTCACTGGCCAAAGCAAACTACCACCGATGAAAAAACCATTTCTGCCTTCAATTCCACTTTAAGTCTTAAGTATGTAAAACCCAAAATATCCCAGGACATGAGTGTCTTCCCTTTAAAAGTATATTCTCTGTATACCACTCAATGTTTGTTTCCTCCAACAGCTTTCATTTCATTATGCAAGTCTCTATGTCTTGTTCTGTATTATGAGCAACTCCTCTGTAAATCTTTCAGGGTTTAGGTGCTACCTGACTTTAGATCTGAAGAGAAGATACTGTGAAATACAGATTCAGTAAGCGATTCTCAAATGGGAAATGCTGTCATTTCCATGGAGGGTATTTGGAAATGTACAGTGGTGGTTTTCTTTTGTTTTGCTTTGTTTTCTAATTGTCACTAGGGAAATTCTACTGGCATTTAAAGCCCAAACGATGCTAAATTAATTGTATTATATACGGCAGCTTTGATAACTGGTTATCCCACCCAAATGCCAATACCTATCCCATAGTGAAACAAACCAAATTGACCCCACATCTCCTGTGGATGCAAAATAGCAAACTCTTTCTAACAATTTATCCTATACCACACATAATGCCGGTTCAGTTAGCCCTGCTCAGCTATGCCACTCCAACCCCATGTCTTTCTTCTCCTCTATTCAAGGTAATTACTGTTGCTGCCTGAGGCAAGGGTACAGACATCCTTATTCAATTCTCTGTGATATGATGAAAAGAATTTAACTGGTGTTCAGGAAAAAAAGGATAACAAAGAAAAAAGTGCCAGCTACCTGAATTTTCTGAATTAAAAATCATTGCTCTGAATTTATACTGTATCTTAGGAACTTACCTCCAAGAACTATTGTTAGATGATAATTATGTTTCTTGGTAAGAAATAAATAATAAATATAATAAACATATATACTTTTTTTTTTTTTTTTTTGAGATAAAGTCTCACTCTTTCACCCAGGCTGAGTACAGTGGCACAATCACACCTCACTGCAACTTTGACCACCTGGGCTCAGGTGATTCTCCTACCTCAGCCTCCCAGAGTAGCTGGGACTACAGGCATGCACAACCACACCCAACTAATTTTTGTATTTTTATTTTTATTTTGCAGAGATGAGGTTTCGCCATGTTGCTCAGGCTGATCTCTAACTCTGGGGCTCAAGCGATCCACCTGCCTCAGCCTCCCAAATTGCTGGGATTGCAGGCATCAAACACCGCATCCAGCTTATACTTCTATTTTTAAAATAATCAAAACTAGCCATAAATTCATGAGCAGTATCATACAGTTAAACGACTAATCTGCTAACACTTTACTGAGTCCTACTGCACATGAAAATGTGGGCTGAAATCAACCTTTTCTCACAGAGATTTCTGAACATTTTCCCCGATTGTTGGAATTAAAGAAAGACAAAATGTACCACATAACTTTAAAGCTCATAAAAGTTTTCTTAGAGAACAGAATTTCCCAAAGCTCACTACAAATGCTTAAATACAATATCCTAATTTTAGAACCACTATTATCGAACCCAAGTAGCAGAAACATAACCTTAAAGTTTCTTCTATTTTCATTAAGAACTTAAATTTTTTGATCAACAGTCTTTAAAAGAGTTACTAGTCTTAATAAGAAAGGCCCAGGCTATTTAGTAACATGGTTCTTTTTGTTTGTTTTTGTGTTTTGAGATGGGAGTCTTGCTCTGTCGCCCAGGCTGGAGTGCAGTGGTGTGATCTTGGCTCACTGCAAACTCTGCCTCCAGGGTTCAAGTGATCGCTTGCCTCAGCCTCCCAAGTAACTGGGATTACAGGTGCCCACCACCACGCCCGGCTACTTTTTGCATTTTTAGTAGAGACGGAATTTCACCATGTTGGCCAGGCTGGTCTTGAACTCGTGACCTCAAGTGATCCACCCACCTCAGCCTCCCAAAGTGTTGGGATTACAGGTTTGAGCAACCGTACCTGGCCTATTCAGCAATACTGTTTTTGTTTCAAAATTCACTCATCATTCCATCAATCTACAGTGTATAAAATCCACCAAAATAATTGTGGTCAATGGTAACGTTAATTCCCTCTACTAACAGTTTACCTTAGGCTAGCTTATCTGAAATGACTTATGAAAATAAACCAAGGTTTGAAAAACACAAGCATGTGAACAAAGAAATTAACAGGTGCCTTACATAAAGGAGATCAGAAAACGTTTTTGCCCTAATTCCTTTGCAGTTATTTCTCAAATAAATAGTTTCTTTTCACTCTGCTTCTTGAGTAAAGATCCCCAACGTCTCTCTCTTTTAGGAGTATTTGCCTTGTCCCTGGATTAAAATTTAAGCCATGCTTCTATGGCACTGGACTAAATTTTCAATTATAAACACTCTTTTACATAAGAAACTAATATTTTTATTATTAGTAGTAGTAATACTAATTCTATGTCCTAGTTACTATGTGCCAAACACCCCGCTAATCATTTTATTTTCATTATCTAATTTACTTTTCATAATAGTTTCAACATGGTATTACTGTCTCCGTTTTACAGGTGAGAAAACTAAGGTGGAGAGCAGTAAATGATTTATCCAAGAACACTTGGTTAACATGGAAGAATCAAACCTAGATCTAGCTGATGGCGAAGTCCAAGCTCTTAAAGTATTAATACTTTACAATATTATCTCTGAATTAAAAAAAATACCCTGAGGTTTTATTTCACTATGAAACCCAAACAATAGCCATCCACCCCATATAGCCATCCTCCTGCAAAGTACCTTTAATAACTCAGATTTGCTTTGCCTTTACATCCTCCAGATTGGAAGGAATACATTTTGAAAAACAGAGTCAGGTATTAAATCACTGGAAGCCTTCAACTAAACAATATCCATTTACTCAGTAATAAGAATTGTAAATATGATAACACAGGCAAATACTGGTAACATTTACTTTATCCAACCAGACTTTGTTCCATAACAATCATATTAAAGACAGTTACCACTTACTGACTGCTTGTTTTGTGTCAGATGCTTACACTATTTCTAAGGCAGAGGTTATTTATCTCCATTTTACATATGAGGAAACAAAGATGCAGAAAAAGACTTGCCTAACCAGCTGGTTACATAGTAAAGCTTGTAATATGAACAGACTAAACCAAAGCTCTTTCAGCAGAAGAAAATGTTTCAGAATACCCCATAAAAAGCTACTGGGGGGTTGGAGGGAGAACCCTGCAAGTCCTTCTGTCTTGCCACCTCTAAATAGATTCCAATAGGATAGAAGTATGAAACCAATAGGATAGAATTAATATTATTTCATTTAAAAAATTAAAATTATTTCATTTAAAAAACCAATAGGATAAAGTTATTTAAATTAATTAAGATATCTATTTTCTATGTGTTCTAATAATAAAAATAATTCTATCCAGCAAATGGATGTACATGATTTTTAATCAATTTATTACTAGATCTAAGTTAGTAACTGAGTTTAAGTGGTTTTAGAAATACTAATGCTATTTTATACACATCAATACAGGTTATATCGGAATGTTAACAGAAAACCCATAGAATGCTGCCTGCTTCATTCAGTTAAATTTAACTTACTACAAATATCCACAAAATCTATAAACACTTAGTATCTAAATTTTTCAAAATTGTAAAATTTAAAAACAATGCTTGGCAAGAAAAAAAAAACTGTAGCATTTTTTAAATGTGCCATAAACAGAGGCAAATGGATTTGTTAATAACAAAATGCAGTGAGATTAATGAAGGACAAAGAAAGCTGAATTATATCAGATAAAAGCTACTCTTGAAATGAGTAATTTGAGTAGTTCTATGGGATGGCAGCATTCTAAGAGTCAGCAGCTACTAAAGCCCCCATCTATTAGTTAAGGGTGATAGTGAAGGGGCAAGGGTACAGTACCTGATGATGGGGAGGTCGAGGCCCCGCTGCAAACTGAGAAAAGGAGGGAAAACAAACACAAAAGGAAAGGCACAAAGAGTCAGAAACACCACAACAAAAACCAAAATTTCACACAATATGCCAAAAGAAAAAAAACCCACAGTGGGGAAATAAAAAACAACACACAAAACAGTCAAAGCTTTGCTGCAGGACAGTGACAGACAGGTACTAAGATTCAACAGGTTAACAGCACTATCAGAATAGTTTGTCATTTATCAACTGGGAGAGAAACAGGCTATGCTGTTAGGCATGTAAGGTACTCTCTGATAGGATTATTTAAAAAAAAAAAAAAACCCTAAAATAAGGCAAAAGCAAGTTTGAAAAATTAAGTGGTTATATTAAGACAAACATGAAAATCAAGTATGCTGTATGTAACTGATACAGCTGGAGGAAATGAGAAAGCTTTTACATTACAAGACCTAGCCAGGAGATAATTATAAAGTCCAGCAGGAAGTAAAAAACGTAACACAATTAACTGCAAATTTTCTTAAGTTAAATGGGATATCTTATCCATGAAATGGAAGTTTCAGTATCTTAATTTCTTGGAGTTAAAGAAAAATCTTTTATGACTTTACACACACACACACACACACACACACACACACACACAAGTTTAAGTTTAAATGCGGTTAACTAATATAATTTAATACAAGGCATGTCAAGGCAAACAGCTAGTAAAGAACATCAGTCTCTAACATGATTAATCCAAGTGGTATTCTTATAGGCTTGATAAGAAAAAAGAGTAAATAAGTCAAATCTCTTAATTACTATAGACAACAGCAAAGCACTGTGTATATGTACCTATTGTTACCTAAGAATAAAGCACAAAGAAATGTAATTCCTCAGCTAAATCATAGAGTACTTGAAAGTGGCTAATATATATTCCAACTCTTCTACTAACTCAGAAGAAAATAAAAAGTTTTTTCACCTATGCAAATTTTAACTGCTAAACCTCTAGGATCAAACAATTCACCAGGCCAAATTTGGGTTTGAATACATTTTAACTGAAAGGAACAGACAAAAATATTGGGGTATGTAGAGCCATATTCTGGATACTAATACATTAACTATTGTAATATTAACCGGGGTATGTAGAGCCATATTGTGGATACTAATACGTTAGCTATTGTAATGTTAACCACTCCCTTTAATAGTAAAAGAAAATATTTAGAAAGCAGTGTTTAATGTAAACCATATACAGGGTTTTTATCTAATATATTTAAGGAGCAAAAATATATGTCTTTGGCTCTCTTATTTCCTCTATAGAGACTTCCTTCTGTCAGCTTAACACTACAGATGAATTAGATTGAAGATTAAGAAACAATCTCTCATGCTCAGCATTTAAGTTATGTGCAATAGTGATTTGCAAAACATTTGGAATTACTTCCCCAACTACCATTAGTTCACATTTTAAAATTTCAACAAATTACAGTAGAACACATGGCCACAATGTAGGAGACAGCTGAAAACAGCTCTGTCAAGAATTCACCTCAGAAGCTAAAATGTCACCTTTTGTTCAAGTAATGAAAAGTGCATTAATGACCTACAAGCTTGGGTTATGTTAGGTCAGCCATCATACTTGGCTAATCAATATAATATAGTTTTTCAGAATGATGATAACTGGCAGTTACAGTTCTTGCAGAAAATTTTCTCTTCAAAGAAATTGAGGTCTTGTATTTTCAGTTTTCCAATTAGGAGAAGAAAACATCATACTTCTACTATGGACAAGAACAGGCAATACCACCCATGTGGTATGAAAGTAGGGAGTGGAGTGAAATGTTTCTTTATGACACTTTTGAAGAAAATGGAAGAGAGGGGCCATGTTACAAAATTAACCTGAGTATGGCAGTACCTGTCTTATCACTGTTCCACAGAAAATGTCCCATTTTCAAGGCTCTAAAATAAAAGCTAAAACTTTGTACATTTTGAATGTTCCAGTCAAAAGAGAATTTTCTATGAACAAGAAGAGTATCTTATAAAATTACATATATATAAAAACAAAAGCGAAAAAGAAAACCCCAACTTAAGTTAGTAGGAAAGTGCCCTAGGAAAGTACCCTAGTCTATTTTGCACTAGTCACCATTGGCTATTGAGTTTTTCATTTGAAATGACAATAGTCTTAATCCTATGGGTAGCTGTAAGCAACAGAACAAACTGTAGTCGCTGCTGGCTCATATTAAAACTAGAAATTTTTCTTTCTTTTTTCTTTTCTTTTTGTTAAAGAAGGGTCTTTAAGATGGTGAGGACTGTTGATATAAAGGAAAGCAGCCTTCTGTGAACTTGGATCCAGTGTTAATGCCACCCACCCACTTACTCACCCCTTCTGGGCACAGTTGGTAACTGAGCATGGCCAACATAACATTGATGTAATTTTGAAACTTAACACCACAAAATATAAAAATAATCAATGGTTACGTTACTACAAAAGCCAAACTGTCTCCCTCTCCAAATTAAGTATTTAATAGCTTCACTACTTTAGACAGGCTATTAAAAAAAAAAAACAACTACTGCTGTTTAAAAGTTCCAGTAAAACGAGAAAATGGAACAGATAGCTTATCAGTGTTGTTATTATTTTTAAAAAAGATTTTCTTTCCACAGTATGAATTTAACTAAGATTCTAAGCATCAAGTAGAAAGACAGGCACAAAGATAACCTGAAGGAAGGACAGAGGCCACTTGAAGCCAGTTGGATTGCAAAGGCAGCTGTCCAGGGAAGAACAGAAAAGCCTAAAACTGCGCAATTGCCAATGGCCTATTAATGCAGAAATAGAATGGAGTAAGCTTTAGCTGCTCTACAAAGCCACAGGAAGAGGCCCTGCCTCAATGTAACAGCTTACCTCTCCTCACCAGATGGGACAGCTGTGAGATGGATGAGACTAGACTATGACAACTTGGGACGTAAACAGAAAATGCAATCCTGCCAAATTTCAGACCCCAACTTCACCCTCCCAGCACAAAAAAAAAACAAAAAACAAAAACAAAAAAAAACCCCATAACAAAATAAAGAAAATCAAACCTAAAACAAGAAGCAAGAGTAGTCTGGGGTCTGCTAGTCTTGCACTTGTTTTAGGGTATGTAATGGAATGTTATGTGTGTGATTTTTAGTAATGGGGTGGGTAATGGTCACTAGCAGAGCAGATGGCAAAAATTGTATAGAGGATAGTATCTGAAGAGTTTATGACCACAGAAAAATGGCTGACAACTACAGACAATTTCCTCCTTAATATTCAATTATAAAATTGAAAGGGAGTAAAAAGAAGCCTCGAAATTTATCTTTTAAATTCAAATTTATCTGAAAGGGATATCTCACTTCAAGTTTAAAATAAAGAAAAATCTAAACCCCCAAATTCTTCCTGACTAATTCCCAATAGAGAACACCCACCCAATTTGTTATTCTTTTCCCCACTATGCCTGGCAGAAACTGCCATGCTAGGTTAGACTTTCAGAGAGGAAGCAATCAATGCATTTCTGTTCATCAGCCAATAAATGGATGTGGTCAAAAATACTAAGTGCCAGAGGCACCACTGCCTGCAAGAAGTACAGTTTGTTATATTGCTTACAATGCAGTATTTTATCCAGCCTCTTCCAGCCAAGGACCTGTAAACGGGAGTCTGTTCCAAAACCTTCCTCCTCTTCCAGTTGTCTGTGCAATGTATTGGCACTGTTCTGCTGGGCTGTCAAAAAAACTGGTTTAGAGATGCAGCTCTTCAGTCAGGTTCTGCGCCAGTTCTAACCATGTAAATTTAATTCATTTTCTTTTTTGATAATCAGAAATTAGGGTTGGGGGTATACAGAAAGAGGGCCAAAGAATTCTTTGCAATAGGAGCTTACCATAATGTTCCATGTTTAATTATTAGAACCAGGGCCTATCTAAATTGATCTGGTGAGATCTCAGGCCCAAGTAAGTCAAGTGTACACATCCCCAAACCACTCTCATAACAAAACTTGTATCAGACATCTTATTGACCATTTCAGCAAAAAAAGAGACAAGCAAACAGGCAACTAGGACCAAAGTCCCACCTCTTTAGAATGGTTCCTCCACCCACTGGGGAGAACCAGGATCTAAGAACAGGTATTGGAGAACAGGGCAACAGGGAAAAGGAAAATAGAAAAAGGATAAGAAAGAGATTACATTTTGGTGCAGTCTATGCTCTCCTAGTTCTTTAAGTAAGTCTTTGGTATATTTAAACAATTGTAAGTTCATGCATAAAATGAAATGAATAGGAGCTAATGCAATGAGGTATTCCTGCACTCCAGGCAAAAAGGCAGGGGCAGGGAACAAAAAGATATCCCTGAATTCTGAAGAATACACAGAGCTGAGGTACAAAGAGGGATGTGAGATACACAATGTGAGATGTTACAGAAGCACCTTCTAGCCAAAGCTAATCATGCAGGGCAGGAAACGATGTTCTAAGGAATGGAGAGCTGAAGCCACTGTATACTTTTGTGAAACAAAGGATGAACCTTGTGTAAATTCTCAGTCTTGGCAGTACTTATTGCAATTCATGTAAAGGATGAACAAAGAGGATGATAGCATTTACATTTGTATCACAATTTATTTCTCATTTGAATAAATGAATACACTCACTGGTATATGTCATGCATATACCCACACTGTTAAATGGTTAGAACAGATCTAATAACACTGATTCAAAAGTCCTGCTTCCCAAAACCACTGGAATTTGAGAATTTAATTAGTGAAATTCAATTTACTCCTAAAATCATTGTATTTTACTCTTACCTGAATTTTGAACAGTACAACTAACAAAAATTATAAGCTGAAATAAAGTAAACTTGAATGCAACCAGACTTAAAAATCATGCTATAGAAAAGTATTAAAAGGGAGTGGAGGGTTAAAAGCTCCACCTCTTCTTTTTCTCAATAAATTTAATTATTGCTATAGGTAAGGTCTGAAAATACAAAGCTAACAAATAATAGTAGGAGTCATAATAATAAATCATCTTTGGAACAAACTTCCAAAATCCAGTAAAAATATTTGCCAAAGAAACCCAAGCCACTACACACACAAACACAGGTAGAGAATGTAATTTGGTTCAAGCTTCTGCTTACTTACCGGAGAACGGGTTTGAGGTTGTGAATTCATTGTCTGAGGGGTTTGAGGGTATACCAGCGTGGTTGGACCTGCATTCTGTCCAGAGGGATAAGGGGTCTGTCAAAAAATGGCAAGAACAATATAATATTTTGAAAAAATATGGCATGGCAATTCTAGTTCAAGATGTTTTATAAAAGTTTACAGAAGTGGTTATTAATGTGGTTTATATTCTACTTTTTAAAAATTTAACTTTATTACAATATCCAGTAACTCAAAATCAGTACAGTTCCTTTTCTTTCTTTTTTTTTTTTTTTAAATTAATGAACTGGGGTCTTGCTCTGTCACCCGGGCTAGAGTGCAGTGGCACAATCACGGCTCACTGCAGCCTCAAACTCATGGTTTTAAGTGGATCCTCCCACCTCAGCCTCTGGAGTAGCTGGGACTACCGGCACGCAGCACTGTGCCGGACTAATTTTTTTCTTTTTTTTTTTTTTTTTTCAGAGACAGGGTCTCACTTTGTTGCCCAGGCTGGGCTCAAACTCCAGGCCTCAAGCAATACTCCTGCCTTGGCTTCCCAAAGCACCTGAACAACTTTTTAATTTTTTTTAAGAGACAGAGTCTTGATATTTGCCCAAGCTGGTCTCAAACTCCTGGGCTCAAAGAGATCCTCTCGCCTCATCCTCTTGAGTAGCTGGGACTACAGGCAAGAGCTTCTTTACCAGCTAATGCAACACTTTTTAAGTTACCATAAATCTCCTGATAAAAGGACATTAGCAATCCAAAATCTAGGTGTAACCATTTTTCCTTTTTTGTGCATTAAGGCATTTTATTTACAAGTATGTATTATGTTGCTAGAAAAAGAATCCCAGAACTTTCCCTCCTATGTGTTTCACCTTGCCTCTTCAAGGTCCATGATGCCAGCTAAGGTTGTCAGTACAATGAAACAAAACTGACAGGATGAGAGCAGATTATTCTGCCATTTTTTTTCTAGATCTTTGAGTTGCACATCATATCTCAGGCTGATCACTCCACACTTGTTTAACCTGCCTGTGAGGTTCACAACAATTTTCCCTGCTCTCTGATCATCAATGATTTCAAATTTGCCAATGTAAATTGCCTTATCATGCCTCATCATCATGGTTAGAAACAGGAAAGCATGACCTAGTAAGACTCTGGTGGTTACCTCTCTATTCAGTATTGCTGACGCTCCTGAGAGCATCAACCAGAACATTCATATACACGATTATGGCAGCACAAAAAGATGAAGGAAAGACTAGGTACAATTATTTGAAATTATCAATGCTAAGAGGACCTACTGTGAATTCATCTAGTTCTGAAATGGATAGCCCAAACCACAAACAAAATCAAACATGGATGAGAAAACTTGCTATTGCTACGGTGTGCTTTCCTTGAGGAAGACATCTCAGAGCCACAATTAGCAGTCCACACAGTTAACTGTTATATATTGCTGTAATCTTGCCAAAGCTTACATACCTTAATCCTTTTACATGATCCCATAAAAATCAATAACCAATAAGAACCTTATATAAAACCTTAGAATAAGTGATAATGTAATACACACGGCTCATTTACCATATATTTTCTGAAGATAAAAACATAAGCTTTTCATTGTAAATCCATGCCAAATGTTATAGACTAATATACTGTGTGCTACTGAATAAAAAAATTGCTTGTAACGTATTTAAAATGAAATGCCACCAAGAACAATGGACATATCCACAAGACTTGGACTGAAATCCTAACAATTGCTACTGAACACTGTTGTTAGTTTGGGCAACTCATTTATCTTTCCCACGAATGTAAAAAGGAACAACACACCTACCTCTCAAGGCAGTTTGTGAAGATTAAATGAGATAAAATATTCCCAAATCACCTTTATTTATCACTATCCCACGTCTATGAATGAGGAAACCAAGGACTGAAAAATTTAAGTATCTTACCTAAGATAACAAAGTAAATAATATATCTAGAAAGTATTAGCATCTGTTGACCATTTAACGTTTAGCTGGGATCACCAATTTTAAAGGAAATACTTGACAGGATTCATCATACGTTCCAAATAACAAAACAAAATTTCTTTTTCTTTTTTTTAATGAGTTATAAAAAACAAAATTAATGGCTTCATATTAGACACAGAGGCTATCCGGCAATCTTTCAACGTGGTAATCTTAATATAGCCATCTCTGTAGCTGACACTAAGGTTCAACATCAGATTGATTTCCTTTCCTACTCTAGTTCTACTAAATCTAGCCACTAACCTAAAAATATGGCAGCAAAGTATCTCATGTCTATCAAATAATTAATAAATGGGTCAAACAGGATCTAAAAATAAAGTTTTCTTATCATGGATTAGTTTCAGCACTGTTTCAGACACAACGTTTATGTGTATGTATCACATCCGAAATCTGAAAGGCTGAAAGTTTGACTATTTTAACTTAAGAAAACACAGGGAATGAATTTCTTATTAATTCTGGCTCCACTGAGATAGGGAAAGTATTTCTTCAACTTCTATTTGAGAATCTGAATATAGTTTTAAAAGAGAGCACCAATTTAATTCTTCATTAAATTTAAAAAAATCAAGTATTCATAAGGTCATTTCTCAGTAATGAGGCTCTTTGATCTTAGGATATATTTTGACACTATTCACATTTAATTTGGTGGTATTCTGAAGCAGGAGTTTCTAGCTGTCAAGATACTAAATATAACACTGAAATATATCACTTACAAAAACATAAAGAAATGTTACCTCTTTCTATACTTCAATTAGAGGAACACTTTGTTCTCTCATAGCTGTCGTACTATTGAAATAGAAAGGGAATCCACTGTATTTCATTGAAGATGCTAAAAATATACATGACAACCTTATTTGACTTCACTCAAAATTTTAACAACATTTTCAACACTCAAGCCAAATAAGGGAACATAGAGCCAACTGAAAATGCAATATGTGAATTGGCATTCAAAGATAAAGTTCTTTTGTTCAGAAAGAACACCCTTCCTGATCACAGATATTGCTGGGGCTCTGTCAACAATGTTCCCAATGTGCCTTTTTCCAGATTATATCATTGCTCTGAAAGTGATTACTAAAAAAAACAAAGAATTATTTTCTATATAGGCTTTCTACTCTAAACAGACTTAAAAAATAAAAATCTAGTACTTCTTTTTATATTTACATTGCACATATGCCAAGAGCTAATTCAGACTCTGTACACAAGTACTTTCATCAAATGGAAAGCACAATCTCTAATGCAGCCACATATGCAAGTAATTGTTCTGTCACAATGTATGCCATTATACCACTAGCAATATGGAATGCTTAACGGTGGCACATGACAAAGAAATTTTGCCAATAGATCATTCAACGATCGTTCAGAGCATTTTTCCATTCTCTGTGGATGCCTTTAGAAACTTCTTAGGAACAGTATGACTTGTTACCTATCATTGCTGTAAGCAGTGCAACTGTAAAAGATGCCTCTACTCTTTTGATCTCTTCTCTGCATTTAATGACTTATTCTAGAATAATTTCCTTAATTTACTACCATGCTTTGTTGAAAAACAATGCAAAATTTCAGTGGGAACATACTTTGACCATGTTTCATGTCAAATGCACAGAAAACTAGGGACAGATCAATGAAGGATCATTTCAATAATAATCAGAGCATCTGTTTGTACTTTCCCTTTTCGAATAATTTCAAAGTCATCCCAAATATTTACTTCTTCAAGGACATATGGGTGAACATACAGAATTTACTCTGCAATCCAGTATACTGTCCAAGTTGATGAGTTACAGACATCTGTTCTCACTTTCATTATTAATTTTATGTTTCAATAAACCTTTTTGAATGCTTTTTATTTGTTGGGGAGATAAGAACACAATAGTGACAGCAAACCAAGCAAATGATGTAAATTAATAATGTTACTGAAGAAAAGCCAATGAGAACAGTCCTTATGGTGTACATATAACCCTTAAATCTCTAATGATGATGTTAAAAACAGTGATTTGGACAGTCAACCACAGGCAGAAATGGTGAATTCCATTATAAGACAAAACAAACACAGCATATCAAGTATAACAAGACTCCAGATGTGATGGTTTTCAAACCATAGACATGTGAAAAAATTAATCTGTATTTCCTATTTTCACAATGTAGTACAATGGACATAAGCTAACAAAAATAATTATAACATAAAACATTTATACAGCTTTTACTAGGTTTCAGGTACTATTCTAAGTACTTTACATATAAGTCAGAGATGAAATGCCATTTCTCGTTTTAAGATTCTGCCATCACCTAAACTAAATTCAGCCATAAAGATTAAACTCAATATTGTACACACTGTATGTGAACAAACATAAATCTGACTAAAAAACTAAGCTGCCAAATTTTCAAAGAGGTATAAGGTACCAGGTGTGGTGGCTCACGCCTGTAATCCCAGCACTTTGGGAGATAGAGACAGGCAGATCACCTGAGGTCAGGAGCTCGAGACCAGCCTGGCCAACATGGTGAAACCTCGTCTCTACTAAAAATACAAAAATTAGATGGGTGTGGTGGTGGGCACCTGTAATCCCAGCTACTTGGGAGGCTGAGGCAGGAGAATTGCTTGAACTCGGGAGGCAGAGGTTGCAGTGAAACAAGATCGCACCACTGCAATCCAACCTAGATGATAAAAGCGAAACTTCATCTCAAAACAAAAAACTGTAAGGTAATACTGACCACATTTTAAACATGCTTATCCCTTTGATTCTATGATTCCACTTCAGGGAGCTCACTATGTGAATATATTCACAATGGGCCCCTCCTTAAAAAAAAAAAAAAAAAAAAAACACACTCAAAAACAAAAAAACTGGAAATATTCTAAATGTCTATATATAAAAAAGGTGAGATTATGTACTTAGTCACTGAGAGAATTTAGAATAATCTTTAGAATGAATCAAGTCAACATACATCATGGAAAGATGTCCATAATAATATTAAGTGACAAAAGCAAATTGTAGAATTTTTAAGTATAAAAAGACTCTGTCTTAACTTTAAAAACTATATATATGCACATAGTACACACAACAACCAAGGAAGATAAATGTCTTAAGAAAATATGTAGCAAATTTTAAATTGACTACTTCAGAGACGGTTATAAAGAGTGTACAGGATACAACTTATAGGTTTTATTTTATATACTTCTGTATTATGTTTTTACTTTCCAATGTTCAGTAGGATTATTTTATAATAAAAATTTAATAAAGAAAACCTCTGTCCTCCAGCTTCTCCTGCATGAAATACAAATATGCCAAGCAAGCTGGGTGCAGTGGCTCATGCCTGTAATCCCACTTTGGGAGGCCAAGACTGGAGGATCACTTGACCCCAGGCTGTAGTGAGCTGTAATTGTGCCACTGTACTTCAGCCTGGGCGACAGAGTGAGAACCTGTCTCAAACAAACAAACAAAATACAAAGCAAACCAGAATATCCAGTAGGAAGTCTGCTATTTTATAGAGTTCTAAATAATTTTTGATAATAAAAATTAAATCAACAGCATTAGCAGAAATCTAGCACAAAGAAAACACTGTGCTGTGGGCTATGTGCGTAAATAAGGCCTAAGATAGATGACTGTTTCACTTATTTTAATCTTTTTTTTTTTCTTCTTTGAGACGGAGTCTCACTCTGTCACCCAGACTGGAGTGCAATGGCATAATCTTGGCTCACTGCAACCTCCCCCTCCTGGGTCCAAGCAATTCTCCTGCCTCAGCCTCCCGAGTAGCTGGGATTACAGATGCATGCCACCACGCCCGGCTAATTTTTTTATATTTTTAGTACAGATGGGGTTTCATCATGTTGGTCAGGCTGGTCTCAAACTCCTGACCTCAGGTGATCCACCGGGCTCAGCCTCCCAAAGTGCTGGGATTATAGGCGTGAGCCACTGCGCCCTGGCTACTTAATCTTTAAGAAATTTATTATTAAATCAATAAAGAGATATAGATGTAAGAAGCACTTACTCAGCCACAGTGTATAATCCTTTGCAGTCATTAAAAAAGATACAGAAGAACATTTAATGACATGGAATGAGTAATACAGAGAATGCTGAAATAATCCCACATATATGCAGAATGTATTAGAAACATTTCAAATTAATAGAAAAATACCAAAATTAATAAATTGTGTTGAGAAAACTAAATAATCATTTAGAAGAAAGGTGGTTAACCATCCTCAACTCATTATACCAAAAGAAATTCCAGATTGATTACAATGTTGGAATGTAAAATTTGAAATTGTAAAGGGGCTAGATGCAAATCTATCTCTATCATCTTAGAGCTGGTAAAGACTTAAAATCTTAAAATCTGAATAAGACTACATAGCTATACCAATAAGTTTTAAAATAGGCTATTCCTATTAATTTATACAAGTTCTTAATTTTGCTTTAAAATTTCTCTTTATAAACTTCTCTTTATGCATATATAAGTGTGTTTATTCATTTTTCTTCTTTTTTCCTTGGAGACAGGGTCTCGCTCTGTCACCTACGCTAAAGTGCAGTGCTACCAACACAGCTCACTGCAGCCTCAGCCTCTTGGGCTTAAGCCATCTTCCTGCCTCAGCCTCCAAGTAGCTAGGACTATAGGCACATACCACAATGCCTGACTAATTTTTGAATTTTTCGTGGAGATAGGGTCTTGCCAATGTTGCCCAGTCTGGTCTCAAATTCCTGGCTTCTAGCAATCCTCCTGCCTCAGCCTCCCAAAGTGTTGGGATTATAGGGGTGAGCCACCACATCCAGCCCCGTTCATTCTCATTAGTAGATATTATAGGGTACAAATTAATTGAGAGAAACTCGTTCACCTAACAAATGTTTGACACTTAAATCTGGCCAGAGAAACAAAAATAGCACCTTAAAGTCCAGACCAAGTACCTTCAACCTCTTGAGAACTGTCTTCTTCTTCTTTTTTTGGGGGGTGCTGGGGGGGTAGTGGGGGGACGGAGTTTTGCTCTGTCGCCCAGGCTGGAGTGCAGTGGCACGATCTCGGCTCACTGCAACCTCCACCTCCCGGGTTCAAGGGATTCTTCTGCCTCAGCCTCCCAAGTAGCTGGGACTACAGGTGCGTGCCACCACACCCTGCTAATTTTTCTATTTTTAGTAGAGACGGGGTTTCACCATATTGGCAAGGCTGGTCTCAAACTCCTGACCTTGTGATCTGCCCGCCTCGGCCTCCCAAAGTGCTGGGATTACAGACGTGAGCCACCCCACCCAGCTGAAAACTGTCTTCTTAAGTGCTACACAACCAATGCAAATAGAACTTTCTGGGATAATTATAAATGTTCCATATTTACTCTCTCTAAAATGGTAGCTATTAGCCACATGTGGCTACTGAACACTTGAAATGTGACTGATGAAACTGAAAAAATAAATGTTTATTTAAATGAATTTTATTCAATTTAAATTTTGTGGTAGAAAACATGTAACAAGGCCTGGCACGATGGCTCACACCTGTAATCCCAGCACTTTGGAAAGTTAAGGCAGGCGGATCACGAGGTCTAGGAGTTCGAGACCAGCCTGGCCAATATACAAAAATTAGCCAGGCATGGTGGCTTGCGCCCATAGTCCCTGCTACTCGGGAGGCTGAGGCAGAAGAATCAGTTGAACCCAGGAGGCGAAGGTTGCAGTAAGCTGAGATAGTGCCACTGCACTCCAGTCTGGGTGACAGAGCAAGACTCTGTCTCAAAAAAAAAAAAAAAAAAGAAAAAGAAAAAGAAAGAAAAAGAAAAGAAAAAAGAAAACATGTAACAAAATTTACTATCTTAACCACTAAGTATACAGTACTGTTAACTATATGCACATAGTACAACAGATGTCTAGAACTTTTTCTTCTTGCAAAAAACAAACTCTATAACCACTGATTTCCATTTAAATTGTATTTATATACATTTTAATCCTTAGAATGTAAATAGCCACATACATAGCCCATGGCTAACATACTGCACAACACAGGTATAGCAAACTGTTAATTCCCATGTTTTGCTTTTATGAGTTCTATATTTTATATCACTCTAAACTTCTGCAACTCTACTTTCATAGAAGTACAATAATATCCAACAAACAAGACCACAATATAAAACGCTGGAGACAGTGACAGAGACCTATCACTGAATTTCCTACACAGTCTTAAGCATAGCACTTGTTTTCCTCAGCTAATAAAGACTGAAGCTTTAAGCTACTGATTATCACAGTGTGGTCCACAGAGTCCTGGGCATCTCTGTAATGCTATTAAAGCAGGTGTGGGAGGTGAAATATTTTCGTAAAATAAATACTAAGATGTCACAGGCCTGTGCTGATATTTTCAACAATGATAGAAAAGCAAGGTGGATGTAGCTACTAGTAAATCTTAAATATATACTCAGGAAATCTGAGATTTCACTAAGTAAATCTTACATATACTTAGTGAAAACCAAGGCAATGATAGTCATTGTATTCTTCATCCCTAAGCCTTCACGACAAATTAAACTTTTTTTTAAAAAAAAAAAAAGGAAAGAAAAAAAAAAGCCAGTTCTTAAGAATGTCACTTCTTTATTTAACTTTTCAATTTTTCTTATTCTACAGGTAATTGACAAAAGAATGTCACTTCTGTAACAGAATGTATCACTTTTTAAGTTGAAATAATTATAGATTTACACGGAATTTGAGAAATAAAACAGAGCTCCCATATACTCTTCATCTAGTTTCCCTAATGGTAATATCTAACTACAGTACAGTACAACAGCCAGAAAAACCACATCGATACAATCCATCAACCTTATTCAGATTTCCTGAGTTTCACTACAGATGCATGCACATCTGTGTGTATATTTAGTTCTATGCAATTTTATCACATGTATAAATTCATATAACCACCATTACAGTCAAAATACAAAATATTCCTTGACAAGGATCTGTGGTATTACCCTACCCTACCTACCCTATTAATAGCCACAAATATCTTCCTTCTTGCCTCACTCCTCTCCCTTGACAACCACAAATTTATCCTCCATCTCTATAATTTGGTCATTTAAAGAATGTTATATAAATAAAACAGTAAACTAACAAAATTTAGCATGTCTTTTTAGTATACTGTATTGATCAAGTGAGAAGACATAAAACAGTTCAGAGGTAAATTAGTAGTACTAAGGAAAAGCACTTGTAACACCATTAGAGTTATAAACTGAACTAGCCACTTTTTCTTGCAATGCCATTTTACTTGAAAGAAGGATAAACTATGCTTATACACATGGGTATGTGGCAGACATTTTTATTAGTAGATACAATGCACATAGGATTGAGAAGCCCAAAGAGTTCTATTTAAGAGTATAAAGGGATCCTGAAGTATAAAAGTTTGAGAACACTGGCCTATATTGATATTAGAACTAAAAGTTTTCCTCCTTTACCTCTTGCTATTTAATTATTAAACATTTACATTATCCATCCTTAAGTTTTTGTCTTAAAAAAAAATCCAACATTCTCATTCCTAAGGGTTTCGGGACAGTCGTTTACTATTCCATATTTCCACAGGTATGGCACATTATTTTATTGTGACCCTAAAATGGTTTTCCATTCACATTGCTTAGAGGCACCTGCAACCTCATGAGAAATTTTTTCCCCAAGTCTGTATAATTAGTGCACATTTCAAATCCCACTGCAATAAAATGCTTGAAATAAGAGAAGTAGCAAAAATTCTATTGATGCATATCTGCTTCATAAAGCAGGACACTTTTTGCTTCAAAAACATGTGTATCTGCTTCAAAAACACAGGACATCACCAAGATAACAGACTACGATGATCCAGGTCCACATCACCCAATGAAAACACCAAGTGAACAACATACCGACCAAAGTACCTTTGTAAAAACTCAAGAAACCGGTAAGAACCTGGAGAACTGGAGAACAGAAGCCAATAGGATTCACAAAGAATAAACTTTTGTGACTGAACAAACAAGCTCCCTGTCCAGACCAACAAAAAGTAGGGAGGAAGATGGCGGATAGGAGACAGGATTAACGTGCAGCTCCCACTTGGATGGACAGAACAACATGTGGAGATTCACACCATGGACTTTTGTGCCAAGAACCACCATAGGAACATATCGGGAAAACAGAAAGAATCCACAGATCCTCTAAAAGAAGTGGCACGCCGCTGTAAATTCCACAAGACAGGTGAGAAACCGTGAGTTCCCCAAGTGTAAAAGCAGGAAAACCCGCCTCCGAACACACATTCCCACTGAAAAAACTGAAAATCCAGATTACAGGAGAAGGATTTAACCTTACCTAGAACTAAAGCAGATTTAGTGCGGAATATGAAAGTAGAAGCAGTAGCAAGAAGAGCTTTGTAAGCACTCACATTCTCCAGCTAGAGTCCAGGGAAGCTATCCCTGACTATATCTCAGAGGGGCCCTCAGGGAAGGAAGCCGGCAGAATCTGGGAGGGATCACAGTGTGAAAGAAGCTGCCAACTCAACTGTGTAATAATTTCAACCAGACGCAAACTCTCTCAAGCAGTTAAGAATCTGCGGCAGCCAACTAAATGCCCCATCGAGAAAAAGCCACACTCAAAACAATATAGGAAATTTTTTAAAATATTAAAATAAAGAACAATAATTTGTAAGGCAGCCACAGAAAAAATTTTTTTAATGTATATATGTATGTATATTTAGAGGTTGCCCTTGCTCCAATCCCTCCTCATTGAGGCCAAGTTGGGAGGAATCCACCTAATTCTAAGATGCTCCATCATGACAGAAGGAAAAGAGTGGAACTTGTTTGCATCGTTCTGGCTTGTCTGGGGGTGCTGCTCATGGGACTGATTACTGTTTCACCTGATGCAAAGTTCGGATGGGAAGAGTGGCTTAGTTGAGAGCTACAGGGATGTCACCGATCTGCCAGTGCTAGAGGGACAAAAGACAAAGGGCAGAGGAACACAACAGAACATCTAACATGCCACTCTTAGATCAAGGCAGCTAAAAGCACTGATACATCCCAGGAATCTGGGGAAAAGTGTTCACATAGGCCCAGTGAATATACAAACACAGAAAAGGTCAACAAGACCTTAAGCCTTCACACCAGGCTGATACTCCTGATGTTACCCATCATGGAATCAGTCCACAAAGATTAGAACAGCTGGCTATTTAAGTGCTCGACTTTGAACAAATATCATAAAGTATAGAAATAGGCTGGGCACAGTAGCTCATGCCTGTAATCCCAGCACTTTGGGAGGCTGAGGTGGGTGGATCACCTGAGATCAGGAGTTCGAGACCAGCCTGGCCTACATGGTGAAACTCCGTCTCTACTACAAATATAAAAATTAGCTGGGCATGGTGGTGGGTGCCTATAATCCCAGCTACTTGGGAGCTGAGGCAAGAGAATTGCTTGAACCTGGGAGGTGGAGGCTGCAGTGAGCCGAGATCATGCCACTGCACTCCAGCCTGGGTGACAAAGCGAGACTCCATCTCAAAACAAAACAAGTTGTTGTTGTTCTGAAAGAATTATCACCGGTGGAGGCGCTGGCATAATTCAGCTGTTTTCAAGGATGTTGTGATTGTGGTTGTCTGGCCCAGTTCAAAAGTTAAAGACAAGTTCCTGGGGTATTTGGTTTTTATTTCTTTTTAACTCTTATTTTAGGTTCAGGAGTGCATGTGCAGCTTTGTTAAACAGGTAAATTGTGTGTCACAGGGGTTGCGTGTGTACAGATATTTTGTCACTTGGGTAATAAGCACAGTATCTGGTAGGCAATTTTTTGATTCTCACCCTCCTCCCACCATCCATCGTCAAGTAGGCCCCAAGGTCTGTTGTTCCTTTCTTTGCATCCATGTGTACTCAGTGTTTAGCTCCCACTTGTAAGTGACAAGATGCAGTATTTCGTTTTCAGTTCCTGTGTTAGTTCAGTTAGGATAATGGCTTTCAGCTCCAGACAAACACCTTTTTTTTTTTTTTTTTGGTATGGAGTCCTATGCTGTCACCCTGGCTGGAGTGCAGTGGCACAATCTTGGCTCACTGCAACCTCTGTCCCCTGGGTTCAAGCAATTCTCCTGCCCAGCCTCCCTAGTAGCTGGGATAAGAGGCATGCACTACCACACCCGGCTAGTTTTAGTATTTTTAGTAGAGACGGGGTTTTTGCCATGTTGGCCAGGCTGGTCTTGAACTCCTGATCTCAAGTGATCTGCCTGCCTTGGCCTCCCAAAGTGCTGGGATTATAGGCGTGAGCCACCATGCCCAGCCTCTAGACAAAGACTTTTAAACTGTCCTAAATACACTCAATAAGCTAAAGAAAGGTGGTGGGGGGGAGGAGAGACCTAAATGAAATCAGAAAAAAGATACATAAATAGAGAATATTAACAAAGAGATAGAAATAGTTTAAAAAAAAAAGGAGGGGGGGAAGAAAAGAAACAAATTCTGGAGCTGAAAAAATAACTGAATTGAAAAATTCACTAGAAGAGTACAAAAGCAGTCTCTAATAACAGAACAAAGAATTAGTGAACTTAATGAAAAGTTATTTGAAATAATCCAGTCTGAGAAGCAAAAATTAAAAAGAATAAAGAAAAGGTAACAGAACCGAAGGGACTTATGAGACACCATCAAGCAAATCAATATTCACATTACAGAAGAAGAGAGAGGAAAAGGAACAGAAAGATTATTTCAAAAAAAATAATGGGGGAAAACTTCCCACATTTGAAGACATGGATATATGATAGCAAGATACTCAATGAACCCCACATAGGAAAAAAAACCAAAGAGACCCACATGGAAACACATATTCAAAATGTCAAAAGTAAAAGACAGGCTAGGTACAGTGGCTCATGCTTGTAATTGCACCACTTTGGAGGGATCAAGACAGGAGTTCAAGAACAGCCTGGGGAACACAGCAAGAACCTGTCTATACAAAAAACAAATTTTTAAGGTAAAAAACAATGGAAAAGAATTTCGAGAGCAGCAAGATCAAACTGAATCATGACAAGCAAGGGATCCTCAATAAGATTATCAGCAGAAACTTGCAGACCAGAAGGTAGTAGAATGACATTATTCAACATGCTGAAAGGAAAGAAAAAAAAAAAAAAAACCCTATCACATGAGAATTCTATATCCAGCAAAATTTTAATTCAAAAATGAGGGAAGAATTAAGACATTCCCAAATTTTAAATTAATGAAATTAATAAGCTGAGAAAGTTCATTACCATAAGACATGCCCTACAAGAAATGACCAAAGATTCTTCAAATTGAGAAGAAAGGGAACTAGACAGTAACTAAAAACCGTATGAAAATATAAAGTTCTCCAGCAAAGATAAATACATGGACAAATATATAAGCCTCTATTATTAAAATTTTGGTTCATAAGTCCAGTTTTTATTCTTTTACAGGATTTTAACAGACAAAAGCATAAAAATCTAAGGGCACACACTATATAAAGATGCGATTTGTGACATCAATAACAAAGTTGGAGAGGCCTGAGGTGAAAAGAAGTACGGTTTTTGTAACCAACTGATGTTAAATTATTATCACCTTAAAATACATATTTATAACTTCATGATTTTACATGAAATCCCTCTGATAATCATCCCAAACAAATTCTGTAGACTACACATAAAATGAAACAAAAAGAGAATCAAAATGTGTCACTACAAAAACTCAACTAAGCACAACAAAAGGCAGTAAGGGAGGAAATGAGGCAGACTCTTAAAAAAGATACTTGTGGCCAGGTGTGGTGGCTCATACCTGTAATCCCAACACTTTGAGAGGTGGAGGTGGAAGGATTACTTGAGCCCAGGAATTGGAGACCAACTTGGTCAACACTGTGAGACTCAACTCTACCAAAAATAAATAATTAGTTGGGTGTGGTGATGTACTCCTGTAGTCTCAGCTACTCCAGAGGCTGAAGGTCAAGGCTACAGTGAGCCATGATCGCGTCACTGCACTCCAGCATGGGTGACAGTATGAGACCCTGTCTTAAAAAAAAACAATAAAAGGACGGGCACGGTGGCTCATGCCTGTAATCCCAGCACTCTGGGAGCCCGAGATAGGTGGTCAAGAGTTCAAGACCTGAGGTCAGGAGTTCAAGACCAGCCTGACCAATACGGTGAAACTCCATCTCTACTAAAAAATATAAAAATTAGCTGGGCATGGTGGTGTGCACCTGTAGTCCTAGCTACTCGGGGGCCTGAGACAGGAGAATCATTTGAACCCAGGAGGCGGAGGTTGCAGTGAGCCGAGATCACGCCACTGCACTCCAGCCTGGTGACAGAGCGAGACTCTCATTTAAAAAACAAAACAAAACGAAACAAAACAATAAATATTTCCACACCCATGTTCATATCAGCATTATTCACAATAGCTAAAAAGGTAGGAGCAGCCCAAGTGTTCACTGACAGATGAATGGACAAGCAAAATGTGGCACATACATACAAAAAAATATTATTCATCCTTTAAAAAGAAGCGAGTTCTCACACATTACAACATGGATGAGCTTTGAGGACATTATTCTAAATGAAATAAGCCAGTCACAAGAAAACAAATACTGTTTGATTCCACTTCTATGAGGTACCGACACCATGGCAAATCACAGAGAAAGAAAATAAAATTGTGGTTGGCAAGGGATGGGGAGAGGAGATAATGGGGAGTTAGAAGTTTAGTGTCCTTGGCCGGGCGCAGTGGCTCACGCCTGTAATCCCAGCACTTTGGGAGGCCGAGGTGGGTGGATCACGAGGTCAAGAGATCGAGACCATCCTGGCCAACATGGCAAAACTCCGTCTCTACTAAAAATGCAAAAAATTAGCTGGGCGTGGTGGCGGGCACCTGTAGTTCCAGCTACTCGGGAGGCTGAGGCAGGAGAATGGCGTGAACCCAGGAGGTGGAGCTTGCAGTGAGCCAAGATCGTGCCACTGCACTCCAGCCTGGATGACAGAGCAAGACTCCGTCTCAAAAAAAAAAAAAAAAAAAAAAAAAAAGAAGTTTAGTGTCCTTAATCCAAATGCTCCAAAATCTGTAAATTTGTGAGAGTTGGCATGAAACAAAAAAATTTAAAAAGCTCATTGGAGCACTTGAGATTTTCAGACTAGGAATGCTGAACCTGTAAATAATGTAATTCTCCAAAATTCAGAAAAATCTGAAATCCAAAACTCTTCTGGTCCCAAGCATTCTGGATAAGGGACACTAGATCTGTATTTAATGGACAAAAAGTTTCAGTTTTGCAAGATGAAAAGAGGTATGAAGATACACAGTGTTGACAATTACATATTTTTTTTTCCTTGAGACAAGGTCTCACTCTGTTACCCAGGCTGGAGTGCAGTGGCATAACCATAGCTCACCACAGCCTTGATCTCCCAGGCTCAAGCGATCCTCCCACCTCTGCCTCCCAAGTAGTTGTGACTACAGGCATGTGCCACCATGCCCAGTAATTAAAAAAAAAAAAAATCTTTTATAGAGACACATTCTTGCTATGTCACCCAGGCTGGTCTCAAATTCCTGGGCTCAATCAATGCCCCTGTACTGACATCCCTAAATACTGGGATTACAGGTATGGGCCAATGTGCCCAGTCAAATGTAAATGTTCTTAATGCCACGGAACTATAAACTTAAAAATGGTTAAGGTGAGCCGGGCACAGTGGCTCATGCTTGTAATCCTAGCCCTTTGGGAGGCCGAGGCGGGCGGATCACAAGGTCAGTAGTTCAAGACCAGCCTGGCCAACACAGTCTCTACTAAAAATACAGGGCATGGTGGTGGATGCCTGTAATCCCAGCTACTCGGGAGGTTGAGGCAGGAGAATCGCTTGAACCCAGGAGGTGGAGGTTGCAGTGAGCTGAGATCACGCCACTGCACTCCAGCCTGGGCAACAGAGCTAGACTCCTTCTCTTAAAAAAAAAAAAAAATTAAGGTGGTACTATGGTTGAATACTGACCCCTCCAAATCTCATATTGAAATGTGACCCCCAATGTTGGAGCTGGAGTCTAATGGGAAGTGTTTGGATTAAGGGAGTTGATCTCTCATGAATGAGTTGCTGCCATCCTTGCTGGAGTGAGTTCTCACTTAGTTCCCTTAAGAACTGGTTATTTAGAAGAGCCTGTCACCTGGTTCTCTCATCATGTGATCTCTGAACACACCTCCCCCTCACCTTTTGCCATGAGTAGAAGCTTCCTGAGGCCCTTATCTGAAGCAGGTGTTGGTCTGGCAATATGCTTCTTGTATAGCCTACAGAACCATGAGACTAATAAAGCTCTTTTTTTTTTTTTACCCCCAAATAATCCAGACTTAGGTATTCCTTTATAGCAAATGATCTCAGAAAGATGGTAAATTTTGTGTATTTTACCACAACTGAAAAAAAGTTTTTTTAAGAGAACAGGTCTCACTCTGTTGCCCAGGGTGGAGTACAGTGGCACAATCATAGCTCACTGCAGCCTAGAACTCCTGGGTTTAAGTGATCTTCCCCTGCCTCAGCCTCACAAGTAGCTGGGACTAGAGGCACGAGTCACCACATCCAGATAAAAACACTTTTAAAGTAGTCAAAACAACAATATTACTCTAGCACAAAAGCTTGATATCAAACAAGTTTGTTTCAAGAGCACTTATTCAATTTCACTAATTGGTTGTCAGACGAATACATATTTGCACGTATATTTGTAAATGCTTGCTTGTTTCTTGTTGAATTGTAAACAATACTTGACAAAGTAGAGCTGTTTAAACAATGAAAACTTGATATGGTAGTATATTCCACATGAAACTCATAAATGGTAGACAGCTATATAAAACCATCCAACACAGATCTTAAAATCAACATTTAATAGTCTGCACAAAACATGATGCCTTTTTTATGTTTCAGTGAATGAAAAATAAAAATTTTTATCTTTTATTATCGAGGGAGAGTAAGAAAGTCCCAAACAGAATACATATTTTCTCATCTCATAGAGCAAGAGAAGTTATTTAAAAACAACATGCCATGGGAGGCCAAGGCAGACGGATCACAAGGTCAAGAGATCGAGACCATCCTGACCAACATGGTGAAACCCTGTCTCTACTAAAAATACAAAAAATTAGCTGGGCGTGGTGGCACATGCCTGTAGTCCCAGCAACTAGGGAGGCTGAGGCAGGAGAATCGCTTGAACCCAGGAGGCAGAGCTTGCAGTGAGCCGAGACTGCACCACTGCACTCCAGCCTGGCAACAGAGCAAGACGCCGTCTCAAAACAAAACAAAACAAAACAAAATGCCCCCATGAACATAATCAAGAAACACTATAAATAATTAAATAAAACAAGAAAATAATTCCTCTACTACAGGAAAACATTGGCTCTTCATGTCAATGAGGGTTCTGTTACTATTGCAACTGCCAATCTGAAAGGAATTGAGGAACCACTTTTTCCTTCTTCAAATCTAACATCATCCCATGTGGAATAGTTGCGTCCACTTAACAACATTTTCTTACTTATTCTTTGCAACGTGCCAAAACACTATGCTGAACTCAGGCTTTGAGGCCCAGACAACCATCAGAAATGACCAATTTGCGGGGCCAGGCACAGTGATCATATCTGTAATCTTAGCACTTTGGGAGGCGGAGGTGAGAAGATTGCTTGAGCTTAAAAGTTCAAGACCAGCCTGGGTAACACAGCAAGACTCCGTCTCTACAAAAAAAATTTAAAAATTACCCAGGCATGGTGGTGCATGCCTGTGGTCTGAGCTACTTGCAAGGCTGAGGTGGAAGAACTGCTTCAGCCTAGGAGGAGGAGGTTGCAGTGAGCCAAGATCATGTCACTGCACTCCAGCCTGGGCAACAGAGTGAGACCCTGTCTCAAAAATAAATAAATAAATAAATGAATAAATAAAGAAGAATACCATTTATCTGTTGGGATAAGGGCAGGTATGGGACCATGTATAGCCAGCGCGATTACTGGAATACATTTCAAACGATGTCCAAGTCAGGTCCTATTTACATGCAGTGAATCAGAAGATACATACTTTAATTTTCCATTCTAGGTTAATACAGAATATCTAATAACTATACCAACTAAAACATTTTAAAATATAAATCCCATTAAATATTCAAACAATGGTATAATATTGTAAATAAAAACAAGTCCTGTGATTTTTACTGAAACATGGAGTGAAATAAAAGAGTGTAAGCTTAATGCAGAAACTTTTAAAATCAATTATAGAAAGGGTACGTATTTCCTACTTTATATATAGCATCAACCACTGGGTAGTTCTACTGACTATTAGATTGATCACACATTCCCACTACATAAAGCATTATTGTAAAAAGAATGCTGGCATTTATTTCTTATTTATGTATTTATTTTAATTTTGAGACAGAGTCTCCCTCTATCAGCCAGGCTGGAGTGCAGTGGTGAGACCTTTGTTCACGGCAACCTTCACCTCTCAGGTTCAAGCCATCCTCATACTTCAGCCTCCCGAATACCTGGGACTATGGGTATGCACCACCACCCCCAGTTAATTTTTGAATTTTTAGTAGACACAGTGTTTTGCCATGTTGGCCAGATTGGTCTCAAACTCCTGGCCTCAAGTGATCCGCCCACCTCAGCCCCCCAAAGTGCTGGGATTATAGTCATAAACCACTGTGCCCAGCCTATTTCTTCTTAGTGACTCTAGCTTCCCTTTCCCTTTTGAAATAATCTCTGATTAAAGTTTACATGCTACAAATGCTGCACCTCTGAGAGCAAGAATACTCAAATGTCAAAAAGAATAAACCATAACAACTCACAATTTCTCAGACAATGAGCAGATTATGATTATTATGTAAGCTCAGGCTTCCAAGTGCTCTCTCCTTCAAAGCCAAGCATGTAACAGGTATACAGCATAACAGTAACCATACTCTGACATACTTAAGATTCTTTCTTTCTTTTTTTTTCTTTATGTGGAGACAGAGTCTTGCTCTGTCATCCAGGCTGGAGTGCAGGGGTGCAATCTCGGCTCACTGCAACCTCTGCCTCCTGGGTTCAAGCGATTCTCCTACCTCAGCCTTCCAAGTAGCTGGGACTACAGGCGCGCAGCACAATGCCTGGCTAATTTTTGTATTTTTAGTAGAGACAGGATTTCACCATGTTGGGCAGGCTGGTCTCGAACTCCTGAACTCAGGTGATCCACTTGCCTCAGCCTCCCAAAGTGCTGGGATTACAGCCATGAACCACCGTGCCCGGCTCTGACATATTTAAGACTCAATTACAGTACATGGTAGGCACAAACCTTCAGTACAAGATGAATAAATCAAGAAAATCAAAGTAAAACTATTGCTACTATAATTTAATATTAACATAAAATCCAGCAAATACGTAAATTTCTATTTCAAAACAACATTTGCTATAGCCTCACAAAAAGGTTCCTATATGAAAATTTTGGTGCAAAAATACCTCAACGATGGCACTAAGCACCGAAAATGCATATCTGTCCAAAGTATAATCTAAAATGGTACAGAATTATTTTATGGATAATTTAAAGGCTATCTTCTTTTGCTACCTTTCATTTAAATACCAAAGATTGCACCTTAACAATGTAAGAAATGAAATAGTACTGGCTGACTATATATCCAGTTATTTATAAGGGAAAGCACTCAATGATGGGTGTCCATTATGATTTTTCTATCTGATTATGCTAAATGTAGTACAAAAACCCCACAAGTTATTTTTAGGTCATCACTGAGTTGGTTAAATAAACATTATGTCTGCCTGTGTAATGTGACTCCCGTAGTACTTACTCTGTCGAGAATAAACAGACATCATGCACACTGAATCATATGAGACAGGTTCAGAAAACAGCTGAGTCACCGACCATTAGCCCTTTACTTCCTGTTCACAGTAACACAGTGGAAATTTCTACCTCACCACAACATCAGGCTTCTTTTCCCATTCCCACTAATAAGTTATACTTTCCCTCAATAACACCAACCAGTTTGTGTTAAAGCTCAATTTAGACATCACATAGTTCTATTATGTTCTAATATTCCCAACCCACACACCAAGTTCCTGACAATACAAAAACAAAGACAAGTAACATTAGGAGGTTAATTAGGTTGGCATGCGTCATCACAATTAAGCTAGGTCTATTTGGAAAAAACCAAGTCTCTCCAGTTGACCTACAGGTGGAAGTATTACAGTATCACCTCACTGTCCATGTAGCTTGTACTTTTTTGATATGGCCAACAGATCCCCTAGGTTTTCTTTCTAAAGCTTCCCTGAATTACATGGTAAATGTTCTTTTACTATGAATAACAAGCTTTAAAGCAAAATCACTTTCAGTTTTCTTTCCTTCGAGGATGCTAATTAGTAGTACCCTCAGTTAAAAACATTAGGCACGCAAAAACTTTTACTCACATTAGAATGAAAAAAACTCTCAAACTATACTTGACTTCAGATGTAGCAATCTAACAAGTTTGTGAGTTTTTCTTTTTTGTTTGCAGTAGCAATTCTAAGTCATGGAAATCAAGTTGAAAAAGACACGATTCCTATGCACAGGGATTTACAATTTACCTAACAACAGTAAAAATGACATAGAAAGTGGTGTAAGGGCTCTCCCTCTCCCTCCCCCTCCCCTCCCCCTCCCCCCCTCCCCCTCCCTCTCCCTCTCCCCACGGTCTCCCTCTCTTTCCACGTCTCCCTCTCATGCGGAGCCAAAGCTGGACTGTACTGCTGCCATCTCGGCTCACTGCAACCTCCCTGCCTGATTCTCCTGCCTCAGCCTGCCGAGTGCCTGCGATTGCAGGCACGCGCCGCCATGCCTGACTGGTTTTGGTGGAGACAGGGTTTCGCTGTGTTGGCCGGGCCAGTCTCCAGCCCCTAACCGCGAGTGATCCGCCAGCCTCGGCCTCCCGAGGTGCCGGGATGGCAGACGGAGTCTTGTTCACTCAGTGCTCAATGGTGCCCAGGCTGGAGTGCAGTGGCGTGATCTCGGCTCGCTACAACCTACACCTCCCAGCCGTCTGCCTTGGCCTCCCAAAGTGCCGAGATTGCAGCCTCTGCCCAGCCGCCACCCCGTCTGGGAAGTGAGGAGTGTCTCTGCCTGGCCGCCCATCGTCTGGGATGTGAGGAGCCCCTCTGCCTGGCTGCCCAGTCTGGAAAGTGAGGAGCGTCTCCGCCCGGCCGCCATCCCATCTAGGAAGTGAGGAGCGCCTCTTCCCGGCCGCCATCACATCTACGAAGTGAGGAGCGTCTCTGCCCGGCCGCCCATCGTCTGAGATGTGGGGAGCGCCTCTGCCCCGCCGCCCCATCTGGGATGTGAGGAGCGCCTCTGCCCGGCCACGACCCCATCTGGGAGGTGAGGAGCGTCTCTGCCCGGCCGCCCAGTCTGAGAAGTGAGGAGACCCTCTGCCTGGCAACCACCCCGTCTGAGAAGTGAGGAGACCCTCCGCCCGGCAGCTGCCCCGTCTGAGAAGTGAGGAGCCTCTCCGCCCAGCAGCCACCCCATCTGGGAAGTGAGGAGCGTCTCCGCCCGGCAGTCACCCCGTCCGGGAGGGAGGTGGGGGGGGGTCAGCCCCCCGCCCGGCCAGCCGCCCCATCCGGGAGGGAGGTGGGGGTTCAGCCCCCCGCCCGGCCAGCCGCCCCGTCCGGGAGGTGAGGGGCGCCTCTGCCCGGCCGCCCCTACTGGGAAGTGAAGAGCCCCTCTGCCCGGCCAGCCGCCCCGACCGTGAGGGAGGTGGGGGGGTCAGCCCCCTGCCCAGCCAGCCACCCCGTCTGGGAGGTGTGCCCAACAGCTCATTGAGAATGGGCCAGGATGACAATGGCGGCTTTGTGGAATAGAAAGGGGGGAAAGGTGGGGAAAAGATTGAGAAATCGGATGGTTGCCGTGTCTGTGTAGAAAGAAGTAGACATGGGAGACTTTTCATTTTGTTCTGCACTAAGAAAAATTCTTCTCCCTTGGGATCCTGTTGATCTGTGACCTTACCCCCAACCCTGTGCTCTCTGAAACATGTGCTGTGTCCACTCAGGGTTAAATGGATTAAGGGCGGTGCAAGATGTGCTTTGTTAAACAGATGCCTGAAGGCAGCATGCTCGTTAAGAGTCATCACCAATCCCTAATCTCAAGTAATCAGGGACACAAACACTGCAGAAGGCCGCAGGGTCCTCTGCCTAGGAAAACCAGAGACCTTTGTTCACTTGTTTATCTGCTGACCTTCCCTCCACTATTGTCCCATGACCCTGCCAAATCCCCCTCTGTGAGAAACACCCAATAATTATCAATAAAAAAATAAATTTAAAAAAAAAAAAAGAAAGTGGTGTAAGGAGTATGAATAATATATCAAGAAGTACAGAGCAGAATGTGATTAATTCTTCCTGGGAGAAGAGTTCCAGGGAGCCTCCAAAGGTGGCAGATCAACAGTGATAGATGGTGAGCTTGCAGTCAGCCATAAAAAGCAGAGGAGATCATGTGTAGGCAAAACAAGGAATATTTTAAACAGAAGCACAAAGACCTGAAAAACTAGGGCACGTCTGCTGAACCATAAACACGTCAGTAATGCCAGAGAATAGAAGTGCATGAGGTAGAGTGAGAGGAGGTGACATCAGAGGATTAGATTAGGGCCAGACTAAAAAGACGGGTCAAGTAAGGACTTCGCCATGAAGGTAATCCTAGGAGATGTTGAACAGGGCAGAAATATCATCCAATTTGTTTAAAAAAGAGAGCCATTACAACAATATGAACTCTTAGTGAAGATACTGGTGTCAAGATATCAAACAGGGATCTATTCCGACAGCCCAGGTACATAGTGATAAGGGCCTGATAACAGCAGTGGATCTCGACAGAAAAAAAAAAGGCAGATTTGGGAGTTAATTCATATATTATAGAAACAGCAGGATTTTCTGAGCACCTAAATATAAGGGGAAGAAAGCTGCTTCTCCAAGGTTTGAGGATTAGATGGTGAAGAATGCTTACAGAACCCAAAATGATTGGGTCCCAGGCTATCATTGACTTCACTTCACATACCATTACTGTCCAGCCATACTGGCCTTATTTTATTCTCTCAAATATATCAACTTTTTTTTCTCTCAAGGCTTCTGCAATAGTTGTTTTCTCTGCTTTGAATAAAAAAGTGATGAATTCATTTATATTATGGAGAGTTTTAATGTCAAAGAGATCTCTAGGTACAAAAGTCTACAGAGTAATTAGGCATGAAGAGAGCAGAGTCAACCCAGAATGAACTAAGAATCAGCAAACATAACCAACAGTCCTTGCCATGAGAGTGGATGAGATAACCTAAAAACCCAATAACAAAAAATTATCCCCTGTTCATGAACTGGAAGATTTAATATTGTTAATATACCAATACAACCCAAAGTGACTTACAGATTCAATGCAATCTCTATCAAAATCCCAATGGTGTGTTCTACAAAAACAGAAAAACTCCCCATCCTGATATTCATATGTATTCTCAAGGAAGTCTGGATAGCCAAAACAATAGCTGAAAAGAAAAAAGCTGGAGGCCTCACAATTCCAGATTTCAAAATTACAAATCTGCAAAAATGAAAAGTGCAGTACTGGTGTAAAAATAAACCAAAAGTAATTAGAAATGGGAAAAAATGGCCCAGAAATAAACCCACAAATATATGTTCAAACGATTTTTGAAAAGGGTACCAAAACCATTCAATGGGGAAAGGACATTTTCAACAAATGGTTCTGGGAGAAATTAGATATACATATGCAAAAGAATGAAGTTAGACCCTCACTTAACACCAAATACAAAAATTAAGTCAAAATAGATTAAGACCAAAATGTAAGAGCTAAAAGTAAAAAAATCTGAGAAGAAATCAGAGAGAAAACGCTCTGAAACACTGGATTTGGCAATGACTTCTTAGATACAATACCAAAGGCAGAAGCAAAAAAAAAAAAAAGTAGACAACTTGGGCATATTAACAATTTAAAATTTTTGTGCATCGAAAGATATTACACCAAGAGAGTCAAGAGGCAACCTACAGAAGAAGAGAAAATATTTGTAAACTGTACACCTGTTAAAAAGTTAATATCCTGGGCTGGGCACCATGGCCTGTTTGTAATCCCAGCACTTTGGGAGGCCAAGGTGGGGAAATCACTTGAGGCCAGGAGTTCGAGACCAACCTGACCATCATGGCAAAACCCTGTCTCTACTAAAAATACAAAAATGAGCCAGGAATGGCAATCCCAGATACTCAGGTGGCTGAGGCACGATAATCATTTAAACCCAGGAGGCGGAGGTTGCAGTGAGCTGAGATCGCACCACTGCACTCCAGCCTGCGTGACAGAGGGAGACACTGTCTCAAAAAAAAAAAAAAAAAAAGTTAATATCCTGAATATATAGAACTCCTAAAACTCAATCACAAAAAAGCAAACAATCAGATTCAGAAATGGGCAAAGGACACGAATAGACATTTCTATTAAAAAGACATACACAAATGGCCAACAAGCCCATGAAAATATGCTAATCCTAAGGAAATACAAATCAATACTATATTGGTATATATCACCTCCTCACACCAAGATGGCTAGTATATATATGTGTACATACACACATACAATTTTTTTTTTTTTTTTTGAGACAGAGTCTCGCTCTGTCGCCCAGGCTGGAGTGCAGTGGCAAGATCTCAGCTCCCTGCAACCTCCACCTCCCGGGTTCAAGTGATTCTCCTGCCTCAGCTTCCCAAGTAGCTGAGACTACAGGTGCGTGCCACCATGCTCAGCACAGTGGCTCGTGCCTGTAATCCCAGCACTTTGGTAGGCCAAGGCATGCAGATCACAAGGTCAGGAGTTCGAGACCATCCTGGCTAACCCAGTGAAAGCCTGTGTCTACTAAAAATACAAAAAATTAGCCGGGCATGGTGGCACGGGCCTGTAGTCCCAGATACTTGGGAGGCTGAGGCAGGAGAATCGCTTGAACTCAGGAGGCAGAGGTTGCAGTGAGCCGAGATCGCCCCACTGCACTTCAACTTGGGCAACACAGCAAGACTCCATCTCAAAAAAAAGGAAAAGTGTTGTAAAAGATGTGGAGAAAGTGGAACTCTTGCACACTGTTGGTAGGAATGTAAAATAGGTACAGCCATTGTGGAAAACAGTATGGCATTTTCACAAAAAATAGGAATAACCATACAGTTCTGCAATTCCACTTCCAAGTATCCACTCTAAATAAATGAAAACGAGGTCTTAAGGGAGTTCTTTGTACATCCACATTCATATCACTATTATTCATAACTGGTAAAACATGAAAGCCAACCAAGTATGCATCAGCAAATGAATAGATAAGCACAATATGGTACCATAGATAAAGTGAAACATTAGCCTTAAAAAGAAAGGGAATTCTGACATATCCTACAAAATGGATGGAACTTGAGGACAATATGCTAAGTGAAATAAGCCAGGCACAAACAACTACTGTATGATAACAGTTATATGATGTAGTTAAAGAATAGCCAAAGCCACAGACAGACAGGAGAATGGCTGTTGCCAGGGTGCAAAGGGAGGGGTCAAAGGGAAGTTATTGTTTAATGGGTATAGACTTTCAGTTTTACAAGATGAAAGAAAAGAGTTATAAAGATGGATCGTGTGATCACTGCATATTATCAATGTATACTTAAAATGTACACTTAAAAATGGGGTTAAGATTTTAAACTTTGTGCTATTTGCATTTTAACACAATTTTTTAAATTGGGAAAAAAAAGAGAAAGGTTCAGAGATAATAAAGTAAGTTGCCCAAGGTCACACATGATGGCTAATTCAAAATGTAAACCTCAAAATGCAGACACCAGTGAAATTATAAAACAAATATCTACTTATACAAAACTCAGGATAATTGTTACCACTAGGGAGAAAGAGGCAGCTGAGATAAAGGAGGAATACAGAGTGGCTTCAAAGATATTGATAATCGACTTAAGGTGAGTGGTGGTTGGTTGTGTTATGATTATCCTTTCAAACCAAACACGTTACAATATACTTTTATAAGCTTAAACATGTCATAATAAATTGTAAAACACAGGTGTTTCAACAAACAGTAAGCAGCAGAATTAGACAAGGTGAAGCAGAGCTACTCATGATACATAACTTCACAAGCTATATACAGTGTATGGCCTGTCGAGCTGTTGGTGACCAACCTAGTACTGAAGTAAGCACAGTTCAGGATATGACTGAAAGTCAATTAGTGATTACTAAAAAGATTATCAAGCAGCTAAGTTGTAGCTATATTATACCTAAATAGAGTTTAGACCAGCTGTATTAATAAATCATTAATTTTTTGTTTGAGATACAGTCTTGCTGTTGCCCAAGCGGGAGTTCATGATCACAGCTCATCGTAACCTCTCACTCCTGGATGCCGCAAGTGAATCTCCAGCCTCAGCTTCCCAAAGTGCTGGAATTACTGGCTTGAGCCAATGCGCCTGGCCCAAACAAAGTCTCGCTCTGGGGTACAGTGGCGTGATCCCGGCTCACTGCAACCTCCACCCCCTAGGTCCAAGCGATTCTCATGCCTCAGCCTCCCGAGTAGCTGAAACCACAGGTGCACACAACCACACCCAGCTAATGTTTTATATTTTTTAGTAGAGACAAGGTTTCACCACTTTGGCTAGGCTGGTCTTGAACTCCTGGCCTCACGTGATCCGCCTGCCTCAGCCTCCCAAAGTGCTGGAATTACAGGCATGAGCCACCATGCCTGGCCCCAATCATAAAGTTTTAATTAGACTCCACGAACACAGGTAATGGAATTTCCAAAGCAGAGCCATCCATCCTGGGAGCAAGAACAGAGGAAAAGACCTGCTGAGTTAGATTCAGGGACGAGAACTGGGAAGAAAGAGAAATTGAGTCGGGGGGGGGAAGGGAACTAGTGGGCCAGGTGCAGTGGCTCACGCCTGTAATCCTAACACTTTGGGAGGCCAAGGCAGAAGGATCACTTGAAGCCAGGAGTTTGAGACAAGCCTGCACAACATAGCAAGACCTCATCACTACAAAATAAACCATTAGTTTGATTTTTTTAAAACAAAGAGAACTAGTGGTTTTATAAAAATAAAGTTATAGTAGTTAGTGATAGGATCAAGGGTAAATAAGAGAAAGTGAAGGCAGAAAGGGGCTGCCATCTTGAGAAAAGAAATGGATTAAAGAATTAAAAGGTTGTAGGCTGTGAAATAGGTATAACAGGACTGGCATGGGATAGGAAAAAGGAACAAAGACTATGGTCAGAAAAATGTTATTTATTTATTATTTTATTTTTTATTCTTGAGACAGGGTCTCACTTTGTTGCCAGGCTGGAGCACAGTGGCACAATCATGCTGCAGTGAGCCATGAACTCCTGGGCTCAGGGGATCCTCCTACCTCAGCCTCCCAAGTAGCTGAGACTACAGGTGTAAAACACCATGCCCAACTAATTTTTAAAAATTTTTTGTGGAGACAGGGTCTTGCTTTGCTGGACCAGATGTTTGAGGCCCAGGATGGCCTCAAACTCCTCGCTTCAAGTGATCATCCTGCCTCAACCTCCCAAAGTGCTGGAATTACAGGTATGAGCCACTGGGCTGGTTGGAGAAATTTTAGACTTCAAGAATTCAAAGGCAGAGCAGTTCTCAGCTGATATGGTTTGGCTCTGTGTCTCCACCCAAATCTCATCTTGTAAGCTCCCATAATTCCCATGTGTTATGGGGGGAACCCAGTGAGAGATGACTGAATTATGGAGGCAGGTCTTTTCCTGTGCTGTTCTCTTGATAGTGAATGGGTGTCACGTGATCTGATGGTTTTAGAAATGGGAGTTGCCCTACACAAGCTCCCTTTTTGCCTGCTGCCATCCATGTAAGATGTGACTTGCTCTCCCTTGCCTTCTGCCATGATTGTGAGGCCTCCCCAGCCATGTGGAGCCCAAGTCCAACAAACCTCTTTCTTTTGTAAATTGCCCAGTGTCAAGTATATCTTTACCAGCACCCTGAAAATGGACTAATACATCAGTAGAGACCAGGTCCAGGCCAGTGCTCGTAACAAAAATATAAAAAATACAATACAAACCACACAAGTAAGTAATTTAAAATTTTCTAGGTCACCAGATTAGAAAAACTTAAAACTGGTGAAATTAATTTTGTGTTTTACACTTACAAAACATCTCAATTTGCAGAAACTATGTTTCAAGTGCTCAAAAGCCACAGTGGCTCTAATAGCGACCACATTGGACAGTGCAGATCTAGACTGTGTCCATATAGATTGCTGAATATGTGTCTATATACAGTTGCTATTGGGAGGCAAAGAATGGGAAGAAAAAAGGATCAGCCGGGTGTGGTGGCTCATGCCTGTAATCCCAGCAATTTGGGAGGCTGAAGTGGGTGGATCACTTGAGGTCAGGAGTTCAAGATCAGCCTGGCCAACATGGTGAAACTCCACCCCTACTAAAAATACAAAAATTAGCCAGGCAGCGTGGCACATGCCTGTAATCCCAGCTATTTGGGTGGCTGAGGCAGGAGAATCACTTGAACCCAGGAGGTGTGGGCCGCAGTGAGCCAAGATCACACCACTGCACTCCAGCCTGTGCAGCAGAGTGAGACTGTCTCAAAAAAAAAACACAACAACAACAACAACAACAAACAGGGTAGATCCAGGAGCCCACAGGCAATGGTTGGACAGCACAACAATGAATGTCACAAGTCATCTTTGTGGATGGCAGAAAGCAAAACAGAAAAGTAAATTATGAGCCAGACACTAAAATTCTCAAACAATGAGAAAATGGGTCCAGAAAAATGAGGAATGATGGCAAAAAAAAAAAAAAAAAAGAGGGAGAGAGAGCTGTTTATGCATTTTCGGCACAAGGGTTGCAGGCAAACAACCTACAGAAAGCGGTGAAGGGCCAGGAGGTTGCTGAGTTGCCTTCCAAGATATAAAGAATATAAGAACACTAACAATGTTGAAGTGGAAGGATTTCTAAGGAAAGTAGTGTTACATAAATTTCCACAGAGTAAGGAGATGGAGGAAGAGTTCAAAGAAAGTGTGTAAGGAAAAAATATGACAACAAAAAGGACTTGCCAAAAAGTCCAGTAACAGGATGTTAGCAGAGAGAGATTCTACAAGCAATCTCACCCCTATAAAATAAAAAGTATATCCAGATAACTAATAAATAGCAGAAGCAGAATTTCTTGATTCTAGGACTAAGCTCCTAATTCTTCTGAAATTTAGAATACAAAGTCACATAAACTTTAGAATATTCTTCTCAGAGAAACAAATGACTTAAATATACAAGTGGCAGTTCATAAGGAAAATAATAACTTTGTGTGGTGGTCTTTCCCAAATAAATCAATTTACATCTAACATACAGTATGTACTCTACAAATACCAGGCATCCAAATAGTTGTATTAAGAATGGACCTCTAAAAGAATCTTGCTATTTGTTGCTTCAGGTGGAGAGGAAGAAAACGTATTCAATAAAATAGCTTTAAAAACAGGTTTAAAGAGAAATCAAAACACATAAATCCTATTTACCAAAATAAACCTCCATGGACTTCATCTTTTTAAATCATTTCCAACTTTTCTACTATATCCATTAACGCTGGAAATTATAGCACAGATGTTTCCCTGCAGACAAGCCGATTGCTTATAATTTTTTATCCTCATAAAATCCAGCAAAAGGATAGGCATGAAAGGTGAAAAATAGTAATTATTAGTTATCTTTGGCAGAACTATTCATTCCTCATGACACTGCTCATCTAATAAATTAAAAAATGTACATTACAATTCAAAGTCTATCTAATCCTCAGCATGGTTCTAATGGATGACTTGGGATAAATGTGAATCAAACTTCAATGTAAACAAATACAATTAATCTAGCCAAATATTAATAGATAGTGCATCCTCTCTTCATCTTCTTCCTCATATCTACCTTGAAGATGAAAAATTATTGTTTTATTTGATTTAGTTAGGAAAAAATGTTTCAGCCATTAAAAAAAAAAAGTCTTATACTGATTTACAATAAGACTGGGCAAAACCAGACTTTTCAGAAAGGCCAAACCATTATTTCAGGTTATGTTCTTCAAATGTTTTCATCTTGAATTCTATTTATGAAGAGTTACTAACAAAAAGCAATACCAATGGATCAGATGTCATGTGTAATTTCTTCTGCCTACAATTCTACAGAGTTTATGAACAAAAATAGCTTTTAAAAAAAACGGAGTGAAAAAAGGGAGTGAAAATATGGTACAGAATAACGATCAAGAGGCCATAATCCACCTCACAAAATAAAAGCTGGCATACATAAACCAGAAATGAATTCTTTTCCTTATGAACTATTTTAGCACTTGAACTCTTTCCCAAATCCATCATAATACAATGACGGACTGCTTCTCAAAGAAACTAGTAACAGATATGCCTACTAAGTCAGAATTTTTCCTTTTCATGTGCTCTAATATTTGCTTAACAGCTAACACTGCTGAATGATTTCTGGAAAACTTTACACAGTAACCTCACTATGTTTCTAGATGACATCAAGGTAATCACCATGACTTTCTGAGTGGTTATCCTGGGATTTCTAAACTACTCTATATATCAGTTTTACCTGATGTGTAAGTTTTTGTTGTTTTTATTTTTTAAACAACAATGCAGGAAAAATAAATCACACATAATAAATACGGTAAGAGTCAAACTAATGAAATCTTTTAACAATATTAGGAAATAATATTTCATGATATAAATACCTATTAGTAACATCTGGTTTTCAGTAATGATGATTAAAGTATCATAAACTGATATGAAAGAGTTAAGAAAAAGTTCCAGAAACATGATATTGAAACCTAACAGCAGAGCAGATAAAGAATTCATTCTCTAGAATTCTGAACTTAAAAAAAAAAAAGTTAAATACGCCAAAGCTACTGCAACAAAAGACAGGCAAGGAACATTTATTTAGCATCCTATGATGCAGGCACTGTTATTTCTATTGAACAAATGGCAGGACTTCCACGTGGAATAAGGTTCAATTTATGAAAGATCTCACAATTAGTAAGTGATAGAACTGTGATTCACAGCCAGGTCTCTGTTTTGAAAACATACTTCACTTTATGTAATGCAGCCTTTATACTATAGCAAACTGAAAATTCTTTTCCACAGTTTATAGTTTGAAGGTGGTGATGAAGAGAACATCGGGAATACTGTATGATCAATCTTTCTAGTTAGATCAATAAGAATAAAAAGGCCACGCGTGATAGCTTATGCCTGTAATCCCAGCGCTTCAGGAGGCCAAGGAGGGAGGATAGACTAAGGTGAGTTCAAGACCAGCCTGGGCAATACAGTGAGACCCTGCCTCTATAAAAAAAAATTTTACAAATTAGCTGGGTGTGCTGGTATGTGCCTGTAGTACTAACTACTTGGGAGGCTGAGGTGAGGGTGGCTGAGATGGGAGGATCCCTTGAGCCCAGGAGTTCAAGAACTATGATTATGACAACACACTCCAGCCTGGATGACAGAGGGAGACTGTCTGAAAGTAACAAAGAAAATTTTTTTCTGGGAATTTATCACAGTTCAATTGTTGGGCTGTACTTGAGGACTCTTCAAGAAGAGCTCCAGTAGAGAGATTATTTATTTCTGAATGGGATCTCTTTTCAACACCAGGGACATTAGTACTTGAAAATAAAAAAGGCTGTATTTTAAATGTTATCTACCACAAATATTGCTCTTACTTAATTGTAACTTTTGGAAATTTTTTAATGAATGTTTTAAGCAACTCAAAACATTCATTTAAGTCACAGTATGTGTTTTATTCTACATTACGACCATCCAATTATTCTTACTCTGTTACTTCAAAAACAGATATTTAATGAGCAGTACTCTACACAAATTGAAGTACACTTTAATATTATTCATCACCCATTCAACAGCTGTATTTGTGATGCCATTCTATCAACCAAACTCTAAAAATATTTATCACTATAAAACAGAATTATAGTATGAGACAATTTTGCCAAGTAAACCAATTTCACATAATACTCTGTAAACTGAAATACTATCTTAGTGATTGCAGTGATGGACCATACAAAGTGGCTGCTGACATGGCACTGGCAGAGGTGGGGTGCGGCCGCAGGCCACAGGTGCTCAGGTATAGACACCAAGGCGAATGGTACATGGGGCCTGTGGCCCTGGGATGGTACCAGGTTCCCGTACTTCGGCAGTAGGCTCAGATTGGCACCACCGGAGATCGTGTCCCCAGGATCTGCCCCATGTCAGGGTGTCTGCTGAGCCTGGCACTCCTGGTGGCTGGGCCTGGGCCCAGAATCTGCTCCCAGAGGCGCCACCCTGGCAGGGTCGTAAGCCAGGCAAGGGGGAGCCCTGGGGCTGCAGGGGGACCCTGCAACGACATCACCCCTGCCCTGGATGCCAGTCCAGGCCCGGTGAGGGCCTGGAGCCCCACCCCAGGTGGCAAGGAGGCGGGACAGGGCAGCAGGAGTGGCTGTAGGAGCAGCAGTAGGACCCCTGTGCCCATGTCCCCAAGGAAGCCAACTGTGCCACCCCCACCCTGGCACAGCTGGGTAGGACCCACTCCCAGGCCTGAGGCCACTGCAGCCTCAACCTCACTTCTGGCCGTGTCCTGGGAGCCAAAGGTTCATTTGTGCAGGGCTGGCCAGGGCCACCATGCCACCTGCACCTTACCTGCCGTGGCTATGGGAAGACACAGAGAAGGAGCACAGCTAAGGCTGTGTACTCTGCAGCCGGGGACAGGCAGGAGTCCCACCCCTCCTGAGTTGGCAGGGCAGGAGCTCCCCAGGCACAGCTCCAGCCACTCAGGTCATGGCTGTGGGCCCAGGCCTCTCAATGCTCTCAGGGGCCTGGGAGAGCCCCTGTCACCACAGGCTCAGGGGTGTCTGCTCCTGCTGCCTGGCCTCTCCCCACTCCCAGCATCTGCTCTGGTCTCCAATTGGGGTTGGGGCCAAGCCCGGGCACTGTTGCAGCCCAGCCAGGTATGCATAGGCTCAGGGCAGCACTGACCCGCTGGGTCCCTTCCAGCTTGGCCCCTCCAAACTTTGGGTGCCAAAGACCACAGGAGAGTGGCCAAGATAGGGCAGGGGGGCAGTTCAGCGATAGCCTGTGGGCATCCCTTGGCACAAGTAACCTGGGGGCCATAGGCAGTGGTGGGAGGCAAATGGGCTCCTGTGCCAGAAGGGGCGAGTCCTCAGTGAGGCCCCACCTTTTGCCAGGGAGGTTCTGAAGGCTAGGGGTGGGCTACCCATCCCATGGACCAGAGTGGGGACTTGTGGTGCCTTTTCTGGGCTGCCCACGGACCAACTGGCATGCACCACCTCCCCTGTAAGGCCCATAAAAGCCTCAGGCTCAACCAGAGCAGGGCAGAGGAAGGAGAGACATCAGGATGACCAGCTGTAGAGAGGAGCTACCCTCTCTAGGGCCTCCTCTCTGCTGAGAGCTGCAAACACTGGAATGACCTGCCTACAGAGAGAAGCCACCTGCTCCAGGGCCTCCTCTCTGGCTGAGAGCAACAGACATCAGGACGACCAAAGGCAGAGAGGAGCCACCCACTGCAGGCCTCCTCTCTGCTGAGAGCTGCAGAGACAATGGGACAACCTGGCTGACGAGAGGAGCCACCCACTCTAGGGCCTCCTCTCTGCCGAGAGTCGAACACTCAACAAGATGACCTGCCTACAGAGAGGAACTGCCCACTGCAGGTCTCCTCTGAGCTGCTCTGACACTCAGTAAAGCTCCTCTTCATCTTGTACACTCTACACTTGTCTGCATACCTCAATCTTCCTGGACGCAGGACAAGAACTCAGGCAAAGGTGCCACAGGCCACAGAGGTTTCTGGCCAGAAAAGTGACACCCCAAAGATCCCGTAATGTTAGTACAAAAAAAAGAGCATGAATCATCATCTCTCATTACCTTTCTTTAAACACCTTAATATTTAAAATCAGTTACACAGAGATGGTATTTCTTTATACCTAGCCACCATACCATGTCTCTATATAAATGCTTATTTGTGGGCTGGGCGCAGTGGCTCACACCTGTAATCCCAACACTTTGGGAGGCTGAGGCAGGTGGATTGCTTGAGCTCAGGAGGTCAAGGCCAGCCTGGGCAACATGGCAAAACCCCGTCTCTACAAAAAAATACAAAAATTAGCCAGGTGTGGTGGCATGCACCTATAGTCTTAGCTACTTGAGAGGCTGAGGTGGGAGGATGGTTTGAGCCCAGGAGGTAGAGGTTGCAATGAGCCAAGATCGTGCCACTGCACTCCAACCTAGAGACAGAGTGAGACTCCACCTCTAAAAAAATAATAAAATAAAAGCTTATTTATGAGTTACATTCTAGAAATATTCATACTAAACAATGAGATCACCTACTCAGAAAAAGTAAGAAATTCTCTATTCAGTATAGTACTGAACTGGTTTAAAAGACCTAAATCTCTGTCATGGCATCCTAAAAAAGACTTTTCCAGCTTAGCAATTAAGTCTTAATTATTTGATTCACAATGACAGAACAGCTGGAATATTAAGATTCCCAGACCCTCACAGAATAAGGTCTCTAAGGGTGGCTTAGAGTATTTGGCTCTTTTTAAGTTAAGCTTGTACTGGTAAACTTTTACTGAACTGTACAAAATTAACAGTACCAGTCAGAAAAAGGAAAAAAAAAAAAAAAAGCTATTGCGCCAAATAAAGCATCCACACTGCAAACAGCCAAAAAGTGACACTTCTGGAAAATTTCATTTACAGCTAGTTTTCATTCAACTATTTAGGGGCTTACTATGGATCAGGCACTGCTCGTCATATGGGGGGAAGCAGTTTGGCTGCTTTTAACAGTTTGAAAACACTATAGTATAACTTTAAATCTAGGCGTATCTGATTGTATGGAAGCAAAAAACACCCACTCTTATTCTGGGTGAATCAGAAGAGTCAATTACATAGTACCTGGCAGGGTATAATTTGGTTCTATCACCAAAATAAATTGGCATATAAAATCAATACCGTAAAAACCTTCTGAGTACAGACCACGATGCAAAGCATATTATCTGTAAAAAAGCTGTAACAGTCTGTTTTAGCTACTGAACAGAAATGTCTTCTCAATCACCAGAGCTACTTTCCCTAAATTAAGACTAGCCCAATTCACTTTGCTTGTATAAGATCTGAAAATGGGGGCATCTTGCTCCTTTCAGTGAAAACCATCCTCAGCAAACAAAGCCTATAAAGTATCATTTGGGCAATATGTATCAAAAGGCACTGTTCCTAATCGGCTGTGGGATTAGAGGAGGGAAAAGGCACTGTTCCACAGCTTTGTCTCAATGCTGGGTGCACATTAGCATTACCTAGGCTCATCCCAAGCAATTAAATGAGAATCTCTGGAGAAGGGGACCCAGGCATCAGGTGATTCTAAGTGGGAAGGCAGAAATGAAAACCACTGATCAAACTCTTTCTCACTTCTGAGCAGTGATACTATATGGAGCAGGGAAACACTACTGAAATCATCACCATTTTTGTACTCTTTATAATTAGTTCAACATTGAAATGCTATGGCTTTCTGCCCCTCAGAAGACAATAATAGACTCACATAATAGGATAGCTTGATCACAGGCTACTTGTGTTCTCTCAAAAGCAACTATACTATTCAAAGCTTAGCTTTTACTTATACAGCATGACAACTCAGTTTTCTCTCCAATCCCAGGACCAGTTCCCCCAAGACTGTGGGCTAAAAGCACCAGTGTACTGATAAAGAGATGCTGTTGGTTCACTGAATTCCCAACAAAAGTATTCTACAATGTCTGCAATGCTGGCTCTCCACTTCCTACTTCAATGGCTGCTATTTAGGACCCTCTCTGGACCTACTACTGATAGCCACCACGATTATCTCTACTAATTTCTTCCCCTCATTTCTCCCACCTTTACATAGTCTCTGGTTTCCTGTCAGTTTCTTCTTCTACATCTCAGCTAAAACATCCCTAGCCAGAGTTCTCATTCATTTGTCACACGAGACCACTAGACATAATCTTCACTCTAGGTCCTGATATACCCCTAATTCAGACCACCTCCTACTCCACTAATTTCTTTCTTTCTTCTCTCTCTCTGTTTCTCTTAGAACTAGGACTTCAAATTAGATTTTTAAGTACCTACGAAGGGAATCATTAACTAGAACATTCCCAGTTCTTGGGAGTGTCTATAAAAGTTATGTATAAGTTCTTTATTAAGGTGAATACTACATCTTAATTCCACTCTCAAGCAATGATGCTTTCTTCACCTACTTAGAAAAAGAATGTTGTGTCCATTATGAAACATATTTTTTTTTAAATACACAGAATCCTATAAAAATCCCAAAAACAAATTTTGGGAAAATAGAAAAGCCCATTCTAAAATTCATATGGAATCTCAAGGGTCCCCCAATAGCCAAAACAATCTCGAAAAAGGAGGACAAACCTAAACGTCTCAAACCTGGATTTCAAAACTTACTACAAAGCTACAAGAATCAAGTCAGTATGGTACTGGCATACAGACAGACATACAGAGCAATGAAAAGAAAAGAGCCCGGAAATAAACCTTCACATACGTGGTCAAATGATTTTTGACAAAGGTGCCAAGACTATTCAACGGGTAAAGGACAGTCTTTTCAACCAATGGTGCTAGAAAAACTGGATAGCCACATGCCAAAAAAACGAAGCCAGGCCTTTATCTTAAACCATACATAAAAATTAAATCAAATGAATCATAGTTCCATTCTGTGAGAGAACACAGAAAAACAAAATTTTTAAAATGAATCATAGATCTAAATGTAAGAGCTAAAAGTATACAATTCCAACAAAGGAACATAGGGGGAAACTTTCAGAACATCAAATTTGGCAATGTTTTCTTAGATATGACACCAAAAGCACAGACAACAAAAGATAAATTAGACTTTATCAAAATTAAAAACTTGTGAGCGAGGCATGGTGGCACATGCCTGTCGTCCCAGCTACTTGGGAGGATAAGCTGGGGGGATCCCTTGTATCCCAGAGACGGAAGCTACAGTGAGTTATTTCCAACACCCTGAACTCCAGACTGGTGTACAGAATGAGACCTGTCTCAAAAAAATCCAAAAATTAAAAACTTTCTGTAAAGAACACTATCAACAAAGTGAAAAGGCACCTGACAGGATAGGATAAAATATATATAAATCACATAACTGATAAGGAATTGATATCCAGAACATATAAAGAACTCCTACAACTCAACAACAACGAAAGAAGCAACCCAATTAAAAAATGGGCAAAGGGCTTTGAATAGACATTTCTCCAAAAATAGACAAATGGCCAATAAGCACTTTAAAAGATGTTCTAAATCAATAATCGTTAGTGACATGCAAACATTTTATAGATACACTCTCTCTGCTCACACCTCAGCATGTAAAGTTTCTGACACCACCACAGTGATATTATGAAATACATATTTGGTCTTCATCCTGATTCCTGTCACACAACTTCTAAAAACCTTAGAATCGCCAACGTCTGTCTTTTTGTATGCTAATGTTGACTGACAGCTAGAGTTGATCATCACAAGGGCATGATTAGAGGGTTGGGACTTTCAGTCGGACCCCCAACCTCAGGGGAAGGAGAGGGGCTAAAGGTCAAGTTGATCACCAGTGGCCAACAGTTTAACCAATCATGCACATAATGAAGTCTCCAAAAAACCTAGGACACGGTTAAGTGAGCTTCTACGTAACCAAACACATGGAAGTTGCTGGAGGGTGGTGCACCAAGGAAGGGCAGAGAAGCTCTGTGCCCCTTCCCCCATACCTTACCATAGGCATCTCTTCAACTGTATCCTTTGTGATATCCTTTATAATAAACAAGTAAACATGTTTTCCTGAGATCTGTAAGCTGCTCCAGCAAATTTATCAAACCCAAAGAGGGGATCATGAGATCCCCAAATTGAAGCCAGTCAGTCAAAAGTTCCAGAGGCCGGGACGTATGGCTGGTATCTGAAGGGGTGGGAAGGCAGTCTAGAGGAATGTTTTTAATCTTTCTGTGTCAAGTTTAAATGCATATTCCTAGATTTTGGTTTTTGACCAATTTGAGTTGAGATTTGACCAATGAATTGAGATAATTTAACTGTGTTGTTATTACAGTTCTGTTAAAGCGAACTAAATATGGTCTGAGAAGGACTCCGTACTTTTAAATCTGAGTCCCTGTGGATGAACCCTAACTCAGCTTAAAAGGCAGACAAGACTGAAAACCTAAAGAGTATGCAGCTGTAAAAACAGCTGAGTCTTGGCCAATCCCAGCAGCCATACTTCAACCAATCATAGACTGCTGAGTGTTCAAACAAGGCAAACGTCACCCTGTAACCAATTCAGGTGTTTCTGTACCTCACTTCTGATTTTTTTTTTTAACACTTTCCCTTTTTTTGGTCTATAAATTTGTTCTGATCAGAAGGTACCCCTAGAGTCTCTATGAATTTGCCGTGATTCTGGGGGATGCCTGCACCAGTCATTCACTGCTCAATTAAACTCCTTTAAATTTAATTCGACTACATTTTAATTTTAACAGTTATGAATATGTTTCACAGTCCAGATGTCTTATCACATTTACTTTGTATTTCCCCTTTCCTGACTTTCTCTCAGGGATGTCAGCTGCTTTCTGCAGTTATTAATCTCTAGATTACCTCCGCATCCTCCTTTTTATTTTTATTTTTTGTAGAGACCAAGTCTCACTATGTTGCCCAGGCTCATCTCGAACTCTTGGGCTCAAGCTATCCTTCCACCTCAGGCTCCCAAAGTGCTAGGATTACAGGTGTGAACCACAATGCCCAGCCTCAGCATCCCCCTTATTAATCATTCAGCCAGTATAACAAATTCATGTATTAAAAATCCTCTCCATTTGAAATAGTTTAGTGTAATTTATTTCTTACTAAGACTATGACAACTGCACTAAACAGGCATGTGAAAATTTGAAACTGAACTATAAAAGAAGATGGGCAATTTTCATGGTGATTAAGAGTAGTAAGATGTGGAGTAATAAACAGAATTTTGAATAATATAGTGTAGTACTTGAAACTGGAGAAACACTGGCAGTGAAGAGAAATGGAAATATGTTTTACATGAAAAGTATAACAAAATGTTGGCAACATGGTTTCTGCAATATGTCACCTACTTAGGGGTTTTCTATGAAACAAACTACTTTACAGAGAACACACACACAAGGGAGACAGAATTTAGATAGCTTGAGAGTTCATCATTCTTCACAGAGAAAAGGGTCCATCAACTGATGAAAAGCTTGGAAATCAGACTTAGCCCTTCGTGTTACATTATAAGCATGACTAGACATTAGAGGGAAAAAAACGTAAATAAATGTATGCACTGAGAAAAAAAGTTTGTTGGTTTAGTGAGTAAATTATAACAAATTTCTTTTCTTTTCTTTTTTTTTTTTTTGGAGACAGGGTCTCACTCTGCCGCCAAAGCTGGAGTGCAGTGGCACAAGCATGGCTCACTGCAGCCTTGACCTTCTGGACTCAGGGGATGCTCCCACTTTAGCCTCCCAATCAGGTGAGACGAGAGGCCCACGCCGCCATACCCGGCTAATTTTTGTAGAGATGGGGTTTCCCCACATTGCCCAGACTGGTCTGAAACTCCTGAGCGCAAGTGAACTGCCCACCTCAGCCTCCCAAAGTGCTGGGATTATAAGCAAGAGCCACCTCACCCAGCCCAACATTTTTATTTTCTAATAGTCGTTCTATATATCAATTTATAATATTCATTCTTTATACTTAATTGATTCTATTTGCTTTAAATATAACTAAGTTAATCTCTCTTTACTATTCATTGAGAAAATTTAAAATGACCATCATCTACAAGATGTGTGTGTTATTGACTTTTTATTGATTGCTGAGTCACTGAAATTCACAGTTCTTAGTTCTATAAAGATAGCTAGCCTTTGTACACTACATTTTATAGTTTGTGACTTTTAAGTAAATTTTTTCATTTGATCCCTTATAAAAACAGTCCTGAATCAAGCTTGTCTTCTCATTTCTCTCCCAGCAATCAGCATGCTCCCGTCCACTACAATAAATCTGAAAAGACATATATACCCATTTGCCTGACTAAACTCAAGACAATATTATACATGTCTACTATGGTACTTAACCTCTCTGCTGAGCTTTCCCTCAGAGTTCTGTCTGCTCACTTCCCCCACAACACGCTCTGAATCACATATACATTTTTGCAGGAACTATCACAAGCACTTTAAATTGAAGAGTCAAACTGCACAATTTCTTCATTATTCTTAAAACTTACCTGTTCTGTTTCTCATCCTAAAATTTACTGACACATGCTAATCTCTGCAGCTGAACTGAATTAGCAATTTTCAGAACCATAAAAATCTAAAAATCTGAATGTCACAACCAGATAAAAAATAAATTAGTGGCACTAAAGTGAGTTTTTCCCCCAAATCTGTGGGAAATAAATGAAGTGTGATATTCCCAAGAGGTAAACTGGCAAGAAAAACGCTGACAGAGTTTTTCATGACTTCTTAAAACAGATGAGAGGTAGCCAGAGAAATAAACAAGAGTCTCCCAGGATGCATCCAAAAGAAACAGCTGTTCAAATGTAAAAGACAAAATCCTAAACCTTTTGCCTTTGACAGGATTTAAGTGAAAATGAACATCATCAACAAAAGACTGAGCCTACATAAAACAGAAGTAAAGAAATGCTTACAAAATCACAATCAGTTTGGTTCTTACAAAATTCTTTAGCTTGCTGTAATAGTGCTGAATTAATACTTAGATAAAATGTGGGTTCCAGCCATGTGAATTTGCCAAACAGAATGTAAAACTTAGGGTGAGAAGTCTGAAAAATAATTGTACTTAACCATCACTCTTGCAGCAACATTTAAAAACTAACCACAGAAATGTCAAAAGAAAATAAATGGAATTCTTTTCGGCTACAGGCAATACAAAGAGAAGTATAATCAAACATATAAAAGCTGCTTTAGGCACATTTCAAGGTAAGTTACAGGACTGCATAAAAGATTAAACACCTAGGCCAGGCACGGTGGCTCACACCTGTAATCCTAGCACTCTGTGAGGCCAAGGCAGGTGGGTTGCTTGAACTCAGGAGTTCGAGACCAGCCTGAGCAACATGAGGAAACCCAGTTTCTACAAAGAAATACAAAAAGTCAGTTAGTCCCAGCTACTCTCAGGAGGCTAAGGCAGGAGGATAGCTTGAGCCTGGGAGGTGGAGACTGCAGTGAGCAGAAAACACACTGCACTCCAGTTTGGGTGACAGAGTGAAACCTTGGCGCAAAAAAAAAAAAAGGAAGGATGGAAAGAAAGAGAGAGAGAGAGAGATGAAACACCTATTAGAAAAACATTTGGTCAAGGTTGCTTTATAAATATGGTTGCAACTAATTTTTTAAATAAAAACAAAAAATGACCAAAAGAGCTGAACACTCTTCCAATCAAGTATCACATTAAAATAAATCTCAACAATTAGAAAAGCCTACCATGATTCTTTGGAAGCTGCATTCATGGTACATGGGGACTTGGTGTGGGTTTGGACACCTGCAGTACTGACTGCACTGAGTTGGTCCCCTTGGTGACAAATCCTCCATTTGGTTTTTTTAAGTTGATAATATGTGTAAGTTCTTAAAAATCTACTTTTTTTTAAAAGTGTCAACAAATATTGTCATTAAACACTTTACAAATAACATGACTTTGCAAATGTCATTAAAAGTTACAAAGGCCTATAAAATATTCATATTTATATTTGTGATATGCTAAAGAATCCTGGTAAGCTCAAATACTGCCTTAGATGGACATGATGTGTTTCAAAGTGGGGGCCATGGGGAGTGTAAAAACTATACATTTTGCTTTTTTTAAATTAAATTCCATACTCATCTATTTCAACAATGAAATGTGATGTTTTCTTAAAGCAAATTTTCACAGCTTCCTCTACTTTATCATGGTTAACAAGTGTGCATCAAACTCAGAATTTATATTCTTCACAAAAGGTAACAAAAAGAAAAAAAAGCATATGTAGTAAGGAAAAATCACTATTAAACTTCATTCGTTTTTTTTTTTGTTTTTTTTTTTCCTTTGAGACAGGGTCTCACTCTGCCACCCAGGCTGGAGTGTAATGGTGTGATCCCAGCTCACTGCAGCCTTAACATCCCAGTCTCAAGCGATCCTCTCACCTCAGCCTCCCAAGTAGCTGGGACTACAAGTGTGTGCCATCACACCTAGCTAGTATTTTTTACATCTTTTGTAGAGACAGGGTCTCAGAAGGGCACCATGGCTCAAGCCTATAATCCCACTACTTTGTGAGGCTGAGGCTGGAGGACTGTATGAGGCCAGGATTTAGAAACAAAACCTGCCTTGGCAACAAAGCAAGTCCCATCTCTGCAAAAAATTAAAAAATTAGTCAGCCATCATGGAGCTCGCATACAGTCCCAGCTACCTGAAGAACTGCTTGAGTCCAGGGGGTCAAGGCTGCAGTGAGCTATGATCACACTGCTGCACTCCAGCCTGGGTGACAGAGTGAGGTCCTGTCTCTAAAAATAAAAAATAAATAAAAAAACAGCTTACAAAGGCTGGAGCAGTCAGTCAATGAACAATTATGAGACAACACAGAGAAATTCTCCTTAGTAAATAAAACAAGATTCCCGGAAGCTGGATAAAGCAAAAATGGGTGTTGGGACCATTCATCATTTGAAACTCATCCTTTACTAATGATGAAAATTGTGGTGTAACAATAAGCATCACGATCAAGCAATACTCCTCAGTGAAGAACTCTGCTTAGTATTTCCAGAGACAATAAAGTATCTAACCAGTGGATCATATACCATCACCATCTCAGCTACTATATATTATATGCTATAGAAGGAGTTCCTCTCCCAGAAAAAAACAGAGAGCCAAATGAAATCCAGAAACAGCAGGCAGATAACACCTATTACCTCACTTCTTTGGCATCATTTTGAGCATGTCTTCTCACTTAATTACTGTGAATATAGCTCCAAAAGCCTGGAAGTCTAGACAATGATGCCAAGAGAAAAAAGACCTAGATTTTGATCCTAGTTAATCAGCGCCAGTTTGGTCTGTTTTGTAATTGCTACTTCGTGAAAATTAACTAAGTTAAAGCAAATGTGCATCACCAATTAAGCAATAAGTAGGAGTCTCTTTTGTTTTTACTTATCTTGAGAAGTAATTTTAAATAATTCAAACTTCTCTTAAAAAAAAAAACAGAATGAAACAAGGCAAAGTTTGGGTAATTTTAAATCTAAAATAGTTTTATAATTTTCCATAACAACAACTGGCTACTTTCAAGTTAGTGTCCAAAACCCACGGAAGTCTTAAAGAAAATTCTGATCTCATCTAACAAAAGCTGCTCATTCACAAAGAAGAAAACTGGGCATTAATAGGAACTTCCATAGGTTAAATTATAAAACAGTGGTAGGAGGGTTGGAACTCTAAATTAGAGAGTCTCTTCTCCTGACTCCCTAGAGTGCACTTCCCCAGGGAGATTTACTTTGCAATCTGCCACCAAAAGGTACTTTTAAATTCCAAACTATTTACTCTTCCCAGAGAACAGACATGCTGGGTTTCAAGATTGTTCAAAAGTGTTGCCATTTCAGGGAAACTGAAAAGAATCTATGCCTATAAAGACTCTGTCTCACCAATTTACCATTGTCTGAAATGTCATAGTCTAAAGTCTTTGACTAATTAAACAAAATCTCCAGAGAGGACGAAGCTAGAAAGAACTACAGCTCATGTAAAAAAGGGAAATGCACATTACGCCTTAAAACTTGGCACATACACAGGTGTGGTGAAGCACCTGTGGATGTGTAAAATCCTGTCTTAACAAAGAAGCAGGTAATGAGATTGCAGAGGACATTGGAAACAATATTCTTCATTTTCCCTCTTTCACGTTTCAAAGTTATGAAGTTCACTTTTCTTCAGCTTAGCTTCTTTCACTTAGACCTTAGTAGATTGAGGGTCAAACATTGAGTCACAGACATAGGTAGTTACTTTGGACAAAAAGATTTAATTCACAGAAGAAGGGGAGACTGTCACATCAAAAAGGACATGTAGCTAAAAAATAGTTTCTTTGATCTTATCCTCAGTTGACTGAATCTGTTTTGTATAGAAGAATAAAACAAATTACCGCCAACAGAAAATAACCAAGCCTAATATCCTACTTTTATCCGAACATCAGAAAAGACATGGAAGACATTTCAAACTCTTGGAGATAGCTTCTAAGTTTCACACTAAATCTCGACAGGTAGCCAAATAAAAGAATTAGCAGGCAAGGATACATGCACACACACACATACATATATATAAATCTTGAGGAGAACCAAGTCTGGCAGGAATACAAATAATAAATGCACTTACTAAATTTAGGAAATCCTGTTCTGAGGCAGGAATTTACACAACCATCATAACAACGCTCTTACAGGGCAGTAGAATTCTAATTTCCCCCTATATGACAGATGAAGAAACGAAGTTCCAGAGATATTAAATAATTTATCCAATATCATATAACCAGAAAGTAACAAAGCCAGCCCTAGAACCTATGGTTTGACTTCAAGCCTATAATCCCTTCCCCTCTATTTTGAACGCTCTTCTTTCCATTACCATCCATGAACTTGGTGGGGCACAGAGATATGACTAAGAAAATGTCTTTCCAAAAGAAACACAATTGTCTTAAGACCACCCTCCCATGGAAGCTCATCAAATAATCACAAAAGATTAATCATGGAAAACAGAAGAGACTAAAGCCATCACCACATCAAGACAGACTTTTCATTTTACTTTTGGGGGTAACTCTTAGGAGATTTAACCTTCATAATAAGACAACCTTTGTTCACACTGAAGTCTCATTCCTCACCTTCCCGCCACCTCCCAGGAGCTCAGAGGAACTTTGTCTAAGACTATTGTAATTTGGACTCATTCATTTCACCTAAAAACCATTTACTTCCCCTCTAAAACTCCCGATAGCCCATTCCCCACCCTGCTTCCCTCTTCCCTATGAAGAGGGTACTCAAGCCCTCAACCTTCTCTCCCTTCTTCGTGTTTCATATGTGTAGGACTCTCATGTGTCCACGCACATTGATAAATCTGTATGCCTTTTTCTCCTATTAATCTATCATCAGCATTTCAGCAAACCCTCAGAGTGGGCAGAAGGGAAGCTTTGCATCTGCCCCTACAAACTGTTTCAACTGTGAAACCTAAAAAAAACTTGAGTTTCCCATGGAACTCTTCATTTTTCCAGGTATGCTAGTTTAGAAAAACTTCCTCACCATATCAACAAGTGTTAACATATTGCTAGGAGACAGATGAATCCATAGAGGCTTCCCTCTGTCTGAAAGGATGGAGGGGAAAAAAGGGCATTGAACCAGGTGTGATTTACTGGGTTCATTCATTAGATTAGGCAAAATGGTGGCAAAACAGACCACAAAAGAATGCAACACAATATTTGGTGGCCATTCTCCCTGGTATTCATGTACTCTGGTTTCTAAAGGCACCTGGTAAAATGGCATATAGAACAGCACTTGAGGATTTAACAAGTGAGATGCTAGGAGACCATCTTTTCTTAAATGCAAACTATGCATTTGCGAGCAGCCTATCTTTCAGAAAACTTAAGTCCTTTGGGCCAACTGCTTGGGTCAAATCACAACTTGAAACAGTAAGAATTTCAAATGGAAAACTAAGCTATTTCCCTTACATGCCAGTTATCAACTGCTTGTCTTTCATATCAAAATTCACTGTTTGCCTGTAATAAGAAAATGGATCTGAGCTCTATAAATATTTTAACATTTCAGCTGACACAACATTAAGTTTTGTCAGTAGAAGGCTCTAGAGATATGTAGAAGGAAAGGGTTTTGCTCCCTGGTTCCTGGTTCCTGGTTCCTGGTTGCTCCTGCAGCCCAGATAGCTTCTCCAAAAGATGGCTTCTCTAGTGACTAGCTCCCCTCATGGACATAGCTTCATCAGAGCAAGATTTCTGCTTCAGTGCACAGCAAGCAACAGTACCCAGCAGCCAAGAGCTACCCCTGGTATTCCCTCAGGAAGACACGCAGCACAGTGGCTTTTCTAAGAAACCTCCCTGCGAACAGCTTTCCCTCGGCACCCTAGAGGGCAGAATTCTCACAAGTTCTGAGGGTGGATTTTCAGTAACTTCCACTGAAATGGCACCACTCCCATTCAGAAAGCCACACCGTGCCCTCTCCAACAAGGTCAAGATCTTAGCCCAGGGTAGGGGTAGCAGTCTCTCACCTAAAACTACCACAAAAAATAAGACGTAGGTTTGGTAGGCCTTTTTTGGATGTAGAGGCAACATATATACTACATCTGAATGTGCCACCTTAACCGACTACAGAGTCACCTAGGAAGTTTCCAATTTTGAGTAGGGAACACAATATACGAAGGTTATACAGCAAATTTGGGATGGGCAGTGCAAGCTGCTCTACCACTTGGGACTTCTGATCCAGTGGATCTAATGTTTTGAATTGTCTGTGGGAAACAGATATGCAGTAAGGAGCCTTTTAGCCATTGTGCCCTGCATCAGCTCTTGGCTATAAGAGATTGGTGCTGGAGAAGAAAGCTTTCCCCAATACTTCATAGGGCACATTTCCAGCAAGTTCCAGAACAAAGAGTTTCAGCAAGTTCTGAACAGCACCACAGTGGCTCTTCTACCACAGCCTTTGGCTCAACCCTACAGAGAAAGGCTCCCTATCTGAGCCTCTACTCAGCCCTAAGGTAAGCGTTTGCTCTTTATATCTTATATTCTTGAGAGTGCATAGTTTTTCTCTCCTGATTAGACTCAGATTAATACACCTTAATAGTAAGTTGAGAGGTTGTGTTCAGTCTAAGAAACCCAACACAGGAACCTCATTTAAACAATCAGGAGCTCATTTTGTTTTGTTTTCAATGTTTAAAACTCCAAATTATATAGGAATGATTTAGACTAAGTTTAGGTATAGCACTAAGTTCTTGACAAACTTATATTCATTAATAGGGCTATTTCAGTCATGGTTTGGCAAACTGTACATTCCTTTTCCAAACATTCTATAGTCTAAAATATAATTAATCAGCACATGGCCAGGAGATCAAGGCCAATCTGAGCAACATAGCAAGACCCCATCTCTACAAAAAATTTAACCAAAAGAAAAAAATTAGCCGGGCATGGTGGCATGAGCCTGTGGTCTCAGCTAACTGGGAAGCTGAGGCAAGAAGATCACTTGAGCCCAGGAGTTAGAGGTTACAGTGAGCTATGATCATGCCACTGTACCCCAGCCTTGGCCACGGAGCAAGACCCTGTCTTTAAAAAAATAATAAGGAATAAAAATTGTCCCTAAAAAATAATGAAGAATAAAAAATAAAATCAGCCCTTAACTTATAATCACCACCTTTAGCATTATTTTTAGTAATTCCTGATCTCTCCTATTATTCAATCTCTAAAAGGCCTAAAATATGGAGGCTAAAATCACAAATAATGTTATAAAAATGATTTTCATTATCAAAAGAGTAGCTGTTACATGTAAATACTGATAATCTCACACAGTTAGATCAACGTTATTGGCTTGACTCAGTCCACATTCTGTAAGGGACTTTATAACTCTAGCCAACTTTTAACCACAAGGAAATCCAAACAAGCTTGCAACAGTAGGTCGGTGCAAGCTAAACAATATATCTTGGCAAACAGCTTAAGTGCAAGGAACACATAGGAACATCCTCCTTAAACAGTGTCTGAACGTCTGTTGTTACTATTAAGTAGAAATACACTAAGGAGTTCACAATTCTTCTAACAGTTCAACAAAAACTTAAGCCTATCAAATTACAATAATCGACTTACAAAACAACCAAACCAACAAACAAAAAATCCCACTGATGCTACTCAAGAGGGGAAGACACCAAGTTTTCACATAAGTAGAAAATAACCATTAATGCTTCACCCGAAAGGGGTGCGAGACGGTAGCAGATTAAGCATCGAAAAGCAAATCAGTGCTTTGTGGGGGGGTTTTCCAGTAAACTTTAGAATAAAACTCTAACTTCTTAAACAATGAAAATGAAAACTAAATATCACCAACAGTTAATTTTTAATGACTTCAAAATGAAATGTGTGAAATTTGTTAGTAGCCATCTTTATGAACGGTTAAGTCTGAAAAGATGCCAAAGACAAACTTGAAATTACTATACAAGTAATGTTTTATGTTACTGCTTAGGAGTCTCTTTAGAAAAACAAAAATGATGCCTTTACAGGGACATTTCTTATTTTTTTAAAAAAGGTTTATCTTACTTGAGAGAGTCCAGGGGACGATGCATGTCCCGGGGGCGTTGCCGCAAGATTTGGATGCCCCTTGTTTATTTCATGTGCTGAATAAGGGGATGGGGTAGGGGTTCCCGGCTGTCTTGCCACTTGTGTTACCTGTGAGGAAATCAATATTTAGTAAGAACATTATATTAGTAAATCAATCTTAATAAATACAGCTGAACTATCTGATTTTTAATTGGATTTCCTACCTCACAACTTACACTAAAATAAGCACGAGACTGAACAAACACTTAAAATTTTTAAAATTGAAAAAAACAGAATTCTTTAAAAATATATACATGAATATTCTCATCAATTTGATAAAAGATTCTTGAAGCATGATCTCAAAACCAAAAATCATAAAGGAAAACACATGCTACAGGAAAGAAACAATACTTCAAACTACAAACTGTATGATACCATTTTGTAAAAGGAACAGAAAAGAAATAAATGGTTGAAAGAGGAAGGAGATGACTACAGAAGAGGAACAAGGAGATTTTTGAGGGTGACAGAACTGTTCTGTATCATGCTTATAGTGAGAATTGAATGTCTCTGCTTGTCAAGACTTATGGACGTATACACTAAAAAGGGTGAATTTTACTAAATTACATCTCAATAAATCTAAACTCCAAAAATGGCAAGTTACTTATACGACATAATCTCATTTTTGTCTTTAAAAACATATATCTGGCCAGATGCTGTGGCTTATGCCTGTAATCCCAGCACTTTGGGAGGCCAACACAGGAAGACTGCTTAAGAACAGAAGTTTCAGACCAGCCTGTGCAACATAGCAAGACTTCAACTGTATTTTATAAAAAAAAATTTTTTTTTCATTAGCTAGGCATGGTGGCATCCACCTGTAGAAATAGTTACTTGGGAAGCTGAGGCAAAAGGACTGCTTGGGCCCAGGAGTTCAAGGCTTACAGTGAGCTATGATCACACCACTGTACTACAACCTGAGTGACAGAGGAAAACCCTATCTCTTTAAATACAAAAAAATTTTTAAAAAGGACATCTAAATATACATATACATACACATGTGTAGGAATATTTCTATATACATTATTTGTTTACGTATGCATATAATACACACACATACATCTAAAAACATGTATATGTAATATTTTTAAAGATCTGTAAAGAGATATACCAAAATCTTAACAGAAAGCATTACAGGTATTTATTTTCTCATTTATATTTTCTAATATAATACAATAATCACAAATTTATACAACTGAAAAATAATCAGCATGTTTTTACGTAACCAAAAATTTCATTTTCTCCGTTTTTTGCAGGCAATAAATTGCTCATCAGCCCATTACGGATATGAAACCACTTTACTCAGACCCCTAGTGGAAGTGTCTACCAATCAATCCTAGCCAGCTCTTCCCTCTCATACACTAATGCAGACTTAACACTGATGGTTTTGCAAACTTTCATGAATTATGGGCAGTTCTGTCCTCTGCTAAAATGAAAGAAGTCATTCTCCTTAAGGAATAGTTCTTAAATTTGAGAGGAACACAAACCCTTTGCCAATCTAGCATAAAATACAGACTTCTCAGAATCGTGTTATTAAATACATAAAATACATAGGATTATGACAACAAATGATCTATATTGAAATACAGGTATAAAAATATTAAAACAAATTCCTAGCTCCCTCCTCTCCCTCTCCCTCCTCTCCCTCTCCCTCTCCCTCTCCCCACGGTCTCCCTCTCCCTCTCTTTCCACGGTCTCCCCCTGATGCCGAGCCAAAGCTGGACTGTACTGCTGCCATCTCGGCTCACTGCAACCTCCCTGCCTGATTCTCCTGCCTCAGCCTGCCGAGTGCCTGCGATTGCAGGCGCGCGCCGCCACGCCTGACTGGTTCTCGTATTTTTTTGGTGGAGACGGGGTTTCGCTGTGTTGGCCGGGCTGGTCTCCAGCTCCTAACCGCGAGTGATCCGCCAGCCTCGGCCTCCCGAGGTGCCGGGATGGCAGACGGAGTCTCGTTCACTCAGTGCTCAATGGTGCCCAGGCTGGAGTGCAGTGGCGTGATCTCGGCTCGCTACAACCTCCACCTCCCAGCTGCCTGCCTTGGCCCCGCAAAGTGCCGAGATTGCAGCCTCTGCCCGGCCGCCACCCCGTCTGGGAAGTGAGGAGCGTCTCTGCCTGGCCGCCCATCGTCTGGGATGTGAGGAGCCTCTCTGCCTGGCTGCCCAGTCTGGAAAGTGAGGAGCGTCTCTGCCCGGCCGCCATCCCATCTAGGAAGTGAGGAGCGTCTCTGCCAGGCCGCCCATCGTCTGAGATGTGGGGAGCACCTCTGCCCTGCCACCCCGTCTGGGATGTGAGGAGCGTCTCTGCCCGGCCGCCCCGTCTGAGAAGTGAGGAGACCCTCTGCCTGGCAACCGCCCCGTCTGAGAAGTGAGGAGCCCCTCCGCCCGGCAGCCACTCCGTCTGGGAAGTGAGGAGCGTCTCCGCCCAGCAGCCACCCCGTCTGGGAGGGAGGTGGGGGTCAGCCCCCCGCCCGGACAGCCGCCCCGTCTGGAAGGGAGGTGGGGGGGTTAGCCCACCCCCCGGCCAGCCGCCCCGTCCGGGAGGTGAGGGGCGCCTCTGCCCGGCCGCCCCTACTGGGAAGTGAGGAGTCCCTCTGCCCGGCCAGCCGCCCCGTCCGGGAAGGAGGTGGGGGGGTCAGCCCCCCGCCCGGCCAGCCGCCCTGTCCGGGAGGGAGGTTGGGGGGTCAGCCCCCCGCCCGGCCACCCGCCCCGTCCGGGAGGTGAGGGGCGCCTCTGCCCGGCCGCCCCTACTGGGAAGTGAGGAGCCCCTCTGCCCAGCCAGCCGCCCCGTCCGGGAAGGATGTTGGGGGGTCAGCCCCCGCCCGGCCAGCCGCCCCATCCGGGAGGTGAGGGGCACCTCTGCCCGGCTGCCCCTACTGGGAAGAGAGGAGCCCCTCTGCCCGGCCAGCCGCCCCATCCGGGAGGGAGGTGGGGGGGTCAGCCCCCCGCCCGGCCAGCCGCCCCGTCTGCGAGGTGAGGGGCGCCTCTGCCCGGCCGCCCCTACTGGGAAGTGAGGAGCCCCTCTGCCCGGCCACCACCCCGTCTGGGAGGTGTACTCAACAGCTCATTGAGAACGGGCCACGATGACAATGGCGGTTTTGTGGAATAGAAAGGGGGGAAAGGTGGGGAAAAGATTGAGAAATCGGATGGTTGCCATGTCTGTGTAGAAAGAGGTAGACATGGGAGACTTTTTATTTTGTTCTGTACTAAGAAAAATTCTTCTGCCTTGGGATCCTGTTGATCTGTGACCTTACCCCCAACCCTGTGCTCTCTGAAACATGTGCTGTGTCCACTCAGGGTTGAATGGATTAAGGGTGGTGCAAGATGTGCTTTGTTAAACAGATGCTTGAAGGCAGCATGCCCGTTAAGAGTCATCACCACTCCCTAATCTCAAGTACCCAGGGACACAAACACTGCGGAAGGCCGCAGGGTCCTCTGCCTAGGAAAACCAGAGACCTTTGTTCACTTGTTTATCTGCTGACCTTCCCTCCACTATTGTCCTGTGACCCTGCCAAATCCCCCTCTGCGAGAAACACCCAAGAATGATCAATAAAAAAAAAAAGAAAAGAAAAAGAAAAAAACAAAAACAAATTCCTGACATAGTAATATATGTTCTTCAGTGGTGCGTTAAAAATAATAACTAATGGCAATTGTTGTCTATATTCATAATGCAAAGAAATGCTAAAATTCATCATTAGACATATTCTCTATTTTCAGTTCATAGGTCTTCTGAATTTTATCATAAAGTTAAAAACTCTGCTCAGGGAAAAAGGAAAATGGCCTGGAATTCACTCAGTCAAAAGGTCTGAAGAAAATCTAGTCCCTGGTACTCTAACCTTCAAATCACTTATAACTCTCTAAACAGATATAAACATCTTCAGGATCAGCTACCTGATCCCAATACTGAAATCAAATGGACTCACACAGAACTAACTAGAACCAAAAGCTTACGAGTTAAAAGACACATAAATGATGCTACCATATGACCAAAGATTAACACTTAAAATAATTGTATCTAGTTTCATCCTTGTTTTTTAAATAACTTTGATTATGATTTTCTTGGGAAAATTTTGTTTCCAATTTTGAGTGACTATTACATTTATAAAGGCATAAAGTTTACCATGAAATGTAACAGCATATATAAATCTCACCAAGGAAATTTTTCAAAGGAGAAAAGTTGGATTGCTATTTAAACATCTACTTTAGAAAATTAATAATCAGAAATGAAGAGCTCTTATAAGAAAATTTCTTACAACAAAGCTTATGAATTTATATTATTTCCCATGTTTTAGAATTAATTATTTTGATATTTTGCTAAAGTAAAAACCTCAATATGAATACACATTTTTAACACGGGAAAAATTCTGTACAGTGAAATAAAGTGAAAATAAAAAGAGAGCAAAGAAGTTAACTATATAAAATCTATCTTAGACCAGTTTTATGATTTATTCTGATAAAAATTAAATACCAAATTTGCCCATGACAATTAAATCATAGTAAATTTTTAAAATACTATTGATAAAAAATATTAAAATACATTGTATGTTTATCAATTAAACTAACAAAAGTAAGTTAAAATAAAATCTTTGCCCCATTATTGGCAGGGATCTAAGGAAACAGGACACAGATAAAATACTGTGAATGGGTTACTTTACTATCTTCCCAGGATTACAGAGCAATGTGTCACCAAGTGCTTCAAAACCATCACCCCAAAATTATTTCACTTTAGAGTACATACCCTAAAGAAAATCTCACCTCAAAAATTAGGAACTTAAAGATATATCCAGTGCATTTCATATGATGGCAAAAACAGGTAGAAATAGCAACCAATGAGAAAATGAAGTAACACAACTGAACTAAATACATAAAAAATATAAACCTGTACACTAGTATCAACAGAAATATATGAAATAATTAGGAATAATAAAGGAAAAATACATCTGCAGAGTTGTAAAGACTGTAAGCTATGTTTCTTACAGAACTGTAAAGAGGTACTGACATATACTAAAGAATACTGAAAGAACAATTTAAATTATTACACATAAAATTAGTATCCATTGGTTTGTCAGAAAACTATTATATTGCCCCATAAAACACAAATGTTTGAGAGAAAGAGAAAAAGCATTGTGCCAAAGCCTAAAGTGCTGTTCTTTCTACATAAAAAGCTTCCTTAAAGGAAACACCAATGAAAAACAACTTTCAGGGGTATATCCCTATGGTATGCATCCTTTGCAACTCTAAATAGTTCTGCCAAACTGGTAATCCTTTGGTATCAGATATTCTAAAAAGGCACTTCCTCCTAAATTTGGGGATGTCTACTAATAAAAGCAGGCCAAAGAAAATAAGTCTGTATCAAAATAATAGAAGAACTAGAATTTCTAAGAAATTCTTCCTAGAAACAGGCTGTTACATATAATAAAAATCTCTCAGCTTCACTGTGCTCTATTCAATTCAAATAAGATCCTCTATTACATATGTCACACTGCATTAGGCATTCCATATTCGCTTTTAGTGTATTTGTTACAGGGCTTAATGTCTCTGCCAGGGAAAAAGGTATACCATCTTTTACTAGAAATTATACAGAACAGAAATAGCACAATCCTATCCCAAAGAAATGGCACAAAGGCTAATAAAATTGTCATAGATAAAAATCAAATTTACACTAAAATTTAAATACCTCTTGCAAAATATTCCTAAATTAATGATTACTGAATCCTCTATTATCTAGCTAAGGGTTCTTCTCTCTTGGTAAACTGTTCAATTTCAGGTCATACTGTTGAAATCCATCTTCTTTAAAGGGAGTAGCAACAAGTTCTCATACAAAGAAAACAAGTACGTTTTCCCATTATTTGAAAGATATTGCTACCTTCTCAATTATGAAGGCTGGGAGGGAGCAGAGGTGTAGAACAGCTGAAAACAGCAACTACTTAACTACCTCCAAAGCTAAACAGACTGTTGTCTTTTCTATAATATTAATCCTAAGCAAAATACATCAACCATTTCTTGTAGTGCAATATATGTTTGTGTGTACTGCTTATTGCATTTAAAAGAAAATATGCCCGAGAAACATTTTTGCTTCTTACAGATATTATATTTTTGCATTGGTAACAATGTGGGGCTTCCAAAATTCTCATTCTCTTGCTGGTAGAAATGTAAACTGGTACAACCACTTTGGGAAGCAATTTGGCAGTAGCTGGTAAGCTTGGAAACAGTCATGCCCTATGACCCAGCCATTCCACTCCTAGGTATACCTCTGGTTGAAAACAATGAAAACGTGCACCAGGGTACATGAACAAAAATGTTCATAGTTGTATTGTTTTAATAACCAAAAATTGGAAACAACCCAACTGTTCATTAACAGAATTGATCAATAATGAAATTTTCATACACTGAAAATTTTCCTATACAGAAACAGAATAAAAAACTACCATAACACAATTTAGATGACCCTCACAAATGGTACTGAGTAAAAGATTAAGAAGAATATATAAAGTATGATTCCATTTATCCAAATATCCAAAACCGGCAAAACTTGACCGTATTAGTCAATAGATGTACACATGTTTAGCAACACTATAAAGAGAAGCAGGAAAATGACTTTTAAAAGGCAGATAGTATTATTTCTGGGGAGAGAGGAAATTATGACAGAAAGGGCATGTGATTTTTTTAAAGCTGGTTTAAAATTTTTTTTTTGCTTTAAAATTATTTGTTAAACTCTACCTTTAAGTTTTATGTACTTATATGAACGTGTATTTTAATCCTCTTCCACACCACCTACCTCAAAAACAAGATTAAAGACAAAAACAAGCAAACTACTAACACCTGTGATAAAATATCACTTACATTGGTATTATACTGTTACTCTGCATAGAAGAAAGAAAATTTAAAAAGAAATACTGCTGCAAGAAAGAAAAGCTCTAAAATTTTGACTCAGTGGAAACTTCAGGTAGCTAGTGAATTTTCATTCAAGATTTCCACCAAAAAATAATCTCCTATAAAATTAATGATATTTGGTGGTTGGTGACCAATATTAACTTGACAGAGTTTTTTAAAAATTTAAGGTAGACCATAAAGATCATGCAAATTAGGATTAGTCATTAGGTATAAAGTTTATTTATCTAGCACTAACTTATTGGATTTGATTATATTCTGGCCAATTAAGAGCTATCATACATAAACCACAATTTTCAAATAATAAATAAAATATGGAAAACAAAGTTTCCTTAACATGATCATTCTTACATGACTCCAGAGCAAGAGAAATACCCCCTGGAGGAAACAAAATGGGAAAAAACTGGCCAGATGTAAACAACAGAGATTAGGGACTATGGAAAACGATAAGAGAATGGCCACTCCCCAGAGGGCAGCAGATACTGAGATACTCTCCTGTAGTCAAGTACTGGCATGCAGGAATTCCAGATAAGCAGTGCTACTTCTTCAAAATTTTCAAGAGTAACCAAAAATAAGGCTTTCTGCATGAAATTGTCCTGACTTCCCATACACACTACAAGCCAAATAAACCATATATTGGTATATTAAAAACACAGGCAGCCAGAGTGTGGACATGGCTCTAGGGGTATCTCATGATCATCATCAAATATAAACTTGCTTTTTCATTTTTTTTTTAATGAAATCGGGTCTCACTGTGTTGCCCAGGCTGGGGTGCATTGGTGTGATCACAGCTCATTGCAGCCTCCATCTCCCAGGCTTAAGTAATCCACCCACCTCAGCCTCCACAGTAGCTGGGACTACACGTACATGCCACCATGCCCAGTAATTTTTCTTCTTCTTCTCTCTCTCTCTCTTTTTTTTTTTTTTTTTTTTTTTTTTTTTTGTAGAGACAAGTTCTCACTGTGTTGCCCAGGCTGGTCTCAAACTCTGAAACTCAAGTGATCCTCCTACCTCCGCTTCCCAAAGTGCCAGGATTATAGGTATGAGCCACCACACCTGGCCAAACTTTCTATAAATACTCAGATATAGACTTGTGACTGGATTCTACACAAACAGGCATTGACTGAATAGATATATTGTTAAATATAACACACACACAAACCACTGTTTTTATTCTATATATTTTATATAATATGAATGAAAACATACTGCTTTAAAAAGTATAGTAATTAATCAGTTACTAAAAGAATAACAGGAAACTCCAGGATTCCTATCAAGTAAATTAATTTTTCAGCAACAAATGATTCCTATAAAGGTAAAAGGCACATGGTTTATATGTGTGACATCCCTTATTTTCTAAATCCCAAGATAAAGTTTATTTAGTGAGGTCATCTCAAAACATTTCAGCAGCTGCAACTCATACACAGAAATAACAAAGTTCAATTCTGGGTAGTTTTGAAAGATCCCAAAGCTTTTCTTATGTGGGTAATTTCTATACTTTATGCTCCTCAAGCAGCAGAATAGATAAGTCAAGTATTTTTCCCTTCATTAATATTTTGTATCATCCTAGTTCTTCCTTCAGGTCATTTATTTCCCCAAATCTACAGATATTGAGAACTAAATAAAAGCTGGTCTGCTCAACTAAAAGGAGCACTACAGTGGATATGAGGAAGGAAGTTTTACTTATACATGACACCATTTGAATTCTGTTAATATCATTGCCAATCCCCAACCACCAAGAAAAAAAGAGAAAGAAAAAGAAAATGGCATTCCTCCTTGCTCTACTCTTACCTATACTTAATAGGTTGAATTACATGAAATTCCAGATTTACAGATATTCAAGTATATTTTAACCTTAAAAAAGAAAAATAATTTTATATGATTCAAGTAATACTTAAAAACTCAAGCAAACACATACCATGTATGTTCTACTATGGACTTTGTCAGCACTGGGTTTAATTCTGAGGGTTGCTTTTCTTATTTAGTAACTATCCAATAGAAACAAGAAAATGTTGTTAAAATTGGAGGGTCAGTAACAATGCTAACAAATGAAAAAATAAACGAATAAGAAAGAAGCACTTCCAAAAATGTCTAGGTATCAAAGGTTAACGAAAGTGGACCCTATGTGAATCCTTGAGGGCCACAGGGCAAACTCTTTTTATTAAGACAGGGTCTGTATCACCTAGGCAGGTGTATAGTGGCCCGATCTCGGCTCACTGCAGGTTCCACCTACCTCCCAGGCTCAAGTGATCCTCCCACTTCAGCCTCCTGAGTAGCTGGGACTACAGGCATGCACTACCATGCCCGGCTAATTTTTTATTTTTTGTAGAGACAAGATTTCACCATGGTGCCCAGGCTGGTCTTAACTTCTAGGCTCAAGGGGTCCGCCTGCCTTGGCCCTCCAAAGTGCTGAAATTACAGGCGTGCGTCACTGCATCCAGCCAGGGTGGACTCAAATCTAAGATGGCTCTCAGTATTCCTGTACTTGGTGTACACACCCTGAATAATTCCCTCCTCTGAAGAATAAGGGGTGCCAGTGAATATAATAGGGTAACACTGATCTGGCTAGGTAATTTATCAGTTATCTGAATTAATCAAGAGACAAATCACAAACTTAACAGCTTAAAACAACACACATTTAAGTCCTTGTTGGCATGGTAAGGACTTAGGGTTTTATTCTAACATGACTGGGAACCTACTGGAAGTTTTAAAAGCAGGAGTGTGAAAAGATCGAATGTTTTCCAAAGATCATTTTGGTTGCTTTGTAAGAATAAGAACTGAAGAGTACAAGAATAGAAGCAGAGATTAGTTAAAAGCTATCATGCCAGGCCACAGTGGCTCACATCTGCAGTCCCAGCTACTTGGGAGCGTAAGGCAAGAGGCCCAACAGTTCGGCGCTGTAAGGCACCATGATCATGCCTGTGAAAAGCCACTGCATCACAGCCTGGTCAACACAGCAAGATCCTGTCTCTTAAGAAAAAAAAAAAAAAAAAAAAAACAAAGCTACTGCAATCATCTTGGCCACAACTAATGGTGGCTTAGAACACGGTAGTAACAAGATACTTTGTTTGAGCAGGTGGAACAGAAAGGAATGTAGACTGATTGATTCATTCATTCATTTAACATATATTTATTGAGAACTTTATACCAAGCATTGTACTAGGTGCATGGAATACATCAGTAAAAGAGACTAAAATCCCTGCATTCCTGGAGTTTATGGTCTAGCTGAAATACTAACAGCCATAATACTTAAATAAATTATATAGTATACTTGAAAGTGATAGATTATGGATATCAGGGATGGATTTTAAGTTTATGGCTTGAAAGATTAGGTGGGAAGAAGGGAAAGTATTCCTAATCCAAAATGCTTGGTACCAGAAGTATTTCAGGTTTTTTTTTTAATTTTTGAATATATGCACTGTACCACTTCAGCAGCCCTAATCCAAAAATCCAAAATCCAAATGCTCTAATGATCATTTTCCTTGAGCATCATGTTGGCACTCCAAAACATTCAGATTGTGAAGCATTGTATATTTTTGGATCGGGATGTTCAACCTGTTATTACTGTGAGACAGGATTAGAGGCAGAATAGACAAAGGGAAAGGGATAACCACAAGTAGTTTTAGATGCCTATCAGAGATTCAAATGGAAATAATAAGTAGTGTGTTGAATACATGAATCTAAGCTCAGGAGAGCAGTCAGGGCCAAGCAAGTAAATCTAGAGGTAGGTTCATTACCAACATTCCACATAGCATCTAAGCTAATTATCAAAACTAGCAAATTTCAGATGAAAAAGTCTGAAACTTATGAGAGGAAGATGGCAAAAGGCAAAGCTAAAATTTATTTCTGGATCAATTTTGTCAATGTCAATTGTTACATACTCAAGGTTGTGCTCACTCTCATTATGTAATCAATATGGTTTATTTCTCTGCTTGTTTTTTTTTTTTTTTTTCTTTTTTGAGACAGAGTCTCACTCTGTCACCCAGGCTGCAGTACAGTGGCGCGATCTCGGCTCACTGTAACCTTCACCTCCTGGTTTCAAGCAATTCTCCTGCCTTAGCCTCCCAAGTAGCTGGGACTACAGGCACATGCCACCATGCCTGGCTAATTTTTGTATTTTTAATAGGACAAGATTTCACCATGTTGGCCAGGCTGGTCTCAAATACCTGACCTCAAGTGATCCATCCACCTTGGACTCCCAAAGTGCTGAGATTACAGGCGTGAGCCACCGCACCCAGTCTCTCTGCTTGCTTTTTGTTTGTTTGTTTCTGAGGCAGGGTCTTGCTCTGTCACTCAGGCTGAAGCATAGTAGTGCGATCATAGCCCACTGCAACCTCAAACTCCAGGGCTCAAGCAATCCTCTCGTTTCAGCCTCCCAAGTAGTTAAAACTACATGTGTGTGCCACTACACTGGGCTAATTTGTTTTATTTTTTGGTGAGACAGGGCCTCACTATGTTGCCCAGGCTGGCTTCAAACTCCTGGGCTCAAGCAATCCTCCCACCTCAGCCTCCCAAAGTACTGGGATTACAGGCATGAGCCACTACTCCTAGCCTCTGCTTATAATTCTAAAAGAAAATAAACAAGATCATCAGAGAATAAATCAGTAATATCCTAAACTAAAATTAAATCAAAGTCAGAATCTCAGAATTTCAAAATATAGGCAAAAGGTGACTAAGGAACAATCAAACCAATGTCAGTAGTCTCAGGATTGATATGGATCTAGCACCACGGAGAAGACGTAAGCAGTAGATATATCCACAGATATAGATATAGATACAGATATAGATATACCTATTTTTTTGAGATGGAGTTTTACTCGTTGCCCAAGCTGGAGTGCAACGGTGCAATCTTGGCTCACTGCAACCACTGCCTCCCGGGTTCAAGCGATTCTCCTGCCTCAGCCTCCCAAGTAGCTGGGATTACAGGTGCGTGCCACCACGCCTGGCTAATTTTTTCTATTTTTAGTAGAAACAGGGTTTTACCATGTTAGCCAGGCTGGTCTTGAACTCCTGACCTCAGATGATCTGCCCACCTTGGCCTCCCAAAGTGCTAGGATTACAGGCGTGAGCCACGGTGCCCAGCCAATATATATATATTTTAAATAATGGGTCTGCTGATGCTGGGACAGAATATAAAGGATAGGCAGGATACCACACAGCAATCCAAACCAGTTTGATATGATTCCTAATTTCACCTACTCTGTCATCATAAATGAATTATGTGATAAATACCATAGAATATATATTTATTTTTTTAATTTTTTTGAGGCTGGGTCTCACTTTGTCACCCAAGCTAGAATGCAGTGGCACAATCACAACTCAGTGGCGCCTCCACCTCCCAAGCTCAATCAATCCTCTCACCTCAGCCTCCTGAATAGCTGGGACTACAGGCACATGCTACGACGCCCGGCTAATAGGAGATGTATTTAAAGTACTGCTGAAAAATCAAAAGTAACCAGGTCTGAGAAGAATCTGGAAGGGTTTGGTGGCACCTGACTTACACTTTGAGAACAACAAGGGTTCAGATCAAAAGTTAGAGGCAGTATTTTGAAAAGAATATTGATTCTGCTGAGAGAGCGTTAAAAAAAATAGAAAATTTATGGATGCCAAGAAACTATGTGACAGTTGTTTGAACACTGTAAGAGTAAAAAATACTAACTCATTAGAGAACAAGTAAATACATTCTTAAAATATATATTTAGAAAAATGTGTTTTAAAAATGAGAAGTTGCTTATGGTATAATTTTAAGTAAAGAAAGCAGGACAGAAATCGGTGGTGCACTAATAACTTTTTTTTTTAAGTGCACAGCAAAACAACTTGAAGGATCACGTTAAAATGGGTGGTGTGAGTCTTTTGTTAACAACATCACGGATGTTTTTCCTGTCATACTTTTCATTTTGGGGGGGGGGGTGTTGGGGGGGGGGACGCAGTCTCACTCTGTTGCCCAGACTGGAGTGCAGTGGTGCAATCTTGGCTCACTGCAACCTCCGCCTCCCGGGTTCAAGCAATTCTCCTGCCTCGGCCTCCCAAGTAGCTGGGATTACAGGCGCATGCCATCACACCCAGCTAATTTTTTTTTTTTTTTTTGGTATTTTTATCACAGATGGGGTTTTGCCACCTTGGCCAGGCTGGTCTGCAACTCCTGACCTGACCTCAAGTGATTCACCTGCCTCAGCCTCCCAAAGTGCTGGGATTACAGGCATGAGCCACCATGCCCAGCCTCCTGTCATACTTTTCTCTGTGTTTCCATTTTTCTAGCAGACACATTAATTTTATAGTGAGCAAAATCTGCTATTTGGAACTTGGCAGTGAGGTATCCAGACTGTCTTATAAAATCCTGCTTAAGCCAATGATGTAGTTGAGGATGGCGAGGTTCATGCTATCCTTTGTGCCCTGCAGCCAATGGCGAGGTTCATGCTATCCTTTGTGCCCTGCAGCCACCCAGAGACTGCAAGGACACAATCAGTGAGTGATCACTGATTCTTATCATCTGTTTGCGCCCTTGCAATCCTTGTGGACAGGAATAGGATTTAATGAGTACTTATGACAGTACTTGCAGACAAGTGGCCACTCAGATGTTTAACTATAAATATTTTCTCTGTTACTAATTCAACCAAATCTTACTATTATATGGCTATTTGAGGGTAAAATTATTTAGAATATCAACTCATGAAGACATCAGGTAGCCAGGGCTGCTTTACAGCGTAAAGGGAGGAAGCCAAGATAGTAAAAACATTTTTATTTCTTTCACTGCTAATAGAATCGTGTAGCACTATATTATGATTCCAAGGTCCTTTCCCAGTTCAACAGCAAAACCTTGATCAGTTAGGAATGACTGTCTTGAATAAAAAAAAAGAGTGGTAAGGTTTGTCTATTCTACTAAATCCAATCATTTAGTAAAACTACACAAAATTAGTAACAGTCTACACAAGCATAACAAATTAACTCCTTACTTTTTCAAGGAATACATATATTACAGGCCAATTGCTGTCCTTGTGGTCAGAAGCAGGAACACTTGACAACTCCTCAGAAGATGTGGAGTGAAGACTTTTAACATCATCTGAGGAGTGATGGCTTTTAACAGACACTCACATTCTCTTTCTTATGTTCAAAATCCATAGTCAGAGCTTTCCACCAAGACAAGGTTGTATGCGAGTCTGGAGATTACTGATATACATTCAGTGACTGCAATGGAATTAGTCATTTACCAACTTACAACTTAATTTTTTAAAACTAATGCCTTACTATTTTCCTGTTGATCTTCAGTCAGTTGCTAATCAACTAGTTATTTAACTGATCCAAGGTAAGTGAATTCTATTTTAATTCCAAGGTATTAATAAATCTCAGATTTTAGTATTCAACTATAAGCATAAATTCAATTATATTATCAAAACCACAATATTAAGTTCCTCTGACACAGATCCAAATCATGTAAGATGTGTGATATATGCCTCCATTCTGAGGCTGAGTCACGAATTATCACTTTCCAAACACAAACTTGAAAGAAGGAACATAAACAGAAGGTAAACAGATTCAAGGCATCCAAGTAGGCTAAACAGCATCAATAAAAGAGCATGGGGTTGTTTCTACCAAAAAAAAAAAAAAAAAAATTTAGCATGGTGGTGTGCACTTGTAGTCCTAGCTCTAGGGAGGCTGGGAGAGAAGGATTAAGCCCAGAAGTTGCAGCAAGCTATGATCATGCTACTGCACTCCAGCCTGGGAGACAGACTGAAACTCTATCTTAAAAAAAAAACAGTGGTGGGGCGGCGGGGGGAAGAAAAAAAGAAAAAAATGAGAATGGGTTTTGGTGTCAGAGACCTAAGTTTGAATTCTGGCTCTACTATACAGAAACTATATAAGCAAATTACTTAAGTTTAGTTTCCTCTTCTGTAAAAGTGAAAAGTAAGGACTTATCATGCTGATTTATTCAACACATTAAGATAATATTTATCATAATGCCTAGTATATAAAAAGTGTGTTTAATTATTTACAAATATTTAAACTGTTGGTTTAAAATCCTAATATTAAGCCAGTAAGTGTAAGACAGTTTTGGGGTGAAATGATTCCTGCTTGATTTTCATTTATACAAATGGGGGTGAGAGTGTTACAATAAACCTAAAGCTGTGGTTTGCAAAGTCTAATCCTTTAAGCAAGTTTAAAATAAATACTTGACCAGCCTAGGAAACATGGCAAAACCCTGTCTCTAATAAAAATACAAAAATTAGCCAGAGGTTGTGGCTACTCAAGAGGCTGAAGTGGGAGAGGGCCAACTGAGCCCAGGAGGTCAAGGCTGCAGTGAGCCATGATCATACCACTGGGCAACAGAGCGAGACTCTGTCTCAAAAGAAAATTAATAATAACAAATAACTAAATACTTGACACCTCATCCTAATTGATTTTTCTGAATTTTTTAAAGAGTTATGGCGGGAGGGGGAGGGATGAGGGGCCAGGCCCTGCAGCCTCATCAGACTCAGTCCACTCCTGGAGGAAAAAAAAAAAAAGTAAAAAATATAAAAACATTAAAAAAAATAAAGTTACTAAACAAATGCTTATTGAACAAAGAATAACAATATACCATTGATTTTACATTAGATATGTAAAAAATTAACATAGAAATGTTATAGCCATAAGAAATTAACAGAGTCAAAAGTTCTTTGGGATCTGTAACAGCTAAAGAAACTAAACACCTTTCTAATCTAGTATTCTGCATTCTATATGGCAATTAAGCAACCACAGAATGACAGTTTAAATGCACAAAGAACAGTTTCTAATCCTTCACAATTTCTTGCCTACAGAATTCCCGACAGCCAGATGTGCTTTTAAAAGATAAAAAGGGAACTGTATAAAGTTGAAGTTAAATGCTCCAGTGTCTATCAAAGTTTACAGTAAAAACTGATCGTTCTATTCATGACAACAACTTCATGGCAATAATAAATCCATGCCTGGAGATACTAATGGTCTTTCTTTCCTTTTCCTTAAAATAATTAAAACTCCATTTACCACACAACTAGTTATTAAAATCTAATTTCCTATGACTCATTTTAGTTAAACGTGGTCCATATCAGTTGTTTTATTTTTAAAAACAGTACATATACTTTGTAAAATTGCTGTGAAGGGAATATCCCACAGTTCAAAGAAACACATTTTCAGTTTTCAAACATTAAAGAACTTTATTATTATTTCTACTGTTTTCTTATCCCAGAAATTCAAAAGACATTTATAACTGGCATTTAACAAAATAACATACCCTTGTATCTTTAAGGTTAATCCTTCTTTTGAAGAAAAGTAATCAGGTAAATACATATTAAGTAATTTTTTTCTTTTCTTTTTTTTTTTTTTTTTTGAGACGGAGTTTCATTCTTATCACCTAGGGTGGATTGCAATGGCATGATCTTGGCTAACTGCAACCTCTGCTTCTGGGGTTTAAGGGATTCTCCTGCCTCAGCCTCCCGAACAGCTGGGATTACAGGTGCCCACCACCATGCCTGGCTAATTTTTGTATTTTTAGTAGAGACGGGTTTTCACCGTGTTGGCCAGGCTGGTCTCGAACTCCCAACCTCAGGTGATCTGCCCACCATAGCCTCCTAAAGTGCTAGGATTACAGGCATGAGCCACCACGTCTGGCTTTTATTAAATAATATTTTAACAAGGTATCTGATTTAACATTTAATGAGCAAATTCACATTAAATATTAACAACAAGGAATCCTAACTTTCATAAATGTTATTAATCAGCAAGCAGATACCATGATGGGTAGAAAAAGACATAAAATTTTTAATAACCAGAATACAACTGAGTACCACATGTATAAATGCTTTTTAAGAAAAATACTTCAAAATAGAAGGGTAAATAAAATCTTAATAAGATACCTCTCCATTTAATACACCGTAAAGTCGAAGTTGAGCTATTTCCAAATCCTAGGAATCAGGTTCAAAGTGCAACACAGCACCACTGCAAGGGGAAAATCTGTCTAGACTAGAATAAGGAATCTTATCAGTGAGAGTTATTGAACTCTCTTAAAACTGCAGTTAAAAAATAAAAAAAGAGGCCAGGCACAGTGGCTCACGCCACTGCACTCCAGCCTGAGTGACAGAGCGAGACTCCATCTCAAAAAAAATAAATAAATAAACAAAAAATAAAATAAAAAAAGAAAACCCCTATGTTTGTATGTTTACTGTTCTGCAAAGTAGATTCATACCTTTCATCAGATTTTCAAAAGGGCCCTAATCCCCCAAAAATTGAGTATTGCTTTTGACCTTATTTGTGATCTTAACAAAAAGAAGGGTCCGGGCACAGTGGCTCATGCCTATAATCCCAGCACTTTGGGAGGCCGAGGTGGGTGTATCACCTGAGGTCAGGAGTTCAAGACCAGCCTGGCCAACATGGTGAAACCCTGTCTCTACTAAAAATACAAAAAATTAGCCGGGCATAAGGCACCTGTAATCCCAGCTACTCGGGAGGCTGAGGCATGAGTATCGCTTGAACCTAGGAGGTGGAGGTTGCAGTGAGCCGAGATCGTACCACTGCACCTGCACTCCAGTCTGGGCGACAGAGTGAAACTCTGTCTTTAAAAAAAAAAAAAAAAAAAAAAAAACAGAATACTTCACATGAACTTGTAGATTCAAAACAGACCTGTATTCAAATTACATGTCTCCAAGTCCCATTTTCCTTTGTTGTAAATAAAGGTTGTCATAAGTATTAAATAATATCATGAATGTAAAGCATTTAGCACAGTGTCTGGGACACTGTAGTCACTCAATAAATGTTAAAAGATCCACCAAAGTTCAAATCCAACCTCTACCACACACTACCTGGATAACTTTGGGCAGGATACGTCACCTCTGTGTCTATTTGCCAACTAACAATGGGGAATGTAATTATACCTACCTCATACAGTTGTCATAAGGATTGAGTTAATACACATAAAATGCTTAGAAAAGTAACTGTTACACAGTAAGTGTTACTTATAGTAATAAAGAAAATGTTCTACAGATTGAGTATCCCTATCTGAAAAATTTGGAACCAGAAATGTTTCAGATTTCAGATTTTGGAACACCTGCAAACAGTTACCAGTTCAGCACCCCCAATCTGAAAATCCAAAATCTGAACTGCTCCATTGAGCATTTCCTTTGAGAATAATGCTGGTACACAAAAAGTTTCAGGTTTTAGAACATATCAGATTTTGAATGTTTTGATTAGAGATGCTCAACCTGTATAAACTGTTCTGTTGAGTTTTTCACCAGTTAACTCCTCTGCCTAGGTTTGGTCAATTTTTGTTATCTATTTCATGGCTCATTACACTATGTAGCTGTAACCTTATCCTCCACCTCAAAGGCTTTAACTGATGTATGTACACTCATTCCAATATCTTGTAAGATGCAGTCCAAACTTGCTGCCCACCTACATTTTATGGCTTCTTAGAGTTCATCTAGATACCATCTTTCTCTGTTTAACCATGCTTCACTCCTCCAAGTACTTTTGCTTAATGAGAACCCAGAAAAACTATACCAGTAAATGTTACTACTTATTTACATATTTTTGTTCTCATTTACATAATCATTAATGTCTCTTCCTCACATTCCCACATGTACTTAAAACAACGTATCACCATCTTGCCTGGTAAAATGAGCACTCTTAAAGACAAGGATCATAGTGTCCACCACTGCTTTCTCACATTACCAGGCACAAAACCTTGCATATAGCTCTCATTCAATATATGTTTTCTAAATTAAGTTTATCTCAATATTCTTAAAAGCTCTGCAACATCTCCAATGTTTAGTCCCCTGGAAAAGCAAGCTCCAAGAGGCCAGAGGATCTTTCAGTTATTTTGTACTTAGGAAAACACAGAAAAGTAACTTCAAACACATTTTAGGCTGTCACAACAGGAAAGGCTGTTCTCTATTTAGAAAGAAAGGCCAAACAGAAAAAAGACTGAGTCTAACTCGTAGGAATTTTTACCGGGGGAGAGGAGGGGGTAGGAAAGCAGCAGCAGCATCTGGATTTCACAAATATTTGATGACACTGACTGTGAGGTTTGTCGAAAGAAAAGAGGATGAGCTAATCATGGGTAAGAATGAGATTTTTTTTGTTGTTTTACGTAAAAGGTGAGCACAGGAAGAATAGAGAAATGAAATATACTCAATCATGGTTATCTTATAAATCATTATAGAATTCAGTCAAAGATGATCTTTCAAAGTAATGCAAGACTTGAACTCAGCTAACTGTCCTATATTAAAATTTTGGAAAAATAAATTTAAGACCACAAAGGAAAACGGCAAGCCACAACTTATTACTGCTAATACAATATTATTTTTCAATAATCTAGGAAAATTTTAAGGCCACTGTGGAAAACCATTTGCATCTAGTGATTGAATCAGGATAGAATTATTACCAATTTGCATATCAGGCAGTGGCAACTAAGACTGTGGAAAAAAAAAGTTTGATGCTTACTTTCTCTAATTGCTACAATAATGTATAAACATGATTTTTGTTAAAAAAAAGAAAAAGTAGTGCCCTCTTTACCCTTCAAATCCCACTCCACTCCCTATGGCAAAATGATTAATACTCTGAAGCACATTATTACAAACCTTTCTATACACTTACAAATGTGTAAAAATAATAGCAACAACACAATAATAAATATTCAATGACATGTTTTCCTCTCCACTTATCAAAACATTAGAGATCTTTCCAAGTCAATAAACATACCTACTTCATTCTTGTTCTAAATGTTTAAGTAGTACTTCATGGTGTAGATATAACTACATTCTTCTTAACTATTAATTTTTTAAAACTCCTTAATGAAAAGAACTATATAACCTACTAACATTTTAAGAGCCAAACATGTATGTGCAAACATAAAATAAAAAACAAACTACCTTCTTTTTGCTAAGTTTCAGATATGTCAATTAATATAAATTGGAACCACCCAAAAACTGAAGAGAGGGCAGTTTTAGAATATCAAAGGTAAACTGACATTCCATAAACATTCTTGACAGCACAATAATAATTCTTAACTAGTAATAATAGACTGAATCTTTTTGTAAGTGTAAAAAGAAACTTCCAAAGAACTTGAAAGTGGACTAATTGATATTGTTGTCTAGTAAGTTCATTTTATTATATTTCATTCCATTTCTTGAGAGTAGGTACAACCGCTACCACCCCCTCATACCCTGCATACAATAGGTTCTTCAGTGCAAATGACTGATTTTCAACATTAGCTAATGCAATTCATATCAGATATAAAGAATAAATTGAAAATTCACATTAGCTTTAGTAGCCAAAATAAATGATTGATCTAATATAAGAAACATGTTAGCCAGGTGGCATGGCTCGTGCCTGTAATCTCAAAACCTTGAAAGGCTAAGGCAGGAGGATCATCTGAGGCCAGGAGTTCTAGACCAGCCTGGGCAACATAGTGAGATCCTGTCACTACAGAAAATGAAACAAAACAAAATTAGCCGGGCATGACGACATGCACCTGTAGTCCCAGCTACTTGGGAGGCTGAGGCAGGAAGATTGCTTGAGCCCAGGAGTTCAAAGTTAATTACAGTGAACTATGATCATGCTACCATGCTCCAGCCTGGACAACAGGGTGAGAACCTGTCTCCAAAAAACCAAAGAGAAACACATCCACTCCATGTAATCCTCCAGTGCAGTCCTGACACTCCACAGAAGGTTCCATAAATAAAAACTGTATCCACTACTACCATCTGCAAAAACTGGCATTTGAAAAGCACTTACACGGCCGGGCACGGTGGCTCACGCCTGTGATCCCAGCACTTTGGGAAGCCAAGGAAGGTGGATCACGAGGTCAGGCATTGAAGACCAGCTTGACCAAAATACAAAAATTAGCCAGGCATGGTGGTGCGAGCCTGTAATCCCAGCTACTCAGGAGGCTGAGGCAGGAGAATCGCTTGAACCCAGGAGGCGGAGATTGCAGTGAGTCAAGATTGCGCCACTGCACTCCAGCCTAGGTGACAGAGCGAGGCTCCGTCTCAAAAAAAAAAAAAGAGAGAGAGGAAAAAAAAAGAAGAAGAAAAGCACTTAAACAGCTACTTCCCAAATGCTATTTTCCCAAATAAGTTAAAGACAGAGAGAGAGAAGTAGCTTTTAAACATAAAGTGACAATAATCTACAACTACACCTAGGCAACACTATTAAAATTATATTATTTCTACAAACAACTTCCTATGGGATTATTAAAAATGAACAATGGGTCTAATAATATGGCAACGGTTAAGTCAAAAGAGAAAATATATTTAACACATGGATAATTATACTACAAGTCTTTTATCCCTTAACTTCCTAAGTTTTGTATCATGTACATCTAGTAGTTTATTAAAGGAGTTTACTTTTCTAAGGTAATAAAGTTGGACATTCCAAGATGACAAATATATAATAAGTATTGATGATAAATACTAAAGTTTGAAAAGCAACACCACTGGCTGGGTGCAGTGGCTCATGCCGGTAATCCCAACACTTTGGGAGGCCAAGGTACAAGGATTCCTTGAGCCCAGGAGTTTGACGCCAGTGTGGGCAACATAGGGAGATCCCATGTCTATACAGAAAAAGACATTTAATTTTTTTATTTTATTTATTTATTTATTTATTTTGAGATGGAGTCTCACTCTGTCGCCAAGGCTGGAGTGCAGTGGTGCTATCTCGGCTCACTGCAAGTGCTGCCTCCCAGGTTCACGCCATTCTCCTGCCTCAGCCTCCTGAGCAGCTGGGACTACAGGTACCTGCCACCACGCCCGGCTAATTGTTTGTATTTTAGTAGAGACGGGGTTTCACTGTGTTAGCCAGGATGGTCTCGATCTCCTGACCTCGTGACCCGCCCGCCTCAGTATCCCAAAGTGCTGGGATTACAGGCGTGAGCCACCACGCCTAGCCTTTAATATTTTTTAAAAATAAAAAAGCAACACTATTGAAATGAAAGTCATAAGCGTTTTATCTAACACCACACTAAGCTTGTTCAGATTTCATATCAAATAAACGGTATGAATAGTTTCTTCATTGTAGTTGTAAGAATAGAATACTTACTGATGGTGGCAGCAGCTGCTGGTACATATCTGAGTGATGACTGTGTATCAAGCTCTAGGAGGTTTAAATGGATTTGTCTCATTTAACCTTCTTAAGAACCTTTGGAGATCAGCACTATTATTATCTCCATTTTACTCATGAGGAAGGAAACTGAGGTGCAAGAAACTTACCCAATGACACACACAGCTGCTAGTGGAAGCGCCAGGATCTGAATTCATTTGGTCAGATTCCAGAGCCACTTAGCTGCTCTTAACATTCTGCTCCCCATGTAACCTATAAACTCCAATTCATCTGCTAATAAATATGAGTATTTTCATGATTTAAATATTATGTCATTCCCTTAGTAGAAACTCTTCAACAGCTCCTTCTATACATCAGATAAAACCCAAATACTTTATCAAAATCTTACAAAATTACATGACCTAGATTTTGTCAGCCTCTAGAAGGGCATTTTCAAACGCCCTTGCAGCTATTCACATTTAAATTAATGAAAATTAAATAAAATTTAAAATTCAGGTCCTTAATTGCATTAACCACGTTTCAAGTGCTCAAAAGGAAATGCTCTACTGGACAGCACGGTTCTGAGCCACCAATCATCAGGAGGCTCCCACCTTAAGGCCTTGGAGCTCTGCAATATCTATTGGGAAGGTTTATGCTCTTCCTCTTCATCCATGAACAGCTGAATACATTTCATGGTTCAGGTATCACCTAAAATGGCATCTTCTCACAGGAACTGTAGGCCTCACAGCATGGACCCCTCTAAGTCTCCCTGGGCACACGCCACATGCAGATTTCGGTGCTTTCCCAACCTTCTTGGTATAAAGGTCGACAATTCTATTACCAAGGGCTCATGACAGCCTAGTTTTGTTAGAGACTGTATTGTAGGGAAGTCTATGATGGTATTGTCACATGCTGGATCATTCTGAGTGCCTGTAGACAACGTCCCTGGAAGAGATATTTTTATTTTTTAATGGAGACAGGTTTTCACTTTGTTGTCCAGGCTGGAGTGCAGTGGTGTGATAATGGCTCACTGCAGCCTTGACCTCTGAGGCTCAAATGATCCTTCCACCTTCTCTCATATCTTAACAGAAATGATCAGTTTTAAATCTTGTTTCTCTATTTCTAAACACTACAATTTTCATTATTTTTTACTTTCATATGTTTTTCTACCACCATCTAGTAGAGTACCATAGATGGTATTGAACAAATACTGGCTAGATGAATAAATATTAATAATATTAACCAATCTTAATAATTTTGCCTAACGTTTGAGAAAATCTAGATTCAAGTTTCTCAACAGTGACACTACTGCCATTAGGGCCAGGATAATTCTTTATCATGAGATTGTTGCATGCACTTGGATGTTTAGATACTTACCTGGCCTCTACCCACTAAATGACAGCAGCATCCTCTGTCCATCTCCTCAACCCTCACCAGCTGTGGCAGTCAAAAACATCTCCACACATAACTAAATATCTCTGGGGGTAAACTCACCTCCAGTTGAGAACAACTGACTTAGGTATTTCCAAATGACTGGCAAATTCTAAGCTAAACATTATAAGAATGCCTAACATTATGAAAATATCTAAATGCTATCATCTCGTATTTAAATTTATCAAATACAAAAATCTGGATTTCTAACTATGGTCAGTTATCATTCATAAATGCTACTGGAGAAAAAAATAATAATAATTTATATACATAAATCTTCTTACAACCAAATCCTTTCTGTCTTAACAATCAAGAAAATTTCATTACTTTTCCATACCAAATAATTCAAACGCATTAAACAGGAAAAAAAGATTAAATGGCTAAGAAGAAAGTTCTTTAAAAATTCCTAATTATTATGTTCCTACAGAATTAGGAAGATTATAACTGCTGTGTAATAACTTGGAAAAATATTTTCCAATACAATGTTGTATTAAAAAAGAAAACTAATCCAGGTACACTGGCTCATGCCTTTAATCCTAGGACTTGGAGAGGCCGAGCGAGGTGAGAGAATCGCTTGAGCCCAGGAGTTCGAGACCAGCCTGGGAAACACAGCAAGACCCTGCCTCTACAAAAAGTAAAGTATTCGCCGGGGTGGTTACCGTAAGTGAAAAGATGATAATCACAATCATGAAAACATGGGAAAGTATAAAACTCACTGATAGATCAGATACACAAAGAAGAAAGAAAAAAGAATCGAATCTTATCACTACAGAAAACCAACAAACTGAAATAATAAACAAGGAGAGGGAAAAAAGGAACAAAGGATATACAAAACAACAAGAAAACAATTAACAAAATGATAGGAATTAGTACTTATCTATCAATAATAACCATGAATGTAAATGAATTAAATTTCCCAATTAAAAAATATAGACTGGCTGGATTAAAAAACATTACACACCTATATGTTGCCTATAGGAAATTCCCCGTAAAGACACACATAGGGCCGGGCAGGGTGGCTCATGTCTGTAATCCCAGCACTTTGGAAGGCCAAGGTGGGCAGATCACCTGAGGCCAGGAGTTTGAGATGAGGCTGGCCAACATGGTGAAACCCCATCTCTACTAAAAATCCAAAAATTAGCCAGGCATGGTGGTGGGTGCCGGTAATCCCAGCTACTTGGGAGGTTCAGGCAGGAGAATCACTGGAACCCGGGAGGCGGAGGTTGCAGCAAGCCGAGATTATGCCATTGCACTTCAGCCTGGGCAACAGAGTGAGACTCCAACTCACAAAAAAAAAAAAAAAAAAAAAAAAAAAAAAAAAAGACAGACATAGACTAAAAGTGAAGAGACAAAAAAAGTTACTCATCACAAACACAAACCAGGAGTAGTAGCTATACTACTCCTGCCTTATAAAACAGGTTATAAGTCAAAAACTGTAAAACAGACAGAAAAGGTATACCATATGATGATAAACGGATCAATTCAGCAAGAAAATATAACAATTATAAATACATATGCACGTAACAAAAGAGCCCCCAGACATATATAGCAAGTACTATTTGATCTAAAGGGTGAGATAGACTAAAATAAAATAATAGTTGGGGACTTGAACTATTATTCAACTTAAATATCCCACTCTCAGCATTGGACAGATGATCTAGAAAGAAAATAAATAACCAAACGTTGGATTTAAACTGCATTTTAAACGAAAGACACCTAACAGACATTTACAGAACATTTCATCCAACAGCTGCAGAATACACATTCTCTTCATCAGCACACGGGTTCTCCAAAATAGACCACTTAGGCCACAAAACAAGTCTCAGCAAATTTAAAAGAAATAAAATCATACCAAGTATCTTTTCTGACCGATATACAATGAAACTAGAAATCAGTAACAAAAAGATCTTTGGAAATAGATCTGTACAAATACATGGAAATTAGGCAATATCCTCCTGAATGAACAATGGATCAATGAAGAAATGAGGAAGAAAATTTTAAAATTTCCTGAAATAAATGACAGTAGAAACACAAAATACTAAAATCCATGGGACACAGCAAAAGCAGTAGTAAAACGAAAGTTTATTGCAATAAACACCTACATCAAAAAAGCAGAAAGAAAAGCAAAAGCAAAGCAGCAGAAAAGCAAAAAAGCCAAGATATGCCCACTGCACTCCAGCCTGGGAGAGAGAGCAAGATCCCATCTCAAAAAATAAAAATAAAAAATAAAAAAATAGAGACATGATACTACCTAACTTCAAAATATGCTGCACAGCTACAGTAACCAAAACAGCATGATACTGGACTAAAAACATAGACCAATGGAAGACAACAGAGAATCAAGAAACAAATCCATTTATTTATAGCCAATTCATTTTTTTAAGGGTGCCAAGAATATACACAGGAGAAAGGACAGTCTCCTCAATCAACAGTGCTGGGAAAACTGGATATCTACATGCAGAGAAATGAAACTAGATCCCTATCTCTAACCATATACCAAAATCAAACCAAAATGGACTAAATATTTAAATGTTAAGATCTGAAACCATGAAACGAATACAAGAAAACACCAAGGAAATGCTTCAGAACATTGGTCTGAAAAAAGATTTTTCTTTTGGGTAAAATCTAAAAAGAGAAAAAAGCAAAACTAGAGAAGTGGGATTATATCCAATTAAAAAGTTTCTGCAAATTTAAGGAAACAGTCAACAGAGTAAAGAGACAACTTACAGAACGGGAGAAAATATATGCAAACTATACATTTGACAATTGATTAACAGCCAAACTATATAAGAAACACAACTCAACAGCAAAAAGAAAAGAAGAAAAAAATCCAATTTAAAAATGGGCAGGCAGTGATCTGTAATCCCACTCTGGGAGGTCAAGATAGGAGGACTGCTTGAGCCCAGGCATTCAAGACCATCCTGGGCAACATAGTGTGACCCCATAGCTACAAAAATAAATAAACAAATTGGCCTGGTATGGAGGCAGCATGCTTGTAGTCCCAGCTACTCAGGAAGCTGAGGCAGGAGGATCACTCAAGCCCAGGATGTTGAGGCTGCAGTGAGTCAGGATTGCACCACTGTCCTCCAGCCTGGGCAACAGAGCAAGGCCCTGTCTAGAAAAAAAAAAAAAGAAAAAAAAAGGACAAATGATCTAAACAGACATTTCTCAAAAGAAGATATACAAATGGCTGACAAGTATATGAAAAGTGCTCAATATCACTGATCATCAGGGAAACACAAACGAAAACCACAATGAGATTTCATCTCCCTCCAGTTAAAGTGGCTATTATTAAAAATACAAAAAAAAAAAAACGGGCCGGGCGTGGTGGCTCACTCCTGTAATCCCAGCACTTTGGGAGGCCAAGGTGGGCAGATCACCTGAGGTTGGGAATTCGAGACCAGGCTGACCAACATGGAGAAACCCCATCTCTACGAAAAATACAAAATTAGCCAGGCGTGGTGGCGCATGCCTGTAATCCCAGATACTCAGGAGGCTGTGGCAGGAGAATCGCTTGAACCCAGGAGGCGGAGGTTGTGGTGAGCCAAGATCACATCATTGCACTCCAGCCAGGGCAACAATAGCAAAAACTCCGTCTCAAAAAAAAAAAAAAAACAACAAAAAGACACTGCCGAGAAAGCAGAGAAAGGAGAATGCTCGCACTGCTGCTGGGAACATAAGTTAGTAAGGCCACTAAGGAGAACAGTATAAAGGTTCGTGAAAAAACTACAATAGATCTACCATATGATCCAGCAATCTCACTGCTGGGTACATATCCAAAAGAAAGGAAATCAGTGCATTAAAATTATAAGTGAATTCTACAGCATTTAGAATTTATAGCATTCATTTATTTATTAATGAATTCAGTGCAGAGATAGCTGCCACCCGTGTTTACTGTAGCGCTATTCACAATAGCCAAGATGTGGATCAATGTAAGTATCCATCAACAGAATAATGGATAATATAAATGTGTCATATATACACAATGAAATATCACTCAACCACGTCCATTTGCAACAACAGAAATGGAAGAGGAGGTCATGATGTTACATGAAATAAGCCAAGCAAAGAAAGAAAAATATCATGTCTTTACTCCTATGTGGGAGTTAAAAAAAAATTCATCTCATGTAGGTACAGAGTAGAATGATGGTTACCAGAGGCTGGGAAGCATGGAAGGGTGGTGAGACATATGAAGACTGGTTGGTTAATGAGTACAAACATACAGTTAAATAAAAGGAATAAGTTCTAGCGTTAGCAGAGTAGGGCAACTATAGTTAACATTCATTTGTTGTATATTTCAAAATAGCTAGAAGATTTCAAATGTTTCTAACACAAAAGATAAATATTTGAGGTGATAAATATCCTAATTACCCAGATTTGACCACCACACATTACTTGCATGCATCAAAATAACACACGTGGCTGGGCATGGTGGCTCATGCCTGTAATCCCAACACTTTGGGAGGCCAAAGCAGGTGGATCACTTGAGGTCAGGAGTTCGAGACCAGCCTGGCCGATATGGTGAAACCCCGTCTCTACTAAAAATACAAAAATTCGCCGGGTATAGTGGCGTGCACCGGTAGTCCCAGCTACTATGGAGGCTGAGGCAGGAGAATCGCTTGAACCCAGGAGGCGGAGGCTGCAGTAAGCTGAGATCATGCCATTGCACTCCAACCTGGGCAACGCAGTGAGACTCCATCTCAAATAAATAAATAAAATAGCACATGTATCCCACAAATAATTATTAAGTATCAATTTTTAAAAGCAGAGATGTAAAGATAAATGATTCTTCTAAAAAAAGTATAAATAAATCTTTAGTTTAAATGATATATTTGCCATCTGTGCTAGATGATAGGACAATCAAACAGATTTACATCTGGCTGGACACCATTGCCTAAAGAATATTGATCAACCCAAGCTAAACTTTTGTCTCTGGCGAGGTATCTCCACTGAAATCCTAGCCTACTCAATAGTGACCTGGCAAATACTCAACAGTGGCCTGGCAAAAGAAATAAAAGCATGGTTCTCTAATTAGATTAAACAAAGCTTTAGGGTAAAAGAATCAAGATTTTATAAAATATAAAATGGCTAAATGTATCATGAGGCCAGGAGCAGTGGCTCACACCTATAATCCCAACACTTTAGGAGGCTCAAGCAGGAAAATTGCTTGAGTTCAGGAGTTCAAGACCAGCCTGGGCAACATAATGAGACCTTGTCTCTACAGAAAAAAAAAAAAAAAAAATGCTTTTTAATTAGCCAGGAGTCATGATGTACATCTGTAGTCCTGGCTACTTGGGAGGCTAAGGCAAGAGTATCTCTTGAGCCTAAAAGGTTGAGGCTGCAGCGAGCCATGACTGAGCTACTACACTCCAGCCTGGATGACACAGTAAGACCCTGTCGCAAAAGAAAAAAAAAAAAAAACTCATGAAATTTTATGGCATAGCTGGGCATGGTGGCTCATGCCTGTAATCCCAGCACTTTGGAAGGCTGAGGCGGGAGAATTGCTTGAGCCCTGACATTAGAGACCAGCCTGGGCAACACAACAAGATCTCATCTCTACAAAAATTTTAAAAATTAGCCAGGCATGGCCCGGGTGCGGTGGCTCACTCCTGTAATCCCAGCACTTTGGGAGGCCGAGGCAGGTGGATCACCTGAGGTCAGGAGTTCGAGACCAGCCTGGCCAACATGGTGAACCCCGTCACTACCAAAAATATAAAAACTAGCCAGGCGTGGTGGTGGGTGCCTGTAATCCCAGCTACTCGGGAGGCCGAGGCAAGAGAATTCCTTGAACCCAGGAAACAAAGGTTGCAGTGAGCCAACACGGTGCCACTGCAGTCCAGCCTCGGTGACAGAGTAAGACTCCAACTAAAAAAAAAAAAAAAATTAGCCAGGCATGGTGATGCATGCCTGTAGTCCTAGCTACTTGGAAAGCTAAGGGAGGAGGGATAGCCTGAGCCCAGGAGTTTAAGGCTGCAGTGAGACATGATCGTGCGACTGCACTCCACCATGGGCAACAGAGAGAGACACTGTCTCAACAAAAAAAAAAGAGAGAGAGAAAGAAGAAAATAAATTTTATGGCATTGAAGAGGAATTATCTGTAGTCAGCTAAAATCATGCCACTGTACTCCAGCCTGTGCAAGAGCGGAGGACCCCGTCTCAAAAAAAAGAAAAAAAAAAGAGCTATTTATTAAGAAGTAATTTAAATAATTTATAGGAATTTCTTTCTTCCTTTATTTTTTTTGGAGGGGACAGGGTCTCACTCTGTTGCCCAGGCTCGAGTGCAATGGCGCCATCTCAGCTCACCGCAACCTCTGCCTCCGGGGTTCAAGCAATTCTCCTGCCTCAGCCTCCTGAGTAGCTGGGATTACAGGTGTGCGCCACCATGCCCGGCTAATTTTTGTATTTTTAGTAGAGATAGGGTTTCACCATGTTGGTCAGGCTGATCTCAAACTCCTGACTTCGTGATCTGCCCACCTCAGCCTCCCAAAGTGCTGGGATTACAGGCATAAGCCACCGGGCCCAGCTGTGAATTTTTCATAAGCAGTTACTAAGATAACCCTTCCAACCTCACAGAATATAAATTTCTCCTTCTTTTAGTAATGTCATTATTCTATTATTAAGTTCATCTCTGCAATTATATTAAAAATACTAGCCTGATAGTCATAAAATCTAATTTCTCTAAGTAAAATATATACGACAAAATTATAGAACATAGTAAAATTCCACAGTTTATACTGCAGAGGCAGGCCAATATAAGAAAGTTATCAATTAATATTTCAAATTAACCTATGTTTCTTTAGTTTTGACATTTTCCCTCCCCCATTTAACATATGCAGCTCTCACTAGACCTTTTAAAAATATGTACTTGGGCTGGGCGTGGTGGCTCACGCCTGTAATCCCAGCACTTTGGGAGGCCGAGGCGGGTGGATCACGAGGTCAAGAGATCAAGACCATCATGGCCAACATGGTGAAACCCCGTCTCTACTAAAAATACAAAAAATTAGCTGGGCATGGATGGTGCACACCTGTAGTCCCAGCTACTCGGGAAGCTGAGGCAGGAGAATCACTTGAACCTGGGAGGCGGAGGTTGCAGTGAGCCAAGATCGCACCACTGCACTCCAGCCTGGGCGACAGAGTGAGACTCCATCTCAAAATATATATATATGTGCTTGATTCTTTTTTTGTTCATATGATCAATCACTCAATTATGGCTAATAAGGAATAATGACATAAGCTTCTCTCTCATATCTGATAAATGTTCCCAGGGCAAACTTACAAAAACCAGGTTAAAATAAACAAATACAAAATAACTAGACTAAATGTAACATGAACACATTCCAGAAGATGAGTCCAATTTTTTTTTTTTTTTTTTTTTTTTGAAACAGAGCCTTGCTCTATTGCCCAAGCTGGAGTGCAGTGGTGCATCTCGGTTCACTGCAACCCCTGACTCCCGGGTTCAAGCAATTCTCATGTCTCAGCCTCCCAAGTAGCTGGGATTACTGGCTCACGCCACCATACCCAGCTAATTTTTTGTATTTTTAGTAGAGGCGGTGTTTCGCCATGTTGGCCAAGCTGGTCTCGAACTCCTGACCTCAAGTGATCTAACCGCCTCAGCCTCTCAAAGTGCTGGGATCACAGGAGTGAGCCAACCACGCACAGCCCCAACTTTTTTTTCTTAATTTTTTAAAAATACAGAGACACGGTCTCACCATGTTGCCCAGGCTGGTCTCAAACTCCTGAGCTCAAGCAATCTTCCCACCACCTTGGCCTCCCAAAGTACCAGGATGACAAGTGTGAGCCACCGTGCCTGGCCAAGTCTGACTTTTAATGCTTCTTTGATTATCAGCAAATCCCTATTATGTAAAATGACGGACATTAGTGTAAAAAGCCTGCATACCAGATACAAAAAAGCATAATCTTTGTGTAATTTTGAGACTGGCCAGGAGCCTTTCAAGGAATTTAACCAACTCAATGAAAGTGACATATGGACACCATATGCTAAGGCAGTAGGAGGTGAACTGAGGGTTAACTTTTACTTCATGACATAATCCCAGCATATTCGGAGGCCAAGGCGTGTGGATCACTTGACATCAGGAGTTCAAGACCAGCAAGGCCAACATGGCGAAACTCCTTCTCTACTAAAAAATACAAAAATCAGTCAGGTGTGGTGGCACGTGCCTGTAATACCAGCTACTCAGGAGGCTAAGGCAGAAGAATCACTTGAACCCAGGAGATGGAGGTTGCAGTGAGCCAAGAATGCATCACTGCACTTCAGCCTGGGTGACAGAGCAAGGTTCCACCTCAAAACAAACAAAAAAACAACAAAAAAGGGGAAACCGGCAGGATGCAGCAGCTCACACCATAATCCCAGCACTTTGAGTGGCTGAGGTGAGAGGATCAATTGAAGCCAGGAGTTTGAGACCAGCCTGGGCAACATAGCAAGGCTCTGTCTCTGTTAAAAAGTTTAAAAAATTGGCCGGGCGCGGTGGCTCACGCCTGTAATCCTAGCACTTTGGGAGGCCGAGACGGGCGGATCACGAGGTCAGGAGATCGAGACCATCTTGGCTAACACGGTGAAACCCCGTTTCTACTAAAAATACAAAAAATTAGCCGGGCGTGTTGGCGGGCGCCTGTAGTCCCAGCTACTTGGGAGGCTGAGGCAGGAGAATGGCATGAACCTGGGAGGGGGAGCTTGCAGTGAGCCGAGATCTCGCCACTGCACTCCAACCTGGGAGACACAGCGAGACTCTGTCTCAAAAAAAAAAAAAAAAAAAAAAAAAAAAAAAAAAAAGTTTAAAAAATTAGCTGGGCACGGTGGCTTGTGCCTGTAATCCTAGTTACTCAGCTATTTAGGAAGCTGATGTAGGAGGTTCACTTGAACTCAGGAGTTCAAGGCTTCGATGAGCTGTAATTATGCCACTACTCTCTGACCTAGACGACAGAGTGAGACTCTGTTAAATAAATAAATAAATAAAAAGTGGAGACTATCACACTTTAAGGTAACTTTTAGCTGCCTAAAAACCTTTCTTCCAGAATAGGCATAAAACATAATATATACACAAACACATTTTTTTTTTGGAGACAACGGTTTCACTCTGTCGCCCAGGCTGGTCTCAAGTTCCTGGGCTCGAGCAGTCCTCCCTCCTTGGCATGCCAAAGTGCTAGGATTACAGGCGTCAGCCACCACACCCAGCCACACACACACTTTTTTTTTTTTTTCTAATAGAGACAGGGTTTCACCATGTTGCCCAGACTGGTTTCAAACTCCTGAGCTCAAGTGATCCACCCACCTCAGCCTCCCAAAGTGCTGGGATTACACGTTTGAGCCACCATGCCTGGTCTCGATTTTTTAAAACTGATCAAAGGACTACAAATATGACAGTAGTTTTAAATAGTAAAAATCAAATTAGATCAAACTAAAAAAATACATTCAAAAGCTTAGATTCAAATATTTCCTGTAAACTGCATGACAGGCAGTGTGCTGTTGCTCACAGGATTTGGATGATCTATTCTCCAAAGTAATAAAATTACAGAATTACATGTCCTCATTTATGAGGTTTTATAACTCAGGTTTTTTCAACAAAATACTCGTTCCTCATTCAGTATTCATCTCCACAAATAGGACCACTCAGTTGCCCAAACCAAGATCTACGACACCACCTTTACTCTTTTCTCTCACATCCCACATCCAAGACATCAACATATTCTACTGACTTTACTTCTCCTTACTCCCATTTCAATCACCACCACATGTCCACATCACACAGTCTATTCTCCATACAGCAGCCACAGTGACCTTTTAAAAGTAAATTCACACCTACTCCTCTTAATCCTCCACTGGCTTTCTATTATATCTAGATTAAAATCCAAAATCTTTACTATGGTCTGTAATGTCCATGTATTAGTCCATTCTCACACTGCTATAGAACTACCTGAGACTGTGTAATTTAAAAAAAAAAAAAAAAGAAAGAAAAAAAAGAGGTTTAACTGACTCACAGTTCCACGTGGCTGGGGAAGCCCCAAGAAACTTACAATAATGGTAGAAAACGAAGAGGAAGCAAGGCACGTCTTACATGATGGCAGGAGAGAGAGAGAGAGCAAGGGGAGAAGTGCCACACCTTTGAACCATCAGATCTCATGAAAAATCATTCACTATCACAAGAACAGCATGGGGAAAATCTGCCCCCATGATCCAATCACCTCCCACCAGGTCCCTCCCCTGACTTGTTGGGGATTACAATTCGACATGAGATTTAAGTAAGGACACAAAGCCAAACCATACCAGTCCACATAATCTGATGTCTCAAATCCAACCTCCCTCCATTCCAGCCACACTGGCTTTCTTCCATTTCTAAGACTACATTGAGCTCACTCCTATCTCTGGGCCTCTGCACTGATGTTCCTTCTACCACAAATGTTTTTTTTTTCCTAGAAATCTTCAGTTTCAGCTTAATTGCCACCTTTTCAGAGAGACTTTCCCTGAGAGAATTAGTTAAGGTAGAATGGCCAGTCATTCTCTATCCCTTTATCCTGCTTTATTCTCATCAAGTTACTTACTAAAACCCAATAGTATACTGTATATATATTTGTTTGCTGTCTTCTTATCCCATAAAGATGTAATATCCATGAGGGCTGAGGGTCTGTGTTGCTCCATTACCATATCCTGAACACCTAGACCACTGCATGACACACAGTAAAAGCTTAAGCTTAAGTATTCAATGCTGAGTGATTAAATTCTTTTATAATAAACAATATATAACCATTTATTATTTAAGAAATGTTATCTAAGGAATGGCATACAAAAAGCTGATACGAGATAAAGGGACAGAATAAAGCATAGGGTCTAAAAAAAAGACAAGAAAGACAAGCTACACTCCAAAAATGGTTATAGTATTTGCCTCCATAAATCACTCAGGATTACTAGAAGTTTTCATTTTTACTTATCTTAATTTAAAAATAATAATTAAATGGTGAAAGTATACTTAGGTAATTAGAAAACATTATCGTATTTTAAGAGGGATTCTGACAATGATGCTGTTCTTTTGCATAGTACTTTTTGAAAAAACTATAAAAAACTAAGACCTAGAGAAAGGTTGTGCCAGAAAAAAATATTTTAAGTTTTCTTTTTTCTTAAGACACAGGATTTTGCTCTACTGTCCAGGCTGGAATTCAGAGGCGCAATCATGTATCACACTGCAGCCTCGACCTCCTGGGCTCAAGTGATTCTCCTGCCTCGGTCTCCCAACTACCTAAAATTACAGGCTCGCACCACCATGCCTGGCTAGTTTATTTTTTGTTGAGATGGGGTCTCATTATGTTGCACAGGCTGGTATCAAACTACTGGGTTCAAGCAATCTTCCCGCCTTGGCCTCCCCAAGTGCTGAGATTACAGGTAGGAGACAGCACAATCAGCCAAAGGTTATTTTTCTTTTCTTTTGAGACAGTCTCACTCTGGCGCCAGGCTGGAGTGGCGCGATCTTGGCTCACTGCAACCTCTGCCTCCTGGATTTAAGCAATTCTCCTGCCTCAGTCTCCCGAATAGCTGGGACTACAGGTTCACGCCACCACACCCGGCTAATTTTTGTATTTTTAGTAGAGATGGGGTTTCACCATGTTGGCCAGGATGGTCTCAATCTCCTGACCTCGTGATCCGTCTGCCTTGGTCTCCCAAAGTGCTGGGATTACAGGAGTAAGCCATCGCGCCTGGCCCAAAGGTTATTTTTCAAAGTGTTATTCAAAATGTTATTTTTCAATGAACTGAAGGTTCCTAATGATTAGGGTGACCAGATAATTTATAACAGAAACTGGGTCAATTCTAAGAGTGAATGGGGCTGCAGAAATAATTAATTGATCTACAATAGGTGTTACTGAGCCTTCAGACAGACCAAGAAAAATATCCATTACCTACATGATACTCTTTTTTTTTTTTTTTTTTTTTTGAGGGTCTCACTCTGTCACCCAGGTTGGAGCATAGAGGTTTGATCAAAGCTTACTGCAGCCTTTAACTCCTGGCCTCAAGTGATCCTCTTGCCTCAGCCTCCAAAGTACATGGGACTACAGGCACATGCCACCATGCCTGGTTAATTTGCAAATATACAAAGATCAGCTTAAAACCCCCCCAACCAACCTACATACTCTTTATTTCACTTCATATTATGTCATAGTGAACTGTCTACTGGCCATTCCATTAACCACGCCTCTGGATCTTCACTTCCTAGAAGGCTTTGCCTTCTCTTCTCTACCTACAGAAGTCTTGCATCTTCTGCTTTAAGTGTCACTTTCTCAATGAAGTCACCTCTTCCTTTCGCATGCAATTAACACGTTCCTGTCTCTAATCAAAGGTTCTTAATCTGGAGCTTAGAAATGGCCTGATGAGGTGGGGCGCAGTGTCTCACACCTGTAATCCCAGCATATTGGAAGGTCAAGGTGGGCGGATCACTTGAGGTCAGGAGTTCGAGACCAGCCTGGCCAATATGGTGAAACCCCATCTTTACTAAAAATACAAAAATTAGCCAGGTGTGGTGATGTGCACCTGTAATCCCAGCTACTCAGGAGGCTGAGGCAGGAGAATCACTTGAACCAGGAGGCAGAGGTTGTAGTGAGCCAAGATCGAGCCACGGCACTCCAGCCTGGGCAACAGAGTGAGATTCCTTCTCAAAAAAAAAAAAAAAGAAAAAAAGAAATGGCCTGATGGACATCTGGGAAACTCTGAAATTATATGTAAACACTATGTATATGTAACTCTTGAAAGAGAGAGCATTACAACTATTTTCAGATTCTAAAAGTGATTCACAACCCAAAATAATAGGAATCACTTCTCTATCATATCACTTTATATTAGAATTATTTATTTTCTTATCTCCCTCAGTAGACTATGAGTCCTTTTAAGGTATCCTATCTATATCCACAGGAATAAATGGTATGTTGAACCGAAATATTTAAAAGATAGGTTTCACTCCCTAATTCCCCTAAATTACCTTAGGTTCACTGTAAAACACCTAAAATTTACTTCTAATATTATTAGCTTCATCCTCTAACTTTTAAATTTTCTTTCATATGGCTGGGCATGGTGGCTCACGCCTGTAATCCCAGCACTTTCGTAGGCCAAGGTGGGTGGATCACTTGAGCCCAGGAATTTGAAACCAGCCTGCTCAACCAAGTAAGAATCCTCAAAATAATTATTTTCCCTTCATTTATGAATTTGAATCATCTAATATAAAAAATTAAATGGGCTGGGCATAATGGCTCATGTCTATAATCCCAGCACTTTGGGAGGTGGAGGCAGGAGGACTGCTTGAGCTCGGGAGTCTGACCAACCTGAGCAACATCATAAAACCTTGCCTCTACCAAAAAAAATTTTTTTTTTTTTGAGACGGAGTCTCGCTCTGTCGCCCAGGCTGGAGTGCAGTGGCACGATCTCAGCTCACTGCAAGCTCCGCCTCCTGGGTTCACGCCATTCTCCTGCCTCAGCCTCCTGAGTAGCTGGGACTACAGGCGCCCGCCACCATGTCCGGCTAATTTTTTCTATTTTTAGTAGAGACGGGGTTTCACTGTGTTAGCCAGGATGGTCTCGATCTCCTGACCTCGTGATCCACCTGCCTCGGCCTCCCAAAGTGCTGGGATTACAGGCATGAGCCACCGTGCCCAGCCAAAAAAATTTTTTAATTAGCATGCACAGTAGCATGTGACTGTAGTCCCAGTTACTTGGGAGGCTGAGGCAGGAGGATAACTTGAGGCCAGGAGTTCAAGGCTGCAGTAATCCATAATCATGCCACTGCACTCCTGCCTGGGTGACAGAGTGAGACCCGATCTCTTAAAAATGAAAAAAAATTAAATTTCCTTCTGTTAAAAACAGTGTTCATGGCCAGGCACAGTGGCTCAGGCCTGTAATCCCAGCACTTTGAGGGGCTGAGGTGGTGGATCACTTGAGGTCAGGAGTTCGAGACCAACCAACATGGTGAAACTCTGTCTCTACTAAAAGAACAAAATTAGCAGGGCATGGTGGCACACGCCTATAATCCCAGCTACTTGGGAGGCTGAGGCAGTAGAATCACTTGAACTGGGAAGGCAGAGGTTGCAGTGAGCTGAGATCACACCGTTACATTCCAGCCTGGCAACAAGAGCAAAACTCCATCTCAAAATTTAAAAAAAAAGTGTTCACTCTTCTAAACTTTCAGCATTTTGAAAATATGTAATCAAGGAGAATAAAAAGTAAAACTTAAAAAATTTAAAGTTTAGAAAATGTAAAACTGATAAAATTTTTAAGAAAAAAAATCCAGAAAGAAAATAAAACTCAAGAGTCCAAAAAGAATACAAAGCTGCCTATAATCCCAGCACGTTGGGAGGCCAAGGCAGGTGGATCACCCGCAGTCAGGAGTTTGAGACCAGCCTGGCCACCACGGTGAAACCCCATCTGTACTAAAAATGCAAGAATTAGCCAGGTGTGGTGGCACGTGCCTGTAGTCCCAGCTACTCAGGAGGCTGAGGAGGGAGAATTGCTTGAACCCAGGAGGCGGAGGTTGCAATGAGCCAAGATCACACCACTGCACTCCAGCCTGGGTGACACAGTGAAACTCTGTCTCAAAATAATAAAAATAATAATAATAATAAGGCCAGAGGTGAATATTTACAGAAAGGAAAAATAAGACAGGTCTCTCTATCTTAACACAGTATTTGTTTCACTCCATTTCTTAGATTAAGATGATATGGAAAGGGCCTATCATTCTATTCAGAATTTTATTGAACTTTTTGCCAAAAATTTGTCATGTGTCAATCAAACAAACACTGCCTATAATTAATACCAAGGATTCACACACAAAAGCACACACACAATTTGACAACCTTCAGACACTCACCGTGCTGTAGACTGCTGAGACAGCGGGAGTGAAGATTCGATCCTCAAGAGGTTGTTGCACAGGTCCTCTAGGAATTCTAGAAGAGCGAGTTAAGGATAAGAGAATTCAAAAATGGATGCTTAATAGTTAGAGAAAATTGCAACCACAAAATTCCACCAACGACCTAAGCATTTTCACCCAATTAGTGAGTTATATACTTCTCCACTAAAACTAAAAACCAAATGTTTCAAATGTCCTAAAATGACTAAATCAATCTCTTCAAAAGCCTTCCCATGATAAACATTCCATGGAATCTCAAAACAAACACAACTATACAATAAGTGTCCAAACTTTAGACCCATGATGAGACTCTGCCACCTTTACTTTGTACTAAAAATAACTGGCTGGGCACAGTGGCTCAAGCCTATAATCCCAACACTTTTGGAGGTCAAACTGAGAGAATCACTTAAACCCCAAGAGTTCAAGACAAGCCTGGGCAACACAGCAAGACCTCATCTCTACTAAATTAGCCGAGTGTGGTTGCCAGCACCTGTAGTCTCCGGGAGGCTGAGGTGGTAGGATCACTTGAGCACAGGAGTTTAACAAGTTGCAATTAGCAAACCTCTCTACCAAAAAAAAAAAAAAGCCTAAATAAATCAGCATGAGACAGGAACTGCCAGAAATTTTCTACAGAATTTGAATTCAAAGAAATGACCCATGTAAAACTCTGTACACTACAACATACTTCCTTCCTAATTCTGCCTGCCATTGTGCTTATTACCAGTTCTCACCAAACTCTGTATCTCCAAGCATAAATCATTGGATGTTTCTTTCCCTCTGAGCTCAAGATACAGGCAAAACAGCTTTTCATAGTGCTACTTAAAATTCTAATTCAATAAATGAGCAGTGTAACATGCACATACAATAATCCAGAACATGCTGATTTTTCATAACCCATGATTGAAATACAGTAGTACATCCACTTGATATTTCTGTATTTCAAATTGCTGTGATTTATATCATTAGGAAGTACAAGCAAAACTATTAGTAAGATTACATAGATGGTATGCAATACTGAATTAAGACTCTAAGTAGAAATATAAATGTAAAAAATTTCGAATTCTCCTCTTTCTTTTTTCTAGTAGAATAATAACAAAAGACAAATTTCAGAAATAAATATAATTTGATGGTTAAAGACTCTGATTATTAAAGTACTCACTACATACATGCTACAACAAATGCCAACTAGGCAAATACACTTGCAAAGACTAAATTTCATCAGAGAAATCCAAGAATCCATGAGGATATTACATGACATGTATTACTGATATGAATGTTTCCTACTTATGCAGAAAAGAGAGGACCAATACATTTTAAAGAACAAATGTTTATGAAACTTCATGAAGGATGAACTCTCTTCAAAATAAACCTTCTTGATCAATGGTAATCATGTCTGGCACTGGGGTTGTTTACAGTCAGTACCTCCTTAAAAGGTGGATTTGCACAAAGTAGAAAAGAAGAAGTGAAAATAAACAGAAATTGTCTTTCAGTCTGCCAAAACACTAATGTTCCATTTATAATTCCCAGCTGAACGTTCCTAAACCTTGCCCCACTCCACTACAAGAAAAACTACTGCTCTAATGTTCAGCATAAGCAATATTCTTAAAGTGAAAGACTCAAGTTATCATTTCCTCATTGAAAGGAAGATCAAGGATACAAATGTCATCAAATAAATACTGATTTATAGGTAAAATAGGCAACTAATATCAGGAGATAAAAAAATAATGCAAAGGGTCTTTTTCTATATTATTTCTTATTTAGGCCAAGATGTCAATGTCAATTTATGCTTTCTCTACTTCTTATTTCTACATAGTTCTGAAATAAAAAAGGAAGTTAACTTCTATAATACATAAAGTAATGGCAGAATTTCTAAACTATACCCTATTTCACAAAGATACCGAACAGGATTTCTCAAAACATGTACTGTTTAAAATACAGTTACTTTGGAAACAGCTATAGTCTTCTTTTTTTAATTTTTTATTTTTTGAGACAGAGTCTCGCTCTGTCACCCAGGCTGGAGTTCAGTGGCATAATCTCAGCTCACTGCAACCTCTGCCTTCCAGGTTCAAGCAATTCTCGTGACTCAGCCTCCTGTGACTCAGCCTCCCAAGCAGCTGGGACTATAGACATGCGCTACCACAGCCGGCTAATTTTTTGTATTTTTAGTAGAGATGGGGCTTTGCAATGTTGCCCAGGCTGGTCTCGAACTCCTGAGCTCAGGCAATCCACCCACCTCGGCCTCCCAAAGTGCTAGGATTACAGGCATAAGCCACCGCACCTGACCATAGCTACAGTCTTTTAACATTACTTCTGAACCACACGAATATGTTTTTCAAAAATTAAAAAAATGCAATTTAAACAAGCCAGCTCCAGCCTAGACCACAAGAGACCCTGCCTCTATTAAAAAAAAATTTTTTTTCCACGATATTGATTCTTCCTATCTATGAGCATGGAATGTTCTTCCATTTGTTTGTGTCCTCTTTTATTTCGTTGAGCAGTAGTTTGTAGTTCTCCTTGAAGAGGTCCTTCATATCCCTTGTAAGTTGGATTCCTAGGTATTTTATTCCCTTTGAAGCAATAGTGAATGGGAGTTTACTCATGATTTGGCTCTCTGTTTGTCTGTCATTGGTATATAAGAATGCTTGTGATTTTTGCACATTGATTTTGTATCCTGAGACTTTGCTGAAGTTGCTTATTAGTTTAAGGAGATTTTGGGCTGAGACGATGGGGTTTTCTAAATATACAATCACGTCATCTGCAAACAGGGACAATTTGACTTCCTCTTTTCCTAATTGAATACCCTTTATTTCTTTCTCCTGCCTGATTGCCCTGGCCAACTTCCAACACTATGTTGAATAGGAGTGGTGAGAGAGGGGCATCCCTGTCTTGCGCCAGTTTTCAAAGGGAATGCTTCCAGTTTTTGCCCATTCAGTATGATATTGGCTGTGGGTTTGTCATAAATAGCTCTTATTATTTTGAGATACGTCCCATCAATACCTAATTTATTGAGAGTTTTTAGCATGAAGGGCTGTTGAATTTTGTCAAAGGCCTTTTCTGCATCTATTGAGATAATCATGTGTTTTTGTCTTTGGTTCTGTTTACATGCTGGATTACATTTATTGATTTGTGTATGTTGATCCAGCCTTGCATCCCAGTGACGAAGCCCACTTGGTCACTGTGGATAAGCTTTTTGATGTGCTGCTGGATTCGGTTTGCCAGTATTTTATTGAGGATCAATATTCATCAGGGATATTGGTCTAAAATTCTCTTTTTTTGTTGTTGTCAGGCTTTGGTATCAGGATGATGCTGGCCTCATAAAATCAATATCATGAAAATGGCCATACTGCCCAAGGTAATTTATAGATTCATTGCCATCCCCATCAGGCTACCAATAACTTTCTTCACAGAATTGGAAAAAACTACTTTAAAGTTCATCTGGAACCAAAAAAGGGCCCGCACTGCCAATACAATCCTAAGCCAGAAGAACAAAGCTGGAGGCATCACACTACCTGACTTCAAACTATACTACAAGGCTATAGTAACCAAAACAGCATGGTACTGGTACCAAAACAGAGATATAGACCAACAGAACAGAACAGAGCCCTCAGAAATAATACCACACATCTACAACCATCTGATCTTTGACAAACCTGACAAAAACAAGAAATGGGGAAAAGATTCCCTATTTAATAAACGGTGCTGGGAAAACTGGCTAGCCATATGTAGAAAGCTGAAACTGGATCCCTTCCTTACACCTTACACAAAAATTAATTCAAGATGGATTAAAGACTTAAATGTTAGATCTAAAACCATAAAAACCCTAGAAGAAAACCTAGGCAATACCATTCAGGACACAGGCATGGGCAAGGACTTCACGTCTAAAACACCAAAAGCAATGGCAACAAAAGACAAAATTGACAAATGGGATCTAATTAAACTAAAGAGCTTCTGTACAGCAAAAGAAACTACCATCAGAGTGAACAGGCAACCTACAGAATGGAAGAAAAATTTTGCAATCTACTCATCTGACAAAGGGCTAATATCCAGAATCTACAAAGAACTCAAACAAATTTACAAGAAAAAAACAAACAACCCCATCACAAAGTGGGCAAAGGATATGAACAGACACTTCTCAAAAGAAGACATTTTTGCAGCCAACAGACACATGAAAAAATGCTCATCATCACTGGCCATCAGAGAAATGCAAATCAAAACCACAATGAGATATTATCTCACACCAGTTAGAATGGCGATCATTAAAAAGTCAGGAAATAACAGGTGCTGGAGAGGATGTGGAGAAATAGGAACACTTTTACACTGTTGGTGGGACGGTAAACTAGTTCAAACATTGTGGAAGACAGTGTGGTGATTCCTCAAGGATCTAGAACTACAAATACCATTTGACCCAGGCATCCCATTACTGGGTATATACCCAAAGGATTATAAATCATGCTGCTATAAAGACACATGCACATGTATGTTTACTGTGGCACAATTCACAACAGGAAAGACTTCAAACCAATCCAAATGTCCATCAATGACAGACTGGATTAAGAAAATGTGGCACATAATATACACCATGGAATACTATGCAGCCATAAAAAAGGATGAGTTCATGTCCTTTGTAGGGACATGGATGAAGCTGGAAACCATCATTCTCAGCAAACTATCACAAGGACAAAAAACCAAACACCACATGTTCTCACTCATAGGTGGGAATTGAACAGTGAGAACACTTGGACACAGGAAGGGGAACATCACACACCAGGGCCTGTCATGGGGTGGGGGAAGGAGGGAGGGATAGCATTAGGAGACATACCTAATGTAAATGACGAGTTAATGGGTGCAGCACACCAACATGGCGCATGTACACATGTAACAAACCTGCACGTTGTGCACATGTACCCTAAAACTTAAAGTATAATAAAAAAAATTTTTTTTTTTTTTTAAAAAAAGCCAGGATTTCCTTAGGAACACTTTTACACTGTTGGTGGGACTGTAAACTAGTTCAACCATTGTGGAAGACAGTGTGGCGATTCCTCAAGGATCTAGAACTAGAAATACCATTTGACCCAGCCACTCCATTACTGGGCATATACCCAAAGGATTATAAATCATGCTGCTATAAAGACACATGCACACATACGTTTATTGCGGCACAATTCACAACAGCAAAGACTTGGAACCAACCCAAATGCCCATCAATGATAGACTGGATTAAGAATATGTGGCACATAATATACACCATGGAATACTATGCAGCCATAAAAAAGGATGAGTTCATGTCCTTTGTAGGGACATGGATGAAGACGGAAACCATCATTCTCAGGAAACTATCGCAAAGACAGAAAACCAAACACCACATGTTCTCACTCATAGGTGGGAACTGAACAATGAGAACACTTCGACACAGGAAAGGGAACATCACACACCGGGGCCTGTCGTGAGGTGGGGGGAGGGGGGAGGGACAGCATTAGGAGATATACCTAATGTAAACGACGAGTTAATGGGTGCAGCACACCAACATGGCACATGTATACATATGTAACAAACCTGCACGTTGTGCACATGTACCCTAGAACTTAAAGTATAATAATAATAATAATAATAATAATAATAATAATAATAAAAGCCAGGATTTCTTTTTGTAAATAGCCCCTACAAAAGAAAAAATAACCTATTTTAAAAAAGAGCCTGGCACAGTGGTGCATACCTGTAGTTCCAGCCACTAAGAAAGCTGTGATGACAGGATCCCTCGAGCCCAAATATTCACCTGGGCAATTCTTCCTTTGCTCTCCTTACCTTTTACCATTGAGATCTAGGGAAATAAAACTAACCAATTTTAAACTCTGTTTCAACTCAATTTAATGCTGGCTGTTAATTCAGGTCCAAAAACCCTATTGGAAAGCAAATACAGTGGTTATGTATATTACTTAACACGCCTAGCAGAATCTAGGCAGCACCCTTAATCAAACACATTAATATCTCTACAGCAAAATATATGAATATTCAAACTTCTACCCTTCTGTCCAGAAATTTACCAATGCAAGAAAAAGAATAAGTTTTCCAAGCTCTTGGAATTTTAGAATTGCAAGACTATACTATTCTTTATCATTGAATCTTTGCAATTAGTATCTCTGGAACGTACACAACTAGAAACCATTATATTAGATTTTGTTTTGTTTTGGAGTACAGTGTTGGGTTCACAGCTGACTGCAGCCTCAACCTTCTGGGCTCAAGTGATCTCACCTCACTCACCAGAGTAGCTGGGACTACAGGTGTGTACCATCGTGCCCAGCTAATCTTTAAATTTTTTGGTAGAGATGGTGTCTCCCTATATTGCCCAGGCTAGTCTCAAACTCCTGGGCTCAAGCAATCCTCTTGCCTCAGCCTCCCAAAGTGCCGGGATTACAGGCATGAGCCACTACACCTGACCTATATTAGATTTTTAACAAATCCAGAAACATTAGTCTCAAAGAGCTTAGCCAGAAAACCCCTTGTTCTGGCTCTGATTTTCTATTAACTCAGATACAAGTCAGCACATATTGCCAATTGATTTCCTGCTAGTCATTTTTAAGTTTACCCAGAAACATATCCTGTAAGTTTAGAAACATACAAACAAAAAAAAAACAAAACAATATTGCCAGAGACTATGCAACAATGGCTGCTGACTACGCTGTTATTTCTACACAAGATAAAAATACACATACACATTTTCTGTGAGACAAAATGATATTCATATGCAAAAATGAATGATACACTCACAAAAGTTTCAAATGAAGTTTCTAATGCCCTCACATTTTTAGTTCTACAACAGACTAATATGCTTTAACAGTGTTTTCTAATGCCCAATTCAGATTCAAATACAATCAATCCATATGGCAAAGCAAAGGCAGAAGGCAACAAAGTAAGCCTCTCTCCTCAAAAATGCCCACCTTGCACAATAGCAAAAATATGGAATCAACCTAAGTGTCCATCAGAAGATGACTGCATAAAGAAGATGTAGTATATATACACAATGGAATACTATTCAACCATAAAAAAATGAGGTCATTCTTTTGCAGCAACATAGATGGAACTGGAAGCCATGATCTTATGTGAAACAACTCAGAAAGACAAATATCACATGTTCTCACTTACTGTTGAGATTTAAATAATGTATACACATGGAGGTAGAGTGTGGAATGTCAGAAAACAAAGACTCACAAGGAGTAGGGGGATGATGAGAAATTACTTAATGGGTACAACATATGTTTTTCAAGTGATGGACACATTGAAAACCCTGACTTCACCACTACAGCAGTATATCCATTGAACAAAATTACACTTGTCCCCCATAAATTTAATTGCCCACTGTGAAGAAATATCAGTAACAAAAACAAGTTGAAGTTAACAATTCCAGTTGGGTCCTACATCTGAACCACTCAAATGGCCTTGATAATAACCAAAATAAAACATGCTGATATGCCAAATTCCTCTGGACATAGATGGGGATAATAATAGGTGAGCTACATACATTTGGCAGACTTTAAAAAGCTATCTTTTAAAGACTAACTGAATGCTACTCACATATGACGAAAGTCAAAGTTTGCTGGAAGTTATACTACTGGCTGAAAGTTTTTATGGGTATAACTATAAGATTTACAAAAATGTTAAGGCCTTGATTGACCTGAAATGCTAGAGCATTGTTAAAATGTAATTTCAAAAAGTGAATGTAACTTTAATGTGCTAGAAGTTTCAGTGATGGAACTTAGGTTAAAAAATAATCATGATTAATCTTGAACATGAATGGTGGTTATGACTGCATGATGTGAATTTACTTAATGCCACAGAACTGTACACCGAAAAATGATTAAAATGGTAAATATTGTGTTATGTATACTTTACCACAAAAAATAAACTTTTAAAATAAATAGATAAAAGAACCATGACTATGGAATAGTCAGAGGAGATTCTTCTAAGTTTGGCTTTACTATTCTGTACAAATAGTGTGCAGATTCTATCAAGGATACACGATCTTTCCAATTTTGTATTTCCTTTCTGGAGTAAAAGGAGTGAGACTCTTTTCATCGAAAAAAGGTGCTGTGTGCTAAGATGATGCAGCTAATGATCAGACTTGTACACAATGCAACCACTTTCAGTAGGTATCCCTAGGAAAAAGGACACGCAGTCATCCACAGCATCTTCAACTTGACATATCCTCTACCTCAGTATCTCAAACTGTTGTTCACAATCCAGATAGGAAGAAAGGAGTAACTCATGAATTTGAGGTATTGCTATATGTCACCTCAGGTAAAATAAAATGTCTGTTTTTTATGATAGGAAAAATGAAGTTTTTAACTTTGAAAAACCAAAAGGAAGGGGGCATTAGACAAAACATTCCAACCTTAAAATTAACACTTGAAAACCAAAATAGTGTGGTACTGGCAAAAGGACATAAAAACAAATCAATGAACAGAATATTCAACCTGTAAGAAGGCCCACACAAATGTAGTGAATCGATTTTTCACAAAGGTGCAAAGGCAATTAAGTGGAGAAATAGTCTTTTCAACAAATGGTGCTGAAACAACTGAAAAACCATATGCAAACCAATGACACTCTCTACCAACACCTCACCCTTTGTACAAAAATTAATTCAAAATGTGTGGATCTAGTGTAAAACAGAAAACTATGAATCTTTTAGAAGAAACAATAAGAGGAAACAACTGTTATCTTGGATTAGGCCAAGAGTTCCTAGATAACACATCAAAAGCATGATGTATTTAAAAAAAAAAATTGATATGACCAGGCACAGTGGCTCATGCCTGTAATCAAAGCACTTTGGGAGGACGAGGTGGGAGGATCACTTGAGTCCAGGAATTTGAGACCAGCTTGGGCAACATAGCAAGCAAGGCCTTGTCTCTACAAAATATTTTTTAAAAAGAAGAAAATTGATAAACTGAACATCATCAAAACTACAAACATTTCCACTGTGAAAGACATTGTTATAAGAACAAAGAGACAGGATACAGACTGTGGTAAATACTTTTAAAACTTACGTAAATAAGATAAAGGATTTGTATCTAGGATACATGAAGAAACTAGGCTGGGCCCAATGGGTCATGCCCATAATCCCAACACTTTAGGAGGCTGAGGTGGGTGAACTGCTTGAGTCCAGGAGTTCAGGACTAGCCTGGGCAAGATGGTGAAACTGCATCTCTACTAAAAACACAAAAAATTAGGCAGGCATGTTAGAGCCTGTAATCCCAACAACTTGGGAGGTTGAGGTGGGAGAATCACCTGAGCTCAGGAGGTGGAGACTGCAGTGAGCAGAGATCACGCCACAGTACTCCAGCCTGGGCAACCAGAGCGAGGCCCTGTCTCGAAAAAAAAAAAAAAAAAAAAAAAGAAGAAGAAGAAGAAGAAGAAAGAAACTAAACACTCAATAACAAGACAACAAACAACCTAATATTTTTCAAATGGGCAAAAGTTTGCTGTGGTTGCTGTTTTGAGAGACAGGGTCTTGCTCTGTTGCCCCACACTGGAGTGCAGTTGCAGGATCATGGCTCACTGCAGCCTTGATCTCCCAGGCTTAAGCAACCTTCCCAGCTCAACCTGTAACTGGTATGTGCCACCATGCCCAGCTAATTTTTTCATTTTTTGTAAAGATGAAGTCTCGCTATGTTGCCCAGGCTGGTCCCAAACTCCTGAGTTCAAGCAATGCTCCTGCCTTAGCCTTCCAAAGTGCTGGGATTATAGGCACGACCCACTGTGCCTAGCCTCAAATGGGGAAAAGTTTTAAATGAATGACACCTAATCAAAGAAAATATACACGTCACAAATAAAGACACAAAAGGCTCTTTACTTCCTTAATGAAACATCATTAATGAATGCAAATTAAAACCAAAACGAGATATCACTATACCTGTTACACTAACTGAAACCATAAAAAAATGACAATAATGAGTGCTGATAAGGATGAGGAGCAACTGGAAATCTCACACGTTGGTAGAGTGCAAAATGGTATAGTCACTTTGGAAAGCAGTTTGGCAGTTTCTTATAAAATTAAACATACACTAACCATATGACTCAGCAGTCCCACTCATAGGTATTACCCAACATAAATGACAACTTAAATTTACACAAAACCCTGAACACAAATGCTTGCAGCAGTTTCATTCATAATGGCCAAAAACACTAGAAATGAGTCAAATATCTTCAACTGGCCAATAGACAAACTATGGTACATCCATATAATGGAATACTAGTAGGCATTTAAAAGGAATTAACTATTAATAAACACAAAGACATGAATGAATCTCAAATGCTAATTATTTTAAGTAAAAGAAGCTAGACTCACTGCACTCCTGCCTGGGCAACAGAGTGAGACCCTGTCCCTGAGGGAGTGCTAGACTCAAAAAGACTGTAAGTCCATTTATATAATATACTAGTTAAGACAAAAATGTAGAAATGGAAAGCAGATCAGTGCTTGCCAGGGCCTAGAGGTTGGGGGCAGAGTTTATCCACAAAGGGACATCATTGAAGGAATATAACAGGGTAAATGGAAGTTTTCTGTGTCTTCTACACAGTAGGTTACAAAAACCATTCATTTTTCAGAACTTAGAAACTATATATCCAAAATAAATGAATAGTCAGTTCCTCAAAAGGTTAAGCAATAGAGTCACCATATGGTTCAGTAATTTCACTCCTAGGCACGTATTCAACAGAAAAATAAAAAGCATGTCCATGTAAAACTTGTACACAAATGTTCACATCAGCATTATATATAATAGCAAAAAAGTGGAGATAAATGTCCATCAACTGTTAGATGGACAAATTGTGGCATATCAATACAATGGAATTTTATTTGGCAATAAAAAGAAAGTGGTGATACATGTACATTACGGATAAACCTTGAAAACATTATGGTAAGTTAAAGAAGCCAATCACCAAAGACTGTATATCATGTGATTCTGCTTATATGAAATGTCCAGAATAGGTAAATCCATAGAGGCAGAAAGTAGATTAGTGGTTGCCTAAGCTGAAGGGAGAGGTGGGAGGAAGGAGGGTGACTGCTAAAGGATCCTGGGTTTCTTTTTGAGATAAACCAAACATTCTAAAACTGTGGTGATGGATGCACAACTCTGGATATTAAGTATAATTTAATACAGTTAACTGTACATTTGTACATTTTAATTGGCTGAATTTTATGGTGTGTGAATTATATCTCAATAATGCTGTTACCAAAAAAAGTAAATATTATTGCATGTAATTTAAAAATAATATTAGAACTCCATGGTGAGACAAGCATCTTATCTGTTCTACCACTCTCACCCCAGGATCCAGAATATTGCAGAAAGAAGTCATAAACTCAAAATGTTTCATCATCATGATCCGGTTCAATAGACTTAAAAAAAGTATGGCTTGCCAAGCACAGTTTCACGTGCCTATAGTCCCAACTACTCAGGAGTCTGAGGCAGAAGGATCCCTTGAGCCCATGAAGTTCAAGGCTGAAATGCACTATGATTATGCCAGGCTGCTCTCCAGGCAGATCCCATCTCTTACAAAAAAAAAGAAGTAGTATGGCTTATCCTGCGAATCTACACAAACAAAGAGAATTGTTATGCAACAGTAACAGTAAAACAGGCACCACACAGGAAAACAGCTGGGCTTGGGCGGCAAACTACGTTCTTTTTCAATGACAGGAAAAAAGCAATATAGGATCATCCACACTCCTCAAATCTTGCTTAATGACTTCACAAGATGGAAACCACCCAACCTGCTTTTTGACACTACTCCTGACAAACTTCTCTCTTCACTAGTATCAAGAAAAGATCCTTCTCCACAGCCAATAAACCCAAGTCAAAGCACGCTTATACTAAATCAGATGAAGACTGTCAATATACCTAAGGAGAGATTTAGTTACGGTACCTAGAAATAAGTCGACGTATTTTCAGATAAAAAAGAGATCAAAGTTTAACGGTAAAAATAACTTCACAAAGTGAAAAATCATGGTTAACTATCAATGAAAAACATCCTCCCAAAGTGCTGGGATTACAGGCATGAGCCACCGTGCTTGGTCAAGAATTTCATCTTAATTTAAATCACTGCAGGATAAAATATGCAATAGGGCCGAGCACGGTGGCTCACGCCAGTAAACTCGGCACTTTGGGAGGCTGAGGTGGGCAGATCACTTGAGGTCAGGAGTTCAAGACCAGCCTGGCCAACGTGGCAAAACTCTGTCTCTACCAAAAAATACAAAAGTTAGCCAGACATGGTGGTGGGCATCAGTAATTCCAAGCTACTCAGGAGGCTGAAGTGGTAGAATCACTCGAACCCAGGAGGTAGAGGTTGCAGTGAGCCGAGATTGCACCACTACACTCTAGCCTGGGCAACAGGGTCTCAGGAAAAAAAAAAAAACAACAAAAAAAAACCGAGGGAGGGAGGGAGTAAGGAAGGAACAAAGAAAGAAAGGAAGGAAGGGAGGGTGGGAGGGAGGGACTCATTCCAACAGACATTCCTCCAACTTTAAATCAATGTAATCAATACCACTTTGAGTGAAACTGATCAAACAGCTACAAATTTCACCTTTATGTTATTATTATATTTATTACATCATTATATTGTCCAAGAACGTATCATAAATACTTTCTTGAATCAAATAATTTGTATTCTGCAACACAGGCAGGGAACTACAATAAAGTACACCCAGACCTTCAGAGTATAACTGGTAACAAAAAAAACCTTTCTTTTCATCACACTTGAGAGCTCGGCCATCTGTTAAAGTTATAAGTTATATACAAAAAACTTATAAATGAAATCATAAATTACAAATTAAAAAATGGGATAAGCTTGAGAAGATTTATGAAACATGCACCAAAGCCCAATTAAGATGCTGTGAATTCTCAGGCCTAGAAAGCAACTAAAGAATGTTGCAGTTTTATATGGTAAGCTATCTGAGGAAAAAAGACAAACACCAAAAAGGAAATAGTTTTAAAAATGGAGGTATTTCTGGCTGGGCTTAGTGGCTCATGTCTGTAATCCCACCACTTTGGGAGGCCAAGGTGGGTTGATCACCTGAGGTCAGGAGTTTGAGACCAGCCTGGCCACCATGGTGAAACCCCGTCTCCATTAAAAATACAAAAATTATTTATAAAAACAGGTAGCCAGCCAGTGGGCCACAGATTGCAAACCCTGATTTTTACCTAATAAAACAATTTTCCCCCAACACTTTGTACCAGACTGCCAACTTCAAATTATAAATGCTATGGTTATATAATACACCTGATAACACAAACCTTAAGTTACCAAACATTAATTAAATTCATCCATGACGCACTTATGGTGCTATGTTAATAAATGGACAATGCTAAAGAGACATTCTTAAAATCATCATTAATAAAAATTTGATGGTATTATTTGAAACACAGTATACATATGGCTTAAACTCAGGATTAGGTTCTTAATAATTAGAACAATTTCTTTATTATTTGACACCCTCCCACCACCTTGACTCTTGTCATCTCTTCCACTCCATCCTCCTATTTTTCCTCCTCTCCAGGTATTCTTTATAGTCATCAATAATGAAAGCAATTTCTGATATGCCAATAGTCCAGTGAAATGTTAATTCAGTAATAATGGCAGCAAATTCTTAATTTTATTCTATAACCTCAAGTAATAACTTAAAAATTAAAATAACAAATGTCAAGAGAAAAAAATTAACGTATCCATCCATAGCAAAAGGAACAGGATCACAAATATATTCCATTTCAATTCTCTTTCCTATTAAACCACCTTTACTAGTACTAAAAATTTATATTGAAACCAACTATATTATGCTTTAATTCTGACAAAGTTACTATAAGGGGGAAATATTTGGATGTATTTTTTAAATTGATAATATTTGTAAAAGCACATGGATCTCCTCATAGTACAATGTCTCACTAAAGCTCCTTAATGCTTTTAATATAAGCATTGGTGTGATTTGTTTGATTTAATGTACTATAATAACAGACTGAAAAATTGCAGTCTGGTAACCCAGTCCATCTGGTCAGCTGAACTCTACTCCTATACTGCTTTCTATTCACTTTCCCTGTCCCTCTTCCATACTCTTGACTATTACCATCTACCCAGTCCCCTACACCAAATGTTCACTATTTACACAGCAAGGAGGCAAGGAGGCAACCAAAAAGGAATCCTAAATCTTCCCTACTCCATATCACTTAACTTCTACAAATCCTGTTTTAAGAGAACTGTAAAAATAAAATAAAATTATAAATAATGCCCTAGAGAATATTGAGTGTGATTCATTTTATCTGGAGATGAATGGGTAAATGGTGACTATGAGGATAAACTTACAGCAGTGGAAGAATGAAAGAGGAAAAATTAATGAAGAAACAAGATCCAGGCTGGGCACACTGGCTCATGCCTATAATCCCAGCACTTTGGGAGGCCAAGGTGGGTGGATCATCTGAGGCCAGTAGTTCAAGACCAGTCTGGCTAACATGGTGAAACCTCATCTCTACAAAAAATACAAAAATTAGCCGAGTGTGGTGGCATGTGTCTGTAGTCCCAGCTACTTGGGAGGCTGAGGCACGAGAATTGCTTGAACCTGGGAGGCAGCGGTTGCAGTGAGCCAAGATCACACCACTGCACTCCAACCTGGGCAACAGAGCAAGACTCTGTCTCAGAACAAAAAAAAACATCTCTCCCTTTTTAAGTGACCAAAATTCTGTGTTCGTATAGCAGTTTGTCCACAGAATTCCTTACCATTTCATGCTGCAGGGGTCTTGGAGTCAGACAATCTTGGGTTCCATTTCTAACGTTATCCCTTAGTAAACTGTGTAATCATAGTTAACCTCAAAGTATTAGCTCCTCAATTATAAAATGGTGATAGCAAAAACAGCCATAAATTGCTCTGAGTATTAACTAAATCCCTACATGAAATACTCTGAACAATGCCGGCTACATGACATTCAATCTGTTAATTCCCCTTTCTGGCCCTCAAACTAGAAGTAATATGATATGATCATGAGCAGGAAAGTGGTACTAGAAAGACAAATGCTTAAAAGTCTTCTTGAAAGCACTAGTAACATCCTTCTTCATTCATCCATCCTCAACAAATATTTTATGAGTAGCTACAAAGTACTAAACCAAACAACTTGTGGCACTTACATTCTATTGGGAGCAAACAGACCAAAAGTCAGTAAACAAATGAGACAATTAAAATAGGAAAAATTATAAAGTGGGCAAAGAACATGAACAAACACTTTTCTAAAGAAGACATATACATGGCCAACAAGCATATGAAAAAATGCTCCACATAACTAATCATTAGAGAAATGCAAATCAAAACCACAATGAGATACTACCTTATACCAGTCACGATGGCCATTATTAAAAAGTCAAAAAATAACAGAGGCTGACTATGTTGCGGAGCAAAGGGAATGCTTATATACTGCTAGTGTGGAAATGTAAATTACTTCAGCCATTGTGAAAAGCAGTTTACCAATTTCTCAAAGAACTTAAACCATTTGACCCAGCAATCCCATTATTGGGTATATACCCAAAGGAATATAAATCGTTCTACTAAAAAGACACATGCACAGGTATGTTTGTCATAGCACTATTCACAATAGCAAAGACATACAACCAACCTAAATGCCCTTCAATGGTAGACTAAAGAAAATGTGGTATATATACACCATGAAATACTACACGCCCATAAAAAAAAAATGAGATCATGTCCTTTGCAGCAACATGGATGGAGCTGAAAGTCATCCTAAGACAACTAATGAAGGAACAGAAAACCAAATACTGCATGTTCTCACAAGTGGGAGCTAAAAATTGAGTACGCATTGACACAAAGAAGGGAACAATAGACAGCAAGGTCTACTTGAGGGTGAAGTGTGAGTGGAGAGTGAGGGTTGAAAAACTACCTATCAAGTACTATGCTTATTACCTGGGTGATAAAATAATCTGTACAGGTCAGGTGCGTTGGCTCACGCCTGTAATACCAGCACTTTGGGAGGCCAAGGCAGGCAGATCATCTGAGGTCAGGAGTTCAAGACCAGCCTGGCCAACGTGGTGAAACCGCATTTCTACTAAAAACAAAAAATACAAAAATTAGCCATAGGTGGTGGCGCAAGCCTGTAATCCCAGCTACTCAGGTGGCTGAGGCAGGAGAATAACTTGAACCTGGGAGGTGGAGGTTGCAGTGAGCCGCGATTGCGCCATTGCACTCCAGCCTATGCAACGAGTGAAACTCCGTCTTAAAAAAAAAAGAAAAAAAAAAAATCTGTACACCAAACCCCCACCATGACATGCAATTTATCTATATAAACAAACCTGCATATATACCCCTGAACCTAAAATATGTTTTTTTAAGATTAAATAAAATACATAAAAAATAAAATAGTGAAAATGGTATGAAGAAAACTTTTTTAAATGACATGAGAGGAAGGTAATAGTATTCTAGATAAAGTAGAAGTAATTTCTGAATTGAAATCTGAGTAATACAAATAAGCCCATCCTATGAAGAGAAAGGGAAAGAACATTCCAGGAAGGTAGGCATCTGGGGTACAGGTTTTAGGTGGGAAACAGCTGTGATCAAGGATGATAAGAGTGGTTGGGCACAGAGACTCACTCCTATAATCCCAGCACTTTGGAAGGCCAATGTAGGAGGACTGGTTGAGGCTAGGAGTTCGAGGCCAGCCTGGGCAACTTGTCAAGAACTCATCTCTACAAAAATACAAATAAAAAATTAGCTGGGCATGGTCGCATGTGCCTGTAGTCCTAGCTACCCAGGAAGCTGAGGCAGAAGGGTCGCCTGAGCCAAGGAGTTCAAGGTTACAGTGAGCTATGAATGTGCCACTGCACTCCAGCCTAAGTGACAGAGCAAGACCCTGTCTCTTTTTTTTTTTTTTTTTGTTAAAGGATCAAGGGAGCTATGCTGAGAGTAGCAATTAGAGTTTGGAAATTTAAGCAGAAGCTACATCACTGAGAGGCTTGTAGGGCCTGGTAAGCAGTATGAATTCTTTTAACAGGCGACAATGGGAGAATTTAAACAGAGGAGATCCATAATAGCACTGTTAAAGACCATTCATTTTTTATAAAAAATAAACCTGAGAAGGGTAAGAGAGGAAAGAAAAAAAGCTGAGAGATTATAGCAGTTGTCCAAATAAAAGGTAGTGGCCTAGAAGACAGTAGGATAACAGAAATGAATGGCGAGAAAAGGACTAGTTTAGATAGTAAAACCAAGGGGAATAGCTATTGCATAAGAGGCATGAAGGAAAGGAATAACCAAGAATAGTTTACAGATAGTGTATCTTGAGTAGTTAGGCAGACAGCAGTACTACTCGCCAAAACTGGAAAGGAACAAGTTGAAATAGAAGTAGAAAGGAAATCAAAAGTTTTATTTTGAGCATAAAAATTCTGAAATGCCTATGAAAAATCCAGGAGGAGATGTAAATACACAAAGTGAATATATGAATATGCAATTCAGGCTAGAACTCTCATCCAAAGATACAAATTTGAAAGTAATGAACATAAAAATAGCATTTAATGCCAAAAAAAATTAAAAAATTAAAAAAAGGAAGAAGGTAAAGCACCTGACAATAAGACAAAGGAGGAATTAGTAAAGCAACTTGCAGAGAAGTGGCCACTGAGGTTGGAGGAAAACCAACAGATGTTACGGTAGCCATTCACAGAAATGACTATTGTATTCAAAATACTCTTCACACTTTACACTCTACTGTTGACACATCAGGACAAGGGCAACTTACCTATCAGCCCTACAGAAAACCAGAGAATCAAGTTTTACACCACGTGGGCTACTGTACTCTATACAATATATTGCTAAAATTTCTTTCAGCATTTAAAACAAAAAAAGTATGGGAAAATGCAAACTCTCTCCTGGAACAGAAATAATATATTCAGAGCATCTAACACTGTCTGGCAGATAGGAAAGCTCAATAAATGTTACTATCATAGTGGTTATTTAGAAAACTATCCAATTTTTGATTTTATTATTTACTTATTGAGATGGAGTCTTACTCTATCACCCAGACTGGAATGCAGTGGCACCATCTTGGCTCGCTGCAACCTCTGCCTCTTAATTCAAGCAATTCTCCTGCCTCAGCCTCCTTAAAAACTGGGACTACAGGCGTGTACCACCATGCCCAGCTAATTTTTTTGTATTTTTAGTAAAGACTGGCCATGTTGGCCAGGCTGGTCTCAAACTCCTGACCTCAAGTGATCTGCCCGCCTCAGCTTCCCAAAGTGCTGGGATGACAGGAATGAGCTACCGGGCCCAACCTGAAAACTATCCAATTTTTAAAAATAGCTTAGCATTTACAGTCACAAGTTGTATTGGCTAAGAGATGAGTTCTGAGGTTCCAGAGCAGGGGTCTCCACAAGTTAGCTATAATCTTAATAGGTCTGTCCAATGTATAAAGTTTTATTAATGAAACAAGTGATACTATTAGTGTGAGCATTACAGCTATTCATACAAGTTATTTGATTTCTGTTTTTCTTCTTGTTTGAAACAGGATCTCATGCTGTCACCCAGGCTGGAGTGAAGTGGTACAATCATGGCTCACTGCAGCCTCAACTGCCCCGACTCAAGCAATTCTCCTGCTTCAGCCTCCCGAGTAGCTGGGACTACAGACACGTGCCACCATGCCCAGCTTATACAAGTTATAACAATTCTTTTTTGGCCAGGTTGGCTTGTGCCTGCGATCCCAGAACTTTGGGAGGCCAAGGCAGGAGGACTGCTTGAGCCCAGGAATTCAAGACCAGCCTGGGCAACACAAGGAGAACTCATCTCTACAAATAATAACAAAATTAGCCAGGCGCAGTGGCGCACACCTGTAGTCCCAGCTACTTAGGAGATTGAAGCGGAAGGATCGCTTAAGCCTGGGAGGCAGAGGATGCAGTGTTGAGATCACACCACTGCACTCCAGCCTGGGCACTCTAACCACTGCACATAGCAAGGCCCTGTCTCAAAGAAACAAACAAAAAATACAATCTTTGAAAGAATAAACAAAGAAAATCTGACCACTTGCTAAGAAACCATCTCTTAGGTAATATCCATGAGGAAGGTCTAAAATAAGCTAGGTATATAAAACAGATGTACAATCAACCCTATTATTCAGAAATCAATTCCCTGTATTACATATAAACTACTGTACATATTTATATGTAATATATATAAACATGTATAACTACTTCTATTGTCTTTTCACTCATCATTAGTAAGATTACTAGACAATGGAGAAAGGAGGGGAATGTTGATAAAACGGGTTGTCAATTTTACTCTATTACATCCTTCCAGTGTAGGACGCTATTAAGTTTAGTAAGGTATTTCATTTCATTATTTTCTGAATATGAAGGCTTAAATATAAGGACTAATATAAATGCTTAAAGATGTTAAAGAAATTAATGTTTTATCTTTTAAAACTACAAGAGGCCAGGTGTGGTGGCTGACACCTGTAATCCCAGCACTTCGGGAGGCCAAGGCAAGCAGATTACCTGAGCTCAGGTGTTCGAGACCAGTCTGGCCAACATGGCAAAACCCCGTCTCTACTAAAATACAAAAATTAGCTGGGTGTGGTGACACATGCCTGTAATCCCAGCTACTCAGGAGGCTGAGGCAGGAGAATCACTTCAACCCGGGAGACAGAGGTCGCAGTGAGCTGAGATCGCGCCACTGCACTCCAGACTGGGCGACAGAGTGAGACTCCATCTCAAAAAAAAAAAAAAAAAAAAAAACTACAAGGGGCCAGGTGTGGTGGCTCAATGCCTGTAAATCCCAGCATTTTGGGAGGATGAGGCGGGTGGATCGCATGAGGCAAAGAGTTTGAGGCCAGTTTGGCCAACATGAAGAAACCCCATCTCTACTAAAAATACAAAAATTAGCTGGGCATAGTGGTGCACATCTGTAATCCCAGCTACTCAGTAGGCTGACGCACAACAATTGCTTGAACCTGGCAGACAGAGGTTGCAGTGAGCTGAGATCACAGCACCGCACTCCAGCCTGGGCAACTGAGCAAGACTGTCTCAAGGAAAAAGCTACAAGGGTTTTGTACCCTTACTTTGTTTCAGCCCTGCTCATGATGTTTATTTTTCCACTATTTTATGTCTTGCTTTATTCCACAATGGATCTGAGATAGCTTACAAAAAACACAAATAATAGAATATTTAAATGGGACTGGACATGGTGGCTCATGCCTGTAATCCTAACACTTTGGGAGGCTGAAGCAGGAGGATCGCTTGAGCCCAGGAGTTCCAGACGAGCACAGGCAACCTAGCAAGACTTTGTCTCTGTAAAATTAAAATAAGTATAAAAGAAACAACAACAAGAAGAAAAAGAATATTTAAATGAAAGTAAATAAGTAAATAAGACAAAGACTAGCAGTCTATAAATTCCTACAATATTGCAAAAACTTGGGCCATTAATTTGTTCCAGAGTTTCCTGGTGGCCACAGTATAATTTATGTATTTCCCAATTTTTAATGTAAGGAACAGAGGAAGCATCTGAATGTAGCAGTTCCTCTAGGAATTATTGCTAATTTTTGAGGACTAACACAACACTGAAATGAAGTGTATGGCCCATTTCAACAGAGACTGTAACAAATTTTTTATTTTTGGGATAGAATCTCACTCCGACACCCAGGCTGCAGTGCAGTGGTATGATCTTGGCTCACTGCAACCTCCCCCGTCTAGGTTCAAGCGATTCTCCCGCCTCAGCCACCCAAGTAGCTGGGATTACAGGTGCATGCCACCATACCCAGCTAATTTTTGTATTTTGGGTAGAGATGGAAACGTTTCGCTATGTTGACCAGGCTGGTCTCAAACTCTTGACCTCAAGTGATCCACCTGCCTCAGCCTCCCAAAGTGCTAGGATTACAGGCATGAGCCGCCACACCCGGCCAACAAATTGTAAAGTAGAAACTTTAAAGTAAAGTGAAATATAAATGTGCACAATCATAAGGATAACTTCTATATTTTTTTAATTTCTTAAAAGGATAATTTGATGACAAGGCAGGTAAATTCATATTCAAATCTAACCAACATTCTACAGGGAGCTCTTATTTCAGCATCTAAATGCTATAATTCAGCACAGGTTTCAGAGTAACGTTTTCTCTTTTTTTTTTTTTAAGACGGAGTCTCGCTCTGTTGCCTAGGCTGGAGTGCAGTGACGCAATCGCGGCTCACTGCAACCTCCACCTCCCAGGTTGAAGTAATTCTCCTGTCTCAGCCTCTGAGTAGCTGGGATTACAGGAGCACATCGCCACGCCCAGCTAATTTTTTGTATTTTAGTAGAGACGGGATTTCACCATGTTACCCAGCCTGATCTTGAACTCCTGAGCTCAGGCAATTCGCCCACCTCGGCCTTCCAAAGTGCTAGGATTACAGGTGTGAGCCACCACGCCTGGCCTAATTTTTGTATTTTTAGTAGAGATGGAGTTTCACCATATTGGTCAGACTGGTCTCGAACTCCTGACCTCAGGTGATCCACCCACCTCAGCCTCCCAAAGTGCTTGGGATTACAGGTGTGAGGCACCACGCCCAGCCTTTTTTTGTATTTTTAGTAGAGACAGGGTTTCACCATGTTGGCCAGGCTGGTCTCAAACTCCTGACCTCAGGTCATCCACCCACCTCAGCGTCCCAAAGTGCTAGGATTATAGGCGTGAGCCACTGCGCCCAGACCCAGAGTAACTTTTTGAAAATACTGTATTATTCAACCATTGCAACTAATAAACACTTTTGTTTCTTCCTTAATGTCTGCATCCAATCTATGCCAAAACACTTGACTTTCTCTGTTAAACTATGAAGAACATAAAACACTAATACAAGTAGTTCATCTAAGACTGTACTTTGAACTAATCTTAGATAATTTATCTTTCAGGAAAATATGTACAGAAAAGGAACTTTCAGGCTCTTATTAAATGAGACAATGAAAATTTAATTACATGGGCTATAAACTTAATCTGTCACTGAATGTAAACACAGGATACATTTCAGGACAAAATGAACAATTTCTGTTGCTTTTAGAATGTGTTGCACATTCCTGAGTACTAACAAGTGGCACTCTACGAAGGCATAGACTTTGAAGCTGGAAAAGACAAAAATTTGAATCCTAGATTCGTTTGCCAGCTAGATTACCTTGGGAAAATGATGTGATCGCTCCAAACTTCAGTTTCCTCATCAATACTCTGTGGGATTGCTGGAAAGAATTAGCAAAATAAGGCTTATGATGGGCTTAGCACATACTAAGCAGTATTTCATTATTATACATAGCTCTTCCATAAAGATCATGAGTTTTCCTTTCCGTGGACTATCCAGGTGACACAGCCTTTAAGACATCTCTCCCAGATTCCTAATTAAGAGCACCAACGGATCTCCTAACTTCATTCTTTAGAGCTTAGAAAAGCTACAATAAAATATTATTACAAGGAAAAGTAGGTCCGTGGGAGCATGTGAGATAGATATATACATATCATGACATACAAAAAAGAAACTAAAAAGAATGCAATCTGCTACACATTTGACAAAATTCTGAAAGATACTGATTGACTTTTGCTACTTTGCATGGTGAACTTTTACATGCATTTATTCACTTCCTGAAAGAATGTCTCTCTGCCATGAAAGCTGTTAATTCTGATTTAACAGCTATTCCCAAGGTGAGCAGCTTATCAACTACAGAATAATAACAGTTCTCTGCTCAAAGTATTTTTCACAGAAGGGTCAGAGAGAAAACTGCTTTTCTTACATCTAGATGACTAGTGTCATTAGCCAAATTAATTCACCCAATTGTCACAGGCCAAAGATCTAGTTTATTAAATATACTTGTTCTCACCATGCCAGCTATGAAGGAAAATTATGGAAAAAATCATTACCCCCTTTATTAGCAAGACTCTTCTCCAAAGGCCTCCACTTACACTTTTTAATTAAGTCTATTTTTCCCCTTAAAGAAGAATGATCTGATGGTTATCAACAGTAACATAAAATATTAGCTACCACCACTCAGAAAATATAATTCTCTTCCTTCATCCTGTAGTCATCATTCTCAATAATATCAGAGTACACTGGAAAAACTTTTCCTCACTACCTGTATTTGTAAATTCACAACCAGTAAGAGTTGAAAACCATTCTACAAGTCAATCTCACCCCACTCAGAGCCACCCAAGACAGCAGGTCTTCCAGTGAACAGCAATGAATAAACAAAATAAAATTTTTGATCACTAAGCAAAACAGTGAACTACATTATCTTTTAGCTTTTGGTTATAACATTAACAGGAAGAATACAAACTTTTACATCATTTATAATTTACTTCCTAAATTCAATTAAAATGCCCTTACTGAGAAAAAAAAATCCTACAAACTATCAAAACTCTAAACATAATTTCTTAAGATGGATACCCATGTGAAGTCAATGTTACTTTATTTGGTTTTTCTGAGGTATAAAAATTCTACAGGCAATATTTTACTTTCTCATTCTAGATATACCCAATTCCCACAAAGATGTTTTCTTTCTTATAGCATTCAGCAGCATTTCATTTCAAAATAAAACGCCTAAAGGAAAGCATGTTATAATAAAAATATTCTCAAATAGAAAGCTTTTCAGCACATTCTATGTTCTTATGTAGAAGGGGCATACTCAAAGTGACTTTCTTCCATAAATTTCAGCACAATCTAATCACTACTTATCCAGTATCGTAAGTCCAAATTTAAAACTCTACCAAAAAAAGTTTTGAAAAATCAAATGCCATTTCTCAAAGATAGCCAACTTATAAAGACTTTAAAATAAATGTGAGTGGTAAAAATCAGAAACATATAAATATTTAGAAAAAGGGCTGAGTGCAGTGGCTCATGCCTGTAATCCCAGCACTTTGGGAGGCTGAGAATGGCTTGAGCCCAGGAGTCGAAGCTGCAGTGAGCTATGATTGCACCACTGTACTCCGGCCTGGCTGATAGAGGCCCTATCTCAAAAAAAAAAAAAAAAAAAAAAAAAAAAGAGCTATGTAATGTTTTTTAATGCAGGGAGAAGAGTAGCACTGTACATTTTTTGCAAATCACTTTCATGTCTGGTTTAATGGTAGACCAGCTGAATTCTTGTTTTCTTTTTTTAATAAGCTTTCTTAGGCTGAATGATTTTTTTTTTAAATTCTATCAAATGGATTCAGACAGAAGAATGAATTCTTACATGTGCTTCTGCATTTAATCTGTTACATGTTATTTTGAAGTCTGTGGAAAAAACCTGGTCTTAGACCAGGAAAAAAGAAGAGTATTTTAACACTCTTTCCTAAATATTGGGCTTTTTTTTTAATTACACCAAAATTCAATGAGTGATAGTTTTTAAAACTTAGGTGAAATTTCTAATCTAAAACCAAATGAATCAACTTTCCATGTGCTGTTACAGTAAAATCAACTGGTCTATACTGCATTTTAAATATATCTTTCACCTGTCCATGATTTTGTAACATCATTCATTGGTCACCTGGAAAATACTGGTGCACTGTTATACAGGTCTTCCTTGACACATTTCATTGTACAGTATCAAAAATCTTATCTGGGCCAGGCAAAGTGGCTCATGACTTGTAATCCCAGTACTTTGGGAGGCTGAGGCAGGAGGATCCCTTGAGCCAAGAGTTTGAGACTATCCTGAGCAACATGGTAAAACCCCGTCTCTTCAAAAAATACAAAAAATTAGCTGGATGTGGTGGCACATGCCTGTATTCCCAGCTACTTGGGAGGTTGAAGTGGCAAGAATACCTGAGCCCAGGAGGTTGAGGCTGCAATGAGCCATGATCACAGCACTACACTCCAGCCAGAGTGATACAGTGAGGCCCTGTCTCAATTTTTTTAAATCTTATCTGTTCATATCGCTACTGATCTCATCAGAAAAGTCTATTAAGTATTGGAAAGTTGTCAAGTTCATGGTGGTGGATACAACTGTCCAAAATTCTAATTTTCACTTGAAAGCTGTACTTTTTTTTTTTTTTCCTTGAGACGAGTCTCGCTCTGTTGCCAGGCTGGAGTGCAGTGGCGCGATCTCGCCTCACTGAAACCTCCGCCTCCCGGGTTCAAGCCATTCTCCTGCCTCAGCCTCCCGAGTAGCTGGGACTACAGGTGCATGCCACCATGCCCAGCTACTCTTTGTATTTTTAGTAGAGACGGGGTTTCACCATGTTGGCCAGGATGTTCTCGATCCACCCGCCTCGGCCTCCCAAAGTGCTGGGATTACAGGCGTGAGCCACCGTGCCCGGCCCTTGAAAGCTGTAATTTTACCACTGGCAACAGTTTTCCTTGAAATCACAAGCACAGTCATCTATTTTTGATAATTTATCTGGAAAATATCCAAGCATAAATAACCAGTTTATCATTTCAAAATGGTGATGCTTGAAAAAAGCCATTTCGGCTTGCCACTCACTCACACAAGTGTTATTCATTAAGACCACTGTTGGACAATTATGCAACAGAACTGCTTTATGTGTACTTCCCATTTTATCACACAGAATATTAAGAAGATGTATATTCGAAGGCCAACACTTAATAAAAAAAATTTTTTTTGCTGTTTCATCAAAGATATTAAGTGAAAAGTAAAACTGACATTTTGTTTGTTTTCAATGTGCATGTTGGGGAAAAACTCAATCGTTATTATTAGCTCGGTTTGGTACCACTAACCTTGATTTGTGCTAAGGTGCCAGCAGCAAATCAATTGTGCAAGTCACTTTGCTTATGCCTGTAATCCTAGCATTTTGAGAGGCTGAGGCAAAAGGAACACTTAAGGCCAGGAGTTCTAGACCAACCTGGGCAACATGGTAAGACCCCATCTCTACGGAAAAAAACCTTTTTTTAATTTACAATTACAGTTTACATTTTCACAGTTGGCGAAAATGTATACAAAATAAGGGCAAAAAATATCTTAGTATAATCTTATCATGTGTTCACTGGAGCAGCCCTTTTAATTTCCTTCAAAAACTTTTCCTTTGCATTCACAACTTGGCTAACACGTTCCTTGCAAAGCTTAATCATTTCTAGCTATTGTAAAGTGAGACATGTAACCCTTCCTTTCACATGACCCACAGAGGACACTGCAGGGTTATTGGCCTAATTTCAATATATCTCAGGAAAGAGCAAGGTCCATGGGGAGAGAGGGGAATGGCCTTTCAGTGGAGCAATCAGCACACAGTATTTTTTACTAGGTTTTCCTTATTACATGAGCATGGCACCTCAAAACAATTACAATAGTAAGATCAAAGATCACTAAAAAGAATTATAAAGAGACATGAAGTGAGCACATGCTGTTGAAAATGATGCCAAAAGCTTTGCTTCATTCAGTTGCCACAAACCTTAAATTTGTTAGGAAACAAACAAACAAGTTATCTGTGAAGTGCAACAGACTGAGGTGAAATAAAGTGAAATGTGTCTGTATAAGATTGTTTCTTCACCTGCAAAATGAAGGGGAAAAAAAATGTGTACTACTTCAGAGAGCTGATATACAGCTCTCTGTATACAGTTAAATGAGACGATTTATTAGAATAATTTGTTGTTGTTGTTGTTGTTGTTTTTAAAGAAACAGAGTCTCACTTTGTTGCCCAGGCAGGATGCAATGGCACGATCACAGCTTATTGCACCCGTGAACTCCTGGGCTCAAACGGTCCTCCTGCCTCAGTCTCCCAAGTATCTAGGAATATACAGGTAGGGACCACCATGCCCAGCTAATTTTTTTTTAAATTTTTTGTAGAGACAGGAGTCTCATCTTGTTACCCGGGTTGGTCTAGAACTCCTGGCCTTAACCAATCCTCTTGCCTCAGCCTCCCAAAGTGCTACGATTACAGGTGTGAGCCACTGTGCCCAGACAATTTAAAGGATACCCAGGGCCTTGTATATTGTAGGCATACAACAAACCACTGCTACTATTATGAGCTCTAAGAGCAATCGTCTAATAATAAAGGTCAAAATGAGGTACAATACTTCAATAGCAGCTGAATTAATGACAGAATAACAGAAAATTTCTCAGACTTCAATCCTGTATTTGTACAACAGTCCATATAACATATCTGAAATAAATTTTCACCATGTGTAATACATTATATTCCCTTCTTAGAATATGTGACAACCAAGCTTTAGTATCTAAAAATTTAGTATATCAGCTTGTTTAATATTGAGATTGTTAAATACAATTTTGAAAGTTCTATTTGATACTTTCCAGCAGAAACCATGTAACATCAAGGGTAATCAAGGGTACTCACTAGGTTTATCTTAACAAATGACTTGTCTAGGAGGGAAATTTGAGACAAATGAGAAAATAAAATAACCATAAATAAGACACAGATTCGGATATTAGGATCAACAAAATCCTCCAAAATCTCGTTTAAAATATCAAAATACAGGCCAGGCGCGGCGGCTCACACCTGTAATCCCAGCACTTTGGGAGGCTGAGGGGGGTGCGGATCACAGGGTCAGGAGTTCGAGACCAGCCTGACAAACATAGTGGAAACCCTGTCTCTACTAAAAATACAAAAATTAGCTGGGCGTGGTGGCGTGCACCTGTAATCCCAGCTACTCAGGAGGCTGAGGCAGGAGAAACGCTTGAACCCAGGAGGCGGATGTTGCAGTGAGCCAAGATCACACCACTGCACTCCAGCCAGGGCGACAGAGTGAGACTCCTTCTCAAAAAAAAAAAAAAAAGCAAATACAACAAAGCTGGGTGGCAGGCACACAAGTATCTGTTATATTATTTTTATAATTTTCCATATGCATTAAACATTTCATTAAAAGATTAATCACTTGCATAAAAAAATGAAAGAGAACTCTTGGGTATTGCAAATTGGAAATAAAATTGTAAAATATAGTCCAGCTCTATCTGATAAAGACTACATATCCAAATGTAATATCTATTAAATAATAACTTTTTTATTTCACCTTAATGGTTAACTTCTATACAAGAAAGGTGAAGGACAAAGACAATACTAACAAGATTAATCTTAAGGAGATATGTCAATCTGAACTGAGGCTAAAGGCATTTTTGAATTATCCACATAATTGTCTAAACTCTCCTTTTCATCTTATCTAACATAAAAACATTAATATTTTCAAAATCACCTGGCACTGGTAAAAGATTCTTGTATCTCATGAATGAGTATCAAGCACCAACAATGAGTTAGATGAGATACGGTCACACACAAAAAAATAATGTTTATTTTGACTGTACTTTTTAAATGACAAAGAGTAATTTCAACAAAACCAAATGCTGCAGTGTGGCACTCAGCTATAACAGTGTATTTTCTTTATCCAAATAAACACAATAAAAGCTTTGCTTTGCATTGTTCATTATAAAAAACTGAATTTTTCTTTTGCAACTATTTATTTTTAAATAAGGAAGTAAAATTCTCAAAATGATACAGTTGCTGCTGCAAAGTATGAATAATAAGACTGAGGGAGGTAAGAGAGAAAGGACTAGTGCAAGCCCTAACAAAAGCCCTGTACACTGGGTATGGCTAAACCCTGAGCATGAAAGCACTCTTTGTAATTCTGGTCAATGGAAGGCCTTTCACTGTCCCAGTATATAGTAAAAAAAAAAAAAAAAAAAAAAAAATTAAAAGCAGAAGTGGGAGGATGGGGAGTTCGCCTCTTTAGGGGATATCTCCTCAGCTGCCTGGCTACAATAAGGACGAAGATTGCATGAACACAGGAAAGCTTTCCAAGCATGCAGCTACTAGGTCTTTGTTCAACACAGACCAGCCAAAAAAAGGACTCATGTACCCTACTTATACTACATTTCAATTTACTCTTAAACCAAATTCCAGGAATTGCATTTTTATCTCACATTGGCCCCTGCAAACTAGTTCACTGAGAAATCCACAGAGGACACAGTCTTTTGGCTTGCAATTTGGATTCCAGCAAAGATAATCCCACTCCTTTTATTTGAGAAGACATTAGAAAAGTTATTAAGAAATTTCATGATTTTGTTCATTTTTCAAAGGCCGCATAACCAAATGCAGTTCTCTATGAAGTTAACAGTTCATTGTCTCACTAAGCACTTCACATATGAACAAGTAATACAGGTTCATAACCAGACACCTCCGTATTTCAGTATACAACACTTTGAAAATAGTAAACCCTCAGGGTGTGGATCATAACTATTTTCCTCATTGCCATAACTGAACCAACTAAAATGCAATTAACGAAAGAAACTGTCATAGTTTAATTAGCTTTGGTTGATAACCCACTGTGTAATTATCTGTGAAGCTACAGGTAGCATAAAGCATCATTTCCTTTCAGGTTCCAAACAAAGAAAAGGCTCATTCTCTAGTATTAAGATTAGATATAGAAATGTTGGGCCCGGCGCAGTGGTCCACACCTGTAAACCCAACACTTTGGGAGGCGGAGGCGGGCAGATCACTAAGGTCAGGAGCTTGAGACCAGCCTAGCCAACATGGTGAAACCCCGTCTCTACTAAAAATACAAAAATCAGCTGGGTATGGTGGCGGGTGCCTGTAATCCCAGCTACTTGGGAGGCTGAGGAAGGAGAATCACTTGCACTTGGGAGACAGCGGTTGCAGTGAGGCAAGATCGTGCCACCACACTCCAGCCTGGGCGACAGAGCGAGACTACATCTCAAAAAAAAAAAAAAAAGAAACAGAAATGCTGAGAGCTGGGCACAGTGGCACATGCCTATAGTTCCAGCTATAGGTGCACCAGGATCATACCTGTGAATAGCCACTACACTCCAGCCTAGGCAACATACTGAGAACCAAGCTCTATTAAAAAAAAAAAAAAAAAAAAAAAAGAGAAGAAATTTTGATTTTCTTTTAAAAATACATATATATGAAGTTAATATATCTGCATTACTGGAAATTTTCTTTTAAAAATCCAACTCCATGACTGAGATTTTAAGTATGTATATGGCTGACTTTATGAAGAGCTACATTAGAATTAGCTTGTAAGACAAATTAGATTGCAAATAAATGCATTTTAATAATTAAAGATTATTCTGAAGCCTATCTAGTTTAAGAAATTTTGTTTATAACACTACTTTAAGAACTACTGAATGCCATCTTTTGAGCTGAAATGGGTATGAAATGCTTATAGAATGAGAGATTTGAAAGAGCCCTGGGAGATAATCTTATGAAATGAATGTCTGACTAAATAAAAGGGGAAAAAAAAAAGACTTGAGAAATAAAGTAACCTATTGAAGGTAACATAGCTAAATTTCCTTTATAAAATGACTACGGAGAATAAAATACCAAATTCATGTACAGTTTGCAACCTAATTTTCCCGGGTCATGATTTGCAAATGAATAATATAGCCCCAAAGGGCCACCATATTTTCTGGAAATCATGCTGACTAGTGAAAGAAAATGGTATTTCAGTGAGAATAAAAGGAAAAAGATACACAAAGAATAAGTTAACTTTATTTGGCAAACAAAAAGTAAATATTATGTAATTTGAAAAAGGACAAAGAAACTATAGATATAACCATAACCTATAGATCTGCAGGTGGCTTGTGCTATTAACTATTACTTTTTTTAAGTATCACTGAATTATTGTTAAAGAAAAACATTTATATAGTACGGAGGCTATAAAAGAGAAAGGACTAGGATACAAGGATGTAAGGTAGAAAGTATCTTCCATCATCCAATCTTTTTCTTCCAAAAGTAACCACTATCAAGTTTCTTAAGCATCTTTCCAGAAATTTTCTACACATACACATTTATCGATTTAACGACTCTTAAAAACTATTTCTAAAATTAATCATTGTGATTGTTCTAAAATTATCTAAAATGTCAGCTCTATAGGTATAAAAATAAAATTTCTAAAATATGGGTCTCATTCACAATTATGAAAACATATGATGAAGACTGTTGGTGAAAGTTATAACACGGAATATAAATATACCAAATTCTTAAGACTGTGGCCCAATAGTCCATCTGCAAAGATCGTTTCTAGCATTTATTTTCGCACAATGGAGAAAATTAAAATATACATACTAGATAAATGATGCTGTCACTTTTGACAAGTTACATAATCTATAAATTTACAACAATTTATCAATCCAGTCCATCTTCTTTTCCTCTATTTCCTCTCAATTACACATCATTAAGTCTGTTCCAATTGAGTAATCACTCCTTTGTAAGCAAAATTAGGTCAAATCATAAACTAACAATAGCACTCCATGTCCTGATGTAAAAAAACCAACTAATAAAAATCTATGTCCAGGCGCAGTGGCTCACATCTGTAATCCCAGCACTTTGGGAGGCTGACCAGCCTGGCTAATGTGGTGAAACCTCGTCTCTACTAAAAATAGAAAAATTAGTTGGGCATGGTGGTGCATGCCTATAATCCCAGCTACTTGAGCAGAAGGCAGGAGAATCACTTGAACCCAGGAGGCAGAGGCTGCAGCGAGCCGAGATCACTACAGCCTGGACAACAGAGTGAGTGAGACTCCATCTCAAAAAAAAAAAAAAAAAAATCTAACATACTATTATACAAATACATATAGTCTTCAGTAAATATGTCCTAATAGATCCAAGATACCAGTTATAAATATGCATATCCCAATTGATTGATGGGGTTAAGAAAAAAGACTATGGCACCGAATATGAATCTCAACTCACATTACTTAATACGCATCTCAGTATAAGAGCACGAGTATGAACTTTACCTTCTTTTTTACTTTTTACTAGCTTCCTAAGGAATATGCAGCATAAACTTAAGTCAGACCAACAAGTTTAGTTTCCTAACCTGTAAAATGGTTTTTGGGGTGTTTTTGAGACAAGGTCTCACTCTGTCACCCAGGCTGGAATGCAGTGGCATGATCCTGACTCTCTACAGCCTCAACTTCCTGGGCTCAAGCAGTCCTCCCACCTCAGCCTCCAAGTAGGTGGGACTACAGGAGTGAGCCACCATGCCCAGCTAATTTTTAATATTTTATACAGACAGTGTCTCACCATGTTGCCTAGGCTGGTCTCAAATTCCTGAGTCTCCCAAAGTGCTGTGATTACAGGTGTGAGCCACCACACCCAGTCTAAAATGGTATTCTTAACAACCCTGGCACCTAGTAGACATTAGTAGACATTCAACAAATGGTATCACAATTATTATTAAAGGAGAGCTTCCATATGTTATAATAAATGTAAATACTTCCTATATTATTTCAAACACAAAATTACTCAAAAAGCAGAGTTTGTAGTGTAATTTCAAAAGTTTAAAATAAATACATGTATATTTCATTTCCTCAATTTATGAGTGCAAATTAAATTTTAAGAAATATGCGAACTGAGTATTGAACCTAATATATGACCTAAATTATCAAAAATACCACCTAGCCGGGCACAGTGGCTCACGCCTATAATCCCAGCACTTTGGGAGGCCAAGGCGGGCAGATCACATGAGGTCAGGAGTTCAAGACCAGCCTGGCCAACATGCTGAAACCCCGTCTCTACTAAAAATACAAAAATCAGCCAGGCGTGGTGGTGCACACCTGTAGTCCCAGCTACTCGGGAGGCTAAGGCAGGAGAATCACTTGAACCTGGGAGGCGGAGGTTGCAGTGAGCCAAGATCATGCCATTGCACTCCAGCCTGGGTGACAGGGCAAGACTCCGTCTCAAAAAAAAAAAAAAAACTAATCCATCAATCTACAAAAATGGGAGAGGAAACCTTCAGGTTCCTTTACAATGTATCTTAACTACAACACGTGTGTATACACTGGCCATTATACACATTTCACTGCCTTCCAACCTTGAAGATTCAAAACAGCCTGTAAGGTAGGTTACCTTATGAGGTAATGGGCTTATTATTAAGCCCATTTTACAGATTAGGAAGCTAAGCAACAAAGAGGTTAGGTGGTTTTCCCAGGTTCGCACACCTGGTGAGAGTCACAGCCAAGACTGAACCCAGGTCACATGAGCTCCAGTCCCAACAAAGCCTATAGCCACCATCCTCTAATTCCCCCTCTGGAATGAATTCATGCATATGTAAACAATAAACATTAGGATTAGAGAGAATTCTGCTTAAAACAATGACACATTTGAATTTGAAAGAGTTTAGATGAGCTCTCAATGTAGTATTTCTACTGCATTACATTCATACCATGCTTACCCTCAGATGGACAATTTTCAAGATATGAAAACTCCTTTATACGAAAAGAATAAACTGTAATTACTCAGAGCAAAATCATGTAAACAGAAGCAAGAAGTCAAATAATTTCTATCCTCCCATATACTGGAAAACCAAAAAACTAAATGACTAATTCAAACCATGTAACTTATTTTTCTGTTGATTTTTATAAATTACAAGGTGACAGAAAAGGAGAATTACTTTTTTTGCATGTCATAAATTGGAAAATTAGTTGCAAATTTAAACCGGATGCTTTTTAAATAAACATATCCTTATTTAATATGCTTTCACACACCTAGTGTTTTAATACCTTCAGCAGTTAGCACACTGATACAGAACAGGTCAAACGAGATGTTTTTCAGTTTGGGTGAATTCAAGTTCAACTGTGATTCAATTATTATAGCCCAAACCAATAATATCGAGCACTTTCATGTAAGAAAATAACACAATTTAAATGTGTGAAAAACTCCTTTCCAATGCATTTAACATATCGGCTGGGGTCTTAGTCTGCCAGTTTGTATTACACATATGGATGATGTGTAATTGCACTTATACTAGTAATAATGCTGTTTCAAGCTATACAGATTCGGATTCAAGCAAGACAGGAATCATGATGTCTACAGAAGCTAGAGAAAAGTTAAAATAATGTATTAGGGCAAAATTACACGGTTGGAACATGAATGTAAGGTTAATATAATCCAATCCCAATAAAAAGTAAAAGCCTCTGGAAAACTGCTATACAGCTTGATGGCCAGGCTTTTCCTCTTGTGTCTTCCATTATCATTGCCGTTCTTTCTTAATGGTAAATTATCAAAATATTTAAAAGTTGTAAGACATCTGTCTAGTCACAAAAGGATCTCCAATTTTCTTAATCTGCCCTAGTCCACAATGACTCTGAGACAGTGGTAGGCTTAAATAATACAAGACATAACACTGTGGGAAAAACAGTTCATCAAAAAAAGAAAGATGCGATGCCTTCAATATCTAAAGTTCAGAGGCCAGATGCGGTGGCTCAAGCCTGTAATCCAAGCACTGTGGGAGGCCGAGATGAGCAGATCACTTGAGACCAGGAGTTCAATACCAGCCTGTCCAACACGGCAAAACCCTGTCTCTACTAAAAATACAAAAAATTAGCTGGCTTTGGTGACACGCACCTGTAGTCCCAGCTACACAGGAGGCTGAGGCACGAGATATCGCTTGAACCTGGGAGGCAAAGGTTACAGTGGGCCAAGATTGCACCACTGCATTCCAGCCTGGGCAACACAGCAAGACTGTCTCAAAAAAAAAAAAAAAGAAAGAAAAAAAAAGTATTAATAGATCAGAGCATTTGGGCCAAAAACTTGTCTTAAAATTTACTGGCATTAAGGTTAAAATAAAAAGGGAAGTGAGTGGCAGGAAAAGACAAATTGTAGTGGATAACTTTTTAAACCACAGAAAACAAACTTATCTGCAGAGTTCCTTCCTAGATTATGATTAAGTAAAATTCTGCCACATAGGTCCTATAAAAAATACACAAACCTTATCCAGTGCTGTAATTCCAGTGTTGACAAAGAGCAGGCTTTAGATGGAAGGCATTTCTAAGAGACAGAATTGCTATGGTACACACAGCCTTCTGATGGTCTATCTAGGGATCAATTTAGGAGTTGGAAACACATGATACTGTGTTTAAGATATTCTTCAAATATCTTAAACATTACGTATCTCTTCCTCAAATTCAAGGTGTAGGCCAGGCATGGTGGCTCACGCCTGTAATCCCAGCACTTTGGGAGGCCGAGGCAGGTGGATCACCTGAGGTCAGGAGTTCCAGACCAGCCTAGCCAACATGATGAAACCCCATCTCTACTAAAAATACAAAAATTAGCCAGCTGTGGTCGTGGGCGCCTGTAATCCGAGCTACTTGGGAGGCAGAGGCAGAAGTGCTTGAACCCAGGAGGCGGAGGCAGTAAGCCAAGGTTGCACTACTGCACTCCAGCCTGGGTGACAAGAGCGAGACTCGGTCTCAAAGAAAAAAAAAAAATTCAAGGTGTAGTACAAAGCTTTCAAGAAATGTCCTTCATCTGGCACACATTCAAACCACTGTCCAACAGTAAAGCAGTAAAGATGTGAGATTGCTTCTTACATGGGCACTACTGGCTTCAAACACCTTGAAGAGCCAGCAAAGCTGATACTTTATTATGGAAATCTAAAGGGTAGGCTTTATTTTGCTTCTATAAGAGGATAACTCACTGACACATAAACAAGAAGACGGCCAGACTGACTTCTGGGAATAGTCAGAAGCCTTCATGGGACTATAAGGTAGAGGAAATGAGAATTCTTCAGAATTTTGAAATCTCAAACTATCCCACCTAGTAGTGTTTGGTATCCCAATGTGCTGGTTTTTTAATTTTTCTGTGCAATCCTTCTTAAAGGAAGCATAAAAATGGCATTTATTTTGGTCAGCCAACAAAGTACATACCTAAACAGTTAAATAATACAATTTTTTCAAGAAGATTGAGAATAACCATTTTAAACCAGTCAAGTTAAAGAACTTCATTTTTGTGAAAGCAAATACTAAGGAAAAATTTACTCAATTATTAATCAAAAAGGGGAATTAATATTTCCATCATAATTTTCTGTTACCACAGTGCTGATTATCCCTCTTTAATACCAAGGAGATCTAAAATCACCTCCAGTTCAATTAACTGTTTCAACACATCCAGGTTTAGAAATAAGTTCCACAATTCCTCATCAAAAGTGACTCAGCCCTCACATTACCAAAAAATGTAAACAGGCAGTATCAGCTACCACAATGGTATAAATTTGAAGGGAAGAAATTTATTTTAATTACATACCCACTTAAAGCTGCTGATTTCTCAATAACTTTGTATCCAGTACAATGTTAGTGTGTAAAAAAGACCAAATCTGGGTTCTACGTATGCAGCATATGAGATATAAAGAAAAGCTTTTAAAAAGATGAGAGAATTCTAAATGATATTCAACTTCTGATAAAGTTACTGGGAAACGAAAATAGGGAAGTCTCAGAAACAATGTTTAAACTCTATTTAAACATTTGAAACAGTACCCTCACTTTCTTAATGACAACAGCCCCTAAAAGAGAAGTTCCAGGGTTATATATTCCATACAATAATAATAGCTAATATTATTAGGCAATAGGCCAGGAGCAGTGGCTCACGCCTATAATCTCAGCACTTTGGGAGACCAAGGCAGGCAGATCACCTGAGGTCAGGAGTTCGAGACCAGCCTGGCCAACACGGTGAAACCCTGTCTCTAATAAAAATATAAAAATTAGCCAGGCATGGTGGCGGGTGCCTGTAATCCCAGCTACTTGGGAGGCTAAGACAGGAGAATCGCTTGAGCCTGGGAGGCAGAGGCTGCAGTGAGCCGAGATTGTGCCATTGCACTCCAGCCTGGGCAATAGAGCAAGACTCTGTATCGAAAATAAATAAATATATATAAATAAATATATATAATTTTTTTATATATATATACACACACACACACACACACACACACACACACACTCTTATTAGGCACTAAGTATGACAGACCCTGTTCTATGCACATTAATTCATTTACAACAAACTTAGGAGGAATGTTCTATTACTTATTCCTATTTCAGGATGAAAAAACAGGCACAGAACAGGCACAGTGCCTCACGCCTATAATCCCAGCACTTTGGGAGGCCAAGGAGGGAGGATCACTTGAGTCCAGGAGTTTGAGACCAGCCTGGGCAACATGGCAAAACCGTGTCTCTACAACAATTACAAAAATTAGGCAGGCGTGGTGGTGGCACATACCTGTAGTCCCAGCTACACAGGAGGCTAAGGCAGGAGGATTGCTTGAGCCCAGGAAGTCGAGGCTACAGCGAGCCATAATCATGCCACTACACTCCAACCTGGGTGACAGATTGAGACCCTGTCTCAAGAATGTATATAAAAATTAAAATTAAAAAAAAAAAAAAAGCTGGCACAGAAAAGGCAAAAACTTACCCAAGACTAAGATTTGAACCTATGTATTCTGAGGCCAGAGTCCATACTCTTAACCACAATACTACATTGAATTTATATAAAGTATTGATTCTTAAGCTTAAGAGACTTAAACAAACATGTCAAGTCGAGGGAAACATTCCCATTACTTTGGGAGGCCGAGGTAGGTTGCTTGAGGCCAGTAGTTCAAGATCAGCCTGGGCAACACAGCAAGCCGCCATCTCTACAAAAAGTAAACAGCTAGGCAGGGTAGCACCTGCCTGTAGTCACAGCTACTCCCGAGAATGGCATGGGAGGATCCCTTGATCCCAGGAGTTTCAGGTTACAGTGATCTATGACCATGCCACTGCATTCCTCCAACCTGGGCTACCACAGAATCAGACCCTTTAAAAAAAAAAACTAACAATTATAAAAAAGATAAGGGAAATAAAGGCATCAAGTATCAGAGAACACATTAATAGAGATGGATCTAGGTCAATTGATGAAGTACAGTTGTCCCTCTGTATCCACAGGAGATTGGTTCCAGGAGTCCTGTGGATACTAAAATCCAAAGATGCTCAATTCCCTGATATAAATGATCTAGTATTTGCATAAAACCTATGCATATCCTCCCTGCATACTTCAAATCATCTCTAGATTATTTATACAATGTAAATGTTGTATAAAGAGTTATTATACTGTATTTTTTTATTTCTATAATTTTTATTGTTGGTGTTTTTGTTGTTGTTGTTGAGAAAAGGTCTCACTTTGTTGCCAGGCCAGAGTGCAGTGGCAAAATGATGGCTCGCCACAGCTTCGACCTCTCAGGCTCAAGCAATCCTCCCACTTCAGCGCCCTACCCCACCCAGTAGCTGGGACTACAGGCAAGCTCCTCACACCCGGCTAATTTTATATTTTCTGTAAATATGGGGTCTCACTATGTTGCTCAAGCTGTTCTCAAAGCCATGGGCTGCACCAATCCTCCCCAAAGTGCTGGGATTACAGGCGTGATCTACCATGCCTGGCCTCCTTTAAATTTTTTTTCAGGACTCAAAATTATACTGAGCTCAAGCAATCCACCTGCCTCAGCCTCCCAAAGTGTTGGGATTACAGGCATGGGCCACCGCATCTGGCCTGCATTATTTTTTCTACACAGCACTTATCACCATCTGACAATTATGTCTGGGTACTACCTTTCTATCTGAATACAATATAAATTTTGTGAAAAAATGACTTGTTTTTATTCATTGCTATATCCTCAGCTCTTAATGCAATACCTGGTACGCAGCAGACATGCAATTAATGTTTGTTGAATAAAGGAACAAATGAATGCATTCCTTAACCCTACCTGTGCATAAGGCCATTCTGGCTTCCTAGCAATAAAAGATTGTTTTGAGGACTCTGGGATTCAAACAACAACTATCTTATAACTAGCATCTTACATTGTACTACAAGGCACTAATATTCAAGAAATTATCTCAGCTCCCCCAGCACAAAATATGAGAAAAGTACAGACAATACACTTTAAAATGTAACACAAGAAAAACAGTATCTATGTTAAAGATAGATGTCTTATAAATTGCACAATTCACTCCACTAGATCTGCCAGTAAAGCAAAAAATATTTCTTCCTAGTTAAAATCCACTCATGGAAATAAATTAAAAGTTTCAGTGGGCAGGGCACGGTGGCTCATGCCTGTAATCCCAGCACTTTGGGAAGCTGAGGCAGGCAGATCACGAGGTCAGGAGATCGAGACCATCCTGGCTAACACGGTGAAACCCCATCTCTAATAAAAAAAATACAAAAAATTAGCCGGGCGTGGTGGCGGGCGCCTGTAGTCCCAGCTACTCGGGAGGCTGAGGCAGGAGAATGGTGTGAACCTGGGAGGTGGAGCTTGCAGTGAGCCAAGATCGAGCCACTGCACTCCAGCCTGGGCGACAGAGCAAGACTCCGTCTCAAAAAAAAAAAAAAAGTTTCGGCTGGGTGTGGTGGCTCACTCCTATAATCCCAGCAGTTTGGGAGGCCGAGGCAGGCAGATCACCTGAGATCAGGAGTTTGAGACCAGCCTGGCAAACATGGTGAAACCCCGTCTCTAAAAAATAATACAAGAATTAGCCAGGTGTAGTGGCGGGTGCCTGTAATCCCAGCTACACAGGAGGCTGAGGCAGCAGAATCGCTGGAACCTGGGAGGTGGAGGTTGCAGTGAGCCAAGACCGTGCCACGCACTCCAGCCTGGGTGACAAGAGCAAAACTCCATCTCAAAAACAAAAAAAAAAGTTTCAACATTGTCAATTATATAACTTTGCTTTGGTCATTATGAAGCTCAGATTCATAACTCCAACCCACATCCAGCAATTATCCAGGTTCTTTGGCCTTCATTTCTGTATAATGCTCATGGCTCTACCTAGCTCGAGTTATTTTTTAATCTCTATTCTTATTAATATTTTCTCAATGCCTTGATTTCCTAAATCTAGTTTTTTCACCTGGTATTTCAAGTATTTTTGTAATCCTTCTTGGAATGATTACAACTTTGAATGTTTCTTGCAGTGAAATTTGACACAGATTAATCTGAAAGATTACTATTAGATTTCTGTTTCTGCTTAGGAAAAAGAAAGCTGCAGAGAATATCACACTCACTTTAAAAGGAGAAAAGGCCACATAATATAAAACGTAACTTTTCTTTAGCCCATTAGGGAGCTGAACTTGCAAGAAAACAAAATGAACTGAATTCCAAAGGACAGACCATGAGAGAAAGAGATGGTCGGTTGTAATACAAAAAATCTGGCCGGGCGGGGTAGCTCATGCCTGTAATCCCACAATTTTGGGAGGCCGAGGCGGGTGGATCACAAAGTCAGGCGTTCAAGACCAGCCTGGCCAACATGGTGAAACCCCATCTCTACTAAAAATACAAAAAAATTAGCCAGGCGTGGTGGCGGGTGCCTGTAATCCCAGCTACTCCAGAGACTGAGGCAAGAGAATCACTTGAACCTGGGAGGCAGAGGTTGCGGTAAGCCTAGATTGCACCACTGCACTCCAGCCTGGGCAACAAGAGCGAAACTCTATCTCAAAAAAAAAAAAACTGCTAAAAGTTTAATAAATTCCTCAAAGTTAAGTGTGGACTGGCATATCAGTTTCCGAAGTGAATGCCCAGACACAATGCACTTGGTAAGTACGACATTCACTTGCAAGTTCTTCACTACAAATCTCCACATGAGCAAGACCTTTACACATCTCTCACAGTTGCTCATAAGAAAGACTGGCTTCATGACAGAAACTGGAGAGAGTCCCATCTGATGGAACAGGAGTGCAAGAGGTAGATCCTCCACAGCTAGGAACAGGCACAAAGCCTGAAGAGATTCCACAGGTCCTTTTCTGCTATGAAGCAGAGGTCCCTGTAGAGAAAGCAGCAAACCCTTTTCTCCCCCAGGACATTTCCAAAATCTACCGTTGCCAGGATGAAGAAGTAACAACCCCCCACCCCAATTCCAGTGAGGAAGAATATGGAAACCATTTTGGGCCTAGGATCCCACACTGATCCATCAAGCAGAAGTTTGCTACCATTGGCAAGGGCAAGGGGTGAGAAATTCCAACCCGAGAACTACCACAAATATAAGACAAACTGGCTGCTACATGGAAGAGGGGAGGTAACACTGACAAAGCCACATCTATGAGGCCAGATACACCAGGTCCGCATAAGGCTGAGATGAGGGTGGATCAGGATAATAGCCCCTAGCACAATCCTAGCACCTAGTACCAAGCAACGGTATTCTACACTGTGGGTAAATTAGCTACCATTTTAAGACTCTAAAGCCTGTGGTACACCAAAGGTAATGACAACAACAATAAAAACCCAAGCTAGAGCCAAGTGCAGTGGCTGTGATTCCAGCACTTTGGGAGGACAAGGCGGGAGGATCACATGAGCCCAAGAGTTGAAGACCAGACTGGGCAACACAGGAGACCCCATCTCTTTTTTTTTTTTTTTTTTTTTTTTTTGAGACAAAGTCTCGCTCTGTCGCCCAGGCTAGGGTGCAGTGGGGCAATCTTGGCTCACTGCAACCTCTGCCCCCGGGGTTCAAGCAATTCTCCTGCCTCAGTCTCCCGAGTGGTTGGGATTAAAGGTGCCCACCACCACACTCAGCTAATTTTTTTGTGTTTTTTTAGTTGAGATGGGGTTTTGCCATGTTGGCCAGGGTGGTCTTGAACTCCTGACCTCAAGTGATCCACCTGCCTCAGCCTCCCAAAATGCTGGGATTACAGGCGTGAGCTAGCTAGCTTAACTAAGCACCCAATATCTCACGGTAAAGGCCTGAAGGAAGAAGTGGCGTGCCCATTTCCAAACATAAATGCTACTTATCTCAGTCTCTACTGTTCTTCTATACAATGTTCAACGCTTAATCAAAACTTAGGAGACACACATATAGAAAAAACCACCTTTAGTGAAGAGAAAAAAGCAATAAATACAACCAGATTCAGGGATGATACAGAAGCTAGAAAAATGAAGACAGTGATTTCTCTGTAATAATGATTAGTATGTTAAAGGACAGTGAAAAAGGAGACAACATACATGAATAGATGGGTAATTTCAGGAAGAAAAATTATTTTTAGATGGAAAATAATTTCAAAAGCTAAATGCAAATGCTAGAAATAAAAAATACAATGTCAGCAGACTGGGCCCAATTGATGAAAGAATCAACGAACTTGGGCCAGGCACGGTGGCTCATACCTATAATCCCAGCACTTTGGGATTTGGGAGGTCAAGGTGGGTGGATCACCTGAGATCAGGAGTTCAAGACCAGGCTGGCCAACATGGCAAAACCCCATTTCTACTAAAAATACAAAAACTAGCCAGGCATGCTGGTGCGCGCCTGTAATCCCAGCTACTCAGGAGGCTGAGTCACAAGAATCACTTGAACCCAGGAGATGGAGATTGCAGTGAGTCAAGATCATGCCACTACACTCCAGCCTGGGCAACAGAGTGAGATTCTGCCTCAAAAAAAAAAAAAAAAATCAACGAACTTAAAGATACATTAAGATGTATCAACAGAAATTACTCAAACTACAACATAGGGAAGAAAAAAAAAAAAGAGGTTCCACTAATGTGGGAAAGTATCAAATGGTATAATATATGTATAACTGGATTCACAGAAGAAAAAAGAGACTAAAAAAAAGAAATACTTGAGATAATGACCTAGAATTTTCCAGAAAAAAAAAAAAAAAAATTCCAAACCACAGATCCAAGAAGTTTAGAGAAATCCTAAGCAAGGTAAATATAAAACAAACCAACAAACACACAAGCCTGGAAACATCAAAATCAAACAGCATGAAGGCAGCAAGAAGAAGAAAACAAAAAATTACATATACTTAAGTAAACAGGTAAGAATTACAGCAGACCTTGTGAGAAGCAATACGAGTCAGAAAACAATGACATTTGCACTACTTTAAAAGAGTGTGGCTGGGCATGGTGGCTCACACCTGTAATCCCAGCACTTTTGGCTGGAGGATAGCTTGAGCCGAGAAGTTTGAGACTAGCCTAGCCAACATGGCAAAACCCATCTCTACAAGAAACAGAAAACGTTGCCAGGTGTGGTCATGTGTGCCTGTAGTCCAAGCTACTTGGGAGGCTGAGGTGGGAGGATCACCTGAGCCTAGGAGGTCAAGGCTGTAGTAAGCCATGATCATACTACTGCACTCCAGCCTGGGAAACAGTGAGACACTGTCTCAAAAAAAAAATTTTTTTAATAATCAAAAAAAGAAAGAAAAATACTTGTCAACACAGAATTTTATGTGAGGAAAAATATTTTTCAAAAATGAAGGCAATAGAAAGATCAATATCATTAATATAAATAATGTTCTCCGTATCAAAGTAAACATATTGTTAGATATTTTTATTCAAAACTCAATAAACATAGCCAAAGTGATATTTGTCCTTGAAATGAGGTTTAAAAACTGAGAGATTCAAACATTTTCCTTAACATTCAAATAAAAATTTATCATTTTCTAAACACCATTCTAAAAAAATCCTCCCTGTTAATTCAGATACTGCTTGTCCATCTATAGCTTGGAATGCTCTGGAGGAGCATTTTGTTGCTTTAATTAAAGCAACAAAAAGAAAATTAAATAAGCCTAGGAAAAAATGCTGAATTAAAAAAAGAAAAGGTTCTTTCTGAATAGTGAAATTAGGGTTTGTCTCTTCATAGCTTTTATTTGTTTTTGAAACAGAGTCTTGCTCTGTCACCCAGGCTAGAGTGCAGTGGTGCTCACCAGAGCCTGGATTTCTTGGGCTCAACTGATCCTCCCACCTCAGCCTCCCAAGTATTATAGCTAGGACCACAGGCATATGCCACCACACCAAGCATATTTTTTATTTTTTTGTAGAGATGGGGTGTCACTATGTTGTGTAGGCTGGTGTCAAACTCCTGGGCTCAAGCAATCCTCTCATCTCAGCCTCCCAAAATGCTAGAAGCACAGGCATGAGCTACCATGCCCAGCTTTCATAGCTTTTAAAACTTCCAAATTTTCCTTTTTTAAAAAAATTTTTATTTTATCTTTTGGAGACAGGGTCTTGCTCTGTCACCCAGTCTGGAGTACAGTGGCATGATCTTGGCTCACTGCAACTTCCGCCTCCCAGGTTCAAGAGATTCTCCTGCCTCAGCCTCCCGAGTATCTAAAATTACAGGTGTGCACCACCACGCCCAGCTAATTTTTGTATTTTTAGTAGAGATGGGGATTTCACCATGTTGTCCAGGCTAGTCTTGAACTCCTGGGCTCAAGCGATCCACCCACCTCGGCCTCCCCAAGTGCTGGGATTATAGGTGTGAGCAATCATGCCCGGCCCCAAATTTTTCATTATGAACATTTACTACATTTGTTTCAAATGGAAAAATATCCTATTAAACAAAAATGACAATGTAGCAGATTTAAATAATATTACACTTCACAGATAGGGCTGGGTTCAAGCACAAAGCCTTCCAAAGCCTTCTTTCTTTTTTTTTTGAGACGGAGTCTCGCTGTGTCACCCAGGCTGGAGTGCAATGACACGATCTCAGCTCACTGCAACCTCTGCCTCCCAGGTTCCAGCAATTCTACTGCCTCAGCCTCCGGAGTAGCTGGGACTACAGGCGTGTGCCACCACGCCCGGCTAATTTTTGTATTTTTTTAGTAAAGACAGGGTTTCACCATATTGGCCAGGCTGGTCTCAAACTCCTGACCTCGTGATCCGCCCACCCCGGCCTCCCAAAGTGCTGGGATTACAGGCATGAGCCACCGCGCCCAGCCTAAGCCTTCTTTCTTAATGACTGTTGTCTATGCTATTGGTTTGGAGTCCCACTGGCTCCCTATAGGAGAGTGAAGATGCAACTATCAAAAAGGAAACATAGTCCTACCTTTCAGAATGTGGAAAATCTAAAAGGAGTAGCTTCTAGCTGACATATTCCACTCATTGACACTATCTCTAACAATTGAAGCTAATAACAGCAACTGTTTAAATTCAAAGGCCACAAATACTAAGGTTTGAAATATATCTGATACACTAAGACAGCACCCAGGATGATTCCGGGCACTTTATATACTCTAGTCCTCCCCTAGTCCTCCCCATTATCCTAATAATCTAAGTATTGTCATTCTCATTTATAGATAAATAAGTATCATCAGAATTCAGATGCTTAAAGGTCACCATCATCACAATGTTCTCAGTCGTTGAACTGTACTTACTGCGGAGATTTACACCATGGATTTCAATGTCACTTGCTGCTTCTATGCTTACGCCTAAATATAGTAAAGCAGACCCTATTTAATAAAATCTCACATTAGAATTTTACTTCACTGAGCAAAATAATTTTAAACAGTCTTATTCCTGCCCTTTATAAGATTAAAATCTTAACAGCTCAAAATATTGGGTATTAATACTAAGATTAGCTCTTTCAAACCTCACATTCCTGTATCTCAGTCATAATGAGACTTAATAACTCTCCAGAAATACAATGTTGGAGCTAAGTTCAGAAAATATCTTACAGGCTGAAAAAATATACACATGTCAAAATTGAGATTTAATAATTCCAATTTCTTCTTCAGCTGAAATAAAAAGACACCTAGAAAACTCAGCTATACATATATAGTAAATATAGAAATACACTGGGCTGGCCAGGTGTGGTGGCTCACACCTATAATCCCAACACTTTGGAGGGCCAAGGCAGGAGGATCACATGAGGTTAGGAGTTTAAGACCAGCCTAGCCAACATGGTGAAACCCCCATCTCTACTAAAACTACAAAAATTAGTCAGACATGGTGGTGCACACTTGTAGTCCCAGCTACTCGGGCGCTGATTCATGAGAATCACTTGAGCCCGGGAGGCGGAGGTTGCAGTGAGCTGAGATCGCACCACTGCACTCCAGCCTGGACGACCGAGTGAGACTCCATCTCAAAAAAAACAAAAATAAAAATAACAGAAATACATTGGGCTAATGAATCCCAAATTCAGGATACCACTTATCTCTGGTGAAAGAGAGGAGCAAGTGATCAAGGAGGGTACATGCAAGAGACTTTAGTTACATTTTGTTTGTGAAGCCAGCTGATGAATGCATTGCTTTGCTATGTTATAGTGTATTTTTATATAGTACTATGCAGTGTTTTTTTTTTGTTTTATTCTCTAACAGTTACCAATCTCAGATATATATGCAATATTTTAAAATACAATTGTTTTAGGTTTTCAAACCAGATGTGCCACTTTACATCTGCCTAAAACACAAACATAAATTTCACGTAATACATCATCATCATCATGTTACTATTATAGATTCTAAGAAAAGAAATACGTCCCACCACATACACTAAATTTACACACAAATTCCATTCATGAGATGCAAATGCCTTTTGTAACAGAAGATATTTAAAACCCATTTTCATTATCTATACAATGAGGTCAACACCACCCGCAGAGTCACAACAGAATTGTGAAAATTAAACAGGGTAGGCCAGGCATGGTGGCTCACGCCTGTAATCCCAGCACTTCGGGAGACCAAGGCGGGTGGATCACCTGAGGTCAGAAATTCGAGACCAGCCTGGCCAACATGGTGAAATCCCGTCTCTACTAAAAATACAAAATTAGCTGGCTGTGGTGGCGCATGCCTGTGATGCCAGCTACTCGGGAGAGGCTGAGGCAGGAGAATCACTTGAACCTGGGAGGCAGAGGTTGCAATGAACCGAGATCGTGGCATTGCACTCCAGCCTGGGCAACAAGAGCGAAACTCCGTCTCAAAAACTAAAAATAAAAACAAAGAAAATTAAATGGGGTAAAAAATGAATAGTCCACACAGAATATTTTCATCAAATGTTAGTTATTACTACTGGCAAAAGCTAACCTATAAAGATGCAAAAATACAAGACCATGTGTCAGTATTTAATAACACTAGAGTCCTCACATGTGGTCTTACTACTGATGGTGTACACATTTTCCAACTCCCAATTTGTAGAATAAGCCTGGGAATGAATTCATGTATAACTAATATGGGTAATGTAACACACCCGGGTCCCAGACATATAATCAATCATGCCAGAGCTCCCTGTTATCAACAGAAAGACTTCTAATAATAAGTATAGCATCTACTTTATTACTAGCATAGACAGACCCTTATGAAAGCAGAAACAAAGAACACAGGCCGGGCGCGGTGGCTCACGCCTGTAATCCCAGCACTTTGGGAGGCCGAGGCGGGTGGATCATGAGGTCAGGAGATCGAGACCATCCTGGCTAACAAGGTGAAACCCCGTCTCTACTAAAAATACAAAAAATTAGCCGGGCACGGTGGCGGGCGCCTGTAGTCCCAGCTACTCGGGAGGCTGAGACAGGAGAATGGCGTGAACCCGGGAAGCGGAGCTTGCAGTGAGCCGAGATTGCGCTACTGCAGTCCGCAGTCCGGCCTGGGCGACAGAGCGAGACTCCGTCTCAAAAAAAAAAGAACACACTCCCTTGCCAAAGGGAAAAAAAAAGAACAGGCTGGGCATGGTGGCTCACGCCTGTAATCCCAGCACTTTGGGAGGCCCAGGCAGGTGGATCATGAGGTCAGTAGTTCAAGGCCAACCTGACCAACATGGTGAAACCCCATCTCTACTAAAAACACAAAAATTAGCCAGGCATGGTGGTGGATGCCTGTAATCCCAGCTACTCTGGAGGCTGAGGCAGGAGAATTGCTTTAACCTGGGAGGCGGAGGTTGCAGTGAGCCGAGATCGCACCATTGCACTCCAGCCTGGGTGGCAGAGCGAGACTCCGTATCAAAAAAAAAACAAAAACAAACAAACAAAAAACCATACTCCCTTGCCTTAACTACATGGTTTAATGGGAAAAACTGATAAATAATAAAATCACAATACAGTGCCCAAATGCCTGGACAAAGTTACCCACACTTGTTAGTAGAGTAACTAACCCAGGAAGGAAATGGTATGAACCATCACAATACTGATAGGTATTGCCTGTCATATAGCTCTGCCTCTTCATCCTTTCCCTTGCACCTCAAATCTGCTCATTCTGATTCTTTCTGAAAGCAGACAGAAAACAGTATTTACACTTGAATATATTACAGAACTGCACTGTTCAATAGGTAGCCTCCAGGAACGCTGGGCTATTGAAGTCTTGAAATCTGGCTAGTGCAAGACAAGGTGTGCTGTTACTGTAAGTGTAAAACATACACTGAAGTGCAAAGGCTTAGTACAAAGAATGTAAAATACAGTATCTCACTAATAATTTTTATATGATGTCTTAATAATATTTTTATATATTGAGTCAAATATTATTAAAATTGATTTTTCCTGTTTTTCCCTTTTTACTTTTTAATGTAGCTACTAGAAAATCTAAAATTACATGGGTGGCTCATATGATATTACTTTGCTTTTGTTTGTTTGTTTTTCCTTTTTTTTTTTTGGAGACTAGGTCTCACTCTGTTGCTCAGGCTAGACTGCAGTGGCACAATCATAGTTCACTGCAACTTTGAACTCCTGGGCTAAAGTGATCCTCCTGCCTCAGCCTGATGACTACCTGGGGCTACAGGTGTGCACCACCACACTTGGCTAATTAATTTTAAATTTTTGTAGAGACGAGGTCTCACTACACTGCTCAGGCTGGTCTCAAACTCTGGCTTCAAGCGATCCCGCCTCAGCCTCCAAATTGTTGGATTACAGGCATTAGACACTGCACCTGGTCTCAAATTATATACTGGACACCATCATCTATGAAAAAAATTAAAATATATACATAATGCACCTCAGAAGTATTCAACAAAGTATAGCTGGCTAGGCATGGTGGCTCATGCCTGTAATCCCAACACTTTGGGAGTTAGAGGCAGGAGGATCACTTGAGCCTTGGAGTTTGAGACCAGCCTGGGCAACATAGTAAGACCTTATCTTTACAAAATTAAAAAATAATAATAACAATAATAGCCAGGCATGGTGGTACACACTTGTACTCCCAGCTACTCAGGAAGCTGAAGTGGGAGGATCACTTGAGCCTGGTGGTCAAGGCTGCAGTGAGCTACAATGGGCCACTGCACTCCAGCCTAAGCAACAGAAGACCCTGTCTCAAAAAAAAAAAAAAAAAGATTGTTAAATGTGAATCCCAGATTGAAACTTCAAAAATAATTAACTAAAGTAATCCATAACTAAATCTAAATGTAATATTTTTAAAAAGCAAACAAAGAAAAGACCTACGCTCTCAGAATCCTAACTACCTTGGGCACATTCATGGTGTGACAATGACACTCATTAACCCAACAAATTAAAACCACAACTCTACTTTTCTGAATTAACTGATATGGAGTAAAACTGTTCCTCCTCCTTTTGCACTGAATTACACTAGAAATAGCCCAGGTAACACAGTTCATCAAAGTCAGACCACAACATCAAACGTAAGCTCTTTGCATAAGAAACACAGAGGGGAAAATTTCAAAACATCCTGGAAACGCCATTAACTGTATTAATGCAATCCATTTAAATGACCTGTCCATCCATATTTATAGAATCAGTCCCCGAAGCTAAAAGTCAGAGCTCTGGCTCTTCACTGTCTAGAAAGAAGTCACGAAAATTAACTCAATAGGTACATGAATCACAATGACCCAAGTCCCTCAAGAGTGACCTGAAGAAAAATGTGGAACAGAGTAAAAAATGCACAAGTTCACTCCAAACAAAAAAGAGAGAATTCCTAAGCCCTCCTTCCCCAAACCAAGGAGGTTGTACATGTCAGAAGGTTCAGCACAGACCAAACCAAAGGAAATATGAATGATCTTAATTAATATCAAGATGTCCTGTGGGGCACAGTGGCTCACACCCATAATCCCACACCCTGGGAGACTGAGGCAGGTAGATCACTTCAGGTCAGTAGCGCAAGGCCAGCCTGGTCAACATGGCCAAACCCCGTCTCTACTAAAAATATAGCCAGGCATGATGGCACACGCCTGTAATCCCAGCTACTCAGGTGGCTGAGGCAGGAGAATCGCTTGAACCTGGGAGGCCCAGGTTGCAGTGAGCCGAGATTGCACCACTGTACTCCAGCCTAGGCAACAGAGCAAGACTGTTTCAAAAAAATAAAGAAAAAAAATCACTTCCTCATGGAAAAAAAATAGCTAAATACTATCATTGCCCATTAATTTGGGTTTTTTTGCTTTGTTTTTTCAGACAAAGTCTCACCCTGCCACCCAGGCTAGAATGCAGCAGTGTGATCACAGCTCACTGCAGCCTTGACCTCCTGGGCTCAAGCAATCCTCCTGCCTTGGCCTCCCAAAATGCTGGGATTACAGGCATGAGCTACCATGCCCAACTTAGTTTCTAACTTTGACCAATTAGATAACTGGTAATGAAATATTCCAAGTTCTAAGAAGATGTCAAGTACAACATGCTTGGTTTGCACTTTATCAGGTCCCAAAACAAATCCACTTCAAAGGGAAAAAACATCTTCCTCTACTCATTTGCCAAACCCTGTTTATACTATTACTCTAGAAAAGAAACTAAAAGAATATATCCATTGAGAAATAATCAACTTATTTCTGGATCATGACAAGCCAAAAATCTTAACAAGAAGGCTGGGTGTGGTGGCTCACACCTGTAATCCCAGAACATTGGGAGGCTGAGGCAGGAGAATCGCTTGAGGCCACGAGTTTGAGGCAGCAGTAAGCTACAATCTCACCACTGCACTCCAGCCTGGGTGACAGAGTGAGACCCTGTCTCGGAAAAAAACAAAAAAAACTTAAACAATAGGCTCTAAATCCAACAATCAGCATCATGCTGGTAACTCAAAGCTTTCGAAAAAGGTATTGTGCAAATAACAAGGCAAAAACCAAGTTAATATCCTTTATATTATATGCAAGACCTAAATGAACTCACTACTGAGCATCCTAATTCTCTTAAGCTAGGGGTCTTAACTATATGGTATATCTAAAACTAAAGCTGCAAAATCTGATTCAGATCTATTTAATTTTTTTTAAGATGGGTTTCACTATGTTGCCAACTTAGAGTGCAGTGGCTATTTACAGCCACGATCATCACAAAAGACAGCCCTGAACACCTGGCCTCAAGCCAAACTCCTGCTTCAGCCTCCCGAGTAGCTAGGACTACAGGCCCACACTGGTCTATATAATTTAAACTACAAAACTGATTCCAACAGCTAGCACTGAGTACAACTATCCTAGCCTTACCCCATCCCTAGAATTATCCTGATTAAGACAGTATTTTCTTCCATTAGAAAAAAATGTAAAGGATTCCTTACTTGGGTCACCCAAGTCTAATGAAAATATTAACTAACTTTGCTCAGTGATTTAAAAAGTTAGCAAGCATTTCCCACATTCTTAAAAACCTTCTCCAGATTTGGTTGAGGCTGTCTTCTCTCTGTAACAGTATGTCATAATGTGTCTTTCTCAGGAAAATACAGTATTCTCTAGACATTTGTGGATAACCAACACAATAACAAAATCATCATGAAACTGATTTTCCAATTGCAAAGAAGGCAATAACCTACAGAAAAAACAGAATAGGAACAATAAAATGTTCTTCCTTTCACTAAAATTGAAGGTCCCAGTAGCATGGGCAAATTTTTTTTTTCTTTTTTGAGACAGAGTCTTGCTCTACTGCCCAGGCTGGAGTGCAGTAGCGTGATCTCAGCTCACAGCAACCTCAGCCTCCTGGGTTCAAGTGGGCCTCCCGCCTCAGCCCCCTAAATAGCTGGGACTACAGGAATGCACCACCATGCATGGCTAATTTCTGTATTTTTATTAGAGATGGGGTTTCACCATATGCCCAGACTGGTCTTGAACTGGCCTCATTTGATCCGCCTGCCTTGGCCTCCCAAAGTGCTGGGATTATAGGCGTGAGCCACCACACCTGGCCTTGGCAAAATTATTTATGCAGCAGGTTATAAAAAGATAAAATTAAAGTAAGCAGTTTTCAGCAATGGCTGATGTGAAGACTACTATTTGAAAACAAGACTATATTGTAAAAACTATACAAAATAGAACCTGAGAAAAGCAGACATATCCAGGGTTAGGAATGAAAAGCAGTTAATTACTTCCCTATTTTATAAACACTTTGAAGCTTCAATTACGTTCTTCACTGAAGGAACTAAGAGCAAAATAAGACTTGTTACCAGTTACTAAAATAAAAACCATCACTTTGAAAACATCTAAGGGAAAAATAACGTGTTCTAAAATAAAGTTTTCTGCACATCAATTTGAGAATGACTTAATGAATGTGATAAATCCGTAACATATATATTTTTTAAATGAGAAAATTATATTATAATCATTACATTACAGTTTATATTTATTCAGCTAAATATCTTGAACCAACTGTTCTAAGAACTTCACAAGTTAATGTTAACCCTCAAAAAAATCCTAGGAACAATTATAATTCCCATATTTCAAAATAGAAAACCCCAGTGCACAGCAGCAATGCAGTCTGCCCAAGGTCATACTACATAAACGAAGAGGTGTCAACCAACTCCAACTGGGGCTCTTAACCACTCACCAAACTGTTTCTCTTTCTGTGCCATGTTACAGAAGAATCTACAACACACTGAATGAAGAAGAAATGCTGTGGGATAGCATGTGTGTTTGAATTGAACATTACCATTTCTATTTGAGAAAAATATTTTTTCTTTGTGTGTGTGTGTGTGTGTGTATGTGTAGTTCTATGTAAAAAAAAAAAGTGTGAGAAAGATTTTTATTTCAAAAGAACTTTTGTATTTTTTTCCTACCAAGAGAAAAAAAAAAAAAAAACAAGATCCTGCTTACTTAGTAATTACAACACTACAGTATGTTTTCTATTTTACATTAAGAAAGTGAAGAAACAAGACAAAAAACAGATCCAACCCTGTAGGAGAGAAATGGTGCAGGGAATAGAAAAATGTTTTTAAAATTTTCTAATTAGGCCAGAAACAGTGGCTCATGCCTGTTATCCCAACACTTTGGGAAGCCAAGACAGGAAGATCGTTTGAACCTAGGAGTTCAAGACTAGCCTGGACAACATAGTGAGACCCTGACTCTACCAAAAATTTTTATAACTTAGTCAGCCGTGGTAGTGTGGGCCTGTAGTCCCAGCTACTAGAGAGGTTGAAGGGGAAGAATCGCTTGAGCCTGGGAAATCGACGCTGCAGTGAGCTGTGATTATGCCACCACGCTCCATCCAACCTGTGCAACAGAGCAAGACCCTGTCTCCAAAAAAAAAAACAAAATGCTAATCAGTACCACCCAAAGATTCAAGATAATATTTCCCTAATTTTGTTATAAAGAGAATTTAGCGTGGCACACTGGCATGTGCCTATAATCTCAGTCATTTCCAAAAAAATGGAGATAGATATGTATTACTGAAACATAAAGCTACTCAGGAGGCTGAGGTGGGAGGATCACTTGAGTCCAGGCATTTAAGGCCAGCCTAGGCAACACAGTTAGACCTCACCTCAGGGAAAAAACATGTATTAGGAATCTAAAAGTGGCTAATGGTCAGGCATAATGGCTCATGCCTGTAATCCCAGCATTTTGGGAGGTTGCGGTGGGTGGACTGCTTGAGCCCAGGAGTTTGAGACCAGCCTGGGCAACATGATGAAACCCCCACTCTACAAAAAAAAAAAATACAAAAATTAGCCAGTGTGGTGCACCATGTGCCTGCAGTCCCAGCTACTCAGGAGGCTGAGGTAGGAGGATCGCTTGAGCCTGGATGGTGGAAGTTGCAGTGAGTTGAGATCGTACAACCGTACTCCAGCCTAAGTGACAGAGTGAGACCCTAGCTCCCCAAAAATTAAATTTTTTTTAAGTGGCTAACTAGAATACATGCAACAAAGCAAAATAATACAAAGTAAATACAAACAAAAATGAAGAAAAACAATAAAGATCTAAATGGAATCAGGAACCAAACCATTTAAAACTCATAATAGCTAACACTTAATTTCCACAACCTTTTTACCCACTTCATACTCTGACATACTTCCCTTCATACATTTTGATCTGCTTCTATAATTTATCCCCAAAAATATCCATTCAAGTAAAAGAAGCTGTATAAAAATGTTGAGTGCAGCATGGTTCATAATATAAGAAAAACAGAAATAACTCAAGTAGATTAGAAAGAATTGCATAAAAATAAATTAAGCAGCATCCATAAGTAATTCTAGTCATTTCCAAAAAATGGAAATAGATATCTATTACTGAAACATAAAACTGTTACTAAAGAAATTACATTAAAAAGAAAAAATAGGCCAAATGTGGTGGCTCATGCCTGTAATCCCAGCACTCTGGGAGGCCGAGACAGGCAGATCACTTGAGGTTAGGAGTTCAAGACCAGCCTGACCAACATGATGAAACCCTGTCTCTACTAAAAATACAAAAATTAGCTAGGTGTGGTGGTGGGTGCCTGTAATCCCAGCTACTAGGGAGGTTGAGGCTGGAGAATAACTTGAACCTGGGAGGCAGAGGTTGCAGTGAGCCGATATTGCGCCACTGTACTCAAGCCTGGGCGACAAAGTGAGAATTCGTCAAGAAAGAAAGGAAAAAAATAAAGGAGAGGAGGGGAGGGGAGAGAGAAAGAGAGACAAAGAAAGAAAGAGAAAGGAGAGCAAAGGAAAGGAAGAAGGAGAAGAAGGAGAAAGAGAAGGAAAGGAAAGGAAAGGGGAAAAGGAAAAGAAAGAAAACTATAAAAGGATAACTAAGAAAGAATACTATAAAACAGTATACAACATTTTAGTTAAAATTTAAAATGCTGTAATGGGCATAGAAAGTCTGGAGAAAGACTTCAAACAGTTAACCAAGGAGGTGTGCAACTACAGGGAATTCCATTTACTAACGTTATGTCTATAATGTACAGTAAGATACATTTATTTCTTCTGTAGCACAAAATAAATTTCATTATAATGAACAAATTATTAAACATACAAAATATTTTTCAAAAATTTTTATTTATACACTTTGGGAGGCCGAGGTGGGCAAATCACTTGAGGCCAGGAGTTTGGGACCAGGCTGGCCAACATGGCAAAACCCCATCTCTACTAAAAATATTTTTTAAATTACCTGGGTGTGGTGGCATGTGCCTGTAGTCCCAGCTACGCAGGAGGCTGAGGCACCAGAATCACTTGAACCCAGGAGGTGGAGGCTGCCATAAGTCAAGATCATGCCACCGCACTCCAGCCTGGGTGACAGAGCATGACTCTGTCTCCAAAAAAAGAAAAAACTTATTTATAAAAGAAATGAGGTCTCCCTAAGTTGCCCTGGCTGGTTTCCAACTCCTGGTCTCAAGGTTCATAGGCATGAGACACTATGCCAGACCCAAAATATTTTTTAAGAAAGCAAATAACTAAATGAAGCAATTTCATGTTTTTTGCCCCCTTGGCTTCTATTTTTTTGGTGCAAGCAATGTCATGTTTTAAGAGAGCTCTGATAGTCCAAATAGAGCTCCAAAAATTAATTCCAAGTATCTATGGGTAATCTTTGGGAGATAACATCCCTCCCATAACAATAACAGTTATCAGTTATCTGCTTCAATCTATTTATTTATTTATTTTGGAGACAGAGTCTCACTGTTGTGCAGGCTAAAGTGCGCTGGCACAATCATAACTCATTCTAGCCTCAATCTTGAGGGATCCCCTTGAGGGAGCCTCCCACCTCAGCTCTTTGAGCAGCTAGGACTATAAACTAACACTACAGCAGCACACCCATCTTTTTTTTTTTTTTCGTAGAGATGGGGTCTCGCTGTGTTGCCTAGGCTGGTCTCAAACTCCTGGCCTCAAGCAATCCTTCCACCTTGGCCTCCCAAAGTGCTAGACTTACAGGCATGAGCCACTGGTTCCTGACCCTGCTTCAATCATTTTTATGGATGAAATACAACAGAACTCTTAAGAAATAAAAGCACCTTGGTACACTCTGAATAGTAGACAGGTTTAACAATGTTAAACTGAGCCTAAATAGTAAAATGGCTTTGTCTCAGGTCATAAAGTAAATTTTAATAGATTATAATAAACCACTGAAAGACAAAGAATGAGTCCCATCTTTCAAAAAGCCCACGAAGGTGCATTTTACCAGGCCAGATTTCTTTCTCATAAGCTTTCTACCTCCTAATCCTTGAAATAGAGGGTTCTCAAACTATGCAGATCTTGGTCACTAATATCAACACAGCAGAACACTAGAAGAGGTAACGCACGTACTGATAAGCATGTGCCTTGTTAAATAGTCTAATTCTCCAGAAAATGATTTTTGTTTTCTGCTAGCTAGAGTAATAACAGCATTGTTTCTTGGCCAGGCATGGTGGCTCATGCCTGTAATTCTAGCACTTTGGGAAGCCAAGGTGGGAGGACTGCTTGAGGCCAGGAGTTAAGAGACCAGCCTGGGCAACATAGCAAGAAAAAAAAAATTATGCCATTATTTCTTGAGTACCAACCATATCTGTATCAGTGTATTTAGTATTTTGCATGGAGGGCTCATGTAATCCTCAGTACAACTTGTAAGGTATCATCAACTCTCTCATATAGACAAGGAAACCAAGTTCCAAAATGTTACATTAAGAGAATTGCCAAAGATGACATGACTACTTCTAGTAGAATCAGAGCTAAAAAACAAAACAAAACAAACAAACAAAAAAAACCCTAGGGTTTAACTCTCAAGTTTTGCTCTATCTTCTAAAACCAATGATCCGGACCAACATACCTCTTAAAAGTGTCCAGTTTATTTTATGCCTTTTTTTTTTTTAAGAGACAGGTTCTCACTATGTTTCCCAGGCTGGTCTCAAACACGTAGCCTCAAAGGATACTCCCACTCAGGCCCCTGACTCAGTGGGATTACTGGTTTGAGTCACCCCACCTAGCTATGCTACGTGTTTTATCAAATGGAATTCATTTGAAACAAAATTAAAAACTTATATACATTGTGATTTCCCTTAAAGAAAACATAAATATTCAAGTGTGAATGGTAAAGTCTCACCAAAACCATTCAGTTATCTAGTAGTCAATGTTAGGAATAAAATTTGGTTACTTACAAATCTCTATGGCAAAATCTAGCCAATATCACAAAATTCTCAAAGGCTAAAAATTACAGTAAATGGGCTGGGTGTAGTGGCTCATATCTGCAATCCCAGTGCTTTGGGAGGCCACCACAGGAGGATCATTGAGGCCAAATGTTTGAGACCAGCCTGGGCAACACAGCAAGACCTCATCTCTACAAAAAACATTTTTAAATTTTTTTTTTAATTAGCTGATTGTGGTGGGCACAGGACTGTAGTCCTAGCTACACAAAAAGCTGAGGCAGGAGGATCAACTCAGCCCAGGAGTTCGAGGCTGTAGTGAGCCAAGATTGTGCCACTACACTCCAGCCTGGGAAACACAGCAAGACCCTGTCTCCAAAACTAAAAAAAATTGAGGAGTAGAGGTTGGAGGATTACTTGAGCCCAGGAATCGCAGACCAGTCTGAGCAACATAGTGAGACCCAGTCTCTACAAAAAAATGTTTTTAATTAGCCAGGCATAGGGGTGTGCACCTGTAGTCCTAGCTAATTGGGAGGCTGAGGCAGGAAAATCGCTTGAGCCCATGAGGTTGAAGCTGAAAGCTGAGGTGAGCCATGGCTACACCACTGAATTCCTGCCTGGGCAATACAGCAAGACCCTGTCTCAAAAACTTTAAAGTACAGTAAATGAAGGGCAAACATATGGCTATTAACAGTTAATTTCAATAACTAATGACATACAAATCAGAAAGGCAATTTTATATTTAAAAAATATTAAAATTGGCTGGGCGGGGTGGCTCACACCTGTAATCCCAGCACTTTGGGAGGCCAAAGCAGGTGAATCAGCTGAGGTCAGGAGTTCAAGACCAGCCTAGCAACATGGCCAGTCTCTACTAAAAAATACAAAAAAATTAACCGGGCATGGTGGTGGCCACCTGTAATCCCAGCTACTAGGGAAGCTGAGGAAGGAGAACCACTTGAACCCAGGAGGTGGAGGTTGCAGTGAGCCAAGATCATGCCATTGCACTCCCGCCTGGACAACAAGAGCAAAACTCCATCTCAAAAATAAATAAATAAATAAAATTACATATTATATGGTGACAATAGCAATTCAATAACTGGAATAAGAAAAATTAATAGTCACAAGGAGCTTTTCATTTCACACAAGAAAGTCTATAAAATACTACTAGTATCAATGCAATAATTGTAATAAAAGGCAAACCTGAACTCTTCAAAAGCTAGTAAGTTACCTAAAGATATAGTTGTTTCAGAAATTTCAGGATTTGGGCGGGTCAGTGGCTCCCGCTTATAACCCCAGCACTTTGGGAGGCTGAGGCGGGCAGATCACGAGGTCAGGAGTTCAAGACCAGCCTGGCCAACATACTGAAACCCCATTTCTACTAAAAATACAAAAAACTAGCCAGGCATGGTGGCAGACACCTGTAATCCCAGCTACTCAGGAGGCTGAGGCAGAAGAATCTCTTGAACCCGGGAGGCGGAGGTTGCAGTGAGCCAAGATCGTGCCACTGCACTCCAGCCTGGAGACAGAGCAAGACTCCATCTCAATAAATAAATAAATAAATCTATATAATTTGTATTATTTATAAAACACATGCACTGTTTTGCTAAGTTTGTTTGTTTTTTGTTTGTTTTTTTTCTTCTGAGACAGAGTCTCACACTGTCGCCTGGGCTGGAGTGCAATCGCGTGATCTCGGCTCACTGCAACCTCCACCTCCCGGGTTCAAGCGATTCTCCTGCCTCAGCCTCCTAAGTAGCTGGGATTACAGGTTCCTGCCACCACGCCTGGCTAATTTTTAGTAGAGACAGGGTCTCCCTATGTTGGCCAGGCTGGTCTCGAACTCCTGACCTCGTGATCTGCCCACCTCAGCCTCCCAAAGTGCTGGGATTACAGGTGTGAGCCACCGCACCCAACCTTTGCTAAGTTTTGAACCTAAACCAAAATCTCAAAAAATACATGAGCCTAGGACATGAACAAATAATTTTCAAAACAGGAAATAAACCTAGTAAACAAGGGAGAAAAAAATAAGCCTTACAAGTAATAAAAGAAATACAAACTAAAATCGTCTATCATTTTCACCTATCAAATCAACAAAAATTGAAAGACTGCAATATTTAATGCTGATAAAAGTAGAGTAGACCCTGAAAATATGTACATGTATTATATATCAATAAAAACAATTTAAAAATGTAGCAGGCACTAGGGTACACTGCAGGTAAAGTGAAAATTCATATCTGGTAATATACATCAATTTTCCTAGTGTTCACACCTGTTGACTCAGTAATTTTTACTTTTATTAAGGAAATATCTGAAATATTGAAAAGCATTATGCACAAAGATGGTTTCCAGCATGGCTTTTTTTCTTTTCAAGAGAAGAGTCTTGCTCTGTCACCCAAGCTGGAATGTGCAATAGCACAATCATAATTCACTGCAGCCTCAAACTCCTGAGCTCAAGCAATCCTCCCATCTCAATATCCCAAGTAGCTAGGGCTACAGGCACACTCCATTATGCCTCACCAATTTTTTTTCTAATTTCACAGAGACAAGGTCTTGCTATGTTGCCCAGGTTGGTCTTGAACTCCCGGGTCTAAACAATCTGCCTACCTTGGCCTCCCAAAGTGCTGGTTATTACACGCATGAGCCACCCTGCCTGGTCTCAGCATTCTTCTCAATAGCAAAACTGTTAACTTAAAAATCGAGTAAACAGCCGGGCGCGGTGGCTCACACCTGTCATCCCAGCACTTTGGGAGGCCAAGGTAGGCGGATCACGAGGTCAGGAGATCGAGACCATCCTGACTAACACGGTGAAACCCCATCTCTACTAAAAATGCAAAAAATCAGCTGGCTGTGGTGGCAGGTGCCTGTAGTCCCAGCTACTCGAGAGGCTAAGGCAGGAGAATGGTGTGAACCCAGGAGGCGGAGCTTGCAGTGAGCCGAGATCGCGCCACTGCACTCCAGCCTGGGCGACAGAGTGAGACTCTGTCTCATTTAAAAAAAAAAAAAAAAAAAAAGTGCATGTCTGTAATCCCTGCAACTCGAGAGGCTGAGGTGGGAGGATAGCCAGGAGTTCAAAGCCAGCCTAGGAAACACAGCAAGATCCTCATGTCAAAAAAAGAAAAAAAAAATCCAACAATAAGGAATGTGTTTTCAGTAAATTGTGGCACAGTCATATATCTAATACTATAAAGCCATTAAAGATGCCTTCAGAATGTTTTTTGAAATGTGACTATACTGGCCAGGTAGGGTGGCTCATGCCTGTAATCCCAGCAACTGGGTAAGCTGAGGCAGGAGGATAGCTTGAGCCCAGGAGTTGGAGGTTACAGTGAGCTATGATCATGCCATTGTACTCCAGCCTGAGCAACAGAGACTCTATCTCTAAAAAAAAAAAAGAAAGAAAGAAATGTTAATATATCAATATGTTAAAATAGGAAAAATAATACAAAGTTACATTTACAGTATGATTTGCAGCTATGCAAATGTGTATGTATATATATAAACACATATATGCCAACCTATGTGTACATAAATATGTACAAAAATATGTATACATATATAAACAAAAAATTCCTTCAAGGAAATTTATCGAAATACATCAATGAGTTAGAGTTATGAGTAAACTGTTATTCTTTTTTTTTCCCTGTATTTTCCATAATGATCACATATGGCTTTTCTAGAGAAGGGGGGCTTTTCTGTTTCTCAAGCAAAAAAGCCTTTTCTCTTCATCACACTGAAAGAGAAATGAATGAAGTACTGTGTTACTGCCTATCCAGATATACGGTATTTTACTGGTTGCTAAGCAGCAGATCCTGGTGTTTTTACATCATGCCTATCTCTAGTCACAGGCAGAAAGGACAGGAACTCAGGCACAAACTCACCCCATCCAAATGGCAGTGTATTTCCTCTTGGGAGTGGTCCAAAGAGCACACACAGCAACTTTAATTCTCTACTCAAACCACTCCCCATCTCTCACCTTAACATACCAAGCAGATTTTTTATATGGAACAGTATTCCTCACACAAGCTGCACGAAAGGGAAGACCTTTTTAATCCTCTACTATATGCCACCCACTCCATCTCTGAGAGATAATTCGCATTTAAGTATGTTCACCCACCAAGCTAGAAATCACCATCATTCTGGACATGTATCTGTCATCAACTGACACAGACAGGTAAGCCTTGCTGCTTTCTGAAAATAGCCAATCCTGCTCAGTGAATGACAGCATCAGCTAAGATTTCTTCTACTGCAGAGAATGGGTGGGTCCCCCCACTAATGCTGTAAATTCCAATACTCAGTGTCATTCCCTCCAAACAGCAGAATCTACAGTATGGAAATTCTTCCACAAGAAAAGCCCAATTCTTGTGGCCACAACCATTAAGAGAATCCTGAGCCAGGACATTCTCCCCAAGCTTCCCCTCCTGCTTCTTCACAGGAACCACAGCAGCCAAGTCCTATACTATGCCCGCCCCTGCTGCAGCAGCAGCCATTTTTGGCTCAGCCCTGCTGCAGTCCCAGATGAAAGCCAGGACGGCAAGGACAAGATGGCAAAGGACTTTTAAAATGGAAACTCTTAACAAAAATAACAATGAAGCAAGCATCATAAAAAATGTTGCAATAATATGCCATGTCATTTAAAATAAGGCTTTAAAAAAAGATGCCTATATTCAAGTACTTTAAACCATTTTTCATGGCGTCATGAAAAATTTGAGGGAACCTAATTCATCACAATGTGAGATCAGCACTATACTGACACTATGGGGAAAACAATGCTTAATGAGTTTAGTTTTCTACTCAACTAACAGTTAACAACAACTCCCTTGATTCCTGTGGAAAATCTAAACGCATTTCAAATTCCTCTTCACTCTCTTAAAATAATGTAATTTAATCTTTGCTGAATGAAGAGCTCACAGAGAATCAAATTTTAACTTGATTTCACTTTCCAAAATAGAAGTAGCTTTACTTTGCTAATTATAAAAATAACTGGCCGGGTGCGGTGGCTCAGGCCTGTAATCCCAGCACTTTGGGAGGCCGAGGCGGGTGGACCACCTGAGGTCGGGAGTTCGAGATCAGCCTGGCTAACATGGTGAAACCCCGTTTCTACTAAAAATACAAAATTAGCTGGGCATGGTGGCACATGCCTGTAATCCCAGCTACTCGGGAGGCTGAGGCAGAAGAATCGCTTAAACTCAGGAGGCAGAGGTTGCAGTGAGTCAGAATCATACCACTGCACTCCAGGCTGGGCAACAGAGTGAGACTCCGTCTCTAAATAAACAAATAAATAAAGTGATTAAACAAAATATCACTTACTACAGAAAAAAATCAAATGACCTAATCTCACCAGCAACCAGTAACCACATGAACACTGTTGCATAACCAAGCACCAAGCACTTTTTCCTAATGTATTTTTTAAATAAAATTTGAATATACATGCTACTTTTAACTGACTTCCACGGAGAAAATGTGCACTTTTTTATATCAGTAAATGTTTCCGCAACATTTTTAATGGTTATATAGTATTTCTTTCTTTTTTTTTTTTTTTTTTTTGAGATGGAGTCTCGCTTTGTCACCCAGGCTGGAGTGCAGTGGCACGATCTCGGCTCACTGCAAGCTCTGCCTCCCGGGTTCACGCCATTCTCCTGCCTCAGCCTCCCAAGTAGCTGGGGTTACAGGCGCCCGCCACCACACCTGGCTAATTTTTTGTATTTTTAGTACAGATAGGGTTTCACCGTGTTAGCCAGGATGGTCTTGATCTCCTGACCTCGTGATCCGCCCGCCTTGGCCTCACAAAGTGCTGGGATTACAGGCGTGAGCCACCATGCCCAGCTTTAATGGTTATATAGTATTTCAATACCTATATAGTCTGTAATTTGCCCAATGTCCTATCACTAGGCCTTCAGCATGTTTCAAAAGGTTTACTCATGTCATGAAAGATGACATGAGAACAATCAGAATCTTACTTGAATACCAACTTTCAAAGTATAATTCTATAAAAGCAAATTGTATTAAATAAAAAAAAAAACAGGGCTAATTTCAAGGTATTCCTTGAATATATGTTAAAAAAATCTCTTAGAATACTAACAAAATTTAATACAACAACAGTCCAGTTTCTGTTACATTACCTAGGGCCACAAGAAACTCCTAGGTCAAACTGTCTCACCCACTCCACTTGGAAAAAGAGATTCATCCTAATCCCTGTCTCACTCTAGATACTAGTTTAGTATAAAAGACAAGTTCAAACAAAAGAAGACAGTAACTAAGCCTAGGGAAAAAGTGAAACCAATTCCATGAGGTAAGACTGATCCAGGACTCTAATCAGACAATTCTGAGGTCTAGCTTCAGACTGGAGAATGGAGGGATTAAAAGGCTCAGAAGAAGTTCTAAAGACTCCCGGATCTATAACTGACAGGGAACCAAGCACCTAGAAAAAGCAGGCAAGCTCAGAAGTACACTATACATTCCATCACAGAAATTCCTTTGGGCCAGGCACAGTGGCTCACGCCTATAATCCCAAGACTTTGGGAGGCAAAGGCAGGTGGATTGCTTGAGCCTGGAAGGTCAGTGCTGCAGTGAGCCAAGATGATGCCACTGTACTCTGGCCTGGGCAACAGAGCGAGACCCTGTCTCTACAAAAAAAAAAAAAGCAAATAAAATTTTTAAAAAAATCTTTGGGTTCACAAATTTGAAAAGGCCAACTACTTTTTGTTACGTACTCCTTAGATGGAATCAAACTTGCTAACACTAAAAAAAAAAAACCAGAAAAATAAAACGCCCCCTTACAGGGCCTTCAACATGAAGCTTCTTTATAAAAGTAAAATCCATTTCCCTTCAACTCCCAGACTGTTTCCTAATGCAACTTCAATTACCTTTCCAGTCATTACAAGTCACAGTGAGCTGGTATCTACTACCATGACCCAGAGAGCTTCCCAAAATACTTTCCCTATGAGGTCATTGCGGTATTAGCTATTAATAACATTATTTTATGCCATATAATAAAATATATCAACATTTGGAAAATTTACATAACTTAATGAACAATTATCTTCAAATAACTGATGCATAATGGTATAATCTTCCAAATAACCAATGCATGATATTACAAAATCACACACAGGTAAAAGATCCATTCAAGCCAAGCACGATGTACACACTCTGTCATCCTAGCAACTCAAGATGCTGAGGCAGGAGGATGGCTTGAGGCCAGGAGTTCGAGGCTACAGTGAGCTGTGACTGTATCTGTGAATAGCCACTGCACTCCAGCCTGGGAAACAAAGGAATATGCTGTTTCCAAAATAATTTTTAAATAATCACAAAATGATTCCTAAATGCTCCAAAGTTCCCTCCTTTCTCAAATCTATTTTCTAATTAGATTAAGAAACTTTCAGGGACAATGGCCACTCTTCATTTTTACTTCTTCCCACAGTTCTCCTGAAGTGTATAGCAGACACTGATGTGTGCTGCCCCTAGTAGCTTTCGGCCACTTTCAGGATGTGTTATTTTTGAAGGGAAGCTAAAAAGTACTACATCTCAAAGACTACATCTCAAAGACTCTTAGACAGACAAAAGTCTTCACTCATCTAGAAGATTCTAACGGCATTCTGAATAGCACTATCATTCTTTTAACTATCTACTATGACAGCTACCACAGTAACATTTATTTTTAATAGCTGAGACCATTTGAGAAGGAGGTGAGTTAAAAGATTTCCATAATCCATTCTAACCCTCGCATTCTAAGATTCTGGTTCTCTTTATTCTCAAGTCCCAGCATTCAATAATGCTGGATACTATGGTTGTTTAGGGGCTTGAAGATGAGTCAGCAGGTACAGCAATTTGTGAGATGCAGCTTTTTTTTGTTTGTTTGTTTGTTTGAGACGGAGTCTCGCTCTTGTAGCCCAGGCTGCAGTGCAATGAATTGCACAATTTTGGCTCAGGGGAACCTCCGCCTCCCAGGTTCAAGTGATTCCCCTGCCACAGCCTCCTGAGTAGCTGGGATTATAGGTATGTGCCACCACACCCGACTAATTTTTCTATTTTTAGTAGAGACTGGATTTCACCATGTTGGCCAGGCTGGTCTCGAACTCCTGACTTCAGGTGATCCTCCCTCCTTGGCCTCCCAAAGTGCTGGGATTATAGGCGTGAGCCACCGAGACCGGCCAAGAAGCATTTCATTATACTTCAAACAACAGTGAAGCCAGCAAAAGATAGCTGCTGTGGTTTACATTGCTGAACATGCTGTTGGGTTTCACAGGCCAGTAAAAACTACCTATTGTCAGCAAGCCTCATTTTTCTTAGTTAAAGGTTAAGAAGCACCAGACTTAGCCAGCAGCTCCTAAAGCAGAGTGAACAATCTCTTTTCTCAAAGCAGAATTAGTATAAGTGCTTATCCACCAAAATCAGGGTTATTAGTTTAATGGAATTTGCTCATTTCTAAAGATGTCCTACTGGAAATAAGATAACGGAACATTCAAAAACCATTCTTCCCTAGGAATGTGCCTCTGGTTGCAATAAACAAACTCTCTATATAGATCACTAATGTTATACATGCTCAGACACAGGAAAAACTGCTTTCAATAACAACAAGAAAAGTAAGTCAAGGGCGTATTTTTTTTAATCACAAAATGCTATTAACTAAAGTACAGAGAAAGGAATAGAAAATATGCAGATACAGTATCAATCACTAACCTTTTTTGTGAGAGCCAGAAAGGCAAAACAACCTGCAACATTCTACGAAATTATCTATTTTTCTGGTTTTGAGTATTTTCAACTTAGTTTTCCTTCTGAGTCAAAAGTAGTTGAACTTTAAGAATCCTTCTGTCATAAGTAGCCTCCGCTCCAAATATATTTTTCAAAGTTTTGGTTTCCAGTGAAAGACTAAACTGAAAAACACTTCCTAACTGCTTTCTGGTTGCATATCCAACGGTTCATCTGAGCATTATACCCTGAACACAAATAGAAGTTCCTTTTTCATTCAAAGGCAGCCAATTTAACCTAACATTTCAAATTCTAGCTGAACTATTAATAAGGAGATGCAGATATATGCTATGTATCTATGCATCTATGTATCTCTCCATCTATATATCTCTTTAGCAGTATGATAAAAGATGTCCTACATTTTGATGAGCAGGTATTTTCACTATTGTCTCATTATTTGAGTATTGAAACAATATGCCTCAATTTTACTCACTTATAAACTATCTACTACAAACCTGTGACTAACCATAAACAAAGGCTGAAACTGAAACCAGAAATATATTTTTTAAATATATAGGCCAGCGGGGCACAGTGGCTCACGCCTGTAATCCCAGAACTTTGGGATGCTGAGGCGGGTGGATTACTTGAGGTCAGGAGTTCAAGACCAGCCTGGCCAACATAGAGAAACCCCATCTCCACTAAAAATACAAAACCTACCTAGGCATGGTGGCAGGTGCCTGTAATCTCAGCTACTTGGGAGGCTGAGGCAGGAGAATCGCTTGAACCCAGGAGGCGGAGGTTGCAGTGAGCCAAGATCGTGCCACTGCACTCCAGCCTGGGAGACAGTGCGAGACTCTGTCTCAAAAAAAAAAAAAAAAAAAAAAAAGAAAGAAAGAAATTATACATCAATCCACAATAATGAGGCAAAGACAAGCTAACTGAAACAGTTCCTTTTCTTCTGCTTAAAATTTATCAACTAAGGATAGTAATGGAGTTTATCATGCTCTGTTCAATTCCTGATTAGCATATTAAAATCTTTTATTGAAAACTCCAGGTTCAAATTAATGATTTCACAGTAACTACTGCCCAGAACCCCAACAGCAGCCTATTAGGGAGACAGCAAGTGATTTACATATTTTTGAAGTTTTAGTCAGGTACGGTGCCTCACACCTCTAATCTCAGCCACTTGGGAGGCTAATGCGGGAGAATTGCTTGAGCCCAGGAGTTGGGAGTTTGCAGTGAGCTATGACAGCGCCACTGCACTCCACCCTGGGTGAAAGAGTGAAACTCCATCTAAAAAATAAATAAATAAATATTTTGAGAAGTTTTTTTATTTCTAAAATATATGATTATAGAAAATAAGCAAAAGTATAAACTTAAATGTAACTCTCCAAACCAAAGCCCTTTAAGAACTAATTTTAGACTTGTAAAGAAACACACAAAAAGCCGGGTGCAGTGGCTCAGGCCTGTAATCCCAGCACTTTGAGACGCTGAGGCAGGAGGATCACTTGAGGTCAGGAGTTCAAGACTAGCCTGGCCAACATGGTGAAACCCCATCTCTACTAAAAATACAAAAATTAGCTGGGCGTGGTGGCACATGCCTATAGTCCCAGCTACTCGGGAGGCTGAGATGGGAGAATCGCTTGAACCCTGAGGGCAGAGGCTGCAGCGAGCTGAGATGGCGCCATTGCACTCCAGCCTGGGCAACAAGAGCGAAACTCTGTCTCAAAAAAAAAAAAAACAACAAAAAAAAACTCAAGAGCTTTCAATCAAAAACTAGCTATCAAGGATTAAATGTCACTTCCTCCAATTACATAAACAAAACTCAGTGGGAATCTATTCTGGATAGTTTAAAGGTTGTGCTGCGTTGATCCTCCTCTTTCCTCTCAGCAGCTTCTTTCTCTTTTCTGTAAGCTTCCTCATCTTCCTCAAGTAACCAGACACTGCATAGACTAATAATCTTTGCTTTTCTCTTCCCTCTCTCCATTATGCTTATATTATCACAGATTTGTTTTTCCAACCATTTCTGCTCATCTGACTTCCATCTCCCTATTTCCAAACATCTTCAGTTATCTCCATTTGTTTGTAAAATGAGTTGGATATTTCACTCATTTCAAATCCAACATGTCCTAAACTGAATTTATCTGTCCACTATCTCAAAACAACGTATAAAATTAAATCCTACATCTTTCTTACTCTATCAATGACAGCATCATTTTCTAGTCTCAAAACCCTGGAGTCAACTTTAACTCTTCTTTCAGAAATCAAAGATAGTCAAATCCCTATTTTTCTTCCTTTATGATAGCTTTCATGATATGATCACCCTTTCCTTTTCATTTCCCTCTAGACAGGATGTACCTCAGCAAAACCTTGGAAAACCTTGGAAAAATTAGGCCGGGCACAGTGGCTCTCATCTGTTAATCCCGCACTTTGGGAGGCTGGAGCCAGAGGATCGCTTGAGCCCAGGAGTTCAAGACCAGGCTAGGCAACATAGTGAAACCTCGTCTCTACAAAATATCAACCTGGGACCACCTGTGGTCCCTACTGCTTGGGAGGTTGAGGCAGAAGTACTGCGTGAGCCTGAGAGGTCGAGGCTGCAGTGAGCCATGATCGTACCACTGCACTCCAGCCTAGGCAACAAAGCAAGACCCTATCTCAAAAAATAATAATAAATGAATAATAAATTATACAGTTAGATATCCAAAGGTTCTCCAAAATTGTCAGATGCACATTTGCTGCTTTCTATTTTATCCCAGTGGATCTTCGGACTACCCCATATACACCATACACCATTTCCTAACCACTGACCACGACTCTGCCCATACCATTTCCCTCAACTGTAGATGTCCTTCCCCTCAACTTCAAGTCAGCCCAAATACTACTTCCTATTCCCCTAGTCCTCACTGACTTTCAAGGTTCTGATCTCGTACCTCCATTTGAGAGTACTGTTTTTTTCTTGTAGTTTTTTTTTGTTTGTTTTTTTTTAAGAGAAGATCTTGCTCTCTTTCTTACCCAGGCTGGAGTGCAGTGGTATGATCACAACTCACTGCAGCTTCAACCTCCTGGGCTAGAGTGACCCTCCTGCTCACCACTACACCTGGCTAATTTTTTTTTTGGTAGAGACAGGGTTTCCCTATGTTGCCCAGGTTGGTCTTCCTACTCCTAGGCTCAAGTGCTCCTTCTGTCTAGCCTCCCAAAGTGCTGGGATTACAGGTGTGAGCCACCACACCCAGCCTCAGGTTTCTTTTGTATATTCTTCAATAGACAGCACAGACATACAATGTTACTTAATAAATATTTGCTCCATTAATTATTGACTAAATAATTATTGTGCACCTGCTAAGAATCAGGTACTGTGGTTAGCTTAATCTGTAATATCAAAACAATAACATTTCTCTTTTTTCTCTTATTCTTTCTCAAGATTCCACTAGTCTTTCCTTCAGTTTACCATTACTAGTTGTCCTTTTTCACTCAGTTGAGCCTGCAGCTGAATAGCAGTTAAGCTACCTCATTAACGTGATTCTGAAATACAAGGGAATAATGACTTTTCTCTCAAAATATTCCAAGAAAAATCAGAAAGAATAATGAGCAGTAAGTTTCCGAAGGCTATTTGACCAACTGGAGGTTTCTCACAATTGTCCTTATCATGAACTAATTTCACACTGGTGCCCTTATGAACTGACCAAAGCCTTCAATGTCACTGAAAGCACTGAAAGCATGAGAAGACTTCCTTTCTGTGCCTAAACTCTCTCTTTAACAAATACATAGCTTTTTTTTTTTTTTTTTTTTTTTTGAGGCAAGATCTCACTCTGTCACCCAGGCTGGAGTGGAGTGGTGCGATCTCCACTCACTGCAGCCTCCACCTCACGGACTCAAGCAATCCACCCACCTCAGCCTCCTGAGTGGCTGGGACCAGAGGCACATACCACCATGCCCAGGTAATTTTTGTATTTTTGGTAGAGGCGAGGTTTTGCCATGTTGCCCAGGGGGGTTTCAAACTCCTAAGCTCAAGCAATCCACCCACCTTGGCCTCTCAAAGTGTTAGAATTACAGGTGTGAGCCAACACACCAAGCCAATATATAGTTAATTGAAGAAAAGGGGTTATTTTTAAAGTGCTTATGAACTGTAACTTATGATAACCAAATACTTATTTCAACTTAGCTCCTCCAACTAAAACAATTATTCTGACCTGGTACACAAGATTTAACACCACTAAAACACAACATAAACTAGGCACAGTGGCACACACTTGTAATCCCCCCTACTCAAGAAGCTGAGGCAGTAGAATTACCTGAGTTTGAGTCCAACGGTGAGTATACACACGTACATACATATACATACACACACACACTCTCTCTCTATATATATAGGTGTTCATCCATGGGTTCCACAAAGATAACTAGAGTACATTTTGGGCCTTTAATCCCATCTAAACAATTTGCTGTTAACGAAACTCAAAAACAGAAATACCTATATTTTCTCGCTAAATCCAATTGTTACCTATGATGAGTAAAGACACTAGATCTGCAGGTCCTAGTACAATCTATACATAAAAGGCCTTCAGATTTGAGGCACAAAAAAAAGGGCAAAAAAAGAAAAAAAAGAAAAAAAAACCTTCTACACATTTCCTTCTTTTATCTGCAATATAAGAAGGAATCCTTTCTAACTCTAATAACATATTAACAAGAATTAAGAACACGATTGTCGGGGAACTCAGATGTTGGCAAAGCTTAAAAATAAAAAAACAAGGGCTGGGTGCAGTGGCTCAGGCCTATAATCCCAACACTTTGGGAGGCCGAGGCAGGAGGATTGCTTAAGCCCAGGAGTTTGGGATCAGACTGGACAACAAAGTGAGACCCCTATCCCTATCTCTCCAAAAATTTTAAAAATTAGCTGGGCACAGTGGTGTGTGCCTGTAGTCCCAGCTACTTAGGAGGCTAAAATGGGAGGATCCCTTGAGTCCAGGAGTTTGAGATTGCAGTGAGCTATGATCAAACTTCACTTCAGCCTGGGTGACAGAGCAAGGGTTTAAAAAAAAAAAAAAGAAAAAAAAAGGCTGGCGCGGTGGCTCACGCCTGTAATCCCAGCACTTTGGGAGGCCGAAGCGGGCTGATCACCTGAGGTCAGGAGTTCGAGACAAGACTGGCCAACATGGCGAAACCTCGTCTCTACTAAAAATACAAAAAAAATTAGCCAAGCGTGGTGGCGCACGCCTGTAATTCCAACTGCTTGGGAGGCTAAGGCAGGAGAATTGTTTGAACCCATGAGGTGGAGGCTGCAGTGAGCCAGGTATGGTGGCTCATGCCTGTAATCCTAGCACTCTGGGAGGCCAAGGCTGGAAGATCAACTGAGGCTGGGAGTTTGAGACCAGCCTGGGCAACACAGTAAGACTATCTCTACAAAAAACTGAAAAATTATCCAGATGCCAGGTGCGGTGGCTTACACCTGTAATCCCAGCACTTTGGGAGGCCAAGCGGGTGGATCATCTGAGGTCAGGAGTTCAAGACCAGCCTGGGCAACATGGTGAAACCCCGTCTATACAAAAATACAAAAAGTTAGCCAGGCATGATGGCAGGTGCCTGTAATCCCAGCTACTCAGGAGGCTGTGTTCAAGCTAATCGCTTGAACCTGGGAGGCAGAGGTTGCAGTGAGCCGAAATTGTGCTATTGCACTCCAGCTTGGGCAGCAAGAGCGAAACTCCATCTCAAAAAAAAAAAAAAAAGATAATGGCTTCTTGAAAGAACACAGAAATCAACCTGAAGGAATTCCTGATGGCCAAAGCTAGAACAATCTGAGTAAGAAAACAAACAATGATAGTTACTGGATTTTAACCCATAAAATAAAATATATACCCATGAGTCCATAGTGATATGAATAATAAACAAATGGAGGAAAGAAAGCTTTTCCTCATAGAATTATAATCAATAAATGTAGAAGGAAAGAGTGAAATAGAAAGTCACAATTGGGCAACCACAAAAGCAATAAATGTTGCAGACAAGCTCCATCAGTTGCTAAAATTGAGAACCAAAGTTTGAGAAGATTCTAACATTGTTTGCAAACTCATCAAATATCTCCCACAAGATACTTATCAACTACAAAAGGAAAGAGAATAACTCCACAATAGAAAGACCAGCAAGATGCCAACTTAACCAAGTAGTCAAGGTAATCATCATCATACTGACATCATGAATCTCCTGATATGGGGCAATGAGAAGGAATGCATAACCTCGCCCCATTCATGAGAAAACATCAAACAAATCCAAAACGAGGGACACCCTATAAACAATGGATCAGCAATCTTCAAAAGTGTCAAAGTCACAAAAGATAAGGAAAGTCACAGGAATCGTTACAAACCATAAGAGAATAAAGAGAAATAACTAAATGCAATTAGAATCCTGAAACAGAAAAAGGACATCAGGGGTCTCTCCTTCCAGCACAGTACGAGGGCAGAGTAGGACGTGTAGTGCTGGGAGTCATGGCAGGAAAAGCATTTAGAAAGTTTCTTAGGCCTGTAATCCCAACATTTTGGGAGGCAAAGGTGGGTGGATCACTTGAGGTCGGGAGTTCGTGACCAGCCTGACCAACATGGTGAAACCCCGTCTCTAATAAAAATACAAAAATTAGCCAGAAGCAGTAGTGCACACCTATAATCCCAGCTACTTAGGAGGCTGAGGCAGGAGAATCACTTGAACCCGGGAGGCAGAGGCTGCAGTGAGCACACATCGCACCACTGCACTCCAGCTTGGGCAAGAGAGAGAGACTCCATCTCATAAAGAAGTTTCTTCCTCTTTGACTGAGCGTTGGTTGAAAAACAAGTGCCAGCCTGGCACAATGGCTCATGCCTGTAATCCCAGCACTTTGGGAGGCCGAGGCGGGTGGATCACCTCAGGTCAGGAGTTCAAGACCAGCCTGGCCAACATGACAAAACCCCACCTCTACTAAAAATACAAAATTAGCAGGGCGTGGTGGCGCATGCCTGTAATCCCAGCTACTCAGGAGGCTGAGGCTTGAGAATCGCTTGAACCTGGGAGGCGGAGGTTGCAGTGAGCCGAGATCGCACCATTGCACTCCAGCCTGGGCAACAAGAGCAAAATTCCATCTCAAAAAAAAAGAAAAGAAAAAGAAAAACAAGTGCCACTGAAATCGTAACCAAAGGAAGCATTATCCTTTCAGAAAAATCTCAAAGAAAAGTATGGCAAGCAACAGCAGTAGCTGCTGGGTCAGGCTCTGAACGAAAGGGTAGAGAGAGATTCAACCAGTCAGTGTAAAAGTTGGAGATAGGCCGTGCGCCGTGGCTCATGCGCCAGTGTAATCCCAGCATTTTGGGAGGCCGAGGCGGGTGGATCACCTGAGGTCAGGAGTTCGAGACCAGCCTAATCAACATGGTGCAACCCCGTCTCTACTAAAAATACAAAAATTAGCCAAGCATGGTGGCGAGTGCCTGTAATCCCAGCTACTCAGGAGGCTGAGGCAGGAGAATCACTTGAACCCGGGAGGTGGAGGTTGCAGTGAGCCGAGATCGCACCATTGCACTGCAGCCTGGCCAACAACAACGAAACTCTGTCTCAAAAAAAAAAAAAAAGTTGGAGATAAAGTTCTTCCAGAATATAGAGGTGCCAAAGCAGCTCTACATGACAAGGATTATTCATTTAGAGATGGTGACACTCTTGGAAAGTATGTAAACTGAAATAAATCACTATTGAAATGGCATCAACGTGAAGCTGCCCGTTCCACTAAAGTTCTGAAATCATTCATCATGTAAATAATTTCCATGTCTGTCTTTTATAATAAACTAATGATATCTAAACTAATCCAAAGCAGGCAGAATCACCAGAGGTCAGGAGTTCGAGCCCAGCCCGGCCAACATGGAGAAACCCCGTCTCTACTAAAAATACAAATTGGCCAGGTGTGGTGGTGGGTACCTGTAATCCCAGTTACTCCAGAGGCTGAAGCAGGAGAATCATTTGAACCCAGGAGGTGGACGTTGCAGTGAACTGAGATCACACCACAGCACTCCAGCCTGGGCAACAGAGCAAGACATCATCTTAAAAAAAAAAAAAAAAGGTGGGACACAGTGGCTCACACCTGTAATCCCAGCACTTTGGGAGGCCGAGGCGGGTGGATCACTTGAGGAGTTCAAGACCAGCCTGGCCAACATGCCGAAACCCTGTCTTTACTAAAAATACAAAAACTTAGCTGAGTGTGGTGGTGCACACCTGTAATGCCAGCTACTCTGTAGGCTGAGGAAGGACAGGAGAATTGCTTGAACCTGGGAGGCAGAGGTTGCAGTGAGCCAAGATGGTGCCATTGCACTCCAGCCTGGGGGACAGAGCGAGACTCCATCTCCAAAAAAAAATAAATAAATAAAAAGATTCCTAATTGTCTAAGCTATGTAATGGTTACCAGGTGGGGGTATCCATATAATTTACTATCCAAACCAGGACCATTACAGGAGAAACAGGATCTATTAGTAGGTCACTGGTCAGTGTTGTTAAAGACCTCAAATAAATTTGAGTTGGCATGAACTTTATGGTTAGGCAAGTTGCCCTAACCTCCCCTCAGCCTCTAGAACAAAGGTAGGAGAGGGGGCAGAAAGCTGAACCAGAAAAATCCCCAAACTCCTTTCCAGCTTAGAAAAATCACTGGCTCATGGTGGCACCTTTCAAAGACACTTCTTTTTAAATTTACTGTCTACTATGTGTAAAGGAAAAATAAGCTAATGCATACTTATGTTTGGATCCTTTAACTATGATTTTTCTAATGAAGATCAAGAATGAAATCAATGACATTCCAGAGCCACACTCAGCTTTCATTGCCTTACCTAAAATGTACCACATTTAAATACACTCACTCAGTCACACAATATAAAAGGTAATAAGCTAAGGTCAAGTGCTCTGTAGTCTGCTTTTGAAACAGCATTTATTCCAGGAAGTTGGACTACTTTCAAACTCTAATATTTCTGAAAAAGATCAACAATGTAACACAGGGAGTATCAGCTGACTACATTAGCCTCAAAGATTCAACAATTATTAATTAGGTACTTGATGCCATTAAAATTATACATGGACTAATTAAGACCCACTTCCTTTGAATATTGAGTAAGAGCTAAGCTGGAGACATGCATAATAATTTAAAACTTAAAGCAGATACAATCTTACAAAATCAGCAACTCCACTCATTCCCACTTCCCAATGTTAAGCAACTGAAGAGTTTTTTTGTGGAAAGTCTTTATCCAAAACAAATAAACTGTTTTTATTACACCTAAGGGTAACAAAATAACCTCTTCTTTAATGTGGTCTTTTCCTAAATAGCAAAAAGAATCCTGCTAAACAAGAGATTAAGCAGTATTTCCCAATTTTGTTTTTTGTTTGTTTTGTTTTGTTTTTTTGAGACAGGGTCTGGCTCTGTAGCCCAGGCTGGAGTACAGTGGCGTGATCTCAGCTCACCGTAGCCTCCGCCACCTGAGTTCAAGCGATTCTCCTGCCTCAGCCTCCCAAGTAGCTGGGATTACAAGCACGTGCCACCACACCTGGCTAATTTTTGTATTTTTTTAGTAGAGACAGGGTTTCTCCATGTCGGCCAGGCTGGTCTCGTACTCCTGACCTTAGGTGATCTGCCCGCCTCAGCCTCCCGAAGTGCTGGGATTACAAGTGTGAGCCACTGTGCCCAGCTCCAATTTTGTTTCTTTATAATAACATATACATTAGAATAGCCTGGGAGTATAACCTCATATCAATCAACAACCAATTTTAACCTGACAGAACTAACACTATGCAAAATCCAAAAACCTAAGAATTTGTAACTCATAATTTCAATTATTCACAGGACAGCAAAACAGTCAAATGCTTATACTCTATTTTTTACAAAACTACCACTGCCTAATAGTAATTTATCTTAATAATAAAAGCAGACAACACTTGTTTTCCGGGCATAAAAAAGGATAGAAATGGTCAAAGTTCGTTTATCCAATAGGCCTTATTTTATAAATAGCACACCTCACTAAATCTCAAGCACTTAATGGATTATATAACCTTAACGCACAAGGCTGGGCGGGGTGGCTGATGTCTGTAATTCCAACACTTTGGGAAGCCAAGGCAGGAGAATCACTTGAGCTCAGGAGTTTGAGACACGAGTGGGCAACACAGTGAGACTCTGTCTCTACCGAAAATAAAAAACTAGGCAGGAGTGGTGGCTCGCACCTATAATCCCGCATTTTGGAAGGCAAAGGTAGGCAGATCACTTGAGCCCAGGAGTTGGAGACCAGCCTGGGCAACATGGTGAAATCCCGTCTCTACAAAAAATACAAAAAGTAGCTGGGTGTAGTGGCGCACACATGCAGTTAGTCCCAGTTACTTGGGAAGCTTAGGTGGGAGGGCTCCTTGAGCTCAGGAGTTCGAGGCTGCAGTGAGATCTGATTATGCCATTACACTCCAGCCTGGGTGACAGAGACAGACCTCAAGAAAATGAAAAGATAAGCCACTAAATGAGAGAAAATACTTGCAACTCCTGTATCTGTTAAACAACTTATATTCAGAATATATAAAGAACTCTTACAACTCAACAATAAAAAGACATATGACCCAATTAACAACTGGGCAAAGGATATATATAGATAATTCTCCGTAACTGACAAATGGCCAAATGCACACAAACATGGCCAAATACACACAAAAACATGCTCAACTCCATTAGCCATCAGGGAAACGCAAATCAAAACCACAATGAGATACCACTTTACACCCAATAGGATGGCCTATAATCAAAAAGACAAATAATGACAGGTGTTGGCAAGGATGCAGAAAAACTGAAATCCTCATACATTGTTGGCAGGAACATAAAATGGTGTAACCACTTTGGAAAACATTTTGGCAGCTCCTCCAAATGTTAAACATGGAGTTACCTCATATAACCCAGCAACTATACCCCAAGGTATATACTCAAGAGAAATTACAACATAACATCTATATAAAAACATCCATGAACGGTCACAGCAACATCATTCAGAGCCAGAAATTTTATCCAACCTTTTGGCTATTCATTATCCAAAGGCCAAAAAGTTGAAACAACCCAAATGTCCATGGTACATGGAATATTACTCAATAATTTTAAAAATGAAGTGCTAATACATGGTTACAACACAGACGAACCCTGAAAACATTATGCTGAAACAAATCACACACAAAAAATACATTAGTCCATTTACGTAAAAAGTTCAAAATAGGCAGATATATAGAGGCAGAAAATAGACTTGGACTTGCCTAGGGCAGGGAGAATTGGGGGAAAATGGGGAGTCATGGGGAGTCAAACAGGTTCCTTTGGGGAGTGACAAAAATATTCTAAAATTATGGTAGTAGTTGTACAATTCTCAACTGGTTTTGAATATACCCAAAACCACTGAATTATACACTCTAAATGGGTGACTCATACGGTATGTGGATTACATCTCAATAAAGCTGTTTTTTAAAAAAGTAATGGTTTCACACAGCTGAAGTCTAACTTCCTCTTATTTATTCAAAATGCTCTAGAATCTGGATCCATTATCTTGAATATTCTACCATGAGAATCCTCCATTCCAAGCACACAGATCCAAATCCTTAGAACACAGCATACACTACACTTGCTTCAGGCCCAAATCTTTGTTCATATTGATCACCCACTCATCATAATCCACCCACCTCTGCCTATCTAAACCCTGACTATAGTCTTAAACTCTTTTTTTTCCTTTTAAAAATTCATACTTCCATGCCAGGCTCAATGGCTCATACCTGTAATCCCGGCACTTTGGTAGGCCAAAGCGAGAGGATCCCTTGAGCCCAGGAGTTTGAGATCAGCCTGGGCAACAAACTGAGATCTCTAAAAAAAAAAAAAAAATTAAAAAATTAGCCAGGCATAGCGGAGTGTGTCTGTGGTCCCAGTTACACAAGAGGCTGAGGCAGGAGGACTGCTTGAGCCCAGCAGGTCAAGGCTACTGTGAGCCATAATTATGCCACTACACTCCAGCCTGAAAGACACAGCCAGACCCCATCTCGAAAAAATGAATAAGCTGGGCGCAGTGGCTCACGCCTGTAATCCCAACACTTTTAGAGGCTGAGAGGGGCAGATCACTTAAGGTCAGGAGTCCGAGGCCAGCCTGGCCTATTATGGTGAAACCCCATCTCTACTAAAAATACAAAAATTGCCCCAATGTGGTGGCGTGCACCTGTAATCCCCAGCTACTCGGGAGGCTGAGGCATGAGAATTGCTTGAACCTAGGAGGCAGAAGTTGCAGTGAGCTGAGATGGAGATCGCACCACTGTACTCCAGCTTGGGTGACAGAGCAAGACTGTCTCAAAAAAATAAATAAATAAAATAAATAAATGAATTAAGGGTTTTTTTTGTTTGTTTTGGGGGGTTTTTTTGAGACAGGGTCTCACTCTGTCACCCAGGCTGGAGTGCAGCAGTGCAATCATGGCTCACTGCAGCCTTAACCTCCTAGGCTCAAGCAATCCTCCCACCTTAGCCTCCCAAGTAGCTGGGACTACAGGCACGTGCAACCGCGCCTGGCTAATTTTTGTATTTTCTGTAAAGACGGGGTTTTGTCATGTCATCCAGGATGGTCTCAAACTCCTGAACTCAAGCAATCCACCCACCTTGGGCTCCTGAAGTGCTGGGATTACAGGCCATGAGTCACTGCACCTGGCCAAGTTCTCCGACCAAGTTCTATTTCTTACATACTAATTACTAGGACCTAGAAAAAAGGTCAGGAATCATCTCATTTAACCTTCAAGGTTCAGTCCTTTCCATTCTCAATGTAAAAATAGTATTCTGGTTTAAAACTGGCTGTGTTCATTTTCTATTCCCACTTAATTTTCTCTCCTTATTCCAAAATTATGTTTGTTCCCACACTTCAATCCTCTTTCCCTCATCCCGCATGAATCCCTGTGGTCTTTTCCTCCTTCCTTCAATCACTCCTCATGATACTAACACTTCCTGAAAACCAACTAAATGCCAGACGCGATGGCTCACGCCTGTAATCCCAGCACTTTGGGAAGCTGAGGCAGATGGATCACCTGAGATGAAGAGTTCGAGACCAGCCTGGCCAATATATAAATACACTAGGTGCAGTGGCTCACGTCTGTAATCCCAGTACTTTGGAAGGCCAAGGTCAGGAGTTCAAGACCAGCCAGGCCAATATGGTGAAACCCTGCCTCAACTAAAAATACAAAAATTAGCCAGGCGTGGTGCCGGGTGCCTGTAATCCCAGCTACTCAGGAGGCTGAGGCAGGGGAACCGCTTGAACCCGGGAGGTGGAGGTTGCAATGAGCCAAGATCACAACACTGCAATCCAGCCTGGGCAACAGAGTGAGACTCCGTCACAAAGAAAAAAAAAATTAGGACTCTGGCTCCCAGCCTTTTTTAAAAACTTAGTATACTTGAACATATAAAGATGAACTTAAAGAGATAATAAAGAAATGTAAATAATTGTATGGGAAAAAAACTTGTGATGTTACACTGAGTTTTAATCTTGCAAATAATGCAAAACATTACAGGAACAATAACTCAAAAGATGTTTGACTTACTGATAAAGGTTTGAACATTCCCCTTTGTAATGTGCAGTCATAACTTCTAAGCTAAAAGCCAAAGGTGAAAAAATATTCCCAAGAAAAGCATTCCAAATAAACAAAAAGTTCACTTATATTTCAAGTAGATACAGAATAAAACTATTCAAGAAGTATCTCTTGGCTGGGTGTGGTGGCTCACGCCTGTAATCCCAACACTTTGGGAGGCTGAGGTGGGCAGATCACTTGAGGTCAGGAGTTTGAGACCAGCCTGGCCAACATGGTGAAACCCCGTCTCTACTAAAAATACAAAAAATTAGCCGGTCGTGGTGGAGGGCACCTGTAATCCCAGCTACTCAGGAGGCTGAGGCAGGAGAATTGCTTGACCCGGGAGGCCAAGGTTGCAGTGAGCTGAGATCGTGCCACTGCACTCCAGCCTGGGTGACAGAGCGAGGCTCCGTCTCAATTTTTTAAAAAAAAAAAGTATCTCTTTTTATTTTTGGGGGACAGTCTTGCCCTTTCACCCAGGCTGGTGTGCAATCACACAATCAGGTCTCACTACAGCCTTGACCTCCCGGGCTCAAGCAATCCTCCGGCCTCAGCCTCCTGAGTAGCAGGGACTACAGGCATGCACTGCCACTCCTGGCAAACTATTTTTTAATTTTTATTAGAGATGGGGTCTCACTATGTTGCCCAGGCTGGTCTCAAATTCCTAGACTCAAGTGATCCTCCTGCCCCAGCCTCCCAAAGTACTGGGATTACAGGCATGAACCACCACACCTGGCCAAAAAAAGTACTTTTCATGGCAGATACTTAGGTAGCAAATTAAGCAAGATACAAAACTAGGTACATAATCTGACTTTATGTTACAAAAATGTATGACCACTAATATTAAAATCCACAGAAAAAAAAAAATCAGGACAGAAATACACCAAAATGTTAAAAGTGGTTATCACAGCTACACACTGGGACACATGCCTGTAATCCCAGAACTTTGGGAGGCCAAGGTGAGCAGGTGGCTTGAGCCCAAGAGTTCGAGACCAGCCTGGGTAACATGGCAAAACCCCATCTCTACAAAAAAATTAGCTAGGTGTGGTGGCACACACCTGTGGTCCGAGCTCCTTGGGAGGCTGAGGTGGGAGGATTGCTTGAGCCCAGGAGGTCAAGGCTGTAGTGAGCCATGACCATGCCCTGGGAGGTAGAGTAAGACCCCACCTCTTTAAAAAAGTGGCAAGGCGCGGTGGCTCACACCTGTAATCCCAGCACCTTGGGAGGCCGAGGTGGGCAGATCACCTGAAGTCAAGAGTTCGAGACCAGCCTGGCCAACATGGTGAAACCCCACCTCTACCCAAAATACAAAAATTAGCTGCGTATAATGGCATGCACCTGTAATCCCAGCTACTTGGGAGGCTGAGGCAGAATTGTTTGAACCCGGGAGGCAGAGGTTGCAGTGACCCAAGATTGTGCCACTGCACTCCAGCCTGGGAAACAGGGCAACACTCTCTCCCCCCAAAAAAATAAATAAATAAAATAAAATAAAATAAAAGGGGTTGTCTCCACTAATAAGATTATGAGTGATTTTTTACTTTTCTATATTTTTCCAAATTTCTCATTTAATTATGTCTTGCTCTTATAATCATAAGTTTTTAATAATAATATTTGACTACAGATGTTGTTCCTCTTTGGCCTTCATACCAACCCTAATCCTCAGTATCAATATGTACTTCAAATACAACTCAGGCACTTCAGATGGCTTTGTAAACTGGGTCAATGCTATTCCATCTGAAAGGAAATTACAGAATTATTTTCAATTCAATTATACATCCCTGCAAAATAATTTGAGGGCAGCTTTGAATGCTGTAAGTGAGTTGTGATGCCATCTATATTAATCCTAAAACTTATCTTCAAATTGATTCCCAAAGTCCAACACACTTTTTATTTAATAAATATTTACAGGCCAGGCACGGTGGCTCAAGCCTGTAATCCCAGCACTTTGGGAGGCCAAGGCAGGCGGATCACAAGATCAGGAGATTGAGAACATCTTGACCAACATGGTGAAACCCCGCCTCTACTAAAAATACAAAAATTAGCCAGGCGTGGTGGTGCACGCCTGTAGTCCCAGCTACTCTAGAGGCTGAGGCAGGAGAATCACTTGAATCCAGGAGGCGGAGGTTGAAGTGAACTGAGATTGTGCCACTAGCACTCCAGCCAGGGCGACAAGAGTGAAACTCCATCTCAAAAATAAATAAATAAACAAACAAACAAACAAACAAACAAATAAATTTACAGACTGCCTACTGTCTGTCAAGCAGTATTCTAGGTGCTAGCAATTCCACAGTGAACAAAATAAACAAAAATCTCTGCCTTCATGGAGTTTACATTCTATTAACAAAATTCAATGTCTTATAAAGTCAGGCAGCACACAGTGGGCTCAAAAAAGTACACAACAGGCCAGGTGTGGTGGCTCATGCCTGTAATCCCAGCACTTTGGGAGGCTGAGATGGGTGGATCACTTGAGGTCAGGAGTTCGAGAACAGCCTGGCCAACATGGTAAAACCCCACCTGTACCCCACATACAAAAATTAGATGGGTGTGATGGCGCGCACCTGTAATCCCAGCTACTCAGGAAGCTAAGGCAGGAGAATCACTTGAACCCAGGAGGTGGAGGATGCAGTGAGCCGAGACTGCGCCACTGCACTCCAGCCTGGGCGACAGAGACTCTGTCTCAAAAAAAAGTACAAAACAATTATTAGTTAATAAAGATCATGGTAGAGCATAGTAGCTAACACCCGTAATCCCAGCACTTGGGGAGGTCAAGGTGGATGGATCATTTGAAGTCAGGAGTTCAAGAGCAGCCTGGCCAACATGGCAAAATCCATCTCTACTAAAAATACAAAAATTAGCTAGGTGTGGTGGTACACACCTGTAATCCCAGCTACTTGGGAGGCTGAGGCATGAGAATCACTTGAACCCAGGAAGCAGAGGTTGCAGTGAGCCAAGATCACACTCCAGCCTGGGTGACAGAGCAAGTCCCTGTCTAAAAAAATAAATTAAAAAAAAAAAAAGTCGTAAAAACCAACAAATTTCAAATGCACTTAAAATAGTTTAACTTTCTCAAATTTCAGCTGAGCTACAGGAGATTGAAAAATTCCTTTGGTTGGCAGCAAGCCAAAGAACTGGAAGCCATTTGAGAATTCAGAAGTCGCTTGGGATCCTGCAATATCTCATCCGTGTAAGTCTCAGCTGCAGTTTATCCATTGCTTAAAGTCATATGCGTGGCTAATAATCAGGAACTAGTTACTTTCCTATTATATTAGCTCAAAGTATTATTCCTTAGGTAAAAATAGATTGTGTCTCACCACAGCACCACGGGAGTTTATTCCAGAACTTACTTTCCCTCATATCTCATAATGAACTAACTGTATCATCACCCAGAACAAGCCAGCAAATGACCATGGCAACCTTATTTTATGGTCTCCCACTATCTCACAACTAACTATACAGTCTTCACCACTGAAGTTAGAGAGGTGCTTCTGTCTCTGTGGCTGAATCTAACATTAACAAGCCAAAAACCAGAAGTAGCTTATATGAGCAAACTGCTGCTTTGCCTCTGCCTCTGCCCCATGTTAGTATCTTCTAATATCAATAAGCCACCACAGAACATGTCACTTACCATCAGACAAAGAAAACATTAACTGGTTTCTGTAAATCCCTCCTCTCCACTTGCAAGAATAACACAAATCTCAAAAGACAATCATAAGCAATTATAATTCAAGAAGGTCACTGAATAAATGAGTCTAGACCCTACATTTCAGAGAAGGGATAACCAATGCCTGAAGCAGTTGCATGGTTAGTCTAAGATAAGATATCTACTACAATGAAAGAGCCAAACTCAAAACCAGATTTTTTGCCTCCAAATCAGGTACACTTCTCAATACACCAAGGTAAATCTACTTCTATTTTAAGACTAGCAAGTACTGTTTCTAAGCCAAAGTCTAGTATTAAAAGGGCAAGGATATTACGAGATGCACTGGGAAGGAGACCAGGAAAAGACCCACCACAGATCAGATCAGGTATGTATCTCCTTCTCATACACTAATTCCTTAGATTATGATACAGAAAATACTTTGAATTTTTAGCTTGTGTTTGACTGTCACTTTCTCTGGTACCTCCTCTAGCAAAAAAAAAAAAAAAAAAAAGCCTGAAACGTGACTGAAATCCATTTATTAAAATTCTATGGAGCAGCAATGGAATTGGAAAAAGCAGGCCGGCAGAAGAGAAAGCTATGTAAACCTGGGTTAATTCTTACTCATTCTTCTAATTTAGCTGAGATGTCAACTTCTTTTAGAAAGCCTTAATTCCTCCTTCCCCAGACTACTCTCACAGCAGAGTTATCAGTTATCACTGTACTTGCCTCATGACGTTTTGTTTACCCACCTCTAACCAAAAGGACCAAGTTCTTTGAGGGCAAAGATTTCTACCTTAGCTCTTCAATCCTACATCTAGCACTGAGTGTAGCAGCACACAGTGGATGCTGAATTAATGAATTCATAAACTTGCCACATCTATTGAAGCCTCAATATAAATGGCAAAATGTGGCAATCCTATTTATTTATTTATTTATTTATTGAGATGGAGTCTCGCTGTCACCCAGGTTGGAGTGCAGTAGAGCGATCTCGGCTCACTGCAATCTCCGCCTCGCGGGTTCACGCCATTCTCCTGCCTCAGCCTACCAAGTAGCTGGGACTACAGGCGCCTGCCACCACGCCTGGCTAATTTTATGTATTTTTAGTAGAGACGGGGTTTCACCGTGTTAGCCAGGATGGTCTCGATCTCCTGATCTCATGATCTGCCCACCTCGGCCTCCCAAAGTGCTGGGATTACAGGAATCCTCTCCATTGACTTAAGATGTGGTTCTCGGCCGGGTGCAGTGGCTCACGCCTGTAATCCCAGCACTTTGGGAGGTAGAAGCAGGCGGATCACAAGGTCAGGAGATCAAGACCATCCTGGCCAACACAGTGAAACCCCGTCTCTACTAAAATACAAAAAATTAGCCAGGCATGGTGGCGCACACCTGTAGTCCCAACTACTCAGGAGGCTGAGGTAGGGGAATCGTTTGAACCCAAGAGGCGGAGGTTGCAGTGAGCCAAGATCATGCCACTATACTCCAGCCTGGCAACAGAGCGAGACTCAATCTCAAAAAAAAAAAAAAAAAAAAAAAAAAAAGACGTGGGTTCCAAACATTTTCTAGAAGACCTTTGATTTTGTTTTTTTTGAGGTGGAGTCTCACTCTGTAACCCAGGCTGGAGCGCAGTGGTGCAGTCTCGGCTCATTGCAACTTCTGCCTCGTGGGTTCAAGCGATTCTCCTGCCTTGGCCTCCTGAGTAGCTGAAATTACAGGCAGGCGCCACCACGCCCGGCTAATTTTTGTACTTTTAGTAGAGACCAGGTTTCACCAGATCAGGGCCAGGTGCGGTGGCTCAATGCCTGTAATCCCAGCACTTTGGGAGGCTGAGGCAGGCGGATCACCTGAAGCCAGGAGTTCGAGACCAGCCTGGTCAACATGGTGAAACCCAGTCTGATCACGCCTTACAAAAAATTACCTGGACCTGGTGGCACACGCCTGTAATCCCAGCTACTCAGGAGGCTGAGGCATGAGAATGGCTGGAATCCAGCCGGCGTAGGTTGCAGTGAGCCGAGATTACACCACTGCACTCCAGCCTGGGCGACAAAGCAAGACTCTGTCTCAAAAATAAATAAATAAAACTGTCTGAACTTATTAATTCAATGCAAACACAACTATACCCACATACTTTGAGGGTCTGGAGATCTATTCAAGCCATGAACAGTGCTAACTCCAGCTATGCACTCCTGCCAAGATGCTTAAATGTTATCCACTTATTGAACAATGACCACTTGCGTCAAATACAAATTCCCATACTCCCTCAGGGTAGAAAAGTAGAACTGCTCTATTTCAATCCTTTTTTAATCAATACCCCATTACCAGTTGATAACACTTCACCACTGGTATGTCTGATGAAATCTACAACCTATACTTCCTTTACTGTTTATATAATAAAATTTTCTATTTTAGCAATTGTAACCTTTCAGTGTGTAAAAGCAAAGAGAAAACAATAAGAGCTGTGAAACACATCAAGAGGAAGATTAATTTTAGCTTCAATGGCATGAGGCAAAGTAAAAACTTAAAGCCACACAAAAGTAAGTGTTCCATATGACTAAAATTGGTTTAAAATTATCTACACTGGAACTTACACTTAAATTTATCTCTTTAACAAGTGCTTTTTATTCAAAAGAAAATTAAGTTTCAGCTTTTGTAACTACTTGAATGTTGCAACCAACTCAGAGCTTTTATAAGTCCTTCTATGAAATGCACTGAGAAAAAGCATACTTGAAACACAGCTGTATCCCAAAAAGCCACCCAATTCACCAAACAGTGTCACATTCAGCACTGTGGTCCTTACTACTCTGTACATCAAGGACACCTACTACAGGTTTCCTTTTATTTCTGTTCAATTGCCAAAACAGCTCAAAGATGCAGGTAATGAGTAATTTACGTGGTAGCACAATTCAGAAACTTAAAAGTCCTAACCGAGTATAGGCAATCAAGGTAAAAAATGAAATTAGAAAGGAATTTAAACTCACAAAGTAGTAAGCAAAGACAGGTTTAAAAGATTCAACACTGAACTCTGCCTTTAAGTAGGCAAACCAGCCAATCTTCCCCCACCCCAGAGACACTGAACAAAACCAACCAGGTTTTCCATAAGCAACGCTAAGTTATCACCACACTTTCTCATCGGTGAACAATTCCTAATTGAACAGAATCATGCAGGATAAAAACATTATGAAATCAGTACACACGTCACACTGGAATGGAATTTATCTTTACACTGCACCGCGGTGCCTGGATTGAAAATCACGAACTAGGTTTAAAGAACAGAGAAAATGACACTTGGCAGAAAACAAACAATGACCTGAAATGACTCTAGAAGGGAGATTGCTTTCCCTTCTCAAAGTAATCTATACAGACAAGAATCAAACTACAGACTGTGAAATAATCTGGGGACCTCACAGCAGTTAGCTTCTTACTTGCTCAAACATCCTACAATCTCTAAAAGTCAAACGCACGATGACACAAACATAAAAACACAACACATCTAACATCCAATCATTATTTATTGATTTACACAAATACAGTGGGTGTAGGGAGGAGGTGATGCATGATGAAATGTTATTCTCAGGTACGCAATACCTTTCTAAATCTCCGTGGAATACATGAATTCAACGTTTTACCTTCACCGGCTAGTTTTTGACTAAAATACCCCATCACCAAGTCTTTTCAATCAAAGCTCTCCAAAATTCTACAATCGAGCAAATAACATGAAATTAGAAACATTCAATACTAGACTTTCCTCCAGAAGCCCTGGTAACTCTCTAGACATCAGGCCTATGAGGAGTAAATTAAAGCCCATTAAAAATATTCAGCCTAACACAAATCTTCCAAGAAGTGAGACTTTTGTGGGTGATGGGTAATGTCGGTGAACTTCCTCTTCCTTTAAAAAGGTCAAAGACAGGGAAGCGTCCGGCGTCACATTTCCTCCTCAGATCTCTACCACAAACCACATCACAACTCTCCCATTACTAAAAAAAATTATCCAGAGGAACTGCTTTCTGTACATTTTCACCTTAGACTGAAAATCCAACATACCTCGGAAACGAGCTGATTGGTTTCAAACAAGAAATTTACCGATAAAGTTTATTATGTACTAATAATAATTATGGAAGCCCACTGTGTCCCGCTGTAGGGGGAGCCGAGGGGAGGTGAAGAGCAGGAGGGTGTAATCCTCACAACAACCAGAGAAAAGCCTTCCCTGCAGGGTTGGTCCCAGGCACCAAGCAAATTCTGCCCAATAAAGGGGGGGAGGGTACCTTAGGGGAGGAGGGGAGAAGGGACCCCAAGCTCTAAAAGGAAGGGGCTGCAGAAGCATGGCCAAGTGGGGCTAGCTTTCACAGTATTGCAGAGGGTCTGGGGGTCCCCCCGCAGTGCTGCTGCCGGGGCACCCCAAAAGCTCCGCCCAAGCCCGATGCAGGGGCTTGAGCCGCTGTCCCTTTCCTGGCTGGGCTGTGGCGGCCGGCAGGAGGGTCCCCTGGGCTGCGGGGTCCCCCTGGACTGCGACGACGAGAACCGAAGGGCCGACAGGAAGGTGAAAAGGATACTGTTGGGGCGCCTGAGTCTGGAGGGCCCTGATGTTCGGGTGAGGAGGGGGGACCGCTGCCGCCGCCGCCGCCGCCGCCGCCGCCGCCGCCGCTGCTGCCGCCGCCGGGTGAGGAGGCGGTACCGCTGCTGCCGCCGCCGCCGCCGCTCCGGTGCCGGGTCCGGTTCCTGCTGCAGTCGCTGTGCCTGATTTCAGAGCCGGTTTCTGCGGTAAACTCATGGCAAAGCGAAGCCACCAACCCCCCCAGAGCGGGACCGGGCGCGCCGGGGTGCAGGGGCCGGGGGCAGCGGGGGGGCGGGATGGGGGCAGACCCGGGGAGGCGGCGGGAGCGGGGGGCTGGGGGGAGCCTGGGGGGAGGAGGAGGAGGGGGCCGGGGCCGGTCACACACGCCCGACGCCGCCGCCGCCGCCGCCGCCGCCTCCGCCGCCGCCGCCGCCGGCAGCAGCAGCCGCCCCGCGGGCCAGCACCACCGGCTGCCGGTCTCCGTGACAACGCGACCCCAGGGGGGGGGCCGGACCCGGCGGGGGCAGGAGGCGGAGAGACCGGACCTTTCACGGCAATATCCTCATGGGCCGGCGGCGGGGGATCTTTATCCCCCTCCCCGGAGGAAGCGGCGCCCTTCTCGGTAGCGGGGCTCAGGCGATGCCGGTGGATTTTCTTCACTCAACGAGCAGAGCATCCAACATGGCGCTGTGGCCGCCTCCAGCAGTCCGGCAGGACGGCTGCTCGGAAAACTTCGGACTTTTTCGGAATGGCTCGGGAAACCGAGGGTGGGAAGCCTCTTCGGCTCTTTCCGGAGACTGCTAGGGGTCGGGATTCTTCGGAGACGCTCGGGTGCGTCCTCGGCCGCCGTTCGGGAGGGCTCAGGGGCTAACTCGCTTCCTCGGCAAAGATCGGCGAGGGAGGCTTCGCTGGCTTACAGCGGCGCGGGTGCGGGGCGGAGGGAAAGACCAAAGGCGAGGTCTGGCTTGCGAGAGTCCTCCCCTGCGGCCCAGCCTCGAAGAACAATGGTAATGGCCCCGGAGTCGGCTGTTCGCTGAGCCCCGCTCGCAGGGGCGGAGAGGCAGCGGCGAGGCGAAAAACCCCTGGAGAAGGAACCGCTTAACCGGAATGGAACCCGTTGGATAGGGACCCCCCGCGGGGACTTCGCGTAACCAATGCCACCCGCCGGCCTGTAACCCACGCATTTCACACCCATTGTGTCGACACTTCCTCAGACGCTCTGAGAGGTGAATGAGGAGCCCCATTTCCAGAGGACACAGAGGAAAAGTGACTAGCCCAAGGTCACCCTATCGGGAAAGGACAGAGCCTAAATCTAAATGCCACCTTCATCTGGATGAACCTTGCCGCCTCCCATATTGGCTGGGGACATGACCTGAGCCGCCATATCTAATCAGCAGCCTTAACTGAGCTCTGTGGATGGATTCAAACCTAGGCCTTCCCCAGGACTGGAGCGCCCTTTGACCAGCAGCCAGTGATCAGCTCCCCAATGTCCTATGCTGGGTGACATTTGTTGATAAGGATTTTCTTCCCAGCTAGACCTGCCAAGATCACTCCCACCCCCAACCCCGCACACCCCACTCCTTAGCAGGTGCCTTGTCCTAAGCACAGTGGCATTGAGTGGGAAAGAATGGCAGGCATCGGCCGGGCGCGGTGGCTCACGCCTGTAATCCCAGCACTTTGGGAGGCCAAGGCCGGTGGATCACTTGAGGTCAGGAGTTCAAGACCAGCCTTGCCAACATGATGAAACCTCGTCTCTACTAAAAATACAAAAATTAGCCAGGCGTGGTGGCAGGCACCAGCTACTCGGGAGGCTGAGGCGGGAGAATCACTTGAACCCAGGAGGCGGAGGTTGCAGTGAGCTGAGAGAGTGCCATTGCACACTAGCCTGGGCGCGACAGAGTGAGGCTTCGTCTCAAAAAAAAAAAAAAAATGGCAGGCGTCATGGAGCAATCAAGTTTTAATATAATATTTACCAGACATGGCACTAAGCGCTGTACCCTTCATTATCTCAAGCAGTCCTGTGAAATAGGTAGTATCCATTTTACAAATGAATAAACTGAGACTGGGGAGGCTCAATACCATCAAACCACAGAAAAGCTGAGAAAATTGAGGCTCAAAACGCACAAAAGACTTCCCCGAGGTCGCACCGACAGTGTGGCTGGCAGAGCTAAGATTAGAGTCTAGTTCTGACTCCTGCTATCCTGCTTCACACACTGCCTTACTATTTTGTTGTTGCTGTTTTTTGAGACGGAGTTTCGCTCTTGTTGCCCAGGCTGGAGTGCAATGGCACGATCTCGGCTCACGGAAACCTCCGCCTCCCATGTTCAAGCGATTCTCTTGCCTCAGCCTCCCGAGTAGCTGGGATTAGAGGCATGCGCTACCACGCCTGGCTAATTTTGTACTTTTAGTAGAGACGGTGATTCTCCATGTTGGTCAGTCTGGTCTCAAACTCCCAACCTCAGGTGATCTGCCTGCCTCGGCCTCCCAAAGTGCTGGGATTACAGGCGTGAGCCACCGCGCCTGGCCTATTGTTGTTTTTAATTCATATAAAGCTCTACACATAGTGGATGCTTAATTCGTGACAATCCCTGGGAGCCCCAAATGCTCCTTCTAGGATAAAAGAGCATCTGAAAGAGAGTGATACCACAACCCCCCTACGGCGTCTTTCTAGCTAGAGCTCCACAGTTTCTGACATTGAAAAGGATGCCTCATCCCCATCTCCAGACTGGAAGACAGCAGCTACTTCATACTGTGGCATCTTAAACTGTCTGGATTTGTAACACCTGATTTTTTTATTTATTTATTTTTTTTTTTGAGACAGTCTCGTTCTGTCGCCCAGGCTGGAGTGCAGTGGCGCAATCTTGGCTCGCTGCAAGTTCTGCCTCCTGGGTTCACGCCATTCTCCTGCCTCAGTCTCCCAAGTAGCTGGGACTACAGGCACCTGCCACCGTGCCCGGCTGATTTTTTTTCTCTTTTTGTATTTTTGGTAGAGATGGGGTTTCACTGTGTTGGCCAGGATGGCCTCGATCTCCTGACCTCGTGATCCGCCCGCCTTGGCCTCCCAAAGTGCTGGGATTACAGGCGTGAGCCACCATGCCCGGCCTGTAACACCTGATTATTTAGGATGGGATTTTCTGCTCCTCTCCACATATAATTGACTCCAGGAAGAATTCCCTAGTGGTCCTTCAGTTCCCCAGATTCTCCTTTCATTTTCTGGAATCTCAGGCATCCTTATCCCAATCAAAACCTGTTCCAAGGAAATTATTTGACTTCTCATTTACACTAGGGTGATAACAGGCCGATAATTGCCTAATTGTTATTCTTTTCTGAGCTAGCTTCATTTTCTAACTTAATAATAGCTACAAGCATCAGACAATTACTGTGTGCCAGTCTTAGCTAAGCACTTTATGAAACTTATCTGTTTTAAAATGGATAGACCTTGGGCAAAATAATGTAAAAGTCCCTGATAAGATTCTGGCCACAGGCAATCAATGGAGGAAGTTTGTAGGGAACAAAGTCAAAAAGGTAGAGCTCTGTTCTTTCAGCCCAAAGAATGGCCTTGCTCAAGTCTAGACCTCACTTGCATATATATATATATTATATAATTTATTAATTAATTAATTAATTATATATTTAATATATTATATATAATATATATTATATATTATATATATCAAGCAGCAGATATAATATATAATATATATAATATATATAATATATATTGTATATTATATAATATATAATATATATAATATATATTGTATATTATATAATATATAATATATATAATATATATTGTATATTATATAATATATAATATATATAATATATATTGTATATTATATAATATATAATATATGTAATATATTATGTAATATATTATATAATATATATTATATATTATATATAATATATATTATATATAATATATATTACATAATATATTACATATATTACGTAATATATGTTATATATTACATATAATATATAACATATATTACGTAATATATGTAATATATTACATATAATATATACATTATATGTAATATATATGTTATATATTATATAATATATATTTTATATATATATATATGATTGTTGTTGTTTTGAGACAGAGTCTCATTGTCTCCCAGGCTGGAGTGCAGTGGCACGATCTCAGCTCACTGCAACCTCCACCTCCTGGGTTCTAGCGATTCTCCCACCTCAGCCTCCCGAGTAGCTGGGATTATCGTGTGCACCACCACGCCCAGCTGATTTTTTCGTATTTTTAGAAGAAGTAGGGTTTCACCATATTGGCCAGGCTGGTCCCAAACTCCTGACCTCAAGTGATCCACCAGCCTCGGCCTCCCACAGTGCTGGGATTACAGGCATGAGCCACCGTGCCTGGCCTATTTATTTATTTTTGAGACAGGATCTCAGGCTGGAGTGCAGTGGCTCAATCACGGTTCAGTGCAGCCTCGACTTCCCCAGGCTCAGGTTATTCTCCCACTTCAGCCTCCTGAGTAGTTAGGACTACAGGTTCGCACCACCATGCCCGGCTAACTTTTGTATTTTCTTGTAGAGACAAGGGTCTCACCATGTAATCCAGGCTGGTCTCAAACTCCTGGGCTCAAGTATAATCTGCCCACCTCGGCCTCCCAAAGTGCTGGAATTACAAGTGTGAGCCACCACTCCCTGCTTCTACAAATTTAAAAACTGAGATTCAAAGATGTGAAAATTCTCATAACTTTTAAGTAAATGTACAGGGATTCAAACCCAAGGCATCTGACTCTAGGTCTGATTTGCCAGGTTGCCTTCAGCATAGCAACCTACCCACTATGGCCAGAGGTACTGTCAACAAGAAAAGCTGATTTTGTTAACTTTCCTGTTACCATCACCTTCAGGATCCAATCTAAATCTAAAGTCCTTCAGAGTCTGGGCTCTGCTTCCAATCTGCCACACTCCACCTCAAATTCAGAGCTGCAGCCACCTTGGTCTATTGGAAATGAAACCATTCTCCTTGCCCTGGGGCCCATGTGCAGCCTGCTGCTGCTCCCTGTATCCCTAAACCGTCCTCACTCCCCTTAGCCAATTGGCTAATTCCTGATTCAAGGTTTGGCTCAAGCATCACCTCCTCAAGGCAGCCTTTTTTCACTCCCCAAGCTGAACTAGGGACCCTTCCTCTAGATCCCCTTGGCAGTGGATGCTTAAAACTCTCAGGGCACTCTCCACGAGTGCGGCCACTGAAAGCAAATGACCTGAGTTTGATTCTTAGCCCTACCATTGATTAGCTGTATGATCTTGGAGAACGCACTTAATTTCTCCAAGCCTTGGTTTTCTTATCTGTAAAATAAAGAGGTTCTACCTCCTAGAGTTATCATAAAAAATAAAACAAATGTGGCCAGGCGCAGTGGCTCACGCTTGTAATCCTAGCACTCTGGGAGGCCGAGGCCGGCAGATCATGAGGTCGGGAATTTGCGACCAGCCTGGCCAACACAGTGAAATCCCATCTCTACTAAAAATAAAAAAATTAGCTGAGCGTGGTGGCGGTGCCAGTAATCTCAGCTACTTTGGAGGCTGAGGCAGGAGAATCGCTTGAACCCAGGAGGTGGAGGTTGCAGTGAACCGAGATTACACCACTGCACTCCAGCCTGGGCAACAGAGCTAGACTCCATCTCAAGAAATTAATTAATTAATTAATAAAACAAATGCAAAACCCTTAGCTCAGTCCCTGGCTCATAGTAATTCTTGGATAAGTTTTAGCTATTTCTTTTTCATTTATGCAGGGAGATTACTTAGCCTTTTTGTTTTTTTTTTTTTTTTTTTTTTTGAGACATAGTTTCGCTCTAGTTGCCCAGGCTGGAGTGCAATGGCACGATCTCTGGCTCACCGCAACCTCCACCTCCCAGGTTCAAGTGATCCTCCTGCCTCAGCCTTCCAAGTAGCTGGGATTACAGGCATACACCACCACGCCCAGCTAATTTTGTATTTTCAGAAGCGACGGGGTTTTTCCATGCTGGTCAGGCTGGTCTCAAACTCCCAACCTCAGGTGATCTGTCCGCCTCGGCCTCCCAAAGTGCTAGGATTACAGTCATGAGCCACCGTGCCCGGCCAGAGATTACTTAGTCATTTAAAATATCTCTGACATCTAGTACTCAATAAATAGGATGTGAAATTTGCTGAATGACTGAATAATCGTGAATTGCCTAAAGATTTGGTGTTACCCTGGAGAAGTTCTGAGTCACACAAGAGGCCAGACTGAGTCTCACTGCACAGGGAGAGAGAAAAGCAAGAGTATCCTAGAGCAGGCCCTGCTAGCCCACGAGACGGGCATTGTGTCTTTGACCAGCCATCTACTGTTCCCAGAGCCCAGTGCAGCCTCTGTCAAAGACCAACATTCCCAAAGAGCTAGATGACAGATGAAGACTCAGCTTATAAGCTTGTACATTTCCTCATAGCTGGGTGATGGTGTGTTGCTTGTTACCATGTGGGATCATGGCTCTGTTTGCCTCAGTGAGCTGAGAATTGGACCCAGGGGGACTACTTAGTTTCTTAATTAAGTCCATGAGCCTTGGTTTGCTGTGTCCTGGCAACAAAGTCTTTTTGAACAAAGTGACTTGGTAATCTAAACTTTCCAGTCCCTAAGGGTAAAGTTCATCACCCGCCCCCCCCAAAAAAATAAAAATAAAAATAAAAAACTTTCCAAAATGTTGTGGCAAGTTGGAGTTCTCTGACCCTTTCATTTTCCTCCTGGAGGGACTGGCCTTTAAAAGCAAGCCATGTTATGCCAAGAGAAGCCATTTGTATTAGCCCAGAGAGACTTGAGTATCATTAGATGCTCTGCACAGAAATACGCAAACGTCCACCAAGGCCTGCTGAGAATACATCTAGACCCAAGGTAATTAAGGCATAGAGATGGGAGGCCAAAGAGATTAAAAAGGAAGGACGGCCGGGTGCGGTGGCTCACACCTGTAATCCCAGCACTTTGGGATTAGGGAGGCCAAGGTGGATGGATCACGAGGTCAAGATGTTGAGACCATCCTGGCCAACAAGGTGAAACCCCGTCTCTACTAAAAATACAAAAATTAGCTGGGTGTGGTGGCACATGCCTGTAGTCCCAGCTTCTCAGGAGGCTGAGGCAGGAGAATCGCTTGAACCTGGGAGGCAGAGGTTGTGGTGAGCTGAGATTGCGCCACTACACCCCAGCCTGGCAACAGAGCGAGACTCCGTCTAAAAAAAAAAAAAAGGAAGGAGGAGAAGGAGGAAAAGGAGGAAGAAGATAAGCAGGAGGAGGAGAAAACAAAGAAGATGAAGGAGGAGAAGAAAAAGGAGGAGGAAGAGGAGAAAAAAAAGGAGGTGGCGGGGAGGAAGCTGGGCACTGTGGTCCACACCTGTAATCTCAATGCTTTGGGAGGCCTAGGGGGTAGGATCACTTGAAACCAGGAGTTCAAGACCAGCCTGGGCATCCTAGTGAGTTGCTCTCTCTACAAAAAGAGTTTACAAATTAGCTGAGTATGATGCCACGTGTCTGTAGTCCCATCTATTGGGAAGGCTGAGGCAGGAAGATCACTTGAGCCTACGAGTTTGAGGCTGCAGTGAGCTATGATGGCACCACTGCACTCCAGCCTGAGCAACAGAACAAGACCCTGTCTCAAAAATAAGTAAATAAGTAAATAATAAAATAAATAATTAGCCAAACATGGTGGTACACACCAATAATCCCAGCTATTTGGGAGGCTGAGGCAAGAGGATCTCTTGAGCTCAGGAGTTCAAGGCTGTAGTAAGCTATGGTTGCACCACTACATTCCAGCCTGGGCTACAAGACAAGACCCTGTCTTTAAAAAATAAATATAAAGGAAGAAGAGACTGTGGGGCTCCCACCTGAAATAGACATGGAGGAAGGAGAGAAACCCCAGTAGGAAAAGTAAAGATTTAGCTCCATTCCCCGTATGCAAGTACGTTCATGATGGGCCACAAATGCTCATCTGCATAGAGCTGAGCCAGTTGGCCCTTCCAAATGCCTTAGGGCCCAGGGATATATGGTGGTGTGTGAGGGTGGTGGTTCCTTTTATGGCTATAAGACAGATCCAGATTCTAACCTTATAGACCAAGCTGTACCACCCTAAGTAAGTTTCCTAACTTCTGTGGACCATTTGCCAAATGAAGGTAAGTCAGCCTCTAACAGATTAGAACAAGAAGTAAAGGAACTTGTCTGCAGAGACTGTCAACAGGGCCTAGGGCACAATAGGCAGCTCAGCAACCCTTACTTCCTTCCCTATTCCCCTCAGGGTGAAGTTTCAGCTTCTTTGATTTAACATCACTCTCACTTCTGGAGCCAAGCTGTCCTACCTCTTTGCCCACAGCACGTGTGATTCTTACAGCTGTCAGCAATTCCTAGAGTTGACCACAGCCCTTCCAGCCACAGTGGCCTTAGATAGTTCAGGTTCATTAGGATGCAAAAGAGAGCAAAAAGTATTATCATAGAATGCTTAAGATGGTAAGTGTTGCTATGTGTGTTTTAGCACAATTTCTAACAAGTATTACAGAGACTGGTCGGGCTGGAAACACCCTCAAGGATTACCTTTCTCAGGCTCCTGGTTTAGGCACAGAGCACAGAGTTGGAAAAGGATTTCCTCAAGCAAGTGAGCAGCAGGGCCAAGACGGAACGACCTCTCTAAGGTGTCTCTCACGATGTGATCCTATCCTCTCATTCGGAAGTAGGATCCTACTGAGCGCAGTGGCTCACTTCTGTAATCCTAACACTTTGGGAGGCCAAGGTGGGTGAATCACTTGAGCTCAGGTGTTTGAGGCCAGCATGGGCAACATGGCAAAACCCAGTCTCTACTAAAAATACAAAAATTAGCCAGGCAGTGGTGGTGCGCCCCTGTGGTCCCAGCTACTCGGGATACTGAGGTAGGAGGATCACTGTAGCCCAGGAGGTCGAGGCTGCAGTGAGCCATGATTGTGCCCCTGCACTCCAGCCTGGGTGACAGAACGGGACCCTGTCTCTCAAAAAAAAAAAAAAAAAAAAAAAAGGTGGGATCAGCCAGGTATCCTGCTGTAGCTCACACCTGTAATCCTAACACTTTGGGAGGCCAAGGTGGGAGGATGCCTTAAGCCCAGAAGTTCAAGACCAGCCTAGGCAACATAGCAAGACCCCATTTCTACAAAAAAAAAAAAAAAAAAAAAGTATCTGTGTGTTTGGTGCATTCCTGTAGTCCCAGCTACTTGAGGTTGGAGGATCACTTGAGCCCAGCTGTGAGCCGCAATTGTGCCACTGCAATTCAGTCTGGGCAACAGAGCAAGACCGTATCTCAACTAAAAAAAAAAAAAAGTCGTCACTGGGCACAGTGGCTCCCACCTACAAACCCAGCTACTTAGGGAACTGAGGCAGGAGGATTGCCTGATCCCAGGAGTTCAAGGCTGTAATGAACTGACAGCACCACTACACTCCAGCCCGGGCAACAGAGCAAGACCCTGTCTCTTTTATTCTATTTTATTTTATTTATTCATTCATTTATTTATTTTTTGAAACAGAGTTTCACTCTTGTTGCCCAGGCTGGAGTGCAATGGCGCGATCTTAGCTCACTGCAACCTCCACCTCCCGGGTTCAAGTGATTCTCCTACCTCAGCCTCCCAAGTAGCTGGGATTACAAGCGCCCACCACCATGCCCAGCTAATTCCTGTCTCTTAAAAATAAAAAATAAAAATAAAAATAAAATATATATATATTTCTTTTTAGGGCTGAATAATATTCCATGGTATGGATATACCACATTTTGTTTATCCATTCATACACCAGGGGAGATTTGAGTTGTTTCCACCTTTTGGCTATTGCAAATAATGCTGCTATGAATATAGGTGTACACATACCTGTTTGGATTCCTGCTTTCAATTCTTTGGGGTATATGCCTAGAAATTGGATTGCTGGATCATATGGTAATTCTATATTTAACCTTCTGAGGAACCACCATACTGTTTTCCGTAGCAGCTGTACCATCTTACATCATCTCTACCAGCAAGGCACAAGGGTTCGAATTTCTCCACATCCTCACCAACACTTGTTATTTTCTGTTTGTTTTGTTTTGCTTTTTTTTTTTTTTTTTTTCGAGACGGAGTTTTGCTCTTGTCCCCTCGGCTGGAGTGCAATGATGCGATCTTGGCTCACTGCAACCTCCGCCTGCTGGGTTCAAGCAATTCTCCTGCCTCAGCTTCCCGAGTAACTGGGATTATAGGCACGTGCCACCATGCCCGGCTAATATTTGTATTTTTAGTAGAGACGGGGTTTCACCATGTTGGCCAGGCTGGTCTCGAACTACTGACCTCAAGTGATCCACCCGCCTCGGCCTCCCAAAGTGCTAGGATTACAGGCATGAGCCATCTGAATAGTTATAATATATAGTATTAATACATAATAGGCTGGGCACGGTGGCTCATGCCTGTAATCCCAGCACTTAGGGAGGCTGAGGCGGGTGGATCACCCGAGGTCGGGAGTTCAAGACCAGCCTGACCAAAATGGAGAAACTCTGTCTCTACTAAAAATACAAAATTAGCCGGGCATGGTGGCGCATGCCTGTAGACCCAGCTACTCGGGAGGCTGAGGCAGGAGAATCGCTTGAACCCGAGAGGCAGAAGTTGCAGTGAGCCAAGATTGCACCACTGCACTCCAGCCAAGAGCGAAACTCTGTCTCAAAAAAAAAAAAAATTAATATATAGTAGCCATCTGAATGGTTGTGAAGTGATATCTCTTTGTGGTTTTGATTTGCATTTCCCTAATCATTGGTGATGTTGAACATCTTTTTGTGTTTTTAATGACCATTCAGGTTCTTTTTCTTTCTTTTTTTTTTTTTACGGACTCTCTCTCTCTGTTGCCCAGGATGGAGTGCAATGGCACAATCTCGGCTCACCGCAACCTCTGCCTCCCAGGTTCAAGTGATTCTCATGCCTCAGCCTCCCAAGTAGCTGGGATTACAGGCATCTGCCACCACACCTAGCTAATTTTTGTATTTTTAGTAGAGATGGGGGTTTCACTATATTGGCCAGGCTGGTCTTGAACTCCTGACCTCAAGTGATCCGACCGCCTCAGCCTCCCAAAGTGCTGGGATTACAGGCGTGAGCCACCGTGCCTGGCCTCTTTGCCCATTTTTTTAATCAGGTTGTTTATTTTGTTGTTGCTATTATTGAGTTGTAGAAGTTCTTTCCAGCTCTGCCACTTTTATCTGTGTGTCCTTGAGGCACTGTGCCTCAGTTCACTAAATTGCAAAAACACAAATTTTGGCCAGGCACAGTGCTCACACCTATAATCCCAGCACTTTGGGAGGCCAAGGTAGGAAGATCACTTGAGCTCAGGAGTTCAAGACCAGCCTGGACTCATCTTTACTAAAAATTGTAAGAATTAGCCGGGCATGATGGTGTGCACCTGTAGTCCTAGCTACTCAGGAGACTGAGGTGGGAGGATTGCTTGAGCCTGAGAGATCAAGGCTGCAGTGAGCTCTGGTTACCCCATTGCACTTCAGCCAGCCTAGGTGACAGAGTGAGACCCTGTCTCAACAAACAAACAAAACATATTAAAAACTCTATTAATTTCTACTACTTCCAAGGGTTATTGTGAGGGCTGTAAGCTAGCAAGCTGAAACCAACCACTAGTGTGTCTGTCCGATAAAAACAACAACTAACGTTGACTGAGCACTCATTATGTGCCAGGCATTAGGCAAAGCTCTTGACATGCCTTAACTCATTAATCAGGCTCTGTGTGTTAATAATACCTGCATGTAGGAGGTGAGCCATGGCAGGGGCTTCATTTTTTCCTCTGGCTAATCACCCAGCATGTTCAGGAGGAAGCCGCTGGACCTGGGGCAAGGCAGCCTTAGACCTTGCTGATGCCAGGCCTTATTAGCACAACCCTCACATACACCAAATCCACTAAGCTACCCCGTTGCTGAAATCGACATGCACCTCCACCAAGCCTGGCTCAGTGAAGGTCTCTAATACATGCCTAACAGGCCTCCAGCAGTCTCTAAGCCAAGGGGCTTCACCCACTCACCCGCACTTCTCATCTTGAATCTGGAAACCACATTCTTCTACCCTGGGTGGCACAGCCTTCCCCTGGCCCTGGTTGAACCTGATGCCATTTAAATATCCTGCCAAGCTTGCTGCCTTGAGAAAACCTTGGACACTGATTTACCTCCTATCTAATGACTAGAAGAGGAAGCTGGATTTCCAGATGCCCACAGCTGGCGTCAAGCACCAGGCTGGCTCCAGTGATCTCTGTGGGAGCCAGCCTGCCAGCCTGGCCTGGCCTGCCCATACTCCAGACACCTGGAAAGAGACTGAAGCGTTGCTATGCTCTGCCTTTTCCCACCAGCAGGAGAGTGAAAATAGCAGTGATTTAGAATTAATTCTGCAGATGAACATTTTTCGGTTTCCCAAATTTGGCAATCCTTCTCTCCTTGTTTTTTCCACCTTCATTGCATGCCTTTTCTTCTACTTGAATAAAGAAGATGAAGAAGATGCTTGGTTCTCACCTTTCATGCAGGGTATGTGGATATTGGATAGAGTCCAGCCTCTTCAGCTGGGCACCTGCTGCCCCATCACTTCTGGCTCTTGCCAATCTCTGCAGCCTCAGTTCCCAGCCCTCTCCCACTGACATGCACCCAGAACAGCCATGGATTTTCATGTCTCTGAGTCTTTCCATTTGCTATTCCCTCCAGCTAGAGTATCTCCTGCTCCTGGCTTGCCTAGAAGTTCCAATTTATCCTTTAAAACCTAGCTCAAGGCCAGACGCAGTGGCTCACACCTATAATCCCAGCACTTTGGGAGACCAAGGTGGGTGGATCACCCGAGGTCAGGATTTCTAAACCAGCCTGGCCAACATGGTGAAACCCCATCTCACTAAAAATACAAAAAAAATTAGCTGGGTGTGGTGGTGGGAGCCTATAATCCCAGCTACTTAGGAGGCTGAGGCAGGAGAATCGCTTGAACCCAGGAGGCAGAGGTTGCAGTGAGCCGAGATGGCGCCGCTGCACTCCAGCCTGGGTGACAGAGTGAGACTCCATCTCAAAAAACAAAACAAAACAAAATCTAGTTCAGGTGGCATCTGAGACAAACTTTCCTAGGTTCCCTCCTCCCAGCTAGACAGACTTAATTGTCCCGCTCCCCCTGCTACTTTTGTGCTGAGACATTATTTTCTTGTGATTCTATCGCACTATATTAATAAAAAGCTTATGTAGCCTAGTACCTGGCACATAGGAAGTATTCAATAAACATTAGCTTATTTATCTCTTCTATGAAGCTGGAAATGGCTGGGGAGACTATCACAACTTGCTCTTTGAACATAAAGAAAATAGAAACCTCTTTCATTTCATGCCATAGCATGGCTGGCTTTCAGCTTTGGCCAAGAACACTAAGTTACATTTTTGGCCTTCTCAACCGAAAGTGTTGGAAAGGGCCCCCACACCCATAAATACATGTAAAACGCCCATATCTGTTATCAGCCTGGAGCTCCCTTCACTTCTCAGGCTTGTAATTACTTGTATCATGGCTGTTCCCTGCTAGAGAGTAAGCTCCAACGACAGGGACTGTGACCTCCACCTTCACTGCTGTATGTCCAACACAGTTCCTGGCACAAAAGAGGTCCTCCATAAACACTGGAGGGATGGATGCTGATTGAGGTATTGGGTGTAACCCTACTCTGGCAGGTGTGGGGAATACCTTCTATTTGGGGAGGTTGGAGTTCTCTCCTGTACAAGAGTTTCTGGAGTGGCCTTCCCTGTACAAAAGTTTCTGGAGTGGACTTCCCTGTACAAGAGTTTCTGGAGTGGACTTCCCTGCTCTTAGGAGAACACCTGAGCCCCTCTCTTTGGCATCATAACTGAGAAATATGGGAGAAGAAGGGCCCAGGTCTATTCTACTTCTGTGGCATAGGTTTTAGAAAACAATAGACCTTGGCTCCAATCCAAGTTCTGAGACCTTAGTTAAGTCACCCTGAAGGCTTTGATTTCTCTCATCTCTATGAAGGGGATTATAGTAGTTCCAGTGTTCCAGCAAAGATGTGAGGTAGAAAGATCTAGCACAATACTGGACACATAGGAGATGGTCAAGAAATGAGGACAGTTCCATTGCACTCCAGCCTGGGCAACAGAGCAAGACTCCAAAAAAAAAGAGAGAAAAAGAAAGAGAGAGAGAGTGAGGGGAAAGAAGGAAGGAAGGAAAGAAGGATGGATCCCCTTTCTTCTCCCTAACAGTTGTGAAAGAAGAATAAATCTTGGGGCCCCAAAATCACTAAGCTAAAGGGAAAAATCAAGCTGAGAACTGCTTAGGAGAAACCTACGTCCCATTGTATTCAAAGTCACCCCTCTGCTCACTGAAATAAATGCATATCTGGTTACCTCCTTTGGAGAGGCTAATCAGAAGCTCAAAAGAATGCAACCATTTGTCTCATATCTACCTATGACCTGGAAGCCCCCTCCCCACTTCCAGTTGTCCCGCATCTTGATTGATGTCTCATGTCTCCCTAAAATGATAACACCCAGCTGTGCCCCTACCACCTTGGGCACATGCCATCAGGACCTCCTGAGGCTGTGTCACCGGTGTGCATCCTCGACCTTGGCAAAATAAACTTTCTAAATTAACTGAGACCTGTGTCAGATTTTCAGGGTTCACAAAGACTTCCTCATCTTTCCTGACGCTCTTTCGGGAGAGGAAATTCCATGTAGCTCAGTTGTAGAACTACACCCAGCTCTAACCCACACCCAGCTCTAACCCACACCCAGCTCTAACCCACACCCAGCTCTAACCCACACCCAGCTCTAACTCACACCCAGCTCTAACCCACACCCAGCTCTAACTCACACCCAGCTCTAACCCACACCCAGCTCTAACTCACACCCAGCTCTAACTCATGGCCAGAAAGACACAGTGGTTAGGAGCTCAGGCTCTTGAGGCAGGTTGCTTGGGTTCAAATCTCAGCTCACTAGCTGTGTGACCTTGAGCAAAACATTTAATCTCTCTCTACTTCAGTCTTTTTTTTTTTTTTTTTTTTTTTTTTTAGACAGGGTCTCATTCTGTTGCCCAGGCTGGAATGCAGTGGCATGATCACAGCTCACTGCAGCCTTGCCCTCCTGAGCTCAGGTGATCCTCCCACTTTAGCCTCCTAAATAGCTGGAACTGTAGGCACATGCCACCATGCCTGGCTAATTTTTGTATTTTTGGTAGAGACAGGAGTTTTGTCATGTTGCCCAGGCTGATCTTGAACTCCTGGGCTCAAGCGATCCTCCCGCCTCAGCCTCCCAAAGTGCTGGGATTACAAGTGTGAGCCACTGCACCTGGCCTTCTTCAGTCTCTTTTTCTTTTCTTTTTTTTTTTTTTGAGACAGAGTCTTGCTCTGTCGCCCAGGCTGGAGTGCAGTGGCGCGATCTCGGCTCACTGCAAGCTCTGCCTCCCGGGTTCACGCCGTTCTCCTGCCTCAGCCTCCCGAGTAGCTGGGACTACAGGAGCCTGCCACCACACCCGGCTAATTTTTTTTGTATTTTTAGTAGAGACGGGGTTTCACCGTGTTAGCCAGGATGGTCTCGATCTCCTGACCTCGTGATCCGCCCGCCTCGGCCTCCCAAAGTGCTGGGATTACAGGCGTGAGCCACTGCGCCCGGTCTTCAGTCTCTTTATCTGCATTATAGTAACGATAATGATAGCATTGATCTCATAAGACATTGGTTTTTTTTTTTTTGTTTGTTTTTTTTTTTTGAGATGGAGTCTCGCTCTGTCACCCAGGCTGGAGGGCAGTGGCGCAATCTCAGCTCACTGCAACCTCCGCCTCCCAGGTTCACGCCATTCTCCTGCCTCAGCTTCCTGAGTAGCTGGGACTATAGGTGCCTGCCACCACACCCGGCTAATTTTTTATATTTTTAGTAGAGATGGGGTTTCACTGTGTTAGCCAGGAGGGTCTCAATCTCCTGACTTCGTGATCCACCTGCCTCGGCCTCCCAAAGTGCTGGGATTACAGGCGTGAGCCACTGCGCCCGGCCTCATAAGACTTCGTAATGAGTAAGTGAGAAAGTGCCTTGTGTGCAGTAAGCCCTAACAAAACCAAGACTTGAGCCAGCTCTTGTATTCAAGGTGAATGTAACACCTCGCATACACTCAGTTTGGTCATCCTCATAGCCGCCCATGGCTGGATCTGCCACAGTGACTTTGGGTTTGTCAGGACTTGAATCTCTGGACTGCCATTCCCTGACCGCTCACCCTATTTCTGGCCTAGAAGTAAAGGAAAACCAAGCTGCAGAAAGTTGTCCAGTGACACTGAATAGTGGGCAAAGCCCAGGCTCTGGAGTCCAGCCCAACCTGGGTTGGAATCTGAGCTTTGCAGCTTCCTGGCTGAGTTCCTTTTCCTCTCCATATTCCAGTTTCCTGCTAAGAACAACAACGTCTATCTTACAGAGCTGATTTGAGAATTAGAGGAGATAACATATGCAAAGCACTCGGGATGGGGCCAGGTCCAGAGGAGATGCTTGGGGGACAGTGACTCCCTTCCTCACTCTCCTGCTGCCATTCTGCCCCCTCCCCACTCTGGCACTGCCCACCAAGTTCAAAAGCGGCTGCTGCAGCTGTCGTTTCTGAAAATACACCCCTGGTTGCTTTTGTCTTTCCATCCAAGTCTTCCCCAAACCTTTAAACATCCCCAAATCAAGGGTTTCAAAAGACAAAAAGCCCAAGCTGACTTATCCAGACCACTCTGTTGGCAAATGTCCCAGAGGATCTTGCTCTGCCAGTCACCAAGTTTGACCTTCAGCTCCCTCAGTCAAATTCACTCACATTTGACAAGATCAATGAGAAAAATAGGCAGCGATGATCAAAAGGGCCGACCAAGGCTCTTGGGGCAACTATCCCAGCGGGATTTCATGCCATACAAAAGTGCATGCAGGGGGTGTTCCATAAAAGCTCCTCCACTCGCAGGCATCCCTCATGCCTAGAGACACCAAAAAATGGTTCCCATGACAACACTGCTGCAAATGTTATATATAAATGTGTGTGTGTGCTCCTGTGTGTACATGGTCACACAGAGATGCATGGAAATAAACTCTTGGCACAATTTTTTCCTGTTCCAAACATGAAATAACCTACAAGGATTGATTGCTGGAGAAAAGACGATAAAGGCTTTGAACAAATACACTTCCAAAGGCCTGGCTTCCGTTGATTACACCTGTTTTGATGTGGGTCGGTTTTGTTTCCTGTACCTGGACTAGTAGATACTCAGTTTATAATTGTTGAAGGAATGGGTAATTGATGGGTAAGTAGAAGACTGGGAGGGAGAAAGAGAGGAAGAGAAGCAGCCTGAATGTCAGAGCTGGAGGGGCTCCTATGAGTATCCAGTCTAATCTAACCTGTTCTTTTTCTTTTTCTTTTTCTTTTTTTAAACGGAGTCTCGGTCTGTCATCAGGCTGGAGTGCAATGGCACAATCTCGGCTCCCTGCAACCTCCGCCTCTCGGGTTGAAGTGATTCTCCTGCCTCAGCCTCCCGAGTAGCTGGGACTACAAGCGCGCGCCACCATGCCCAGCTAATTTTTGTATTTTTAGTAGAGACGGGGTTTCACCATGTTGGCCAGGATGGTCTCTATATCTTGACCTTGTGATCCACCCACCTCGGCCTCCCAAAGTGCTGGGATTACAGGTGTTAGCCACCAAGCCCAGCCCTTTTTCTTTCTTTCTTTTTTTTAGAAATTTTTTATTTCCATACGTTTTTAGGAAACAGGTGGTATTTGGTTATATGAGTAAGTTCTTTAGTGGTGACTTGTGAGATTTGGGTACACCCATCGCCCAAGAAGTATACACTGAACCCAATTTGTGGTCTTTTATCCCTCACTCCCTTCCCATCCTTTCCCCTTGAGTCCCCAAAGTCCATTGTGTCATTCTTATGCCTTTGCATCCTCGTAGCCTAATTCCCACTTATGAGTGAGAACATACGATGTTCGGTTTTCCATTCCTGAGTTACTTCACTTAGAATAATGGTCTCCAATCCTATCCAGGTTGCTGTGAATGCCATTAATTCTTTCCTTTTTTATGGCTGAGTAGTATTCTATTGTGTGTGTGTGTGTGTGTGTGTGTGTGTGTGTGTGTGTGTGTGTGGTGTGTGTGTATTTCTTTATCCACTCATTGATTGATGGTAACCCCTTATTTTTCTGTTGGAGAAACTGGGGCTCAGAAAAGGGAAGGAATCTTGTTAAAAGCTACAAAAGAAATTGCCAGCAGAACTCCAGTCCCAGAAATCCATTAAGTAAGCACTTAATAAGTGAGTTAAATTTCTTAAATTTCTATGTGAATAATAAACATATATTGAACAATTATTACGTGCCAGCAACTGTGCTAAGTACTTCATAGACATTATCTCATTTACAATTTAAAAATATGCAAAAGATGTGTTAGAATTCCCATTTAACAAAAAGGGAAACTGCAGCTCTGAAGGCTGGGCGTGGTGGCTCATACCTGTAATCCCAGCACTTTGGGAGGCTGAGGAGAGGAGAATCACTTGAGCCTAGGAATTCAAGACCAGCCTGGGCAAAATGGTGAAACCCTGTCTCTACCAAAAATACAAAAATTAGCTGGGCTTGGTAGCATGTGCCTGTAGTCCCAACTACTTGGGAGGCTACGGTGGGAGGATCGCTTGACCCCAGGAGGCAGAGGTTGCAGTGAGCTGAGATCACGCCACTGTACTCCAGCCTGGGTGACAGAGTGAGATGGTCTTTAAAAGAAAAAAAAAAAGAAAAAACGAAGTCACTTGATGAAGTTTATAGAACTAGTTTATAGTTGGGGTGGGGTTTAAACCCAGGTCACTCAAACACCAGATTCTGAACACATTACTCAGTCTCCTTCTGAACTTAGGGCCAAGGGCGTGGGGCAGGGATTATCAGCTCCATTCTTGCAGATATCAGGAGCTGAGAAATGTGAAGTAACTTGCCCAAGTCAGGAAACTGAGGGGCAAGAACTAGAACTCACATTTTCAGGCACCCAGTCCAGAATTCCTTCAGCTTACTCACTGCCTTCTAACCAACATCTAAAAAACAGAAAGACTGGCTCCTGTCAGCCCGAGTCAGCCATCTCACTGGGCAAGGAGAGGGTACGCCCTTCAGCTGTCTGCATCCCAGGATTCGGTCTCCAGGAGGTGGACCCGGGGCCTATTCCAAGCGTCTCTTTGGGTTTTTCTGCCCTCTGGTGGTAAATCTTGAAACTAGCAAGAAACAGCTTGCCTGAACTTCCCAGCACGCTTCCTCTGTAGAACAAAGTTTTTGCCTTAGTGCTCTGGGAAAAAAAATGGAAATGGTACAAGAGGTTGAGGCAGCCAAGCATGGTGGCTCACACTGTAATTCCAGCACGTTGGGAGGCCAAGGTGGGAGGATTGCCTAAACCCAGGACTTCAAAACCAGACTGGTCAACATGGTGAGACCCTCATCTCTATAACAACTAAAAAATTAGCCAGGCGGTCCCAGCTACTCAGGAGGCTGAGGCAGGAGGATTGCTTGAGCCCAGAAGGTTGAGGCTGTAGTGAGCCGTGATTGCAACACTGTTCTCCAGCCTGGGTGACAGAGCGAGACCTTGTCTCAAAAAAATAATACATAAATAGGTTGGGTGTAGTAGCTCACTCCTGTAATCCCAGCACTTCGGAGGCCAAGGCGGGCAGATCACCTGAGGTCAAGACTTTGAGACCAGCCTGGCCAATATGGTGAAACCCCGTCTCTACTAAAAGTACAAAAGTTAGCTGGGCATGGTGGCAGGCGCCTGTAATCCCAGCTACTGGAGAGGCTGAGGTAGGAGAATTGCTTGAACCCTGGAGGTGGAGGGTGCAGTGAGCTGAGATGCCACTGCACTCCAGCCTGGGTGACAGAGTAAGATTCTGTCTTGAAAAAAATAAAAATAAATAAATAAATAAATAAAAGAGTTGGCTGGGTATGGTGACTCATGCCTGTAATTCTAACTCGGAGGCTGAGGCAGGTGGATCACCTGAGGTCAGGAGTTCGAGACCAGTCTGACCAACATGGTGAAACCCCGACTCTAATTTAAAAGAAAAAAAAATATATATATATACACATAAAAATTAGCTGGGCATGGTGGTGGACACCTGTAATCCCAGCTACTCAGGAGGCTGAGGCAGGAGAATCGCTTGAATCCAGGAGGCGGACGTTGCAGTGAGCTGAGATGGCGCCATTGCACTCCAGCCTGGGCTACAAGAGCGAAACTCCATCTAAATAAATAAATAAATAAATAAATAAAAATACAAAAGTAAAATAAAAAAGGGTTGAGGTTCAGTCTCCCTGCTGCCCTGGATGTGCCATGCTCCCCTTTTTTCTCTGCTTCCTGACTGTTCTCCCCATTTCCACTCTGGCTCTCCTCCGATCCATTCTCTGTGCAGCCTGCTGAACAGCTTTTCAAAGACCCAAACTAATCATGTGACTCGCTCCCTGCCTATACTCCCCAGTAGCTTCCCATTGCTCTCAGGATAAAGTCCAGTCGTCCTCTTATGACCCGTAGGATGCAGCGAATGGCCCCTGCCTCTCTCTCTCTCCATCCCCCCTCTCTCCATCATCTTCAGCTGCACTGGGCCTTCTTCCAGTTGCTTGCATATGTCCAAGCCTCTTCCTAATTCGGCGTTACAAATGCTGTTCCCTTTGCCTGGCACACCTAGAAAATTCCTACTTGTTCTTCAAGTCTCAGTTTAAAGGTACTTCCCTAGAGATACACTTTTTTTTTCTTTTTCTTTTTTTTTTTTTTTTTTTTTGAGATGGAGCCTCACTCAGTCCCCCAGGCTGAAGTGCGGTGGCACGATCTTGGCTCACTGCAACCTCTGCCTCCCAAGTTCAAGCAATTCTCCTGCCTCAGCCTCCCGAGTAGCTGGGATTACAGTCCCCCACTACCACGCCTGGCTAATTTTTGTATTTTTAGTAGAGACGGGGTTTCACCATCTTGGCCAGGCTGGTCTTGAACTCCTGACCTCGTGGTCCACCTGCCTTGGCCTCCCAAAGTGCTGGGATTACAGGTGTGAGGCACCATGCCTGGCTGAGATACACTTTTTTTTTTTTTAATTTTTGAGATAGGTTCTCACTCTTCACCCAGGCTGGGGTGCAATGGTGTGATCATGGCTCATTGCAGCCTCAACCTCTCAGGCTTAAGTGATTCTCCCACTTCAGCCTTCTGTGTAGCTGGGATCATAGGTGCATGCCACTATTCCTGGCTAATATTTTAAAAAGATTTTGTAGAGACGGGGGTCTCCCTATGTTGTACTGGCTGGTCTTGAACCCCTGGCCTCAAGTGGTTCTCCTACCTTGACTTCCCAAAGTATTGGGATTACAGGTATGAGCCACTACAACTGGCAGAGATACTTTTTTTTTTTTGAGACGGAGTCTCCCTCTGTCACCAGCCTGGAGTGCAGTGGTGCAATCTTGGCCCACTGCAACCTCCGCTTCCTGGGTTCAAGCAATTCTCCTGCCTCAGTCTCCCGAGTAGCTGGGACTACAGACGCATGCCACCATGCCCAGCTAATTTTTTTGTATTTTTAGTAGAGACGGGGTTTCACCATGTTGGCCAGGATGGTCTCGATCTCTTGACCTCGTGATCCACCCGCCTTGGCCTCCCAAAGTGCTGGGATTACAAGTGTGAGCCACCCCACCCAGTCCAGAAATACACTTTTATATTGCCCTGCACTTCCAGTTTTAGAGTATTCTTTGGAATTGTAGTTACTTGTCTGGTGACTGCCTTTTGCTTATTTTTAATTTTTTTATAGTGACGGGGCCTCACTATGCTGACCAAGCTGGTCTCAAATTCCTGGCTGTCCTTCTGCCTTGGCCTCCCAAAGTGTTGGGATTACAGGCGTGAGCCACCAGTTCCGGCCCAACCTTACTTCATAACTAACAAGAACCCTATCTCATTCCATGTTGTATTCCCAACACCTAGCACAATTCCTAGCACATGGTAGGTTCTGAATATTAGTTGAATGAATAAGTGAGTGAAGACAGCAAGCCAAAGAACTGGAAGCCGTTTGAGAATTCAGAAGTCGCTTGGGATCCTGCAATATCTCATCCGTGTAAGTCTCAGCTGCAGTTTATCCATTGCTTAAAGTCATATGCGTGGCTAATAATCAGGAACTAGTTACTTTCCTATTATATTAGCTCAAGGTATTATTCCTTAGGTAAAAATAGATTGTGTCTCACCACAGCACCACGGGAGTTTATTCCAGAACTTACTTTCCCTCATATCTCATAATGAACTGACTGTATCATCACCCAGAACAAGCCAGCGAATGACCATGGCAACCTTATTTTATGGTCTCCCACTATCTCACAACTAACTATACAGTCTTCACCACTGAAGTTAGAGAGGTGGCCACTTTGCATCTGTATTTCTGCACCATCAGATGCAGGTCTGGCAGCAGGAAGGGGCTGCTGCTGCAGGAATGCAGGGAGGTCTCAGCCTCAACAAGGCCCTTTCCCCTTGTAGAACACAAGTGTTAGGCTGCAGGGAAATGGCAGTGAACCTTCACCCCCAGGGCACATGTGAAGACCCACTGCAGCTGGGAGAAGAGGGAGGGATGGAAAACTATCCTCGACCCAGGATTGTATGCCAATACCATTACGAGGTTCCTACTTTTGGGAAAGGGGCAAGAAACTCTCACATAGGATCTGCCAAACGTACTAGGCAGAGTTTTGGTGCTGTGGAAAGGGGGAAGGAGCAAGATCACTGAGGAAGCCCCACTCTCAAGACCTAGGGCGACGGAGTTTGCATAAGATTGAATTTGAACCAGGACAACAGACACCCCCGCTTTCTAAGGCTAGCAAGCATCAAGTAACAAGCACTAGCAATCTAACTTAGGGGTGGAAAGCTGGCAGGTAGAGCAGTAACACGGAGTAAATCCCTCCAGCAACCCAGCCCTCATCCTCAGCTTGGGATGATGCTAAAAGACTGGAGAGCCAGTGGTACAATGAAGGTAACCATAGCAACAATGAAGGTAACCATAGCAACAATGAAGGTAACCATAGCAACAATGAAGGTAACCATAGCAACAACGAAATCCAAACCCTGCCCAACTCCTGACTAGACTAACTTCAGCTCCAATACTAAGTGCTACATGCCCGTTTCCAGGAATGAATACTATTTAAGTCTCAACTGTCCTACACACAATGTCAGGCACTTATTCAAAAATTATAAAACACTAAAAATCAAGAAATAAAATAACAATCCACCATCAAGATACAAAGCAGAGCTGGGTGTGGTGATGCATGCCTGCAGTCCCAACTACTTGGGAGGCTGAGATGAGAGGATTACCTGAGTCCAGGAGGTCGAGGCTGCCGTGAGCCAATGTCATGCCACTGCACTCCAGTCAGGATGACAGAGCAAGACTCTGTCTCAAAACAAGCAAACAAATAAACAAACAATATAGAAAGTAATCCACTAAGCCAGCAATGCTAAAAAATGATGCAGTTGTTGAAAGCGACAGGAATTTTAGTCATGATTTATATGTTAAAGATGCTAGTAGAAAAAATGGACCACAAACATAAACAGCTGGGCAATTTCAGCAGCGACAGAAACTATTTGAGTCAAGTGGAAATTCTGGAAATAAATGCATGGTAACAGAGGATGCATGCCTTCTAAGGGTGTATCTATATCAGCAGACTCCACAAAATTGAAGAAAGAATCTAAAAAAATTGAAAAATAGGTTGATAGAAATTACCTGCACTGAAATACAAACAGAAAGATAAAGCCAGACACGGTGGCTCACGCCTGTAATCCAGCACTTTGGGAGGCTGAGGCAGGCGGATCACGAGGTCAGGAGTTTGAGACCAGCCTGACCAACATGGTGAAACCCCGTCTCTACTAAAAATACAAAAAGTAGCTGGGCATGGTGGTCCACACCTGTAATCCCAGCTACTCAGGAGGCTGAGGCAGGATAATCACTTGAACCTGGGAGGCGGAGGTTGCAGTGAGCCGAGGTCGCTCCACTGCACTCCAGCCTGGATGACAGAGTGAGACTCTTGTCTTGAAAAAAAAAAAAAAAGAAAGAAAGAAAGAAAGAAAAATAAGTGAAAAAACGAAGAACAGAGCATCTGAGAACTGTGGGACAACATCAGGTTTTCAAATATACATGTAATTGGACTCACAGAAGGAAGAGAAAGAGAATAGGGAGAAGAAATGTTTGAAGAGATAATGGCTGAGAATTTTCCAAAAATAGTGAAAGGCATCAAAACATATGTCCAAAAATCACAGAGAATATTAAATAGTATAGATATCATCCCCACAAAAAACAAAAACCATACCTAGATACATCATAGTCAAAAAGCTAAAAACCAAGGATATGCTGGGCATGGTGGTGCACGCCTGTAATCCCAGCACTTCAGAAGGCCAAGGTGGGTGGATTGCTTGAGCCCAGGAGTTCCAGAGCAGCCTGGACAACATGGCGAGACCCCTGCTTCTGCAAAACACACAAAAATAACTGGCAGTAGAGGTGTGCACCTGTAGTCCCAGCTACTTGGGATGCTGAGATGGGAAATCCCTTGAGCCTGGGAGGCAGAGGTTTCAGTGAGCCATGATCACACCACTGCACTCCAGCCTGGGAACATAAGGAGACTCTGTCTCAAAAAATAAAAATAAAAAATTTTAAAAATTTTTAAAAAAACAAAGATAAAGAGACAATTATGAAGGCAGCCTGTATTAGTCAGGGTTCTCCAGAGAAACAGAGCCAATAAGATATGGATGGGTAGATAGATAGGGATGTATTATAAGGAATTGCCTCATGCAATTATTGAGGCTTACAAGTCCTAAGATTTGCAGGATGAGTCAGCAAGCTGGAGACACAGGACAGTCAATGGTTTAGTTCCAGTCCGAGGGCGTGAGAATCAGGAAAGCCAACGGTATGGTTTCTGCACAAAGGCTGGCAAGTTTGAGACCCAGGAAGGGCTGATTTTTCAGTTTTTTTTTTTTCTCTCTTGTTGCCCCGGCTAGAGTGCAATGGCACGATCTCGGCCCACTGCAACCTCCACCTCCCGGGTTCAAGAGATTCTCCTGCCTCAGCCTCCCAAATAGCTGGGATTACAGGCATGCGCCACCATGCCCAGCTAATTTTGTATTTTTAGTAGAGACGGGGTTTCTCCATGTTAGTCAGGCTGGTCTCGAACTCCTGACCTCAGGTGATCTGCCTGTCTCGGCCTCCGAAAGTACTGGGATTACAGGCATGAGCCACTGCGCCTGGCCTGATATTTCAGTTCTGATCTGAGGCAGGAAAGGAAGAAGCTGATGTCCCAGTTTGAAGGCAGTCAGATGGGAAGAATTCTCTGACTCAGGGAAGAGTCAACCTTTTTTGTTCTATTGAGGCCTTCAATTGATTGGATGAGGCCCACTCATATTAGGGAGGGCAGACTTCTTTACTTAGTCTACTGATTTGAATCTGATGCTGAATTAAACTCATCCAAAACACCTTCACAGAAACATCCAGAATAATTGTTGACTAAATATCTGATCACCCCATGGCTCAGTCAAGTCGACACCTAAAATTAATCATCACACAGCCAAAGGGAAAAAAACAACACATTATTACATACAGAGGAACAAAGAATTATAGCTGACTTCTTATCAGAAACTATCCATGCAAGCATAAGACAATGAGCCGACATCTTTAGTGCTGAAGAAACCATCAACCCAGAATTCTATATGTCGCAAGAATTGATTTGAAAAATGAGGGTGCTGGTAACGAATTCATACATGGTGTAAATTGCACAGAACTCTACATGCACACACTGGAATGCATATAAAAACTCACATAAGTGAAATCTGAATAAGGTCTGTATTCTGCTTAAAATCATTGTACTCATGTCAGTTTCTTGAATTGACAATATCAGGTTTTGATGTTGTACATAGTTATGTAAAATGTTACCATTAGGAGAAGCTAGATGAAGGGTAAGCAGGACTCTTGATGCTATTTTTTGCAACTTCCTATGAATCTATAATTATTGTATAGATTCATTTATTTTAAAATAAAGAGGTATATTTATTTTGTTATTATTATTATTTTTTGAGACAGGATCTCACTCTGTTGCCCAGGCTGGAGTGCAATGGCACGATCATAGCTCACTGCAGCCTCCACCTCCTGGGCTGAAGTGATCCTCCCACCTCAGTCTCTCAAGCACCTGGGACTGTAGGCATATACCACCATGCTTTGATATATATATATATATATATTTTTTTTTTTTTTGACACTGGGTCTTGCTCTGTTGCCCAGGCTGGAGTGCAGAGGCGTGATCATGGCTTACTACAACCTTGACCACTCAGGCTCAAGTGATCCACCTGCCTCAGCCTCTTGAGTAGCTAGGACCACAGGTGCGCACCCCTACACTTGGCTAATTTTTTTTTTTTTTGAGACAGGGTCTCACTCTGTCTCCCAGGTTAGAGTGCAATGGTGTGATCTCGGCTCACTGCACCCTCCACCTCCCAGGTTCAAGCGATTCTCCTGCCTCAGCCTCCCAAGTAGTTGGCATTACAGGCGCCTACCACCATGCCTGGCTAATTTTTGTAATTTTAGTAGAGACAGGGTTTCACCATGTTGGCCAGGCTGGTCTCGAACTCCTCACCTCAGGTGATCTGCACACCTTGGCCTCCCAAAGTGCTGGGGTTACAGACATGAGCCACCGTGCCTGGCCACTTGGCTAATTTTTAAAGTTATTTATAGAGGTGAGGTCTCCCTATGTTACCCAGGTTGGTCTCAAACTCCTGGGCTCAAGTGATCCTCCCTCCTTAGCCTCCCAAAGTGCTAGGATTACAGGTGTGAGCCACCACCTCCTGCCAAAAGACATGTTTAAATTATTTCTAGGCCAGGCACGGTAGCTTACGCTTGTAATCCCAGCACTTTGGGAGGCTGAGGTGGGCAGATCAGAGGTCAAGAGATCAAGACCATCCTGGCCAAAAATTAGCTGGGTGTGGTGATGCACACCTGTATTCCCAGCTACTTGGGAGGCTGAGGCAGGAGAATCACTTGAACCTGGGAGGTGGAGGTTGCAGTGAGCTGAGATTGCACCACTGCACTCCAGCCTGGCGACAGAGAGATGCTCCATCTCAAAAAAAAAAAAAAAATTCTGATTACCCTGAAAGATAATTGACAATCTAAAGCAAAAATAACAGCAATGTGGGCTGGACTCAGTGGTTCATGCCTGTAATACTAGCACTTTGGGAGGCCAAGGAAAGAGAATCACGTAAGCTCAGGACCAGCCTGGGCAACACAGTGAGACCCTGTCTCTACAAAAAAAAAAATTAAAAATTAGCTGGATGTGCGGTGGTGCCTACCTGTGGTCCTAGCTGCTCAGGAGGCTGAAGTGTCAGTGAGCTATGATCGTGGCACTACACTCCAGCCTGGGTGACAGTGCGAAACCGGGTCTCAAAATAATAATAATAATAACAATGTATTGTTGATTTATAGATGTGGAAAAATACGAGCAGGGTGGAGATATAGGGGAGATATTGGTCAAAGAACAGAAAATTTTAGTTAGTAGGAGTAATTTCAAGAGGTTTTTTTTTTTTGTACATCATGGTGACTATAGTTAACAACAATATATTGTATACTTAAAAATTGCTAAGAGAGTAGATTTTTAAAGTTCTCACCACAAATAAAATGGTGTGAGAGGTAATGCATATGTTAATTAATCTGATGTAGCAGTTTCACAATGTATACACATATCAAAACATCATGTTGGGCTGGGCGCGGTGGCTCATGCCTGTAATCCCAGCACTTTGGGAGGCCAAGGCGTGTGGATCACCTGAGGTCAGGAGTTCGAGACCAGCCTGGCCAACATGGTGAAACCCTGTCTCTACTAAAATTACAAAAATTAGCCGGGCCTGGTGGTAGGCACCTGTAATCCCAGCTACTAGGATGCTGAGGTAGGAGAATCGCTTGAACCTGGGAGGTGGAGGTTGCAGTGAGCCGAGATCGCGCCATTGCACTCCAGCCTGTGGGACAAGAGTGAGACTTCGTCTCAAACAACAACAACAACAACAACAAAAAACCCCACCAACAACAAAAAAACACATCATGTTGTACACCATAAATGTATACAATTTTTGGCCTGGTGTGGTGGCTCATGTCTGAAATCACAGCTCTTTGAGAGGCCGAGGCAGGAGGATCCCTTTAGCCCAGGAATTTGAGACCAGCCTGGGCAACATGGCAAAACCCCTCTCTACTAGAAACACAAAATTAGCCAGGCATGGTGGCACACACCTGTAGTCCCAGCTACTCGGGAGGCTGAGGTGGGAGGAATACCTGAACCTGGGAGGCAAAAGTTGCAATGAGCCAAAAGCGTGCCACTGCCCTCCAACCTGGGTGACAGAGTGAGACTCTATCTCTAAATAAATAAATAAATAATAAATATATGACAATAATACACAAAAGATGAAAGAGATGAATTGTGAATATTCTTTTTTTTTTTTTTTTGAGATGGAGTTTTGCTCTGTCACCCAGGCTAGAGTGCAGTGGCACAATCTCAGCTCACTGCAACCTCTGCCTCCTGGATTCAAGTGATTCTCCTGCCTCAGCCTCCCAAGTAGCTGGGATTACAGGCATCTGCCACCGCCCCAGCTAGTTTTTGTATTTTTTAGTAGAGACGGGGTTTCACCATGTTGGCCAGGCTGGTATCGAACGCTTGACCTCAGGTGACCCACCCACCTTGGTCTCCCAAAGTGCTGGGATTACACGCATGATCCACCATGCCCGGCCAAGAAGAATCATCTTTTATGACACATGAAAATCATATGGAATTCAGATTTCAGTGTCCATAAGGAAAATGTCATTGGAACGTGCTGTCTCATTTGTGTATTGCCTATGGCTGCTTTTGTCCTCCAACAGCAGAACCTGGTAATTGTGACAGAGACAGAATAGTCTGCCAAGCCTAAGATATTTACTATCTGGCCATCTACAGAGAAAATGTTTGCCAACCAGTGCACTATGGGTCCACTAAGCAGAGATTCTGGAATCAGTGTTTTTGCTCAAGGGGTTAAAGGGCCTTCACAGGCTGGGCGCAATGGCTCATGCCTGTAATCCCAGCACTTTGGGAGGCCGAGGTGGGTGGATCATCTGAGGTAAGGAGTTCGAGACCAGCCTGGCCAACATGGTGAAAACCCATCTCTATTAATAATACAAAAATTAGCTGGGCATTGTGGCACATGTCTGTAATCCCAGCTACTCGGAAGGCTGAGGCAGGAGAATAGCTTGAACCCGGGAGGTGGAGGCTGCAATGAGCCAAGATTGTGCCATTGCACTCCAGCCTGGGTGACAAGAGTGAAAATAATCTCAAAAAAAAAAAAAAAAAAAAGGCCCTTGCAGGTTGGTTGGTTGGTTGGTTGGTTGTATGAAATGTGGACCCGAAGGTAAATGAGTAAATGAAGCTGAAATACCAGAATTGCCCTGCTATCCTGCAAAGAGAAGGATCCAAAGGCTTAGGGGGGTTGGAATGCAGAGTGCATTCTTCTTGGAAGACCTATTTACCCACTGTGGGAGGATCCAGAGGACACACCTTTCACCACTGTGGTGAATACATTTCTGAGAGGAGCTTCAGCATCCTTGAAGAGCTCTGTGGTCTTTTTCTCTTTTAGTTAGAAATTACGGTGGGGGCCGGGCGAGGTGGCTCACGCCTGTAATCCTAGCACTTTGGGAGGCCGAGGCGGGCAGATCACCTGAGGCCAGTAGTTCGAGACCAGCCTAGCCAGCATGGTGAAATCCCATCTCTACTAAAAAAAAAATACAAAAATTAGCCGGGCGTGGTGGCATGCACCTGTAGTCCCAGCTACTTGGGAGGCTGAGGCAGAAGAATGGCTTGAACCTGGGAGGCAGAGGTTGCAGTGAGCCGAGATCCTGCCACTGTACTTTAGTCTGGGCGACAGAGTGAGACTCCATCTCAAAAAAAAAAAAAAAAGAAAGAAAGAAATTACAGTGGGAATTGCTATAATTTCCCATTGAACTGGGATCCCTAAATACAATGTGGATAATGAGATCCTGGGATAGCAGGGGTCAAGTGGCAGTACTTACTTGCCAAAACCACAGTGCACAGGTACTGTAATGAACACAGAGCCAAAGTAGTAACCAGAATGATCTGACTCACAGAGACCTATGCATGCATTGGCTAGTTGATCACGGCATCCCTTGAAAAGAAGAATATGAGTAATCTATTAAAGTCTTTTTTTTTTTTTTTTCCAGATAGGGTCTCGCTCTGTCACCCAGGCTGGAGTGCAGAATCATGGCTCACTGCTGCCTTGACCTCCTGGGGTCAAGTGATCCTGGTGATTCCCATCACATCCCCATTCAACTTACCTATTTGGCCTGTGCAGAAAACAGATGAATCTTGGAGATTCATCTGTGACAGTGGATTATCGTAAACTTAATCAGACAGTAACTCAATTGCACGGCTGTTTCAGATATGGTTTAATTGCTTGAGCAAATTGGCATGTTCCCTGATACCTGGTATGCAGCTACTGACTTGGCAAATGCCTTTTGCTCCATCCCTGTCCATAAAGACCACCAGAAGCAGTTTGCTTTCAGCAACACCTTCACTGTCCTATCTCAGGGACATATCAACTCTCCAGTTATGTTTTTTTTTTTAAGATGGAGTCTCAGCCGGGCACCATGGCTCATGCCTATAATCCCAGGACTTTGGGAGGCTGAGGCGGGTGGATCACGAGGTCAGGAGATTGAGACCATCCTGGCTAACACGGTATGTATATATACATATACGTATATGTATATATACACATATATATACATACACACACACAAGCACACACACATATATATGTGTGTGTGTGTATATATATATGTATATATATATTTAGAGAGTTTCACTCTTGTTGCCCAGGCTGGAGTGCAATGGCACCGTCTCGGCTCACTGCAACCTCTGCCTCGCGGGTTCAAGCAATTCTCCTGTCTCAACCTCCCAAGTAGCTAGGATTACAAGCATGCACCACCACGCCTGGCTAATTTTGTATTTTTAGTAGAGACGAGGTTTCTCCATGTTGGTCAGGCTGGTCTCGAACTCCAGGCCTCTGGTGATCTGCCCGTCTCGGCCTCCCAAAGTGCTGGGATTACAGGTGTGAGCCACTGCGCCCAGCCACTAATTTTTTTTTTTTTTTTTTTTTGAGACAGAGTTTTGCTCTTGTTGCCCAGGCTGAAGTGCAATGGCACAATCTCGGCTCATTGCAACCTCCACCTCCTGGATTTAAGTGATTCTCCTGCCTCAGCCTAGCTGGGATTACAGGTATGTGCCACTATGCCCAGCTAATTTTGTAATTTTAGTAGAGATGGAGTTTCTCCATGTTGGTCAGGTTAGTCTCGAACTCCTGACCTCAGGTGATCCACCCGCCTCGGCCTCCCAAAGTGCTGGGATTACAGGCATGCGCCATCGCGCCTAGCCCCCGGCCACTAATTTTTATATATATTTTGTAGAGCCAGGGTCTTACTTTATTTATCAGGCTGGTCTCAAACTCCTGGCCTCAACTGATCCTCCCGCCTTGGCCTCCCAAAGTGTTGGGGGCTACAGGCAGGCATGAGCCACTGCACATGTCCTATTAAATTCTTACTTGAGCTGAATAAGCAGAAGAGTTATGGAATGAATGAAGTCTAATTTGAATCACCAAAACAGAGAAACATGGCCTCTCAACCAGTTTCTACACTTGACTTAGAGACCAGAATCCCTTGAATGAAAGGGAGGACAGATGCTCTAAGAAAGATCTACTACATTGCCAAAAACATATACCTTTAGTCTTTCTCCCAGTCTTCCCCAAGGGACCTGTGGCTATTTACCAGGGTGACTGCATATTGGGGAAAAGGAAGTAGTAAGACTTTCCAGGGATTATTGGACACTGGCTCTGAATTGACACTTTTTTCTGGAGACCCAAAATGTCACTGTGGTCCATCATCACAGTAAAGGTTTATGGAGGTCAGGTGATTGATGGGGTTTTAGCTCAGGTCCTACTTATGGTGGGCCCAGTGGATGCTCAGATCAATTCTGTGGCTATTTCCCCAGCTCTGGAATGCATAATTGGAATAGACATACTCAGCAACTGGCAGAATCCCTGCATTGGTTCCCTGACCTGTGGTGTAAGGGATATTATGGTAGGAAAGGCTAAATGGAAGCCACTAGAACTGCCTCTACTCGCAAAATTAGTAAACCAAAACCACTCTGCATTCGCAGAGACTTCAGAGATGAGTACTCCATCACGGACTTAAAAGATGCAGGAGTGGTGATTCCCATCACATCCCCATTCGACTTACCTATTTGGCCTGTGCAGAAAACAGATGAATCTTGGAGAATGACAGTGGATTATCGTAAACTTAATCAGACAGTAACTCAATTGCACGGCTGTTTCAGATATGGTTTAATTGCTTGAGCAAATTGGCATGTTCCCTGATACATAGTATGCAGCTACTGACTTGGCAAATGCCTTTTGCTCCATCCCTGTCCATAAAGACCACCAGAAGCAGTTTGCTTTCAGCAACACCTTCACTGTCCTATCTCAAGGATATTTCAACTCTCCAGCATTTTTTTTTTTTTTTTATGATGGCGTCTCGGCCGGGCGCAGTGTCTCATGCCTATAATCCCAGCACTTTGGGAGGCCAAGGCGGGTGGATCACAAGGTCAGGAGATCGAGACCATCCTGGCCAACACAGTGAAACCTGTCTCTATTAAAAATACAAAAAATTAGCCGGGTGTGTTGGTGGGCGCCTGTAGTCCCAGCTACTTGGGAGGCTGAGGCAGGAGAATGGTGCGAACCCAGGAGGCAGAGCTTGCAGTAAGCTGAGATTGTGCCACTGCATTCCAGCCTGGGTGACAGAGCGAGACTCTGTCACAATTTAAAAAAAAAAAAAAAGATGGAGTCTTACCTGTTACCCAGGCTGGAGTGCAATGGCGTGATCTCGGCTCACCGCAACCTCCGCCTCCTAGATTCAAGTGATTCTCCTGCCTCAGCCTCCCGAGTAGCTGGAATTACAGGTGTGTGCTACCACGCCCAGCTAGTTTTTGTATTTTTAGTAGAGATGAGGTTTCACCATGTTGGCCACCAAGTTGGTCTTGAACTCCTGACCTCAGGTGATCCACCCGCCTCAGCCTCCCAAAGTGCTGGGATTACAGGTGTGAGCCACCATGCCTGGCCAACTCTCCACCTTTTTGTCATAATTTAGTTCACAGATTTTTTTTTTTCCTTCTTTTTGGCAGGGATCTATACAAAATTCTGGCTTCAGGCAGTCCTCCTGCCTCAGCCTCTCAAAGTGCTAGGATTACAGGCGTGAGCCACCACACCCAGCTGTTCACAGGGATCTTGATTGCTTTCCCTTTTACCCAAGATGCCATATCAGCCTACACATTGATGATACTGTGCTGAATGCACCTAGTTAGCAAGAAGCAGCAACTACTCTAGCCTTATTGGTAAATTCAACACCCAGTTCATGTTGGGAGCTCAGCCTGCATGGTAACTAAAATTCAGGGGCCTTCTACTCTGGTGACATTTCTAAGGATCCAGTGGTCTCAGGCATGTTGAGTTAGTCCTTCCTTTTTTTTTTTTTTTTTTTTTTTTGAGATGAAGTCTCACTCTGTTGCCCAGGCTGGAGTGCTGGAGTGCAACGGCGTGATCTTGGCTCACTGCAACCTCTGCCTCCTGGGTTCAAGCAATTCACCTGCCTCGGCCTCCTGAGTAGCTGGGATTACAGGCATGTGCCACCATGCCTGACTAATTTTTGAATTTTTAGTAGATACTGGGTTTTACCATGTTGGCCAGGCTGGTCTTGAACTGCAGACCTCAAGGAGATAACCCTTCTAAGATGAAGAATACATTGTTGCAGCTGGACCCTCCTACAACCAAGAAAGAGGCACAAGGCCTGGTAGGTCCCTTTGGATTTTGGAGACCATGTATTTCACATTTGGGTATTTTGCTCTGACCCATTTACTGAGTGATCTGAAAAGCTGCTAGTTTTAGATTATTTATTTATTTATTTATTTATAGCTACACTCTCTGGAATGGGAAAAAACTGCTAGTTTTGAGTGGGACTCAGAACAAGAGAAGGCTCTGAAACAGGTCCAGGCTGCCGTGCAAGCTGCACTGCCACTTGGGCCATAGGATACAGCAGATCCAATGGCACTTGGAGTGTCATTAGCAGATAGAGTTGTCTTCAGTCTTCGGTAGACCCCTCTAGGTGAATCACAGTGCAGACCCTTAGGATTTTGAAGCACGGCCCCACCATCCTCTGTGGATAACTACTCTCCTTTTTTTTTTTTTTTTTGACCAAGTCTCACTCTGTCGCCCAGGCTGGAATGCAATGGCGTGATCTTGGCTCAATGCAACCTCCACCTCCTGGTTTAAGCGATTCTCCTGCCTCAGCCTCCTGAGTAGCTGCAGTTACAGGCATGCGCCACTATGCCCAGCCAATTTGTGTATTTTTAGTAGAGATGGGGTTTTGCCATGTTGGCCAGGCTGGATTGTAGGCGTGAGCCACCACACCCAGTTAGCAGAAGAGGATTTTAATAATCAAGTGGGGCCAGGTGCAGTGGCTCACGCCTGTAATCCCAGCACTTTTGGAGGCCGAGGTGGGCGGATCACGAGGTCAGGAGATCGAGACCATCCAAGTTTCATGGGGCCAGGAGTCAAAGGGTAGAAATTAGGAGATTAGGAGTGACTCCAATCACCTTTTTTTTTTTTTTTTAAGGCAGTCTCTCGCTCTGTCACTAGGCTGGAGTGCAGTGGAGCAATCTCGACTCACTGAAACCTCCGGCTCTTTTGTTCAAGCGATTCTCCTGCCTCAGCCTCCCGAGTAGTTGTGATTACAGGCACGTGCCACCATGCCCAGCTAATTTTTGTATTTTTAGTAGAGATGGGGTTTCACCATGTTGGCCAGGATGGTCTTGATCTCCTGACCTTGTGATCTGCCTGCCTCAGCCTCCCAAAGTGCTGGGATTACAGGCGTGAGCCACCGCGCCTGGCCCCCAATCACTTTTATCCCTACTGATGCACTAGCAGCATTTCTGCTTCCCGTCCCCATGACCTTAGGCTCTGCTAGTTTAGAGGTTGGTTCCAAAGGGAGAAATGCTTCCACTAGGCAACACAATGATTACACTGAACTGGAGGTTGAGGCTGCCACTCAGTCGCGTTGCGCTCCCCATACCCAAAATTAACAGGCAAAGAAGGAGGTCACTGTACTGGCTGGGATGACTGGTCTTGATTACTAAGGGAAAATTGTATTGCTGCTACACAACAGAGGTAAGGGAGAGTATATCTGGAATACATGAGCTCCCTTAGGGCATCTGTTAATATAGACAGTCTTTGTCTTACGATGATTTGACTTATGATTTTTTGACTTTATGATGGGCAAAAGTGATACACATTCAGTAGAAACTATCCTTTGAATTTTCAATTTTGATCTCTTCCTGGGCTAGCAATATGGAGTACAATGCTTTCTCATGATGCTGGGCAGTGGCAGCGACCGCGGCTCCAAGTCAGCCACACGATCACGAGGGTAGACAGCTGATACTGTAATCTACAGTGTGCTGTATTTAATAAATTACGTGAGATAGTCAACATATCTAGTCAACAAAATAGGCTTCGTGTTAGATGATTTTGCCCAACCGTAGGCTAACGGAAGTGTTCTGAGCACATTTCAGGGCAAAGCTATGATGTTCAGTAGGTTAGATGCATTAAGTGCATTTTCAATTTAGGATATTTGCAACTTAAGATGGATTTATCAGGGCCAGGTGCAGTGGCTCACACCTGTAATCTCAGCACTCAGGCCAAGGCAGGCAGATCGCTTGAGCCCAGGAATTCGAGACCAGCCTGGGCCACATGGTGAAACCTTGTCTCTACTAAAAATACAAAAAAATTAGGCAGGTGTGATAGTGCGTGGAGGCTGAGGTGGGAGGATCACCGGAGCTTGGGAAGTTGAGGCTGCAGTGACCAAGATTGCACACTGCCCTCCAACCTGGGTGACAGAGTGAGACCCCATCTCAAAAAAAAAAAAAAAAAAAAAAAAGAAGATGGATTTATCAGGACATAACCTCATTGCAAGTGGAGAGCATCAGTACCACGTCCTGTGACTAAAGTAAACAAAAGCGACAACAGCCCAGTTCAGGCAGGACTATTAACGGTCCAGGAATTTCAGGAATGAAGGTTTGGGTCACCCCACCAGGCAAAGAACCATGACCAGATGAGGTGCTTGCTAAGGGAAAAGGAATATGGAAAGGGCAGTGGAGGAAGAGGAATTATAAAGACCAGCTCTGACCACATGACCAGTTGCAGAAATGAGGACAGTAATAACTATGAGTATTTCTTCCTTATTTTGTTATGAATGTTTGTATATAGATTAGCCAAATATTTTTGTTTTCTTCCCTCTTATTCCCTTATCATCTAACATGAGATATATTAATAATTTAGGCTGGGTGTGGTGGCTCACGCCTGTAATCCCAGCTTTTTGGGAGGGCAAGGCAGGCAATTGCTTGAGGCCAAGGAGTTTGAGACCAGTCTGGGCAACATGGCAAAACCCTGTCTCTACAAAAAATACAAAAAATTAGCTGGGGGTGGTGGCGTGTACCTGTAGTCCCAGCTACTGGGGAGGCTGAGGCAGGAGGATCACCTGAGCCCAGGAAGTGGAGGCTACAGTGAGCCGAGATTGCACCACTGCACTCCAGCCTGGGTGATAGAGTGAGACCCTGTCTCAAAATAAATAAATAAATAAAATAATAGTAAACTTTATATTATGGTATTTAGGTTACAGGATATCAAAAGAGAAGAATGAGCATTATCCAAGGATTTTGCATCTTCTCCTGGGGAAGGGTTGGTGTGTTTTTGGTTGCATCCAGGATAGCTGTATCATGTTAGGTTTAAGTATGACTTTGTTATTGTGTGTATTTGGAAATGAAGTGTGGTTTAAGGATATCAATGAGGAAAATTAAAATTCTTCCATGATTTTTAAAACTTTTTTCTTTAGCCTGAGTCTAGTTGTCTTTCCTACTAGATTGATTGATTGATTGATTGATTGATGGAGACAGACTCTCACTGTCACCCAGGCTGGAGTGCAGTGGTGCAATCACAGTTCACTACATCCTTGACCTCCTGGGCTCAAGTGATCCTCTCATCTCAGCCTCCAGAGTAGCTGGGACTACAGGCACGTGCCACCACACTCTGCTAATTTTTGTATTTTTTTGTAGAGACAGGGTCTTGCTATGAAGCTCAGGCTGGCCTCAAACTCGTGGGCTCAAGCAATCTTCAGGCTCCCAAAGTGCTGGAATTACAGGTATGAGCCATTGCACCCAGCTTCCCTATTTTCTTTTAAAGAGATGGAGTCACAGCCTCCCTTTTTTTTTTGACAGGGTTTCACTCTGTCACCCAGGCTGGAGTGCAGTGGCGTGATCTCAGCTCACTGCAACTTCTGCATCCTGGGTCAAGCAAACCTCCCACCTCAGCCTCCTGAGTGGTTGGGACTACAGGCATGTGCCACCACACCAGGCTAATTTTTGTATTTTTAGTAAAGACAGGTGTCTTGCTGTGTTGCCCAGGCTGGTCTCGAACTCCTGAGCTCAAGTGGTCCTCCTGCCTCGGCCTCCCAAAGTGCTGGGATTACAGGTGTGTGCCACTGCACAAGTGCCCCCTTTATCCTATACCAATTCCCACACAGACACAGAAGTATTTCTTGCTGTCTAATCCATTCTAAGTGTTCAGTTTCTCTATTCCCACACCAATACCATATATGTAATTCACTATCGCTTTATAACATATTTTGATCAGGCCAGCTACTTCATTGTTCTATTTTTTCTGAATTGTCTTTGCTTGGCTATTCCTTTTTTTTTTTTTTTTTTTTTTTTTTGAGATGGAGTCTTGCTCTATCGCCCAGGCTGGAATGCAGTGGCGCGATCTCAGCTCACTCCCGGGTTCACACCATTCTCCTGCTCAGTCTCCCAAGTAGCTGGGACTACAGGCACCCACCACCACGCCTGGCTAATTTTTTGTATTTTTAGTAGAGATGGGGTTTCATCGTGTTAGCCAGGATGGTCTTGATCTCCTGACCTCGATCTGCCTGCCTCGGCCTCCCAAAGTGGTGGGATTATAGGCGTGAGCCACCGTGCCTGGTCTGCTTGGCCACTCTTGTGCATTTGATCTTCTATGTGAATCAGTTTTTCAAGTTCCATGAAAAATTACCTTGAGATTTTGGTTGAGAGTATACTGCAACAGCAAATTAATTTTGGGGAGAATTATTATTATTTGAGAGAGAGTCTCAAATAATAATAAATCTAATAAATAATAATCTGCAAATAATTGCATTGTCCCCCAGGCTGAGTGCAATGGCACGATTTCAGCTCACTGCAGCCTCTGCCTCCTGGGTTCAAGCTATTCTCCTGCCTCAGCCTCCCGAGTAGCTGTGATTACACGTGCCCACTGCCATGCCCAGCTAATTTTTTTTTTTGTGTGTGTATTTTTAGTAGAGGCGGGGTTTCATGATGTTGGCCAGGCTGGTGTTGAACTCCTGACCTCAGGTGATCTGCCTGCCTCGGCCTCCCAAAGTGCTGGGATTATAGGCATGAGCCACCATACCCGGCAGGTATTGTTTATTATATTGAACCTTTCCATCCATGGAAAGTGCAGGGTGTTTACCTGCATTTACTCAGGTCTTCTTTTTTTTTTTTTGAGACGGAGTCTCACTCTGTTGCCCAGACTGGAGTGCAGTGGCGCGATTTTGGCTCACTGCAAGCTCTGCCTCCCAGGTTCATGCCATTCTCCTGCCTCAGCCTCCTGAGTAGCTGGGACAACAGGCGCCCGCCACCACGTCCGGCTAATTTTTTGTATTTTTAGTAGAGATGAGGGTTCATCGTGTTAGCCAGGATGGTCTCGATCTACTGACCTCGTGATCTGCCTGCCTCGGCCTCCCAAAGTGCTGGGATTACAGGCATGAGCCACCGCGCCCGGCCTATTCAGGTCTTCTTTTATGTTCTTCAGGAAAATTGCATAGTTTCCTTTATAAAGGACTTGCCCATTTCTCACTGGGTTTCTTTTTGTATTAGATTCTCAAAGTGTGGACTCTTCTCTGGTCCCTCCCTTCTGCAGCAACTTCACCCTTACGGATAGCCTCTGCTGCTCCCTTTTCCTTATACAATTTATTATTTTCCATTTGTTCCTAACTTGCATCCTGCACGTATTTCCATCTGCTTAGCTGCAGGGTAAATCCCTGAAGGGCCAGGCTGGGGTTTTAATTCCTGCTTGGGGAGTGGGGCAGGCACGGAGCTGGGTGGGGAGGGGGTAGGATCTATTGTTAACAAAGAAGGGAAAAGGAGGAGAGGAGGAGTGAGAGGTCCCAGGGTCTCAGAGCGGGGAAGAGGAAGGAGGCCAAGGCGGGCGGATCACCTGAGTTTGGGAGTTCGAGACCAGCCTGACCAACATGGAGAAACCCCATCCCTACTAAAAATACAAAAAATTAGCCGGGTGTGGCATCGCGTACCTGTAATCCCAGCTACTCAGGAGGCTGAGGCAGGAGAATTGCTTGAACCTGGGAGGTGGAGGTTGCGGTGAGTCGAGATCACGCCACCCCACTCCAGCCTGGGCAATGAGAATGAAACTCCGTCTCAGAAGAAAAAAAAAAGAAAAAAATTGAAAATAGGGTCATTGCTGATGTAATTAGCTAAAACGGGGTCATTAGGGTTGGCCCTAATCCAGTATGACTGGTGTCTTCATAAAAGGGGGAAATTTGGACAGAGACAGGCACGCGTGCAGGGAGAACGCCATATGAAGATGAAGGCAGAGGCCCGGGTGATGCTTCTACAAGCCAAGGAGCACCAAAGGTTGCCAGAAGCTAGGAGAGCCTGGAACCGAGTCAATGTTGCCAACACCTTGATCTTGGACTTTGAGCCTCCAGAACTAAGAGTTGTGCAAGCCCCCAAGTTTGTGGTACTTTGTTAGGTACTAGCAAACCCATACACTGTGATAGGAGAAGGAAGCCTTGTGTGAGTTTGATACTGACTGGGAGGTTAGGAAGGCTTCCTAGAGGAGGAGAAGCTGAGCTGGGGGTTTCAAGGATGGGTAGTTTATCAGGCAAGAACATTCCAGGCAGAGTGAAGAACACACGCAAACCCCAGGAGGCACAGTGTACATCAGAGACTCTTCCTTGAACTTTTCTTTCCTTTTTTTTTTTGAGACAGAGTCTTGCTCTGTCACCCAGGCTGGAGTGCATTGGCATGATCTTGGCTCACTGCAACCTCTGCCTCCCAGGTTCAAGTGATTCTCCTGCCTCAGCCTCCTGAGTAGCTGGGACTACAGGCGTGCGCCACTGTGCCCAGCTAATTTTTGTATTTTTAGTGGAGATGGGGTTTCGCCATGGTCACCAGGCTGGTCTCGAACTCCTGACCTCAAGTGATCCACCCGTCTCAGCCTCCCAAAGTACTGGGATTACAGGCGTGAGCCACCGTGCCCTGCTTTTTTCTTTTTTTTGAGATGGAGTCTTACTCTGCTGCCCAGGCTGGAGTACAGTGGCGCAATCTCAGCTCCTGCAATCTCCGCCTCTCAGGTTCAAGCGATTCTTCTGCCTCAGCCTCCCAAATAGCTACGATTACAGGTGTGCTCCATCATGCCTGGCTAATTTTTGTATTTTCAGTAGAGCTGGGGTTTCACCACATTGGTCAGGCTGGTCTCAAACTCCTGACCTCAGGTGATCCACCTGCCTCAGCCTCCCAAAGTGCTGGGATTGCATGCATGAGTCACCGCACCTGGCCCTCCTTGAACCTTTCTTTGATTTTCCCTACTGCCTGCCCTGCCCAAACATCTGAGACCTGGAAACTCCCTTGCTCGAAGATAACAGAAAAATTATTTTTACCAGGAGGCCTCTTGGACCCAGGTGGTGATGTGCATCATTCTCACCAGCAGGGGGTGCTCACACACTTGTAGGTGAAGGAAGGGTGGCTGGGGGCACAGGTACTGAGCAACCTTCTGGCATTTGTCAGGGTCCAAGACCCCTGCTCTCAGGGACAGATGCGCCCAGCCCTGGAGAAGCTAGGGTGGACAGCCCTGTGCCGGCCTCAAAGGACACACAGCACCTTGGGAGGACAGACACCCAGACACATGGCCCTCCGTACAAGTATTTTATTTCCATTACAATAGTGCCACGCCAAAACTACAGTAGCTCAAAACATAATACAAAAAATAGATTCCCAGCTCCCAACCCCACGTCCACGCACCCACAGAGAAGCCAGCCCTATGGCTCCCCAGGCCTAAGGGGAGGGGTCTCACTTCATTTTCCTTAAAGCTCTGGAGCGGGTAGTGGCAGTGGCAGGGGCTTCCACCCCTGCTGGGCCTGAGCCCTCTTCTTCCCCAACCCCCTGCCGGCCCCGGCAGACCTGAGCCATGAGTGTGGTCTCCATTCCCTCGGGCTGCACCCCCAGCCCTAGGACACCTGCCTGTGTCCAGGGAGGGGGTCCAAGCCCATGGTGCTGGTGCTGACACTACAGGACCACCACCCTCCACGCGGAAGGCAGGAGGGTCGGGGGAGGGGAGGCAGAGGGGACACCATGGCTGGGAGAAGCCCGCCTCTATGTGGCAAGGGGACTGCGGCTGGCTTCTGCTTCAGCTACTTCTCGGGTTCCTGTCTCCTCTGCAGAGCTACCAGGACTGCTGCGTGCTGGGACCAGGACCTCCATCTGGAATCCACTCTCGATACCCTGCACCAGCTTGGAGGCAGATCCCAAGGTGGCAGGGGTGTCCCTGTGCCGTCTGCTTCCTCTCGGGCAGGAGGATTCCAGCTTCCCGGGTGAGGGGAGAGCACTGTCCAGGCAGGGCTGGGCCAGGAGGCCTGGGCTGCTGAGGCGGGAAAGCGGTGGCTGTGGAGGGCACGTGCTGCCCCCACCTCCGTCTCGGGGCCTGGCTTCCCCACTGGATGGCAGAGGCCGCTCCAGGTGCTTCCACTTGGTGGCGCCCATGAGTCTGCTACTGGAGAAGCTGTGGTCTCAGGGAGGAGACAGACACCACAGGCCAGACTGGGTGGAGGAATCTTCCCCTCACAATGTCCCCTGGCTAAAAGCATCCATCTAGCTGCAAGTACTATCTTGATTCAACCCAGGGGCCGACAATGGACTGCAGCCCAGGGTAAGTCCAGCAGTTTTGCAGTCTTCCGATGCCCTGTGCCATGGACCTGCCGGCCAGAGCTCCTGGGCTCCCGTGGAGGTTAGCCCTGCAGGCACCGGGGAAATGGGGCTATGGCCTGTGCTTCAGTCAGGACACCTGGGGGCTGCACTGCGGAGGCCAAGGGCATCTAGGAGCAGGGGCTGTCTCCTTGGGGTGGAGACTGGCGGCTGCAGCCTCAGATAAGGCACTAGAGGACTGGACTGGTCCTGGGAGCCAGGCCCAGCCATGTGGTGGATGACGGTGCTCAGAGAGAGGATTTGGGTCCTGCGGGAGGTGACAGCTGTTTCTCTTTTCTTTTTTTTGGGACGGAGTCTCCCTCTGTCACCCAGGCTGGAGTGCAGTGGCGCAATCTCAGCTCACTGCAACCTCTGCCTCCTGAGCTCAAGAGATTCTCTTGCCTCAGCCTCCCGAGTAACTGGGATTACAGGTGCCCACCACCACTCCCGGCTAATTTTTGTAATTTTTTTTAGTAGAGATGGGGTTTCACCACGTTGGCCAGGCTGGTCTCAAACTCCTGACCTCAGGTGATCCGCCCACCTCAACCTCCCAAAGTGCTGGGATTACAGGAGTGAGCCACCGGGCCCAGCCTGTTTTCTCTTTTCTCCTTTCCCTGGGGAAGAGGGTTGGCCGGACAGACCCTGGTGTGGCTGGGATGGGGGACTGCTGCAGAGAGGTAACGGGCCCCTGAGATAGACATGGGACAGCCCGAAAAGGTGGGACTGAGAGGGGACACTTGTGGCCAGCAGTGTATCTCTGACACAGTCTCACCCCGCAGGGCTCCTGCAGTCTCGATTCAGGGTGCTTGGTGTTCCCAGATGGTGTTTGAGGGTCCTGACCCGACCTCATTCTGCTATAGCCATCAGTCCCCTGCTGTGGCTTTGGGGATCAGAACTTCCCAGCTAGGGCTCCCACTGTTGGACTCAGGGGACGGAGGCAGGCTAGCTGAAGGGGCAGTGCCCATGAGCTGGGCCCCCCGCAGAGCAGGCTCCTCTCTCTGCCTGGCCTCCACACCTCTACTGGTCTCCACGCCCTTGCATGAGGTGACAGGAGCTGAAATCACACATCCCAGGGGCTGAGGCAGCTGTCTGATTTGGAGACTTGCTCTGTGGCCCAGGGATCCGTGCCTCAGCCCAGCCTCACAGGGAGTGGGGAAGAGAGGGAGTAAATCAGTGGGGCTTCCCTTGTCCACAGGTTATTTAGAAAAACAGAACATAATAAATATACCAATTCTTTCCTTAAAAAAAAAAGTGTTTAAATGTGTTTTTCCCTGAAGATTTCCAGTGTATTCCACAGTGTTTAAAAAATAGTTTCCCCAAAAATATATCTTGAAAGCATTTGACACAGTGGTATTTGTGGCGTATCTGGCGCTTGTCAGTGTGGGGCCCAGGCCTGATGAGCCACCAGCCCAGCACCCGAATGCCTGCTGAAGGTGGCGCACACGTGTGCCTGGGATGTCCGGCTCTTCACAGGGGATCAGACTGCGGGTCACGTTGAGAGCCAACACCATGGGCTCGGTTCCGGCTGAAAACCCGCCAGTGTGAGGAAGCAGGGCCCCGGGTGGCCAAGCGGGCTGAGCAATGCCCTGGAGGCTGGATGGGGGTCTCGTCCTCAGCCCCTTCCCCTCCTCCGTCTTGGCTCTCTCCGCTTCGTCCTTACCAGACTTCGCACTTGTGAGGCGGGTTCATGGGTGAGCCAGGTGGGCAGCGGAAGTGTTCTGAGAACTCCTTGGAATTGGAGAGGGAGCCGATGACCCGGAAGCGAGAGGGGCTGTGGGGATCGGTGATGAGGCCTTCGTGGGAGCTCTCAGGTGTGCGGACGGAGCACCAGACCTTTGAAGGGGCAACAGGGAGAGGCCAGGGTCACTGTGGGGCCCTCGGGCTGCCAGACTGCCCCCATTATAACAGCAGGGGAGGCCAGGTGCGGTGGCTCACACCTGTAATCCCAGCACTTTGGGAGCCAAGGTGGAAGGGCTGCTTGAGCCCAGGAGTTCATGACCAGCTTGGGCAACATGGCAAGACCCCATCTCTACAAAAAATTAAAAAAAAAATTAACCAGGGATGGTGGTGTACACCTATGGTCCCAGCTCCTGGGGAGGCTGAGGTGGGAGGATCACTGGAGCTGGAGAAGTCAAGGCTGCAGTGAGCTGTGATTGTGCCACTGCATTCCAGCCTCGGTGATAGAGTGAGATCCTGTCTCAAAAAGCAAAACAAGGTTGGGTGTGGTGGCTCATACCTGTAATCCCAGCACTTTAAGAGGCCAAGGTGGCGGTGGATCACTTGAGGCCAGGAGTTCGAGACCGGCCTGACAAACATGGTGAAACCCTGTCTCTACTAAAAATACAAAAATTAGATGGGCGTGGTGGTGCGTGCCTATATCCCAGCTACATGAGAGGATGAGGCAGGAGAATCACTTGAACCCGGGAGGTTGAGGTTGCAGTGAGCCAAGATCACACCATTGCACTCCAGGCCGGGTGACTGAGGGAGACTCCGGCTCCAAAAAAACAAAACCCAGAAAATACAACACCAGGGAGATAAGCCCCCCACCTGATCCTGAGATCCCGGGGAGTCAGGAGGGTCCCCTGAGCGGGTCAGGAAGAGACAGTGGGCTGGTGTAGGGCTGGTGTGCCACCCCCCATGCCAGCAGCCTCTAACGCAGTTGTCTCCAAACTGTTCTCCTTCAGCCAGCGCAGCATCTCTGAGGCAACTGCATTCGATTCCATCTGAACAAAGGACTGTGTCCAAACACCAGTTGGAAAAGCTTGGATTTAGTCCAGATCTCTCATTTCCTGGGCAGAACAAATTGTCTAATGGCCTGGTAGCTCTGAGTGCCAGCAGAAGGCTACCAGATGAATGCCGACTGAAGGGATGATCTGGGATGATCACAGCAAGACAGAATCTTGCTATGTTGCCCGGGCTGGAGTGCAGTGGCGTGATCTTGGTTCACTGCAACCTCTGCCTCCCAGGTTCAAGTGATTCTCATGCCTCAGCCTCCCAAGAAGCTGGGACTACAGGCAGCCACCACCATGCCTGACTTTTTTTTTGTATTTTTTCATAGAGACAGGGTTTCACTATGTGGACTAGGCTGGTCTCAAACTCCTGACCTCAGGTGATCCACTTGCCTCGGCCGCCCAAAGTGCTGGGATTATAGGCGTGGGCTGCTGTGCCTGGCTGGTCATCTTAAGTTTAAGAAACCTCTAGAACCCTAGAACCAGAAGGGCCCTGGGTGATCACCTCGTCTTCTCATTCACCAGATCCAGGAATCCCTTCACTGGTACTTTGGGCCCTTCCGTGCATCTCTCTAATGACAGGGCACATGTGCTGTGCACAGTCCAGTGACTTGGGAAGTTCTCAATCTGTGGGGAACTTGCCTTTCGGCTCTCTGGGCTCTTGAAACATCAAGATGGCAGAATGTACCATGTGTGGCATGTTTTCCTAATGGACTCACCTGTGCAAAGCCCAGGAAGAAGAGCTGGTTATTGGTGAGGCCCAGGGTGGGGAGCGAGTGCTCAGCCCCGTTCTTCTTCACCCAGTTCTGGTAAGCCTGGGAGGAGAGAAAACCAAAGCTCAGGGGTTCCCATGGCAGGTGGTGAAGGAGGGGACTGGTATGGAGGTCTCAGGGAGCTCCCCCGTGTTGGGGCAAGGACTAGTTTCTGGGGATCTGGGCCTGGGCTCAGCCTAGGGGAGCCCTCTTCTTGATGTGCACTCGTTTAGCCCTATGGCTTAAAATACCTTCTACGCACTGATGGCTCTCACATTTACACCTTCTGCTCCAGCCTCTTCCCTGATGTGTATATTCAACTGTGCCAGCTGGACAGCCAAGATGCATCTCAAACTTAACATGGTATAAACAGAGCCACATCGTGTGTGTGCATGCACACACACACACATACACACAACTTTTCCCATCATAGTCAATGGTACCACCATCCATCATCCCAGGCCCCAAACCCAGAACGCTTCTTCAATTCTTCTCTTTCTCTCAGATCAAACACTGACCACTGCTCCGCTCCCCCTTCCCATTGCTCTACCCTGTCTCTTGCCTGGACAACCTCACAACAGCTTTCTAATCAGTCTTCTGACTCAGGCTGATTCAATTCCATTCCCCTCCTGGCAAAGCAACTTCAGTGAACCTTAGGAAGCAGGTGCTGGCAAACCTTTTCTGTGGATGGCCAGAGAGTGAGCACATTGGGATTTGTGGGCTAATGGTCACCGCTGCAATGACTCAATTCTGCTATTGCAGCATGAAAGCAGCCACATGGCCGGGTGCGATGACTGACACCTGTAATCCCAGCACTTTGGAAGGCCCAGGCAGGTGGATCACCTGAGGTTAGGAGTTTGAGACCAGCCTGGCCAACATGGTGAAACCCCATCTCTACTAAAAATACAAAAATTAGCCGAGGTGCGGTGGCACATGACTGTAATCCCAGCTACTCAGGAGGCTGAGGCAGGAGAATCACTTGAACCAGGAAGGCAGAGGTTGCAGTGAGCCGAGATTGCGCCACTGCACTCCAGCCTGGGTGACAGAGTGAGACCCTGTCTCAAAAAAAAAAAAAAAAAAAAAAAAGCCACAGACATGGAAACAAATGGAGCCAGCTGCAACGCCAAGAAACTTCATTTACAAAAACAGCCTCACAGCTAGATTCGGCCCATGGGCTGTAGGTGTGCTGACTCGTTTTTGTTTTTGTTTTTTTTGGAGACAGGGTCTTACTGTCACCCAGGCTGGAGTGCACTGGCACAATCTTGGCTCTCTGCAACCTCCACCTCCTAGGCTCAAGCGATCCTCCCACCTCAGCCTCCTGAGTAACTGGAACCACAGATGCACGCCACCATGCCCAGCTAATTTTTTTGTATTTTTGGTAGAGACGGGGTTTCACCACGTTGCCCAGGCTGGTCTTGAAGTCGAGCTTGTGATCCACCTACCCTGGCCTCCCAAAGTGCTGGGATTACAAGCATGAGCCACGGCACCCAGAGGACTCTTGTTTTATTTTTATTTATTTATTTTTTTGAAACAGAGTCTCGCTCTGTCACCCAGACTGGAGTGCAGTGGCACAATCTTGGCTCACTGCAACCTCTGCCTCCTGGGTTTAAAAGATTCTCATGCCTCAGCCTCCCAAGTAGCTAGGATTACAGGCATGCGTCACCACACTTGGCTATTTTTTATATATAAATATGTACATATTTCTGAGATGGAGCCTTGCTCTGTTGCCCAGGCTGGAGTGCAGTGGCGCGAACTTGGCTCATTGCAACCTCCACCTTCCGGGTTCAAGCAATTCCCTGCCTCGGCCTCCCGAGTAGCTGGGATTACTGGCGCCTGCCACCACGCCTGGCTAATCTTTGTATTTTTAGTAGAGACGGGGTTTCACTATCTTGGGCAGGCTGGTCTTGAACTCCTGACATCGTGATCCACCCACCAAGGCCTCCCAAGGTGCTGGGATTACAGGCATGAGCCACCGTGCCCAGCCATTTTTATATTTTTAGTAGAGATGAGGTTTCACCATGTTGGCCAAGCTGGACTTGAACTCCTGGCCTCAAATGATCCGCCCACCTCGGCCTCCCAAAGTGCTGGGATTATAGGCATGAGCCACTGCGCCCGGCTGACCCCTGTTTTAAAGGGTAGGTTGAATCATGTCATTCCTCTATTTTAAAACCCTATATTGTGTCTCTCTATCATAACCAGGACAAAACCAAAGGTCCTTCCTTAGCCGCAGCCGACAGAAGCCTGGAGTGGTCTGGTCCCCGCATTCCCTACACTCTGCCCTGCCCTTCTTCCCATCCTTGGACGTGCCAGGCTTGTGTCTAGTTCGTGGCCTCTGCACTTGCTCTTCCTCTTGCTGAGACCATTTTCCCCAGCTTTTCCCAGGCTCTTCCTCATCATTTAGGTCTCTATGCAAATGTCATAACCCCAGAGAAGGCCTGCCGTGGCCAGCGTCCTCCCCATTATTCCTTTTACCCCCCGTTATTCCTCATTACTTCGCCCCAGTTTATATTCGTCACCTTTTCAATAGCTGACATTATCTTACAGATTTATGATGTATTTATTTGCCTTTCTTCCCCTTCCAGCCTCCACTAAGAGTATAAGCTTTTAGAGAGCAGGATGAGCTTCAAACACAGCCCCTGCTAGGTAGATTCTCAATACCTTTCATTGACTCGTGGACTTTAAGCAACCTATCCAAGGTTTCTGGGCTCAGTGTGCTTATCTGCAAAACGGGGATTATAATACCTAATTGTAAAGCTGCTGGGAATACTCCAAGCCTGGCACTTAAGAAGGCCTCAATAAATGACAGCTCTATGGATTTCTGCTCTTACTGCCGTGGTTGGGAGGAAGCCCTGTCTTAATCTCTCTGACAGACACCTACTGTTTTTCTCTCGTGGCCTCTGTTACTAACTCTCCCATCTGACTCCGCGAGCATCTCTGAGTGTCTCTCTGGGTCAGCCCGTGTCTAAATCATCTTGTTTTATCTTCCCAACAACCCAATAATGCAGGTAGTAGCTAATCAGAGCCAAGTCAAGTGAGGCTCAAGGAGGTTCTGTGACTTACTCCAGAACCGGGACTTGAACCCAGAACTGGCTCCACGACCAGTGCTCCTTGCCCTGGCTGCTTAGTCCTCAGGGGCCTCCCAGACCCACAGCTGGCTGACTTGGTGGTAGCTTCCCCTGCAGAGATGAGAACAGGCAGGCTCTTCAGGCGGATGAAGCCCGAGCCCCTTCCTGTGTCTTTGTCAGGCCAGACTCAGAGCACAAAGCCTTCTGGTGCCAAGCCCTGTGGTGGGGGAGCCTCCACGGTCGGCATCGCGATTGGTCCTCGCCACCCCCAATTTCGCAGAAGAGGAAACGGAAGCTCGCACGGCTGCTGCGCCTGCCCTGGTTGTCCGTGATGATCCTCTACGGACAGGCATCTGGAAGGAGCCAGCACTGGGACCGTGCGCGTGTGGGGAGCGGGGCTCTCACCCGATAGGCCGCCTTGAGACCCCCGTTGTCGGCGATGTTCTCCCCCAGGGTGTGCCGCCCGTTCACCGGCTCCCCGTTCACGCTGTAGTTGCTGTACTGCTCTACCATGCACTCGGTCTGACGCTTGAAGGCCTCCACGGATGAGTTCTTCCACCATGGCCGGAGGTTCCCGTCCTTGTCATACTCCCGTCCTGTGGGTCAGAGGGAGGCGTCATGTCAAGGGAGGGAGGGGCACAGCAGGGACCTGCTGCTCCTCCCTGCTCCTGGTGAGAAGCGGTTCATCCGTCCACCCCCGTCCTCCAGCCACCATGGGGAGACGAGGTCCCTGTGAGTGCCGAGGGACGTGGATGTGGTGGCCAGTCAGAGGCGGGAGAGGATGAAGGAGAGAAATCGGGAAAAGCTCCAGCGTGGCCCGAGGCTCAGTGGGGCTTGCTTTGTTTTCTTTCTTTTTTTTTTTTTTTTGAGACAGTCTCACTCTGCCACTCAGGCTGGAGTGCAGTGGCGCAATCTCAGCTCACTGCAACCTTTGCCTCCTGGGTTCAAGGAATTCTTGTGCTCAGCCTCTGGAGTAGCTGGGATTACAGGCACATGCCGCCATGCCTAGCTGATTTCTGTTTTTTTTTTTAGTAGAGATGGGGTCTCACCATGTTGGCCAGGCTGGTCTTGAACTCCTGACCTCAAGTGATCTGCCCACCTCAGCCTCCCAAAGTGCTGGGATTACAGGTGTGCGTCACCGTGCCTGGCTTATTTTCAACACTGGCTAAGGGCCCCTGACCCTGAGTAACAGATGCCTAGGAAGAGGCAGATGGAGCCAGCTGACCTAGGATCACAAGACAGGCCCAGGCCACCCAGGTCTCTGCTTCTTCCATCTCCGCCCGGGAGTGCCCAAGGAAGGAGGCAATGAGGAGGATTTTGGACATTAGTTGGAGAGGAGGGACTGATTCAACGCCCCCTGACTGCAGTTGGACTGGAGAAGTCTCTGGAGTGGTGGAGGAATGTCCACTCTCTGCTAAACCTAATAGGAACCCCAAGAGCGGGACAACTTCCACGAGCAGGGCACCTCACTACACACTTCACACAGTCCTCCCAATCACCACGGGAGGGTGGAACCATCACGCTCCTTTTACAGACAAGACATGGGGGCCTGGAGAAATGACAGCGCTTGCTAAACTTCATATAATCGGCAGGTGGCAGAGCAAGGATTTGAACCCAGATCCTTCTGCCTCCAAAGCTAAGACCCTTAGAAGTGAAGGATGCAGAAAGCAGAGGCAGTGGGGCCTGGAAGATGATTGGCCCAGTCTAAAGGGGACCAAGGAACCTGTACCAGGCAGTGGTGCAATCATAATCATAGTTCACTGTAGCCTCAAACTCATGGGCTCAAGTGAGCCTCCCACCTCAGCCTCCCAAGTAGCTAGGACTATTAAAATTTTGCCACCACACCTGGCTAAATTTTTACTTTCTTAGTAGATACAATTTTATTTTATTTTATTTTTTGAGATGGAGTCTCGCTCTGTCACCCAGGCTGGACTGCAGTGGCGCAATCTCAGCTCACTGCAACCTCCGCCTCCCAGATTCAAACGATTTTCCTGCCTCAGCCTCCTGAGTAGCTGGGATTACAGGCACCCGCCACCATGCCCGGGTAATTTTTTTATTTTTAGTAGACAGGGTTTCGCCATGTTGGCCAGGCTGATCTCGAACTCCTGACCTCAGGTGATCCACCAGCCTTGGCCTCTCACAGCGCTGGGATTACAGGCATAATCCATCATGCACAGCCTAATTTTTTTTTTAGTAGAGATGGAGGTCTTGCTATGTTGCCCAGGCTGGTCTCAAACTCCTGCCCTCAAGCAATCCTCCTCTTAAAGCACGGAGATTACAGGCATGAGCCATCGTGCCCAGCTGGAATTCGTACCTTGATCATCAAAAGCATGAGTCAGCTCATGGCCCACGACGACACCTATGCCACCAAAGTTTAAGGCCCTGGAGGGAAAGACACAAAGGTAGAGATGATGCTTTGAGAGGAGGGCCTCTCACTCTTGCTCAGGTATGTGACCCTCACTTCCTGGGCTTAGAGATATAGCAAAATTCCACAGGGCTCTGTGTGGATAAGGGTGTGGTCATGGCCTGAGTCTCCAGCAAGGCCCCTGAAGCCAGAGGGAGGCTGGGCACAGTCTGTGTGGTCAGCTGTGCCTATTGGGCACCATGCGCTGTGCTAGATGCTCTACAGACCTAACTGTCCTCTTCAGTCATTGCGAAAGCGTTAGCAATGGTCGCCATTGACCAGCTCTATTTATGAGTAGACCAAGGCTGGGAATGGGTCAATTGCTTTGCCCAAGGACCACACAATCATCCAATAGCAGACCTGGGATTCAAACTGAGACAGCAGCCTTAACCCTCCCCACTCCCCAGCTCTGACTGTGTTATAACATTGTCAGAGGGGCGTTTCCCTGAGGTAGGGCTCTTGATTCCATGAGATGCTCCCAATACCCCACTGTGCAGGGCTTCCAGATCTCACTGGAGGGAAGGAAAGTGGGTGAGGATGTTGCTTCCTCTGCAACATCTCTGACATCTGCAACCTGAAGCACTGGGGCAAAGATCACATGGTGAGACTGGCTTAGGTCGTATGGGCCCCAGGGCTGGGCTGGGGGAAAAGAATTGGGGTAGGGGCCCCAGAGGCAGCCTACTTGGGTGAGGAGCGTGTGTAGAATGGTGCCTGCAGGATCCCGGCCGGAAACACAATCTCATTCTTGGTGGGCGAGTAGTAGGCGTTCACCATGGGCGGGGTCATGCTCCACCTGCAAGCAACACACATGCAGGAGGTCTCAGCACAGGGCGGGAGGCAGGTGGGGACAGCCTGCCTGGAGCGCTGCTTGGGGATCGGGAATAAGGGCATTAAAAATGCAGACTCTCCTTGACCCCAGGCCCAAGTGCACACAAGTACAAGGACATCTACAGAAGGACTGTTTGTTTTGAGACAGGGTCTCGTTCTGTCGCCTAGGCTGGAGTGCAGTCGTGTGATCATGGCTGACTGCAGCCTCAACTTCTAAGCCTCAAGCCATCCTCCTGCCTCGGACTCCCAAAGTGCTGGAATTACAGGCGTGAGCCACTGTGCCTGGGTGCAGGACTGCTTTTTAGGAGAAAACTAGAAAACACCTGACTGTCTATAAATAAGGAATCAGTTAATTAATGATGTCATATCACACGGTGGAATACTGAGGTTCTTACAAAGAGCAGGAAGGGCCATTAGATTTTGAAATATCAGCACACAGTGGCTCATGCTTGTAATCCCAGGACTTTGGGAGGCTGAGGTGGGTGGATTACTTGAGGCCAGGAGTTCAAGACCAGCCTGGCCAACACGGCAAAACCCTGTCTCTACCAAAAATACAAAAAAAATTAGCCAGGCGTGGTGGCGCACACTTGTAATCCCAGCTACGTGGGTGGCTGAGGCACGAGAATTGCTTAAACCTGGGAGGTGGAGGTTGCAGTGAGCTGAGATTGAGCCACTGCACTCCAGCCTGGGTGACAGAGCAAGGCTATCTCAAAAAAAAAAGAAAAAAGAAAAGAAAAAGATTTTGAAAAGTCACCACTGAAGAGTATCTTTTTTTTTTTTTTTGAGACGGAGCTCACTCTGTCACCCAGGCTGGAGTGCAGTGGTGCGACTGCGGCTCACTGCAGCCTCCGCCCCCCGGGGTTCACGCCATTCTCCTGCCTCAGCCTCCCGTGTAGCTGGGACTACAGGCGCCCACCACCTTGCCCGGCTGATTTTTTGTATTTTTAGTAGAGATGGGGTTTCACCGTGTTAGCCAGGATGGTCTCGATCTCCTGACCTCGTGATCCGCCTGCCTCGGCCTCCCAAAGTGTTGGGATTACAGGCATGAGCCACTGCGCCGTCATAATGATTAATTTCATTACATCTCAACCCCTGAATACAAGACTTTTTTTTTTTTCTTTTTAAGCGACAAGATCTTGTTGTGACACCCAGGTTAGAGTGCGGTGGCATGATCATGGCTCCCTACAGCCTCAAACTCCTGGGCTCAAGCTATCCTCCCACCTCAGCCTCTCAAGTAGCTGGGACTACAAGCACTCGTGACCATGCCTGGCTAATTTTTTTTTTTTTAATGTTACAGAGGTGGAGTAACATTAAATCCACATATAAAGCATTCTGCTTCTTTCCTGGAACCCTGTTGGTACTTTTAGGATGACTGGTAAACTATGGAATTTCAGACGTGGACATCTGGCAGACATTTTCTTTAAAATGAATAAAGTGAGCTTATCACCTCAAGGAAAACAACTCAAGCCATCTGTTGCCAATGATAAAAATATGAGATTTAAAAAAATGTTGAAGTTTCAGGCTAAAATTAAAATTTTGAAAAACTTATATTGGCCACCACAAGTTTGACACCTTACCAATAATAATGGAAGGTTTTTCTCAAGAGGTCAGCAGTGATATTAACAAATGTGGATTTTTTTGCTATTGTATATTGGAAGTATAACCATTTGGAAGATCTGTAAGACTCAGTGAACCATTGTTTTCCAAATGACTAAGACATGATGTTACAAAATCACGCCTGGGTAAAAGATCCATTCAAAGTGCAGGACAGACCAATGGAATTTAGTGTAACAGAGTATGAAAGTTCATGAAGGCTGGGCATGGTGGCTCATGCCTGTAATCCTAGCACCTTGGGAGGCCGAGGTGGGAGGACTGCTTGAGCCCAAGAGTTTGAGACCAGCCTGGGCAAAAAAAAATTACAAAAATTCCGGCCCCGGTGACATGGTGAAACCTGTCTCTACAAAAAATACAAACATTAGCCAGGTGTGGTGGTGTGCACCTGTAGTCCCAGCTACTCAGGTGGCTGAGGTGGGAGGATCACCTGAGCCTGGGAAAGTTGAGGCTGCAGTGAGCTGAGATTATGCCACTGCACTCTGGCCTGGGTGATACAGTGAAAAAAAGAAAAAAGAAAAAAATAAAGTTCATGGATGTGGTTTCAGATTCCATAGTGCAATTAACCTTTAAAAAATTATCACTTTTCGAGTTTTGGTGTAGTATCAGAAGAACGTGCACAAGTACCAGAAAAGACTATTAAAATATCCCTCATCCCTCCCTTTCCCAACTAAATTCCTATGTGAGGCAAGAATTCTCTTTTTTTTGAAACAAAGTCTTGTTCTGTCACCCAGGCTGGAGGGCAATTGGGGTGCAGTGGCGTGATCTTGGCTCACTGCAACCTCTGCCTCCAGGGTTCAAGCAATTCTCTGCCTCAGCCACCTGAGTAGCTGGGATTACAAGCACCCGCCACCACGTCTGGCTAATTTTTTGTATTTTTAGTAGAGATGGGGTTTCACCATCTTGGCAATGCTTGTCTTGAACTCCTGACCTCGTGATCCACCCGCCTCAGCCTCCCAAAGTGCTGGGATTACAGGCGTGAGCCACCACGCCTGGCCAAGAATTCTTTCTATATATAAAAACAACATATGGTAACAGATTGACTGCAGAATCAGATATGAGAATCCAGTTGTCTTTGATTAAGCCAGACATAAAGAAATTTGCAAAAAGTAAAACGATACCTCTCTTCTCATTAATTTTTTGAAAATAGTTATTTTCCATAAAATTTAAAAAAAATCAGGGCCAGTGCAGTGGCAATGGCACCATCTTGGATCACCCGCAACGTCTGCTTCCCGGGTTCAAGCGATTCTCCTGCCTCAGCCTCCTGAGTAACTGGGATTACAGGCATGTGCCACCATGCCTGGCTAATTTTGTATGTTTAGTAGAGATGGGGTTTCTCCATGTTGGTCAGGCTGGTCTTGAACTCCCGACCTCAGGTGATCCACCCGCCTTGGCCTCCCAAAGTGCTGGGATTACAGACGTGAGCCACCGCGCCCAGCAATAATTTTTTTGAGTGTAGAAGGATCCCAAGACCAAAAAAGGTTTTGAAAGTAATGGTATATAGTCATGAGGTATTTGGCATTTCAATGACTTCTCTGGTACAGAGGGGAAGGGTGAGTGAGGAGTGCAGTGAGATGGGTACCACATTTCCTCTAAGAGCCTAGACAGTCACTCTGCCTCCTCCAGGTGAGCCCCACAGCCATGGGAACATACTGAGAACTTTATTTATTTTGAGATGGAGTCTCACTCTGTTGCCTAGGCTGGAGTGCAGTGGTGCAATCTCTGTTCACTGCAACCTCTGCCTCCCGGGTTCAAGCGATTCTCCTGCCTCAGGCTCCCAAGTAGCTGGGATTACAGGTGTCTACCACCATGCGTGGCTAATTTTTGTATATTTAGTAGAGACGGGATTTCACCATGTTGGCCAGATTGGTCTTGAACTCCTGACCTCAAGTGATCTACCCGCCTTGGCCTCCCAAAGTACTGGGATTACCGGTGTGAGCCCCCGTACCTGGCCAAGAACTCTATTTATGTATTTATTTATTTTAGAGACAGGGTCTTGCTCTGTAGCCCAGGCTGGAGTGCAGTGGTACAACTGTAGCTCACCGCAACCTCAACCTCCTGGGCTCAAGCGCATGCTACCACGTCCAGCTAATTTTTTAAATTTTTTGTAGAGATGGGGTTTCACCATGTTGCCCAGGCTGGTCTCAAACTTCTGAGCTCAAGAGATCCTCCCACCTTGGCCTCTCAAAGCGTTCGAATTACAGGCGTGGGCCGCTGTACCTGGCCATATGGAGGAATTTAAAACATCATATTTATATTCAAATAATCACAAATACTTCAATGGGTAGGCAAGGAAATTTAAATAAAAACATTCAAGCTAAGTTAAAATACTTCAGATAAACTGGCAACAGAGCCTATGCCATGTTCTGAAGGTAAAAGCCCACCTTCTTGTACATAGCGGGGTGTCCTGGTTGGAGGCTGGAAATGAAGGAAATAGAGATGTTTGAACCCCTATAGTCCACCAGGGGGCACCAGAGGCAAAGAGAAGTTGATTGCACCCTTCCCTAAGATTTATCCCAAATGTTTGCACTGAGGAATGGAAGGACCTTGGACTGAAGACTGGAACTGGGCTGACTACATCTAATTTTTTTGAGGAGACAGTTTTTTTTTTTCTTTCTTTCTTTTTTTTCAGGCAGGGTCTCGCTCTGTTGCCCAGGCTGGAGTACAGTGGCATGATCTTGACTCACTGCAGCTTCGACCTCCTGGGCTCTAGTGATCCTCCCACCTCTGCCTCCCCAGTAGCTGGGACTACAGGTTCGTGCCACCACGTCCAGCTAATTTTAAAAATTTTTTGTAGAGACCACATCTCCCTATGTCGCCCAACCTGGTCTTGAAGTCTTAGGCTCAAGCGATCTGCCCACCTCAGCCTGCAAAGTGCTGGGATTGCAGGCCTGAGCTACTGTGATTGACCTGAGGAGACAGTAATAAAAAGGACAAAGACCAGGTCTCATTCTAGGTTATCCTGATTTAAGGTCAGGAAGCTGTATTTTTTTTTTTTTTTTGAGATGGAGTCTTGCTCTGTCACCCAGACTGGAGTGCAGTGGCACGATCTCGGCTCACTGCAACCTCCGCCTCCCGGGTTCAAGCAATTCTCGTGCCTCAGCTACTCACTCCTGAGTAGCTGGGACTACAGGTGTGCGCCACCACACCCGGTTAATTTTTGTATTTTTAGTAGAGACAGGGTTTTGCCATGTTGACCATGGCTGGTCTCAAACTCCTGGGTTCAGGTGATCCACCTGTCTTGCCCTCCCAAAGTGCTGGGATTACAGGCGTGAGCCACCACGCCCGGCCAGGAAGCTGTATCTTTGAAAAAGTTCCCCAGAGGACTCTGATGTGCAGTGAGCTTTGGGAAGCACAGCTGTCAAGCCCATCCAGAACCTTCCCCAGGCCTCTGTGGGCTCCCTGTCCTGAGATCCCACCATTCGTGGTAGTGAGGAACAATGGGAAAGCTGCTCTTGCTGGGGCCTCCTTGGGGTCTGGCGCTCCCCAGAGGTCCTCACATTTGACTGCCATGAGGACCCCAGAACCAGCTCCTCCCATCCTATTCTGCGGAAAATGAAATGAAGGCTCCAAATCCCAAAGCAGTGGAGCGGAGACAAGGTGCCAGATCGGCTCCGCTCCAGAGGCCAGGCTCACCCTGCCAACAGGCTGGGCAGGCTCAAGCCCATCCCAGCTCCTAGCTGGGCCATACTTCTTTTGCCCTTGGTTTCTTCATCTGAAAAGTGGGATAACAAGGGCATCCACTCTTCAGACGGCTCTCGTGATAGCTGATCGGGTGCACAGTGAGGGTGCAATGAAGGCCAGTTCGTCCCAAGGCTTGCCCACAGGTGGGGAGCTGGCACCTTGCCGGCAGGGCCTGGGGGAACTCACTGATCTCTGTTGGGGGCTTTCCTGAGCTGATCGGCAGTGACCCTCCATGAGAAGTTGAAAAACCGCATGGCATTTTCAAAGTAGAGGTCTGGAACTGCAGTGTACTAGAAAAGAAGAAGTGGAGTCAATCACAGTGTGCCCTCGGTGGTGTGCATCTTCCAAGACAGGAAGCCAAGGGCTGTCATGGTTAAGAGATTAATCTGCAGGCTGGAGACCGGAATGCAGGGCTTGGGGCTGCAGGGTCAGCTCTTCTCTTGGCCTTCACCCTGGGGCACGAGATGGAATGACACCGTTGCAGGATGTGCCTACAGCAGTGCCTGGGCCCAGGCAAGAAATATCTCCCATGTTGTCCAATAGAACCTCCTGCGATGATGGATGTTCTGTGCTCTATGCCTGCGCTGTCCAGTATGGCAGACTACTAAGCATTTCTTTCTTTCTTTTTTTTTTGAGACGGGAATCTTGATCTATCATCCAGGCTGGAGTGCAATGGCACGATCTTGGCTCACTGCAACCTCCACCTCCTGGTTTAAGTGATTCTCGTGCCTCAGCCTCCCAGAGTAGCTGGGATTACAGGCGCATGCCACCAAGCCCAGCTAATTTTTGTATTTTTAGTAAAGACGGGGTTTCACCACATTGGCCAGGCTGGTTTCAAACTCCTGACCTCAGGTGATCAGCCCACCTTGGCATCCCAAAGTGCTGGGATTACAGGCGTGAGCCACCACGCCCGGCCACTAATAAGCATTTCAAATGTGGCAAGTGTGGCTTTTAAATTTAATTTAAACTAATTTAAGTTTTAATTATTTAAATAGCCACCTGTGGCTAGTAGCTACCATACTAGATCTCATAAGTAAAGTAGAAATCTATCTGAACTGTCAAGGGCATCACTGTACACCCTTTTCACTACTCGGCCCAGCTTTCTAGCTTTTTTTCTGCTTTTTTGAGACAGGGTCTTGCTCTGTCGCCCACGCTGGAGTGCAGTGGTGCAATCACAGCTTGCTGCAGCCTTGTCTTCTTGAGCATAAGTGATCTTCCCATCTCAGCCTCCCATGTAGCTGGGACTATAGGCACATGCCAACATGCCCAGCTAATCTTTACATTTTTTGTAGAGATGAGGTCTCACTATGTTGCCCGGGCTGGTCTTAAACTCCTGAGCTCAATCAATCCCCCCACCTCAGCCACCCAAAGTGTTGGCATTACAAGCATGAGCCACTGCGCCTGGCTCAGCTCTTGACAGGTGCAAAATTCTCCCTGGTTCTGGTGAAACGCTGGAGCCTCAGGGACAGGACATGGATCCTGGGCTCTGCCCAGGATGCCTCCAGAGGCCCAAGGATCTTGCGTCATGACACTCTGGAGCATCTTAAATGATTCTCAAGGAAAAGGCAGCAGAATGAGTCTCATGATCTCAGAATGAGTCTTTATAGTCTTAGGTTCTAAATATAACCATGACGAGAGGTTATTAGATTTTTAAATGCCTGAATTCAGGCTGGGCATGGTGGCTCATGAATATGAGCCAGCCTGGGAGGCGGAGGTTGCAGTGAGCTGAGATAGCACCACTACACTCCAGTCTGGGCAACAGAATGAGACCCTGTCTCAAAAAAAATTTTTTCTTAAATACCTGAATTCAAGTATTTCAATCACAAGAAGATATAAAACTTCATAATTTGAGGCAGAAGCACAATCCACCTAACTGAGTGATTTGCCAAAAGTTCTAATAAGCAGGGATGTATCAACCACCTCCATTGCCCAAACCAAGCTTAAAAATGCACCTGGATTTAAGCTGCTTCTTTCCCATTAGCATTTCAAAGTCAAAATCAGAGGTCCGGGTTTCTGGGGAGGTGGAGGAGGGCCGCAGGGACAGGAGGTAACTGGAAGCACGACCAGGGAGGGAGGAGGTGGTGTGGGGGTTTTCCCACTTCATACCCCACCCCTGATGTCTGAGGGCCACCAATTCTCTCTGCACCTTCTGGGGTCTGTTTCCTCCATTATTTCCCACATATTAAATGGAGCTGACCACTTCCAGGGGGCACACAGCACGGGTTCTGTACTGACTGGTGGGCACTGCTGATGGATGGTGGCTATGGGGAGGCAGGGCCTCCAGCTGACCCAGGAGCCAAATTAAGAAGAAGAAGAGGCTTCCTCATGCCTGACCCATACCCAAGCCCCACACCACATCATCCCTGTGTGTTTTGACAACCATGCTGCCTCTAGCACCCCATCTGGACCCAGCCCTGCCTCGGCCCTTTTCTAAGGGGGCATTTAGGAACGCAAGGGGGCAGGGCAGCAGCTACTCACGTCATTAAACACTTTGTCCAGCTCCTTGGGATCCATGATGAAGTTGGGGTATCCTATCATGTTGTAGATGGCATCGGCCTGGACAGGACAGACAGAGGAAGTGAGTGCCCGGCAACATCGACCAGGCCAGCCTGAGCAACTTGGGTGCTGGGCTCATAGTCTGGGCCAAGGGGAACCAGAGCCAGGCCCTGCCTGCCTTGGGCTTTCATGTCTTTTTCTGGAAAGGTTTCCCCCTTGCAAAACTTCTACTTATCCCTTAGGTCTCTGTTTAAATGTCACTTTCCCAAGGGAAGTCTTCCCTGACTCCCATCCCACTGGAGGGTGCCAGAGCCTTCCCGACCCACGGGACGTGCTGCGTTTTCCTGCACCTTTTCCCCGTACACTCAGCGAGGTTTGTCTTCTACAGACATCCAAGCAATCATGTGCTTGAGGCCTACCCCGAATCCTGCTAGGCCTAGACCGCTCACCCGCTGAAGGCGAGACAGCATCCAGGCTGTGCTGCCGGACAGAACTGGCCTCACCGGGCGCGGTGGCTTATGCCTATAATGCCAGCGCTTTGGCAGGCCAAGGCGGGTCGATCACCTGAGGTCGGGAGTTTGAGACCAACCTGACCCACATGGAGAAACCCCATCTCTACTAAAAATACAAAATTAACCGAGCGTGGTGGCGCACGCCTGTAATCCCAGCTGCTCGGGAGGCTGAGGTGGGAGAATCGCTTGAACCCGGGAGGCGGAGGTTGCGGTGAGCCAAGATCGCACCATAGCACTCCAGCCTGGGTAACAAGAACGAAACTCTGCCTCAAAAAACAAACAAAAAAACCGGCCTCTCCTTCCCCCACCCTCCTCTATCTGTGCTGGACGCCGCAGCACCCCCTCCAAGTGCCTGGCCAGCCTCACCTTTTCCTTGGCTGATTTTCGGGTTTCCTCATCCATCCACTTCAGGGTGCTCAGGCTTTCCTCAAATGCCTTCTTAATCTCCAGGATGATCTCGGTGGCCTGAGGAGATACACATCACAGCAGTAAGGTCTGCGCACTGGTCTCAGGTAAATGCAACAGGCACCCCGTGCAGAACAATGATGGCCAGAGATTAAACTCAATTTTCCAAGCGTCAGGCTGGGTGAGAAGGGGAGCCACAGCTGTGCTTCCAAACCACGCTCCTAACGTGAACACCCTGCAAGACAGGACTGGCCTTCCACACACAGGGCTCCATGCTCCAATAAGCTTAGGATGAGCTTCGGGAAAGTTGGAAAAGTCTCTGCTGTGGTACTTTTCAGAGCCTTTAATATGGTAATAATAGGCACCGTGATTCTTCCAGAGAGGGGAGAAGACACAGCCTCTCCCAGCCTTATTGCCTTATTGGACCACAGCATTCCTTTTTGATGGAGCGGGCTTTAAGATCTAGAGTACTCATGTTCCGAGGAGCAGCTTCGGAAATACCATGCTCAGGCTGGATATAGACAGGTGTTCTTGAGGGAGACAATGTCATGAGCAGACAAGCTCGAAGATGGAAAGTTGAAGGTTCTAGAGAAGGGGAAGGCAGAGCTGTGCGGCAACAAGAGCAGAGGGGCCAGCAGACCCCAACTCAGACCCTGCCCAGCTGCTCACAGGCCAGTCACTGTAATGGATTTGAATTGCGGTTGGCTCACCTCCGGCTGCAGATGACAGCTACATAATGAATACTATTTGTCATCAAGATTGTAACAATAAAATGACCACTCCCATTAGCTGAACCCTTATTGTATGCCGGTGCCCAGTGTGTGGCATCTCATTTAATCTCTCTCTGTGGGAGGAATGCCCCCGTCTCCACATTGCAGATGATGTAAGAACTGTCCCAGGCCACCCGACCAGCGGTGAGGCCAGGATCTGAGCTTAGGCCGGGCTGTCTCCAAGGCGCTCTGCCATGGCACTCCTCTGCCTGTCTAGAACAAACCTGTCACCCACAAAATAAGAAAAATGTCACCCTCTGGGCCAGAGCTGTTCTGCCAACATTCTCTCTGGGTCGTTCACAGCCCTTGGAGGTGGGGATGGCTGTCACAGCCTTGCAGGCTGCTGGGAGGATCACATGAGCTCGTGCAGATAAGGGCCTGGCACTGAAGAGCTGCCCTCGTGAGACTCCCATTACCCAGGGCTCGAGGAAGTGAAGCCTCTGCATTGAGGCTGTGGCCCTAAGGTCCCCTGCCCAGGAGCAGGAAAGGCCCAGGGTGGGCTGGAGTGTGAACTGGCAGGTCTGTGCAGGCCACAACAAGTGTGACCTCACAGCCTGTGTCCACGGGGAAGGCACTTACTATGCTCTTGCTGTCCTCGGCGAAGGTTGCTTTGACAAACATGGGGCCCAACGCAAAGCCCAGGTTGTTTTCTGTGTCACTCACGCAAAACTTCCAGCGAGGAAGACAGGTCTGGAAAACACAAGTCAGGGGGCTCGCTGGGCCCCAGCCCTTTGTTTCCCAACCCCTTTCTTGCTGGGAGGTAGCACCATGTGGGGCCCATGCTTTGTTCTGGAAGTTCAGGGAGAGCTTTCCGACCCAGTAAAGTTATTTTAGTCACCGGACCAAGAGGCCACTGATACCCTCACTCCCACCCCCTGCCATTTCCTGAATGCCAGGCTCTGTGCTGGGACTTCACAAATAGTGTCCCGTTGAGCCATTCAATGACCCTCGGGGCTTACAAGCCGTTTGACTGATGGGGAAACACACTCGGCACGGAGCAGCTGCTGGCCCAGGGTGCCCCACGAGTGACAAGTGTTGTTGGAATGAGAACTGAGACGTGCCTGACTCCACATCCTATGCTCCTACCTACCCCCATCTCGTCCTGCCTCCTGGGAAGAGCAGGAGTCCTGGAGGCAAAGAGCGGTGGAGAGTGACTGGTCTACCCTGAGTCACAGAAAAAACTGCCCCAGGGCCAGGGCTCCAATGCCATTGAAGATCTCCTCAAATGAGAACACCACAGCAACACCGCAGGACTTTTTTCTTTTTTTCTTTTTTTTTGGCAGGGTCTCGCTCTGTCACCTAGGCTGGAGTGCAGTGGTGCGATCACACAGCTCACTGCAGCCTCGACCTCCCAGGCTCAAGTGATCTTCCCACCTTAGCCTCCCGAGTAGCTGGGACAACAGGTGCAGGCCACTATGCCTGGCTAATTTTTTCTATTTAAAAATTTTTTTTTTTTTTTGTGGAGACATCATCCCACTATGTTGCCCAGGCTGGTCTAGAACTCTTGGGCTCAAGTGATCCACCTGCCTTGACTTCCCAGAGTGCTGAGATTACAGGCGTGAGCCACCACACCTGGCTCACCGCGGGATTGCAATGCCTTGATTCTTTCTTGGTCTTGCCTACAAGCCCCAACAGTCCATACAACCCCTCTGTGCAAACCGGAAATAGGCGTCTGTGGGCTGCAACCTCCTGGGCATGGCCCAGGGACGCGTGCTGGGCTAATGTCAGCCCCAGTCACTCCCCGGCCAGGCATCCCTCTGTGGACAGTATATATGACCACGTGTGGTGGCCCTGCTCACATAAATCCCTCGTACGACAGAGGAAGTGATGTCCTCTTAACCCCAAAGAACAGGTGGTTAACAACCACCCACGCTCAGGGCAGTCTGATTCATCATGGCCCTAAACTGACAACAGCCAAAATGCCCATCAGCAGGCAGACGGATCAACAAAATGTGGTATTTTTATACAGCAACATACTACTTGGCAACAAAAAGGAATGAACTAGCTACTGATATATACGACAGCATGGATAAATTCCACAGACTCAAGCTGAGCAAAAGCAGCCAGGCACATCGTGTATAATTCCGTCCACACCCAGCTGCACCAGCCTTGGGGGCTGGGGGCTGACAGGAAAGGGGCATGAGGGTACCTGCTGCTCAGAGGGCGCTGGACAAATGGATGATGGGAATGTTCTCTATCTTTCTAAAATTTTTTATACATTTTTTTCTTTCTTTTTTTTTTTTTTAGCATGCTATGCCCAAGGCAGAAGGGGATATTCTCTATCTTGACTGTGGTGATGGTTACATGGGTGACTTCATTGGTCAAACTCATTGAGGCCAAGTGTGGTGGCTCATGCCTGTAATCCCAGCACTTCGGGAGGCCGAGGCAAGTGGATCACTTGAGGTCAGGAGTTCAAGACCAGCCTGGCCAACATGGTGAAACCCTGTTTCTACCAAAAATACAAAAATTAGCCAGGCGTGGTGGCACATGCCTGTAATCCCAGCTACTCAGAAGGCTGAGGCAGGAGAATAGCTGTAACCTGGGAGGCGGAGGTTGCAGTGAGCCAAGATCAGGCCACTGCACTCCAGCCTGGGTGACAGAGCGAGACTGTCTCAATTGAAAACAAAAACAAACAACAAACAAACAAAAAAGGCCGGGATGGTGGCTCACACCTGTAATCCCAGCACTTTGGATGGCTGAGGTGGGTGGATCCCCTGAGGTCAGGAGTTCGAGACCACCCTGGCCAACACGGTGAAACTCCATCTCTATTAAAAATACAAAAATTAGCCGGGTGTGGTGGTAGGCACCTGTAACCCCAGCTACTCGGGAGGCTGAGGCACAAGAATCGCTTGAACCCTGGGGATGGAGGTTGCAGTGAGCTGAGATCATACCACAGCACTCCAGCCTGGGTGACAGAATAAGACTCTGTCTCAAAACCAAACCAAACCAAAAACTCACTGAACTGAATACTTAATGTACACTGCATTTTTATTGTATGTAAATTATGCCTTAGCTACAAAAATTCCTTCTAGGCAAGAAAGAAAGGAAGGGCCACTCTTCTTCTTACCCATGTTCTTTTTAGTTTTCCCAACTACGTGTCCATTTGGATGCCTTGCCCTCAGCCTTTCCCTCCCTCCCGCGCCTACCCTCCCTCGGCTGAGAAGCCCAAAGCTGGACACATGGTCTGTGTCTGGCCGAGGCCGACCACACAGGATGTCAGGACGAGGGGGACTCTAATTTGAAGCTCCGTGGAGGCTCCAGGCTGTGAGGGCTGAATCACAGACAGACTTTCTTATGTGTCGTCTTCTCTGGAGATTCTCTGGATAAACCCATTCCTTCACACGAGCTTTCATTCATTTACGCATCCAGCGTTCTGTGAGCAGTTGCCCTGCATCCTGACTGTGCTAGGTCTTTCGAAGCTAGAGATGAATCAACAGTGAGCCTGTACTCCTGGGTCTCAACTGAAATGCCCAGAACATCCAGTGAGAGAAACAGACATGTAATTGCACCATCCACAGCAGTAATCACAGTGAAGTGTAGCAGTGGAGTGAGAGCGGGCCCTACTGCATATACTGCTCACAGTAAGATTCTCCTGCCTCAGCCTCCCGAGTAGCTGGGATTACAGGTGCCCACCACTACCCCCGGTAATTTTTGTATTTTTAGTAGACACAAGGTTTCGCCATGTTGGCCAGTCTGGTCTCGAACTCCTGACATCAGGTGATCTGCCCGCCTCAGCCTCCCAAAGTGCTAGGATTATAGGTGTGAGCCACCGCACCCAGTCTGTTTCTTTTTGCAGATAAAAAACTGTGGCACAGAGAGGTTAAATCACTTGGCCAAAGGGATCACCCAGGGAGTAAGTGGTTGAGGTGTTTTTTTTTTTTTTTTTGAGATGCAGTCTTGCTCCGTCTATCAGGTTGGAGTGCAGTGGTGTGATACCGGCTCACTGCAACCTCTGCTTCCTAGGTTCAAGCAATTCTCCTGCCTCAGCCTCCCATGTAGCTGGGATTACAGGTGTGTGTCACTACACCTGGCTATTTTTTGTAGTTTTAGTAGAGGCGGGCTTTTGCCGTGTTGGCCAGGGTGGTCTTGAACTCCTGGCCTCAGGTGATCCCACCAGCCTTGGCCTCCCAAAAGTGCTGGGATTACAGGCATGAGCCACCGCACCCGGCCTGAGGTGGAATTTGAACTCAGAAAGTCCGGCTCCAATGTCTTCCTTCAAAGAGGCCACGCTCTCTGCCTACAGGTCACGAAGTCCTGGAAGTACTACAGGATGGTGAGAAAATCTCCAAAAGGAGCGAGGGTCTGATCGATCTGACCGGTCAGGAAGCCTGCATCTTGCAGGAGATCTATGAGTCAGGTCTGGGAAGATGAAGAGCAGCCAGGCAGCCTCCTCCACCCTGACCTGGCTGCAATTTTTTTTTTAACCTCTTCCTCACTGTAATACAAGGAGCACTCAGCAAGGGGTTCCTTCCTCCCTGCTGGAAGTCTCAAGTCACAAATGGGTGATAGCTGATGAGAAACGGCTGCATGCAGCGCTTGAGCAGTCAGAAGAGACTTCACAGGGATCCCCTCGTCTAATCTTAGGCGGCCCTTGGATAAGCAAGGCAGGGATCTGTTACCCCTTTCTACAGATGGGAGATTGAGCCCCTGCCCCAGTGAGGCAATCTGCCTAAGGTGTGATTAGAAGAAACAATTCAAACTTGGATCTTCTGACTCCAAATTCCATGCCGTTTCCTCACAGCAGGCTCCCTCCCTGCCAGGATGAACAAACGCACACACCACACTGCTTCCCATGCTCTATGCTTTTTCCCGAATGAAGGCCATTCACAAAAGTCCTGTGAGGTGAGGTCAGGAGTGATCTCCAATTGCAGATTAAAAAAACTGAGGCTCAGAGAGGTGTAAGGACTACCCAAGGTCACACAGCTAGGAGGTGGCTTTGAGTTGGGCTGAACACAAGGAGGAGGGACCTGGCCTGGGCCCAGACTCTGTCACAGTTGGGGAGTGGGGAGGGCTGGAGATTAAGAAACAGGTGAGCAGCAGCCTTCACCCATCAGCCCTGGGGTATCCAGAGACCCCTGCTCAGACCCTCCCACTTCAGGGTTCCCACTTGCCCTTGCCTCTCTTGAGGCCTCCCTGTGCCCCACTTGCTCCAAGTGCCATATTCAAGCAGCACCCTGTGCTTTGAAGGTGGCCCAGGGAAGCTCACTCCATTACTGACTAATTAATTAATTTTTTAAAAAGTGATGGGGTCTTGCTCTGTTGCTCAGGCTGGAGTGCAGTGGTGCAGTCAGTGATAGCTCGCTGCAGCCTTAAACTCCTGGGCTCAAGCAGTCCTCCTGCCTCAGCCTCCAGGGTAGCTGGGACTACAGACATGCACCACTGCGCCTGGCTCAGAACTTTTTTATCTTGCAAATCTGAAACTCTATACTCATTAAACAATAATTCCTCATCCCTCTTCCTCCATATCAGCCCTTGGCAACCACAGGGAAGCTTGACCTTAACTTTTGGTTCCTGCAGAGCAGAGGCTGAGTGGTACAGAGCTCAGGGCTATGGAATCAGATAGGCTGGATTTCAGAGCCTCCTCTCCACTTATAAGCAACTTTGAACAAGTCCCTTTCCCTCACTGAGCCTCGATTTCATCATCTGTAAAATGGAAGAGGATAACAGCGGTAGTAGGAATTCATAATGCCTATAAAAGGTAGATATCCAATAATGGTATCTTTGGTTATTATCATCATTATGTAAGTGAGTAGCTGAAAGTGCCTCAAAGTTGTAAATATCAGATCTGGGATTTTCATTCAAGCTTGCTGCTTTCTTTTTTCTTAAAATAAACACATAAATATATTAAAAAAAAAAAAAAAACAGAGACAGGATCTTGCTGTTTTCCAGGCTGGGCTCAGGTGATCCACCTGTCTCGGCCTCTCAAAGTGTTAGCACTACAGGCGTGAGCCACCACACCAGGCCCTTGCTGCTTTCTTGCTGGGTGACTATGAAAGTCCCTTCACCTCCCTGAGCCTCAGTTTCCTCATCTGTAACCTGGGAAGGTGAGAGAATATGTGGGTGTATGTTCCACACACAGACCATCTTTGGAACCATCATCCTGGGTCCTGATCAAATCTCTCTGTAGGAAGTCCCCTGGGAGGCCAAGTTCTGCAGGGAACAGAATCCTGGCTTTGGCCCCATCTCTAACCCAGGGCCAGTCCAAGGTAGATGCAGGAGGAGCAGGAAGGCAAGTTGGCCAGGCAGGGCAGCCAACCCACTGCTCCCGCTTTGTCCTCTGCAGGGCAGTATGCTTCTTGTGGCCAAGGTCTGGTGGTGCCCTTGGAAGTGCCTCTGGTTAGAAATGGGGCTTGTTCCCAGCTACCTTCTCCCTCAGTCCCCTTCCTGCCAGAGGTAGGTTTGCATGGGGATGGGAGAGAGGACGTGTAGGATGCATTCCAGGGCTCGAAGCAGGAGCCCACATCCTGCCATTCTCTGCCAATCCTCATCTGGATTGGACTCTGGGAAGGGCTGCAGGAGTGGGGTCCAGCTGGAGTCAGCTCTGCCTCCTCTCTGGGGAGGATTGTTGGGGTCTTGCTAGCTGCTGTCTGGGTTGGGGAAGCTGTGCCAGGTGAGCTTGGCACACCAGCCTCTACTGCTCTGTAGCGGGGCCTCTTCCAGCCACTCTCTGGGGCCCGAGCGTGATGTATCCCATCAGCACATACGAGAACTGGTCATTTCCTATCACCTCCCTCAGCCGGTGTGGGCTCTCGGGGTACAGACCCCAGCTCACCTGTCTCAGTATTCCCGTACTGGGCTTAGAGCCTGGCACGCGATGGCAGGAGTTCAATGAGTAACCATTAGTCGGCTGCATGAGTGAGAGGGTGACAGCCACTTCCTTGGGGAGAAGGTGGAAGTGGCTGTGGAACTTTCCACTGGGGGTAGGTTCCCCTGTGGGAGGGCAGGGAAGGTCCCTGAAGCCTTTGGAAGAATGGACCCTCAGGGCTCCTGGCAGGGGCATTTAACGGCAGGTAGAGCCCACCTGGCCTGGGGTTTCCCAGAATACAAACTGGGAGGAAAATAATAACACTGAACAGTCGCGTGGTGCTTCTAAGGACCAGGTGCTGTTCTGTGTTTTACGTTTCCGGGGAAGAAGTAATACTATTGGTGGTCCCCTGTGCAAAGTGGGGCTAATAACAGTACTCACCTCACAGGCATTGTGAGGATCATGAGTTGTTCAAGGGGAGCATCTATCATCACTACTGGCAACTACTTTTTGCTATAAATTGGCTGAGTGGCTAGGACTCCTCTTTACCCTTTACTTGGCATAAGCACTCCTTCCGGAAGCTTCTACCCACCCCCAGCTGGCTGAGGTCCCTTCCTGTGCTCCCATAGACACCTTGGCATAAAGTAGGCGCTCAGCCCATATTCAGGCATACGCAGTAGCAGGCTCACCTTCTTGGTCCCGTACATGACTTCCATGAACTTCTCATCGGCGTCCTGAAAGCGCTGGTCAAGGAAGGAGCTTGTTTTCCGCACCAGGTTCCAGATCATGTAGTTGTTGAGCAGGCTGCGGGGAGAGGAGGCCAGAGAGGCTCAGGGACACCTAGGCAGGGAGGATTGCGGCCCTTCCCCTGCTGGCCCCTAGGGGGCTCTCAAACTTGGCCTGTGACCCCAGGCCCCTTCCAGCCTGCGGGGGCTTGGTGGGTTACTGCTCCCTAAGCACGTGCAATGTAAGCTCTTCAAGGGAAAAGCCTGGGTCTTCTACCATAGGAAACGCTTCAGTGTTGAGTGCAGTCACTTGTATACCACAGGTGCTCAATAAATGCTTGTTGCCTAGCTGCTCTGTGTCTGGAAGCTATGAAGCCCCAGCATGGAGACCCACCCCAATGGTGTATGCTACAGGGCTGGGCTGGAGAGGTGACTACCACTTCTACAGCTTGGAGGTGCCCCAGCCAGAAGGCCAGAGAGGCTAAGAATAGCAGGGGCAGGAAAAGAAGCTCAGCCCAGCCAGGCCAAGCTTTCCATGATGACAGCTCCTACTGCCCCACCTGCAGGGCACAGGGAACCTATCTGTAGCTGTTGCCACCGTTGCCAAGAAGTCACCTTGAGACTGTAGTGAACATCTAACCTCTAATCAGAATCAACCAAAATGCCTGATAATGAGAAGGAGGAAGTAAAGAACTGTATTTGTACACGACGGAGTACTATGCAACCATGAAAAATGATGTTTGCAGAGGTTTTGAGATGACAAGGGGGAAAATGTTCAGGATACAGGTCAAGGGAAAAGGAGACTAGACATTTAGTTATGATAATGGGAAAAAAAGACCACATATTAGAAAACCGATCTCTCTTTCCCTCCTCTCTCCTGCCCTCCCCCATGCTTTCTCTCTACATATGCACACACACATACCACAAGATCAACAGGAGTCATTTAAAATTTTTTCAGAGCCTGGTGAGGTGGCTCACACCTGTAATCTTAGCATTTTGAGAGGCCAAGGTGGGAGGATTGCCTGAGACCAGGAGTTTGAGACCAGCCTGGGCAACATAGTGAGACCCCATCTCATTAAAAAAATTTTAACAAGTAAGTTTGGGGAGTTAGGAAAAAAATAAGTTAAATACGATAAATTTTTTTCCCTATTTTTTTGGTAGTTTTCAAAAAATTTTTTAAAAATTATAAGTATTGCTGGGTGTGGTGGCTTATGCCTGTAATCCTAGCTCTTTGGGAGGCTGAGGCAGGCAGATCAACTGAGGTCAGGAGTTGGGGACCAGCCTGGCAAACATGGTGAAACCCCATCTCTACTAAAAATACAAACATTAGCCGGTGTGGTGGCAGGCGCCTATAATCCCAGCTGTTTGGGAGGCTGAGGCAGGAGAATCATTTAAACCTGGGAAGCAGAGGTTGCAGTGAGTTGAGATCGCGCCACTGCACTCCAGCCTGGGTGACAGAGTGAGACTCCATCTCAAAAAAAAAAAAAAAAGAAAAGAAAAGAAAGAAAATCGTAAGTATTAACTAAAAATAATAGCCAACATTTACTGAGTCCCAGTATATGCTAGGCACTCTATTAAATCACCTCATATGGATTGTTTCACTTGATTCTCACAACAGCCCTAAATGGTAGGTGCTAGGTTTTTTTGTTTGAGACAGGGTTTTACTCTGTCTCCCACGCTGGAGTGCAACAGTGCAATCACAGCTCACTACAACCTCTGCCTCCTGAGCTCAAGAGATCCTTCCACTTCAGCCTCCCTCTCAAGGAGCTGGGTGACAGGCACGCGACACCATGTCTGGCTAATTTTTTATTTTTTGTAGAGACACCGTCTCGCCATGTTGCCCAGGCTGGTCTCAAACGCAGGGACTCAAGGGATCCTCCTGCCTCTGTCTCCCAAAAGTCCCGCAATTACGGGCGTTCATGCCCGGCCACAGGTGATATTTGTATCACCATTTTATGAAGGAGGAGAATGAACTTAAGAAAGGTTACGAAATTTGCCCAAGGCTACAAAGCTGGTAGTTTGAAAGAGGCTGGGATTTAAACCTGTGCCTGTAACCAGGATGTCCTGCTGCCTCTCGTAAAAGCCCGCCCAGGTCCCACTCTCCTGAGTCAGACTGTCATCCCCACCCCTGCCCACCTGCCCAAGAAGAGGGCTGTCTGTGAGAGGCGTGCCCCAGGCCACTGGGGGTCCTCTTACCATCTGTCGGTGGTGTTGATGAGAGTGGAGATCTGCTCAAGGTATTCCTTGTCATAGACCACAATAGGCTCGGATTCATTGATCTCCACGGGGTAGAAGATGGTGTTGAGAAAAGGCAACCAGTTGATGGCGGGTGCCAAGGTCTGCAAGGGAAAAGGACAGTGTGACCCTGTGGGGCTGCTCCTCCTCACAGCCCAGGGCTCTAGGACGGGCTTCTACAGGAAGCAAAGGAAAGAGCTTGGGCTTGGCGCCATCTGACAGCGCACCGGGCAGAGAGTCAAGCGGAGCCTGGCGGGCTTTTGTCAGAGATGCTGTAGGTAGAATTCTAAGGAGTCCAACACCAAAATTTAACCTGAAATGGAATGAGGATGCAATGAGAAGATGCAGCAGCTGCCGCTACCATTCAGCAAGCGTCTCCTGTGTGCCAGGAGCCGTGGCAAATGATTGATGCATATGATTCCACCTGGTCCTCACGCGAGTCCAAGCAGTAGGTACTATTATCCCTGCTTCATGGATGAGGAGACTGAGCTTTAGACAGGCCTGAAACAGTTGAGCTTGTAGACTCTGCAGCCAAACTGCCTGGGCTCATCTTCTAGCTCTCTTCCTTGCTAGCTGTGTAACCCTGGGTAAGTTAATGCATCCTTCTGGGCCTCAGTATCTTGTCTGAGAAGTGGGGATCACCATAATAACAGAACCCACTTCACTGGGTTATTTGTGAGGACTGAACAAGCTTATGCTGTTTGTTCTATTCAACATGGGATTCTGTAAGTAACATCAGTGAACTTCTACATGATTGGTAAATTCAGGAAGACAGCAGCATAACTTCTGAGCTGCATTGGTCCGAAGGTGATATTTCTCAGGCATGGGATCGGGAAGGGTTGAACATTAACTTTCAGCAAGAAAGGAAAAGCCCTCAGCTCAGCTAATGCACACAGCAGGCTGGTCAGCTCTACTTTTTTTTTTTTTTTGAGACGGAGTCTCACTCTCTTGTCCAGGCTGGAGTGCAGTGGTGCCATCTTGGCTCACTGTAACCTCTGCCTCCAGGGTTCAAGTGATTCTCCTGTTTCAGCTTCCCGAGTAGCTGGGATTACAACAGGCACCCACCACCATGCCCACTTAATTTTCGTATTTTTAGTAGAGATGGGGTTTTGCCATCTTGGCCAGGCTGGCCTTGAACTCCTGACCTCAAGTGACCCGCCTGCCTCAGCCTCCCAAAGTGCTGGGATTATAGGCATGAGCTACCGCACCCAGCCTGGTCTGCTCTATTTTAAGATGACTGAAAATGAGCGCTCGCGCCTGGGGCTTCCTCTCCTCACAGAGGCGCCTTCCAGACCTGTAACTCTCAGCCTCCAGCAGGTTGCACTTTCTCTGTGACCCTAAAGGCGCTTGTTCAGAGCTCTCTTTTTCTTTTCTTTTTTTTTTGAGATGGAATCTTGCTCTCATGTCTAGGCTCTAGTGCAGTGGCGTGATCTCAGCTCACTGCAACCTCCGCCTCCCAGGTTCAAGCGATTCTCCTGCCTCAGCCTCCCTAGTAGCTGGGATTACAGGTGTGAGCCACCACTCCTGGCTAATTTTTGTATTTTTAGTAGAGACAGGGTTTCACCATGTTGGTCAGGCTGGTCTCGAACTCCTGACCTCATGATCTGCCTGCCTCGGCCTCCCAAAGGGCTGGGATTAACAGCACTTTGAGCCACCCCACCTGGCCAGAGCTCCCTGTCTTATCTGCAGGGTCTTGGTGTCCACAGCTAGCATTTCCCAGCTGGTGCTTTCCCCACGGCAGCCTCCAGCCATGCTGAGGTACTCCTCAAGTTTCTAATTATTGTTTTGTTAGGATTCTGATTACAAAGTTGCGCAACTTAAAAAAAATTGTGGTACCCTTTGGAAGGCCGAGGCCAGTGGATCACCTGAGGTCAGGAGTTCAAGACCAGCCTGGACAACATGGTGAAACCCTGTCTCTACCAAAATTACAAAAATTAGCTGGGCGTGGTGGTACATGCCTGTAGTCCCAGCTACTCGGGATGCTGAGGCAGGAGAATCGCTTGAACCAGGGAGGCAGAGGTTACAGTGAGCCAAGATCACGCCACTGCACTCCAGCCTGGGCAACAGAGCGAGACTCCATCTCAAAAAAAAAAAAGCTGTGGTAAAATACATATAAAATTCACCATCTTCACCATGTTTAAGAGCACAGTTCAAGGACAGGAGCAGTGACTCATGCCTGTAATCCCAGCACTTTGGGAGACTGAGGTGGGCAGATCGCTTGAGCCCAGGAGTTCAAGACCAGCCTGGGCAACATGGTGACACCCCATCTTTACAAAAAAAAATTTAAAACTTAGCTAGGCATGGAGGTCTGAGCCTGTAGTCCCAGGTGGGAGAATTGCTTGAGCCTGGGAGGTCGAGGCTGCAGTGAGCTGAAATCACACCACTACACTTCAGCCTGGTTGACAGAGTGAAACCCTGCCTCAGAAAAAAAAGAGCACAGTTCAGGGGCATTCAGTCCATTCACACTGCAGTGCTACCATCACCACCACTATCCAGCCACAGATTGCTTTTTTAAATTATTTATTTTGTTTTGAGACACAGTCTCACTCTGTTGCCCACGCTGGAGTGCAGTGGTGCGATCTCAGCTCATTGCAACCTCCGCCTCCCGGGTTCAAGTGATTCTCCTGTCCCAGCCTCCCAAGTAGCTGGGACTACAGGCACATGCCACCACCTTGGCTAATTTTTTTTTTTTTTTTTTTAATAGAGACGGGGTTTTACCATATTGGTCAGACTGGTCTCGAACTCCTGACCTCTGGTGATCCACCCGTCTTGGCCTCCCAAAGTGAGGGGATTACAGGCATAAGCCACCGCGTCTGGCCCCACAGATTTCATCTTGCAAATGTGAGACTCTACCCATCAGGCAATAACTTCCCACTGGCCCCAACCCCCACTCCTGGAAACTACCATTCTACTTTCTGTCTCTATGAACTTGACTATTCTAGGTACCTCATATAAGTAGAATCAGGCAGTATTTGTCCTTTTGTGATTGGCTTATTTCGCTTAGCACAGTATCCTCAAGTAAAGTTGCATAACTTTTGTTCTGCTCTTGTTCTATTTTCCCCACACGTACTGCTATTTTTAGTGTGCGATTTTACAGAACACAAGGTTTTTTGGAATTATATATACTGCTACAGCAAAAATGCCTGTACATGTCGATCACTTAGATGGATATGTCTGGCATTTAGCAAGCAACTCATCAATATTGGCCATTACAATCTTTGTTCAAGGTCTCCCATGTATGTTCCTGGGCCTGTCCAATTCCAAATTCTCTTTTGTTTTCTTGAAAAAGGACAAAATGCAAGACAAAGGAGGTGAGAGAGGCTCCACATATGGCCTTCACATGGAAAAATCAATCAATAAAGTAAAATTGATCTGTAATGTAAGACCAGTCTATAGCCTGTTGGTATATACTGATGACACCCTCTGTGAGGGAGGTAGCCATAAACCCCCGCTTAACAGATGCTGAGGCCGGGCGCGGTGGCTCACGCCTGTAACCCCAGCACTTTGGGAGGCCGAGGCGGGCAGATCACGAGGTCAGGAAAGGGAGACCATCCTGACTAAGAGGGTGAAACCCCATCTCTACTAAAAATACAAAAAATTAGCCGGGCATTATGGTGGACGCCTGTAGTCCCAGCTACGCGGGAGGCTGAGGCAGGAGAATGGCATGAACCCGGGAGGCAGAGCTTGCAGTGAGCGGGGATCGCGCCACTGCACTCCAGCCTGGGCGACAGAGCGAGACTCAGTCTCAAAAAAAAAAAGAGATGCTGAATTTGCAGATGGGGTAAGGTGACTTTCCTGAGGTCACATAGTTAACTAGCCACTGTGGAGGTCTAAAACCCAGGTTCACTCATCTCTTTGGGTTTAAAAGGGCAACTCAGCTGCTGGGGAACAAGGACCTCAAAGGACAGGTGAATTTGTGAGGAGGGCAGGTCCTGAAGGCAGTGGCGTGCTGGTAAACAGTTAACAACTGCGCCGGGCACGGTGGCTCATGCCTGTAAATCCCAGCACTTTGGGAGGCCAAGACAGGAGAATCACCTGAGTCCAGGAGTTCAAGACCAGCCTGGCCAACATGATGAAACCCTATCTCTGCTAAAAGTATAAAAAAATTAGCCAGGCGTGGTGGTGCACGCCTGTAATCCCAGCTACTTGGGAGGCTGAGGCATGAGAATCACTTGAGCCTGGGAGGCGGAGGCTGCAGTGAGCCAAGATCATGCCACTGCACTCCAGCCTGGGCAACAGGGCGAAGCTCTGTCTCAAAACAAAAACAAAAACAAAACAGTTAACAACTGGCTCTCAGTTTCTGGGTAACTCTTCCCACCGTGGCTGATGGTAAAATACCTGCGGAGCTGGTAAGAGATGTGCGCAGCGGACTTGGGGGCCAGGGGGCTCCAGTGCATCCCTGCCAGCTAGGTGAGCTGGGAAGAGCCACTTGGGCTAAGAATGAGCTAAGAATGAGCAGACCTGGATCAGCATCCCCAGGAGGAACCAGCTCTGGGACCTCCAGCCTTTTTCCGTTCTTTCTCTAAAAAGGGGAAAACAGCCTCCCCTCCCAGAGCTGATAGATCTGTGCCTCTTATACCTGCTTGCCCAATAACCCTGAGTTTCTTTTCTCTTTACCTTGTCCTCTCTGCCCTCCTCCTGGTAGGAGGCCCTCAGGCAGGTAACCTCTGAGGCTAATCTTTAACATTTCTGTGACTACAAAAACTGGAGCTGTGCTTGTGAGATCCTCAAATAGGGTTCCACCATTAGAGCCACCTGACTGCATGACCTGTTGGCAAAGGCCTTGGGAAAATCGACAAGTTTACAAACTGTCAGTGTTTACACAGTGGACGAGAGCTCCATAAACTGCAGACAACTGGAACTCTCTGATCAAGGTACAGATATAAGACGGTGAGAAATCCCTGTGTACTCTTCAACACAACCCTGGCCCTTTAGGGAAAGCAGGTGTTCTGTGCAGGGAAGTTCCCATGACTGTCAGATAAGATGTGTTGAATACCAGGATTTTCACATTTTCCATCCTGGCTGCTTTAGTGAACTCCTATCTTAAACACATGTGCCTAGCTCCATCTCCATGGAGACGGCTGTTTTAACTGACTAGGACATTCCACTTGTGACTCACACCCTCTGGGGCACACCAGTGAGCTCCATTTTCCACACCTGCAGCCAAGGAGTACTGTGGGTCACAAACCAACCAATTCAAATAGGTTTGAAACTGGGAGAGAAGAGAAGAATGCTTCTGAGCTTCATCTCAGCTGGAGAAATGGGGTAGAAAATGGGGCTCAGGCCCAAACAGCCTTTGGCGTGAGGGTCCTAGAAAGGAAGGGGAAGGTCCTCAGGCCCCCAGAAGTAATGGAAGAGTGTCTGATTCACAGCTCTGAGTTCAGACTCTGCTGGGGACTAGCCTGGAAGCATTCTGTACCCCAGCAGGGCTAGCCTAGAACCACACTGTGAAACCTGGCGTGCTTTTCCCTAAGTTACCTGGAGTATGGGAAGAAAACCCCATTTCCAGACACCAGGGAACAAGACATTCTCTGTCCCAGAGTAGAATGAATCAAATTGATTTAGTGCTGGGTTCCTGGGTGACATCGCTAATAACAAAGGAATAGTAACAATAATGATGAATATAATATGTTATGCTTGTACTGGGTTGTGCAAATGAGTTTACTGAATGAACTCTCATCCTTTACCTCAACTTATTCTCCAACAACCCTGTGTGGCAGGCCAGGAAGAGATTCTTACTTAGAACACAGGCTTCAGGGGGCCAGGACTTCTTTATTATTTTATTTTATTTTATTTTATTTTATTTTATTTTTTTGAGACGGAGTCTCGCTCTGTCACCCAAGCTGGAGTGCAGTGGTGTGATCTTGGCTCAATGCAACCTCCGCCTCCTGGGTTCAAGTGATTCTCCTGCCTCAGCCTACCGAGTAGCTGGGACAACCGGCGCACACCACCACACCCGGCTAATTTTTGTATTTTTAGTAGAGACGGGGTTTTACCATATTGGTCAGGCTGGTCTTGAACTCCTGACCTCAGGTGATCCACCTGCCTCGGCCTCCCAAAGTGCTGGAATTACAGGCCTGAGCCACCATGCCCGGCCAGGACGTCTTTAAATGTCAGACATAATTTTAAAAATATGCATATATACCCATTTATTCTGGGAGATAGTCCATGGTTTTTGATCTGTTCTCAAAGGACTCTGTGACTTAAAGTTAAGAACCACAGGCCGGGCGCGGTGGCTCACGCCTGTAATCCCAACACTCTGGGAGGCCGAGGCGGGCAACTCACGAAGACAGGAGATCGAGACCATCCTGGCTAACACGGTGAAACCCGGTCTCTACTAAAAATACAAAAAAATTAGCCGGGCGTGGTGGCGGGTGCCTGTAGTCCCAGCTACTCGGGAGGCTGAGGTGGGAGAATGGCGTGAACCCAGGAGGTGGAGCTTGCAGAGAGCCGAGATGGCGCCACTGCACTCCAGCCTGGGCGAGAGCGCGAGACTCTGTCTCAAATTAAAAAAAAAAAAAGAACCACAGGCCAGGTGCGGTGGCTCATGCCTGTAATCCCAGCACTTTGGGACGCCGAGGCGGGTGGATTATGAGGTCAGGAGTTCGAGACCAGCCTGACCAACATGGTGAAACCCCGACTCTACTAAAAATACAAAAATTAGCCGGGCGTGGTGGTGCCTGCCTGTAATTCCAGCTACTCAGGAGGCTGAGGCAGGAGAATCGCTTGAACCTGGGAGGCAGAGGTTGCAGTAAGCTGAGATCATGCCACTGCACTCCATCCTGGGCGACAGAGCAAGACTTTGTCTCAAAAAAAAAAAAAAAAAAAAAAAAGAGGAACCACAGTCCCTTGTGAGGGCAAGGGCTATGTCTCATTTGTGTTCTGGCACACAGCTGGGGTGAGTGAACGAGCCAAGCCCATTTTACAAGGAAGGCAGCCAAATTCACATTAGAATTTAATCAGAAATATCTGTAAAAACTCGAGAGAATCCATATATTTCCTAAAGATCTTAATTGAACTTTGGGTACTTAGAACACAGAGGCTGTTTGGCCAGGCGTGGTGGCTCATGCTTATAATCCCAGCACTTAGAGCTCCAAGGGGCTTACAGTCCTCTGAATCTAAGCCCAGGGCTTGTGTACTACAAGCTGCTGAGTCTGCTAAACTCCCCCCACCTTGGCAGCTGTGCAGCTGGGAGGCAGGAAAAGCCTTTCTTCCTCTGCTTGGAAGAAGAGAGCAGAAGCAGTGGTGATAGGATGCCTGGGGGGAACCTGGTGGCCATGCTGGGCTGATGTGCTCAGGGCTCCTGTGCCTTCTCCGCTATTCCTGGCACAGACAGTTGGCATCATGGCCACGGTAGGGGGCTGAGGCACTGCGGGGGCCCCTCAGGCTGAGAAATCGGCTGGAACAAACCAAATTATAATGCACAAACAACATCACCCTCAGCCTCCTGGCCTCAGAGCAGGAAAAGAGTGCCAGATGGTATCTAACAGCAGCTGTTGATCTCCATCCTGGTCTGAGCAGCACCACTGAGCCTCAGGCCAGTTTCTCTGGGAGCTGAAGGGCAGCCAGCACCAGCAGGAGGCCAGGCTCCCCTGACCCTGATCGTGGGCCCTAGCACGGCCTGCATCTCCGCCTGGGACACCCAGTTGGCCTGGAAATGCTCATCTATCGTTAGACTCACCTTCCCTGACTTCTCCCCACCCCTGGCTCCCAGGGCCCGCTGCTTTTGCCCAAAGCACTCAGCAATGAGACAGGGTTGTTTCTAGCTGGTGTCCCCCACTAGCCAGGAAGCACATGAAGCGCAAGGTCCCAAGACGGACCCATATACACCTGTCAGCTGGAGGAGGGTAAAGGGCAGGGACCTAGTGTTCTTCCTGAAAGTAGAAGGAACGGACAACAGGTCAAATTCGGCTGGTCACAAGGTAAGGAAGGAGGGAGATGACACTCTGCGGGAGCCCCTCCTCAGCAGAGAAGCAAGGCCTGGCCACGCATTCCTGGGTGATGTCAAGAAACGGCAAGATCGGTGGTGGCCATTCTGCTGATCCCTCTGCAATGCCAGCTGATGCTCTGGAAAGAAGGAACCAGCAAGCTATTCTCTCTGGACCCTCAAGAACCAAGCAGCCACCAGAGGGCAGCCTTTGGCAGAGGCTGAGCCCTTGGACGTTGGGCTTCTCCAATGGGTGACAGAGAGCATCACAGATCTAACGCCCTGTTGTACAGTGAGCCCATCTGCGGCTGGCTCCTCTGCCACTTAGGAGCCTCCGGACCTTGATCTGGCTCAGAAAAGGGAAAAGTAATGACAGAATCCACACCATGCATTTATTAAGTGCTCACTGTAACCAAGTTCGATGTGCTTGGTGCTGGAGAGACTGGAAAGGCGCTGTCAATGTAAGCTGGTGTGGTCATGACCCCGAGCCTCCAAGTAAACACTATTAATTACAGAGAAGCAGCCTGGTGTCGGCCAGGCGCCTATTTTGGAGTCACTTACTAGCTGTGTGCCCTTCAGCAGGTAACTTGACCTTTCTGAGCATCAGTTTTTCCATCTGTGGACTGGGCATAACAACCATCCTTCCTTTGTCACATAGTTTCAAGGACTAGATGAAATGAGTATAAAAGCCCCCAGTCCAGGGCCCTGTCTGAAACCTGGAGGCCATCCCAGCCTCCCTAGCAGCCGGCGCTCAAGTTACCTGCAGCTCGGCTGCCGTCACTTTGTGGTAGATGAGCTCCTCATCACGGCGCTTCTCCTGTGGGATGGTGATGTTGGCCAGTGCCGTCTCAAAGTCCAAGATCTGCTGCATCTGGGGCCGGATGGCCTCCTCGTCCCCGCCGCCCAGCAGCTTCCCCAGCTGGACCATGTAGTTCAGATATCCGGTCAGCACCTGCAGGGCCCATACCCCAAACTGTCAGTGGCTGCCCCCCCACTATCCACTGGACGAGAGTTGGTGGGGGGCTTGGCCAGCCAAGTCCGGCACAGGGAGCCAGGGGGCTGCACAGTGCCCCCAAGACACCCGTGGGGCCAGGTGTGGTGGCTCACGCCTGTAATCCTGGCACTTTGGGAGGCTGAGGTGGGTGGATCACCTAAGGTCAGGAGTTTGAGACCAACCTGGCCAACATGGCGAAACCCCGTCTCTACTAAAAATACAAAAATTAGCTGAGCATAGTGGGAGGTGCCTATAATCCCAGCTACTCAGGAGGCTGAGGCAGGAGAATCACTTGAACCCAGGAGGAGGAGGTTGCAGTGAGCCCAGATTGTGCGCCATGGCACTCTAGCCTGGGCGGCAGAGAGAGACTTTGTCTCAAAAAAAAAAGAAGAAGACACCCGTGGGAGACACAGCATTGAGAATGATCTCGGGGCCGTGTCTCTCTGCTGCTTCCCTACAGCCTCCAGGAGAAAGCCCAAAGTCTTGGCTCGTCTCACAGGTCCCCACCTGGGCTGGTCCCTGTCTTCCAGGGCTTGTCCTGGGGCTGTCTTTCCATTCTTAGAATGCATCTTTTCTGACCACCCCCCACCCGTGTTCCAAGATCTGAATTAGGTCTCCACGGTAGACTTTCTCAGCTTCACTTTCTCTTAGTTAAATAATATCCGCCTCGCCGACCAAACCACAGGCCCTGTGGGACGAAGGCTATGGTGGTCTTGTCTGCTACCATCTCCCCAGCATCAGGCACTCTGTGGGCGCTTGGTCAAGTACATGCCGGCGGAAGGATGAAAGGACAGATGAATGAGTTCCAGGTGAGGTCGCCCCAAGAGGCATCACAAGAGGCAGGCCAGGGGGAGGGAGAGCCATGGGCTTCGGAGCACGTGGATCCGGATGTGAATCTCAGGCTCGTCATTTACTGGCTATGTGACCTTGAGCAGATCACTTAGCATCTCTGAGCCTGATACCCTCTTCTGTAAAAGGCAAGACAAAACTAATTCCTGTTTGACAGATGAGGCAAATGAAGTTCAGTATCTGCAGGGTTAATGGGAGGGTCACAGGTGATGTATAAAGGGCCAGGCGAATTGTGGTAGCTGTTATTGCTGCCTCTGCCTCTCTCTAGAACCAGGACAAATGATACCTGTCTCTTGCCCCTTGTGTCCATGATGCCTGAGTGACACAGCCAGCCTAGGGGTGTCCCTCCCCTGCCAGGGTCTGCCTGTTTCACCCATCAGGTCACTGACACCCCTGGGCTCCCCTAGCTTCAAAGACCTGCACAGGTGTGGGTGTGGACACGGAGCAGGAAGGACCGTGCTGGGAGGCAGGCTGGGAGGGGAGAGGCACGCTTACCTTCTCGTTTTCAGTTTTGTTCAGGTAATAGTCTCTCGAGGGCAAGCCCAGGCCAGACTGGTCCACCTGGCAAGAGAAGCAGGCATGAGAGGGAATTCGTGTTGCAATGCGTGTATCCACTGCACGGCCTCCTGCCCTGGGAATGGCTGGCACATGGCAGCAGAGGCCCAGCTCAGGCCCTTGGAGAAGCAGGACTGCTGGCTACAGTCACTGAGAAGCCCACTCAGGGACGGGATGACACATTCCTGCCTGTCCACGTGGCCCCCCCCCGCAGGGCTCCTGGGCTCCTCAGAAGGGCTGGACAGAGCCACCCTCCTTTTTAAACAGCTACTTGCCTCGGCAAAGTGCCTCTATCTCCCCAACGCTTTCCAGGTGGTTAAGAGTCACTCAAAAGCTGTGTGATCTTGGCCAAGTTACTGAACCTTTCTGATTCTCAGGTTTCTTCTCAGGTAAATAGGGAAAATAAAACCTAACCTTCAGAGCTAGAATGGGGATTCAAGAAGACAGTGCTGGTCAAGTGCCTGCCAAGCAGGAGGGGAGGGTCAAATTCTGCTTGCTACTATTGGCACCCATGGCCACATCTTGGCATACCTAGGACAGGTGTTATTGCAATCCATTTGATTTATAAGGTAACTGTAGCTCTGAGAGGTTGAGGCACTTGCCCAAGGTCACACAGTGACTGAATGGTAGAGATGGGCTGGGAACTCAGCTTTTAGGACCCCCAGCCTGGGTTTCTCACTTCTGCATTGGAGGTTGGGGCAGACCAGTGCTGGAGCTCCCCTGGGCAGGCTGAGCCTCTGTCTGGGGCATGCTCTGACAGGGAGAGATGGATTCAAACCCATTCCAAGAAGAGTTACAAAGAGCAGACGCTAAGGAGGGGGAAACCAGGATGTGGGTTCAGCTGTGCCCAGGAGTTGACATCATTCTTGGGGCCCACGGAAACCCATCAGCACCCAAAGTTTCACCTGTATGCAGTGCCCATCTACGCAAGGCCAGCAGCCTGCAAAGATCTCACCAGTGGGGCCTCTGGAAATAACCCAGGCTCAGAAACTAGAAGACCGCCGTCCCACCCAGGGCAAGCCCCTCTCCCACCCCAGGTCCTGCTAAACTCAAAACAGGAAGAGGTCGTGCCCGCCCCCTCGACCGCTGCAGGTTCAAGCTAGCTCACCTGGATCACGTTGCTGTTGGAGTTCTTGGAATCGGCACTGACATAGACAGAGAAGAAGGGTGAGGTGCGGTAGTGGGCGGTGACCACCTGCAGGGTGTCCTGGAAGTTGTCCTTGGCCCAGGGACCTGTGATGTTCCAGCCCCCGAGCTGTGGGGAGGGAGAGCAGGCAGGGAGGTGATGAGGTGGCGGGGAGACCCAGATGTGAATTCTGGTTCTGCCGCTGACTTGCTCTGTGACCCTGGAGCAGTCGCCTGACCTCTCTGAGCCTCAAGAGCAAAGGAAAGGATTGGTCTTCATCGGGGGTTTCCGACCCATGAGCTGGAGACCCATGGATGGAGCAAAGGCTTATCCTAGACAAGCCAAGCAGCCAGGCATGAATCCAGCCGCTCCCTGGGTGGCTGGGATGAGAATGGGAAAGAGACTTTTCCCGGTTCACGGTTTATATTTTGGATAATGAATTGTGTGAATGTGATTATATCAAAACATAAATTCAATTGTGCCTCTGGGATAAAAAAGGCTCCACATGTTTAAGAAGGTTGGTAAATTACGGTCTACTTTAGTCTCAAAGTTGGGATTTTAAAAAAATTTTTTTTGAGATGGAGTCTTGCTCTGATTCCCAGGCTGAAGTGCAGTGGGGCCATCACAACTCACTGCAGCCTCCACCTCCTGGGCTCAGGTGATTGTCTCACCTCATCCTCCTAAGTAGCTATGACTACAGGTGTGTATCACCACACCTGGCTAATTTTTAAATTTTTTGGAGATGGGGTCTTGCTATGCTGCCCAGGCTGGTCTTAAACTCCTGGCTTCAAGTGATCCTCCTGCCTCAGCCTCCCGAGAAAGTTGGGATTTTAAAAAATCTCCCTGGTCTTCCCTGGTTTGGCACATGGGACCTGTCCAGAGAGGAGGGGACTAGCATAGTCCCCAGCGCATGCAGCCACCAACCCTGCTGCAATGCTTTCCTGGAGCCAAGCTAAGAGGCAGGGCTGTCCAGGGAACACGAGGCAGGCAGAAAACATCCACAGACACCTACTGTCTGCACCAGGAAGCCTCAGAGTCTGGGAAGTGCCCAAGAAAGCAAGAAAGATGTCTTCCCCTGCTCAGGAGTAAGCAGGTATAGGAGAGTGGCCTGGGTCCCTGCTCACGGGGAGGGCTCTGGTTCTGGGCCAAGACTCTCTGTGGGTCTTTCTGGAACAGGCACACACCCCTCCACACACACAAACATAACCCCTGAGGAAAAAACAGCAGCAACGTGGAGGAATATTTTCCCTCTAAACATGGCCCCCATCCCACACACAGATGCACAGAGAGACACACAGACAGATGACAGACATCTACAACAGATGCTGACACACACTCTCACACAAACACATGCACAGACAACCCACCCACGCAGCTACGCAATGTGCTCACACTCACATGTGCTCTCGCACACTCGCTCTCTCTCTTTCTGTCTTTCTCTTGGTGCTACCGGCTGGACGTATGAGGTGGGCCAGTGGTACCAGAAGGCTGGAGTGGAAGCCAGGGGGCGGGCAGGTGGCATGGGCCGGGGCTTGGGGAGGGAGAGCCCGAGGCACTCACCCTCTCAATCAACTCCATTAGAGGTTTGGCCCTGAGCTCCTCGATCCTGGTCTCGTTCATGCACGCACGGTAGTATACTTGCGCCTTTCTCTCTGCCTCGCTCACGCTGGCCGTGGAGTTTTCTGGAACAACAGACAGTGGAGTTTGCAATGCGGCCCCACTTGCCCACTGGGTGGCTTTGGGGCAGTCCCTCTTTTCGGAGCCTTGGTGTTCTCAGCTGCAAAGGAGCTCTGACATCTGCCTGTCGGAGTGGCAGTGAGGAATGCCGTCACCGTGAGTATGTGAGGGCCCCTGGACAGAGCCTGGCAAGCTGAAGGCGCTCCCGAAATTTTGCTGACTGCAAAGAAAAAGAATCGACCACGTTTCTCTCCCTCTGCCAGTTGGGTTCACAGACGTGTCCCCGGGTTGACCGCACGTGCCCACCAGCAGGACAGTGTTCTTCCCCTGTGGATAACGTGTGGTACGAACACCCCTGCCTGGTGCATGGGACAGAGGCCGGTCTTGGTTTTCAGATACCAGATGATCTTTCTTGTGATAAAGACTGAAGTTGGATGGAAACTCAAAAGGCTCATTCATTATGAATTTACTTTTTGCTTCCTCCTTGGAGGGGCTAGGCACGTTCACCAGGCTTACAGCCAACTCCTGGGGCCGTTTTCCACCGCCCTTGCCAACTCCAGCAAGCAGCATCTCCCTCCTGCAGTGGCTTCTCAGACCTTACCCCAGACACCCGGAGATTCTGTTCCCTTCTCCCTCACCTCAGTGCCCTGGTCCAGATGCCACCTGCTAAAGGCAATGCTCCGGTGGGTGCACCTGGTGAAGATGACCGCTTCCTGCCACTCAGGTCCACAAGGGACCCACTATATACTGGGGCTCTGTGCATGAGCCTTCTTCTCAGAGCCCTGCTCCAGGCCATGCCAGATACTCTAAACCCCTCAATTCCATCTGTCCCTCTTGCCTCCTCTGGGAAACTCACTGCTCCAGACACATTCCCTCATTTCATGTTCATTTCTCTCTGGCCCTGAAGCCCCTTCCTTTGCCTCCTTCAAAGATCCCTCAAACCCCAGCTCCTTCACAAAGACTTTCCTGGCAGAACTGTATCCATCCACCCTCTGACCAGATACTAGATGCTTACTCTATGCTAGGCCCTGTGTAAGCTGTGGGACACAAGAGAAAACATCCCTGTCCCCAAGGAGCTTCTGCATGGGACCCTGTTAAAATCCTACTCAACCTCAAGGCCTCTACGGGGACATCTTTTTGATGAAGGCTCTCCTAAGATGTTCATTCCCAAAGGCCCTCACCGCTCTGCATACCTGTGTCCACCATTAGACCGTGAGCTCCTTGGGACAGAAAGCGGGTCTTATTTATGCCTATAAAATTCAGAGCCCAGCCCTGTGCCTGGCACCCAGCAGAAACTCAAAGAAATGACCACAAGACACGACAGTGCTATGAACAACGCACGTGGCTATGGAACACAGAGAAAAGTCACTCCCTTCGGAGGGGTGGGGAGAAGAGGGGTCTCCAGAGGGCGTTCCATTTGAGCTGGTTCTGAAAGCTGAAGTTGTTCACCAGGTGGAAGGGAGGGGAGAGGCCACTGGGTTGCGCGGAGCAGGACAGGACAGTGTGGGGACAAGCGGGGATGCCTGAAAGGGCAGGCGGACTGCTTGGAGAAAAGAAAGCTGTCTGGCGTAGTCACTTGGAGCAAAGGACATGAGTCACTTCCTGGCCAGTCTTTCATCAGCTTTCCCAGCCTCACCCCGAGAGCTCCCTGCCCCCCGATCCTCACCATAAATAGCACCATGGCTTTCACTGATCAGAGCATCGAGCCCCGGTCTTGCTGACCTCAGGGTGATGGCCCTGAAAGGGGGACGGGACCAGCTTGGGGCTAGTCTGAAGGAAGACACAGAGACAAGAGAGCCCCTTGAGAGACAGGGTCAGGGGCCTGAACGAGGGGCTATGGAGGGTTCGTACAGCCCTGGAGACCATGGGCTACTGGGTTGCTAAGTGCTGGAAACACCTGCATGTCCCCCAGGCACCACGGCAGCTCTGAGAAGAGGACTCTGTGAGGGGAGGGCGGAAATGGGGAAGCTGGGATACAGAAGATCAGGGAGAGCAAAAGGGGAGTGCCTCGCCCCTCCCAGGGGCCTCGTTCCTATGGCAACACTCCCAATGAAGCTCTTGGAAGAAAAAGCAGGAGAATCGTCATTGCTCCCCAGGCCTCAGATGCAGCGTCTCACCCTCCACATCTGGCTCCGGCCAAAGCCCTGAAATGCCAGGGCCAGCGCTGGGGAAGGCACTCTGTGTGCTCTGGCCCATGAGTGAGCCTGGCATCTCCCTCCCCCAAGGCCACAAAGATAAGAGGCCTAAAGAACAGCTCCCAGGAGCAGCCTGGCTGTGCTAATCACAGCGAGTTCCGAGGCCCTCTTCCCTAACACCTGTCTGCAAGCCCCAAATTATCACCGGGAGGGAGAAGGAATGCCTCCTTCAGACACAGCCTCCCTTGCTCCTTCGCTGAGAGGCTGCCACAGGCCAGGTTCAAACTCCATTCCTTTGGCCCCCACCACCTGGGTGCCACGCTCACTTGCTTTCCCACATTGTTTACAAAGTTCCTTTTGCCTGGCAACCGCCAGGCCGGGTGTGGGGGACAGTGGGCAACATAACTGGAGGCCTGTCCACGTGAGGCATGCAGCGTGGTGAGTGAGGCAAACGGCAGCCAAGGACTCGCGGGAGCATCTGATTACGCACGGGGTGAACGCTGTGAGAACATCCCAGAGGCCTTGAAGGGGAGGGCGGGAGGAGACCAGGGAAGCCAAGCAAGGCCCCGGGGAAGCTTCGTTTGAGCTTCGGGCTGAAGGATGAACTCAATGTGGAGTAGAAGCAGGGGCTGTGCCTGGGCTGCCCCTCCGCCATTCCATGTCTTAGTGGTCCCTGCAGCCCCAGAACCAGCCCTGGATAGGGACCTAGTAGGCCCCTAGCAACAGGTGGTGGCTGCAAGAACAGAGCCCAGTGTCCCTTTCTGGAGAGGAAGGACATCTGGAAGATGAGAGGGTGATGAGGCCGGATGCCCACCTAAGGTTTCCTTTTTTTATATTTATTTTTTTTTTTTTTGAGACAGAGTCTCGCTCTGTCACTAGGCTGGAGCGCAGGGGCGCAATCTCGGCTCACTGCAACCTCCACCTCCTGGGTTCAAGTGATTCTCCTGCCTCAGCCTCCCGAGTAGCTGGGACTACAGGCGTGTACCACCACGCCTGGCTAATTTTTGTATTTTTAGTAGAGACTGGGTTTCACCATGTTGGCCAGGATGGTCTCAATCTCTTGACGTGTGATCTGCCCACTTCAGCCTCCCCAAATGCTGGGATTACAGGCGTGAGCCACCATGCTTGGCCAAGATTCCCTTTTTTTTTTTAAAGGAAATCGGGCAGGTGGGGCAGGAGTGGACAGGATGAGGGGGCCCCGCCAGGAGTTGGTGTTCATGCCCCCTCTGTGTGTGTCATCAGTATCCCCACTGCCAATGCTGGCTGGGGCAGGAGCCCTGGTAGAAGGTACGGTTCCTCTTCCTCCCCCTGGTTCCAGGAGCCCACGGGGACAACCCACGGCACACTCTCCCACCTCTTCTTTTTCCTCCTCACTCAGGGAGCACCTACTATCCTGCAGGCTCCAGGGGACAAGAGCCCAAGTGAGGCTGCCAGGCGGGAGGCTGCTGCAGGGGACCAGGTGAGCAAAGGTGGGCGCTTGGCCAGGATGGCGGCAGAGAAGGGGGCGAGAAGTATTTGGAACATGAGAGAAAGGAGAGTCAAGAATGGAGTCAAGTTTCTTTGGCCTGAGTGAGAAGCTGCTGACACTGGGGAACCGCAGCCTGAGGATGAGGGGCAGGCTTAGGAAGGAGCTTCAGTGCACACAGCTACTGCCTAAAGCTCAGCTCCAGACACTCGAAGTTTGAGGCCTCTATGAGACACCCAAGGGGAGCCCTGGTCTGGGGAGTCTGTAGAGTGCATTGTCTTGAACTCCTTTTAGTCCAAATAGGCACTGGAATATACCAATTCCCCCCCCCCCTTTTTTTTTTTTGACACTGAGTCTCGCTCTGTCGCCCAGGCTGGAGTGCAGTGGCACGAACTTGGCTCACTGCAACCTCCGTCTCCTGGGTTCAAGTGATTCTCCTGCCTCAGCCTCCCGAGTAGCTGGGATTACAGGCATCCTCCATCACGCCCGGCTAATTTTTGTATTTTTAGTAGAGACAGGGTTTCACTGTGTTGGCCAGGCTGTTCTCAAACTCCTGACCTCAGGTGGTCTGCCTGTCTCGGCCTCCCAAAGTGCTGGGATTACAGGCGTCAGCCACCGCACCCAGCCCCAATTCCTGAAATTGGCCAGAAGGCTCTATATCACGCATCCCCAACAGGGGCAATACTGCCCCCAGGAATTTATTCTTGCAGGACAAAGCATCTCACGCTTTTTACTCTGTGTATACAGACTAAGAATAGCAACAGACATCCAGAGTACCTGTGGCATTAACATTTCATGGAGGCGTAATGATAACTGCAGGCTGAGAAATGCCACCCTGGGTGACGGGGTCTGCGCTCCCACCTGTCTCCAGCTCCTGCCCCACACTCTTCCCCATGGCTGGCTGGTCTCTTCTCTCCTTAACTCAAGCATCTGCTCAGACATCCCTTCTGAGAAAGCCCATCCCTTCCTGATCGCTGCAGCTACAATCGCCTCTTCCCTCTCTGGCCCCATGCCCTACTTGATGTTTTTGAGCCCTTCTCTTTACAATCCTATCATGTATTTAGTCATTTATTTGTTTACTGTCTGTCTTCCCTGCTGGAATGTAACTTCCACAAGAAAAGACTGTCTTATTCCTACATAATCCCCAGCCCCAAGCAATGCCTGGCACACAGAAAGTGTCTGATGCATAATTGGTGAGTGAATAAAGGAATGAATGACAGAGAAACGTAGCACTCTAGCCTGCGGGAGGTGACTGGGCTTCAAAGTGAAATGAGTGGCTCATGTCTGTAATCCCAGCACTTTGGGAGGCCAAGGTGGGTGGATCACTTGAGGTCAGGAGTTTGAGACCAGCCTGGCCAACCTGGTGAAACCCTGTCTCTACTAAAAATACAAAAGTTATCCGGGTGTGGTGGCGGGTGCTTGTAGTCCCAGCTACTCGGCAGGCTGAGGCACAAGAATCGCTTGAACCCAGATGGCGGAGGTTGCAGTGAGCCGAGATAGCGCCACTGTACTCCAGCCTGGGCGACAGATCGAGACTTGGTTTCAAACAAAACAAAACAAAGTGAAATCAGGCACAGACCTTTTTCTGAATAAGAAAAAGGTCTCTAGGACTGTGCCAACCCTCCATAGCCCCTCGTTCAGGCCCCCAACCTTGCCTCTCAAGGGGTGCTCGTCTCGGTATCTTTTTTCAGACTAGCCCCAGGCTGGCACTGTCCCCTTTCGGGGCTGTCACTCTGAGTTCAGCAAGACCAGGGCTTGATGCTGTGGTCTCCTTTAAGACACCCCTGGCTCATGTTTACTTCCCAGAAGATTTCATGGAGGCAAAGAAGAAGCCAACACCCAACAGTGTGGCTCCTGGCACTATGCTGGGGACACATTTTGGAGACAGCAGCACTTCTGCGGCCTCCTTGTACTATGAAGATCTTTTGGCAGCCTAGGGCCACACAACAGAGCTCCACACTGCCTGGGTACTTCCTTCTAGGGGCCCCGAGTTCCAGAAGCTTCCTCAGTCCCTACCCCAAAGTCCCAGAGAGGAAGACAGAGCACCATTTCATCGGCCGCTTCTTCCTCTGGGAGTTTTCATTGGAATGCCCTCTCCACATCACTCCTCAGGGAGGAAATGAACGCCCAGGCAGGCAGAGCTGTGGGGTATGATAGGGGTGTCTGGGAATCCCCCGTATGCTGCTGGGATAGGGGTGTCTGGGAATCCCCCACGCGCTGCTGGGATAGGGGTGTCTGGGAATCCCCCACATGCTGCTGGGATAGGGGTGTCTGGGAATCGTGCGGCCTCCCTTGATGCAGTGGGACCATCTGGCCAGGAGCCTGTGGGGCCCTGACTCCACACCAGGGCAGGACCAGTGTTTGTTTTAGATAAAACTAGACTCCGTTCAGACAGTCACAGGCCTCAGGAGCCCCATCCTGTGCTGGGGGGAAGGGGTGCTGATAAAGGAGACGCCTTGCTCTGCAGAACAAAAATAATTCCACCACTGCCACCGCTCACAGCATCTACAGCAGGCCCTGTGCTGCTGTCACAACCTCACCCTGGTCCCCTGAGGCGGATATCACCATCCCATTTCAGAGACAAGGAAAATGAGGCCCAGGTGCGTGAAGAAACTGGCCTATCAAGGCAGAGCTAGCGGGTAGCATGCTGGACTTCTAAGCCTTCCTGAGAAAGTGAACTGCTTCCTCTGAGATGGGCATAGGCATGGCTGTGTGTGCATCTTGTCCTGACCATTCCACAGTGGCTGTTATCACACTCCATTTACAAGTAAGAGGTTGGGTAACTCGTCCTAGGTCGCAAAAGTGGCTGTGGCCAGGACTGGAGCCTAAGCCTTTTCTGCTTCCCTGTCCTTTCCTGCAGGTTGGCTCAGAAAACCGGAGGTGAAGCTGAAGCAGCCCAGCTGGCCCTAAGAAGCCCTGGACGCTCCCTCCCATCCTCACATCGTTGAGTCAATGCTATTATTTGAATGTCTGTGTCCCCTCCAAAATTCATGTTGGAACTTAATCCTTAAGGAGCAGTTTTAAGAGATGGGGCCTTTAGGTCATGAGGGCTCTGCTCTATGAATGGATTAGTGTCTTATAAAAGGGCTTGAGGGGGCCAGTTCCCCCCTCTTCAGTCCCATATGCCATGTGAAGACACAGTTCATGGTGCCATCTTGGAAGCAGAGAGCAACCCTTAACAGACACTGAACAAGCCCGTGCCTTGATCTTGGACTTCACAGCGTCCAGAACAGTGAGAAATAAATTTCTGTTGTTTACAAATTATCCAGTGTATTAGTCTGTTTTCCCACTGTTGATACAGACATACCCAAGACTGGGCAATTTACAAAAGAAAGAGGTTTAATGGACTTCCAGTTCCACGTGGCTGGGGAGGCCTCACCATCGTGGTGGAAGGCAAGGAGGAGCAAGTCACGTCTTACATGGGTGGCAACAGGCAAAGAGAGAGAGAGGCTGTGCAGGAGAACTCCCATTTTTAAAACCATAAGATCTTGTGAGACTTATTCACTATCACAAGAACAGCACGGGAAAGAGCCGCCCCCGTGATTCAATGACCTCCCACTGGGTCCTTGCCACAAAATGTGGGAATTGAGGGAGCTACAATTCAGGATGAGATTTGGGTGGGGACACAGCCAAACCATATCATCCAGTCTGTGGTATTTTGTTACAATAGCACAAACAGACTAAGAATCAATCAATCCACGTAACCATTCCCCAAACAGGAAGGCAGCACCCACTCCTGTAGACACCATACTGGATAGAAAGCATTCATGATGCAGATGCTGTCCATAGATGGCTTCCTTCCAATATGCGCAGGAAGATGAAACTCAATTAGACAGCAGGTATTAGGAAAATATGTCAAAATAAAAATACGAGCGATGTCACAGGGTGACATGATTAATTGCCACATCACCGACATGGACACGTTTAACGCTATTGGAATATTGTATGTCTATCTCCCAGGGAGACTGGAAGGCAGACTGCTAGTTTTTTCTTTATGGAATCTGTGTTGCTTGAATTGTCACAATGAGCACGCATTGATTTTTTTGTATGCGTTCATCTTACAGTATAAAATACAGTAAAGCAAACAGGACAGGTGCACACAGTGTACTTGTAGCTCAAGCCTAGAGAGGCCCTTTGGTAGCCACAGAAGACAATGGAGGCAGCAGGTTTGAGAAAAGTCTCGGAGGCTTTGGAGGGGGTGGTGTAGGCTCTCTAGCTGGTAGAATAATCTGAGCTACAAGCACAGTTGGAAAGTCCAAGGCAGGGCCAAGTCTAAGGGCTGAAGGGCCTGGCTGCTTCCTTCCTCTGATGAAGTGAGGCCACCCACTCTCATCTCCCCAAAACCTACAAGGACAGCCCATGCTGGCCACTTGGGGGAGTGGCAGAGTGAGGTGCGAGGCATCTGTGTGTCCTGCAGCTGAGGTCAGCATCCCCAGCTGGCAGACTGCCAGGTCATGCCACAGTGGCACCTGGCCTAGTTCGGCCCACCTGCTACAGAACTGCCTGGATTGCCTCTGAGGAGCCTAGCATGAATTCACCTGGCAGAGAAATGCATGGCTTGCCCAAGGTCACACAAGCAGATGGTAATAACTATCTTGCCGGATCGGCTGACACAATCCACACTGGCACTCTAAATGTCCCTTCTCCCCTCTCCGCCTAGAGGGAAGCCCTCGCCTCAGCAGGTCAGAGTGGCCTGGGCACCTCCGGCTTGTTCCCGTGCCCATCAGCTCTGGCTCCCTTCCGACGCCTGTTGGCTGACCCCTTTGTCTTGGAGACGCTGAACCCAGCCTGGCCTTAAGCCCAAGAATGCACTGGCCCACACTCCTGCATTTTTTTGTCACCCACTCACCTGCCATCTGCCTCTTCAGGAGTTTCCATGTATCAAAGTCCCAGGTATCAAGCCCACAGGTGAGGGGCCATTTCCAGACTAGTTCCGAGGACTGAGCCTTGAGGGAGAGGACCCCAGGATATGTCTTCCGGGGAAGCCCCTAGTCAGTATGACATGGGGGTGACCCCAGCTCCTGTGTTCACTGGACCTGGGCTGGGGCTTGGCTGGCCTGGGCTGAGAACTCTGTGGAGCAGCCGCTGGGGAAAGGAGGCAGGCGAACCACACTTCTCGGCTGCTCTCCCTGCCAGCAGTGCCGACCCAGGGCCTCTCCCTGCTGAATCTGACAGTAGAGTGAGTAGAGAAAGAATACAGGCTTTGAGGTCCCACAGCTCTGGGTCTAATCCCAGCCTCACCATTTCCTAGGAAATACATTTCCTTCATATTCATGAGTCTCATCTGTAAAATGTGCAAATGCAGCCTACTCCATGAGTTTACTATGAGAATTCAATGAAATAATACAAGTGAGATGCTCAGTGTGTCATAGCTGTATTCTGCACCTCCTTCCTGACAACTGGGTCCACATACCAGCGCTTCTCTAATAAATAAGAAATAATGACTTTGTTCTTTGCCCACCCAATTAACCCTTAGAGCATCCCTACTAATGAGCTGAGTTTCAGTTAGTTCCCACTTTATAGGTGATGAGCCGAGGACCTAAAAATCTGGGTGACCTCTCTGCAGTCATACAGCTTGTTTGTAAGAAGTCTGGGTTGGAACTCACCTACCACCACCAAGGAGGGCAGCTGTGCTTTGACGAGCACCTACTAGGTGCCAGGCTAGTATTCCGATGTATTCCAGTGCTCAGCACTTTGAACCATCCCAGGCAAGTCAATACTCACAGTAACTGTATGTGTTAGGAGGCATCATTATCCCTACTGTACAGATAATGAAACTAAGTGGGAGAGAAGCCAGGTCACTTGTCCAAGGCCACACGAGTGATAAGCAGCTAGCACACCAGGACTGCTTGACTTCAGAACTCTGCGGTCTGGCCTCCTGGTATCACCAGACCTTGGCCTCGGGGTCAGGGTTGAATGCATGATTTTGGGTTGTTCCATGGCCCATTGGATGCAGCTCCCCACCCACGGCTTGATTGTCAGGAACAGTGGGGATGGACTCAATCTTGGCTCAGACCTAAGGTTCTCCCAGTGAGAACCAGCCCCAGAACCAGTCAGACCAGAACCCACACAATGCACAAGAGCCCATTCTGGGCCTCACTGGGAAGCTAGAGGGCCTGTCCACTGTCCTGCCCCATCCCCTCTAAATGCTAACTGCTCCCCAGAGAGTGAGCCCCTCACCATTTTGGACTGGTGGTATATCCTTGACAAAGTCACTTAACCTCTGGGAGCCTCAGTTGCTGCATCTATAAAATGGGAACAACAATTCCGAAGTCTGGGGTTGTGAGGATTAAGGAAGCAGTGGCTCTAAAGAGCATGGTACAGTGCACAGCGCACGGCGGACATCCGTGTCTCTCCTTCCTTCAGGCCCTCAGGCTCTGCGCCCCCTGCAGGTTCTTGCAGGCACTGCGGAAAGGGAGCTAATGTCTGTCCCTTGTACCTGAAGGAGGTGGTGTGGGACAGAGGAAAGGGCACAAGACCAGGCATCAAGCAAGTCTCAGCTCTGCCACTCACTAGCCTATCATGAGGACCTCTCCGGATCTCGCTTTCCTCATCTACCAACAGAGTGAGCAACACCTTCCCAGCTTCCACCCTGCAGGATCAAGTGGGATGGTGTCTACAAAACAGCTCTGTAACCTGTCAAATGCTGTGCAAAGGTCAAGGGTGAATAACAGTAGCATCAATACAAACAGCAGCCACCACAACATGCCAAGCCTAGGCATGGTTTAAATACATTTAAATGTATTTCCCATTTAATTTTCAAAATTCAGAGGAGGCATGGTTCCCACTGTACTCATGAGAAAACAAGCCAGGGAGGTGATGTAATTGACCCAAGACCTCATAGTAAGTGGCAGAGTCCAGATTCGAACCCAGGTCCTGGTGAGTCTGAAGCAGAGGAACCGACCCACCTTGTTATACTACCTGGACTATGGGCCCTGCCAAGCCCCCAGCTGTGATGTTAGGCACTGGAGAAGGGTCGTCCTTGAGTTCCAGTCTTGCAATGATAGACATATTTGCCTTTTAAGTGTCTGGTTCTAAAATGAAAAGCTGCATGCCCTTTCAAAGGCACTTTGGTGGCATAAGGCAGGCAGGGGGACATCTCAGACTGGGGCTTTGCTGCTTCGGACATACTGAGCTTCAACCCTACCTCCATACACACCACCCTGCTCATCCTCAGGAAGTTAGGCTGAAGGCAGCTGCTGCTGCTGCTTCAGGAGCTGTCGGAGGCCAGGAGAAAGGGTGGGTGTGTTTTACCTAGCGGCGGCTCTGCTCTGTGGGGCTGGGGCAGGAAAGAAAGGAAAGGTCTCCTTCACCTGGTTTGCCTACTTTCCCTGTAATCTAAAAGACCCAGTTGCCTTAAATTGTTAATTGTCCATTTAGAATCATTTCCTGTCTCTTAAGATTCGTGTCCCTTTAAGAAGATCTGTCCCCTTTTGGGTATCTTCTATTGTACCTGCCTTTGAATATCTTAAAGTTTTTTAAAACAATCAGTATTTGTCGGATCTAGGTTCTGTTGTTGATGGATAAATTGACTGACTTTTCAGAATGCAGCCTCTCCCAGCATTTAGGGTCCCAGGATGGAGCAGGGGACAGCAGCAGAGGGAGACAGCCATGGTCCCAGCTGTGGGAGGGTTAAGGTGGGCAGCTTTATGGTACAGCACAGGTGTCATGATTTCACACTGGGGGAGGAGCCCAGTGGGCAGACGGGAATCCAACAAACATTAACTAAGGATACAGCTGCAAACAAGACAACGTGGAGCTCTAATCTGAGGAAAAACCATCAACACAGGGGTGAACTAGAGGTGCCCAAGGCCTAGTGAAGTGCAAAGAGAACTCTGACCAGAGGGCTTATCGTGCAAGCCCGATCACCGTGAGGCTAAGGATGATTCCCGCCTACACTGAATAACTAATCCTCTGATAAGCTGTTGTTAGAACTTTCATTGGATCACAACCTTAGAATCTGATCTAGTGTGTTCAGTCTCGATCCCTTTTGCTCATAACTTTCAAAACTCACAGTCAATACTAGTCAAAAGCTACGCCAAGCTTGAAGCCACAAAAGTAACGACCACAGCCACCAGTTCTTGTGTACACCCTACATGCCACACACACCATGCTAATGCTTTACACATGTGCTCTCTAGTTCTCAAAACTCTGTACCTTGGGTCTTATTAGTCTCATTTTACAGATGAAGAAACTGAGGTTCAGAGATATGTGACTTACTCAGGATCATACAATGAGTGAGGGCAGACATTCTAACCCAGCTTCACCTACTCCCAAGTCTATGGTCTTCCATTCTGCCAGGCTCCTCTTTTCTTGTTTTTTAGACAAGAGTCTCACTCTGTTGCCCAGGCTGGAGTGCAGTGGCGCGATCTCGGCTCACTGCAACCTCTGCCTCCCAGTTTCAAGCGATTCTCCTGCCTCAGCCTCCCGAGTAGTTGGGACTACAGGCGCACGCCACCATGCCTAGCTAATTTTTGTATTTTTAGTAGAGACAGGGTTTTGCCATGTTGGCCAGGCTGGTCTTGAACTCCTGGCCTCAAGTGATCCACCCACCTTGACCTCTCAAAGTGCTGGGATTACAGGTGTGAGCCACCGTGCCCGGCCCATTCTGCCAAGCTCCTCCTTTAAGCAGGCGCAGCTGGGAAGCTGGCTGGGCCAGCTGACAGCTCCCCGCTGTGGCCCATTTATTGGTCTCCATGCTGGATGCTTACCGAGGAGGTGCTTGATGATTGCTTGGTTGTGTTCCCAGAGGTTGCTGAAGGTCCCCCAGCGTGAGTGGCCATCAGGGACTGGGTTGGCCTTGATCCAGCCCCCACAGGCGTAGCTGAAGAAGTCATGGCAGGGGTCCACTGTGGGGTCCATGGAGCTCAAGATGGAGCTGGTCACTGAGACACAAGCTTCGCTCAGGCACACAGAGGGGGATCCTGGAAGGGTTAAGGACAAGAGGCCAGTGAAGGGCAGGCAGGGAAGAAGCAGGGAGGGCAGAGAAGGGGGCTTGGGGCCCAGGGGCCACATGTCCCACCCTGGCCCTGACCACACAGATTTGGAACTGGACGGTCACTAGACCCCTACAGAGAAATGATTTCCGCTTATAACACAAGACTTCTACTCAGCTGTCTAAAATCCTTCCTGTGGCTAAAAGGTACCCAGAACCCAGGTGTTTCTCTTAATCAACCTTCTCCTCCATAAATATTCATTGACTCTTTATTATTCCTTGATGCTCAACAAATTTATTCATTCACGCATGCATTCATTTATTCAGCAAGATAATGACTACCTTCCAGGTTCTCTGCTGAGTATGGAGTGCGTGTGTGTGCATGTGTGCACCTGCGTGAAAGTGTGTGCCCGTGCGTGTGTGCGTGTGTGTGTGTGTGTGTGTGTGTGTGTGTGTGTGTAGGGTACTGGGGTATTGGGCATAAAAAGGCAGAGTCCTTTAATCCAAGAGCTAACAATTCAGTTGGGGATATACACATAAATCAAAATGGAACAGTAGGAGAAATGTCTGTCCTCCTTTCTACAAAAATAAACTGAACATTTACTATGTGCCAAAAGGGTGATGTAGACAGTATGGATGACAGGACATAGGAAGGAGGAAAGCCTATTAGAAATAGAAGGAGGAAATAGGAAAAATCACTCCTACGTACAAGCAGGAGAGTGAGTGACCTCAGGGAATCCTCAAAAACCCAAAGGCTACGCCAGGTGCCGTGGCTCACGCCTGTAATCCCAGCACTTTGGGAGGCCGACTTAATCACAGCTACTTGGGAGGCAGAGGCAGAAGAATCGTTTGAACCCGGGAGATGGAGGTTACAGTGAGCCAAGATCGAGCCATTGCACTCAATCCTGGGGGATAAGAGCGAGGAGACTGGTTTGCCAGAGGCAAGAGGAAAGGGCCAGAGCCCTGCCTCAAGGTTGGCGGCTGAGCTCTCCCAAAGGACCCAAAGCCTGGGTGGCCTACGCAGAGGCCTGGCCTGAGGCAGCAACATGAAGCTGACTGTGCAGGATCGAGAATCACAGGCCCAGCCCCATCGTCCGTTTACCCAGGCTGTGCTGATGACCAAAGGGACTTTACTGAACGTGGCCGTGTACTGGGCACTTTGCACACATTCAGGATCTCATTTAACTCATTACAAGTCATCAGATGCAGGCATCATGTCCCTAGTTAAAGAGGAAACTGAGGGAGTGAACGGAACAAGGTCGCCCAGCTATGTGGGAGGGCGGAGAGCTGAGAGCTGGGCCCAGGCCTGTCTTGGTCCAGCCATGCCAAGGCTGTGTTTTTCTGCTTTCCTTCCCCACCTCTCTGCCAGTCACACGAGGGGCTGGTGCAGCCTGACTGCTGAGATCCGTTTCCCCACCACACAGGGAGGCAGTGAGGCAGGGTGGGCTTTGGAGGCCACTAGACCTGGGTTCAAATCCAGCTTTCTACGTTTGCCAGTGGGGCTTTGGGCAAGTGACCTCATCGCTCCATGCCTCAGTTTATCCATCTAAAAGTTAGGAAGAAAGGTAGGACCAATTTCACAGATTTCACAGTGATGATGGCCATGGCTGGGCACGGGGGCTCAGCTTCCTCAAGTCTCAGGGTCTGAAGTTTCAGGCCAGTCTTTAGAGAGCAGCAAAGAACGCACGAGCTAGTATGGGCAGTGTTCCCCTCACTCAGGAACATAAGGCCAGTGGGCAGAGGTTCATTTGTGGAATTAGTAACATTTGATGACAAACACATAGTCCTTCAGATGGGTGGCTGACAAAGGGCTCAGAGCAGCTGCACAACAGCAGGAAAATCAGGGTGATCTGACTTTGAGATAATCACACAACAATTAAAAATTATTGTTCACAGCCGAGAGGTGTGCCATAAAAAAATTATGGAGCCATTACACATGAAAACAGAGAAAGGAAATGGTGGGGGTGATGGTGCCATTTTAAATATCTCTAAATCAAATCATCTTAATCACAGTTGCATGCTCCACTCCCAAACTCGGGGAAGGCACCAGAATCTTTATGGGGCAGGGAAAGAATTTCCATGTAGGTTGAAAGAGCCTGTTGAGTATTACGATATAACTCCATACTTAGAGAAGGAAAAGAATACCTATTGTTTTCACACATCGAACCACAGGAAGGAAAATTTTACAACATCTTGGCTGGTGGAGATGCCCAGGAGACAGGCTGAGAGTGAGCCTAACGCGGGAAGACGCATCAGAATCTGTGTGTATGTGTCTGTGTGTGAGAGAGAGACAGACTGATTAATTAACTGATAAAGGTTTTTGCTGTTATCACACAGGGACTTGGGTTTAAAAACAAAACAAGAAACTAGTCCCAGAAGTCAGTCTCAGAGGCCGGGCTCGGTGGCTCATGCCTGTAATCCCAGCACTCTGGGAGGCCGAGGTGGGCGGATCACCTGAGGTCAGGAGTTCGAGACCAGCCTGGCCAACATGGTGAAACTCTGTCTCTACTAAAAATACAAAAATTAGCCAGGTATGATGGGGGGCACCTGTAATCCCAGCTACTTGGGAGGCTGAGGCAGGAGAATCTTTTGAACCCGGGAGGCGGAGATTGCAGTGAGCCAAGATCGCGCCACTGCATTCCAGCCTGGGCGACAAGAGTGAGACTCTGTCTCAAATAAATAAATAAAGCAGTCTCAGAAATTTGAGTTCTTCACTAAGTGCCTACTTTGCTGGACATTGGGCTAGGGACCTACGAGGTGCTTAAGGAGCAATGGCTTGATTATTTAACTATTTAATGGTTTGCAGAAACTTCATGAAATATTCCTGGCCCAGGAAGTGCTTCATGCATTTTGATGACCTCATGGTTTCCAGGCCCCCTCATCTAAGGCCCCCTCTTCCTACGGAAACCTTCATCGACCCCCTTCCCTCTCTGGGCCCCTCAGCGGCCTGGGTGCCTGCTCTGCTACTGTGCTATGTCACGACCATCTCCTTGTTCATTTCTCCTACTAGAATGTGAACTTCAGGGCAGGCCAATATCCTATGCGTTTTTATATTTCCATTGTCTAGTACTGTGTTTGGCAACTAGCAGCTGTTTAATACGTGCTTTTTTTTTTTTTTTTTTTTTTTGAGACAGAGTTTTTGCTCTGTCACCCAGTGCAGTGGCATAATCTCGACTCGCTGCAACCTCTGCCTCCTGGATTCAAGCAATTCTCCTGCCTCAGCCTCCTGAGTAGCTAGGATTACAGGCATCCAACACCACGCCTGGCTAATTTTTGTATTTTTAGTAGACACGAGGTTTCACCATGTTGGCCAGGCTGGTCTTGAACTCTTGACCTCAGGTGATCCACCCGCCTCGGCCTCCCAAAGGGCTAGGATTATAGGCGTGAGCCACTGCGCCCGGCCTCAATACGTGTTTTTGAATGAACAACCGAATGAATGAAAGGCCTTATTCAGCACTTGTTCACCACCTGCAGAGGCAGCAAACATTTCTTTCCGTTGGGACATGCGTGATCAATTGAGAAAGCAGAAACAGATCCTAGATTTAATTTACAGACACTCATCTGGACAGCCTGGCCTCAAAACTGTGTAGAATGCTTTCTTTAAAATATGTTCTTGGAGAATGTATTGTTTGTTTTGCTGCCTCTGTTTGCAAAGCACCAGCATGTTTCTGGAAAGGAAGCATAGCAGGAAGGTAAGTAAACACGTACTATGTGTCCAGACATTCCCAGAGGCTGGCCTTCAGAATCATCAGATTTGCTTTCTTTTTTTTTTTTTTTTTTTGAGACGGAGTCTCGCTCTGTCGCCCAGGCTGGAGTGCAGTGGTGCCATCTTGGCTCACTGCAACCTCTGCCTCCCAGGTTCAAGTGATTCTCCTGCCTCAACCTCTCGAGTAGCCGGTGTGCACCATCACAGCCACCTGAGTAGCTGGGACTACAGTTGTGCGCCACCATCCCTGGCTAATTTTTGTATTTTTAGTAGAGACGGGGTTTCACCATGTTGGTCAGGCTGGTCTCGAACATCTTGACCTCAGGTGATCTGTCCATCTCGGCCTCCCAAAGTGCTGGGATTACAGGCGTAAGCTACTGCGCCCGGCCAGATTTGCTTTGACTGGCCTGATGTTTGCTCAGATGTGGCCAGCACCAGCACCTGCTCCTGGGTAATGAGGTTACTGTTAATATCTGGGGTGGTCACTGCTTTCCCAGGTGGCTCAGGGGTCACCTGATACTCTGCCCAGCTCCACTCCAGGGGAAGAATGTTCCTCTCCCAGGTCCAGGCTGGAGAAAACCCTTCTGAGACCCAGAGAGGGACACAACAGAGGCAGAAGCAGGATTCCTCCCAAGGGGCCCCACTGGGCAATAACAACAGAAATGTTTTGGGTCTGATCATCAGGAGCTGGCCCGTGGGGACTCCCCCCTGGTTTCTGGTGAAGACATATCTTTGGAGCTCCGAGGGGCAGTCTCAGGGTAACACTGGCTGCCGGAGTCTGGCCAGCTCCCGCTGCTCTGAGCCAAGAGCTGTGCAGACGTGCTGGCCAGGGTCCACACTGACCAGGAGGGGGTTCAGAACTAGAGCTGATTTAGGCTGAGGCGACATGGCAGTGGCAGGAGAGGATGACGAGCTTGTGTCCTGTTAGCAGAGGAGGCACAAACACACACACACACACACCAGGACACGATCACACAATATACATACACTCAGCAGAGAAAGGCTGTTCCCAGCCTGATCTTCCTTCCTACCCCTTCGTTCATTCAAACATTAATTTATTCATTTTACTATCTGCACACCTATGGCACAGGCACTATGCTAAGCACATCTGGTTAAGGGCCTGAAAACTAGTCATTAATTAGTCAAATATGCATTAAGCACCTGCTGAGCCAGGCACATTTGGTAAAACACCTACAAACCATTATAGTTAACTAATCAAGCAATTATTTCTTAAGTACAACCTATCTTTGTGGAATGAATGAATACCTGTGTGCCTTACCCAGGAGGGATGGAAGAATGCTCAGATGAAGGCCCTGCTCTTTTCTAGGCCCCTGAGTCCCCTCCCCACCCCAGCGCAGCGTGGCCACCCTCACAGACCAGCAACTTCACAGAGGGAAGGCTCCACACAGCCTGTAGTGGATGTTCCAAGATCCTGTGAAAGCTCCTAATCTCTCTCATGGGGTGAGCGACCGAGTCAGTGGGTGGGATGCTGAGCAGAGCCCCCAGAGGCTGCTCAACTAGGTGAACCATCTGCCATCAGAAGAATAGATGTTGGGGCACAGGGGACTGAGAGGCCCTGGCTTTGGCTAATTCCCCATTCTTATTTCTAACTTGGATCCACCCCTTCGCACTTCTTAAGTGTTTACTGAGCATCAACTCTGTGTGAGGCAGCTGGCTAGATCCACTTAGTTGGAAACAGAGAACCAGTCTCAGACCCCTACAGCAGGATCAGAGTGGCCCAATTGTATCACCATTCAAAGTGGGACAAAGGCACCGATCAAGGAACACGATGGGCAGCTGGATCTGGAAGGGCAGCTCTCCTGGGGGTGTAATGCGCTCTGGAGCGTACTTGGATTACAAAGGGAGGTGGAGCCTGGGCTTGAGCCCAGTAGCCTGTGGGTGAATTCCAACTTCCGCATTGGATTAGCAAGTCACTCTATCTCAGTGCCTCAGTTTCCTAATATGGAAAAGGGGCCAAAAGTAACCACACTTCACAGGGCTGCCTCCAGGAGGAAATGAGATTGCATCTGAAGCGAGGGGTGTGGTATTTGGGTATTTGGTCCGAGGAAATAATTCAGTAAACAGAGGGCATTATTGTTATTTTATTGGAACTAGAGATAGCAGACAATGTCAGCCTATGTGTGTAATTACCCCACATTCTAGCAACAACAGTACCCAGAGCTAAAGTTGAAGAAGTCCTACGAGGCACCAGCTATGGGACATATGTTATCTCTAGTCCGCAGACCCATCCCCCAGTTGGGTACTGTTTTCCCATTTAAATTAGAGAAGACACAGGCTGAGGGAATAAGTGACTTGTCCGAGGTCACACAGCCAGTAAGTTGCTGGGACAGGATGTGGACTCAAGTGCGAGACCTTTATATCACCCACGCTGCCCACTTCCCGGGTCTTGGTCTATCTCAGCACCCAGACCCCCCTGGGCCTGGCTCCCTCCTTAGCCTCAGAGCCCTGCCCCGGCTTAAGCAGGGAAGCCCCCCTCGCCCGAGCTGACGGAGCCGGGTGCAGGAGTGAGTCAAGCCCACCATGCAACACGAAGGCACCTACTTGTCTGGTACTGGATGCCCAGTGCTGCCAAGCAGGCCACCAGTCCTGCCGCCAGAAGTACCACCAACACCACCAGCCGCTTCTCCACCTGGGTCCGTGCAGCCCAGCACCTCTGGCCACTCCGGGGGCTGTGGAAGTTCACCTGCAGGGAAGGAGGCAGGAGGGGCGGGGAAGACGTGAGCCCCGGGCCCCGCTTCCCTTGGAGGAAGGGGTTCCGCTGCAGGCCCAGGCCCTGGAGAGGCATCAGGGCTGCCTCCTGTCTCAGGGGTGGTCTGGTTCCCACAGATTCAGCCCTAATCCAGGAAAGGAACAGCCACCCTGCTCAGCTGCTCGGATCTGCTCCCAAACATCAGAGAGTCAAGCAGCTCGGCCCCGACAGGCTTGTTTTTTTGTGTCACTCGATATGAGTGGAAGGAAAAAACTACAGCTTTTCCCTGTTTCTCCAGTGAGGAGTTCAAAAAAGAACAGGATGTTTGGACTTGCAGGCATCCAGTGAGTACCCAGCTGGGCTCTCTGCAGAGCCCCCACATCAGCGGGGTCAGGGACAAGGGTGACACAGCCATGGCTCACACTTCCCAGAAGCACAGACATCCTTAGCTCATTAAACCCTCATAATCCCACGCAAAAACACGCGAGCCACCTTGTTATTTTTCTTTTTACAAGTGAGGAAACTGAGGTCCAGAGAGGTGAGACCCTGGCTTCTCACCACCCAGCTGAATGGGGACAGCTGGGATTGGAACCCAAAGCTGTTGATGCCCGAGCCCACCAGTGGATCAGAGGTGGATCCTGGGAGATGTTGGCAGAGATGCAAGGAGAAATAGCTCCATTCAGGTCCTGAAAGGGAGGAAAAATCCCTCCAGCCTAACAGTCTAGCTAAACAGGAAGGGAGGCACAATGAGAGGAAGTGCAGGGTGTGGCAGGGCCCTCCCTGCCCGAGGAGGGACACACCAGCCAGCAGCAATGGGGGCCGACAGCCCAGGCCTCTCACACCCAAGGCAGCTTGGGGTTCTCCTCTGTTCCAAGAGATGCTTCCTGCAAAACCCACACCCACAAGACAGGAAGGGTCTCCTGAAGGTGGGGTAACGTGTTCAGTGACACCGTGTCATGTGCTAACAGCTGAGCACCAACTCAGGGCCATGCTGGAAATACACAGCCCAGCAGGGAGGCAGATAAAGAAACAGACTGGGGTGGGCAGGGGTTCAATCAGGGAGGGCTTCCTGGAACGGGTGATGTCTGGCCTGGGTCAGTCAGAATAAGTAGGAGCTGGCCAGATAAGAAGGAATGGAAGTGGAGAGGAGAGGAGGGCCTAGATCCTAAGGGGCACAGAAAGCCAGGTTAAGAGCCTGGACTTCCTCTTGAGGACTGGAGTGACATGATTAGATTTACCCTTTGGGAAGGGCAGGGTGGAGGGAGCAAGGCTTGCCAGGAAGAGGGGAAGCTGTCAGGGAAGATGAGGAGACTCAGACTCTGACCTGCAACGGCCCCACCAACAGCCTGAGGGGTGCCCCTGGTGCCGGGTCAGAGCCCTGAGGGAGTCCCACCCTGGCACTCGGGGATCTGAAGTGGGTCAGTTGAGGGAAGGGTACTGAGAAGCCACGTGGCCATGGTTAGGTATTTACTGGGCAGGAAATGACTGGGAATTGCTGCACCAGAGATGGAGGAACACAAGCACTTTCTGTGGAAAAAAAAAAACTGGGTTCCAAAACTGAGAAAAGGGGCCGGGCACGGCGGCTCATGCCTGTAGTCCCAACAGTTTAAAAGGCTGAAGTGGGAGGATCACCTGAGGTCAGGAGTTCAAGACCAGCCTGGCCAACATAGAGAAACCCCATCTCTACTAAAAAACACAAAAATTAGCCAGGAGTGGTGACAGGCGCCTGTAATCCCAGCTACTCGGGAGGCTGAGGCAGGAGAATCGCTTGAACCCGGGAGGCGGAGGTTGCAGTGAGCTGAGATTGCGCCACTGCACTCCAGCCTGGGCGACAGAGCAAGACTCCGTCTCGGAAAACAAAACAAAACAAAACAAAACAAAACAAAACTGAGCAAAGGATCTTGGGGCTTAGAGACACTTCCGTGGAGGCCCAGGAGGCTCAGACACTGAAGCAGCTGGGTCAGGCAGTGGGAGGGATGCCGCCCGCTCAAATCCCTCAAGAATCTCTTCTGAAAAAGTGAGCAATGAAAGTTTCAGACCATGAATTAAAACTTCAGGCTGTGAGGGCCTGGTGCAGAGAGAGACAGCCTGGTATGATGCTAACATGTACACTGTACTCAAATGTTTATAAAGTGCTTTTTCAGAGTAATCAGTTATCTCACACACTTTACCTTGGTCTCTGGTACTCAGAGGGGTCCCAAGGACTTGAAGCAGGGACTGCCTTGCCTAGGGACACTGACGTATGTGTCCTGCTGCCCCTAATTTGTTTCATCCTTCCTCCTTTAGGCTTCTCATGTCCCCATTATCATGGCTCAGCTCACAGGGCACAAGGAGGCCGTGAGACAGTGTTTTGTTTTGTTTTGTTTTGTTTTGTTTGAGATGGAGTCTCCCTCTGTTACCCAGGCTGGAGTGCAATGGCACGATCTCGGCTCACTGCAACCTCTGCCTCCCGGGTTCAAGCGATTCTCCTGCCTCAGTCTCCTGAGTAGCTGAGATTACAGGCATGTGCTACCACGCCCGGCTAATTTTTGTATTTTTAGTAGAGACAGGGTTTCACCATGTTGGTCAGGCTGATCTCGAACTCCTAACATCGTGATCCACCCGCCTCAGCCTCCCAAAGTGCTGGACTGCACCTGGATGAGACCTTGGTTTAAGAGGTACCCATCAGCCAGGCATGGTGGCTCATGCCTATAATCTCAACACTTTGGGAGGCTGAGGCAGGAGGATGGCTTGAGCCCAGGAGTTCAAGACCAGCCTGGGCAACACAGTCAGACCCCATCTCTTAAAAAAAATTAAATTAAATTAGCTAGGCATGGTGGCATGCACCTGTAGTCCCAGCTACTTGGGAGGCTGAGGTGGGAGGATTGCTTGAGCCCGGAAGGTCGAGGCTGCAGTAAGCCATGATTGTGCCCCTGCACTCCAGCCTGGGCAACAGAGCAAGACCCTATCTCAAAAAAGTAAAAAAGAGGCCAGGCGCAGTGGCTCATGACTGTAATCCCAGCACCTTGGGAGGGTGAGGTGGGCGGATCACCTGAGGTTGGGAGTTTGAGACCAGCCTGGCCAACATGGTGAAACCCTGTCTCTACTAAAAATATAAAAATTAGCCAGGCATGGTGGCTCATGCCTGTAATCCCAGCTACTGGGGAGGCTGAGGTGAGAGAATCACTTGAAACTGGGAGCTGGAGGCTGCAATGAGCAGAGATCACGCCACTGCACTCCAGCCTGGGTGACAGAGTGAGACGCTGTCTTGAAAAAAAAAAAAAAAAGAAAGAAAAGAAAAGAAAAGAGGTACCCCTGTGCCTGGTGCTGGCTCCAGGGAGCCAAAGGATGCAGCCACTAGGCTTGGGATGCAGGAAAACCTCACCTTAAATGTACAGGGAAATGTCATGGTGTGGGCGACAAGGAGACAGCTAAGAGCAAGGAGCAAAGCCATCTGCGGAGAGAAGGGAGAGAAGAAAGGAACAGAAGGGGAAGATGAAAGAAACAGAGGGATAGGAAAGGGAAAAAAGAACAATGGCAGCAAATAAATACTTGAGTGCTAAGGGCCTGGGATCATATTAATTCTATTTTGATAGTGCAATTCTATCTTCACAACATTATTTTTTTTTTTTTTTTTTTTTTGAGACGGAGTCTTGCTTTCTCACCCAGGCTGGAGTGCAGTGCCGCCATCTCGGCTCATTGCAACCTTGGCCTCCCGGGTTCAAGAGATTCTCCTGCCTCAGCCTCCCAAGTAGCTGGGACTACAGGCACATGCCACCACACCTGGCTAATTTTTTGTATTTTTAGTAGAGATGGGGTTTCACCGTGTTAGCCAGGATGGTCTCAATCAATCTCCTGACCTCGTGATCCACCCGCCTTGGCCTCCCAAAATGCTGGAATTATAGGCGTGAGCCACAGCGCCCGGCCCATAACATTCCTTTTTTTGAATTTTTTTTAAATTTTTTTTTTTTGAGACAGAGTCTCACTGTGTCGCCCAGGCTGGAGTGCAGTGGAGAGGTCTCTGTTCACTGCAACCTCTGTCTCCCGAGTTCAAGCAATTCTCCTGCCTCAGCGTCCCGAGTAGCTGGGATTACAGGTGTCCGCCACCACGCCGGGCTAATTTTTGTATTTTTAGTAGAGACAGGGTTTCACCATGTTGGCCAGGCTGGTCTCAAACTCCCGACCTCAGGTGATCTGCCCGCCTCAGCTTCCCAAAGTGCTGGGATTACAGGCGTGAACCACTGCACCCAGCCTATCTTCACAACATTCCTAAGAGTAGGTATTAGCGTTAGCTCCAGAAGAAACCCAGGAAGTCGGGGCATGAAGGCAAGGAGAGAGGAGAGAGAACAGTGAGGCAACCCACGTCTCCAGGACTGGCAGCCGCAGACCTACCACAGGAAGTGGAGCTGACCCTCACTGTTTGATGCAAAGTGCTGAATCTAAACAGATGGTGTTCACTGCAAAATTAAATTAAAATTAAGCCAGAATTGAATTAAAAATTCATAGTTCCAGGCAAGAATGGCAAATGGAGTTTGAAAATGGAGTTTTTAACCTTTGTCTTGTTCTTTGCTTGACTTGTACTATCGGCTACGGGCCTCATGGTTTCTGGATAAGCCTTGTCTCTAAAGGCAGAACGAATCCAGATGCCTCACCCTGGGGCAGGAGAAGTCACCTAGAGGTACTAGGCCAGGATCAGGAGGCCTCTCCAGGGCAGGGTGGCCAATTCCTGGGTGCAATGGAAAGGGCTGGGCCGTGAGTCAGGGCACCGATCTGCTTCCAATGGCCGCTGGCCTCGGCTGAGTCTCTTCTTTGCATCCCTGTCGCACCTGCCCAGCCTCCTTCATGGGACTGTGGAGGGGATCCGTGAGATGAGGTCACAGCATGGGGAGATGTGACTGGTTTCTTACGTTTCTTTTGGAAATGAGGTCCCGTCAAGCATGGGAGACTGGCCTAAGCAGCTTGGAGGGTAGGAGGATTGGTGGCAGGCAGCCCAGTCCATCTCAGGAGAGGGGACTGTGAAATGGCCATCCGCTAAGAGGCAGCGCTGATGCCTGGAAGATGCAGAATCACTGCAGATGCTCAGCTCGCTGGTGGGCTTAATTTCCTACTTATTGTCGTGGGAGGCAGAAAGAGAATGAGAAGGAGGGGGTGCCCTCAAAAGAGAGAGGTGGAGAATGAGACAAAGAAATGAGAGAGCCAGAGAAACAGAAAGAGCGAGAGAGCTAGAGTAAGGGAAAAAGAGCAGCGCTATCCAGCCAGGAGTTCCCAGGGTTTCCACAGCCAAGGGAACAAAGCCCTAATCCGGGACACATATTTGGTTACAGAAGTGAGTGCTTGGCTCACCTAGGCTTACAGCAAGAACAAGTTCTGCAGGTGAGGATGGGGCCTGCTGCCTGGGGCCCACGAGACAAGCCGGGAGCAGAAAGGGTGGGGAGCCAGGTGAAGCCAGGTTTTCAGAGTCAGGTCGGAAGGGAAGGCAGAACCCAGCAACCTGGGCTGCACGAAGCAGCAATGGGAGTGGTCTGGGCAAGGGTCTGGCAGGGATCCCACCCCTCTGCAGCCCAGAAACCCAGCCACCTGGGAGCGCTGGCAGGGGCACCAGGCTCCCTGGAGTAAGCCTTTGAGAGCAAGTCGACTGTGACAGCCCAGCCTGCGAGGAACCCTGCCTCCGAAAGTTCCCCAAAGTCAGTTTGGGGAAGTTTCTTCCAGTAAAGTTTCCATGAGGTGGCCTTCTGGCTGAGGCAATGGGGTCAGTCCAGAGCAAAATTCTCAAGTCCTTGTGTCCTCTTGTCTCTGCCTGAGCCTTGTCTGCTACCCCACCCAGATGCCTGACTTTAAATGACTGGTAACAGCTTAAAATATGATCCGTTGTAGGGGAGGGCACTCCTCACATCTTAGCAAGAATCAAAGGCTAATATTTACAAGTACTTTCCAACTTTCATCGCTTCCCAGAAGGAACACCCAGCTCCCCACAGCATGGGAGAAAGATGGTAACCCTGAGAAGTCAAATATCCCACTGTGTGTTGCTGGGCAGTCTCTGGGCCTCAGTCTCCCATCTCTAAAATGAGGAGGCTGATTGAGGTCCCAGGTGTGACTTCTCAGACTCTCAAACCTCAAGGCTATATAATAGGCAAACAGAGTTGATAACAACTCCAGGTAAACAGACATGTCTTTTTAAAGTATTGAGCGGGCTTGTCCCTGAAATCACCCTGGAAAGACAGCTTTGGCCAGGCATGACGGCTCATATCTGTAATCCCAGCACTCTGGGAGGCCAATGTGAGAGGATCGCTTGAGCCCAGGAATTCAAGGCTGCAGTGAGCCATGATCACGCCACTGCACTCCAGCCTGGGCAACAGAGCAAGACCCTGCCTCAAAAAAAAAAAAAAAAAAAAGGCTGGGCACAGTGGCTCATGCCTGCAATCCCAGCACTTTGGAAGGCCGAGGCAGGTGGATCACCTGAGGTCGGGAGTTTGAGGCCAGGCTGGCCAACATGGTAAAACTCCATCTCTACTAAAAATACAAAAATTAGTCACGCATGGTGGCGCACGCCTGTAATCCCAGCTACTGGGGAGGCTGAGGTGGGAGAATTGCTTGAACCCAGGAGGTGGAGGTTGCAGTGAGCTGAGATTGTGCCACTGCACTACAGCCTGGACAACAAGCAAGACTCTGTCTCAAAAAAAAAAAAAAAAAAGAGAAGAGAAGAGAGCCCTGTGCAAGGTGGGAAAAAAATGAGAAAACTATAACTAAGAATTTAATATCTCACCTTTCTTTTTTTCTTAACAACAACAAAAAAAGATTTTTAGAAGTAATTGAATGAATTTCAAAGGTTTTGGTAGACATGGCCATCTGCTCCTCAGTTCAGGCTGCAGGTGTAACTTCAGCTATATCCCTTCCTGCCGCTGAAAATGGTGTATGTTCAGGTGTGGGAAGATCAGGCAGCTGGCTTTGGCAGAGCAAGAGGCTTCAGAGCAAAAGCTAGCATATTTAGATGTATATTATTATATCATGTCACTCATAGTGAGTTTCTGTAATAATCCTTGTAATAACCTAATAACCAAATCCATTTTCTAAGCATTATCCAAAATGCTTTCCCTCATACTGTCCCACTGAGCCTTTGCAACAGCTCTGAGAGGTGGGCTAATAATATTAACCCCATTTTACAAAGAAAGCTGTGGAAGTGAGTTGCTTTCAGGTCTCACAGCGCAGGAGAGACAGAGCTGGGGCTCCAAGTTAGAGCCAGCTTCCTTTGAATTCTGTGCTTGGTTCAGAGTGACTCACTTTAGTAGACTGCAAGTAATCTGTGCCTAAAATATGGGATAAAGAAAAAGAACAGGTTAGGCACGGTGGCTGTAATCCCAGCCCTTTGGGAGGCTGAGGCAGGAGGATCACTTGAGGCCAGGAGTTCGAGACCAGCCTGGGCAACATGGCAAAACCCCATCTCTACTAAAAATACAAAAAATTAGCCAGGCATGGTGGCACATGCCTGTAGTTCCAGCTATTTGGGAGGCTGAGGTGAGAGAATCACAGGTCAAGGCTGCTAGTAAGCCCAGATTGCGCCACTGCACTCCAGCCTGGCCAACAGAGTGAGACCTTGTCTCAAAAAAAAGAAAAAAAAAAAAGAAAAAGAAAAACCCTTTCAGGTGAGGTACAGGTAGAATTTTGCTCTGGTTAAATTCAACATTGGCCAGCAGGTCCAATAATAAAAAATAAATAAATGTGGCAAGTAATAAAGTAACAAATGTGTCAAGTTTGGCTGAAAAATGGAAGTGTTCATTTATTAGTTATTGGTGTTGATCACTTGGGACTTCCTAAAACGAATGGACTTCAAAATCTTGAAAAATCAAATAGCTTATTTTTTAGCTGTCCATCAAGAGAAAAGATTTGGGATGAAGGGTCTGTTTTAAAAAGTCTAAAATTGAGAGCACAGGCTGGATGTGGTGGCTCATGCCTGCAATCCCAGCACTTTGGGAGGCCGAGGCAGGCAGATCACCTGAGGGCAGGAGTTCGAGACCAGCCTGGCCAACATGGCAAAACCTTGTCTCTACTGAAAATACAAGTATTAGCCGAGCGTGGTGACGTGCGCCTGTAATCCCAGCTACTCCGGAGGCTGAGGCAGGAGAATTGCTTGAACCTGGGAGGCGGAGGTTGCAGTGAGCTGAGATCGCGCCACTGCACTCCAGCCTCTACAACAGAGAGAGACTCTGTCTCAAAATAAATAAATAAATATAAATAAATAAAGTTGAGAGAGAAGTTGTGTCGCTAGCAACCGGCCCAAAGGTAATAATCTGAAAAGCTAAAAATGGGTCACCCACAGAGTGACAGCAGTTGCGCCTAAGTGTCCAACTACAGTGGATTGAATAAATATATTTTTATATGTTGGTACCATGAGGTGTTATGATTTTTAATGGCAGCATGTTTCGGAAGTTTCTGACAATGTAGAAGATGCTGAATGAAAAATGCGGGATATAACATTGTGTATTTACAGTGAGCTCAACTATGTTTAAAAATACATACATACAAGTGTGAAAAACTAGAAACCGTTATCTCCAAGTGGCAGGATTACTGCTCCGTTTTTAATTCCTTTTTATACTTGACTATCTTTTTTTCTCCCCCAAGTGAGCATATAAAGCTTTTACACTGGGGAAAAAAAAAAAAACAATGATTGAAAACATTCAATTAATAGAATACTCTGCCTCATAAATGGAGATGAATGGGTCCTTGACTCAGAAAAGCAAGCACTGGCTACTTCATGTTCACTTTGGGGAAGTTGTGGCAACACCACACAAGCCAAGCTGGGTACCCACAAAAATGCCCCAAATCCTTGCATAACCTCTTTGCCTTTTCCTGCAAGGAAAGTGGAAAATGTATCCATTTGGGGACAGGACACTAACTCCAACCATAGACAACAGCGACGTGACCCCAGGAATGTCTCTAACCTCTCTTTGTCCCTCACCTTTATCATCAATAATGTGGCCACGCCAGCCCTTACTTCATGGGTCATAAAACAATAATCCTAGCAGGCTGCATATAATATGTATGACATCCACTTTCTCTAACATCCATTTCACAGTGAGGCCATCACCACTGAAAGAGATTAAGCCACTAGCCCAAGGTCGTGAGTGGAGTAAGAACTCAAACCCGGGTCGCTGGCTTCAGAGACGGGGCTCCTCCTGCTTGGCCGGGGGCCCTCCCCAGAGAAATGTGCTATTTCATCTGAAAAAGGTTATACCCCAAACAGGCTGCTGTGAGGATAACAGCAACATGGCATTATTACTTTGCTGTGAATTCTGAAATGCTTTTGTGTTGATATATTTAGACCCTTCTGTGGAAGATGAGACTGAAAAACATTGCTGATTAGATTCTGTTTTGATTTGAGAAGGGAAAAGCACCTGCCCCAGAAATCTAATTTCCTGCTGGCTTCAGCCTCTTAAGAAGAGTCCACTGGGAAGAGGTTTGAGACAGACAGGGTTTGACGTGTCGCTCTCGGATTTTTAGCTCGGTGACCGAAGGCCAGTGGTTGCCCCTCTCAGAGCCTCAGTTTCCACATCTGTAAGTGGGGACAGTAATCCCTACAGGTCTCAGGGGTGTTCCTGAAGGTTAAGCAGGGGTACCACACATCCCAGTGGGTAGAGCCCTTGGGACTGTGAGTTTGGGTCCCCTGGGCCTATGTGACCCTGGAGGAGGAACTCCATCAATGGTGTCTCCCTGCGCTGGGAGGATTATTCCCGCTTCTAAGAGGCGTATCTGAGTGGAGTGGGCCTGGCAACTAAGCGTCCATTCATCCTAAGCTCGCCTTTGGGAAGAGTTGTGTGCCAGTTCACCAAGTGGCCCCAAGATTCTCCCAAATACTTCCCTTGGTCTACCTGGCAGAAGTCCTCCGAGAATTGGGGTGCCCCAGCTCCTCTTTCTACACTGGCTTCTCAAGAGCCAGATCACTGGGTCTCCTAGGGTGTCCGCAGCGTTTCCAGCACCTTCCCACGCACCTGGCTGGCTCCAAACCCCTCCAGCACTGAGGTCTTGGCCACAACTGTCCCAGTGCAGCCCCCCAGGGACGGGAGGGCAGAAAGCAGCCTTGCTCAATGTCCTGTTACAAGGCAGGGACGGGGGTGGGGCCCTCCCCAGGAGTGGGCAGATGGGATGCCCACGGGCGGAGACCCTGGGGAGGGGAGGAATTGGACTTCCTTAGTAGGCTGGAAAAGGGGCAGGGAGAGGGGGCAGAGAACAGGTTTCTGGCCCCAGGAAACTCAGGTATTGGGAGGGCAAGAGGAAGAGGGTGGTACTGCCTCCCGGATAAGGTGACCAACTTTCCCAGTTTGCCCCGGACTGGGGGAGTGGGTTCCAGGGATGCAGGGCTTTCCACGCTAAAACAGAAACAGCCGTAGACTCTGCCGGTAAAGGGCCTGGGCAAGTCCCGGGACATGCACAAACTGTGCCTTCTGTGGAAAGGGAACTGGACCAGTTCGGGTCTCGGGGGTGCTTTCAACTCTGCCACCTGGGCTGTGGCCCCAGAAGCAGGTGGCCGGGAGGCTCTAGGGATGGCGGGGGCAGGTGAGGGGAGACTGGTGGGCTCCGGAAGGCTTCTCAGCGCGGAGCTCCAGCTGCGGGGAGGCGCGGCCCCTCCCGGATGCCGGGACGAGGGAGGGGAAGGGAGGGGAAGAGGCGGGGTAGGTAGGGGCGGGGGGCGCGGCAGCGGCAGCGCGCATGCCCGGGCCCGGGGCGCCTGGACCTCGGGAGGGAGCGGAGGGCGCCTACCTGCAGGCCGTTGGGGTATGCGTCGCCCTCGGAGAGCGAGTCCACCAGGTCCTCCTCGTCCAGCGTGGCCCGCTTGTACGTCGACATCTGCAAGGCCAAATGCAGCACGGACTCCCTCAGCGCCTCCATGGCTCTCGCGCCCGAATGGGGAAGCGGCCCCGACCCTGGCGCCGCCGCCGCCGCGCCCCGCCCCGGCCTGGACACCCGAGACCGAGACCGGCCCACGGAGCGGCCCGCGCGGGGAGGGGTCCCGCCCGCCTCCCGCCCCCGCCCTCCAGGCCGCGCCCGCCTCACCCCCAGCGCCGACAGCAGGGCGGACACCGGGGGCGGCCACACGCCCCGCATGCTGTGCCCCAGACGCCTGGTCCCGCTGCCCGGGTGGCCGGGATGGGATGGGCCGGGCCAGGCGTTGCACCACCTTCGCGGGCGGGGCCTGATCGGTTCGCCGGCGCCCGGTTCCCAACCTCCGGCCTCCCGGGGAGACCCCAAGACCCGAGAGGCCCGGGGGAGATGGGGACCCCTCCCTTCCCCGGAGGTCGGGAGTGGGGGCCCCCAAACTGAAGCCCCTAGCAGGCAGGAAAGGCCCTCACAGTGACCCCTCCTTCGAGAAAATCTTAAGTCCCCCTTCAACAACCGGGTCCCCAGTGGCAGATAACAAAAGTATCAGGAAGGTGCCCTCGATGTGGCCCAGAGCAATCAAGACAGGTTCCCCCCGGCATCAGCCCTTAGGTGTGTCTAGGGGGTTAATGCTAGAAAGACCAGACAAAAAAGGTGGGGTAAAAAGGTAGGTGTCCCCTTTCAGTTCCCCTTTCTAGCTCAGAGGCCTTTAAGCCAGAGTTCGTGAATGAGTTTCAGAAAATTTCAGAGAACTCCCTGACACGGGATGAAAGGAGCTGTGTGTGTGCATTTGGATGGCTGCAGGGTGGTCCGGTGGTCACCCCCGTGCTCAAAGGTGTCGCCCTCCCTGCAACACAAGAGAACCATTGCTCCAGGGGGAGTCAGAAGCCAGGAAGGGGACCCTTCTTTCCCATCTTCCCCCTCAAGACTCGGAGCCTCAGCCAGGTGCCCCCCTCCCCAGCCCCTGAGCCCTCTCCTATAACCCTAGGCAGGGAAAGGGGGCTCTCTCGGATATGAGGTGTTCAGTTAGGGACTCAGGCCCAGCACTGTCCCAACCAAGAACCCCAGAGAGGTCTAACCCAGCAGATTTCCAAAGGACTCTCCGCTTCTAGCAAGGCGGGAATCCCTGCATTTATGCGTACTTTTCAGCTTTGCAAAGTGCATTTCTGCTCATTCCAAATTTGATTCTCACAGTCACACATATGTGTGAATAAACAGGTTTAGAGGGGTGAGGGGCCTGACGTCACAGGGACAGTGAGGGCAATGGCTCCAGATGGTCTCCTGGCTTCCACTCCTGCCCTCTGACAGCCCCCTCAGCAGCCAGGATGAGCCTTTAAAATGAAATCTGGCTGAGGCCAGGCACCATGGCTCGCTCGCGCCTGTAATCCCAACACTTTGGGAGGCCAAGTTGGGTAGATCACTTGAGGTCAGGAGTTCAAGACCAGCCTGGCCAACATGATGAAACCCCATCTCTACTAAAAATACAAAAAATCAGCTGGGCCTGGTGGCATGCATCTGTAATCCTAGCTACTCAGGAGGCTGAGGCAGAAGAATCGCTTGAACCCAGGAGGTCGAGGTTGCAGTGAGCTGAGATTGTGCCACTGTACTCTAGCCTGGGTGACAGAGTGAGACTCCATCTCAAACAAACAAACCACAGAAATCTGGCTGGGTTCAGTGGTTCACACCTGTAATCCCAGCACTTTGGGAGGCTGAGGCAGGAGATCACTTGAGTCTAATTCTAGGCCAGCCTGGGCAACACGGACCCCATCTCTACAAAAAGAAAATATATATATATATATTTATATATTATATATTTTTAATTAGCAGGACGTGGTGGTATGCGCCTGTAGTCCCAGCTACTTGGGAGGCTTAGGTGGGAGAATCGCTTGAAGCCAGGAGGTGGCGGCTACAGTGAGCTGTGATTGCACCACTGCACTCCAGCGTGGACGACACAACAAGATCTTGTCTGAGTAAATAAATAAAATAAAAAAAAATTCTGATATTACCACTCCCTTGCTTAAAAACCCTCCACTGTCCTGGAATGAAATCCAAACCCTTCACCAGGCCCCATGGCCCCTGCCCACTCTGGGCCCTCATCTTGTGCTGCCAGCGCCCCCTCCCCCACCAACCTCCTCACACAACTCCTCAGTTTCTACAAGTTTCTTCTTCCCCCAAGACCTTTGTAGCTGCTGTTGTCTCTATCTGGAACATTTTTTCCTCCTCTCTACTCTTCCCATGGTCAGCTCCAACTTCAGATCTCAGCCTACCAGCTCCTCAAATGTCCCAGGAACCCTAAGCAGTCCCCCAAATTCTCTGTTACAGCATCCTGTTTGTTTTCCTTTACAGTACTTGTTGCAGACTGTTTTGTTTCCATGTCTTTATCATCACTGTCTCTGTCCCTCTCCAGAATCCACAGCTTTACTGGGGCTGGGACCTTGTCTGGCCTGTCCAACAGAGACTCTCCATCACCCGGCACAGAGTAGGTGCTCAACAAACGGTTGTTAAAATCAAAGGGGGGACAAGTAGAGGGGAAGTGCCTTCAAGTTCTCAAGAACTCTCCTGCATCTAACTTCATAATGCCTACAGAAACAGGGAACACATCTAAAGGTCACAGGCCCTGGGGAGGCAGGGTGCATGGGAAAGCTCTGAATTCTGGAGACTTCTGCCTCACTCCCACTGGGTGGAGGAGTTTCCATTACCCATCCCAGAGAGAGAGGGGACTCTGAGGCTGCTTCACTTACTGCTGGGTTGCAGCTGGGCTTTTTCTAGAACAGGACACTTGGTTACACTACGTTACCAGGTGTCGATTGCCAGAGGAAAAGACTTTTGAAAAAGAAGTTCAGTTCACAGAACATCTCCCCGGGGCATGTGGGTGGTGTAAGGGATTCACCCGGCTGGTGTACGGGATTTGTCAGTTCTTTTATACCATCTCTTTTAAGCTTCTCACCCTTCCCTCAGAAGCAGGTATCACTGGTTCCTTTTACAGAGAATGAAACTGAGGCTTGGGGAAGTTAACTCGCCCAGGTGTGGTTAAGCGATGGCTCCTCCTCCTTCTGTCTCATTTCAGAGATTTCCCCCTTCTGGCAAGCTCTCCTGACCACCCTCCAGGGACCCCAGACAGCATTTGGTCCCTGGCTCTGTGTCCCCACACAGCCACCCTACCCCATGCTGCCTTTTACTGAGGCACACAGCATTTTAGACAGGAGAACCCTGATGGCAGAGGCTGGGTCTCACGGGACCCTGTCTCCTTAAGGGCTTAGTCTGGGGCTGGAGCCTCTACAGATGTTTGAGCAAAGGCGGGAGGCAAGGGAGGGAGGCCGGAAGCCACCCCAGGGACTCTGATGTCCACCCTGCGGCAGCCTGTCTGTGGACAGATGATGCAGGAAGCTCACGGAACTCCCAAGCAGAAATCAGCAGAGATGGAGCCTGGTTATTTTTCAGCACACAAAAGCCGAGGGCCCCTTCCTGAGATGCCTGCCTCAGCCCGGTAGTGAAACTGAACCCACCTCAGACGGGAAAGGCTTGGCGGGCTCTGCTTGGTGGGAAGTCCACAGTGGGTGAGTGACATTTCAACAGCTGCCTGGGGCCCTTCGCCCAGGGCCTTCCATTCACTACCCCAATGGCTCCCCACACCCACCTAGAGCCTCAGCCTCACAAGTACCGCTTCCAGCTTACAGAGAGGGGGAGGGGCCTAGACAGACCAAAAACCAACCATGCCACTTGACAAATTCTCTCCTAACCCCACAGTGCCTCGTCCCTGAGATGAGAATCATCACCTCCGCTTTACAAATGAGATGACCAAGGGTCAGAGAGGAGAAAGGACCTCCCCCCAGCCCTGAGTCACCTGCCTGGAGACTGAGGGAGCCATAATGCGAATCTTCCCCTTGCCAAACCCACTGACTCCATTACGCTGCCTCCAGAGAACCCGAGCCCCGCGGCGAGAAAGTGGTAGAGCTGGGCCTCGAACCTGGGTCCTGGACTCTTGGTCCTGTGCTCCTTGTGGAAGATGGAACTGCTTCTTCAGGTGGGAACCTCACAGAGTCTGGGTGCCCTGGGCAGACTGAGGCTCTGGGCTGACAGGGCAGCCAGCACTTATTCTCCCTAATTGTCTCATTTGCAGTTGTGGGTGCCACGCCTGGCCCCGAGTGTGTTGGGGAAGGTAAAGAACCTCCACTTTGGTCTTCTCAGTTCCCTTCCTGGCACTGTGCAGCCGTGGAGGAGAAATCTGGGTTGAATCTGGGTCTAGTGTTCAAGAGGAGGGCCTGGCAGAAACCAAGAGTGAAGGGGTGGAACCACAGCTCCCTGTGGACTGCCCCGTCCTCAGTCCCCGGTGCCCCAGCTGCACAGAGGAAGTGATGACAGCCAGATGAAGGTGCAACAGTGCCCAGCTCTGGAAACTCCACCCTTGTAAATCAAAGGCCTGTGGTGAGCAGAAACGAGAAATATAAACACGCACAGGTTTCTGGCGACAAAAGCCTCCTGGCCTGGTAGCACCTGGGCATGACCCCCTTTGCCCAGACGACATTAGTCACTCATATGGCTCTTGCGTTTGGTTGGCCAAAGGCGGGGGATTGTTAAGTCATCTTGGGGTGATGAGGTGGAAAAGGGAAGCCCCACATGTGAAATTCTGAGGCCTGGGACTGAGCCACACCCTCCACAGCTACTTTCACATTGTCTCTAAGCCTCAGCTCCTTAGAGACGCTGCCCTTTGTGGCCGAAGTCCCCATCAGTTACTACTTTTGGTGCTGGTAATTGGCTGGGATCTGTTCAATCTTTACATGTCATCTAAAACACACTCATATTATCTGGTAGCTAAACACTTATATTTCACAGATGCTATAATGTAGTGGGTAAAATCTCTGGATCTAAACCTCATTTCAGATCCCCAGTCTGAACTTCCCAACTCTGTGACCCTGAGCAAGTGACTCAGCCTCTCTGTGCCTCAGTACTCATCTGTCAAATGAGGAGGATGATGATAACAATAGTACCTCCCTCATAGGACTGTGGTGACACTTAAATGAGTTAATATAGATAAAGTGCTTGGCTGGGCATGGTGACTCATGCCTGCAATCCCAGCACCTGGGGAGACCCAGGCCGGAGGATTGTTTGAGGCCAGGAGTTCAAGACCAGCCTGGGAAACACAGCAAAACCCTGTCTCAAAAAAACAAAAACAAAAACAAACCCAAGTAACACAACTTTGGGCAAGGGATAAGATATAAAAATATGGCTATCATTTCTAAAGATATGCCACTTGACATTTATTATTATTACATTATCCATTATATTTCCCAGTATTTTTCACCAGAGAAATTTCCATGTGATTAGCTTATTTTAAAATTTACTATGAAGTTCCTGAAAGTGTAAACTGCTTCTTTACTTTTTAATAACAGGAATCAGCTTGTATCTCTTTTTTCTTTGGCTGCCAGGAAACTCATAGCCAAATCAGAAACTCGCCTATGGGCACTTTCTTGGCCTTTAGGTTCAGCTTTTTCCTTGTCCACATTTTCCACTCTGTTTTCCGTGATTCTGATTTTCCATTTGGTATTGCATGTCGTTTTACTGAATGTATTTTATTTATAACCTATCATGAATCCTTTGTGGAACAGAGTTAGAAACAACATTTATCAGGCAATTAAGACAGACCTGAGCCCACTCACAGGTTTCCTGGCTCATGTGACCTCGGACATGTTGTTTTCACCCTCAGGTCTCAGTTTCTTCATCCGTAAAAGGGCCATTGTAAATACCGAGTAAGCTAGAACATGAACTGCCTGGCATCCAGCAGCCCAAGCCTGCGTGAACCACACCAGAGGGACATCCTGCGCAGGCCACCTCTTTCTGCTTGCTTCTTCTTGTCTTCCTCACCACCCCTCCCATTTGCTTCTGCCCTCATCCAGATTTTCCAGTCTTGGCCTTTGTTCAGCCAACATTTGTTGTTACTCTAGCCCTGCTGTAAACTCAGTGAAAATAACAGATTGCCCAGGTGATGGAGGTTAATATCAACAGCAAGAAGTCAAATACGAGTTATTAATAGAAATCATGTACCCTTCAGCCGGGTGCTCATGCTTGTAATCCCAGCACTTTGGGAGGCGAGGTGGGCAGATTGCTTGAGCCCAGCAGTTTGCGACCAACCTGGGTAACACAGTGAGACTTTGTCTCTACAAAAAATTTAAAAAAAAAATTAGCTAGGTGTGGTGGCATCCACCTGTGGCCCCACTACTTAGGAGGCTGAGGTGGAAGGATTGCTTGAGCCTAGAAGGTTGAGGCTACAGTGAGCTGAGATCACGCCACTGCACTCTAGCTTGGGTGACAGAGCAAGACCCTGTCTCAACTACAAAAAAAAGAGAGAGAAATAAAATAAAATAAAGTAAAACAAAACAAAACAGAGTCATTGACCTTGACATTGCCCAGTTCTCAAGGCTCTTTTACTCTTGTGTCTTACAATCACCATGTGGGATAAGTCCTGGGATCCCCATTTTACAGATGCAGAGACTGAGGCTCAGAGAAAGGAAGCAGCTTGCCAGAGCTGGAGCCCAAACCCAGATCTTCCTGGTTATCTCAGGGCCTCACCTCCTTTTTTTGTGCCTCCTACCCGGGGCCTGGCTCTGTAGGCTAACTTCCTTTAGAGGCTACGGGCCACCCATCTGGGATGTGGGAAATAGGGACAGATATAACTGCTGGGGCCTGGAGAGGGAGACTCCCCTTTGTACCAAGGGCTCAGATGGAACTGAGGGCCTGTGCAGGGGAAGGCAGCAGGTGGGCAGGGGCTGGGGAGGCCTCAAGGTGAGACTCAGGGAGACACTGGAAGGCCAAGGGCACAGGGCAGAGGTAGGAGGTCAAGGTTGCTAACTGCCCCTTGGAGAAGGCAGCAGCCCTGCCAGCCTGTGAGCCAACCACTCTGGCGTGGCCCCGAGTCCCAGGGCTGGGCTCCCGTGAATGTGCTGGCAGCAGGAGACTTGCCTCCACACACACAGCGCTGGGAAGCACTCACTCACATGGCCCAGTGTTGACTCAACTGCCAGAGGCCCTGGGGGGCACCGGGAATCTTACCTAGTGTTGCTGGCCCATTCTTCAGTGCCTGCTGTGGAGGCCACCCCATGCCCAAGCCCCAAACCTGGTCAGCAGCCTCTCACTCCTACCTGATACAGGCCACTGACCTGCCCACCCTGTCCACTTGCCTGGCAACCTCCATCAATCATCTCTGGTCCTCTGTCCAGGCCCACTGGGCTCTGTCCCCTCGGCATGCCTTCCCCGGTGACCCCCTGACCCCCTTGATCTCCTACTGTAGCTCCCTTTAGTCTTTCAGCTCCTGGCTAGCTCCTGGCAGAACTTTCTTTTTTCTTTTTCTTTTTTTTTTTTTTTTTTTGAGACAGAATCTCACTCTGTCACCCAGGCTGGAGTACAGTCACTTAATCTTGGCTCACTGTAACCTCTGCCTCCTGGGTTCAAGCAATTCAATTCTCCTGCCTCAGCCTCCCGAGTAGCTGGGACTACAGGCGCCCGCCACCATGCCCGGCTAATTTTTGTATTTTTAGTAGAGATGGGATTTCACCACGTTGGCCAGGCTGGTCTCGAACTCCTGACTTCAGATGATCCACCCACCTCCGCCTCCCAAAGTGCTGGGATTACAGATGTGAGCCATGGCTCTTGTTGTTGTTGTTTTTTTTTTTAAGAGACTAGGTCTCGCTCTGTCACCCAGGCTGGAGTGCAGTGGTGTGATCATGGCTCACTGCAGCCTCTAAACTCATGGGATCAAGTGATGCTCTTGCCTCAGCTTCCTGAGTAGCTGGGACCACAGGTGGGTAGCACCATGCCTAGCTAATTTTAAACATTTTTTTTGTAGAGACAAGGTCTCATTGTATTGCCCGGGCTGTTCTAACTCCTGGGCTCAAGCGATCCTCCGGCCTCAGCCTCCTAAAGTGATGGGATTACAGTCATGAGTCACCATGCTTGGCCTGGGCAGGACTTTCTCAAGTGGAACTGCCTCACACACAGACTCCCTGGAGCTGGCAGGATGAAGCCCATGAACCTTGGCCTGGCTTGCTAAACCCTCCCTCCCGACTCCCTCAGGAGTTCGAGTCTGCCTTCTTTCTCCGGCTGGCTCCTCAGCTTAACGCGCTTTCCTCCAGGCAGCTCTCTCGGGCTTCGCAGTGACCCTTCCTCGGTGCTCCGCGGCAGCATGCTTCTGGCATCTCATCCCAACACAGTGAAGAGCAGCCAAGTGCGGCTGTGTGGCCCTGACCAAGTCATTTCACTTCAATTTTATGCTTTGGCTTTCACATCTTTCCACGGACGTGAATGGAGATGATCATGGTGCCGACCCCAAAGGATCCTTACACGTCTTAAAAAAGTGAGCCACGGAAAGGCCTCAGCCCAGTGCCTAGCAGAGAAGCAGCACATGGGAGGGAAGGAACGACCAGAGAAGACCCGTGGTGTGCCAGGCACTAGACCTGGGGCTCGGTGGCACATGTCAGCTCCTTGCAAGTGTGAAACAACTGGAGTGCAGCGAGCATCAGTAACTCACCCTAAGTCACACATCTGGTAAACAGCAAAGCCTGGATTTGAACCCAGGTTTTCCCATGACATCAGATAAGACGGCAATCACCACCTCCTTCTAACCCACCCTGCCTCACCTGCTCCATCCTTACGACTTCAGGTGTCACCTCCCAGCTGGGTTTAAGGGGCTGAGTTGTCCACTCTGATCTTCTCCAAGCACAAACTGCAAAGCAGACCAGAAAGCAGCTGGTCCTGACTCCAGGGCTACCCACAGATGCCCCTGCACCTCCTCATGCTCCTGTGCTCCTGTGTGATGTCCTGGACTGTGTGATGACCAGGCTGGGGAAGTCCCAATCTGAAGAGACCAAGCGCTCTCTGACAATGTGCTGATCTAATCACGTACAACTTAAGACAAAGTTAACCCGTCTCATTGAATGATATGGTATAATGGTGATGACTGAGCTGCCCAGTAATTGTGCTCAACCAGGAAGCAGCTCATGGAGTCAGTTGTAATTAGTATTTGTGTTACACAGGTGAGTGGGTGGGTGAGGGCTGGGCAGAGGGAGGAGGAAGTGGGTGGGGCAGGAAGCTCTGGGGACTCCTTGGATCCATGAACCCCATGCCAGCCAACTCATGTGGTTGATCCTGTCTAACCTTCATGATGACCTCATGATGTACTGTTATCTCTCTTCTAAGGTGAGAAAACAGGCTCAGAGAAGTCCATTCACTTGTCCAAGATCAGACAGCTAGAAAATGACAGAGCCAGGGTTCCCTCTTCAGCCCAGGCGATGTCTTGGACAGCAGAAGGAACAGGAATAGGGCTGGGAGGCTGGAGATCCACATCTCGGTCCCAGTTCTAACACTGCCTTACCCTGGGCCTCAGCAAGTAGCATCCCTCTTCAGGATACAAAGAGATAGTATGTCTGTCAGGTTGCAGACGGCTGAGGGTGTGGACTTGGGAGCTAGGCTCCTTGGATTCTAATCCTTGGGCAAGCTACTTCACCATCTGAGCCTCAGTGTCCTCATCTGTAAAATGGAGATGACAACAGTGTCTCCCTCATAGGCTTGTGAAGATAAAACGAGTAACAAGACTTAGAACAATGCCTGAATATTATTGTCATTTATGGGGAAAAAATGAGCTTTGCTGTCCATTTTTCATCTGTAAAATGGGGAAGTAGTTGCTGGATCTGAACAGTGGTTTGCAAACAGATTTTTTTTCATTCCATAGAGTCCTTTATTTAAAAAACTAAACACAGCAACCCAAAATACAAAAGAGATGTAAGTGGAGCTGCCACTTAGGCACTCAATGAGCTCATATCCTGACCCTGAACCCAGCTCCCTCAGGGGTTCTAAGGAATGGAGTTTGAAAAATCACTCAACTGTCTCTGAGAACTGGTGGCTCTAAGCTGAGATCAGGGTCGGGTGGAAGCAGGAAACCATGGCATGGGCCAGGATGCTGCTCACCCACTGGAGGCAGCACATGGGGGCTGTGGGACACGCAGGGTTCCCTGCTGCTGGCCTGCTGGCTGCCACCATTCCAGCTGGACAACAGTATCCCCAGGAGGCGGCTGAGAAGCAGGGAGAAGAACACCAGGCTTGGAGTCAGGTGGGTGGCTCTGGGCAGGTCGTGTCCCTCTCTGGGGCCCATTTTCCTCACCTCTAAGAGAGGGATGGTAACACTGCACTCATCAGGGGTCCTAAGGACAAAATTGCATCACACATGTGAAAAGGCTTTGCAACGGAAAGACTGCCCTGAATGACTTTTTTTTTTTTGAGACAGAGTCTTGCTCTGTTGCCCTAGCTGGAGTGTAGTAGTGCAAACTCAGCTCACTCCAACCTCCGCCTCCTGGGCTCAAGCAATTCTCCTACCTCAGCCTCCCAAGTAGCTGGGACCACAGACATGTTCCACCACACCCGGCTAATTTTTTATATTTTTCATAGAGATGAGGTTTTGCCATGTTGGCCAGGCTGGTCTCAAACTCCTGACCTCAAGTGATCTGCCCGCCTTGGCCTCCCAAAGTGCTTGGATTACAGGTGTGAGCCACCGTGCCCAGCCCTGAATTACTATTTTTGCTCCCTTCTGGTAGACTTTTTTTTCTTCTTAAGAGCATAGACTCTGAAGCCAGACTACATAGGTTCAAGTCTCCACTCCAGCATCACTAGCTGATTGCTCAACATCCAGCTACTGAGCCTGTTTCCTAGGAGTACAATGAAAATATAAGGTGCTTTGTATAGTGCCTGGTACACAGCAAGTGCTCCATAAGTGTTTGCTGCTCTTGGGTTTGGAGGACAATAATGGCAAACTTGCTCCCTAGCACTCATGTCCAGTGTAGACAAACCTGAAGAGGGTGTGTCTCCTCCTGACCCAGTGTAGACAAAGCTGAAGAGGGTGTGTCTCCTCCTGACCCTCTCAAAGTACACAGGTGAAAAGCAGGAGTGAGAATGTTTGGGTTCTGAGCTCACACATGGACCAAGCTTCCCTAGGCTGGCTTGGGGCTATGTCTGACTTCTGTTCTTAAAAAGCCAATTCATGGGCCGGGCGCGGTGGCTCACACCTGCAATCCCAGCACTTTGGGAGGCCGAGGCGGGCGGATCACGAGGTCAGGAGATAGAGACCATCCTGGCTAACACGGTGAAACCCCGTCTCTACTAAAAATACAAAAAATTAGCTTGGCGAGGTGGCGGGCGCCTGTAGTCCCAGCTACTTGGGAGGCTGAGGCAGGAGAATGGCGTGAACCCCAGGGGGCGGAGCCTGCAGTGAGCCGAGATCACGCCACTGCACTCCAGCCTGGGCGACAGCGAGACTCCGTCTCAAAAAACAAACAAACAAACAAACAAACAAAAAGCCAATTCATGCTGGGTGCAGTGGCTCACACCTATAATCCCAGCACTTTGGGAGGCTGAGGTGGGAGGATTGCTTTGAGCTCAGGAGAGAGCAGCCTGGGCAACAGGGCAAAAACCCATCTCTACAAAAAAAAAATACAAAAAATTAGCCAGGTATGGTGGCGTGGTGGCTCACATCTGTGGTTCCAGCTACTCAAGAGGCTGAGGCAGGGGAATTACTTGAACCCAGGAGGTGGAGGTTGCCGTGAGCCGAGATTGCACCACTGTACTTCAGCCTGGGTGACAGAGTGAGACCCTGTCTCAGAAAAAAAAAAAAAAAAAAAAAAAAAAAGGCCAATTCAACAGCCATCTCCTGCAAGTTCTGTGATGCCAGGCCCTCACCACAACCCTGTGTGGTAGGTAGCACTGTTCCCATTTGACAGATGAGGAGACTGAGGCTCAGAGAGGTGACATGGCCACCTTGAGGCCAGACCGCCCCTTCCAGGCCAGGCTCACTAGGCTCCCCTGATGTGGAGCTGCAGGAAAGCACGTGAGGCCCAAGTGCGGCCCAAAACTGCATGGCATTCTAGCAGGCAGTGCATTCTCAGAGTGGGGAGACCCAGCGGGTATTAGGTCTTAGTCAGAAACCAACCTTAGCCCCAAAGGAACCAGCAGCTTAACAGGCTAAGTTCCCCACGTCCAGCCCCACGCCACCTGTTCCAGGAGGCCCTCTTTGAACAGTCCTGCCACCTCCCCCTCTTCTGGCCCAGGCCCCACACCAAGCCCCTTGCTGTGCACCAGGGTGGTGCTAAGCGCCCTACACACATCACTCTTTTTAATCCTGCCAACAACTTTCTGGCTCTGTGACCCGGGGAGTCTACCTGTCTGAGCCTCGACTTTCTCATTGGTGAAACGGTGATGATAACAGCTCATATCTCAGAACTGGGTGTGAGGATCAAATTAGGAAAATCCGTTAATAATGGCAAATACTTATTTGGCACTTACTGCATATCAGGCCCTGACTCGGTGACTTACAAGTAAGATAAGGGCCAGAGAGGATCTGGATGTGTCTGCTGGCCCCTTCCTGCCATGCCCCTTTTCAGGCTCCAGAAATGACCACAGACCCTTTTCCCAACCCCCTGCCCTGAGGAATGCACAGAACGCCAGAGTGGGAGCCAGAAGTCCTGGCATGAGTTCAAGCCGAGTGCTCCCTGGGCCTCAGTTTCCTCCCCTGGCCCGCCCTGCCCCCTTTGGAGGTGGAAGGTGATGACGGAAATGTAGCAGTGTTTTGCCTGGTGATGTTTATATTCCCCTCCCGTACCTTCCCCAAATGACAGGCTTGTCCAGATGAATCACCAGGGGGCAGGAATGCCCCAGCTGTTGGCCCCTGGGCAGCAGCAGCCTGCCGTGGCCCTGGGCCTGGGCTGGCTGATTTCTCTATCCTCATCTCCAGCTCTCCCCTGCCACCCCCCGGGCCTGGGCTCTACCCAGCCAGGCTCCTGCTATTTCTGCCCCCACTTGCCCAGTGCTTTCTATGCCTCTCATGGCTCCTCATCCACTAGGCTTCCATCTACCCAGCCCCACCACTGGCTGCTTTCCCAGAACTCCCTAAAACTGGGCTCCACCAACTGATAGCCAAGGTGCCCAGACATGCAAAGTGCCCGAGCCAGGGCAATCCCAGCAGGGTGGGGCCGTGGTACTCTCTCCTCACCTGTTCAGGGAGGTGGCACCGTGGTGGCTGTCAAAGCTCCGCCCAAGTGGCATAACCATCCCCAGCGGCCTCACCCTCCACCCTTGCCCTCGAGAGGAACATTTGTAGTGGTGGGGAACACAGATTGTGGAGAAACAGTCAGAATTCAAATCCTGGCTCTCCCAAGCACTCACTCCATAACCTTGGGCAAATCACTTAATCCCTCTCTATGGCTCAGCTTACTCATCTGTAAAGTGGATCTATTAATAAATTGTTACAAGGATTACATGACTTACTAATAGAGAGCACTTAGGACAGGACCTGAAACAAAGGAAGCACTCAGGAAATACCAGCTGTGATTATTACTAACATTCCAACTGGCCCAAGGCAGAACTCACAAACTGGCCATCTGGCCCACAGATGTGAATTATTTGGCCTACGGCACTAGGAATTTTGTTGTTGTTGTTGTTTTTTGAGACAGGGTCTCAATCTGTCCCTCAGGCTGGAGTACAGGGGCACCATCTCAGCTCGCTGCAACCTCCGACTCCTAGGCTCAAGCAATGCTCCTGCCTCAGCCTTCCGAGTAGCTGGGACTAGGAGGCATGCGCCATCATACCTGGCTAATTTTTTGTATTTTTAATAGATAGGGGGTTTTGCCATGTTGGCCAGGCTGGTCTCGAACTCTTGACCTCAAGTGATCTGCCTGCCTCGACCTCCCAAAGTGTTGGGATTACAGGCATGAGTCACCGTGCCTGGCTTAGAAAAGTTTTTGAAATGTAACACTTTGGGGATATTATTTCAAAAAAATGAATAGTTTCCATTTTCCTTAAAAAAAAAAAAGGGCCGGGCGCAGTGGCTCACGCCTGTAATCCCAGCACTCTGGGAGGCTGAGGCAGGCGGATCACGAGGTCAGCAGATCGAGACCATCCTGGCCAATACAGTGAAACCCTGTCTCTACTAAAAAATACAAAAAATTAGCCAGGTGTGGTGGCGGGCGCCTGTAGTCCCAGCTATTTGGGAGGCTGAGGCAGGAGAATGGCGTGAACCCGGGAGGCGGAGCTTGCAGTGAGCCGAGATCGCGCCACGGCACTCCAGCCTGGGCAACAGAGCGAGACTCCCTCTCAAAAAAAAAAAAAAAAAAAAAAAAAAAAGATACGCCAATGCTGGGACCACATTCTCCACGTGGTGGCTGGGGCTGAGGAGTGGCCACCTCCTCTGGACAGGCCACGAGTCCCTGGGGTTCCACAGCCCACCCCAACCCCTTATCTCCTCCTCACTGTGGCCCCAGGGTGAGCTGCCAATTTTCATCATGTCAATGTTGTTTCTTACTTTTAAAAAAGAGAGAAATATTTCTCATATCCTTGTCTTGGTCAAAAGTGAAATGATTTACATGCAGCTTCAAAACAAGAAAACTAAGCCATATGGCGACAGACATCAGAACAGCAGCCACCTCCGAGGATGAGACTTACTGGAAGGGCACATGAGGGAATGTTCTGGGGAATGAGAATGTCCTGGAAATACCCTCTATCTTGATTCTGTGGTTACACAGGTGTCTACATTTGTCAAAACTCCTCAGCCCTCACTTGTGCATTTCACTGTAATGGAAATTACACCTTATTAAGAAAAAAAAATGGAAAACTGAAAGATAGGTCTGGAGGGGCTCATGTTTCAAGGAAAACAGAAACTGATTCCTTTGTAGTGCTGAACATACTGACGACTGGGAAAGAAGACACAACTGAAGATGCCTCTGCAAAATCAGCCCGGTCCCATCCTTGGTCCCTGCTTACGTTTGAGTTTGAGACCCACAGGTTAAGGCCTTGAACGACATCTTCAAAGATCTATGCAGAACTACGACATCCAACATAGAAGCGCCATGAGCCACATGTGGCTATTTCAATCAAATTAATTAAAAATAAAGTGAAAAATTCAACCCTCCTTTGCACTAGCCACATGTCAAATGCTTCATAGCCACACATAGGCTCGACAGCATAGACACAGGCCGTTTCTATCATCCCAGAAAGTTCCACTGGACAACACTGGTGTACACACAGTCTACAAAGCCAGGCTAACTTCTGGTCTGATTAACATCTGGATCCCTGGGCAAGGCAGGCACCATGAACACTGCTGTGCAGTGCTTGACAGAGAGCAGGTACTCAGGAAATACGAGTTGAATGAATGAATGAAGGCAAAAGAAATAAACAGACTTGAGTGAATCCCAACTCAGGCCTCCGACAACTGTAAATGTTCCAGCAAACCTCTCCTCTGAGTTTTCGTTTTCTCTGTATAGAGAATGGCATAACAATCTGTCCCTCACTCTCAAAACTGGGCACATACACCAACGTCCTCAGGGTCGCTCAGACCACCGGGGCCAAGAAGGACTCACAGGAGAACCGCTGTGTCAGCAGTCCCATCTGGAAATTCTAGAACAGGAGGGAGGCAAGGGAGCTGTGTAAGGGGCAGTGGGAGCATTTCAGTTCGTGAGAGTGGCCTCTGGAAAGGGCGGGTACGGGTGGTAAAGAGACAACAGGCTGGGCTCCACTCTGTGGGTTTGGGAGGGAGGGCTGCTGAGCACAGGGAAAAATCTACGTTCGCCCCCATGCCTGGTGGCTGGAATCTGAGCTGGAAAACAGCATCAGACACCCACAAATACCGCTGTGGTCATGGTGGCAGGACAGGGAGCCACCTCGATCCCCAGAGAGAACCCTCTGTTCTGAGTGGAATGGACCCCCCATCAGGGCAGACTGATACAGGGCCTGCCCCAAGGGCTGCTAGGAACAAAGAGGGCTGGCTGGGCCCTGAGCAAGCAGCTGGCCTGGGTTTGTCTTCCCAGCATCCATCCTTCTCCACATCCAGCCATATGGGGCCTCCTGGACGCTGGGGATGTCAATGTCATTGTCTGTGTATTCATTTGCTCATTCATTCATTCAACAAATATTTATTATGTACCTACTATGTGCCAAAAAATGAGCTTCCCACCAGGAATACATTAAACAAAACAAAGCGTTTGCTGTCAGGAGCTTGAATTGTAATACAGGGAGAGACAATAAACAATGTTACTAAGAGTCGCAATATTAACAATAGCATCTTACATTTATTGAGTGCTTACTGTGTGCCACATACTATATGTTAAGTGTTTTTTTGTTTTTTTTTTTTTCAGATGGAGTTTGGAGTTTCGCTCTTGTTGCCCAGGCTGGAGTGCAATGGCGTGATCTCAGCTCACTGCAACCTCCGCCTCCTGGGTTCAAGCGATTCTCCCGCCTCGGCCTCTTGAGTAGCTGGGATTACAGGTGCCCACCACCACGCCTGGCTAATTTTTGTATTTTTAGTAGGGACGGCGTTTCACCATGTTGGCCAGGCTGTCTCGAACTCCTGACCTCAGGTGATCTGCCCACCTCGGCCTCCCAAAGTGGGATTACAGGCCTGAGCCACTGCACCCGGCCATATTATTGACCCTATTTTGTAGGTGAGAAAGCTGAGGCACAGAAAGGTTACAGTCAAGATCATCCAGCTCTAAGGCATTTGGGATCTGAACCCAGGCAATATGACTCCAACTTGACCCTAACCAGTACAGTGATGGCCTCACTGCAGAGAGCGATGAGTGTTACAAAGACAGGGCAGCAGCGAGGTGTGCTCAAGCCTCTGGGGAGGAGTCGAGGAAGGTCTCCATGAGCCCTGTCTGACCAACCCCCCCAATCTACAGATGAACTAACTGAGGCCCCCTGGACATGCTGAGTCAGGGACACAGTCAGGACTAGAAGCCAGGCTTTTATACTCCCGGCCCAGTGCTCCTTCCAAAGCCCTGCAACTGTGCCACAAATGCTAAGGGCCTGGCAGCGAGGACTGAGCCAACTCTTGGGCTTAGGATGACTGAGGTCCACCGAGGACTCCCTCGTCTCCCTGCACTCAAGACTCTCCCCTTCCTCTGGGTCCAGCATGGGTCTCAGCTCCCAGACTGCTCCCTGCTTAGAACTCCTGTCCACATTACCCCAGCCCGGGCCCTGTAATGCTGGCTTTAACATTTCCAAAGCGGGCTCGTTCCCTTTAATTCACTTTTGCTCTTCACAGCGACTCTGGGGGGCTGGAGCTAGCATCTCCACATCATGGGTGGAAGATAGATCTCAAGGTCAGACACATTTGGCTGCTTAGCAGCTGTGTGATGTTGAGCGAGTCATGTCACCTCTCGGAGCCTCAATTTCCTCCCTCTGCATGGTGAGGGTGGCAGTGGCTTCCTTGCCGGGGGTTATGAGCATCTAGTGAGACACCACTAGAGTCTGTGTAAAGTGCCAAGCACAGTGGCTGGCACATATTAAGTATTTCATAAAAAGCAAGTTTTAAACATGATCACTACAGTCATTGATGTGAGGACGTCAGCAGCAGAGGGGCCTCCAGAGGACATTTTCTTGCACCCCAGGAGGCATTCCTGTCATTTGTCCCCACTGGGTCTGGGGCTGGGGCTTCTTTGTACCTCTGAGGTACAAAGTGGAAGCTCTGCCTGGCTGGCAAGACCAGACCTGTTGTGGCGGCCAGGCTGTACCCACGCAGGGCCACTGCTCCTAGGGCACTGGGCTCCAGACAGAAAATGGGAAGGGACAGATAAGCCTCTATGAAAGGTGGCCAGGCACAGGAAAGAGGCCCTGCCCCCTTGAGAGGGAGGCCCTGCCCCCTTGAGAGGTTGGCCCCGCCTTGAGCATCCTTGTCAGGCAGAGATCTGGGCAGGACAGAAGAGAGGAGGTGCCTGGCTCAGTTTTGCTGCGATCCCAATGGGTCACACGCCTTCTGGATCCCCCCAGAAGGTCTAGAATGGGGTCACCCCTCAAAACCTCCCTGGCTCACTCTTAGCTTGGAACCATGAACGAGCTTGCTCCCACCCACATGGAAAGCAGCTGCCCTTCCCCTGGAGACATTTTCCACTTCTCTACCTCCAGACCTCTGCTCATGCTGTTTCCTCCACCTGGTAAACCTCACTCTCTGCTGTGCTGTCAGAAAATGGCCAACCTTTTGAGTCTCAGCTGAAATGGCACTCCCTTTGCCCCAGCTTTAGTTTAACAAGCATTTGTGCATGCTCTGGAGATGGGCTGTCCTGCCCTCATACACCCTGCTAGGGCCTAGCCAATGAGGGACAACCGGAAGTCTTACCCTCCAGCCCCCACCCCGGAGACCACCTGTGTAGGACCCCCAGGGGTTGCCAGGATCCTCCCCACAAACGGCAAAGCACTCTCTATTTGGGGGAACAGCCCTTCTCTGGAATTGGGAGTAACAAGAGGAAGGGAGGAAGGGCGTCTTGTGAGAGGGAGGGGCCAGGAGGCCTGAGGGAGCTCTGGCGTGTGTTCCAGAAACCCTTTGGGATCAGAGACAAGATCAAAGAGGCAGCCTTCATGAGGCTGTCCAGGGCCCTGGACATGGACCCAGGAAAATTGGCTGGGTGACCTCAAGCAAGTTACTTGCCCTTGCTGAGCCTCAACCTCCTCATTTGTGAAACAGGGCTAGTACCCCCAACCTCTGAATGAGACGGTGAACAGCCTTTGTGCATGGGAGGGGCTTGAGTCTGGGTACTGAGGGGCGAGCTGGGGCCTGAGCGAATGCTGCAAGTCCCCCAGGGCTCCTTCTCTGATGCCGTGTCTCAGAGCCCCCTCCCCTTCCTGCCTGCCCAGGGTTTCCCTTGCTAGGAGCAGTTTTAAAACTCCCCAGTACCTGGGCTATGAGCCACAGCTTCTTAAAGTTCCCCATCTCCTGCAGCAGGCTTAGTTGGACTGAGCCAGAGCCCATCATTCACTGTTTCTGGAGATTATCACAGTTTGCAGAAACAGCAGGGCACCTAGCAGGAATCTGGCACAGGCTCCTCGCTAGTTGGGACTGGAACTGGGCCAGGACAGCACCTCGTGTCCTCTAAAAGGATCCACAGGGCCTTCCCTCTCTCCTTTCCCCTCACTCAGGCACACTGGGGTTCCAGAGTTCTAGGGCCACATCCCAGACACAGGCACTGCAGTCTTGTCCCCACTGGGATATGAGACACAGAAAGAACCCTGGGCTGGAGTCAGGGGAGGATGGTCACTCCCCCTCTGTGGTTAAGGACAGAAACTCTGGAGCCAGACTGCTGGCGTTCAAACCCTGGCTCTGTCATTTACCAACTGTGACCTTGAGTGAGTTACTTAACCTCTCTGTGCCTCTGTCTTCTCACCTGTAAAGTGGTGAATCACAGTACCCGTCCCACCAAGTTGTTGGGAGGATGCAGTTAGTTACCCAGAAAGTGTTTGGAGTAGTGCCTGGTATGCAGTGAGCGCTGGCTTGGTTGGGTGAATGAATGGGTGCATGAAGGAATGAGTCAATGCGTCGGAGCTCTGCTCTGTGGCACGAGGCCCTTCAGGATCTGCCCGGACATCAGCACCTGCCATTGTCCCAAGCAGGTCATGATCACATCCTTCCCACCAGCTTCCTTGGCTTGGCATAACCTCACCATTGCTGTTAGTCCCAAGAACTCCTTCAACACATGCTTCAAATGCCACCTCCTCTCTGAAGCCTCTTCAATCAGGACCCTCAGGGCTGTTAATGATAAAAACCAAACCCAGCTGGATTTTCTTTTTTTTTCTTTCTTTTTTTTTTTTTTTTTGAGACGTTTTGAGACGGAGTCTCGCTCTGTCGCCCAGGCTAGAGTGTAGTGGCGCGATCTCGGCTCACTGCAAGCTCCGCCTCCCGGGTTCACGCCATTCTCCTGCCTCAGCCTCCCGAGTAGGTGGGACTACAGGCGCCCGCCACCACACCCGGCTATTTCTTGTATTTTTAGTAGAGACGGGGTTTCACCGTGTTAGCCAGGATGGTCTCGATCTCCTGACCTCGTGTCGTGATCCACCCGCCTCGGCCTCCCAAAGTGCTGGGATTACAGGCGTGAGCCACTGTGCCAGGCCCCAGCTGGATTTTCTAACAAAACAAACATCTTGGCTCACATTGCCTCAGAGGGAGGGAGGGAGGATCATCAGGCAGGAGACGATCCAGGAGTTCAGATGCTGCTGCTAGATTTCTCTCCCCTGCCTCATCTTCCATGCCTCATCTTCCCCTTGTGTGTTACCTTCACTCTCATCTCTGAGATTAGACATCCTTCACACCCAGAGAATTCGGCCAGGCTTACCTTGTGGTAGCTGAGAGCCCTAGAGAAAAAAAACCTTCTCTCTCCCTGGGCTGAATTAGAAAGTCCCAGGGAAGAACTCTGATTGGCCAGGCCTGTTTCCTGTGCCCTCCCCTGTGACTTAGTAGAGGTGGGGCCTGATGCTGTGATTGACAGCCTGGTTAATCGGCTAAACTCAGTAGGCGTGTCCCATGCACCACAAGGAATTGGGGAGGAACAATTCCCAAAGGAAGGAGGTTGCTGTTAGCAGAAGAAAGGCAAAACAACCTGTGTCCACATCATCCCTCCTGCCACCTCTGGCCCTGTGCTTTCACTGCACTCTGCACACACCCCCAGCAGACCCCACCCGAGCTTCCAGGGATGATTTGGGTACTTGGGTATGGGTGACTGTCCCTGCCACTGGACGATGAAGTCTTAAAGGGCCAAGACTCTGGTCACCTTGGCTCTCCCAGCCCTCTGCTCTGTCCCTGATCATAAACTACTTTTGACGAACGAAGAAAACGAAGGATCAAGGAATAGAAGGGGTTGTGTAAGGGGCCAACCAGGATGAAAATCTTCATCTAGGCTCTTCCAACCCTACCCTGCAGCCTCCTCCCTCAACCCACAATCAGCAACATATCCTACAAAAACATGTTGACAAGGAAACCATCACCCACCCCTCAGGAGGCAAGAGATGGCCCCAGCTCAGTGCCCCTGTGAGGAAAGCTGGACCTACATTCAAAACCAGCTTCTGTCAAAGACACATTCTGCCATCGTGGGCAATCAGGCTGGTAGTGAGGATGAAATGAGAGAATGTAGACAAAGTGTGTGGCACACAATAGGGACTTGATGAATGGGGGCTGTTGTTTTCAGAGTGGGGCTCCCTGGCCAGCTCAGGGCCATGGCTGGGTCTGGCTGGCTGCCCACACCACAGGGCCTGCAGGGTCACACCCCCAGTGCCTCCCTTTTGTTGCCCAACATGCAGGAATGTTCATAGCATCTGTGCCCTCCTCTGTCCACCCATTTATAAACTCAGTAGGCGTGTCCCATGCACCACCAACAGCGCAGGCTTCCAGGGCAAGTGAGAAAAGAGCATGCGGGCCGGGCATGGGGGTTCACGCCTGTGATCCCAGCACTTTGGGAGGCTGAGGCAGGAGGATCGCTTGAGACCAGCAGTTTGAGACCAGCCTGGGGAACATAGTGAGACCCTGTCTCCACAAAAAAAAAAAAAAAAAAAAATTAGCCTGGTGTAGTGCCTCATGCCTGCAATCCCAGCACTTTCGGAGGTCGAGGTGGGAGGATCGCTTGAGCTCAGGAGTTCAAGATCAGCCTGGGCAACATTGTAAAACCCCAACTCTACAAAAAAATATAAAAATTAGCAGGCGTGGTGGTGCACATCTGTAGTCCCAGCTACTCAGGAGGCTGAGGTGGGAGGATTGCTTGAGCCCTAGGAGGTTGAGGTTGCAGTGAGCAGTGATTGTGCCACTGCACTCCAGCCTGAAAGAGTGAAATCCTGTCTCAAAAAAAAATTTTTTTAAATTTAAAAAATTGGCCGGATACAGTGGCTCACACCTGTAATCCCAGCACTTTGGGAGGCTGAGGCGGGCAGATCACTTGAGGTCAGGAGTTCAAGACCAGCCTGGCCAAATGGTGAAACCCCATCTCTATTAGAAATATAAAAATTAGCCGGGCATGGCAGTGCATGCCTCTAATTCCAGCTACTGGGGAGGCTGAGGCACAAGAATTGCTTGAACCCAGGAGGCGGAGGTTGCAGTGAACTGAGATCATGCCACTGCACTCCAGCCTGAGCGACAGAGTGAGATTCTGTCTCAAAAAAAAAAAAAAAAAAATTTTTTTTTTAATTAGTCTGGTGTGGTGGCACATACCTATCGTCCTAGCTACTCAGGAGGCTAAGGCGGGAGGATCGCTTGAGCTCAGGAGTTCAAGACCAGCCTGGAAAACAATGCAAAACCTTGTCTCTACAAAAAATATAAAAATTAGCTGGGCATGGTGGGGGGCACCTGTAGTCCCAGCTACTCAGGAGGCTGAGGTGGGAGGATTGCTTGAGCCCCAGGAGGCTGAGGCTGCAGTGAGCTGTGATTGCATCCCTGCACTCCAGCCTGAAAGACAGAGTAAAATCCTGTCTCAAAAAAATAATTTTAAAAATTTAAAAAATTAGCCTGGTGTGGTGGCACACACCTATCATCCTAGCCACTCAGGAGGCTGAGGCAGGAGGATCGCTTGAGCTCAGGGAGGTCAAGGTTACTGTGAGCTATGATTGCGCCACTTCTCTCTGGCCTTAGTGACAAAGCAAGACCCTGTCTCTTAAATAAATAAATAAAAAGAGCAAGCAGCATCCCCAGCTGACACAGCACGTGTCCCATGTGCTGTCCTGTCACTGAGAGGTAGGAGGATGCAGCAGGCTGGAGTGTGGTGGACATGGGTCTATACCGCCTGTATTCAAATCCCAGCTCTGCCTACTACTATTTGTTTGACTTGGGCAAGTGATATGACCTCCCTGTGCCTTGGTTTATCATTAAAAAAACAAAGCTAATAATAGCCCCACTCTCATAGGTAGCTATGAGAATTAAAATAGTTCAAAGACACAAAGTATTGTGATCACCAGCACTGCTATTTGATCCTCTCATGCAGATGTAAGGTAAATACTATCATTGTCTCTCATTTTGCAGATGCTAAAACTGCAACTCAGAGAGGGGTAGTGACTTGCTTGGATCACACAGCCAGAAAGTGACAGGGCAGGACTGGACACCAGGTCTGTCTGACTCTAAACTACTTATTGTTTCCACTCTGCCCTCTGCGCCCCACTATTCCCTCCTGGACTCTGATGCCTCTGTGCTTGTCCCCTCACCTGCCCACAATGCCAAGGCCAACTCCCCTTGTCTAGCCCCAGCCAATCAGGGTGGACCTGCAGCCAAACCAGATGCTGCTGAGCTGGCGTTGCCTCGGTGACCAGGCATATCTGCTGGACAAGCCCACCCCAGGCTCAGCTTCCCATCTGGTCCCCAGTACACTCCATCCCCCTCAAGACACATGTGTCATGCTTGCCTGGGGGGATGGAGGGAGCCCGGGAGGAAACGCCTGGCTGGGGAGAGGAGGGCTGATTCCAGCTGACAGTGGGGGAATGATGACTGCATTGGCTCAGGAGGACAGGAGCTGCCCTAGCTGCAGTCTTGGTCCAGAGTGGTCCCAGGCCCAGAGCAGAGCTGGGCGGGGATGAGAACTAGGGAGAGGAATACATGATGCAGGTGGGAGTGGGGGAGCAGGGGGCTGAGCACCAGGCTCAGATCCAATGAGAACAAGCTGCTCCCTCAACCTTGGAGTGGAAAGAACAAAGGTTCTGGAACAGACAGACCTCAGCTGGACTCTCTGTAATTTACTGCTGTGTGACCCTGGGTGAGTTGCCTTACCTCTCTGAGCATGTGTTCTCATCTATAAAATGGGGACATGTGAACCTACTTCACTGGGCTATGGTGGGAATTAAGGCGATAATCCATGAAAAGGCACATGGGGAATTCAAGTGCTGCCTCCTAAAGAGAGGCACTGCCAAGGTAATGCCTGTGGCACAGGAATGTCCCGGCTCACGGAGAACGGGTACGAGCAGCTGGAATGACCCTGGGTTCAACCTGAGCAGTAGTGTGGCCTGGGTTACAGATGTAGGGGCAATGATGACAGTGCTGAGGCTGCAGCTGCTAAACGGTAACACCAACGACATGGCACCAGCAAAAGCCACATCTTGAGCAATGACTTCATTCTAGGTTCCGTGCTAAGCACTTTACGTGTGTTTTCTAATTAACCATAACAGCAACCCCACGTGAAAGATGTGGAATAAGAGACACAGAGAGGTTAAGTAACAAGTCCAAGGTTGCACAGCTGGTAAAAAGATGGGATCAAATTTGAACCCAATTTCTACCCGATACTCAGGCATTATGGGAGCCTGCAGAATGGCGTGGGAGTTCTGGGAAGGGGGCGCTGGCTAGGCCCTTCCTGGGACACTCACGCAGCCACATTCCCAAACCCCCTCCCGGGCCCCCAAATTCCTGGCTCGGTAGTGATACAGCCTGAGCTCCTCCTCTCCCTCCAGGGCTTGGCTCAGTTCAGTCCCATTCGGGAGCCAATCTGCCATTGCACAATTAACAATTAGGAACAACTTTTCTTTTCTTCCAAGGCAGGGATCGGCCCCAGCCCTGGTGACAGGGACACAGTGGGGCTTCTGACAGAACCTACTAGGTATGTCCCCAGCCCCTTGCCAAGCTGGGTGACCCCTTTCCTAACCCAGCCCAGTCAGGAAATCAAGGGTCAGACAGCCCCTCTCCATCTTCCTTTGTCATCTAAATCCAACCTCCCCTCCAGGGAACTTCCTGACTGTCCTGGCTCACAGCTTTCACGTGTTCCTAAGACCCCAACGCCACTGATTCTTTGTCTATTCAGTCAGTACCTGGCCTGTGCCATTTCCATGGGATCATGTATCTTTATCTACTGCAAGCAACTTGAGTTTGTTTGTTGTTGTTTTTGTAAACAACACTGTGCTTATCCCTCTCAATACCAAATCTAGTCCAGGACGCATAGAAACTGTTTGACCTATGGTCTGCTTCTTGGCTTGGAGAACTCCTATTCACCCTCCAAAACCCAGATGAAATGTCATCTCCTCTATGAAGTCTTCCTCTGTGTCCCATGCTGCCCCATCTGTATGTATCTGTAGTGATTTGTATGTATCCCCAGTAGAAAACCCTCCCTTGTACTGTAATTAATAACTACTATCCAGGCACTGTGTTAAGACTGTCACACTCATTAATTTCAAATCTATCTCTCTGCAAGCCAGAGTCAATACCTATTTAACAGATGGGGGTGATAAGGCTCAGAAAGGTTAAGAGGCTTGCCTAAAATCACACAGCTAATAAGTGGCAGATCTGTAATTTGAGCCCAGGTCTGCTCATGTCCCAAGCAAATAATTCTTTGGTTGGTTCAGGCTGCCACCTCCATCCAACTGCAGCTGAATCCGATGCCTACTGGGGTCCCAACCTTTGCAGTTCCCCAATGGATCAACCTCAGAGATGAGCTGTCACTCAGCCCCAATGTCTGGGGTATCCCAGGCCAAAGGTGATCTACCAGCTGGTGCCACCTCACCCTCACGGCGTCTAGGACAACCTGGAAAGTCCTAGGGGCTTGTATATAGGCAACTAGGCATTAAAAGCTGCTCCTGGCCGGGCATGGGGGCTCAGGTTTGTAGTCCCAGCACTTTGGGAGGCCAAGGCAGGCAGATCACTTGAGGTCAGGAGTTTGAGACCAGCCTGGCCAACATGGTGAAACTCCATCTCTACTAAAAATACAAAAATTAGACAGGTGTGGTAGCGCATGCCTGTAATCCCAGCTACTTGCGAGGCTGAGGTGTGAGAATCACTTGAACCCAGGAGGCAGAGGTTGCAGTGAGCTGTGTGCCACTGCACTCCAGCCTGGGTGACAGAGCAAGACTCTGTCTCAAAAAAAAAAAAAAAAAAAAAAAGCTGGCCCTATTTTCCCCATATTCTAGGATTCTAGGGCTCTATGAATCCACTCCCTCTGTCTACACAGGCAGCGTCAGGAAAGAGTGCTGGTTCTGGAGTCAGTCAACCTGGGTACCGGCTGTAGGACCTTAAGAATGGGACTTAACCTCTCTGGTGCCACAGTCAGCTTACCTGTGATTTGGGAGAACCCCTCCTCACAGTGACTGAGTGCGGCTGTGTAAGTTGAGTACCTGCCACAGTAGCTGGCACATGTCCTCTTGTCTAGGGAACAGATTTACTACACGCACACAATGCGCCAGACACTGTTCTTGGTGCTGTTTACAGCAGCAAATCAGAAGAACATTACTGTCCTTAAGGGGTTTTTCACCCTCAGAACAGCAACCCCAATATTGTTGGCCTGTTCTCTCAGTGAGGAATCCCATGATGCCGTGGGTTTATCTGATTCTAGTTTTTTGTTTGTTTGTTTGTTTTTTGAGAAAGAGTCTTGCTCTGTTGCCCAGGCTGGAGTGCAGTGGCACGATCTCGGCTCACTACAACCTCTGCCTCCTGGGTTCAAGCAATGCTCCTGCCTCAGACTCCTGAGTAGCTGGGGTTACAGGCGTGCGCCACCACACTGAGCTAATTTTTGTATTTTTTTTTTAGTAGAGATGGGGTTTCACCATGTTGGCCAGGCTGATCTCGAACTCCTGACCTCAGGTGATCCACCCGTCTCGGCCTCCTAAAGTGCTGGGATTACAGGTGTGAGCCACCATCCTCGGCCTGATTCCAGTTCTTAACATACATAACACACATACTTCTTAGAAACTCTCCTGTGGTCGCCAAGAGACATGAATATGGAAGTCCCACACAGCATGTGCTGTGGTTGTGAATGAGAAACAGCCTAAATGCCCATCTATAGGAGCCTGGATAAACCACAGGAGAGCCACATCATGGGATGGAATACTACACGGTAATGAAAACCAAGTGGCTGCAACTCAAACAACAGGAAGACAGAAAAGCTGCAGAAGTCAACATGGAGCCTCCAATCAATTATTGAAAGTTCAAAAACAGTGAGCAACATCATACCTATGTATCATTTAGGGAGGCAGAATCAGGCTGCGCTTGGTGGCTCACACCTGTAATCCCAGCACTTTGGGAGGCCGAGGTGGGCGGATCACCTGAGGTCAGGAGTAACAGTATCAAGACAGTCACTGAAGAGTCTCTCCCAGTCTCTTCCCCTGGGAGAGAGAGTGGTAAGAAACGGACTGGGGGTGTGGGGGTATGGGGGATTCAACTGCATTTGGGATGTTTTATTCCTTAAGCTGAACACTTACATACCAGTGTTTGGTTTTACTGAGCCTGATGCTTTTAATATGTCTGAGATATTTTGCTACCCACCAGAATAGGTCAGACAGACTTGGGCTTCGAGCCAGCCCTGTGCTTTGCTGCCATGCGATCCTAGTCTTCTCTGTGAAGTGGGAATCCTATCGCCCACTGTTAGCTCCCGGGACTCTTCTGAGAATTAAACAAGGTCGTGTCTGCAAAGGGCCTGGCATCCGGTGGCTGCCATTGTTCCTGCTGCTGTTGGGAGGGTCTCCCAAAATGAACAGACAGAGGGGAAGGCCAGCTCGCAGGCCTCAGATGGGGAAAAGGGTTTGCTTGTCACAAGGCCAGTCCAGCCCGCGGCGACGCTGAGCTGGTGACGCATCTGCAGCTCTGGGGATTGAGCAATCTTGGTCCCCTGACCGGGATGGAGTCATGGGCCCAGGCTGGCTGGAGCCCCTCTACTGCTCCCCACCCGCTTCTCAGACTTTGTGTTCCTGGCCTTCTTGGGACCCCTCCAGGCTGGCAGCCACACCCTCCCCTCTGTGAGCTAGGCAGGAAAGCCCGGTTCCATTCCTGCCCAGTTCTCTTCGGCCTCTCCTGAGCCCCTGCTCCCCAACTCAAGGTGGGGTCCTAACCACCTTGCATCCAAACAGATCCTCTGGAGACGCACGAGTGGGTCAGGGCAGTCAAGAGCTGTGCAGGCTCAGACAGGTCATGTGACTTCTGTAGGTCCCTGGCTTTAGCAGGTGTGGCCGAAGGTGTGGGGTGCCAGTGTCTGTCTCCTGGTTCAAATCCAGGCTCGGGGTGTGACCCCAATGTTCTTGAACTTAAATCAGAGCCACCGCGATCTCTTTCTCGAAGTGGGGACAAAACACATGCAAAGCAGGGCCTGCCCCTCCAAGGTGCACCTTGAAGGTATCAGACGGCATGGACGAGGTCCCCTCGCTGGCTGCTGTGACGGTTAAACGATTCTTCCCAGCTCTGCACAACTCAAGTGATAGCTGTTGGACTCGGAGATGAACAAGAGTGAGGGAAACGGTGGGGGAGAGCAGTGGGCAAGACCTGGCGTGGCAAGTGGGGAGCAGGAGGCCCTCGTGTGGACTCGCAGAGACCCAAACCCAATGAAACAAGTACCCTGCTGGCGCATGTGCAGGAACTGATCAGCGTTCCTGAGGGCCCAAGGACATTTCCAGGGCACAGCTTGGGGAGGGCAGCAGAGTGGGAGCAGCTGTGAAATTGGGTTTCAGGTCATGACGCAGTTGGGGAACTTATTTCCTTCATCCCTGCCCTTTCCTGACCCTGTCCCACTCCCTTAACAAAGGTCAGCCTGGCCTAGGGGTGTCCTCCCTGGAGACCTCCCCTCCCTTGTGCCTCAGCCTCTCACTGTCTTTGGGGCAGACATTTCTCCGCTCTGGGCTTCAGTTTCTCTATCTGTAAAATGGGTGGGGTGATATTTCAGGCCTTAGCAACTTCTAAAATCCCATTTTTTGAAGATTTAGAACCAGTGAGCCTTCCTGAGGCCCACTTCACAAGCCTATCCAAGCAGAGGTGGCAAAATCCTCCTCCCTGGGTGAGAGGCAGGCGACACCCCTGAGTTGGTCACACCAGCCTTCCAAGGAGCTAACCCGACCTGACAGTCACTTCAGCCTGGCCAGGCCCCCAGGCAGTGTGCCAAAAAGCGGACGGGGGAGGGGATTTGCAGCAAGAGCTACAGCTCCCCAGAGGCCGCACTTCTGTCGGGGGAGACGCTGAGCGAGGGTCAGAAGAAAGTCAGCATGGGAAATGTGACGTCAGCAGAGGCAGATGCGAAGGAATACTATCCGAAAATGCTTCCGTAAACTCACCCTCCCAGGAAGCCAAATTCTGTGGGTTTTCAGTGGAGCTGGGTCTGTACAATCTCCCGGGCTCCGTTTTCTCATCAGCTAAGTCAAAATAATAAAGTGAGGCCAGGCACGGTGGCTCAAGCTCGTAATCCAAGCACTTTGGGAAGCCAAGGTGGGTGGATTGCCTGAGCTTAGGAGTTCGAGACCAGCTTGGGCAACATGGTGAAACCCCGTCTCCACTAAAATACAAAAAAGTAGCCAGGCGTGGTGGTGTGCGTCTATAATCCCAGCTACTTGGGAGGCTGAGGTGGGACAATCGCTTGAACCCGGGAAGTGGAGGTTGCAGTGAGCCGAGATCGCATCACTGCTTTCCAGCCTGGGAGACAGAGCGAGACTCCGTCTCAAAATAATAATAATCATAATCATAATCATAATCATAATCATAAAGTGGACTACGCAGGGCTTTTCTAGAGACATGATAAGACCTCGTGTCTAAATGGCCTGGTACATACTAGGGCCTCCATAAATGCCGGCTCCATGCTGCCCCCACCTCTGTCCACCAGGGCACCCCCGGCACCAAGGGCCAGACTCCCTCTGCTGCCCCCAATCTGCTTCTCAGACTTTCTGCTCCTGGCCTTCCTGGGAGCCCTCCAAGCCAGCAGCTGTGCCCTCCCCTCTGTGAACTGGGCAGGAAAGCCAGGCTCCATCCCTGTCCAACTCTCCTCAGCCTCTCCTGAGACCTGGCTCCTCATTCTCGCCACTCCCTACCAGGCACCGGGAGGCACGGCTCACTGTTCCCTAGTTTGTCTTGGTCCCCCAGAGGGCCAACAAGCAGTCTGGGTGTTTACATTAGTTCAGCTGAGACAGGCTGAACAAACACACGCGGTCCCATGGCTTCTAGTGCCAGCCCCCACACACCACTCGCCACCCAGGCTGTCTTGAGTCCACAGGTGTCCCCACCCCACTCCAGATCTTCTGTTTACACTCGGCAGCAGCGTCCCATCTTTTGACTTCCCTGGGCCACAATGTAAGAAATATTGTCTTGGGTCACACATAAAATACACCAACGATAGCCGATCAGCTAAAAAACAAAGGTGCATGCATAAATCTCAGAATGTTTTAAGAAAGTTTATGAATCTGTGGTGAGCCGCATTCAAAGCCATCCCAGGTCACATGCGGCCCACGGGCCGCAGGTTGGACAAGCTCATTCACAGATTCTCCCCATGGATTCTGTTTGAGGTTTGCTGCGTCCAGCTGATACCTGGTGAGACACTAACCCCGCCCACGACTATCTCCAGGCTCCAGCCGTCAACAGCTGTATGGGCTCAAACAGGTCACCGGACTTCTCATTTATAAAATGGGGATGGTGACAGGGCCAACCCCACAGAGGACTGCTACGATCAAATGGGATAATGAGAGGTAGGCGCTAAGCACGTTGCCTGCAGGGCTCATGGAAGGTGCTGGAGAAATAAGCTTTTTAAAAAAAATTTAATACTGTTTTATGAGTAATTGAAGAGTTTGGCCAGAAGTCAGTGGGTCCTGAGAATACAACCTAAAAATAAGTAGAAAATTCTTGGCCAGACTGTGCTAAGCACTTTCCATGTATTATCAACGCCTCGCAGCAACCCCAGGAGATATGGTATGCCATCATCCTTCATTTGCATAGACAGGGAACTGAGGCTCAGAGAGGTTGAGTCACTCACAGGGGGTCACACAGCTCCCTGAAGGACGCACGTGTCTGTTCCAGAGCCTGTGCTCTTATCTTCCACACTCACCCAAGCTCCTATAGGGGCCGCAGCCTCATCTCTGTGTCTTTCTTCCCCACCCTTCCTTCATTCTGCGGAGGGTTCCTGAGGTCCCCAGCCTCCTCTAGGCCATGGAGTCCTGGGAGCTGCCAGCAGCGTGGAGCTCGGCTGTGCAGCCTCCCCTGCCTACTGCCGAGGTGGTGCCTTGAGGAGCTGTGATGGTCTTCCCTTGCCCTGGGTCTGAGCCTCTAGGATCCTGCTGCTGCAGAACCTCCTGGTTTGGAAAAGGGGAAAGGAGCTGTCTGTAACTCATCATTTAACCCATGCCAGGCACCGCGCAGATATTTTCCCACATAATCTTCATGATCACCCTGTGCTGGAGGTACTACCATCCCCACTTTACAGAGGAGGAAACCGAGGTTCCAAGAGGTGGTGTCACTTGCCAAGGGTCCCAGAGCTAGTGCGTGGCGGAGCTGGGGACTCAAACCCAGGTTGCTCTGACTCAAAGCCCACAATCTTGCTGCTCCCCAGGCTGGCCCCTGCTCCTGGGAGAGATAAGACCCCATATAAACAACCCTAACATAAACCAGAAAGCCAGGCAGGCCTTCAGGAGGCCCAGATAACAGCTGGGAAGATACACAAAGAGGGGCTCAGACTTCCTGGGGAAATCTCTGTGTGAATAACATAAGAGGAATTCTCCACTGGGAGGAGCAGCCCTGGGGCCCCCAGCAGCCATGTCCTGGAAGAGGGTCTGTTGGGGACCTAGGCCTGACCACAGGAAAGACAATTTCCAGTGCAGTGGCCCATGGGTGCCTTCACAAGTAATCAATATGGAATGAGCACCTACGGTGTGTTGGGCCAGGCACCAGGCTTGTCATGCACTTATTATCTTTCTCCATTCTTTCTGCAGTCCTGTCACACAGGATTGATTGATTGATTGATTGATTGAGATGGAGTCTCGCTCTGTTGCCCAGGCTGGAGTGTAATGGCGCAATCTCGGCTCACTGCAACCTCTGCCTCCCGGGTTCAAGCGATTCTCCTGCCTCAGTCTCCGAAGTAGCTGGAATTAGAGGCACGTGCCACCACACCCGGCTAATTTTTGTATTTTTAGTAGAGACAGGGTTTTACCATGTTGGCCAGGCTGATCTCGAACTCCTGACCTCAAGTGATCCACCCACCTTGGCCTCCCAAAGTGCTGGGATTACAGGCATGAGCCACCGTGCCCACCCTATTTTCATTTTAGAGAAGGAGAAACTGAGGCTGAGAGAGGGAAGAATGCTTCCTCAGGATCTAAGACCGCTTGGAAGGGGCCAGTTGGTGTGATTCCCAGGTCCGAATGAAACAGAGCTGCGTCCCCGGCCACCCTTTGGTCTGGTCTTGTCTCCCTCCTCCTCTGCCTGAAGCTCCCTCACTGCTGCCCCACCTGGCTCATGTCAGGAGCTGGAACAACTTCTGAAGTCAGCATTATATGCCCCTTTTACAGATGAAGAAACAGGGGCTCAGAAAGAAGTGGCAAGGCGGCTTCTCAGTGAGATGGAGTGGGGATGGGGGTGTGGATAAAACCAGGAGACCCCACACCCCACCTGAGCCCGGAGTGCAGCTCCCTCCCTAACGGCTGGGGACAGGTCAGTGCCACCCACCTCTAGCAAATGCTTCCATTCCCACAACCATGGGCACCTTGTGGAGGACTTGGTAGCCCTTAGCCCAGCAGACGCCCAGGCAGCCTGGCTGCACAGTTGCCATGGAAACACCAGTGGGTTCTTTGGGGGCAGGAGAGCAACCAGCCCTTCTCACCTGGCCAGTGCAAGGCGCAGGCTGAGGCACAGGTTGGGGCTGTGCCAGGCCCCCCACATGTGTCACACTCCAGGGCCCCAGGCCTGTGACCAAAATGGCAGTGCCACTGCTGGCATAGGGGATGGGGACACCAGTGTGGTGGCACTGTTTGGCCCTGAGGGGTTGGAAGTTGATCTAACCACCTAGCTGGGGAAAAGGACAAGAAAACCCAGCGATGGAGAGGAGAGGCACAGGAAAGGGGGCAGACAGACAAGGGCCTCTTGTCAGGAAGGACAAGAGGTTCTGATCTAGCACTCTGCTGAGAGAAAGAAACGGGGAGGCCGGGAAGGGAAGTGGGCATGGCCCCCGGAAGAGGACGCACATGGATCCGCCCTCTGCTGGAATTTGTGCATGTTTGGTGAAAACCCCTCACTGGGGCTTTGGAGGGAGGGCAGGTCCCAGGGCTCAGGGGTTGGGGTCATTTCCAAAAACAAGGCTGCTTACACTTTCCCAAAGCACCCACATGGCAGAGGAGAGTCAACCTGTGCCCTGGCAGGACTGAGGACACAGCTAAAAGCTGTGAAAAAAGCTTAAGTCTCATTTCCTTTTGAATCTCAAAAATTCATGCCAATTCTGCATTCTGCTCCAAAATAGTACCTTTTTATTTTATGATGCAAGTACCCTACTCTGATCCCCAGGGCAATCTCACACACTGGTATGAGAAGCTCAAATATAAAAATTAAGCATGAAACCTCAAGAGTGGATAAGCTGACCTTGAGGGCGTAGGTGGAGAAAGGCCCTAGCCTCCCAGAACAACACAGCTGGAACCGGCGGGGGGAGGGTTATGGATCAAAATACACAATAGCCCTGACTGCAGGCCGGATACTCTGCCAGGGGCTCACATCCATTCACTCATTCATTTTCCTCTTACCCTCTTTAAAATCGTGTGCCTACTACGTGTTAGCACTGTTCTCGACAGATATAGCAGGAAACAAAACAGACAAAATCCTTGCCTTTGGGCCAAGTGCAGTGTTCATGCCTGTAACCCCAGCACTTTGGAAGGCTGAGATGGGAGGATCACCTGAGCCTGGGAGTTCGAGACTGCAAAGAGCTGTGATTGTGCCACTGCACTCCAGCTTGGGTAACGGAGTGGCACCCCGTCCCAAAAAACTAAAAATAAAATAAAATAAAATAAAATAAAATAAAATAAGCCTTGCCTTCATGAAACTTATATGCTAGTAGGAGACAGAATAAATAAGACAAATCAAATATGCAGCATGTTAGACTGTGGGAGGGGCTAAGGGGAGCAATGAGGTAGTGAAGGGAGACAGAAAATGGGAGATGGGGGCAATTTTCTTTCTTTTTTTTTTTTTTTTGAGACATAGTTTCACTCCATTGCCCAGGCTGGAGTGCAATGGTGCAATCTCGGCTCACTGCAACCTCCACCACCCGGGTTTCAAGCTATTTTCCTGCCTCAGCCTCCTTGAGTAGCTGGGATTACAGGTATGCACCACCATGCCCGGCTAATTTTTTTGTATTTTTAGTAGAGATGGGTTTTTGCCATGTTGGTCTGGCTGACCTCAAACTCCTGACCTCAAGTGATCCACCTGCCTCAGCCTCCCAAAGTGCTGGGATTACAGGCATGAGCCACTTCACCCGGCCTGTTTTGTTTTTAAAGAGACAAGGTCTCACTCTGTTGCCCAAGCTGGAGTGCGGCCTTGACCATAGCCCATGCAGCCTCGACCATAGCTCATGCAGCCTTGACCTCCTGGGCTCAAGCGATCCTCTTGCCTCAGCCTCCCAAGTAGCTGGGACTACAGATGTGCACCACCACACCCGGGCTCATATAGCTTCTTAACTGGGTGGGCAGAGGAAGCAGGGGGCAGAGGCCCATCCCCAAGGGAGAAACCATCCATCAGTGCGGGACTGACAGGGACACTCCACCCACTCAGCCCAGTGTGCTTCTGTCCAGGGAGACTCCAACGGCTGCCACAGCTGTGGTTTACTGACTTCAGGTCTGACTGCCCTCTCCAGAGCTGCCCTAGAATCCCTTTGTCTGTGGCTGAAGTGTCCCTCAGAGCTGAGGAACAAGTTTGGAGAGGACCAGGAGGGGCTCTCCCCACCCCCGCCCCTTTCCCACATGAAGAGAAACATTTCAGGGTTGAAAAAATGACTCATTCTCCCCAGAGAGGGCTGGAGCTGAGCTGAGTCAGGCAGAAGGAGCCCGCGGGTCACTTAATCGGCCTCCCTGCTCTGGCAGAGATGGCTCTGGGCCCCAGGAAGCCAGGGACAAATGGAGGCGGAGGTGGCAGAGATAAGCAGCTAGTGGAGTGTGCCAGCCTCTCCTTCCCCAACCGAGTGTGTCACTGGGCGTCACCCAGCACTGCTCAAGTTGAACCTGATGCAGAAGAAAAATTCCTCTGGACTTTCCTGAACGAGCTTTATGGCTGACTCACTGCCACCTGGAGCCTGCAAGAAAAGTCACAAATCACGAAAGAAGGAGAAAAACAGTTCTCGTTAAGCCATGTCTTCAATGGAGGTATCAGAGGTCGCCAGGAGGAAAGCACACATGTTTTGTTGTGGGTTTCCTTCTCTAAAGAAACACGTTACACAATAGAGGGGGGTTGAGACTGGTTGCAAAACTGCAAAATCCAATTTTGTGTACTGGATTCAATTTCTTCATTAGCTGACACTAAACACAGAGACGGGGCCCTTGTGACTAGATGAACCATAAACTGGCTCCAGGACCACCAACCTGGTACCTGATGGCTTGTTTCTGCTCCCCACTCTTTCCCTCCATGCATCTTTCTCTGAGCTTCTGCTCAAGGCAGGTGCCAGGACAAGCCAGCGTCTCGAGCGGTTCCCCTTCAGCGGTGAGAAGTAACGTCACAATTAAGGGGCAAGAGGGGCCAGAGGACAGAACAGTGCCAGTTCCTCATCCAGATTGAAATTTGCTTCCAGCTGCCTGTCCCCACACCAGAAAGGGCACTCCCTGCTCCCCATGCAGGCTTCTCATCCTCTTTTGCTGGCCTCCTCCCTCCTCGCTGTCCCTGGTCTTTTTCAGCCACAAGCAAAACACACTCAGCCTTGAAGTCAGATGCTCTACAGAAGCCTGCAAAAACAGAGTCAGGAGTTGTGTGGCCTTGGCCGAGTCACCTCACCTCACCAAGCCTCAGCCTCCTCACCTATTAAATGGGGACACAATAGGACCCACTTCCTTGGAGCTGACTGAGGTATGAATTGAGTCAATGCATTCATTGCTCAGCACACAGCTTAGCTCAAAGTTAATGCTCAATAAATTGTGGTTCCCACCTCCTGCTCCACGGAGCAGACATGAAACAGGTACGAGAAGCAACGAGAAGGGGCGGCAGCAGAGCATCAACACACAGGGAGTCCTGCCTACTGTCCCGACGCCACCCAGAGGCTCAAGGGGTGCCCCGGCTGCTCTCCGAAGCTGCCGGTGGCACTTTCGCCAGCCACCTTGTTTCCAAACTTGCTGCCAGCTTCCCCTAGCGCAGTGATTTCCACAACGGAGCTCCCGGCTGTGGGAAGGGGGCTTTCTTTGACTTGTCCTAAAATGGCCTCACCTGGACCCAGTGGGGTGTGGGGACCAGGGGGCTGGGCCTGGACCTATGAGCATGTTTCCTGCCTCCTCTCAGCCCCCATCCTTCTGCCGCCCCACGTTCTCAGCCAACAATAGCTGCTTCCCAGACTCAGCTGCCACACAGCACGAGCTCCCTGAGCAAAAATACCCATGCGGGGGAGGGTGGGGAGGTACAGGAGGGGCCACAAATGGGGAGGGCTGGGAGAAGGGGTGGCAGGATCAAGCTTGTCTCTTGAGTGCCTACTGTGTGTCAAGCTGAGAAGGGTGAAGCCCCTGGGGGTTAGAGAAACCTGGGAGACCGTGGGGTGTGTGTGTCGGGGGTGCTGGTCTCTAAGACAGCAGAGCCTCCAGTCCCCAGAGAGGGATCAGACCCAGGTCCAGGGTCTAAGGGTGAAGAAGGGGTCCAGGGAGAAGAAGGTGCCTAAGCAGGAAGCAGGTCCTAGAACCTAGTGAGAAAAAAGGGGGGCCTGAACCCCAAAGAGAGATCCAAATCTTAAGGAAAATAGGGGCTCAGGTTCGAGGAGATGAGGTTCATAATAGGGGGGTTATATTTCTGGTTTCAGGAGGGGGATGGTTTGGAGCAGCGTAGGGAGGTGGGGCGAGGCCTGCAGAGCTAAGAATCCATTTAACTGAGCAGCATCTCAGAGGTCTTAGGTGCCAACTGGGGTGACATCAGGGAAGAAAACAGAAATCCTAAGACAGCAGCCAGCAGCCTGCAGTTACGGAGCCTGGATGGGGAAGCAGCTCCCCGCTGCTGGGGAGACCCCACTGAGCACAGAGAGGGTCTCCCCAGCCTTTGGCCCCTGCGTCTCCTTTCTCTTCATGACAGGGCATCAGCTCGGGTCCCTGGAAACACCCCCGCTCCCCAGCAAGGGGCTGTGTTTGCACAGTGGCTCTGGCCCCTAAACCCCACCTCTGTGGACTCCGTCAAAGCCTGGGGAGGGCAGGGTCCTGAGGGCCCTGGTCTCGCTGGGGTCGCATAGGTCACATGGAAAGAATTTGGAGGTCACAGCACTGCCCTCCCTGTAGATGCTTCAAAGCACCCCACTCCCTTGAAGCTGCCAGACTCTGCAGGCAGCAGGGCATGGGGAGGGACGAAGCCACCAGGAGACTGGGAAGAGGGACTCTGCCAGAGCAGCTGCCAGGAATCTGGGGCCTGGAGTCCATGTTTGGCTGGAAGGCCCTGGGATGGGAGGCTCCAGCTTAGCGTCTGGCTCTAACGCTTGGACTGTGTGACTCCGGTGGCTCATGCAACCTTTCTGGGCTCTGTTTTCTCATTTGTCAAAGCGACGGGCTGATCCCCTGCCCCACTCCAATCAATCACCAGGCCCTGCCCACTCTACTCAGTTTCTCTGTCTGCCTCTCCCTCACCACTACCACTGGCCTGGGCAAAGCCACCACCATTTTCTGATGCCACTCTTGCCCTCCCCACTCAAGTCAAGTTGGATCATCTTAGCTCCCTGCTGACACCCCTTCGAGAACCGGGAGACCTCCACCCTGCTTGTTACACATTTTTGCCTTTTCTTACTTTGAGGGCACAAATGGAGTCTTTTGGTATAGAGGAAAATAAAGCCTCACCTGGTCTGCACGGCCCTGCGGGACCCAGCCCTGACCACCCTTCAGCTTCACCCTTCCTCTCTACTCCAGCTACACAGCTGGGGTCCCCAGCCCCCCGGGCCTCAGACCAGTACCAGTCCATGGCCTGTTAGGAACCGGGCCGCACAGCAGGAGGTGAGCTGTGGGTGGACATTACCGCCTGAGCTCTGCCTTCGGTCAGATCAGCGGTGGCATTAGATTCTCGTAGGAGCGCGAACCCTATTGTGAACTGCACGTGCGAGGGATCTAGGCTGTGCATTCCTATGAGAATCTATGAGAATCTAACTAAGGTGATGAATCTAACTAACATGAACTGAGGTGGAACAGTTTCATGTACCTCAGATCATCGGGCTTAGTTAGATTCTCATAAGGGAAACCATTCTTCACACCCTGTCCATGGAAAAATTGTCTTCCACGAAGCCTGGCACCAAAAAGGTTGGAGATTGCTGCTATAGGTCACTCACCCCAGGACCTTTGCACATGCTGTTCTCACAGCCTAGACTCTTTTTCTCTCCATTTATTTGCCTGGTTAACACTTAACACATCTTTCAGATCTCTTCTCAAATCCTTCTTCCTCAGGGATGTCTTCCCTGCTCCTGCTCTCTGCCAGGGATGGCTCCTCTGACATAAACTCCCATAGCAACCTGCTTATAGTTAGAGATCTGTGCAACTGTCCAAGACCATGCCTGCTTGCTAACCATTCTAGACCTTGTGCCTGGCACATAGTGGGTCCTCAGTAAATGGTAGATATTGCCACCACTGATCATCCCACATTTACCTATGCTGATATTTGGCAGATGTCCCCAAGAATCTGTGTGTAGGCCAGGTGCAGTGGCTCACGCCTGTAATCCCAGCACTTTGGGAGGCCGAGGTGGGTGGATCACCTGAGGTCAGGAGTTCCAGACCAGCCTGGCCAACATGGTGAAACCATGTCTCTACTAAGAATACAAAAAATTAGCCAGGCATGGTGGCGGGCGCCTGTGATCCCAGCTACTCAGGAGGTTGAGGCAGAAGAATCGCTTGAACCTGGGAGATGGAGGTTGCAGTGAGTTGAGGTCACTCCACTGTACTCCAGCCTGAGCAACAAGAGCGAACCTCCATCTCGAAAAAAAAAAAAAAAAAAAAAAGAATCTCTGTGTGGAAGTCTGCAAAAGCAACCACGTTGGGTATTAGGAGGAACACAGGCCTCGGCTGCTGAGGGTCTGCTTTCTAATCCCAGCTCTGCCACCACAAGCTTTGGGCAAGGTACCGCCTCTCTGAGCCTCAGTTTCCTTATCCAATTGATCTAAAGGTGGAATGGACATGCTGGCTGTTCATCATGACTGCTGCGAATCTCTCTCTAGACTCCCACCTCCCTTTGCATCCATTCCCCCTACCAGGCGATGTTCTGATGGCTGAAGTGACCAAATAAAATGCCCAGGATAGTGTTGGACCCAGAGAAGACATGTAATAAATTAGATTTCTAGCATATTCTATGGTCCACCAGCATCAGAATCAGGCATTCTGCTGGAAATGTAGGTTCCTGGACCCTCCCCCCGACACTTACTGAGTTAGAACCTCTAGGATGAGGGCAATGAAACTTGCATTTGTAACCAGCATTCCTGATGATTCTCATGCACATGTCCGTTGAGAAGCACTGAAATCAATGCAACCTTATGCTTGCTACCGCCGACTTGCAATTCCTGGGTGTCCTGATTACCAGCACAGAGGTGAGACTCACCAGAAAGGGGCGTGGCCTTCATAACCTGGTATTCTTCCTGATGGCTTAAAAACACGAGTACAGGCCTTGCAGTTAGATTGAGGTGCAAATTCCAGTCCCTCTACTTACTGGCTTAGCTGTGTGACCTTGGACACATGGCTCAACCTCTGTGAGTCACCTTTCTCATGCTTAAAACGGCAGTAAATTACCTCTACCTGCCAGGGTTGTTGCAATGATCTGAGGAGGTGCCTTATGCAAAGCACAGTTCATGTGCTCGGGGCAAACAGTGGAAAAACAAACCAGGAAATGCTTCTCTGTCTGTCTGTGCCTCCTACCTGCCACAGGAGAACTGAGGGTAGAATCTGTGTACCCTTCTCAGCACACCACAAATCCTAGTCACTTAGAGAGACACAGACTGCCTACAAGGCTAGTCAACTCCCAACCACCTTTGCAGAAGGGGGAGAGAGTGGGAGTTTGTGAAGAGCAAAAGCAGGAATTGGATGGGAAAATGGTCTAGGGCTCACGTGGAGTGACCCAGGACCCAGAGTCTCACCTCCCAAGGCTAGGCCTTGTAGGGCAGCAGGGCCAAGCATGCTGCAGGAAAGAACACAGAGTCTGGAGCCAGACTGTTCAGGTTTAAATTTTGGCTCTGCTACTACTAGCTTTGCCTGGCTGGCAAACTCCTACCCATCCTTCAAGACCCAACTCAAACATCACCTCCCTGGACCAAGTTACTGGGCCTTTAAAGGCTCCTGCCCACATACTCACTAAATACTTTTTTTTTTTTTTTTTTTTTTTTGAGACAGAGTCTCCCAGGTCCTATTCCTCTGGGCCTTTAAAGGCTCCTGCCCACATACTCGCCAAATACTTTTTTTTTTTTTTTTTTTTTTTTTTTGAGACAGAGTCTCCCTCTGCCACCCAGGCTGGAGTGCAGTGGCATGATCTCCACTCACTGCAACCTCTGCCTCCCGGGTTCAAGTGATTCTCAGCCTCCTGAGTAGCTGGGACCAAAGGCACGTGCCACCATGCCCAGCTAATTGTTTCGTATTTTTTGTAGAGATGGGGTTTTGTCATGTTGCCCAGACTGGTCTCGAACTCCTGGCCTCAAGTGACCCACCCATCGCAGCCTCCCAAAGTTCTGGGATTACAGGTGTGAGCTACCGCCCCTAGCTGACCTCACCAAATACTATTCAGCAATTTACCTGCTAATTTATCTATCTCTCCCACAGGCCTGGGAGCTCCTGGAAGGCACAGACACTGCCATGCCTGGCACAGGAAACGTACTCAGCAAATGTTGCTTCAGTTTGAATGCCAACTTTTTCAGCCTTCTGAGTTTCCTTTCTCTCCCCATTAAATGCTTCCTAGGCTAATCCTTCTTCCTCCCCCTGACTCAGGTCCTTTCCTTTCTGGGTCTTAAACTTCCACACCCCCTTCCTTGAAGGTCCCTATCCGCTCACCCCTGAGCTGATGCTGAACACAGGCTGTACAGGAAGACCTAAGATTAATTTCTTCCCTTTGCTGGCTGCAAAGGACTCTCATGGAAGGTGAGGCACTCAGAGTCCATGAGACTGGCTGATCATAAGGACTACGACCAGCTGGGTAGAAGTCAGTTATGGAGGAAGCACAAGTTGGATTCAGCCAGGGGTGGTGGTTCACGCCTGTCATCCCAAACTTTGGGGGTCCGAGGCAGGACGATCGCTTGAGCCCGAAGTTTGAGACCAGCCTAGGCAACATAGCAAACCCTGTCTCTACAAAAAAATTAGGCCAGGCACGGTGGCTCATGCCTGTAATCCCAGCACTTTGGGAGGCCGAGGCGGGTGGATCACTTGAGGTCAGGAGATCGAGACGACCCTGGCCAACATGGTGAAACCCCATCTCTACTAAAAATCCAAAAATTAGCCGGGCGTGGTGGTGCAGCGCCTGTAGTCCCAGCTACTCAGGAGGCTGAGGCAGAGGAATCGCTTGAACCCAGGAGGTGACAATTGCAATGAGCCGAGATCATGCCACTGCACTCCAGACTGGCGACAGAGTGAGACTCTGTCTCAAAAAAATTAAAAAATTAAAAAATAAAAACTTAGCCGGGTATGGTGGTGCACGCTTGTAGTCTCAGTTACTCGAGAGGCTGAGGTGGGAGGATCGCTTGAGTCTGGGAGGTTGAGGTTGCAGTGAGCCATGATGCACGATGGTGCCATTGCATTCCAGCCAGGGTGACAGGCAGAGTGAGACTTCGCTAAAAAAAAGAAAAAAAAAAGCATAGACTCTGTAGCCAAAACTGCCCAGGTTCCACTCTAGCTCTGCCAATTACTGACTGAGAGGAGAGATACATTACCTCTCTGTCCCTCAGTTTTCCCACCTACAAAACAGGAATAACAATAATAAGTACCTCACAGGGTTGATGTGAAGATTAAGTAAATTTATAACATAAAATATTTAGTGCTGTACCTGGCACACAGCAAACACTCAAGAAACGCTATTATTATTACTGCTAAGACTAGTAAAACACCGCGGGCAGGAAAGAATGGAGGATTACTGAATAAAGCCCTAATGCAGACAGAAGTTACTACTATGTCACTCCCACAAGGAAACATCAAACATCACCACTCCCAGGAGCCTCCTCAGAAGCAACCTGCCAGCCCTGGGCTGGTCATTCTCTGATAGTATCAGGGCCGTTTTGTCCCACTTTCCTCCGTGGACTTGAGCTCACTAAGGGCAGCCTTACTGCACCCTCCCCCACCCCATCCTCAGCACCCAGTGGTGTGCAGCAGGGTTGTGGGAAATATCTGCCAGACAGACATGCTTAAGATGTGGCCCGAGTCCCTTCCCCTTTCTGGAGAGGCCTGCTTCACTGGGAAGGCAACTCTCCAATGCCATAGTACAAACCCCTAGAGAGCCTGCATCCCTTCCAGTCCCATCCCTGCCAGACACTGGGAACGCAGAGGTGAAAAGGCAGGGGCTCTGCTCCATCAGAACCCTGCCTAGTAATAAATCAGGTGACATTTATTAGGCACTTAGTGTACTGCAGGCACTGATCCTGGCACTTTACAAGAATCTCGTCGCTTATTTAAACAACTCTCTAAGCTTGGCACTATCCTTATTCCCATTTTACTTATGCAGAAATAGAGGCTAAGAATTAAGTACTTTGCCTGAGGCTGCTCCAGTAAATGGCAGAGCTGGGATTCAAACCCAGGCAGGCTGGGCCAGAGCTTGAACTCTTGATCTGTGTTAGTCCAGGGGGAGGGGGGAGGAGGGGGGGAGAGAGATAGGAGAGAGAGGGGAGGGAAGGGGAGGGGAGGAAACAGGAGGAGAGCGGAGGAGACAGGAGGAGAGGGGAGGAGAGGGGAGAGGAGGTGAGGGAGGGGAGGGGAGGGGAGGGGAGGGGAGGGGAGGGGAGGGGAGGGGGAGAAAGATTTCAGTCCAAGGTGACCCTGAGAGAAGTCAGTCAGGCGAGGAGTTAGAGGGAAGGGGGCTGCGGGAACACAGGATGGGGGTGGGGTGGGCGGATGGTGAAGTAAGTTTCTAAGAACAGCTATGGAAAGAGAAACAATTGGGACATGTGTCAACACTGTTACAATATTAGTGCCATCCAATTCTTGGAGTCTAGCACCAGATATGCACCATGCATGCTCTGAGTGCTGCTCCTCTCACTGAATATTTGCAGTCTTCCTGGGAGGGACTTATCCTCACTTCACAGATGGGAAATCCAAGGCTCAGAGAGGAAGACACGCCTGCTAAAAGTCCTTGGTGACAATTCAATGGCAGATCCAGGGTTCAAGCTCAAGTTGATCCCATGGCCCTTGGTCTTAACCACTAGGTCACACTGAACAAACAGGTATTGGTGGTGCGTGGTAGGGATCTGATGCAGAAGGTGGGGGGAGCTGCCCAGTTTTTCACCCGGGACCTGCACTTAGTGCCTCCGCCTCCCCCACCCCTATTTGGGCTGAAGGCAGACAGCACAGCTCCAGCCCACCAGAGCCGTGGGGGGGGCGGGGGGGTGGGTGGGTAGTAGTGTGGCCTGGCTAAGGAGTCTCTCAAATATAGTGGGGAAATAAAATAAGTAGCAGAGAGATGGGCCAACCATGGCCCATTCTCATCTTCCCTCCCTAACCGCGTTCATCAGAAAACAGCATATGTGAGGGCCAGCACGCAGCCATTCTTTCCGGTGCTTCAGGAGGTTAGGATGACAGAGCCACGGGCTGGGCGCAGTGGCTCACGCCCATAATCCCAACTTCTTTGGGAGGCCGAGGCAGGCAAATTACTTGAGGTCAGGAGTTCGAGACCAGCCTGGCCAACATGGTGAAACCCCGTCTCTACTAAAAAATACAAAAGTTAGCCAGGCATGGTGGCACCTGCCTGTAATCCCAACTACTTGGGAGGCTGAGGCAGGAGAATTGCTTAAACCCAGGAGGTGGAGGTTGTAGTGAGCTGAGATCGTGCCACTGCACTCCAATCTGGGCAACAGAGCGAGACTCCGTCTCAAAAAAAAAAAAATGACGGAGCCACAAAGGTAATAACAGCTCCCACCTCCCAAGGGCCAACTCCGTGCACCGTCCTGTGAGCTTTACAACCTGTCATAAATTATCAACCACTTTTCACAACACCACTATGAGAAAGGTGCTACCATCATCCCATTTCATAGAGGAGAAAACCGAGGCTCAGAGATGGTCACTCACCAAAGGTCACCCAGCTGGGACTAAGTGACAGAGCTGGGACTACAACCCACATCTGTCTGGCTCCAAAACCTCCATACCTCCATCTTATCTAGAAAGAGTGCTGGATGAGGAGTCTAGAATCAGGGTCTAAGTCCTGCCTCTAACCTGCTGTATAGCCTCAGGTAAGTCTCTTTCCCTTTGTGAGCCTTGGTCTGCCCTATGAGGAAGTTGGCCTAGATGACCTCCAAGTCCCACCTCCTGTGACTCTGTGAGCTCTCATGCCCTCCTCTCTCTGGCTCCCAGCCACCACACCGGAAGCCCAACAGGATGCCGAGTAACCACCCACTGAACACTCAGGGGCGAAGGAAGATGAAGTGCCGCTTTCTCATGGCCATCTTCCACCAGACCAGCCCAGGAAACAAGGAACCACAAAGCCACAGGATTCCCTCCAGCGTGGCCGTGTGAACAGCAGCCCTGGAGCAGAGGGGCTGGGCATCCCCTTGCGGCCATCACTTCCTATGCCCTCACTTCTCGGCAGGGTGTGCGGAAGCGAGGGAGGCAGGCTCCAGCTCAATGCCCTCTGGCTCTGTTTCTCTGGGTCCCCAGGGGCTGGGACGGTGGGAACTGGTCACTCTGGGAGAATCCCAAGCCCACCCCGGAAGGCTGAGTTGAAGTGGAGGTTCAGACAGGTCTGTCTGGCTCCACAGGTAACTTTTGCCCACTGTGCTCTGCTGCCAGCAAGGTCTCGAAGCATCTGGGATGCCTGGCTACCTCTCTCCCATCCCTGAAGTAGCAGCCAAAATCCCAGATCCTGCAGAAACCTACGCCTCCTCAGCCTCAGGACAGACGAATATCCTGAGGCCCGCGCTCCTGCCTCCCTCCTGCCCCCTACAGTCCATGCTCTACACAGCAGCCAAGGTCTTTCCAAACAGAAACCAAGCCCAGTCGCCCCTCAACGTGGGGTCCTCCAGTGGCTTCCCACCACTATTAGAACGAAATGCTGACCCCTGCCCCACAGACAAGGCTGTCCATGGCTTGCCCCTCCAGGCCCACCTCTCCCTAGCCTTCCCTCCACCCTCCACTGCCTCTGCCCGGCCACACCAGCGTTCACCCCCTACATGTGCCAAACTTGCTGTTCCGGCAGCCGGGAACTCTCATCTCCCCCGCCCCCGTCTTTGCCCGGCTGCCCCCTCCTCAACCTTCATGTCCCAGCTCAGACATCACCTCCTTTCCTGGCCGCTCCTCTAGAGCGGCCCCCTCCCCTCACAGCCACTCTCCACCACATCGCCCTGTTTTGTCTCCTTTCTTCTCTCGGAGCGATCCTTCTGGTGGGTGGCTTTGCCTGTTTGGTCTCCAGCTTCCTCCCCTAGAGTGCAGCTCCTTAGGGGCAGGCATGTGACTGCTCCATTCTCTTCTGTCCCCACAATGAGGCAGGGCCTCCTTGGGTGCTCACAACCCTGAAGATGAGGACGCTGCAGCCCTGAGAGGTGGATTGAGCCGCCCAAAGTCCCAGAGCCAGGGAATAGCAGGGTTCAGACCGAGGGCGACCTGATGCCAAGCCTCAGTGGGTGGGGGGCTCTCACGGCTGGGGGCCTACTCTGGAGGGCTCTCACCCAGGGTGGACAGAGTCGCAGTGAGGCTCTTAGGGCGGGTACCAAGAATGAAGGGCCCACCAGCTTTCCCAAATGGTCCTTCTGCAAGCTACAGGCCAGCTGAGCTCCTGCCTGGGGTGGGTGAGACCCTGGGGGTGAAGAGGCACCAAACACCAGGAGCAAAGGCTCCCAAATGAGGGAGACCACAGACACAGGGAGCTGGGAAGCTTCGACCCACCCAGTGCTTGACGGAAGGGGAAAGTGAGGACTATGGAGGGGAAGGGACTTGCCTGAGGTCACACAGCCAATCAGTGGGTCTCCAGGGAGGGAGGCCCTTCCCTACCCTGCAGAACAGCAGGCGAAGCCCAAAGCCCAGGGTCTGGGCAGAGTGCCAGCCCAGAACTGCCAGGCCCTGGGGGCAGGGGCAGGGCTACAGAGTGAATCTGGGGCATTAAGACAAAGAAAGGACTCAAATTTCTTCCTTCTTTCAAAAAACACTTGAGACAGGCAGTGTCTCATACCTGTAATCCCAGCACCATGGAAGGCTAAGGTGGATGAATCACTTGAGCCCAGGAGTTCAATACCAGCCTTGGCAACTAGTGAGACCTTGTCTCTACAAAAAAATATCAGAAAATTAGCTGGGTGTAGTGGTGCACCTGTGGTACCAGCTACTCAGGAGGCTGAGGTGGGAAGATCACTTGAGCCCATAAGTTCAAGGCTGCAGTGAGCTGTGTTCATGCCACTGTACTCCAGCCTGGGTGACAGAGTGAGAGACCCTGTCTCAAAACCAAAACAACAAAAAACATTCACTGAGGCCGGGCGTGGTGGCTCACACCTGTAATCCCAGCACTTTGGGAGGACGAGGTGGGCAGATCACCTGAGGTCAGGAGTTCGAGACCAGGCTGGCCAACATGGTGAAACCCCGTCTCTACTAAAAATACAAAAAATTAGTCGGCTGTGGCCGGGCGCGGTGGCTCACACCTGTAGTAATCCCAGCACTTTCGGAGGCCGAGGTGGGCGGATCACGAGGTCAGGAGATTGAGACCATCCTGGCTAACACAGTGAAACCCTGTCTCAACTAAAAATACAAAAAATTAGCCAAGCGTGGTGGCGGGCACCTGTAGTCCCAGCTACTCAGGAGGCTGAGGCAGGAGAATGGCGTGAACCCAAAAGGTGGAGCTTGCAGTGAGCCGAGATCGCGCCACTGCACTCCAGCTTGGGCGACAGAGCGAGACTCCAGTGTGGGGGACAAAGCGAGACTCCGTCTAAAAAAAAGAAAAAATTTGCCTGGTGTTGTGGCAAACGCCTGTAATCCCAGCTACTTGGGAGGCTGAGACAGGGGCAGGAGAATCGCTTGAACCCAGGAGACAGAGCTTGCAGTGAGCCGAGACTGCACCATTGCACTCCAGCCTGGGCAACAAGAGTGAAAGTCCATCTCAAAAAAACAACAACAAAAAAAGAAAGTTAAACACACATTGCCCCTCTGACCCAGGAGTTGCACTCCTAAGTATGTGCCCCAAAGAAATGAGTGCTGAGGTCTGCAAAGAGTTACATACGAGAATGTCACAGCAGCCTCAAGCTGGAATCAACCCAAATGTCAGCCACGGACATTTACACGTACATCCACCCAATGCGGCACGACTCAGCCTAAAAAGGAGCAGATGCTGGTACAGGCGACACGGACAAACCTCAAACATTCCTTGCTGTCCAAAGCTGAAGAAAACCAGGCACAAAAGAGCACACATGAATGAATCCACACAGAGAAAGCTCAAAACCAGGCCAAACTAGAGGGCCAGTGGCCACCTGCTGCAGGGGACTGATGGAGGAGGCACACGGGAACTGTGGGAATGGTTCACACTTTGGTCCAGGTAGTATGCAGGTGTGTGCATTTGTAAAACGTGAGCTGTACAAGATATGCATACATTACTTAAGTAAATTATACTATACCACAATTTTTAGAAACGTACAATCTCTGCCCTCATGAGGTCCAGTCTGGCATCCTGTGTCATCATCGTAACAGTCATGACAATAACAGCAGGTGACACCGACTGAGTCCTCTGTATGTGCCAGCCCTCAGCTGGGCTACTCTGAAACAGGATCTGATTGAGCGTTTCTAACTACTGGGCAAAATACTGCCCCAGGAGCTCCATATTAGAGACAGGAGAATAAAGCTTAGAGAGGTGACACGCTGTCCAAGGTGACAATGCAAAAAGTGAGGATGCCAGGTTTGAACCTGGGCCCATCAGTCTCCAAGGCCCACTCCTGCTGCACGGGCAGATCCCGCCTCCCTGCCCTCTCCTCCCCACACTGCCTGCTCAGATGTGGCACCTGGAGGCAGCCAGTCCTCGCCCCTCGCCCCCTCCTCTCCAGTGCTGGAAGGAACAGCTCATGTGTGTAATGGACTCGAAGCTTCTGTGAAAGAGCTGCTGAGGAAATGAGTCCTTCCTTCCCCTTCTGCCCCCTCTGCCCTCCCTCATCCCTCTCATGGCCACATAGCTCTGAGGACATTTCAGCCCTGGACCTCCGCCCAATAAGAAGGGACTCCAATGGCCAGGCAGCTGGGGGTGTGTGTGGTATTGACCAAGGAGCTTTCTCAACCCCTGGACACCCCAGCCCAGCCTGTGGCCTCTCAGAGGACCAGGAGGACATGAGGTTAGAGTCCCCACCCTTGGCTCCAGTTTCCAAGTGACGCAACCAAGTGTCTGGATTCAGAGAATCGCAAAATGTTTATCTGGAATCACAACCACCACCATGACCATTTAATCAAACCTTATCCTGTGCCAAGTGCTACAAACATAGCTCATGAATCCTCACCAGCAAACAAAATGGGTACTGCTAGGCTCTCATTTTACAGAGGAAGAAAGTGGAGCTCAAAGGGGTTAGGTGCCTTGCCCCAAGTCTCACAGTGAGGAAGTGGTGGGGCTGGAATTCAAACCCAGATTTGCACAACTTCGAGTCTATCCTCTGAATGAGAGTATTATACTTGTCATCCTGCATGTCATTACTGAAGACGGCCCTGGAGTCAGTCTGCTCCAGCCATGTCATTTCACAGATGGGAAGACTGAGGCCCACGAAGGAAGACCGTGGTTCAGGAGGACAAGGATTAGTGGCAGAGCCTGGGCTGGAAGCCACCCTGGCCTTGCTTTCAATGACCAGATCAGAGCCTGGGAGCGGGCCATGTGCAGCTGGATGGGCAGCTGGAGGGAGTCAGGCAGGGAGGTGGGAGGCTCTGCTTCCAGGCAGAGGTAAATATTGACATGACTGTGTTTACGCTGTAACCTAACTCTGCCTGGCTGCTGCCCCAGGCCCACCCTCCTGCCTTCCCAGCCAAGGAGGGAAGGGAGCTGTGGGAGGAGGATGGGGAGAGGAGGCTTCTGGGCCAGGGGCTGCTCCTCCTGCTTAGAGGGCTATGTGGTCAGAAAGGCTGGGACATCAGGTGTTAGGGGTGGGGGTTAGTGGAGACCCAGGCCAGGGGACCAGGTGGTGCCAGACAGGGAGGGGCTGTTATCTGAGCTGGGGAGCTGGGGATCTCAGGGCGGGGGACTGGGCTGGGAGTCACAAGGCCTGAGTTCAAGTTCTAGTTCTGCTACTGATTGGCAGTGGGAATCCAAGAACAGTCGGTGAATGGGGAAGAAAAGGTCTAACTGTCAAGTGCGGTGCAAAGGTGAACAATAAATAACCAGCATTTGAGCCTGGCCAGTGTCCAGCCCCAGTGAGCTCTCAACGCCTCTGGCTACCGGCTCAACAGTCCTATCCCTGTCCCAGTGGGCTTTCCCAGGAAGGCCAAGTTTCTGCCAAACTGAGTGGCAGCTTGGGACTGAAGCCATAATAATCTAGAGGAATCGGGGAGCCACTGTCTAGCTCCCGTCCCTAATTCCCTAAGTGACCTTTGAGCCTCAGCTTTTACAACTCTGAAATAAGGCTCACCCTCCTCCCTGGGGTTGGTGTGAAGAGCAGAGATTACATTTAAGTGCCAGGCACATAGTAGATGCTCATTTTGTCTCTCAGTCTTCCCACTTGTCAAACAGGGGCCTCGAAGTTGGTGGTTCCTAATCCCCTTTTCATACAAGCGCTCTAGCGTCTTTAGAAGGCCCAGAAGCCAGGCCCACCTCCCTGATGTTAGATCCCCACCTAGCCGATTTCCTGAATGCTCTCTAGAAACTTGCTCCCCTGTTTACACCTCCCCCCAGGAAGTCCAAAGGGGCCCTGTTGGGAGGAGGGAGCCATTCCTAGGCTTGTCAGCCCACCAAGACAGGCCTGGGGCATCCCAGCCACTCTGCCCTCAGGGGCCCAAGGAAAGGGCAGGCCCCAGGTCCTGGACTCCAGTGCCACCCTGACAGTGGGGTTCCGCCAGCACTGGTTGTTCATTAAACTGTGCCCCTCAGACTATTAACTCTTCAAGGACAAGTGAACCCCCCTCCTAATTTTTTATGTGTCCAAAACTTGGCGTCTAGGAAGCATTCCACCAAGTGTTAACACCTCTTCTGGGAAGGCTTCCCTGATACACACCTATGGGCAGGATGACTCTGGAGCTGCATCCCCAGGTTGGCACATAGCATTTTCTACCTTATTTCAGAGCGATCTGGGAACTTGTTCTTTCTCCTCTATTAAAGGCTCTGGAGACCAGGGCCCTCGGCTGGTTATCTGCCTGAAAGGATGAGGGGAAGGGTCAATACATTCAGGAGAAGGGGCTGTCTGGGACCTCTGTCTGGGGCCACAGCCTCCTTCTGTCTTCACTGACTGCTCTGGGCAGCATGCCAGGGGCGTGGTTTGGGCTAGAGGAGGACTGGATGGTGCCTGCAGCACCACCTTTCTCCCAGGGCCACTTCAGGTGCCTCCTCACTGGTTTCCCAGCCTTCGGCCTCACTCCTTCTACTCAATCACCACAAAGCAGCCTGTGACCATCTCAGAATGCAAATCCGACCGTGTCACTCCCCTGACTCTAAACTCCTCAGTAGGCTGGGTGCGGTGGCTCACACCTGTAATCCCAGCACTGTGGGAGGCTGAGGCGGGTGGATCACTTGAGGTCAGCAGTCCAAGACCAGCCTGGGCAACATGGCGAAACCCGGTGTCTACTAAAAAAATACAGAAGTTAGTCGCATGGTGGCACGCCTGTAATCCCAGCTACTCGGGAGACTGAGGAGAATCACTTGAACCAGGGAGGCTGAGGCTGCAGTGAGCTGAGATTGCACCACTGCACTCAGCCTGGGTGACAGAGCAAGACTATGTCTCAATAAATAAGTAAATTAATTAAATTTAAAAAATAAACTCCTGAGTGGCTCCCCACTGCCCTAAGGATTGAGCCCCAGGTCCTTCATATGACCATCCCTGAGTGCACCCTCCGGGCCACCTCCTAAGCACAGTCCTCCGTGCCTCCAGATGAACCATCCCTGAAGGCACAGCGGTCTGTACTCTTGCACATTCTGCTCCCTCCACCCCCCGCCCCCCAACACTCTTCCCAGTCCCACTCGCTCTTTAGGTTATGATTTTAATGCCATGTGCTCAGGGAGCCTTTTCTGATCCTCAGGTCAGGTTCCCGGTCCAATCCCACAGCCCCCCGCGTGTCTCCCTGACAACAGTAATTGCGCTTGTAATTTCCTGCTCTGTATCTGTCTGCCTGCCTGTCCATCAGACTGTGGGAGAGAGAGACCTATCAGTCTCACTCACACTGACCACGGCCCCCATGCCTCGTGTTGTGCCAGACAGACTTGTTTGGTGAGTGAGTGAATGAACAAATGAATGAAGCCCTTTGACTATGGCAGGAGGCTTACCCAGTCAATTGGAGAGAAAAAAATTGAGCAGAAGCACAAAAAATTGTAAACATTTGCTCATGGTTCCTCTCTCACCGTAGACATGAAAGTGTGGACTTGGCCAAGCTGGTTTTCTGGGCTAACGCCCAGAACATTCTGCCAAGCCCACCTTGTAGCCCTCTCATGCCTCAAATCCTGTTCTTCCCCTGGCCTCCCCAACTCTGCAGGGAAAACAATGTATTTATTCTTTAACAAAAGGTAACAACATCCTTGTTTACCAAAAGAGTGTAGCAATGTAAGGAGGCCTCAGTAGCCCAGTCACCAGCAGGGGCACAGGCTGCCCAGGGTGAAGTACGCACTGTGCTCTGGGAGCCCCATCTGGAGTGGCTGAGAGGCACCAGAGTGACGTGGGGGCATGTGGTTAGTCTCCTATCTTCAAACAGTAACGCTTCTCCCTACCTTTTTTTTTTTTAAGATAGGGTCTCACTATGTTGCCCTGGCTGATCTTGAACTCCCGGCCTCAAGTGATCCTCTCGCCTCGCCCCCGCAAAATGCTGGGACTACAAGCGTGAGCCACTGCCCCCGGACTCCCTCACATTCTTAATAGTTCCCACAGTGTTTCTACATACATTGTACCCTCACAATATCTGGAGAAGTGGAGCAAATCTGCCCCACTTTGTAGGAAAGGGGGCACAGAGCCGGGGAATGGCTGACCCAAGGTCACACAGCAAGCTGGTAGTACATCAGGATTCAAACCAAAACCCTGGGCCCTGTTCTCAACTCAACTGCTGTATAGTAAAGAGCATTCCCAACCCTCAGCGGTAGCCTCAACTCAGCCCCAGCTTGGAAAGTGAAGGAACATTCTCAAGGTGCCACAGCTGCAGATGGGGGATGATGGGTTGGGTCTCCTTCCCCCAACTGTCTGCCAGGTTACCCCTCCAAAAGTCCAGGAGGTTTGTGCCTGTTCTGGTACTATCTTGCTCTGTGACCCTGGGCAACCTCCTTCACCTCTCTGTGCCTGCTGCAGGGTGGTTTGAGTACAACCGGAGGCAGGAGACATAAAAAGCCTCCTCAGAACCCTCGGCCCACGGCTTGCACTGGGAGAAAACAGGGGGAGACGGTCCATCCGAGGCCCTTAAGAACAGCACTGACTCCCTGCCAAGGGGTTAGAGACGTGGGTGGGGAGCTGGTGACCATCAGGGAGATTCAGTGAGGACAACAGGAAACACATCACACAGACACACAGACACACACAGATACACACACACACACACACACACACACACACACACACACACGCCCTGCAAACGCGCCGCATTAGGAACCCAGGGGCCAAGGACAACTTGGCCACACTGCAAAGAAGTGAGTGCTGGATTTGTTTAAAAGCCGCGGAGCAGGAGATCCAGGGAATAAACACTTGATCAGTCCCGAATCACCCCTGCCTCAGGAATGACAGCACAGGAACCAATGTTTAGAGGAAATTAAAATGACAGGAGCCAGGGAGGCCTGACATCAGCCGCCACCCCATGCATGCACCGCCGGTCAACAATCCACCGTGGACTTCCTCAGCCTAGTACTTTCTGGCCCCAGCAACCTTTTTGCCCTCTTTCTCTTTTGTTTCCTGACCCTTTCATAGCCAGGTGCCAGACCAGCCCCATTCTGGCCTTTCCAGGAGCCTGTCCTGTGCACTCACACCTCTGCTCCTCTGTCACACAGGTCCCCCTCCCGGGACACCCCTTCCAGTTCAGATGTCACCTGCTCCATGAAGCTTTCTCTCGTCTCTCCAGCTTGGAGAGAGCCCCTGCCTGGCATATTTCTACCTCTCCAAGGACGTGCCAAAAAGTCTGAGGACCAGTGCAGACGTTTATGGCCTGGTGGAAGCTCCCATAACACTGTTTATTCAGTCAATTCTTTCCTCCCTCACATGGGGTTTGGCTTAGAGTAAGTGTTCAACACGTCCTGGCTAAATGACAGACGAAAGTATCACGGTCTCCTCCCTACAACATGATAAACTTTCATTCGTCTTCCAGACCAGCAAATAGGTGGCCTCTGTCCCTGTGCTGGAAAAGCCAGCCCATAGCCCTGGACAGATGGATGACAGACTTTTGTTTTGGATTCCAGAGACAACCCCTGGGGCAAATAGGTTAGATGTTAGGTAGAACTTCCCAGCGTGGGCTCAAGCTTGGAAAAGAAAACTAAGCAGTACTGAAGCAAAGCACTCTCACTTGGGTTATCTCACCCTTTGGAGGTAAGTGTTATCATCTCATCTTGCAGATGAGGAAACTGAAACTCAAGGGTGATGCTTCACCTAGACCAAAGTCCCTGTGGGGAAGTGGAGGGGATGGGGTTCAAACACAAATTGGTGTGACGTCAAAGCCTGGACTCTTCACAATAGGCTGGTGGGCTTCTTCAGTTGTAAGGATCTATAAAGTGTCACCAAGGCAAAGTGAGGGGACCTCTTTCTTTTTTTGGTGGTTTTTAAGGAAGAAAAAATTTTCTTTATGAGTAACTCAGGGTGGGCTTAGAGGCAGAGGGGATCATACAACCTCAAAGTCTCACGGCCTTTTGGTGCCCATACACTGAGACTTTAAATCCAGTGCTGGTCCACAGATAGTGCACTCCCTGTGTCGGAAACGGTCTGGGTGGGGCATTACAGGGGAGATTCCTAATGGAGGAGGTAGGTTGAGTCTCACGTGGTCTCTAAGCACCTTCAGGTATAGAACTAAGCCATAATTCCACCACTTCTGACTCTAGTGAGGCAACTGGCGGTGCCTAAGCAAAGAAGACCCTAGCTGGGTGAGAAGAGGCCTTGGAAGGGAGAGATGGGGGGGCGGGTTGTAAGGGGACTCCAGCTCTGGGCACAGCAGGGGCTGGGAACCACTGTGGGACTCTTCGGCTTTACAGGGGGTCCCATCCTGCTCCCATCCAGGCGCCCTCGGGCTTGGCAGCATCATCACAGAGAAGTGGAGGGGCTGGATCACAGGTACTGGCAGCCACCATCCCAGGCACATGCCCTCCTCAGCCCTACATGGTGACTTTGACCCACTTCACAGGGCACAGAACAGAACTAGGAGAGGGAATCCGAGTGGCTCGTCTATAGGGAAAGAAACCAAAGAGAAGTAGATGGCTCCCTTCCCGTGATGGAGAGGCCGGCACCCGGCCCTGGACAAGTGGACAAAGGGCCTTTGCTCTTGGGGTCCAGGGACAATGCCCCTCCCAACAGCCCCCCCCCAGGAAGCCCAGCCTGGATCAAATGGATTTCTCTTCTGGGGCTTTAGAGAGCCCCATGAAACGCCCCTCCCCAGTTCCCTTTCTCCCTGGTACTCCTGCCTATCGCAGTCAGCACTCGGCCTCAGCAAGCCCCTCCTCTGAGGACCCATCACCGGGAGATGCTGGGGAGACCGGATCGCTGGGTGCAGGGCCCCTGAGTGTCCCCTGGTCTCTGACAGCACCGACCTAGCTGCGTCGCCACCACATACACCCCTTAGGCCACAGCTGGATCAGCAGTCCCAGAGGGCCGCAACCTAGCCCTCCGAATGCGCCGGGCGTGGCCACCCACAGTGCCCCAAGGCGAGCCCCAGACCGACCTCAGTGTCCCGGGACGCTCAGGTCCAGCTGCATCCAGGCACCTCGAAATCGCCGCCACCCGCGAGCCCGACCCAGCCCGGCTGCCCTGGGTCTCCAAGCCAAGCTGAGTCCAGGGACTTCAGAACAACCCAAAACAGACCGCAGCAACCGTCCCCAAAGCGAACCGGGGACCCCGAGCCCCCCACATCCGGCTGGGACCAGAACCAAGCTCGGCGCGGCCGCCCCCGACGGGACCAAGCGCAGCGCCGCCGGGAGAGCCGCGCTCTGCCCGGGCGCTCCCCGACTCCACGCCTTCCGAGAGCCGGGCGGGGGCTGCTGCTGCAGCCGGCGCCCAGCCCCCCGCGAGCCAGGGCGGCCCCGGGTGCCACCCGCGGCACCGCTGCCCGCGACCGTCGAGGCTGGGCTGGACCGGACCAGACCTCCGCGCGCAGCACTCACCATAGCTCGCGTGCTCCGCCCCGGCTTCGCGCAGCTCCCCGCGCCCGGCTCCCGATTCCCAGCTCCGGGTTCCCTGCTCCCAGCCCAGCTGCTCGGACGGCTCGGCTGCCTGGCCCAGGCGGCGCGCTCAGCTCCAGCGGGCGAGCTCGCGGCTTCGGCGCCGAGTGCCGGAGGGGCGGGGCCGCCGCGGGGCCAATGGCAGGGCGCGGGGGCCTGGGTGGCGCAGCCAATCACGGCCTGAGGCTGCACTCCCCGCGCCCGCGCGGGCCCTTAACCCTTGGCGCGCTGGGAGTCGGCTGCCCGGGCTGCGCGGGGAACCTGGAGGGCAGGAGCAGGCGGGAGTTGTTGCTTCGGGGCGCAGGGTCCAGACCTTGCCGAGACCGGCGTTGGGAGCTAGCAGAACCGGGAAGAGGCTCGATTGTGTCCGGTGGGGCCGCCGGGAGCCTCGGCGACCTTTGTCTCCTGCCTGGCTCCTGCACTGGAGTGTGACCCGGGGCGCTGCAGCTGCTTGTGTGTGTGTGTGTGTGTGTGTGTGTGTGTGTGTGCGCGCGCGCGCGCGCGCGCGCGTGTGTGTAAGAGGGAGGAGAAGAGGAGACAGAAACGGTGGGAGGGGTGGATTCCGCGTGCCCGTGTGCTTATGTGTGAAGGAAAGTCCTGACTATATTTGGGATTTGTTGCTCTGTGTGTATATGTGCGTGTGTGTGTTTGCTATATTTGGGGTTCGTTGCTGTGTGTGTGTCCGCTGTATTTGAGGTTTGTTGCTGTGTGTGTGTGTCCGGTATATTTGGGGTTTGTTGCCGTGTGTGTGTGTGTGTGTGTGTGTGTGTGTGTGTGTGTGTAAGAGAGGAAGAGAGATGAGGAGACAGAAAGTGGGGGAGGGGTGGATTCCGCGTGCCCGTGTGTTTATATGTGAAGGAAAGCCCTGACTGATTTATTTGGGATTCGTTGCCGTCCAGGGACTTCAGGACAACCTGTGTCCGCTATATTTGAGGTTTGTTGCCGTGTGTCTGTGTGTCGCTATATTTGGGGTTCGTTGCTGTGAGTGTCTACTATATTTGGGGTTTGTTCTGTGTGTGTCCACTATATTTGGGGTTCATTGCTGTGTGTGTGTGTCTGCTATATTTGAGGTTTGTTGCTGTGTGTGTGTCTCCGCTATATTTAGGGTTCATTGCTGTGTGTTTGTGTGTCTGCTATATTTGGGGTTCGTTGCTGTGTGTGTGTGTCCGCTGTATTTGGGGTTTGTTGCTGTGTGTGTGTGTGTCCCCGTGATAGAGGGGTGAGGGAGGGAATGGTAGCAAAGCAGAGAGAAGGAGCCGTGGCTCTCTAGGCGTGTGAATTTGCAGGTCCAGGAGAGACACTGTCTCCACGTGTAGGTTTTGTGAGGTCAAGGGAAGGAGGAAGGAACAGAAGACAGCCTGCCTGTGTGTGTGTGTGATGTGTGATCTCCACTTTTGGGTCCTGTTGTACATGCATGTTAATGTGGTAGAAAGAAATGTGGTGTCCCTGTTGTAAACAAGTTGTGAAAAAATCCTGGGTTTTTGTGGTGTAGTTTGCGTGTGTTGTACGTGCCCACACAAAAGAGGGACATGGCTGTGATTTGGTACAACTTTGTGTGTAACCCAGTTTGCAAGAGACATCGAGATAAAAACATTGTGTGTGTGGTGACACTGTGGTCTTTGTGTGTGACTGTTGTGTGACTTTTGTGATCATCTATATTTGGGTTGGGCTGAGAAAGAGAAACTACTGTGTAGGGGGCATAATGAGTGTATGTTCAGGAGAAAGACATCCTGGCGGCATTGGGATTTGGGCTTTGAAGGATGTCTAAGAGTTCATTAGGCCAGACAGAATGCTCGTGAGGCCAGAGGGAAAGATCCGGGGAATCCTGCCTATCAGCCAACGGGGGTGAGGAGGCTGTAGTGGTGGGTGACCAGGGTGAATTTGGAAACAGAACCTACTGCCAGCAAGGAAGAGGAGGAGCAACTGACTGCAACCCTTGCCCAGGTGCTGACCCAGAGTGGCCCTGGATGCGTCTGGGCACACAGAGTCATTCTAAAGCGGACCATCTGTTCCTGGGCAGTTTGTTTGGGAACCTGGAGGGCGGGGAGGGGCTCTGTGGAAATAACTCTATGTTGCTCCTTCCTTCCAGCAGCATTCCAAATTCTTCAGTGTGGAGGACTCAGGGAGGTCGAAAAGCTCCTTGAGTGCAGCAGTTGGGAGCATGGTGAAGGGGGGAGGGTCTGGCCGTGTCTGCAAGGTGACCAGACCTGAAGGTCCAGAGCCCCCCTCCATCATGGGGTACTTAAACTATCAGCTGCCCTGGCCTGGTGTCCGATTCCTGACTATTCCTCAAGTGTCTTCCTAAGAATCATAGCCTGATGCCTGCAGAGACATTGAAGATCCAGGGACACACAAAAATGAAACCCAGTTATCCTGGCACTCCACTTGCCAGCAATGTGATTATGTTCTCTTCTCTCTGAGCTCCCGTTTTTGCCTCTGTAAAATGGTGTTCATAATTCTTACCCACCTCACTGTACTGTTGTAAAGATTTAAGGAGTTAATATACCTCGTGGGCCTTTTGTAACTTAACAAACCGCTAGAAAGCCTTTAAGCATTGCTCCATTTACAAAAAGTTCAAAAAATAAGCAAAATTAGACCTGTGCTGTCAGAAGTTAGGTTTGTGTTATCTTTGGGGAGGGAATGACTGGAAAGGGGCACCAGGGAAGCTTCTGGGTGCTAGTAAGGGTTAGGTACGGAGGAGGGAGTAGTTCAGTTGTGAAAAATTGAGCAGTCTCCTTAGGATCTATGTGCTTTTCTGTCTCTGTTACTCTCTAACAAGAAGTTTCCAAAAGAAAAAAGGGCCAGGTGCAGTGGCTCATACCTGTAATCCCAGCACTTTGAGAGGCCAAGGCAGGCGGATCACCTGAGGTCAGGAGTTCAAGACCAGTGTGGCCAACATGACAAAACTCGTCTCTACTAAAAATACAAATAAATTACCCGGGCATGGTCGTGGGCACCTGTAATTCCAGCTACTCAGGAGGCTGAGACAGGAGAATCGCTTGGACCGAGGAGGCGGAGGTTGCAGTGAGCTGAATCACGCCGCTGCCCTCCAGCCTAGGTGACAGAGAGACTCCATTTCAAAAAAAAAAAAAAAAAAAAAAAGGCAGGGCTCAGTGGTGGATCACTTGAGATCAGGAGTTTGAGACCAGCCTGGCCAACATGGCAAAACTCCATCTCTACTAAAATACAAAAATTAGCTGGGCAGGGTGGCGGGTGCCTATAATCCCAGCTACTCCGGAGGCTGAGGCAGGAGAATCACTTGAACGTGGGAGGCAGAGGTTGCAGTGAGCTGAGATCGAGCCACTGCACTCCAGCCTGGGCGACAGTGAGAATCCGGCAAAAAAAAAAAAAAAAAAAAAAAAAAAAAAAAATCAGAAGGTCAGGTATAGGTATTATGACCACATTTTAATCACTCATAAAATGGACATTCTGGAATGCTGTATCAGCTCAGGGCAGAGTACTGGGGACACTATATTGAGTAAGGTGTGGTTCTCCTGGCTCTATGAAGAAAGCAGAGGAGAAAGGCTGTGGCTTTCTTGCTTCTGAAAGGGGCACATTAAGGATGGGGCGGGGCGGGCAGGGAGTGAGGGGCAGCATGCCCAAACCCACTCCAAAGCCACTCACCCGGCTTGACAGCAGAATCAGGACTAGAACCAAGGCCTCCCAAGGTGATGGCTGAGTCTTTTCCATTCTACCAGGCTGCTCCAGAAAACGCAGCCCCTGGTCTTATGCTGCTCAAACGGAAGCAAGCAAGTGAGGTTTGCTGCCGACTCTGACCCTTACCTCCAACTCCTCCAGGATCTTCAGAGATCACCTCATCCAAACAGCTTTCTGGGAACGGCCAGCCATAACAAATGCTAAGCATTTATTATGTGCCAGACATGGTGGCAGGTGCTTTGCAGCATTATCTGAGTGATTCTCACAATTCTATGTGGTAGGTGCTAGGATTCCCACATCACCTCCATATTGCAGGTGAGAAAATCAATGTTCAGAGAGGGAAAGTGATTTGCCCGAGAAGACACAGCTAGTTTGAGGGGCTTTGCTCCTTTGCTGGCATGCAGCTGCTTCTGTTGGTATTCATGGGCTCGCCATGCCCTCTGACAGACACAAGTGGTTTCATGACAGGAGAAGGTGTCCCCTGTTAGACTGCTGGAGACTGGATGAGATGTGGGGAGTTGCCCCTTCCAAATACTCAAGCCTCTGGGCACAGGGTCTGCCCCATCGGAGCATCAGGGCTCAAACGCAGAAAACCAACCTGAATTGGCCAGAGCCAATTGAGTTACACAGAGCCTGTGTAACTACAAAGTACAGGGGCAGAGCTAGCTTTAGGCATGGCTCCAAGAGGAGCTCAGATGATGACATTAGGATTCAGTCTCATTTACTCCATCTCTGAAGACCGCTTCCCTCCCTGCTGGCCTCACCTCTTGGCCTCATGATGACAAGATGGCTGCCCTCAGCAGTGGCTCACATCCTACTCTCTTATCAACTCCCAGCGGAAACAGGGACTCACTTTTTCCTACAGTTCTAATTAACATTCCCAAAACTGAGTCTTGTCGACTGTCACTGAGACATGTGTCAATTCCTCTGCCAATCACTGTGGCCAAGGGTTCTGATTAGCCAGGAAGTGAGACCCTGGAGATACCTGGCATTGTAGTTTAGGTGTGGGTTTCCAGCCATGCAGCCTCAGGACTCACCAGGATCCAAAAGGAATCTCCCAGAATGTGTGGAGAGACATGAGTCACAGACGTTCAATATATGTGGCCATGGCTATCACTGGCATTATTCTTCCTCCGCTTTGCCTCTGTCATCGTCTTGTACAGAATAGGTGTTTGGTAATGACTAGTACACAGTAGGTGCCCAGAGAATCCCTTTTGTTTGGCTGATTTTTTGCTTTGAGAGTAATACCACGTGCCAAGTCAGACAGAGGCTGGACACACTGAGCGACCCACAGGCATGCAGACAGAATGAGACTCGCTGTAAGAGCTTTTTAATTTTTAATGTTGTTTTGTCTTCCGTAACTGAGCTGAAATACTGTCTAGGGCACCCGAGGAAATCACCAGACTCTCCAAGGAACAGTAACCAGCCTGTCTAAGAAGATACAGTCATGAAAATGGCAGAAGAAGCTCTGAAGAGGCTGGCAGGGGAGGGGACTCCGTGCTCAGATGCAGGGTGCAGGCAGGGTACAGGCAGGCAGAGCTTGTCAGGCCCAATGAGGCTCTTCCTGACTCATCCAACCCTGCAGTGAGGTAGCCAGGACCCTTCCCCCTGCCCTGGGCCCCTGGTGAAAGACTGGAGATCAGGCTATCCCCCCTGACCCCCCTCTCGTGTCTCCTTGGGCCACCAATTACTCTGATTCAACTGGGCAGTTGAGTTTCTGTGAAGGACAGAGACCCATGAAGTCCAGCACTCACTGCTATTTATTGAGTCTGTTCCAGGCGCCATACTTCGAACTTCACTTGATTTAAATACAAGAGCAATGGAATATACTTAGGATACTTACTTTATCGCTGCTTTTACCTTACTTTTTCTTCCCTCTGCCCTGATTTCCTTAATTAATTTTGAAAAAAAAATCTCTATTTTTTCAAATTTCAAATGTAATACATGGTCACTGTAAAACAGACAATAGGGTCGAGGCACCATGGCTCAGGCCTGTAATCCCAAAACTTTGGGAGGCCGAAGCAGGAGAACTGCTTGAGGTCAGGTGTTCACCAGCCTGGGCAACACAGTGAGACCTTGTCTCTACTAAATATAAATATATATATACATACATATATTTTTGTTTGTTTGTTTTTGTTTTTTTGAGATGGAGTTTCGCTCTTGTTGCCCAGGCTGGAGTGCAATGGTGTGATCTCGGCTTACTGCAACCTCCACCTCCTAGATTCAAGCAATTCTCATGTCTCAGCCTCCAGAGTAGCTGGGATTACAGGTGCCCACCACCACGTCCAGCTAATTTTTGTATTTTTAGTAGAGACAGGGTTTCACCATGTTGGTCAGGGTGGTCTCGAACTCTTGACCTCAAGTGATCCGCCCGCCTCAGCCTCCCAAAGTGCTGGGATTACAGGCATGAGCCACCACACCTGGCCTCTACTAAATATATTTTTAAAAAATTAGTTGGGGCTGGGCGCGGTGGCTCACACTTGTAATCCCAGCACTTTGGAAGGCCGAGGTGGGCGGATCACGAGGTCAGGAGATCAAGACTATCCTGGCCAACATGGTGAAACCCCGTCCTACCAAAATACAAAAAAGTAGCTGGGCATGGTGGCATGCGCCTGTAGTCCCAGCTACTCCGGAGGCTGAGGCAGGGGAATCACTTGAACCTGGTAAGCGGAGGTTGCAGTGAGCTGAGATCGCACCACTGCACTACAGCCTAGCGACAGAGCAAGACTCTGTCTCAAAAAAAAAAAAAAAAAAAAAAAAAAAAAGTCATGCATGGTGGCACAAGCCTGTATCCCAGCTACTGGGGAGGCTGAGGTGGGAAGATCACTTGAGCCCAGGAGTTCAAGACTGCTGCACGACACCCTGTCTCAAAAAGAAAAAAAAAACAGAGAAAAAAGTAAAATAGATAATGCGGAAATGAATACAATGGGAAGAAATAGTCCCTATAATATCGCTCCTCAGATATTAACCATTGGAAACTCTTTGATGTGATTCTGTATTTAGCTGAATTGACAGATTTATGTCCATTTTGGGAAGAGGGAAAACGTTATTAACGTTTTCAGAGCCTCCTTCCTCCCTGTCCTCTCTGAGGAAGGAAACTTGGTGTGTCAGGCAGCTGCAGCCCGGGCTTTACCCTGTGAATCTGGGTAATGGGTGGAGGTGGGGGAGAAAGAAACAAACTACAAGAGAAAGGGCAGAGGTTGTGGGGTGGGAAAGATGGGGAGAGGCTGGAGCAGGGGATGAAGTGGGTCAAAGCCAGCGCAGGCTGAGCTTTGAGGGAGTGTTTGGGGGATCCAGACGCAGATTTGGGGGCTGCTGTGCTGTGAGATATTGAAAAAGAGTGAGGGGTCAGGCGGAGGAGAGAGAGAGAGAGCAGCAGGCAGGACACGGGAGAAAGTTTTACTAAGATTATGGATGATGTCTGCTTTAACATTCTCAAAAGAACTGAATAAATAGTTAAATTGCTTTGCAGTTTGTTTGTTTGTTTGTTTTGTTCAGAGGAGGAAATAGTGTTTCTAATTCAACAGGGGGCTGAGACTGGCTTTGGGTGGCTCAGCTTTACCCAGATTACATTTTTATACACAGAAAGCTAGATTACATCATCATCATAAAAATAAAAATAAAAACTGATAAAATATCTTGTCTAAGTAATGTATGCCAGGCACTGTGCTAAGTACTCCTCTGTATTCATTTATTTAATTCTACAATAGCCCAATGGGGGTGGTTACTACTATTATCCCATTTTACAGACAAGGAAACTGAGGCTTAGAGAGATGAAGCAACTTGCCCAAGATCACACAGCCTCCAAGTGGGAGAGCTGGGATGAGGCAATTTGTCTATTATCTTAACTTTCTGGTAAACACAGTTGTTTTGTTTAAATTAATTAACTCATTAATTTTGCTGTAAGAACCTTAAGGAAGATTCTTATTGATTAAGACAGAGTCTCACTCCATCGACCAGGCTGGAGTGCAGTGATGTGATCTTGGCTCACTGCAACCTCCATCTCCCAGGTTCAAGCGATTCTCCTGCCTCAGCCTCCCAAGTAGCTGAGATTACAGGTGTGTGCCACTATGCCTGGCTAATTTTTTTGTATTTTTAGTAGAGACAGGGTTTTACCATGTTGGCCAGGCTGGTCTCGAACTCCTGACCTCAAGTGATCTGCCCGCATCAGCCTCCCGAAGTGCTGGGATTACAGTTGTAAGCCACTGCGCCCAGCCAGAAGATTCTTATTTTTAAATTTAATTTAATTTTTTTAGTGAAGAGGGGTCTCACTATGTTGCCCAGGCTGATCTTAAACTCTGGGGCTGAAGGGATCCTCCTGCCCCAGCCTCCTGGGTAGCTGGAGCTCCAGGCATGCACCACCACTGCGCCCGGCTCTGTTTTATTTGTTTTTTGTGAGTTGCTGCAAATGCCTTTCTGTTCGTGATAGAATAAGGATATACCTAAATAATAGGCATGCACCATCATGAAGCCACCCCACAACTCCTTGCCGTTATCTGTGTTAAGAAGCTGAAGCCGAGGGGGGACGTGGGCACTAATCTAGAGAAGGCAGCTTTTAAGTTGTGGGATTTGAACTGGGCGGTTTTTTTTTTTTGTTTTTTTTTTGTTTTTTTTTTCTGAAGAATCATACAGAAGCTGGAATTACTACGGTGAGGAGTAGGGTTGCATTTCAGTTACCCTGGTACAGATTCACAGACCCTGAAGGCTGGACCTGGACGAGATGTCCAAAGTTATCCATTCCAGTCCCTGTTTTAGTTTATGAAGCTCCACTGCAGTTTCCTCCACAGGTGTCACCTGGCCCACGTGTGAACACCTCCGCTGATGGGAGACTTGGTTTTGCAGAGAGCACAGAGGAGGGGAATGTAGCTGAGAAAGTAGGCCAGGGTGGAGCAGTGAAGGGGAAGGAATTCCTGAGACTTAGCTGGGATGAGCACAGGGGGACTGCCAGAGGGGACAGGAATGCAGGCAGAGTGGAAAACCATTTCCTCAAATGCCCTCACTACAATATCAGCTCTTTTATGTATAGCCCTTCCAAGTTGAGGGAGTAAAAATACGTTATTTCAAAGAAACAAGTTCCCCCAGAGCCAAACTACTATAACAAAGTATATTTCCTGTTTTGCCTTTGCTGCTAGGAAGCCCTTAGGTAGGTTATATATTCAACCTCAGTAACAAACTCAGTCCAGGCACCTGATAGATTTATCTCTATCTTTTTCCAATGGCTTTCCATCTCTCTATTTATTTATGTATTTGAGATGGAGTCACAGTCCGTGGCTCAGGATGGAGTGCAGTGGTGCGATCTCGGCCCACTGTAAACTCTGCCTCCCGGGTTCAAGCGATTCTCCTGCCTCAGCCTCCTTAGTAGCTGGGATTACAGTCGTAATCAGCTAAGCGCCACCATGCTAAGCTAATTTTTGTATTTTTAGTAGAGATGGGGTTTTGCCATGTTGGCCAGGCTGGTCTTGAACTCCTGACCTCAAGTTATCCGCTCACCTCAGCTCCCTAAGTGCTGGAATTATAGGTGTGAGTCACCACCCTCCGCCTCAATCTGTCTTTTTAGATTAATGTTTTATAATGTTTGCTTTAACACTAAACAGCTATCTGAATGTAAGACCATCTCCTCCTCTAAGAAGCCTTCCCCGTCTGTGCCCCCACAGCCCCCTGCATTACTGCTAATGTAGCACCTCTCTCTGTCTTCTTCAGTCTGTTTACTCTCTTTGTCTCCCCTACCTAGGCCCAATTCTGCAACTCCAGCTATAGAAACAGGGACCAGCACATAGTTGATGCTCCATAAATTATCAAACTCTACAGAAAGGCTCTTGTAGGAAATGAGGCCTTGTTTAATAAGCACCTCTTCTCTGCATACACTATCTCATGGGGCACTCACATGACCACTATTTTAACAGATGAAGATCCTGAGGGTCAGAGGGGTGAATTGATTTGCTCCTGGTCACACAGCCTGTAAGTGGCAATGAAGGATGTGAACCCAACTCTGTCTGATTTTAAAGTTCCTGCTCTCCACCATGGCTTTGTACATCATCACTGTAGTTCTTTCATGTGGAGGGAAGAACTTGAGGACTCCAGCTACAGCTGCCTATGAGTGGGGGATCAGGGGGCCTGGGGCATGGGAAAAGTCACTCAGGGTCCCTGGGCCTCAGACTTCTCCTTTTTTTTATTTGTTTGTTTGTTTGTTTGTTTGTTTTTTGAGACAGAGTCTTGCTCTGTCACCCAGGCTGCAGTGCGAGATCATGGCTCACTGCAGCCTCAACCTTTTGAGCTCAAGTGATCCTCCCACCTCAGCCTCCCAAGTAGCTAGGACTACAGGTGCACACCACTACACCCGGCTAATTTTTTGTACTTTTTTGTTGAGACGGGTTTTTGCCACATTGCCCAGGCTGGTATCCAACTCCTAGGCTCAAACTATCCAGCCACCTTGGCCTCCCAAAGTGCTGGGATTATAGGTGTGAGCCACCACACCTCACCAGTCTCCTCCTTTGTAAAATGAAGGGGTTGGATCAGCAATTGTCAGCTCTAGGGGTCCATTTGCATCACCTGGGGAGCTCTTAAAAGGTACTGATGCCTGCATCCCACCTCAGGTCAATTAAACCAAAATAACTGAAGGCAGGTCCCCCCAGGTGATTTGGATGCTGGAGAGGGCTAAGAACACTAAACTCGCCCCTCAGTGAGGCCCATTGCAGGAAGCCCCTCGACCTGGCATGATGGAAAGACCAGGGCTGTGGAGCCAAGTGGGCATGGGTTCTGATCCCAGGTCTGTTCTTTCGTATACATCAACATCCTCGTTGAGCAGAGGAGAGCAAGGCTGGTGAAGTCTGAGGTCTTGCAGCGAAGAAGTGGCATTGTGGAGGTTTCAATCCCGGTCTGCGCTCCGCAATTGCAGGATATTGAGGAGGGTCTTAGACAAAGAGAGGAGGTGTGGGTGGGTAGGTAGGTCCGCTTGGAGCCTGTGTCTGTACTGGCAGACCTGAGAGCTGGGTGGGGCCTGTCTTGGGGATCCCAAAGCCATCCCTGCCTGTGACTCACACTGTTTTCACAGCAGGTGTTGGGGCAGCATGAAGTCACCCACACCTCCCACGCTTCTCACACCTCTGCTGCCTCCTAGCCTAGCACGTGCCCAGACACCTCCACCACCTATGGTGCCCCAAGCCCTGGGCAGTGACAGGCCAGTGTGGACAAGCTGGCCAGCCTGTGTGTGATTGGGGTGTTGGCATTGGCTGCAAGAACACACTGACAGGAAGGCTGATGCCAACTCAAGGCACAAGCAGACCTTTTCCCAAACACCCACCCCATCGCTCCTGTGCCCTGTGGTCTTGGGCAAGTCCCTGCACCGCTTTGACAGTCTATAACATGTGTGTAAAAGCATGGCTCATGGGGTTCCCATGAGCTCCAGAACACCAAGCTCTTTCCCCCAACAGAGTCAGACCAGGCTGCCCCTCATCTGGACTGACTCCCCCATCACTTTTCCTTTTAGGTCTCAGTCCAAATGTCACTGTCCGGAAAGGCCTTTCTTGTCGACCCTCTCTAAGGGGACTCTCCTTTTCTTCTCCCTCACTGCACCCACCTCATTTCCTTCATTGTACTTATCAGAATTTCTTTTTTCTTTCTTTCTTTCTTTTTTTTTTTTTTTTTTTTTGAGACGGAGTCTTGCTCTTGTTGCCCAGGCTGGAGTGCAATGGTACAATCTTGGCTCACTGCAACCTCCACCTCCTGGGTTCAAGTGATTCTCCTGCCTCAGCTTCCCGAGTAGCTGGGATTACAGGCACGTGCCACCATGCCTGGCTAATTTTTATTTTTAGTAGAGACTGGGTTTCACCATGTTGGCCAGGCTGGTCTCGAACACCTGACCTCAGGTGATTCACCCACCTCGGCCTCCCAAAGTGCTGGGATTACAGGTGTGAGCCACTACACCCAGCCACTTATCAGAATTCCTAATTCTACACTTAGTTTCTTCGTTACTTGTCTAGCTCTCCAATCAGATTACAAAGCAAATGTAGGGACTGTCCTTTTGTCATGTTGTCATGTCTCTCTCTCTTTGAGAGACAAGGTCTCACTCTGTCACCCAGGCTAGAGTGCAGTGGTGCAATCACAGCTCACTGCAGCCTCAAACTTCTGGGCTCAAGCGATCCTCCTACCTCAGCCTCCTGAGTAACTGGCACCACCACGCCTGGTTATTTTTTTTCTTTTTTTCTTTTTTTTTTTAGACAAGGTCTCGCTCTGTCATCTAGGCTGGAATGCAGTGACATAATTATAACTCAGCCTTGAGCTCCCAGGTCGACCTCACTGCCACCTCAACCTCCCAGACTCAAGTGATCCTCCCACCTCAGCCTTTCACACAGCTGGGACTACAGGTGCGTGCCACCATGCCCAGCTAATTTTTTTTTTCTATTTTTTGTAGAGATGGAGTCTCATTATATTGCCTAGTCTGGTCATGAACTCCTAGGCTCAAGTGATCCACCTGCCTTGGCCTCCAAAAGTGCTGGGATTACAGGCGTGAGCCACCACACCCAGACTTGGCTAATTTTTTAATTTTTAGTAAAGACGAGGACTCAGTGTGCTGCTCAGGCTTGTCTCTGTCTCCTGGCCTCAAGTGATCCTCCCTCCTTGGCCTCCCAAAGTGCTGGGATTATAGGCATGAGCCACTGCACCCGACTCGTTATGTCTCTTTATTGAGGTGTAACCTGCACACCATACCATTCATCCATGTTAAGTGTATAGTTCAATGATTTTTAGTAAATTCACAGAATTGTGCCATCATCACCACAAGCCAGTTTTAGAACACTCGCATTGCCGGCTGGCTCACCCCTGTAATCCCAGCACTTTGGGAGGCTGAGGCAGGCAAATCATGAGGTCAGGAGATCAAGACCATCCTGGCCAACACGGTGAAACCCCGTCTCTACTAAAAAAAAAAAAAAATACAAAAATTTAGCCGGACATGGTGGCGGGCGCCTGCAGTCCTAGCTACTCAGGAGGCTGAGGCAGGAGAATGGGGTGAACCCAGGAGGCGGAGGTTGCAGTGAGCTGAGATCGCGCCACTGCACTCCAACCTGAGTGACAGAGACTCCATCTCAAAAAAAAAAAAAAAAAAAGAACACTCGCATCGCCCCCTAAAGATCCCTCCTAGCCACTTGCAGGTAATCCCTGCTTTTGTCTTCATCCCCAGGCAGACACTGATCTGCTTTCTGTCTCTCTAGTTTTTCCTTTTCTAGAAATTTCACATAAATGGAGCCAGGTGCGGTGGCTCATGCCTGTAATCCCAGCACTTTGGGAGGCCAAGGCAGACAGATCATCCAAGGTTAGGAGTTTGAGACCAGCCTGGCAACATAGTGGGACCCTGTCTCTATAAAAAATTAGCCGGGCCGGGCGTGGTGGCTCACGCCTGTAATCCCAGCACTTTGGGAGGCCGAGGCGGGCGGATCAAGAGGTCAGGAGATCGAGACCGTCCTGGCTAACACGGTGAAACCCCATCTCTACTAAAAATACAAAAAATTAGCCGGGCGTGGTGGCGGGCGCCTGTAGTCCCAGCTACTCAGGAGGCTGAGGCGGGAGAATGGCATTAACCCGGGAGGCGGAGGTTGCAGTGAGCCGAGATCGCGCCACTGCACTCCAGCCTGGGCGACAGTGAGACTCCGTCTAAAAAAAAAAAAAAAAAAAAAAATTGGCTGGGGCAGTGGTGCATGCCTGCAGTTCCAGCTACTTAGGAGGTTGAGGTGAGAGGATTGCTTGAGCCCAGGAGGCCGAGGCTGCAGTGAGCCATGTTTGTACCACTGCACTGGCAATTAGTAAGGGCTGCAGGAGTCCACAGCTCAGAATCTGCTGAGAACAGGAGAAGGGACGGGAGAGGTGAGAGCGTAAGGATAGGCAAGATTTCCGGAGGCAAATGCTTGTCAGGAGGTAAGTGGAGCAGATTTGGGGGAAACAGGCCCTCCTACCCTACAGGTGGAAGGAAGAGTTGGTTCAAGAATTCTCAGGACAGTTGGTCTTAAAAACATATCACTTTTCACCCAGAAGTTCTACTTAGGAATTCCTTTAATTATGGAAATAATTAAAAGTATGCATAAAAGTATAACTACAAAAATTTGCCCTCACAGACTAGATTATGATAGAAAAAAATAGAAACTCATTATGCCTATCATAATAACGTTGAGTAATTTTTGGCAGAATCTCCACAGCCATTAAAATATATTGATGTCATTTATTTATTGAAATGGAAAAATGTGCTGGGCTAGGTGGCACACGCCTGTAATCCTGGCACTTTGGGAGGCCAAGGTGGGCGGATCACTGGAGGTCAGGAGTTCGAGAACAGCCTGGCCAACATGGGGAAACCCTGGCTCTACTAAAAATAGAAAAAAAATAGCCGGGCATTGCATGGGCAACTGTAATCCCAGCTACTTGGGAGGCTGAGGCAGGAGAACCGCTTGAGCCCGAGATGCGGAGATTGCAGTGAGCCGAGATCGCACCACTGCACTCCAGCCCAGCAACAGAGTGGGACTCAGTCTCAAAAAAAAAAAAAAAAAGAAAAAAGAAATGGAAAGTTCATGATTTGTGGTTGAATTAAGCAAAAGGATAATTTTTATATTGCATGTGCCATACAACTTAGCAATTCTATCTTAGGTCTTTATCTCAGAAAAATTTGTATTCTTGTGTTTAATACATATGAAGATTTGTAATCAGGTGCAGTGGCTGAGTTTGAGACCAGCCTGGGCAACATAGTGAGACCCCGTCTCTACCAAAAGTAAATTAGTCAGATGTGATGTTGTGCACTTGTAGATCCAGCTACTCAGGAGTCTGAGACAGGAGGACCAGAGGTTGAAGCTGCAGTGAGCCATATTCGCACCACTGCACTCCAGCCTGGGTGACAGAGCAAGACCCTGTCTCACACACACAAATAAAGACTTGTGCCAGAATGTTGTGTAGCACAGTTTGCAAAAGCAAAAGGAATGAACTAGGATGAATGAATGAACACAGATGAATGTGAACACACCTCTACAACATAATGTCAAACCCAAATACCAACTAGCAAAAGGATATGTGTGGAACCATGCCATTTATTTGAAGCGTAACCATATCAAGTGCATGAATAAGAATGATAAACCCCAAATTTGTGAGAGATTTACTCTGGGGAGGAATACAGCAGAAGGATTGCAAAGGGGCACCCAGGGGGCTTCAACCGTATCTGTTAGTTTTTATTTAAAAAAAAAAAAAAGCTGGACACGGTGGCTCACACCTGTAATCCCAGCACTTTGGGAGGCCGAGGCGGGCAGATCACAAGGTCAGAAGATCGAGACCATCCTGGCTAACAAGGTGAAACTCCGTCTCTACTAAAAATACAAAAAATTAGCCGGGCGTGGTGGCTGATGCCTGTAGTCCCAGGTACTTGGGAGGCTGAGGCAGGAGAATGGCCTGAACCCGGCAGGAGGAACTTGCAGTGAGCTGAGATTGTGCCACTGCACTCCAGCCTGGGCGACAGAGTGAGACTCCATCTCAAAAAAAAAAAAAAAAAAAAAAAAAAACAGCCGAAGCAAATATGCTAAAAATGTTAGGATTTGTCAAAACTTGTTTATGAGTATGAGTGTATGTTATAGTAGTCTCTGGATTTTTGTTTGCTTACAATACTTCATCTGAAAAACAGCTTTCATTGTTTCTTGTTAATATAAACGAATGAACGGAAAAACTGTAATTTAAAGAGTGTATAGCAAGGCCAGGTGCAGTGGCTCACACCTGTAATCCCAGCACTTTGGGAGGGCGAGGCGAGTGGATCACCTGAGGTCAGGAGTTTGAGACCAGCCTGGCCGACATGGTGAAACCCCATCTCTAATAAAAATACAAAAAGTAGCTGGGCATGGTGGCGTGCACCTGTAATCCCAGGTACTTGAGAGGCTGAGACAGGAGAATCGATTGAACCGGGGAGGCAGAGGTTGCAGTGAGCTGAGATTGCACCACTGCACTCCAGCCTGGGTAACAAGAGCAAAATTCCGTCTCAAAAAAAAAATAAATAAAAACAAAGAATATGTATCAAATAATCATGATGATTTCCATGTGATGAGATGACTGATTATATTTGTTTTCCTATTTACGTTTGCATATCTATATTTTCTGATTTTCCTGTGGTGAACATGTCTTACCTGTTCAATGTTTTAAAACCTAAAACAAAAAAGGCATATAGAAAAGCTGTAGAGGGGGCATTCCAGGCCAAGACGACAGCAGAGGCCAAGGCCTGGCTGTGGAGAAGCTGCCAGAACATGGGATATCAGACAGGAGAAGGATGGGAAGAAAAACTGCTGGAAAGGGGAGCTGGGGGCAAGGTGGTAGGTCTTGAGTGCCAGGCCGAGGAGCTGCAACTTGACCTTGAAGGCCATGGGGCCTCAAACTGGGGTCCATGGCCACTGGGGAGCCTCAAGCATACTCCCGGGAATCTGGTTCCAAGATTTTCATAATTTGGGGCCTTCATTTTAGTGATCGTCTCTAAACAGTGAGTACAAGCATATCCTGACTTCTCTGAATGACTCAGCCATAATCCAGAGCCACCAATGTAATTTCAGGGCCTGGATTGGTTTGTGCCTGGGGTCAGGTTGATGCCAGCTGCCCCACTTTGATTGTCTTGGGCAGATGAGGAAAGAAAGGAGCAGGTCTCAGCTTGGCCGGTTTATTCTCCAGCCCCATGAGCTCAGCGCTTGGGCCTGGGAGAATTCCAAGGGCCTGAAAGATGTTCCAATCTTGAAAAAAGAATTGTAATGACTCTACAGTACCAAAATCAATGACCAAAATAACACTTGCATGCACACACACACACACACGCACACCCTGCATGTGAAATCATTTCAGTTGTGAAAGTATAAAATTGAATAGAAATCATTTCAATTGCAAAAGTATACAAATGAATATTTTCATGGCAAAAAAAATTTGATGTGGAATGTGGGTGTGTTTTAATATGCTTGGTAAGGGGAGAAGTGGAGTCTCCAAAGGTAGGGATGCTGGAGGACTATGAAGTTCCTTAAAGCATAGAGGGGTGGATAGAATCCCAGCAAAGAAGGCCAAATGGCGAACTGCTGTGCTCACCCCCTTAGTGGTTCCCCTTCACCCAAACTGGAAAAGAACTGGGCAAATTGAATCAGCATACGCAGCAGTGCAGGAGTGCCAAGGGAAAAACAAAGGCCAGGCAGCAAACAGCACGCTGGCACAGCCTGCAAAACACTCATCATTCAAAGGATGTGATTTTGATTCTGCAAAGTGATGTCATCCAGCACATTCAATGGATGTTGTTTATCTAAATTTGTGGCCATATTTGTATTTAATCTGGTCTTATGGCAGTGTAGAGTCCTGAAGAGTTTGTACCTAGTTTTATGTTTTAAGGAACAGTATAATCAAAATAATTAGAATCAGCACTGTCTGGCCAGAAGAACCTTCATCCTTTTGGAGAGCCTGTTTGTAAATCATTCATTTGGGAAGTGCTGCTAGGGACTGGGGGACTGCTGAGGGGCTGTGGGTGGGGTTGCGGGGGTGGGACATGAACTTGATTGCATGTTCTGGATGACCAGTAGCCAGAGTGAGGCTGGTGTGAGGCTTGAACGCCTGAGGACAGGGATGGGCATCTTATTCAGGCCCTCATAGTGCCAAGGGTAAGACCTCAGATGCCGTAAGAACTTAACAAAGACTGGCCACCACCATGGAATTTCCCATCAGAGCGTCCTGCTTCTCCAGGCTGCGGGCAGAGATGTATCTGTCTTGGTCCTGGTGAATCCAGTGGGTCAACTTGGCACATGGAGGCCTCGATGCATTTTTTTTTTCTTTTGGAGATGGAGTCTCACTCTGTCACCCAGGCTGGAGTGCAGTGGTGCAACCTCGGCTCACTGCAACCTCCACCTCCTGGGTTCAAGTGATTCTTGTGCCTCAGCCTCCCGAGTAGCTGGGACTGCAAGAGTGCACCACCACACCCGGTTAATTTTTTTTTTTTCTGTATTTTAGTAGAGATGGGGTTTCACCATGTTGTCCAGGTTGGTCTCCAACTGCAGAGCTCAGGCAATCCACCCACCTCAGCCTCCCAAAATGCTGGGATTACAGGCGTGAGCCACTGCACCCAGCCCTTCAAGGCATATTTGTAAATAAGAGAGGTCAGAAGGAGGAAGATGCCTCTCTTTCCTGCATTTCTCTCATCCAATCCACCAGCACATCGTTTTGCTCGATCTCCAGAGTGCACCCAGCCCCAGCCCCAGCCCCTCCACCACGGCCTCCAGCATTCTCACCTGGACCGTGTGGATGGCCTTACCAGTCTCCTGGCTCTGCCTCCTCCACACGCAGCAAGAAGGAGATGTTTTTTGTTTTTTTTTTGAGACGGAGTCTCACTCTGTCGCCCAGGCTGGAGTGCAGTGGCACGATCTCGGCTCACTGTAAGCTCTGCCTCCCGAGTTCACACCATTCTGCTGCCTCAGCCTCCCGAGTAGCTGGGACTACAGGCTCCCGCCACCACGCCCGGCTAATTTTTTGTATTTTTTTTTAAGTAGAGATGGGGTTTCACCATGTTAGCCAGGATGGTCTCGATCTCCTGACCTCATGATCCACCCGCCTCGGCCTCCCAAAGTGCTGGGATTATAGGCGTGAGCCACTGCACCTGGCCTCCGTGTCTTTTCATAGTTTGATAGCTCATTTTTTTTTTTTTAGCACTGGAAAACATTCTCTTGTCATTGTCTGGATGTACCACAGTTTCTTTACCCATTTATCTGCTGAAGGACATCTTGGATGCTTCCAAGTTTTGGCAATTGTGAATAAAGCTGCTAGAAGCACCTGTGTGCAGGCTTTTGTGTGGACACAAGTTTTCAGTTCTTTTAGGTAAATACCAGCGACTGCGATTGTTGGATCATACGTTAAGAGTATGTTTGTTTTGTAAGAGACTATCATACTGTATTCCAAAGAGGCTGTACCGTTTCGCATTCCCATCAGCAACGAATGAGCATTCCCGTTGTTTTTCATCCTCCCCAGCATTTGGTGCTATCAGTATTCTTGATTTTGGCCATTCTAATAGGTATATCAGGAAGGAGATTTTTAAAGTGCGAATATTCTGCCCTCAAAATTTTAGTGGCTTTCTGTCAAGCTTAAAATTAAATTCAAATTATATATATATATATATATATATATATATATATATATATATATATATATATTTTTTTTTTTTTTTTTTTTTTTTTTTTTTTTTTTTGAGGCAGAGCCTCACTCTGTTGCCCAGGCTGGAGTGCAGTGGTGCCATCGTGGCTCACTGCAACCTCCACCTCCCATGTTCAAGTGATTCTCTTGCCTCAGCCTCTTGAGTAGCTGGGATTACAGACACCCACCACCATGCCTGGTGAATTTTTGTATTTTTAGTAGAGATGAGGTTTCACCATGTTGGCCAGCTTGATCTCGAACTCCTGACCTCAAGTGATCCACCCACCTCGGCCTCCCAAAGTGCTGGGATTACAGGCATGAGCCACCGTGCCCGGCCTAAATTCAAATTATTTATGGTAGCTTTCAAAGGCCCATGAGATCTACCTCTACCAGCCTCTGCCACATCCTCTCCCCCACTCTGCTCTGTGTTCACTAAGCTCCGGCTGCCTGGATGTTCCTGGAACACAGGAGTCATCGGGTTTCAGGGCCTTTGCCCTTGCTGCTCCTTGTACCTGGGATGCTCTTCCTCCATGGCTCAGCAGGTGGCTCTTCCTGACCTGTGAAGTTTCATCACAATGTCACCTCCCCAGAGGGACCCTTTCCCCTGACCCCCTGCATTACACCCCCCACCACCAATGCATTACGCTGTTTCAAGTCTTCCTAGCTCTTACCACTTCCTGAACTTGTCTTATCTTTGTATTTGTTACTCCTTTAATGTCTCAATCTATCGTAGATCTTGAGTCCCCATGAAGGCATAGGTCATCTCTGTCCTGGTCACAGCTAAGTCTCCAGCACTAGAATGGAGCCTGGCACATAGTAGGTGCTCAGTAAAAGCTTGCTGAGTCAACAATGGGATACCACTTCACACCCACTAGAATGGCTATAATCAAAAAGGTAAGGAGATGGAGCAATTAAAATGTTTATATATTGCTGGTGGTAATGGAAAATGAGGCAGACACTTTGAGTTTGTCAGTTCCTCAAAAAGTTAAACAGAGTTACCATGTGACCTAGCAGTTCCACTCCTAGGTATATACCCAAGAGAAATGAAACTATGTCCACACAAAACATGTTCATGTATGATCAAGCAGCACTATTCATAATAGCCAAAAAGTAGAAATAACCCAAATATCTATCAGTTGACAAATATGTACATGAAATGTTGTACATGGCCATGCACAGTGGCTCATGCCTGTCATCCCAGCCACTTTGGGAGGCAGAAGCATGAGGATTGCTTGAGCTCAGGATTTCAAGGCCAACCTGGGCAACACAACGAAATCCTGTCTTCACAAAATATACAAAAATTAGCTGGGCATGGTGGTGCATGCCTGTAGTCCCAACTACTCGGGAGGCTGAGGCACGAGAATTGCTTGAACCTGGGAGGTGGAGGTTGCAGTAAGCTTTGTTTATGCCACTGCACTCTAGCCTGGTCAACAGAGCAAGACCCTGTCTCTAAATAAATAAATAAATAAATAAATAAATAAATAAATGCTGGCTGGGGATGGTGGTTCATGGCTGTAATCCCAGCACTTTGGGAGGCCGCAGGTGGGAGGATCACTTGAGTTCAGGAGTTTCAGAACAGCCTGGGCAACATAGAGAGATCCCATCTCTACTTTTTTTTTGAGATGGAGTCACGCTCTGTCGCCCAGGCTGGAGTGCAGTGGCACGATCTCGGCTCACTGCAAGCTCCGCCTCCCGGGTTCATGCCATTCTCCTGCCTCAGCCTCCCGAGTAGCTGGGACTATGGCACCTGCCACAACGCCCAGCTAATTTTTTGTTTTTTTAGTAGAGATGGGGTTTCACTGTGTTAGCCAGGATGGTCTCGATCTCCTGACCTTGTGATCCACCCGCCTTGGCCTCCCAAAGTGCTGGGATTACAGGCATGAGCCACTGTGCCCGGCCCCCCATCTCTACTTTCAAAGAATTAGCTGGGTACGATGGTGGATACCTATGGTCCCAGCTACTTGGGAAGCTGAGATGGGAGGACTGCTTGAGCCCAGGAGTTAGAGGCTGCAGTGAGCCATGATGATTCCACTGCATGCCAGCCTGATTAATAAAGCAAGACTGTCTCAAATTATAAAAAATAAGAAAGTTGTACATCATTATAATGCAATATTATTCAGCAACAAAAAGGAATGAGGCACTGACATGCTATGACATGTACAAGCTTAAAAATCATTATACCAAATAAAAGAAGCCAGACACAAAGGTCGCATATTGTATGATTTCATGTGTGTGAAATGTCACAATAGGCAAATACATAGAGGCAGAAAGTACATTTGTGGTTGCCAGGTACTGGAGGGAGGACGGATGGGGAATGACTGCTAATGAGCATAAGTTTCAGGGAGATGATGAAATGTTCTGGAATTAGATAATAGTGATGGCTGCACAACTTTCTGAATACATTAAGAACCACTGACTCGGTTCACTAAGTTTTATTGTATGTGAATTATATCTGTATTTTTTTTTTTTGAGACAAAGTTTTGCCGTTGTCGCCCAGGCTGGAGTGCAGTGGCGCAATCTCAGCTCACCACAACCTCCGCCTCCCAGGTTCAAGCGATTCTCCTTCCTCAGCTTCCCAAGTAGCTGGGATTACAGGTGCCCACCACCACGTCCAGCTAATTTTTGTATTTTTAGTAGAGATGGGGTTTCCCCATGTTGGCCAGGCTAGTCTCAAACTCCTGGCCTCAGGTGATCCACCCGCCTCGGCCTCCCAAAGTGCTGGGATGACAGGTGTGAGCCACCACGCTCGGCCTGTAACTGTATTTTTTAAAAGCCTTGTTATGCCTCTAATCTCAGCACTTTGGGGGGCCGACGTGGTAGGATCACTTGATCCTAGGAGTTTGAGACCAGCCTGGGCAACATAGCAAGACCCCATCTCTACAAAAATAAAGTTAACTGGGTGTGATGGCGAATGCCTGTCATCCTAGCTACATGGGAGGCTGAGGGGGGAGCATAGCTTGAACCCAGGAGGTCGAGGCTGCAGTGAGCTATGATTGTGTCACTGCAATCTAGCCTGGGTGACAGACTGAGACCCTGTTTCAAAAAAAAAAATCCAAAACAAAACATCTTGTACACAAATGTTTACAGCAGCATTATTCATAATAGCCTAACGTGGAAACAACCCAAATGTCCATCCGCTGATTAATGGAGAAACAAGATGTGGTCTATCCACACATTAGAATATTATTCAACCATAAAAAGGAGTGAAATACATATACATGCTACAACATGGATGAACCTGGAAAACATACTAAGTGAAAGAAACCAGTCACAAAAGTTTACATTTTGCATTATCCTATTTATACGAAATGTCAAGAATAGGCAAATCTATACAGACAGAAAGGAGAGGAGTACCTGCCTAGGCCTGGGAGTGACTGCCAATGGGTACGAGGTTTCTTTTGGGGTAAAAATGTCCTGAAATTGGGTTACAGTAATGGTTGTATAAATCTCTCTACATACTAGAAATCATTGTATTAGGCCGGGCGCAGTGGCTCACGCCTGTAATCCCAGCACTTTGGGAGGCTGAGCTGGGTGGATCACAAGGTCAGGAGATCGACACCATCCTGGCTAACACGGCGAAACCCCGTCTCTACTGAAAATACAAAAAAAAATTTGCCGGGCGCGGTAGCGGGCGCCTGTAGTCCCAGCTACTCGGGAGGCTGAGGCAGGAGAATGGCGTGTACCCGGGAGGCGGAGCTTGCAGTGAACCGAGATCGTGCCACTGCACTCCAGCCTGGGCGACAGAGCGAGACTCTGTCTCAAAAAAGAAAAAAAAAAAAAAAAGAAATCATTGTATTGTACATTCTAAATGAGTGAACTTTTATGACATATACATTATATCTCAACAAAGCCTTTTAAAAAGTTTATTGAATGGGCTGGGCGCAGTGGCTCACACCTGTAATCCTAGCACTTTGGGAAGCTGAGAGCTGGGCGGATCACCTGAAGTCGGGAATTCGAGACCAGCCTGGCCAATATGGCGAAACCCCAGCTCTACTAAAAATACAAAACTTAGCCGGGTGTGGTGGTGCGTGCCTGTAATCCTAGCTACTTGGGAATCTGAAGCAGGGGAATTGCGTGACCCCTGGAGACGGAGGTGGCAGTGAGCTGAGGTCGCGCTGCTGCACTCCAGCCTGGGCAACAGAGCAAGACTCCATCTCAAAAAAAAAAAAAGTTTATTGAATGAACGAGGAGAAGATAAAGTGGAAGGAAGATAAGGAGGGAAAACAGTTGAGAAACTGCCCTAGGTCTGGACAGAGCTGATTCCCTAAGACACCCCCGCTGGGAAGCCTGGTTCACCCTTTAGTCCCCTCCCTTCCTTCCTTTCTTCCTTTCTCCTCCCCTCTCCTTTCCCACGGTCTGTGATTCTGGTGGAAACTCTGGCCCAAGCTGGGCTGGCAGGAGGAGCCACCTGCCACGGTGCACGGCTGTCCCCTGGTGGCGATCTAAAGTGAAGACTTGGGAATGTGGTCAAGGTGGGAGGCCTGGGAATGGGGATTATTAGAGAGCTAGGGAAACCCTGGTGAATGAAGGGTGAAGGAGCAGAAGAAACTTCCAGAAGCCTGGAGACAGGGGAACGCCAGGGATGGAGCCCTGTGACACTTTGCTAAGCTTCTGAGGTTGATACTGGGATTCTGATTATTACTGTGCCGGTCTCCACGTCTGTTTCCTGTCTCCTCCGGCAGTGATGTGGGCACCAGGAGGGAAGGGGTGTGTCTGCTGATGCATGCTGCCTCCCCAGCACCTAGCACAGTGCTTGGCACTGAGTAGGTGCTCACTAAAAATATGTGGACTGCAGTTGGTTATAGTAGGAGGAACAGAGAGAGAAGCCTGGGCTTGAAGCCAGTGTTCATCCTGTCAATCCAGTGACTTGGATAAGTCCTGTGACCCTGGTGAGCCTGAATTGGCTCACTTACCTGTGTTGTGGGGAGAATAACCCTTCTCTCTCAGAGTCATAGTGAATTTAAATGATCACATTTGCATATAGCTTCAGGCTCATCCTAGGAGCTCCTGGCAGCCAGGAATGGTAAAGAGGCACCACATCCTACACCTGGGTCTGCAGGCCCATAGAGGGGACCCAGCAACTTCACTGACTTGCTGGGGGATGTCAGCCAAGTCCCTTTACATTCTAGGACTCTGTTAGCTCCCTTTTAAAATAAGGAGAATAAGGCCAGGCATGGTGGCTCATGCCTGTAATCCCAGCACTTTGGGAGGCCAAGGCAGGCAGATCACTTGAGGTCAGGAGTTCGAATCCAGCCTGGCCAACATGGTGAAACTCTGTCTCTACTAAAAATACAAAAATTAGCCGGGTGTGGTGGCACGTACCTGTAGTCCCAGCTATTTGGGAGCCTGAGGCAGGAGAATCACTTGAACCCGGGAGGCAGAGGTTGCAGTGAGCAGAGATCACGCCACTGCACTCCAGCCTGGGCGATAGAACAAGACTCCATCTCCAAAAAAACACAAAGTAAAAAAGAAATATGCGTAAGAGTTTTGCATACTTTGTTGGCACTGTGAGGTCTCCTCTGAGAGTTGGGGAGGCCATACAGGCTGTATTTGTGGGAGGAGCATTGAGGGTGTGGAGTGAATGGCAAAGGTTTCATCCCACGTTGTGGAAAGTGGGAGAGAAGGTTTAAGGAGGTGATGAATTTAAAGAGCCCGGTGCAGCTCTGACTCCTGAGGGAGAGCTGGGCTAATGTTGGCTGTTCTCGTTCTCCTTATTAATTATATTGGGGCACTTTTGGAGGCCAAGGCGGGAGGATCGCTTGAACCTAGGAGTTCAAGACCAGCCTGGGCAACATAGTGAGACCCCATCTCTACAAAAAATAAAACAATTAGCCAGGCATGGTAGTGTATGCCTGATGCTGAGGCGGGAGGGTCACTTGAGCCCAGGAGGTCAAGGCTGCAGTGAGCTATGATTGCACCACTGTACTCTAGCCTGGGCAAGAGAGCAAGACCCTGTCCTTAAGGGGGGGAGGGGAAAGTATTGGGTTCAAACCCAGCACTATCCCTTAGTTAAGTGACTTATCTCAGTGTTTTAGTTTCCAATCTGTAAAACAGGGACAATAACAGAACCTACCTCAGAAAGTTGCTGTGAAGATTCCCTTAGAAAAAGCATGTTAATGGCCGGTACTGTTATGGCTGGGCGCGGTGGCTCACGCCTATAATCCCAGCACTTTGGGAGTCCGAGGCAGGCAGATCACTTGAGGTCAGGAGTTTGAGACCAGCCTGGCCAACATGGTGAAACCCCCGTCTCTACCCAAAATACAAAAATTAGCTGGTCTTCTTAGTGGGTGCCTGTAGTCCCAGCTACTTGGGAGGCTGAGGCAGGAGAATCGCTTGAACCCGGGAGGCCGAGGTTGCAGTCAGCAGAGATTGCCACTGCACTGCAGCTTGGGTGACAACAGTGAAGTGACAGCTTGTGGTAAAAAGGGTAGCTCAGGCTCCATCCCTGCGCCTGGACAACTGTCGAGGTCTTCTAAGAAACTGACCAGCAGGGGACAGCAGGTGTCCATCCAGGGAAGGACTCGATGCAAGCCTTCAGGCTGTGATACCCAAGAAGTGATGGGGGCTGGAGGGGAGCCCAGAGCACCATGGAAGCCCTGTGGGGTGGGGAATGGGGCTAGGAGTGGATTGGGGTGCCCCAAGCTCAGGTGGGTGAGGAGCAACCAGGTCAAGCTCAGGGAGCCTCTGGGAATAGGTGGGAACAGCTTTAGGGGCAGAGAGTAGCAGCAGCCTCAGACGAACCAAGAAGGAAATGAACAGACAGAAGGATACTGGCTATTTCCCCAGGCTCAGAGCAGACCCACGTGGGGTGAACAGGGACATTCTGGGTAGAAGAGGATGAGGGACCAGGTCCAAGACGAGCGCGATGGCTCACACCTGTAATCCCAGCACCTTGGGGGTTGGGGGCAGGAGGATCGCTAGAGCCCAGGAGGTCTAGGCTATAGTGAGCTATGATTGTACCACTGCACTCCAGCCTGAATGACAGAGTGAGACCCTGTCTCTTTAAAAAAAAAAAAAAAAGAAGAAGAAGAAGGAGTTGGGGCAGTGGGGAGGAATAGCATTGGGAGATATACCTTATAGAAATGACGAGTTAATGGGTGCAGCACACCAACATGGCGCATGTACACATATGTAACAAACCTGCACGTTGTGCACACATACACCCTAGAACTTAAAGTATAATTAAAAAAAAAAAAAAGAAGGAGTTGGGGCAGTGGAGTGGAATAGCATTAGGAGATATACCTAATATAAATATATAAATGACGAGTTAATGGGTGCAGCAAACCAACATGGCGCATGTACACTTATGTAACAAACCTGCACGCTGTGCACACATACACCCTAGAACTTAAATTAAAAAAAAAAAAAAAGAAGACAAAGAAGTCCAATGTAAGAATGAGCCTTGCTTGAGTAAGGGGATCTGGGGAGGAAAGGGACTTTGTGCTGGGAAGGAAAGGGCAGAGTCCAGGCTGGGATTTGGGATTGGGAGTGGGGGAGTGAAAGAGTTGGGCAGGGCTTTGTGGCCTGGGATTTGGAAAGCAGGGTTGGCAGCAGGGAGCTGGGGCAGAGAACCAGGCTGGGGGCCTAGGGGAGGAGGGGAGGGGAAGACCAATCAGGCCTCTAGAAGAGGCAGCTCCCCAGAAACAATCCCGGAGCCAGGCTTAGCCTCGCCGGACCTCACCAGGCCTCGAGCTTCCAGTGCCCAGTACCAGGCCTCTGAAGGGCCAGGGAGGACGTGGGGTGAGCCCGTGACACACCAGGCTTGACTCCCCTGCCAGTGGGGAGTAAGGAAGCCTCTTCTTCTTCCTTCTCCCAGGCCCCTGCCTGGAGCTCAAAACCCAGAGCCCATTGTTAGACATGGAGATCCACACAAGGTTACAGGCATAGCCGGGTCTGGAGCTGCAGACTCACGGCCCTGGCTGTCTGAGTAGATGGCGCTCACACCAAGTGGTGTTTCCCTTCTTCACCAGCTTTTTTTTTTTTTTTTTTTTTGAGACAGGGTCTTACTCTGTCGTTCAAGCTGGAGTGCAGTGGTGTGATCACAGCTCACTACAGCCTCGACCTCCCAGGCTTGAGCAATCCTCCTGCCTCAGCCTTCCCAGTAGCTGGGACCACAGACACACCACCATGCCCGGCTAATTTTTCAATGTTTTGTAGGGATGGGGTCCCGCCATGTCGCCCAGGCTGATCCAGCTTCTGTCTGTGTCTCTGAAGCTTGCCCTGAACCCCCTGGAGAGTGTCTGGGAATCACAAAGGCCTCCACTGTCAGGGCTAGAACAGGGTTCTAGCTCAGGGTTGCCTGAGCCCATGCTCCCATTTTATGGAGGAGGAAATCAACGCACAAGGCCATGGAGGCCGAGTTGTATGGAAAAACAGGACTGGAGCTCCCAGTCCAGGGTTCTTTTTTCTGATCTGCAGCATTAAGCAGATAACCACGCAGTGGCTGCGCCAATCCTGCCTGACAAAGGCCCAGGGGAGTGACATCCCCAAGAGGGTTCTAAAATGTCTCTGACTCTGTGATCTTTGTCAAGCCCATCCCTCTCTCTGGGTATAAATGTATTTAAACTCTAAGACAAGCGGATCAGAAAAAAATGGGGAATCGTTTAGCTCATTTTATGAGGCAATATCATCTTACTTTCAAAACTGGAAAAACAAAACATGAAAAGAGAATTAGGCTGGAGCGAGGTGGCTCATGCCTGTAATCCTAGGACTTTGGGAGGCCTAGGTGGGTGGATTGCTGGATCCCAGGAATTCGCGACCAGCCTGAGCAACCTGAAGAAACCCCTTCTCTACAAAAAATACAAAAATTAGCCGGGCATGGTGGCGGGTGCCTGTAGTCCTAGCTAGTCAGGATGCTGAGGTGGGAAAGTCACCTGAGCCCGGGAGGTCAAGGCTGCAGTGAGCCGTGATTGTGCCACTGCACTCCAGCCTGGGTGACAGAGTGAGACCCTGTCTCAATTGAAAAGCAAAGCAAAGCAAAGCAAAGCAAAAGAAAATTACAGGTTATTTTCACCTATAAACACAAGATGAAAATCTTAAAAATATTGGCTAACTGAATTCTGTGTTTATTTCTTTATGTATTTATTTTTTATTTTATTTTTTGAGACAGGGTCTCACTCTGTCACCCAGGCTGAAGTGCAGTGCTATGATCACAACTCACTGCAGCCTCGACCTCCCTGGGCTTAGGTGATCCTCCCACCTCAGCCTCCCAAGCAGCTGGGACTACAGGGGTGCGCCATCACACTCAGTTAATTTTTGTATTTTTTGTAGAGCTGGGGCTTTGCTATGTTCCCCAGGCTGTTCTCAAACTCCTGGGCTCAAGCAATCCACCCCCTACTTAGGCCCTGAAAGTGCTGGATGGTGTGAGCCACCGTGCCCAGTCTTATGTTTATTTTTTTTGGAATCACAACCAAAATAGGGTGTATTCCACATAAGAAAGGAGAATTAACCATCAGAAAATGTATACATTAAATTTTCCATGTTAATTAATAGACTAGAGAAGAAAAACCATGTGATTATTTCATTGGAGGGACACATGTACATAAAAGACTTTTGATAAATTCAGCAATAATTTTGATTTTTAAAAATTATTAGCAAACAAGGAACAGAAAATAACTTATAAAAGTGTATAAAAATTACATGCCAGGCCGGGCGCGGTGGCTCACGCCTGTAATCCCAGCACTTTGGGAGGCCAAGGCGGGAAGATCACGAGGTCAGGAGATCAAGACCTTCCTGGCTAACATGGTGAAACCCCATCTCTACTAAAAATACAAAAAATTAGCCAGGCGTGGTGGCGGGCGCCTGTAGTCCCAGCTACTTGGGAGGCCAAGGCAGGAGAATGGTGTGAACCCGGGAGACGGAGCTTGCAGTGAGCCCAGATAGCACCACTGCACTCCAGCCTGGGTGACAGAGCAAGACTCCATCTCAAAATAAATAAATAAATAAAATTTTAAAAAAATTACATGCCAAAATTTAGCAAATATATCTTTTTTTTTTTGAAACAGGATATTACTCTGTCGCCCAGGTTGGAGTGCAGAGGCATGAACACAGCTCACCGCAACCTCCAACTCCTGGGCTCAAGCTATCTTCTCACCTCAGCCTCCTAAGTAGCTGGGACTACAGGTGTGCACCACCACACCCAGCTATTTTTAAAATTTACTTTATGTAGAAACAGGGTCTCACTATGTTGCCCAGGCTGGTCTCAAACTCCTGGCCTCAAGCAATCCTCCCCACTTGGCCTCCCAAAGTGTTGGGATTATAGGCATGAGCCACCACACCTAGCCGAAATATATATATGTGTATATATACATATATATATATGTATATATACACATATGTGTATATATACATATATATGTATATATACACATATGTGTATACATATATATATACACATATGTGTGTATATACATACATATATATATATATATATATATACACACACACACATATGTGTATATATATATTTTTTTGAGATGAAGTCTCACTCTGTTGCTCAGGCTAGAGTGATGTGATCTCAGCTCACTGCAACCTCTGCCTCCTGCCTCCCGAGTTCAAGCAATTCTGTCTCAGCCTCCCAAGTAGCTGGGACAACAGGCACCCATCACCATGCTCGGCTAATTTTTGTATTGTTTTTAGCAGAGATGGGATTTCACCATATTGGTCAGGCTGGTCTCGAACTCCTGACATCAGGTGATCCGCCGGCCTCAGCCTCCCAAATATAGTCTTATAGGACAAGCTTTAAGTACCTCCAAGATTGGAAACAACTCAAGGATGCCTGAAATCACGGATACTACTTAACTTAGCCCTAGAGTTCTTTCTTTTTCTTTTTTTTTTTTTTTTTGAGATGGAGTCTTGCTCTTTTTCCCAGTCTGGAGTACAGTGACGCGATCTTGGCTCACTGCAACCTCCTCTTCCCAGGTTCAAGTGATTCTCCTGCCTCAGCCTCTTGAGTAGCTGGGATTACAGGTGTCTGCCACCGCATCCAGCTAATTTTTGTATTTTTAGTAGAGATGGGGTTTCGTCATGTTGGCCAGGATGGTCTCGAACTCCTGACCTCAAGTGATCCACCCACCTCGGCCTCCCAAAATGCTGGGATTACAGGTGTAAGCCACCGCTCCCTGCAGTCCTAGAGTTCTTGCTGACATTTCAGAGAAACGGAAAAGTGTGAGGATTGAAAAATAAGAGGGAAAACTGTGATTACTTGCAGATTATATAGTCACCTACAAAGAAAAACCGATAGAATAATTACCAGATAAAAGGCCTACCTATTAATATAAAAACTAGGCCGGGCACAGTGGCTCATGCCTGTAATCCTAGCACTTTGGGATGCCGAGGTGGGCGGATCACCTGAGGTCAGGAGTTCGAGACCAGCCTGGCCAACATGGTGAAACCCCATTTCTACTAAAAACACAAAAATTAGCTGGGTGTGGTGGCATGCACCTGTAATTCCAGCCAGTCGGGAGGCTGAGGCAGGAGAATCATTTTAAAAGAGAAACCATAAAAGTTTGGAAAATTTGCAGCCTGACAATGTGGTAGAAAAGAAAAATCAATTTTTTGAGGAGAAATTCAAGCTGGCTGTAGAAATTTGAATAAGTAACAAGGAGCCGAATGTTAATCACCAAGACAATGGGGAAAATGTCTCCAGGGCATGTCATAGGTCTTCATGGCAGTCCCTCCCATCACAGACCTGGAAGCATAGGAAGAAAAAATGGTTTCATAGGCTGGGCCCAGGGTCCCCATGCTGTGTGCAACCTAGGGACTTGGTGCCTTGTGTCCCAGCCACTCCAGCTGTTGCTGAAGGGGGCCAAAGTACAGCTCGGCCCATGGTTTCTGAGGGTGCAAGCCCCAAACCTTGGTGGCTTCCACGTGGTGTTGAGCCTGAGGACGCACAGAAGTCAAGAATTGGGGTTTAGGAACCTCTGCCTAGGTTTCAGAAGGTGTATCAAAACACCTGGATGTCCAGGCCAAAGTTTGCTGCAGGGGTAGGGCCCTCATGGAGAACCCTTTGCTAGGGCAGTGCAGAGGGGAAATGTGGGGTCATAACCCCCACACAGAGTCCCTACTGGGGCACCGCCTAATGGAACTGTGAGAAGAGGACCATTGTCCTTCAGACCCCAGAATGGTAGATCCACCAACAGCTTGTACCATTTGCCTGGAAAAGCCACAGACACTCAATGTCAGCCCATGAAAGCAGCCAGAAGGGGACTATACCCTGCAAAGCTGCAGGGGCAGAACTGCCCAAGACTATGGGAACCTGCCTCTTGCATCAGTGTGAACTGGATGTGAGACATGGAGTCAAAGGAGATCATTTTGGATCTTTAAAATTTGACTGCCCTGCTGGATTTTAGACTTGCATGGGCCCTGAAACCCCTTTGTTTTGACCAATTTCTCCCCTTTGGAACAGCTGTATTTACCCAATACCTGTACCCCCGTTGTATCTTAGGAAGCAACTAGCTTGCTTTTGATTATTCAGGCTCATAGACAGAAGGGATCTGCCTTGTCTCAGATGAGACTTTGGACTGTGGACTCTTGGATTAATGCTGAAATGAGTTAAGACTTTGGGGGACTGTTGGGAGGGGATGATTGGTTTTGAAATGTGAGGACATGAGACTTAGAAGGGCTAGAGGCAGAATGATATTGTTTGGCTCTGTGTCCCCACCCAAATCTCCTCTTGAATTGTACTCCCACAATTCCCACATGTTGTGGGAGGTACCTGGTGGGAGATCATTTGAATCATGGGGGCAGTTTCCCCCATACTGTTCTTGTGGTAGTGAATAAGTCTCATGAGATCCGATGGGTTTATCAGGGGTTTCTGCTTTTCATCCTTCTCATTTTCTCTTGCTGCCACCATGTAAGAAGTGCCCTTCACCTCCCGCCATGATTCTGAGGCCTCCCCAGCCATGTGGAAGTGTAAGTCTAGTTAAACCTCTTTTTCTTCCCAGTCTCGGGTATGTCTTTATCAGCAGTGTGAAAATGAACTAATAAAGATGGGGTTTCATCATATTGCTCAGGTTGGTCTCGAACTCCTGGGCTCAAATGATCCTCCCACCTCAGCTTCCCAAAGTGCTAAAATTACAGGTGTAAGCCACCTTTCCCAGCTCTTGTTTTTTAAAAATATTGTACAAAGTATCTAGGGGTGATGGGGCATCAGGCTGGCAAATAGTTCAGTGAATAGTTCAGGGAAAAAAACTCAAATAGTTCACGGAAAAAAAAATTCTTTGTATTGTTCTTCCAGTTCTACTGTGTGTTAAGATTGTTTCAAAATTGAAAGAAAAGAAACCTCTAAGCTTTATATTGAAAGTATGTGGAAATAGGCCGGGTGCGGTGGCTCACGCCTGTAATCCCAGCACTTTGGGAGGCCGAGGTGGGCGTATCACCTGAGGTCAGGAGTTCAAGACCAGCCTGACCAACATGGAGAAACCCCGTCTCTACTAAAAATACAAAAAAAAATTAGCCAGGCGTAGTGGCGCATGCCTGTAATCCAAGCTACTCGGGAGGCTGAGGCGGGAGAATTGCTTGAACCTGGGAGGCAGAGGTTGCGGTGAGCCGAGATTGCGCCATTGCACTCCAGCCTGGGCAACAAGAGCAAAACTCTGTCTCAAAAAAAAAAAAAAAAAAGTATGTGGAAATTAAGAAATGCCAAACATCCCTAAGGTGAAAGTTTAAAATTTTTATTAAAGACATAAAAGAAGACATATCAATTCCATACTCATGGTTATGGCAATTTAATGACATAAAATTTCTGGTTCTCCTTAATTTAATTTACAAATTCACTGCAATCTCAAGCAAAAATTTAGATGGATTTTGTTTTGGAGAAACTCAACAAGCATGTTCTAAATTAGAATAAAGGCCCACAAAGGGCAGAGTCTTCCAGGTACAGTGGCTCACACCTGTAATCCCAGCACTTTGGGAGGCCAAGGCAGGAGGATCATTTGAGACCAGCCTGCACAATGTAATGAGACACTGTCTCTACAGGGGAAAAAAAAAAAGGAGTAGAGTCAAGTGGGAAAGATTGCCTTTTTTTTTTTCTTTTTCCATGACACAGCCTTAGGAGGTCCTGATGACATGTGCCCCATGGAAGAGATTATCTTGTCAAATATACAAATATATAGAAATAGAAAAATAGATATAAATATAGATAGGTAGATTTGATATATAACAAAAGTGGCACCATAAATCAAGGAAGGAAGGAGCAAGCTTTTTAGTAGATGGCATTGGGAAAACTGGCTTTGCACTGTATACAATAACAAACAAACAAACTGGCTCCCTACCCTTGACCATTACAAAGGTGGATTCCAGAGGAGGATTTAGTTATGAAAGAACTAAATCTGAAAGGTGAAAGCGTAGCATAGCCTTGTGATCTAGAGATGGAGAAGATACCTCTTAAACTAGACCCAACAAGCACAAGCTGTGAGGCAAGAAATGCTGGATTCAATTATATCACATTTTTCTGTTCAGTGAAATGCCCTGTAGACAAAATTAACTGATGGAAAACTGATTTGTAAAAGATGTTTGCGGTATCTAAAGCTGGCAAGGGGATCAATATCTAGAATACGCATGGACCTCTCGCAAATCAATGAGAAAAGGAACAAAAAAAAAAGGGAAAAATGAGCAGAGAATATGAACAGGCAATTCACAGACAGGAAATCCAAATGATTAACAGGATGTGAAGAGGCTCAGTTGCCTACACGATCAGAGACATGCAAAGTAAAACAACGGCCGGCATTATCCTATGCTCAGCGTTTTCCATGTCTCACATTTTTGCCAGCCATTTCACATCCATTGGTCTGGCAAAAATGAGAGAGAGGGATAATGCTGAGCATTGGTGAGGATTTAGGGAAACACCCACCATTGTGAATTGCTCTTGGGAATGTAGACAGTGCAGCCATTCTGGAGAACAATCTGGCTGTATTTAAGTGAACTTAAGCGTGCATGTACCCTATGACTCAGAAAGCCGAACATTTAGTTAATGTCTGTATATTAAACAATGGTCTCAAATTTTCACTCTATTTCCTTGTCACAGCCTCATGATAGAATTTTCCCACACCTAGACTTTGAGCTTAATCATGTGCCTTGCTTTGGCCAGTAATATGTTAGCAAGTGAGACATTAATGTGCTTAGGCAGTTGGCCTTCTGCCAGCACCATGACAACACACCCTGAGTAGCCCACAGCCTCTCCAGCCTAGGCAGGAGGGCCCACCTGAGAAGTGAGTAAAGACAGAAAGAAGAGGAGAAAAACCATGAAGAGCCATTCCTGCAGCACAATTTGAATGCCTAGGACCGACAGAATAATGCCAGAATTCCTTTGGGACTTTTCATCTATGTGAACAAATACAGTCCTTTATGTGCTTAAGCCAGTTTGAGTTGGGCTTCTGTCACTTACAACAGAGTCTTACTAATTCATCCTCCTTACAGTAACTTTCAACTCCAACCTAATGGAATTATCCATCAATCCTTAAACATTTGGTGTCTCTGTGTCCTTGATCAAATCTAGTTTAACTAGTACTTGTATGAGTGTACACCATGTAAAAGATGAAGTGTTCCAATTATAGGGACTATGTGTCACACATGCTATTCTTCTCCACCTACCTTGCTGATGACAGATATGGCTGACTTTGTCCTTTCAAAGAACAAACTTTAAAAACATGGTTGATTTTCTTATCTGTTCTTATTTTTGTTATTTTCTACTTTCTTTTTCCCCCTTGGGTTTGATTTCCTATTCTTTTTCAGCTACTTGAGGTAGAAGTTTTAATTATTAATTTTCAAATCTTTCTCCTTTTCTAATATTTGCATTTTTTTTTTTTTGAGATGGAGTCTTGCTCTGTCACCCAGGCTGGAGTGCAGTGGCGCAATCTAGGCTCACTGCAAGCTCCACTCATGGGTTCATGCCATTCTCCTGCCTCAGCCTCCCGTGTAGCTAGGACTACAGGTGCCTGCCACCACACCTGGCTAATTTTTTTTTGTTATTTTCAGTAGAGACGGGGTTTCACCGTGTTATCCAGGATGGTCTCGATCTCCTGACCTCGTGATTTGCCCACCTCGGCCTCCCAAAGTGCCTGGCCTAATATTTGCATTTTAAGGCCATGAATTTTCCTCTCTGCACTGCTGTAGCTGCACCCTACAAGTTTGTTTATTTGTTTTAGAGATGGGGTCTCACTATCTTGCCCACAGTGGAGTGCAGTTGCTATTCAGAGGCACAATCATAGCTCACAACAGCCTTGAACTCCTGGCCTCAAGCGATCTTCCTACCTCAGCCTCCCAAACAGCTGGGACTACAGGTGTGTGCCACCATAATTCAGCTCAAAATGCTTTCTGATTTCCACTTCAATTTCTTCTTTGAATAGTGTAATGTTTAATTTTCAGGCAGTTGGGGATTTCCTTTTTATCTTTTGGTTATTGATTTCTAGTTTAGTTCCTTTGTGGTCAAAGAACATAATCTGAATAATTTCAATCTTTTGAAATGTCTTGGATCTTCTTAAATGACCCAATATATAATTGATTTTGGTAAGTGTTGCATGTTCACTTGACAAGATGTGAATTTTGAGTTCTCAGGTCAAATTTACTATGAGGATGTCTCTAATTGATCACAGACTTTCTAACATTATATCCCAGAAACAACCTTAGAATCCTTCTCAACACAGGGCTCCTGGCAGCCACTATCAATTGATAGAAGTAGGCACTCAATATAGAACCTATTTTCTGTCTAGTGTAGAGGTTATGGGCCAGATGTCAGAATGCCCAGATGTCAGAGGCCCAGCTCTGCCACCTTCTAGCGATATGTCCATGGACAAATTTATCTAACCACTTTAATCCTCAAGTTCCTTGTCTGAAAAATGCTGCTAACCATAGCTCCTCTGCTGCCTACAGGAATGAGGACTAAATGAGAATGAAGAGCTTAGCTCAGGGACTGTCATTTTGTAAGCAAGCTCTAGCCAGAATCCTAGGTCCTTGCATTTCTCCACCCTCTATTCCCCCTTCCACCTAAGTCTGGTCATCCTTCAAGGTCTGGGTAGAATCCATCCCTCCTCTGAGAAGCTGTGGCTACTAAACTTTTTGCCTGTTCTTGTTCAGTTTTGTTGCCTGGCATCTGTGTCCTTTTTTCTAGTGTAGAGGAACCCATTTCTCAGGAGTCATGTGGTAGGAGGCAGAAGTACCTCCCCATTATGGAAGCAAAAATCTCCAGATGTTTGTTTTCCCAGCTTCCCTTGCAGCCTGAGTGTGGTCAGGTGACGTTTGTTCTGCCAATCAGACATTCCCAATGCAGACTTTGCAGGGGCTGAGAGACAGTATCTGGAGGCAGCAGCAGCTAGGCTAGAAGTGGCTCCCATGTCTGCTGCTAGCTGTGGGTCAGGATTGGCAGTACAGGCTGTGGCTTTCAGGCTCTGCTGTTTCTCACTTGACCAGTTCTGTGGGTGATTTTGACAGTTCCTTGGCCCCGAGGGCTCTGAGCTTGGTTCTCCCGCTTACCAGTGCCCTGGTACTAACCCAATACCCTTCCAATAAGTTCCCTTACTGCTTAAATCAGCCAGTGCTGGTTTCTGTTATAAGCAAGACCCCTGCAGTAAGTCCTTTGTCCCCTTCGCTCTCACCTAAGGCTCCTGCAGCACCAAGGATCTCCCCACTCCTTGAACCCAGCAAGCCTGGCTCTGACCGCGGTCATGTCATTTTATGGCTCTGTCACATCTCCCCTACTACAGGCTCATAGCCCCCTACCCAAAACTCTAAGGGCCAGAAATGATTCAGAATTCAGAAATTTTCAGATTTTAGAAAGGTCATTTCGTACATATTCTGGGGCCACACCCAGTAATGAACTATATCAATAGGCTCACAAACAGTGGGTTTTCTTTTCTTTTTTTTTTTTTTTTTTTTTTTTTTTTTGAGACGGAGTCTCGCTCTGCCGCCCAGGCTAGAGTGCAGTGCAGTGGTGCGATCTCGGCTCGCTGCAAGCTCTGCCTCCTGGGCTCACGCCATTCTCCTGCCTCAGCCTCCCCAGTAGCTGGGACTACAGGCGCCTGCCACCACGCCCGGAGAATTTTTTGTATTTTTAGTGGAGACGGGGTTTCACCGTGTTAGCCAGGATGGTCTTGATCTCCTGACCTCGTGATCCACCCTCCTCGGCCTCCCAAAGTGCTGGGATTACAGGCGTGATCCACTGCGCCTGGCCGAGTGGGTTTTCTTTATACATGGGATTAGTTCAGGTAAGGTTTTGCATCAAATGAGTTTTGGTGGCAAATTTATGGAAATACTTTCAGTTTTCAGAGAGTTATGAATTTCATGATGGCATCTAGTGAAATGATGAAAAAAGAGTGAATTTCAGATCACAGATAAGGGATTACAGCCCCATAATAAAGATTAATGGCTGGCCAGGTGTGGTGGCTCATGCTTATAATCCCAGCACTTTGGGAGGCCAAGACGGGCAGATCACTTGAGGTCAGGAGTTCGAGAATAGCCTGGCCAATATGGTGAAACCCCAGCTCTACCAAACATACAAAAATTAGCCGGGCATGGTGGCAGGCACCTTTGGTCTCAGCTACTCAGGAGGCCGAGGTGGGAGAATCACTTGAACCCAGGAGGCAGAGGTTGCGGTGAGCCGAGATCGTGCCATTGCACTCCAGCCTGGGTGACAGAGGGAGGCTCCATCTCAAAAAAAAAAAAAAAAGACTAATGGCCAATACTAGCTAGCATTTACTGAGCACTTACTGTGTGCTAGGGACTGTGCCAAGTATTAATCCTCACCTCCATGCTGCGGTAGATATGATTTATTTATTTATTTATTTATTTTTAAACAGAGTCCTGCTTTGTTACCCAGGCTGGAGTGCAGTGGCATTATCTCAGCTCACTGCAATCTCCACCTCCCGGGTTCAAGCGATTCTCCTGCCTCAGCCTCCCAAGTAACTGGGATTACAGGCACCCGCCACCAAGCCCAGCTAATTTTTGTATTTTTGGTAGATACCGGGTTTCACCATGTTGGCCAGGCTGGTCTCGAACTCCTGACTTCGTGATCCGCCTGCCTCGGCCTCCCAAAGTGCTGGGATTACAGGCGTGAGCCACCGTGCCCGGCTGGTAGATAGGACTTTTATGCCCATTTTATAATTGAGGAAATTGAGCCTTAAACTTGAACATAGGGCAGAAACTATCTGATACTGGGAAGAGTTTATTATTTTAACAGATGGGAAAATGGAGGCTTGGAGAGGTGAAGTGACTTTCCCTCTTCACGAAACAAGAAAGCAGCAGGGTAGGATTCTGAGCCATCACGCAATCTCCCTTTGAAGGAGGGCAACCAGGCGCCCCTGGGTGTCCAGTCCAGCCCGCTCCTCCCCACTCCCACTCTGCCTCTCTCTTGCTATCTAGAGCTTCATCTCACCACCCAACCCTTATCTATCACAAGTCTGGGTTGCAACGCGCAGGCAAGCAAGGAAGAAAATGCCAGCCCAGAGAAACATTTGCTCCAACAAGTGAGCAAAGGAGAATGCAAATTCCTTCTCAGGAACTTGCTTCCACAGGCAAATATCTACACCTGCACTGACTGGTTATAAACATGCTAATTCCCCGGGTGATTTCAATTCATTGAATCCTGGGCTTGGCTCTCTCTGCCTACTTAGTCCTCAAGTGTCTCCAGAGTCAGTGGTTCCCCCACAATTGGAGTTTCACAAATCTGCAGTTTTAAAAAGAAAAGACACAGCGAGTGATATAGAAATACCACATAAGGGCATTAAGTAACCACAACTCCCAGAGACCTTTTTTGTGGCTGACAAATTAAACCCTCAATTAGCAGCGTAGCTATCCTGGTCCCCCAGCAGATGGCTGACCTCCATTTAGAAGGGAAATTCCTCATGGTAAGAAGCAGTCTCACCTAATCCATCTCTCCTACCCTAGAACAATTTTAGCTGCCTGTCATAAACACTTTCCAGAGCTAAGTGCCTTCCATAACCTAAGAGGCAGTCACCTATTTTCAGCCTCAATTTACGAGTGAGAAATCTGTGGCTCAGAGAGGTTAAGTAACATGACCAAGGGCATACAGCTAATGAAGTGATAGAGCAAAAATTTAAGCTTGAGTCTGTTTAGCTGCAAAATCACCATTCTGTAATACCTGTCCAAGAAACAGAGATGCAAAGAACATAATCGGATAAGCACATACCTTGCTTTAGTGAGAGGACCCTAGGAACGATAGTTGAACAAGCAGAACAAACTGTTAGGACCAGCATCTTGAAGTTTCCAAAGAAGTTGGTTCTTGATTCACATGGTGCTTGGGCCCTTGAAACACACATTAGGAATTCTGTGCCATGCTCTTACCATCCCTCCATTGAAAGAAAAGTGCAATAAACACCTATACATGCCTCACTAAGATCTACTGTTACTGGCTGGGAATTAATATGGATCTGCAGCAACTTCAATTCTTACCTCCTGGGAAGAAAGAATTGACTGAGGCAATTCTTTCTTAAGGCAGAAGTAAAGACTGAGGCAAGTTTCAGAGGAGAAGTGAAAACTTATTAAAAAGCTTCAGAGTAGGATCGAAAGGAAGTAAAGTACACTTGGAAGAGGGCCAAGCGGGCAACTTGAGACAGTCAAGTGCACTGATTCTTCCCTTGGGGTGGGCTGTCCGCATGCTCAGTGACCTGCCAGCACTTGGGAGGGAGCATGCGCAGTGTGTTTACTGGAGTTGTACGCATGCTCCCTTGAGGCGCTCTTCCCTTACCAGGTGAATGTGCCTAGCAGGTCATATACCAGTTAAACTCTGCCATTTTGCCTCTTAGTGGGCATGTGTGAGCCCACTTGCCCAGCTCCTGAGATCTTATTGGGGAGTGGCTGATCACCAGCTTCAGGTGTTCCTGTTTATTGGAAGACTGCCTTTCCCTGGTGCTGGCTGCAGCCAATTATTATTTTAAAGAGACAGTTAACAACTTGCCTGCCCATCACCTGATGGTCACCTGACATTCCTGGTGTGTGTGGGGGTGGGGGTGAGGGGAGCCCTCCCCTGCTCTGTTCTTGTCTGACTATACCTACTACTACCTACCATAACACTACCATTTGCTAACATCTGTTCCTGTCTGACTGTAGCAGGACAAGCCGCAGACAAAACCCCTCAGACACCGAGTTAAAGACGGAAGCGGTTTACTCGGCCGTGAGCATCGGCGAGACTCCTGTCTCAAGAGCTGAGCTCCCCGAGTGAGCGATTCCTGTCCCTTTTAAGGGCTCACAACTCTAAGGGGGTCTGCTTCAGAGGGTCGTGATTGATTGAGCAAGCAAGGGGTACGTGACTGGGGGCTGCATGCACCAGTAATTAGAATGGAACAGAACAGGACAGGGATTTTCACAGTGCTTTTCTATACAATGTCTGTAATCTATAGATAACATAACCAATTAGGTCAGGGGTCAATCTTTAACTACCAGGCCCAGGGTGTAGTGTCGGGCTGTCTCCCTGTGAATTTCATTTCTTCCTTTTAGTTTTTACTTCTTCTTTGGAGGCAGAAATTGGGCATAAGACAATATGAGGGGTGGTCTCCTCCCTTATAACTATGCCTACTACTATATACCATAACACTACCATTTGCTAACATTTCACAACATTTGCTTTCTCTATATATATATTGGCACTGGCCAATGTAAATTTCTGTGATGATGAAAATGTTTTGTACCTTCACTGTCCAATACTGTAGCCACTGGCCACATGTAGCTGTTGTACACTTAAAATTGTGGCCACTGTAACTGAGGAACAGAATTTTAAATTGTATTTATTATTTTTATTTTTTTATTTTTGAGACAGTCTCGCTCTGTCACCCGGGCTGGAATGCAGTGGCACGATCTCTGCTCACTGCAAGCTCTGCCTCCCAGGTTCACACCATTCTCCTGCCTCAGCTTCCCGAGTAGCTGGGACTACAGGCGCCCACCACCATGCACGGCTAATTTTGTTTTTGTATTTTCAGTAGAGACGGGGTTTCACCATGTTAGCCAGGATGGTCTTGATCTCCTGAACTTGTGTTCCCCCCGCCTCGGCCTCCCAAAGTGCTGGGATTACAGAAATTGTATTTATTTTTAATTAATTTAAAATTAAGCATAAACAACATGCAGCTAGTGGTGCTGTATTGGACAACACAGCCCATGGAAATATGTTCTTGCATTTTGCTGAACCACTTGAAAATAAGTTGCAGACATCATGATACTTCACCCTTAAATTTTTACTTCTTCAGAATAAGGACATTTCTCCTATGTAACTAGGGTACTGTTGTCAGAGGCGTTTGAACCAGAGCAACTCTGTCTTGAACAGGAGCTGGGGAAAAAAAGGCTGAGACCGACTGAGGTTAGGCATTCTTAGTCACAGGATGAGATGGGAAGTCAGCACAAGATACAGGTCATAAAGACCTTGCTGGTAAAACAGGATGCAGTAGGCTGGGCACGGTGGCTCATGCTGTAATCCCAGCACTTTGGGAGGCCGAGGCAGATGATCACTTGCAGTCAGGAATTCTAGACCATCATGGCCAACATGGTGAAGCCCCATCTCTACTAAAAATACAAAAATTAGCTGGGCACGATGATGGGTGCCTGTAATCTCAGCTACTTGGGAGGCTGAGGTGGGAGAATCGCTTGAACCTGGGAGGCAGAGGTTGCAGTGAACTGAAATCGCACCACTGCACTTCAGCCTGGGCGAAAGATGGAGACTTCATCTCAAAAACAAAACAGGATGCAGTACAGAAGCCGACCAAAACCAAGATGGCCATGAAAGTGACCTCTCCCTCTCCCTCTCCCTCTCCCTCTCCCTCTCCCTCTCCCTCTCCCTCTCCCTCCCCCTCCCCCTCCCCCTCCCCCTCCCCCTCTCCCTCTCCCGTCTCCCTCTCCCCACGGTCTCCCTCTCATGCGGAGCCGAAGCTGGACTGTGCTGCTGCCATCTCCGCTCACTGCAACCTCCCTGCCTGATTCTCCTGCCTCAGCCTGCCGAGTGCCTACGCCGCCACGCCTGACTGGTCTTGGTGGAGACGGGGTTTCGCTGTGTTGGCCGGGCCGGTCTCCAGCCCCTAACCGCGAGTGATCCGCCAGCCTTGGCCTCCCGAGGTGCCGGGATTGCAGACGGAGTCTCGTTCACTCAGTGCTCAATGGTGCCCAGGCTGGAGTGCAGTGGCGTGATCTCGGCTCGCTACAACCTACACCTCCCAGCCGCCTGCCTTGGCCTCCCAGGGTGCTGAGATTGCAGCCTCTGCCCGGCCGCCACCCCGTCTGGGAAGTGAGGAGTGTCTCTGCCTGGCCGCCCATCGTCTGGGATGTGAGGAGCCCCTCTGCCTGGCTGCCCAGTCTGGAAAGTGAGGAGCGTCTGCGCCCGGCCGCCATCCCATCTAGGAAGTGAGGAGCGCCTCTTCCCAGCCGCCATCACATCTAGGAAGTGAGGAGCGTCTCTGCCCGGCCGCCCATCGTCTGAGATGTGGGGAGCGCCTCTGCCCCGCCGCCCCATCTGGGATGTGAGGAGTGCCTCTGCCCAGCCGAGACCCTGTCTGGGAGGTGAGGAGCGTCTCTGCCCGGCTGCCCCGTCTGAGAAGTGAGGAGACCCTCTGCCTGGCAACCACCCCGTCTGAGAAGTGAGGAGCCCCTCCGCCCGGCAGCTGCCCCGTCTGAGAAGTGAGGAGCCTCTCCGCCCGGCAGCCACCCCATCTGGGAAGTGAGGAGTGTCTCCGCCCGGCAGCCACCCCGTCCGGGAGGGAGGTGGGGGGGGTCAGCCCCCCGCCCGGCCAGCCGCCCCATCCGGGAGGGAGGTGGGGGGTCAGCCCCCCCGCCCGGCCAGCCGTGCCGTCCGGGAGGGAGGTGGGGGGGTCAGCCCCCCGTCCGGCCGGCCGCCCCGTCCAGGAGGTGAGGGGCGCCTCTGCCCGGCCGCCCCTACTGGGAAGTGAGGAGCCCCTCAGCCTGGCCAGCCACCCCGTCCGGGAGGGAGATGGGGGGGTCAGCCCCCCCACCCGGCCAGCCACCCCGTCCGGGAGGGAGGTGGGGGGGTCAGCCCCCCGCCTGGCCAGCCGCCCCATCCGGGAGGGAGGTGGGGGGGTCAGCCCCCCGCCCGGCCAGCCGCCCTGTCCGGGAGGGAGGTGGGGGGGTCAGCCCTCTGCCCGGCCAGCCGCCCCGTCTGGGAGGTGAGGGGCGCCTCTGCCCGGCTGCCCCTACTGGGAAGTGAGGAGCCCCTCTGCGCGGCCAGCCGCCCGGTCCGGGAGGGAGGTGGGGGGGTCAGCCCCCTGCCCGGCCAGCCGCCCCGTCCGGGAGGTGAGGGGCGCCTCTGCCTGGCCACCCCTACTGGGAAGTGGGGAGCCCCTCTGCCCGGCCAGCCGCCCCGTCCGGGAGGGAGGTGGGGGGGTCAGCCCCCTGCCCGGCCAGCCGCCCCGTCCGGGAGGTGAGGGGCGCCTCTGCCCGGCCGCCCCTACTGGGAAGTGAGGAGCCCCTCTGCCCGGCCACCACCCCGTCCGGCCAGCCGCCCCGTCCGGGAGGTGAGGGGCGCCTCTGCCTGGCCACCCCTACTGGGAAGTGGGGAGCCCCTCTGCCCGGCCAGCCGCCCCGTCCGGGAGGGAGGTGGGGGGGTCAGCCCCCTGCCCGGCCAGCCGCCCCGTCCGGGAGGTGAGGGGCGCCTCTGCCTGGCCACCCCTACTGGGAAGTGGGGAGCCCCTCTGCCCGGCCAGCCGCCCCGTCCGGGAGGGAGGTGGGGGGGTCAGCCCCCTGCCCGGCCAGCCGCCCCGTCCGGGAGGTGAGGGGCGCCTCTGCCCGGCCACCCCTACTGGGAAGTGAGGAGCCCCTCTGCCCGGCCAGCCGCCCCGTCCGGCCAGCCGCCCCGTCCGGGAGGTGAGGGGCGCCTCTGCCCGGCCGCCCCTACTGGGAAGTGAGGAGCCCCTCTGCCCGGCTAGCCGCCCCGTCCGGGAGGGAGGTGGGGGGGTCAGCCCCCTGCCCGGCCAGCCGCCCCGTCCGGGAGGTGAGGGGCGCCTCTGCCCGGCCGCCCCTACTGGGAAGTGAGGAGCCCCTCTGCCCGGCCACCACCCCGTCTGGGAGGTGTGCCCAACAGCTCATTGAGAGCGGGCCAGGATGACAATGGCGGCTTTGTGGAATAGAAAGGCGGGAAAGGTGGGGAAAAGATTGAGAAATCGGATGGTTGCCGTGTCTGTGTAGAAAGAAGTAGACATGGGAGACTTTTCATTTTGTTCTGCACTAAGAAAAATTCTTCTGCCTTGGGATCCTGTTGATCTGTGACCTTACCCCCAACCCTGTGCTCTCTGAAACATGTGCTGTGTCCACTCAGGGTTAAATGGATTAAGGGCGGTGCAAGATGTGCTTTGTTAAACAGATGCTTGAAGGCAGCATGCTCGTTAAGAGTCATCACCAATCCCTAATCTCAAGTAATCAGGGACACAAACACTTCGGAGGGCCGCAGGGTCCTCTGCCTAGGAAAACCGGAGACCTTTGTTCACTTGTTTATCTGCTGACCTTCCCTCCACTATTGTCCCATGACCCTGCCAAATCCCCCTCTGTGAGAAACACCCAAGAATTATCAATAAAAAAATAAATTAAAGAAAAAAAAAAAAAGTGAAAAAGCTTACAAAAAAAAAAAAAAAAAAAAAGAAAGTGACCTCTGGTCATCCTCACTGTTCGTTATACGCTAATTATAATGCATTAGCATGCTAAAGGACACTCCCACCAGCGTCATGACAGTTTACAAATGCCATGGCAACGTCTAGAAATTACTCTCTATGGTCTAAAAAGGGGAGAAACCCTCAGTTCCCGGAACTGCCCAACCTTTTCGTGGGAAACTCATGAATCATCCACCCTTCATTTAGCATATTATCAAGAAATTACTATAAGTATAATCAGTTGACTAGCCCATGCTGCTGCTATCTATGGAGTAGCCATTCTTTATTCCTTTACTTTCTTAATAAACTTGCTTTCTCTTTACTCTATGAACTTGTCCCAAATTATTTATTTATTTTTGAGAGACAGAGTCTTGCTCTGTCGCCGAGGCTGGAGTACAGTGGTGCGATCTTGGCTCACTGCAACCTCTGCCTCCCGTGTTCAAGCGATTCTCCTGCCTCAGCTTCCCAAGTAGCTAGGACTACAGGTGCGTGCCACCACGTCTAGCTAATTTTTGTATTTTTTAGTAGAGACGGGGTCTCACTATATGTTGACCAGGCTGGTCTCGAACTCCTGACCTCAAGTGATCTGCCTGCCTCAGCCTCCCAAAGTGCTGGGATTACAGGCGTGAGCCACTGCGCCTGGCCCTGAATTCTTTCTTGGGCGAGGTCCAAGAATCCTCCTTTGGGGTCTAGATCCGGACACCCTTCCGGTAACATCTTCTTGGCTACCACAAAGGGACTATACCGAGGAGACCCCCAACTCAAAGGAAAGAGACTGCAGCACCGATTATCCGACTTTGGGTAAGTGGTGGGGTACATTTTACCCAGGTAAAGGATGGAATTGAGTGAGAGGCCCAACTTAGGAGAGTTAGTTTCTCCTGAGACAGACAAGGTTAAAGGCCCCTCTTAATAAAAGGCAAGGATGCTTGACCGAACTTGGGTTCAAGGCCCAACTTAGGAAGGTAAGAGTCCTTCCTAATATTTAGAGGGTTAGAGGACCTTCCCTCAGTAAAGTCCCTTTTGGTTAAAAAATGGGTTTGGGCTGGGCGTGGTGGCTCACGCCTGTAATCCTAGCTCTTAGGGAGGGAGAGGCAGGAAGATAGCTTGAGCCCAGGAGTTCAAGACCTGCCTGGACAATATATTGAGACCCTGTTCTCCACAAAAAGAAAAAAAAAAAAAAAAAAGAGGATTTGGCATTATGGGATGTTAACCCATCTTTGAATTAATCTGCCTTGCACTGCTTGCTGATGGCTATGGGTGACAGGATTAGACAAGTACAGGACCATAGGACATGGGAGCTTTTTCCTCCCCCAAAAGAGGGAAACTTGAGAGCTGATGGGTCTGCTGGAAAAGATCCCTTTGTGACTGACAAGCAGCTGCCTGAACTTTTGAGTCAGTGTCGCTGCAATGGGTGGGTCTTTCTCCCACCCCCTGAGCTCCTTGCCTTCCCCACCTCATCGCAGGCAATGCTTTTCTCTCTCTCGTTCTCTCCTTTCCCTTTCCTATCTTTTCTGTTACTCAGGGCGACCATCTTGCCCAGAGACCAAATGTTGAAACTGCTGGTCGGAGATCATTCCACCCCACTTTGAATAAAGATGACAGGGCTCAAACAGGGGCAAGTTTGAGCCTTACCAGTTCGATATTGGGTGCTAAGCAGAGTGGTTAATATCTATGTTTTGTCACACGTATTTTGCTCTGGCCGGATGGAAAATGTTAATTTGGTTATCCCATGCAATCCCTTGAACGGCATCTTACAAAATTGAGAGACTTTTGCCTGTGGTTCCATGAAAAGGAAAAAGATGATTTTCTTTGGTGTTGCAGCTTGGTCCCCAGGGCTATGATGTGGCAAGCAGGGTCACTAAGGTCACTCAGGGAAAGGGAACCCAGAAACCTGGCATGCAGGCAAAAGGGTAAGAATTTCTTACTGGTCAGGCTTGTGGGCTCTCTGTGCAAACTGGTTGTAGGAATTGTAAAAATCACTGTCTCCTCTGCAAAGTTCTTTTTTTTTTTTTTTTTTTTTTTTTTTTGAGACAGCGTCTCCCTCTATTGCCCAGGCTGGAGTGCACTCTGCTTCCCAGGTTCATGCCATTCTCCTGCCTCAGCCTCCCGAGTAGCTGGGACTACAGGCGCCCGTCATCTCACCCGGCTAATTTTTTGTATTTTTAGTAGAGAGTGGGTATCACCGTATTAGCCAGGATGGTCTTGATCTCCTGACCTCGTGATCCTCCCGCTCGGCCTCCCAAAGTGCTGGGATTACAGGCGTGAGCCACCCTGCCTGGCCGCAAAGTTCTGATTAATGAGAAAAAGGATTTGTGAGGTTAAACTGTAGTGAATCTGGTATACTTTGTGCTATGAATTTGTCTTTCTATATCGTTCTGTCATAAAGAGGGGTACCTTATGATACTTTGTGCTATGAATACTTTGTGCTATGGATTTGTATACTTTGTGCTATGAATTTGTCTTTCTATATCGTTCTGTCATAAAGAGGGGTACTTTGTGCTATGAATTTGTCTTTCTATATCGTTCTGTCATAAAGAGGCGTACCTTATGATAGAACATGGGCTTAGAACCCCATAAGCCTGCTGTTCAAGCTAGCCTGGAAAACTGGTCAGTTACAAACTTTGCTGCAGGTCCCTGAAGCAAACAAAAAAAACTGGATGAGGTTTGTAGTAGTCCGTTTTCACACTGCCATAAAGAAATACCTGAGACTGGATAAATTATAAAGGAAAGAGGTTTAATTGACTTACAGTTCCACATGGCTGGGGAGGCCTCAGGAAACTTATAATCAGGGTGGAAGGTGAAGGAAAAGCAAGGCACCTTCCTCCCTAGGCAGCAGGAGAGAGAGAAGAGCGAAGGAGAAACTTCCAAACACGAATAAAACCATCAGATCTCGTGAGAACTCACTCACTATCATGAGAAAAGCAAGGGGGAAACAGCCCCCATGATCCAATCAGCTCCCTCCCTCAACACGTGGGGATTACAGGTCCCTCCCTTGACATGTGGGGATTACAATTTGAGATGAGATTTTCGTGGGGACACAGAGCAAAACCGTATCAAGATTTCCCTCAGGTCTTGTTTTATGTCTTTGGGAGCTTGACCTTGTAACCACACCGTGGTAATTTCTCTTGGTTTCCACCATCCAGGGAACAGGAGTTTTGGGATTCATGTCATAGTTAGTCTTAAAAATTATCTTGAGGCTGGGTGCGGTGGCTCACGACTCTAATCCCAGCACTTTGGGAGGCCGAGGTGGGCGGATCACCTGAGGTCAGGAGTTCACGACCAGCCCGACCAACATGGCGAAACCCCATCTACTAAAAATAGAAAAATTAGCTGCACATGGTGGCACGTGCCTGTAATCCCAGCCACTTGGGAGGCTGGGGCAGGAGAATCTCTTGAACTCCAGAGGCAGAGGTTGCAGTGAGCCTAGACTGAGCCACTGCACTCCAGCCTGAGGGACAGAGTGAGACTTCTTCTCAAAAAAAAAAAAAAAAAAATTATCTTGAGCAGTTAAAAGCCATTGCAAGCTCAAAATTGACTGCTCTAGGCTCCTTCTGGAAAGAGCAATGGAGCCTGCCCAGTGCTGTAGCTTAGTAGCTAAGCCTTTGTCTTTTCACAGTGGTGGCCCAGGTTCAATTTTTGGCCTAGGAAATGAGTTATTTCTGTCATGTGGCGTTTGCCATTCATTGAGTCTCTTTCCCTCCATGAACAACTTCCGACTTCCTTTCTTGAATTTTCCTTTCTCTGAGCACCTGAGGTGCTATGAGGTTACCTTTGGTAAAGTTCAAAAGCCAGAAATATTGGCCATTTGGCCAGGCTACAGTCGGGTAATAAGAGATTTAAAAAGATTTTTTTTTTAAAGAGTGCTATGGTTAAAAGTCAGCTTAGTTAAAAGCAGATATTCAAGTTATAAGTGTATTTAAAAGGTCTTTATATTTTTTTCTCTTCTTGGATCTTATTTTTCTAAAGAAAAAAATGGTTTTCTCCTTAGTTGACTGAATTGTTTTTCTCCATTTTGTCTTCTTGCCTGTCCACATGAGAGCACCTAAGATAATTTCTTTCTTTCTTTTTTTTTTTTAAGACAGAGTCTTGCTCTGTCGCCCAGGCTGGAGTGCAATGGTGCAATCTTGGCTCACTGCAACCTCTGCCTCCTGGGATTCAAGCGATTCTCCCACCTCAGCCTCCCGAGTAGCTGGGATTACAAGTGCCTGCCACGACACCGGGCTAATTTTTGTATTTCTTTAGTAGAGACGGGGTTTCACCATGTTGGCCAGGCTGGTCTCAAACTACTGACCTTGTGATCCACCTGCCTCGGCCTCCCAAAGTGCTGGGATTACAGGCATGAGCCACCGCGCCCAGCCAAGAGGACCTAAGATAATTTCTAACAGCCTGTGACTCCTTGGGAAAAATGGAGGAGATGCCACAGATCTTGTTTTGGGAAAAACCTCTGTTTTCCTCCTGAAACTCCAGGAATTAGAACTGAATAGATCCATCCCTCTTGAAATCTAAGGCTCTCTTCTGTCTGGCATTGCATTATCTGACGTTTTTTACTTTGGGGGGGTATCAGAAATTACTTCACATTATGAGAGAGCTTTGGTGTGTAATAACTAGTTGGAGGATATACTTTTGGGCATGGCTAATGGCAATTAAGGGAGGATTCTCAGCTCTTTGCATGTTTGGATCAGAGAAGCATGTTCTTGGCCACCTAGAAGGTATGGATATATTCCCACCGCCACTGAGAGATAATCTGTTGGGAGATGGGCTGATCCCCTCCTTTTTGGGGATCCAGGATCTGGTATAAAAATGAGACCCTTAATTTTGGGGGATCTGTTTTGCCTTCCAGCTGTATGGGCTTATTAGGCCCTAGAAATTAGCTAGGTGTGGTGGCTCATGCCTGTAATCCCAGCACTTTGGGAGGCTGAGGTAGGTTGATCACGTGAGACCAGGAGTTCGAGACCAGCCTGGCCAACATGGTGAAACCCCATCTCTACTAAAAATACAAAAATTAGCTAGGTGTGGTGGTGCATGCCTGTAATCCCAGCTACTCGGGAAGCTGAGACATGAGAATCACTTGAACCTGGGAGGCAGAGGTTGCAGTGAGCTGATATTGCACCACTGCACTCCAGCCTGAGTGACAGAGTGAGACCCTGTCTCAAAAATAAATAACTTTTTAAAAAGAAAGAAACTACATGCTCTAAAAAGAAACTTAAAAACTGGCAAATGAGGCTGGGCACGGTGGCTCACGCCTGTAATCCCAGCACTTTGGGAGGCCGAGGCGGGCTGATCATGAGGTTAGGAGATCGAGACCATCCTGGCTAACACGGTGAAACCCCATCTCTACTAAAAATACAAAAAATTAGCCAGGCGTGGTGGCGGGTGCTTGTAGTCCCTGCTACTCGGGAGGCTGAGGCAGGAGAATGGCGTGAACCTGGGAGGTGGAGCTTGCAGTGAGCCAAGATCGCACCACTGTACTCCAGCCTGGGGACAGAGCGAGACTCTGTCTCAAAAAACAAACAAACAAACAAAAAAAACGAAAAACTGGCAAATGAAAAATCTTACAACTACTGGATCTTCTGTGTATTTTTATGTGTTGTGTGTGTGATGTTTATATATGGAAGAGCTCTGATTAATTCGTTTAAAAATAATAAGTGCTTAAATATTTTGTCAGAAAAATAAAAACTGCAATGCTTTTTAGTTCATGTGACTTAGTAAGCTTTGGGAAATAAAGACAGTCTTAAAGATTATTGGTGAAATAAAAATGTCTTTGAAATTTAGATATTTGGTCTAACTTAGGCAGGGCAGCTATTAGGTTTGCTAAATGCTTTAACGTCATAAACTGCTTCTTTCTTTTGAAAATCTTTCCACTGACCTGTTTTTAAGCCATTAGATAAAGTCTGGGGACAGGTGGAGTTAGTCATGACCGGCAGCTGGAAAGAGTTCAACCTCATCTGCATTTCTATCTGGTGTCTTAGGTTCTACTCCTGGTACATAATTAGAATCACTTACTTACCAGATTTTTCAGCAAAAACGAAAGTTGCTAAGAATTAACATTGTAACATGTAATTAAGACTACTGAAGAAACACTTCTACGTGCAAGGTGTGTAAGAAAAGTGAAATGTGAGGCCAGGCCTGGTGGCTCACGCCTGTAATCCTGGCACTTTGGGAGGCCGAGGCAAGTGGATCACCTGAGGTCAGGAGTTTGAGACCAGCCTGGCCAACATGGCGAAACCACGTCTCTACTAAAAATACAAAAATTAGCCGGGTGTGGTGGTGCGCTCCTGTAGTCCCAGCTACTGGGGAGGCTGAGGCAGGAGAATCACTTGAACCCGGGAGGCAGAAGTTGCAGTGGCTGAGATCGCGCCATTATACTCCAGCCTTGGCGACAGAGTGAGACTCTGTCTCAAAAAAAAAAAAAAGATAAAAGAAAAAAAAGAAAAGTGAAACGTGTTTTTGGTAAAAGATTATAAGAAGACATAGGAATGTGGGTGCTTTCTTTTTGGCCTAGTTTATAGGGTTAAAGGATTGTTTTCAGTTCGATAAGTTAGATTGTTTTAAGTTAAGATAGATTGTTTTAAGTTAGAAGGTTTGAGCAAGTTGCATAAGATTTGCGAAAAATTAATCTTGTAAAAGAAATTCTGTGTAGAAAGTAAAAAGTTGCCTCTTCAAAGTTTCCCTTCTTGTTAAAAAATAAATCGTAAGTGTTAGAAATAATAGTTTCTTTTAAAAACTAACTTCTTTCAAGCCTCCTTGCTTTGTGCTAATAACTCTTTGTTAAGCCCTATTCTATGTAGCTGTTCAATATAAAAAAAAGTATCTTTGATGTCCTTGTACTTTAACCAAAATATTTATGCTAAACGTGCTCACAGGCATGTCCCAACTTGCAGCTTATGCCCCTTCCTTATTTAAAAATATTATTACTTTTCTAAGTCCTTTCGCAAGCAACTTCCTCTTTTCCTTTGTTCTCTATTGCCTTTACCTATTTTAAAAAGTTTTAAATTATTAGCCAGTCGGGTTTTAGTTTAAATTGTAAGGTCTAGCTCCAGCCAATGAAGACAAAACACAGTAGCAAAAATAAGCTGCATAAAAAATAAACATTGCTTCCCTCCTTTGTTTAGGTGTGCTTTTGTCATTGTTCCATCTGCAAAAAGCACCCTTTCTGCAAAAAGTAAAATTACCTTGCTAAAAAAACTTTTTCCCTAAATGCTAATTTTTCCTTACAGTACCAAAAACAAGCCTTTTACATATAACATTCTGTGTGTAAACATATTGGCTAAAATTAAAGGTTTTCCATAAATTGAACATTGGAATAAAAGCACAACAGAGTTTTCTCTTTTTTATCTCTGTCACCCAGGCTGGAGTGCAGTGGTGTGATCTCAACTCACTGCAACCTCCACCTCCCAGGTTCAAGCGATTTTCCTGCCTCAGCCTCCCAAGTAGCTGGGACTACAGGTACACCACCCCGCCCGGCTATTTTTTTTTTTTTTAAATTTTTAGTAGAGATGGGGTTTCACCATATTGGTCAGGCTGGTCTCGAACTCCTGACCTCAAATGATCCACCCACCTTGGCCTCTCAAAGTGCTGGGATTACAGGTATGAGCCACCACGCTTGGCCATGAACAATATTTGTATGTAGTATTAAAGGATAATGAAGATTTTTGTTTGCCTTTTGAATAAACCACAGGAAAAAGAAAGGAAAGACAAGAGATAGATTGTTTGGAAACCTAAGTCTTCCCTGTATCAATAAGTAAAGTTTTATGCTTTTTAAAAATTTTTGAGTTACCATTTTTGGCTAAATGAATAACTTAGGGTGACCTAGAATTCTATTTTATAATATCAAATATTTTAAACCTTTGATATTGGACAAACTTTCCAAAATCAAATTACAAATTATATCTTTTTCTGACTTCATTAATGTTTTAGATATTAGGTCCCCTAAAGTCCAAAAATGACATATTTGACTTATTTGTATAAAAAAATCACCCGGAAGCAGAGCCGGAAGTGGGGTTGGTCAGGTTATCTCCACGGGTGGAGAAGCGGAGGCCCAGGAGGAGGGGTGAAAAGAAGGTGGAGGATCCTGGCTACCACTGAATCCCATACTGCTTCTCCTAGACCTCAGAGACAGAAAAAGAGAAGGGTGTGTCATCCCCCTTCCTCCTTTCCTCCCTCTCCTGAGGCAGGGGCTGGGCTGAGCGAGACCGTCACTGAGACAACAGTTACCGTGACAACCGAGCCCGAGAACCGGAGCCTTACCATCAAACTTCCGAAACGGAAGCCAGAGAAAAAGGTGGAATGGACAAGTGACACTGTGGACAATGAACGCATGCGCCGCCGCTCATCAAAATGCTGCTCTATTTATGAAAAATCCCGGGCCTTTGGCGAGAGCTCCACGGAAAGTGATGAGGAGGAAGAAGAGGGCTGTGGTCATACACACTGTGTACGTGGCCACCGCAAAGGATGGCGTCCTGCAACCCTGGGACCGACCCCCACCACCCCTCCCCGGCCTCCTGACCCTTCCTAGACCCACGCAGGGCCAATGCAGCACTAAATTCCTCTTTCCCCCACCATGCCTGAATGTATCCATGTGGCTACTTCTCCAGTACCCTCCTTCTCTCTCTTCTGCCTGATAGAGGGAAGAGGAAGAGGAGGGTGGACAGAGATCCTGGAATTCTGACTTGCTGCTATTTCAGAACCTAGACTCCTGAGTTCCCCCAGTTCTCATTTTTCCTCCCAATACCCACCCCTTCTCTCTCGAGGGATCTAGGCACCTTGGCCCCAGCCTCTTCCTTTTGTTCTCACTGTCAAACTGCCTGTCCTGGGATCTAGTTATCTTGGCCCTGCACTCTCAACTTGAGTAGCAAACACTGAAATTGGGTTTTCAACAGTCCCAGCTTTCACTGCGAGGGTCCCAGTCAGATTCCAGGAATTCTCACCCTGGCTGTGCTTGCTAATACTGGTTTAGAGCTATCCCACGAAAATATTTAATCCTAATTCTTAGTCCTTGCCTGTGGGATATGAGGTCCTACAGGAGACCTCAGGGCTCCCAGCCCTTCTCCTGCTAACCCTCTTCATGCCCTCAAGAGGAGTTAGAAGAGAGTTCCTTGTCATTCTCACCTCTAATGGAAAATGGAACCAGAAATAATCATATCCTTTCTCTCCACCCTTCTCCTGTGATCTAGGATTTCTGACAAAGCTGGCTTGAGACTGGTCACTTAGAGCCAACTGTCTCCTCTGCCTTTTGTTTTTCAGCTTCAGAGACAGATCCAATATAGTCCCAAGGACCTGGGTCCCTGGGAAAGAAAGCAAAAGGGAAGGAGCAAAGAGATGGGGTATATCCCCTACACTACACTCTTACCTCTTAATTTCTAGGCTTTGATTTCTCTGCCAGCCCAGATGTTCAGTTCTCTTGGCCCTCCCTACCCCTTTGCTGGGATCTTGTTGTCATTTTCTTTTGCCAGTTCTTTTGCCCTACACAGTTGCAGAGATCAGTCAAATCCACACCACCAGTGAGATCTCATTCATTGCCACAGATGCACAAAATAAATAACCCAAAATCACACGCACAAAAAATCATACAGGAAGCATTGTCAAATACGAAACGGTGTTTGGCTTTCTTTGGGCTATATTTGTATAAATATGTTATTGGTATGTGTTCCAAAGTTATGGGAAACTCCTGTGTTATAATTGTTATGTAAAATTATTGAAAGTCATAGAAGTAACCACAATTCCTAGTCAAATATGACTTTAATAATGGCTGTCCTAAGACTTTGTGTCATCCATAGACAATTGTTGACTTGTTTTAATCCTCTTTGAAAGGTGGTTTATAATCAGCTATAGGTCTTTGACAGGTGATCTTAAACGCAGGTTTCAGATAACTTTGGAGACTGTGACGTTAGAATAGAGGAAAAACTTTCAGGACTGTCATAGCTGAAATGTTTATTAATGTCAAGCAGAGCAGGCATTAATTGCATGGACTGAACTAATAACAGAAGACCGAAATAATCCTTTTATGACTTTTTGCTTAAAATGTTGCTGATCCTTTGTTTTGTTTTTCAGAGTCAAGAAAACTTTTAAGCTATTTACTTTTTTTTTTTTTTTTTTGAGACAGTCTTGTTCTGTTGCCCAGGCTGGAGTGCAGTGGTGCAATTTCAGCTCACCACCACCTCTGCCTCCTGGGTTCAAGCAATTCTTGTGCATCAGACTCCCGAGTAGCTGGGACTACAGGTGGGCACCATCACACCCAGCTAATTTTTTATATTTTTAGTAGAGACGGGGTTTTGCCATGTTGGCCAGGCTGGTCTCAAACTCCTGACCTCAGGTGATCTGCCCACCTCGGCCTCCCAAAGTGTTGGGATTATAGGCGTGAGCCACTGCGCCCAGCCTATTTACAGTTTTTGATAATTGAGTAAAGTATACTCCTATAAACAAAAGTTGGGGCATATTTGTTTCTCTCTACCTTATTTATCCAGAATTTGGAAACCACTTGTGAGTATTCTTAACTTATGGCAATACAGTTATTTGCATAAGTGCAGTAAGAATCTGTCTTCATTTGTAATAGGACACAATTGGAGAAACTGGTAATTTTACCAAGGCTTTGACTGGAGTGGCATGCTTTTCTTTAAGGAATCAAAATTAACATATAGAGCCAATAAAAGCCCCTTGGGAAAACTGGCTTTATACCTTGTCTACACAGTCTCTGTACAGTGTTCCTGACCTGTGTTAAGTAAAGAATGTCACTTTCTGACAGGCCCAGGAGCCCCAAGTTATATTGGGACCTCAAGAGGAGAGAAATTTACCCAACTCATACAGGTAGTTGACAGTAATAACCCATGGCTTGGCTTGACTTTAAAAAAAAGTCTTATCTAAGATTTCTTATGGAGCAAAGTTCCATCAAAGCCAATTTAAAAAGGAGGCTATATGGCAAATAATTATTCTTGCTGCACTTTATACAAATAATCAGGCCAAGTATAATAAGACTAATGCTTATTTTGCAAATGAATCAGTCTTACAATGATTTGTCTTTAGTAAAAATGAGGGCTGGAGAGAGAAAAATTGTTTCAAGAACTATGGTACACTTGTTATTAAGTTCTAGTCCCATCAGTTGTTTTTGAGTTTTTTTTCTACAATTTAGACTGACTCTGCTTATTCCTGTGAACCGACCAATGATCTCTGGCTACAGCTAAGAAGAAACAAGAGGGATGGTTAATTTAAAAATCTAGACCAATATTCTATTTCTGGGCACGTATTGGAATCGGCTAGCAATGTTATGTCAGCTTGGTTCCAACAGTTGCCTGCTTCATGGGAAGCCTTCTTAATTTAATTTACCTGGGATAGTTTAACTTATTTTGCTTTACTGTTGTGGAATATATTGCCATTGTACTCTTTGTGTAGGAATGCAGGATAAGCTTACTCAATGTTTTCTTAAATTGAACACTTATTAATCTTCCGGATACCACCTTTTGTCAGAACTCAGAGTTATGAGTAGCCCTCACCATACAGATAATTTCTAACTGAGTTCCTCTCTACCCTGAATACGACAGACCCTGTTAGGCAGGAATATCATCTCCCCTATTCAGCCTGAAGAATTTACAGAAGATTGATCTTTGTCCCCTATAACCCTTAGGATTAAGGGGACCCTTGTAAAAGGGAGGGGGGAAAATATGTCAGAGGCATTTGAACCAGAGCAATTCCATCTTGAACAGAGGGTGGGTAAAACGAGGTTGAGACCAGGCCGGGCGTGGTGGCTCACGCCTGTAATCCCAGCACTTTGGGAGGCCGAGGCAGGTGGATCATGAAGTCAGGAGTTCGAGACCAGACTGACCAACATGGTGAAACCCTGTCTCTACTAAAAATACAAAAATTAGCCAGGCATGGTGGTGCACACCTGTAATCCCAACTACTCAGGAGGCTGAGGCAGGAGAATCGCTTGAACCCGGGAGGTGGAGGTTGCAGTGAGCCGAGATTGTGCCATTGCCCTCCTGCCTGGGTGACAGAGCAAGACTCCGTCTCAAAATAAATAAATAAATAAATAAATAAATAAATAAATAAATAAATAAATCTGAGACCTACTGGGCTGCATTCCAAAGAGGTTAGGCATTCTTAGTCACAGGATGACATAGCAGGTCAGCACAAGACACAGGTCACAAAGACCCTGCTGATAAAACGGGATGCAGTAAAGAAGCCGGTCAAAACCCACCAAAACCAAGATGGCGATGAAAGCGACCTCTGGTCATCCTCACTGCTCATTATATGTGAAATATAATACATTAGCATGCTAAAAGACATGGCACCAGTGCCATGACAGTTTACAAATGCCATGGCAACATCTGGAAGTTACCCTATATGGTCCTAAAAGGGGAGGAATCCTCATTTCTGGGAATTGCCTTCCCCTTTCATGGAAAACTCATGAATAATTTACACCTTGTTTAGCATATAATCAAGAAATAACTATAAGTATAATCAGTTGAGCAGCCCATTCCACTGCTCTGCCTATGGAATAGCCGTTCTTTTATTCCTTTACTTTTTTAACAAACTTGCTTTCACTTTATGAACTCACCCTGAATTCTTTCTTGTGTGAGGTCCAAGAACCCTCTCTTGGGGTTTAGATTGGGACTTCTTTCGGTAACATTGTTATCACACTCAAGAATTTTTTATAAAAAATATATTTAAATATAATTCACATCTCATACAATTCACTCATTTAAAGAATATAATTCTATGTTTTTAGCATACCCAGAGTTATGAAATGATCATCACAATCAATTTCAGAATATTTTTATCACCCTAAAAAGAAGCCTGTACCCATTAACTGTCACTCCCCATTTTTCCTTCAAACCTCTTCTCCTGCTGCTTACCCCCAACCCCAGCACAAGGCAACTACCAATCTACGTTCTCTCTCTGTGGATTTGCCTATTCTGGACATTTCAAAAAAATGGAATTATACAATATGTGCAATATGTGGTCCTTTGTAGCTGGCTTCTGTCATTTTGCATAATGTTTTCAAGATCTGTCCATTTTGTAGCACATATCAATACTTCTTTTCTTTTCTTTATTGAATTGAGGTAAAAGTCACATAACATTCACCATTTCAATAATTTTAAAGTGTACAATTCAGTGGCTTCCAGTACATTCACAATGTTGGGCAATTGTCTTACCTGTTCCTGCTGTTGTAACAAAATATCTTAGACTGGGTAATTTATAAACAACAGAAATTTATTTCTCACAGTTCTGGAGGATGGGAAATCCAAGTTCAAGGTGTCAGATTTGGTGTCTGGTGAGGGCCTGCTAATCATAGATGGTGCCTTCTCTGTGTCTTCACATGGCAGAAGGGTGCTAACCGCTCCTTCTGACCTCTTTTATTTTTTAATTAATTAATTAATTAATTATTTTTTTGAGACAGGGTCTCATTCTGTCACCCAGTCTAAAGTGCGGTGGCAAGATCAAAGCTCACTACAGCCTCAGCTTCCCAGGGCTCAGGTGATCTTCCCATCTCAGCCTCCCGAGTAGCTGGGACTACAGGCATGCACAACCATGCCTGGGTAATTTTTGTATTCTTTATAGAGACAGGGTTTCACCATATTGCCCAGCCTGGTTTTGAACTCCTAGGCTCAAGTAACCTACCTGCCTTGGTCTCCCAAAGTGCTAGGATTATAGGCATGAGCTACTGCACCCAGCCTTCTGACCTCTTTTATAGGGGCACTACCCCCATCTTATGACCTAGTCACCTGCTAAAGGCCCCACCTCTTAATACTATCGCGTTGGGTATTAGGTTCCAACATATAAATTTGAAGGGCACACTAACATTCAGACCATAGGATTTTCCCCTGGCTGCCCAAATTCATGGTCTTCTCCATGCAAAATTCCATCTCAATAGCTCCCAAGATCTTGTTCTAGCACCGACTCAAAAGTCTGAAGTCCAGAATCTCATCTAAATCAGACATAAGTGACTCAAAAGTGTGATTAAGGCCAGGTGCAGTGGCTTACGCCTGTAATCCCAGCACTTTGGAAGGCTGAGGTTGGGGGATGAATTGAGGCCAGGCATTTGAGACCAGCCTGGCCAACATGACAAAACCCCATCTCTACTAAAAATACAAAAATTAGCCAGGCGTGGTGGTGCATGCCTGTAGTCCCAGCTACTCTGAGGCAAAAGAATCGTTTGGCTGGGCGCTGTGGCTCACGCCTGTAATCCCAGCACTTTGGGAGGCCAAGGTGGGCGGATCACAAGGTCAGGAGATCCAGACCATCTTGGCTAACACAGTGAAACCCCGTCTCTACTAAAAATACAAAAAAATTAGTGGGGCGTGGTGGCGGGCACCTGTAGTCCCAGCTACTCAGGAGGCTGAGGCAGGAGAATGGCGTGAACCCGGGAGGCGGAGCTTGCAGTGAGCTGAGATCATGCCACTGCACTCCAGCCTGGGTGACAGGGAGACTCCGTCTCAAAAAAAAAAAAAAAAAAAAAAGAATCGCTTGAACCCAGGAGACGGAAGTTGCAGTGAGCTGAGATCGCGCCACTGCTCTCCAGCCTGGGCAACAGAGCAAGACTCTATCTCAAAAAAAAAAAAAGAAAAAAGAAAAAGAAAAAGAAACGCCGGGCGCGGTGGCTTTCGCCTGTAATCCCAGCACTTTGAGAGCCTGAGGCGGATGGATCACAAGGTCAGGAGTTCAAGATCAGCCTGGCCAAGATGGTGAAACCCCGTCTCTACTAAAAATACAAAAATCAGCCAGGCATGGTGGCGGGTGCCTGTAATCCCAGCTACTTGGGAGGATGAGGCAGAAAATTACTTGAACCTGGGAGTTGGAGGTTGCAGTGAGTTGAGATCGCGCCACTGCACTCCAGCCTGGGCAACAGAACGAGACTCCGTCTCAGAAAAAAAAAAAAAAAGTGTGTACTATCCTGAGGCAAATTCTTCTTCAGTGGTGAGCCTGTGAAATCAAACAAGGTATGTGCTTTCTAAATACAATGGTGGGACAGGCAAAGGACAGACATTTTTATTCCAAACAGGAGTAGGAAAGAAGAAAGAGATAAGAGATCTCAACCAAATAAAAAACCCAGCAAGGCAAACATTAAATCTTAAGGCTCCAGAATATTCTTCTTTGACTTGATATTCTGCAATCTGGACACACTGGGTTGGGGATTGGACTCCCAAGGTTCCAGGCAACCCTGTTTCCATGGGTTTGCTAGGCCCAGCCCATACCACACCTGTCATAGGTTAGAGTCCGGTGCCTACAGCTGTCCCAAGCTGGAATTGCATGCCCATGGCTCTATCTTCCTGGGGTCTTGGGAACAGTCCCACTCCCACATCTCTGCTAAGGCTTTCCCTATTGGAGGCTCTCTGTGGTGGTCTCACCCTTGTGGTAGCTTCTGCCTGGGTCATGAGGCCAAGGCTCCGGGTGGCTCCATCCTTTAAAATGTAGGTGAAGACAGGCATGTCCCACATCTCATGCACTCTTTGGACTAGTGGAGATGGCACCATGAAGACGTCGCAAAGGTCTACTGCCTGTGCCTTCTGGAGGAGCAGCCTGAGCTACACAGCTGGGTGGCCAAGGAGCACTGAAATCATTTTGTTCCCAAGGCCTTAGCATTCTGGGCCTGTGCTGGGATAAGCAGCCCCAGCAATCTCCAAAAATGCCTTTGGGGTCATCCTTCCATTGTCCTGATGAACAGCATCTGGCTCTCTTCTATTTGCATGAATCTCCTTACCAAATGGTTGCTTGGCCACACCCTTGGTGTTCCCTCCCAACCATGCTTTTTCTTTTCCTTTTTTTTGAGACAGGGTCTTTCTCTGTCACTCAGGCTAGAGTGCAGTGGTACAATCTCAGCTCACTGCAGCTGCAGCCTCCCAGTCTCAAGCAATCCTCCCAGCTCAGCCTCCCAAGTAGCTGGGACTACAGGTGCTTGCCACAATGCCAGGCTGCTTTTTTTTTTTTTTTTGAAACAGAGTCTCACTCTGTCACCCAGGCTGGAATGCAGCGGCGTGATCTTGGCTCACTGCAACCTCCGCTTCCCAGGTTCAAGCAATTCTCCTACCTCAGCCTCCCGAGTAGCTGGGATCACAGGCGCCTGCCACCAAGCCCAGCTAATTTTTGTATGTTTAGTAGAGACAGGGTTTCGCCATGTTGGCCAGGCTGGTCTCGAACTCTTGACCTCCAGTGATCCACCCACCTTGGCCTCCCAAAGTGTTTGCATTACAGGCATGAGCCACCACGCCCAGCCCCAGGCCCCTTTCATAAGGGAACTAATTACCTCCTAAAGGCCCCACCTCTTAATAGTATCACATTAGGTATTAGGTTCTAACATACGAATTTTGGGGAGAAATCAACATTCAGACCATAGCAGCAACCATCATCACGAGGACATTTTCATCACCCTAAAAAGACTCCTTGTAGCTCTTAAACAGTCACTCCCATTCCCCACCCCCTCAGCCCTAGGCAACCACTCATCTCCTTTCTGTCTCTACAGATTTGCCTATTCTAGACATTTCATACAAATGGAATCGTACAATATGTGGCTTTTTATATTTGGCTTATTTCATTTAGTATAATATTTTCAATATTTTTTCCAGGTTGTACTGCATATTAGTACATCATTCTGAATAATATTCCATTTTATGGATATACCACATTTTGTTTATCCATTTATGAGTTGATGGACATCTGGGTTGTGTCTGCCTTTTGACTATTATAAATGATGCTGCTCTGAACATTGGTGTGCAAGTTTTTGTTTGAACACTTGTGTTCAGTTCTCTTGGATATATATCTAGGAGTGGAAGTGCTGGGTCATATGTTTAACTTTTTGAAGAATTGCTAAACTGTTTTTCACAGAGACGACACCATTTTACATGTCCAGAAGCAATGTGTGAGGGTTCCAATTTCTACATATTTTTACACTTCTTCGAGTCTGTCTTTTTTTTATTACAGTGGATGTGAAGTGGTATCTCACTGTGGTTTTGTTGGCATTGACTAATTTGGTTAACTTGAATCTTAAACTCAGCTGATAAAAAAAGAAATAGATAATTTCCATTGACCCTAGTGACTAATGATGTTGGGCATTATTTCATGTGCTTATTGGCCACTGTATATCTTCTTTGGAGAATTGTCTGTTCAAGTCCTTTGCCCCCTTTTTTTTTTTTTTTTTGAGAGAGAGAGAGTCTGGAGTGCAGTGGTGCAATCATGGCTCACTGCAGCCTCGACCTCCCAGGTTCAAGCAATCCTCCCACCTCAGCCTCCTGAGTAGCTGGGACTACAGGTGCATGCCATCATGCCCAGCTAATTTTTGTATTTTTTTGTAGACAGGGTTTCACCATGTTGCCCAGGCTGGTCTCAAACTCCTGGGCTCAAGCAATCCTCCTACCTTGGCCTCCCAAGGTGTTGGGATTACAGGTGTGAACCACTGCACCCAGCCTTTTGTCCATTTTTTAAATTGGACTGTTTGTCTTTTTGTTGTTGTGTCATAGAAGTTCTTTATATATTCTGGATACCAGATCCTTATCAGATATATGATTTGCAAATATTTTCTCTATTTCTGTGGGATGTCTTTTTACTTTCTTTATTGTGTCCTTTGATGCACAAACATTTTAAATGTTGATGAAGTTCAATTTATTTTTTTCTTTTGTAGTTTGGGCTTTTGGTGTCATACCTAAGAACCCATTGCCAAATCCAAGGTTATGAAGATTTACCCCTATGTTTTCTTCTAGGAATTTTTTAGTTTTAACTCTTACATTTAGGCATTTAATCCATTTTCAGTTAATTTTTCTTTGAGAGAGAGGGCTTCATTCTGTCATTCAGGCTGGAGTGCAATGGTACCACCATGGCTCACTGCAGCCTCAACCTCCTGGGCTCAAGTGAGCTTCCTGCCTCAGCCTCCTAAAGTGCTGGGTTTACAGGCATGAACCACTGTGCCTGACTGAGTTAATTTTTGTATATGGCATGAGGTAAGGGTGTCCAACGTCAGTCTTTTGCATGTGGATATCCAGTTGTCCCAGCACTGTTTGTTGAAAAGACTATCCTTCCCCCATTGAATGATTTTGGCACTCTTGTAGAAAATTATTGTATCATATATTTATGGGTTTACTTCTGGACTTTCATTTGTATTCCACTGATTTCTATGTCTGTCTTCCTGCCCAGCACTATACTGCCTTGAATAATGTAGCTTTGTGGTATGCTTTGAAATCAAGAATTGTGAGTCCTCAGCTGGGCGTGGTGGCTCACGCCTGTACTCTCAACACTTTGGGAGGCTGAGGTGGGCGGATCACGAGGTCAGAAGATCGAGACCATCCTGGCCAACATGGTGAAACCCTGTCTCTACTCAAAATACAAAAATTAGCTGGGCATGGTGGCAGGCGCCTGTAGTCCCAGCTACAGGGGAGGCTAAGGCAGGAGAATCGCATGAACCAGGGAGGTGGAGGTTGCAGTGAGTGGAGATGGCGCCACTGCACTCCAGCCCAGAGACAGAGCAAGACTCCGTCTCAATAAAAAAAAAAAAAAAAAGAATTGTGAGTCCTCCAATTTTGTTCTTTTTCAAGATTGTTTTGGCTATTATAAGTCTCTTGAGTTTCCATACGCTTGTTCATATCTGAAAAACAATTTGATAGGCAATGAATTGAATCTATAGATCAATTTGGGGAATATTACCATCTTATAAATATTAAGTTATCCAATCTATGAACATGGGTTATCTTTCTATTTTTTTAGATCTTCTTTAAGATTTGGGCAGGGCACAGTGGCTCACACCTGTAATCCCAACACTTTGGGAGGCTGAGGCAGGTGGGTCGCTTGAGCCTAGGAGTTTAAGACCAGTTTGGATGGCATAGTGAGACCTCCGTTTCTACAAAAAATAAACAAAATTAGTCTAGTGTGGTGGCACACCCACCTGTGGTCCCAGCTACTGGGGAGGCTGAGGTGGGAGGATCCCTTGAGCCTGGGAGGTCGAGGTTGCCTGGGAGCCACTGCACCTGCACTCTAACCTGGGCAACAGAGTGAGGGTCTGTCTCTCTCCCTCTCTCTTTCACACACACACATAAAGATTTGCAATGGTATGCAGTTTCAGTGTATAAGTCTTGCATTTCTTTGGCAGAAATTATTTCTATTTTATTCTTTTTGATCCTAATGTAAATAAAATTATTTAATCAATTTTACTTCGAGATTGTCTACTGCTAGTGTATAAAAATACCATTTATTGGCCAGGCACTGTGGCTCATGCCTGTAATCCCAGCACATTGGGAGGCCAATGTGGGTGGATCACCTGAGGTCGGGAGTTTGAGACCAGCCTGACCAACATGGAGAAACCCTGTCTCTACTAAAAATAGAAAGTTAGGCAGGCATGGTAGTGCATGCCTGTAATCCAAGTTACTCGGGAGGCTAAGGCAGGAGAATCATTTGAACCCAGGAAGCGGAGGTTGCGGTGAGCCGAGATCATGCCATTGTACTGTAGCCTGGGCAATGAGAGCAAAACTCCATCTCAAAACAAAAAACAAACAAACAAACAAAATTTATTTATTTATTTATTTATTTTTGAGATGGAGTCTTGCTCTGTTGCCCAGGCTGGAGGGCAATGGCGTAATCTCGGCTCACTGCAAGCTCCGCCTCCCGGGTTCACGCCATTCTCCTGCCTCAGCCTCCCAAGTAGCTGGGATTACAGGCACCTGCCACCACACCCAGCTAATTTTTGTATTTTTAGTAGAGACGGGGTTTCACCATGTTAGCCAGGATGGTCTCAATCTCCTGACCTTGTGATCTGCCCACCTCGGCCTCCCAAAGTGCTGGGATTACAGGCATGAGCCACTACGCCTGGCAAAACCATTTATTTTTATATATTAATTTTGTATCCTGCAACCTTGGTGAGTTTATTTATTAGTTCCAATAGTTTTTAAAGTGAATTCCTTAGGATTTTCTATATACAAAATGATGTCACCTGAGAATTGATATCATTTAATTCTTCCTTTCCAATCTGTATGTCTTTTATTATTATTTTTTTCTTGCCTGTTTGCTTTGGCTTGACTCTCCAGCACAATATTCAATAGAAGTGGTGAGAGCAAATATTCCTGTGTCCTTGATCTTAGGGAAAACACCAGTAAGTATTATATTAGCTGTGGGTTTTTTATAAACGTCCATGGTATGGTTTGTCTGTGTCCCCATCCAAATCTCATCTTGAACTCCCAAGTGTTGTGGCAAGGACCCAGTGGGAGGTAATTAAATCATGGGGGAATATCTTTCCCATGCTGTTCTTGTGATAGTGAATAAGTCTCACAAGATCTGATGGTTTTAAAAAATGGGAGTTTCCAATTGCACAAGCTCTTCTTCTCTTATCTGCCATCATGTGAGATGTGCCTTTCACCTTCCACCATGATTGTGAGGCCTCCCCAGCCACATGGAACTGAAAGTCCATTAAACCTCTTTCTTTTGTAAATTGCCCAGTCTTTATGTCTTTATCAGCAGCACGACTAATATCGTCCATTATCAGGTTGAAGAAAGTTCCCTTCTCTTTCTAGTTTGTTGAGTCTTTTTAACACGATAAGATGTTAGATCTTTCCAAATATTTTTTTCTGCATCAACTGAAATGATCATATAGTTTTATTCCTTTATTGTGTATTAATATGTTATATTATATTGATTGATTTTTGTATGGTAAACCAATCTTGCATTCCGGGGATAAATCCAAGTTGGTCATGGCATATAATCCTTTTAATATGCTGCTGGATTCTGTTTGCTGATATTTTCTTGAGAATTTTTGCATGTTTATTCACAAGAGATATTGGTCTACAGCTTTCTTTTCTTGTGATGTTTCTGTCTGGCATTGGTATCAGGGTAATACAAGCATCATAAAATGAGCTGGGATGTTTTCCCTCCTTTATTTTTGGGGAAGTGTTTTAGAAGGATTGGTGCTAATTCTTCCTTAAATGGTTCATATAATTCACCAGTAACACCATGTAGTCCTGGGGCTTTTCTTTATTGGAAGTTTTTTGACTACTGATTGAATCTCTTTACTTGTCATAGGTCTATTTAGATTTTTTTTTTCTCTTTTTGATTCAGTTTTGGCAGTTTGTCTTTTGAGAAATTTATCCATTTCATCTATGTTATCGAATTTGTTAGTATACAATTGTTCATAGTATTCTCCTATAATCCTTTTTATTTCTGTAAGGTTGGTGGTAATGTTCCCGTTTTCATTTCTGATTTTTATAATTTGAGTCTTCTCCCTTTTTTCACTGGCCAGTCTAGCTAAAAGTTTGTCAATTCTGTCAATCTTTTCAAAGAAACAACTTTGGTTTCGTTGATTTTATCTATTGTTAAGGTAAGGACAAAGGCTCAGAAAGGTTAAGAAGGTTGAATGGGTATAAGCATCAGAGCTAGGCAGTCTGATTCCAGTATTACTACTATACTATACTATACCATATATACTGTTACTTTACTAATATATCCCTAAGAGGAATTCCCTGAGACCTGGTATCTTGCAGATGATGGGACATCATCCTATGCCCTCCTGCTTGCCTACCTGTCTTTTCCACAGACCTATATCTACCATTTAAATCAGTGTCCTTGTGAATACCCAGACATGTTCTTTCTTCCAACTGCTTGAGCTACCCTACACCAAGCACAAACTTACACATTTTCAATCCAGAAAATGCCTAAACAGTGCCATCCTTACCTAGGCCACGAGGCTGATCTCAGCTCCTCAGCCAGCTTCCCTTCTAGTTGATTTTTTTGGGAGCTGGACCTCCAGCTGGGATACTCTCTGGATGAGACTCTCCAGGTCCTTTTTGGCCTGAAGTCCTGGAGAGTAGAAAGCCCCAGTGCCATCAGACAGCCACACCTCATCCTCATCAGTGACACTATGAGGTGAAGACCCCTCCAGGGTGCCAACAGCTCCCAGCTTCCAGGGTCTTTCCAGACTAGACAAATAATCACTTGTAACCAAGAGGGACCAGACCCGGATCTTGAGGTTTTGAATGACCTTGTTGGCATTCTGCAGCTGGGCCTTCAGATCTTTGATGTCCTTTCGTAGGACTGAGATGTTTTCTGACTTTCCATATACCCAGAACTCTTCCTGCTTCCCTAGCTGGTTCTCCAAGGGCTTCCTCTCGGAGGAACTAGCCAGCGTTGAGCCCCGGCACCCCTGCTTAGAGCACAGCCCCTCCATCAGGACCATTTCCTTGAGGCTGTTGTGCTCCTCACACTCTGAAAAAAGACAAAGATGTCTTCCTAAATAAAAGTTGGATGTGCTGTTGTGGCCACTGCCTTTGAGAGGAGGCAGGTTTGGTCACGAGGACAATAATTACTATGGAAAAAGTTGAAGTAGTACTTTATTCAACCCTGACACTGTACTAAGCATTCAAATACAATATTTCTTATCCTCCTTATATCCACAAATTAGGTTTCACCACTTTCTATTTTACCGACTGGGGAAACCAAAACTTAAAGAGAGGTGGTCAACTAGCTTGTTCTAGATCACTCAAACTAGCACATGGCAGAGCCAGAATTCAAATCCTCCAATGTCCTGTGTTCATTCCACACACACTGATGTTTCTTAAGACATTAACGTGGCCTTATCTAGTTAGGATAGCCACAAGAATGTAGGACAAGCTATTTCTGCATGCTGCAAGTTTAATGCTCTCTAAATTTTAGTATAATTTAAAAGTTTATTGGGTTACAACTGTGTGAAAAATAGGCAAAGGAAAATAAGACTTCGAATAAATATATCAGCATGTTAACATCAGTGTATTGGGGCGGTGGTAGTCAGAATGAGAACTAATCCACAGCATTTTACCCAATGCCAGGCACTGTTCTAAAGCATTTTATAAGAATTTACTCGTTTAATTGACATTAGTACCTGATGGGGTGGGTAGTTCCTTTATTACTATTTTAACATTTGAAGAAACTGGGGCATAGGAAAGTTTACAAATCGGGATTTGAAGCAACAAGTCTGGCCCCAGGATCTTTTCTCTTAACTGCCACACTACACTTCCTCAAGAATGAGAGAGACTGTGTTTTTCTTCTCTTCTGGTTTTCAATGTGGTGGGTGGCCCTATAGTTGTAGTCCTTTTATAATGCAAAACAAAATTATTTTTAACTTACGGTTTGCATGTTTCCAAAACCTCATGTGGTCTCTAAGTAGGCCTTAGTATTTCTATAATAATCAGTTGGATAGAACTTTATATGATTATTATTATTATTAGCAGTATGCCACAAACTCATTGTAGAAATTCAAACTTATACTCAGCCTCATTTTGGGTAACAGTTCTCCTATTAACCTCCTGTCCTCCTCTTCCCCACTACTTGTCAGGTGTGGAATTGGCCAACAGCACCCAAATGTGACAGCTGACTCCAGGGAGGGAAGGTGAGCCCCATACCCTGTGCTCTTACCGGTACTGGTGGTTTCCTCCTGTTCAGCCTCATTCTTGCTTTGGCACAAGTCTCATAGCCCAGGTCCTGGAGGTCCACCTGGACCTGCTTGCTGTCCTGCTTCAGCAAGGGTTCACCTGCGTGGGAAGAGACAGCAGGTGTTACAGAATGTCTGAATTTCCCACATATGCCCTCAGCTTCAATGGCACATACCCTAACCTTGTGGGGCAGGGAGGGCAGCTCCACAGTGCGAGAGAAGCTTCTTTGAACTGGTGGGAGAAGAGACCACCAGCTCCAGGAAGCAGAATTTCTTTCCACAGGAGGAGCCTGCATTTGCCATTGATAATCTCCCCTTCAGATAACCTAGGCCTTAGTTGGGACGAGACATGTGTAAGTCAGGGATTGTGTACTCTCATCTCTAGCAGCCCCATTGAAGCTGGCAAGTGCTTTATCAGCAGGGGTTCAATAAATGTTGAATGTAAAACATGGCTGATTACTTTTTATTTTCAATCCAACAAATCTCCATTTCTGGTGAGAAAATCTTGCCAAAACCAACCAAACAAATGCATAAAAGTATATGAAAAAGAAAATGAAAGCTTCCCTGCCTCCCAATCCCACTTGCTTGGTGTCAGCTATTATTTATTACATGGAGGAAGGGGGCGAGGCACCCAGGAAGTCCCAAGTCCTGTTCTGACAATCATCTGGCCTCCCTGGGCAAAGGGAAAAGAGGGAAGGCAAAAAGAGTATAACATTACTGTTTGCAGAAATTTCCCCTTGGTACAGGAAACTCTGGTAAACTGAGAGAGTATGTTTTCCATGAGGGAGGCCTCAAGGGCTCTTCTCTGGCCCTAAGCCCAAACTGGATTTTGCCTCATTTTCTAAGATGCAAAGGAAATGGTAAAAGTTGATCAAAGGAGAGGGCAGAGAAAGAAAGAGGACGACTCCTCCCTCTCAGGTCCACCTTCCCTGGTGTTGCTTGAGGGATCAGAGGAAATGCATGAACATAGGTGCGTGGGAGCTACGGCTGCTCTATGAACTCAGTGCCCTCCAGTTATGAGCTATTGTGAGGTTCCATGATGTAATGGTGAGAGCTTTGGACTCTGAGTAACGTGATCAGCATTCAAGTCTCAGTGGGACCTTTCTGTATAATGCCAGTGATGTTCCTATTGCTCCCTAAGCGGAATGGGGGAAATTGCCCCAGTCATGGTCACCCACCCTCCAGGCCACTGGCTGTGTGCAATTGGAGTCCTGGACCCAGTGACCCAGCAAGACCCCTCCCCTCTCAGGGCGACCCTGGGCCTCCAGGTGACAGGTCTCCTCCACTGAAAAGGCTGCCTCCCCTCAATCCTAGACCCCGAGTTTTCTTTTATTCCCATCATTGGGCCGTTGCCCTGTATCTCTGTGGAAGAAATGACCTATATGAAAAACTTCACTTCCGGGATTCCCTAATTCCTTCATCCCTTAGGACGGCGCAGTTTTTCAGCTCCTGGTCTTGGCTCCAGTTCTAATGCACACGTTTCATTTTCTTTTCATGGGATCCCCTCCAACTGGCTACCAGTGGATTCCTGTCCTTGGGATCTCTGTGGACGGCAACTAGATGCTGCTCTTGTCCCAAATCCTGACACCTCTCTCCAGGAAATTGCCTCCCTCAGCCTCCTAAATCAGCCAATATTTAGATTTGGGCCTGGGATCGCAGCAACTGTGGAGAACAGAGGTTCCCGATCCCTGGCCAGCTCTCCCGCAGTGAAGGGGAGAGGAGCACAGCAGCTGGGAGGGGCAAGTCTGGGGCCCTGGGCAACCCCCTTCTTCCTGCCCAGACTCTGCTCCAAGGAGCAGTTGCCTTAGGACCAGATCAGATGGAAACTCTTTTGTTCTCTTCTCATCAGCAGAAAAATTTAGGCAAGAGCTCTGGAGGAACTTCCTAGCTCATAAAAATGGTGTGGCCAAATCTCTCCAGTTTTGGAAATGCCCAAGGTTACCAAGTATTTTGAGGGCTCACTTTGGAGCCTCTGAAAAGGAGGGGTGAGGGCCCATGGAAGGTACCTGAGGGATGCAGGGGAGAGAGGGGAAAGAGCAGACAGGAGGGAGGAGAGAAGGAGGGAGGGGGAGAAAGGGCGCATGAGGGCCAGGAGCCAGGATTCACCCTGACAGTTCAGTGACTGCTCCCTGCCCCCAAGGTTCCCACTGTGACACCTTGCAGCAGGTGGTTTTCATCTCTTATTGATATCCTATGAACTTGGCTCTATGGAACGGCCCCATCCTATTTGTCTGGCGTGAGTCCTGACAAAGTTTCTTTGCATCGTTTGGGGGATGAGATGGGGGTATATAGGTTTGCAAGTGACTAGGAGCTAAGTCAGGACCTTGTGGAGCCACTCAGAGTCAACTGTCAAGTAGCCTCCTTCCCCCATTCCCTTGCAGGACGATTGCCTGCAAGACAGGGCCTGGAGAAGTCCAGGGCACCCAAGGCCACAGAAATGTCTGGGGATGAGTCCCGGCTGCAGATGCCTTGGCTGAACTCACTGTGTACTTCCAGGGTGCACAGGGCAGGGACTCTGGGGGTCTGGCCGGGAGACTGAGCAAGGGGACCAGGGAGGCTATGCAGAAGGCTTCTGCACAGCAGGACAGACATTCTTCTTGGAGCCCCCAACCTGAATCAGGTCTTCCACGTCCTCTTCGTGAAGACCCTTTACTGCAGTCATTCTTTTACTAGAACTGCAAGTTTATAGAACATAGATTTCAGTGCACTCATCTGGCCAACCATCTTCAGTGGCCAATGCCCAAGGTAATCCCTCCCTACCAAGACCTGAACTCAGGACCTTACCTTAAGGAGAAGATGTCCTGTTCTTTCTTTCCCACCAGAACTGCCCTGGCCCAGACCCCATTTCTGTCTGGTGACCAGGACAGTCCCCTCACCAGTCTCCCAGGTTGGGGAGGGCAGATTCTCCTCAACTCCCTGCCCCTGAGAGATCCCAACAGTCTTGTGTGTCTCCAGCCCACAGAGGACTATCCATGGCCCATATCTCTCAAAACTCTCCCCTCCCACTCTGAATCCACCCTCCACTGCATGCTCCCCTCACAGAACAGACGTGGTTTTTTTTCGTGTCCTCGTTTTGCCTACCCATACCCCATATTGACTTTTCTGTCTTAGAACTACCTGTCCCTCTTTGGACAGTGTCTTCTTGGTACTACACATGAAGATGTCCTGCTCTCCCCTGCTCAAGGATAGAGTGCCTGACCTGAGCTGGGCCCATCAGATCTAGTACTTACCCGGAATAGGAAAAAGATGGAGAGGGTGACCAAAGATTACAAAAATCTCCGAAGCTTATCCACTTGAGAGAGAGTCCCTGAAGATACTGGCCTTTCATTCCCGCTATGTATATCCAATGTGACTGAACTCTGAATAACATATACAGGTTATAATAATGTAGTAGTTGGCCCTCAAACTAGGACACAAACATGTTAGAGGGTAAGGTAGTGAGAGGCATGTTTGGGGGTGGTGGTGATGAGCAAGTATGTGAAGGAGAGATAGTGCCTACACTTGAAAATCAAAAAGTGATAATATCTATTTAGACATAAGGAGATAAATAACTAAATACTTGCTTCTATGTGATGAAACTCTGGGAGTACACAAGGGGACTGCTGTTTTACTAAACAAATTTTCAAGTCTATGTAACTTTGATAAAGTATCCAAATAAAAAAATTCCTTTCCCATATATGTATGTGTGTATATATGTATTTGTATACACATATATATTTGCATTTTTGTATTTTGAATGTAAATTTTTATACAGCCCTGTGAACCCCTCTTTTCATTTAAGGATTTGAGTTTGATGTCATGCATGCAATGTGATCCCACTGTGTGACTACAGAAATGTTGGCAAAAGTAAGTTCAGAGGAAATGGTAGGCAAGTACTTCCCAGTTTTGGCCAGAAGATGGAGAAAAAAAGAATTCTCATAGAATATTAAAAGTGTGACTTGTTACAGCTTCTTTTCATAGTAATTTGGATAGAAATTAGCAAATTCAGAAATGTATAAATACTTTGGTCTGACAATTCCATCTCCAGTTATCTACGGAGAAATAGACAAGTGATGCACGACAGATACATGTGTCAGTCTGGTCCCTGCAGTTGTATTTGTAATAATACACATTGGAGCAATTTCATGGCCATCGGTTAGAGAATGTTTGAAGAATGACCCATTAATATCAGGAAGGACGTTTCAAAGATCAAAGCCTGATGGAAATGCTGGAGGCCGTGACGCTGATAGGAGCTCATGCGTGTTGACCAACTGCTATGTGACAGGCATTGGCTCCACGCTTTTCCTGCGCTGCTCATTTAAACGTTGGACAAATTAAGTGTTCTGATTTAGCCCATTAGACAGATAGAAATGGAAGAACAGAAAATTAATGTGTTTAACTTTAAACGCTAGCAGATTAGGTTTTTCACCCAGAGCCTGTGGTTTCACCATAGGCGTGATTCAGGTTCTGTTGTTCTCCACTTTAGGAATTCCCTGTATTCCAAATATGAGAAGCTGAGAAAACAAACAAACAAACAAACTCAAAACCCTAAAAACCGGGATAAGTAAGGGTAGATGTTTGCTGGGTGTGGATTAATAATGAACTTTTTTTGCCCTAAGCAACAAAGAGGCACCTTGGAAAATAGACAAGGGACAAGAAGAGGAGAAGCTTTAAGATATATTTGGTCCAAGGAAGAGACTCTTCAGAGGGAAGGTCACATCAGCTAGAAACACTAATGCGACTGGATGGGCTCAAACCACCGACTTTTCAGTCAACTTCCAACAGCACTAACCTAGTGTTCCAGAGACACTGCTTGTTAAACAGTGAAAGCTGTTGCTCAATTGTGTCATCCATAATTGTCAAATATTGTCATTTAGTAGCACAAGGAAGTATTCTCTGTTGCCAAGCTAGAGTACCCATAACTCTTCTGTTTTGTTGAACATTCTTCCCCACCACAAACCCTCTTTAGAAGACTGGGGGCTCCTAAAACATTGAGGCCAAGCGTCCTGTCCTTGTGCACGTTTGGGCATTGGCCCAGGGCCAAATCAGTGGGAGACTCCTCCACGCACATGCCAGGTCCCCAGGTGACAACTGCAGTCCCTGGATCTGAGGTCATCTACTTTCCCATTCCTAGCTCACCTCACCCATCGTGAAGCCTGGTCAGGATTGCCAGAGACCCGAGTGGGCAGGTGCCTGCACTAAAGACAGAACCTGCTGTGTGCCCACCTTGCTGATCCCTCCATCCTTCTAGACAAGGCTTTGTGAGCCAAGGACCTTGGGTTTGCTCACAAGGCAGCCCCTCACCTAGTAGGCATTAGTTCATTATGTATAGTATATGTATATGTATATGTATATGTATAATGTGTATGTGTATGTGCATATGTATATGTATATGTATATGTAGTCCTCAGGTTGTATTCCTTAAATATATATAATATATGTAATTCCTTAAATATATAATTTTAATACAAAATTTTTAAAAGATTCCTTTCATAAACATTTACAATAACACCAAGAAATATAAACTACATAGCAAAGATGTGAAAGCCAGCGAGGCTCAGCTTCAAATCCTAGCACTTAGGAAGGCCGTGGCAGGAGGGTCACTTGAGCTCAGAAGCTTGAAACTAGCTTAGGCAACATAGTGAGACCTCATCTCTACTGAAAATCAGAAAAATTATCCGGGTGTGGTGGTGTGAGCCTGTAGTCCCAGGTGCTCAGTGGATGAGACCCTAGGATGTCATCGGCCTGAGAATTCCATGCTGCAGTGAGCTGTGATCTTGCCACTGTACTCCAGCCTGAGTGAAAGAGTGAGATCATGTCTAGAAACAAAAGAAGAAAAAAAAAAGGGGGTGAAAGCCTATATATTGAAGACTACCAAGTATTGCTAAGAGCAGTTAAAGACGTTTGGAATAGAGAACGTTCCTTCTTGCATTTCAAGATTGCTTTTGTTTTGGGGGGACACTTGCTATTTTTTAGGAACATGAAGTTCTTCTCAGGCATTCCTGTAAAAAAGGCCACTTTTTGATAGGATTGTATTGAGTCTGTGGATTGCTTTGAGTTGTATTTTTATCTTAACCATGTTACAACTTCCAACCCATGGACACAAGGTGTCTTTCCATTGATTTAGGTCTTCCTTAGTCTCCTCGAGCAATGTTCTGTAGTTGTCTGTGTACAAGTACTGCACCTTCTTGAACAAATTTATTCCCAGGCATATTATCCTTACAGGTGCTATTATAAATGAAATCATTTTGTCAGTTTTCTTCTCAGATAGTTCATTGCCATCACAATGGATTGTTTGCTGAAAGTTTGCTGAATTCACTTATTAACTCTGATAGTGTGTGTGTGTGTGTGTGTGTGTCTGGTGTCTGTGTGCATGTATGTGTGTTTGCCTTTGTATGTATTGTTTGGGATTTTCTATACATAGGATCACACCATCTGCAAATTGAGATCATTTTGTTTTCTGTTCAAAAATATTTTTTCTCATGTTTATTTTTGAAAGATAATTTGGCCAGGTGTAGACTTGTAGGTGACAGTTTTTCTTTTTTTAAATACTTTATTGCAAACTTCTTGTTTGTAAAGTTTCCTATGAGAAATCTTATGCCATCTTTATATTTAGTGCTCTGTATGTAACATGTTCTTTTCCCTTTTATTACTTTTAGGATTTCCTTTTTATCACCGGTTTTGATGGATTCGATTAAGGTGTTCCTTGGTGAAGTTTTCTGCATGTTTCTTGTTCTTAGGATAATCATATTTCTGTAATATTTGAAGTTTATTGTTTCCATGGAGCTTCTAAATCTTTCATCCAGTATGTTTTAAATATCTTTGTCTCTCTTCTCCACTACCTGCCCTTCAGGGATTCCATTTAGCCCTTTACTAGGGTGTTTAAAGTTTTTATGCTGATGGTCTTTTTATGTTTTCAAGTCATTTGTTAATGTGTGTTCCATTTATGTTAGTTTCAACTTCTATTCCTTCTAGTTCAATAATCTTCTCTTCTGCAATGTTTAATCCAGTGCCTTCTTCCATTTCACACTGTAAATCATAGTTTTTATCTACAGAATTTGATATTTAAAAAATCTTCAACCTCTCCATTTAATTAAAATACAATTATACTAATTGCTGTAATGTCCTTTTCTTCTATTTCCAACTTGTGTGTCAATTTCAACCAGATTATTAGATTCTTCATTATGTGTCATGTTTTCCTGCTTCTTTGGCTGCTTGATATTCTTTTATTTTTATTTATTTGTTTTTGGGGGGATGGAGTTTCACTCTCATTGCCCAGGCTGGAGTGCAATTGTGTGATCTCAGCTCACTGCGACCTCTGCCTCCCAGGTACACAAGCGATTCTCCTGTCTCAGCCTCCCAAGTAGCTCAGATTACAGGCATGCACCACCATGCCCAGCTAAATTTTTTGTGTTTAGTAGAGACGGGGCTTCACCATGCTAGTCAGGCTGGTCGTGAACTCCTGACCTCAGGTGATCCACCCGGCTGCTTGATATTCTAAGATTTGATGCTGGAGCTTTGGTGTTAATGCTCAAAAGTGCCCAAAGACACCACTCGACCTCAGTGTCTATGCACACCCAAGCTTTTGCAACAGGAGAGGTAGAGACAGCAGAGATGAGTGTGCTACAACATGCTGGTAGAGGGTACCCCAATTGTGCTTGGGGCTTCCTGTGCCTCATAGAAAAATGTGCCTTCCTTAATTTTTCCCATAAGAACCACCCTACTTCATGCCCTGTCTCTCTGTCCAAACACCAGGACAGCCCTCAGACCAGTCTCAACCACCCAACGGATTGACAAAGGTCCAAATATGATTCAGTGGAGAAGGCATTCTCTTGTCAACAAATTGTGTAGAAACAACTGGACATGCATATCCCCAAAGGAAAAAGATTCACCTGAACCTCAATACTGACTCAAAAACTAACTCAAAATGGATTATGCAACTAAATATAAACTATAAAACTAGAAAAAGTATAGCAGAAAATATAAGACAAAATCTTCACGACACAGTTAGGCAAAGTGTTCTTTGTTATCAAGAAACACAAACCATTAAAGAAAACATTGATAAATTCAACTTGATAAAAATTAGAAGTTTTTGCTCAACACGAGACAGTATTAAGAGAACAATATAAGCTGCAGATTGGGAGAAAAACAGGGGAAATGACAAATGTGACAAAGGGCAAGTGTGATAGTTACTTGCACGTGTCACTGTGACCGAGCACCGGGGTGCCGGGACATTCGGCCAAATGTGATTCTGGTTGTGTTCCAGAGAGTGTTTCGCATATGATTAACATCGGGATGGGCAGACTAAGTGAAGCAGATTGCCCCACTTAACGAGGGGGGGACTCATGCAATCAATCAGAGGTCAGGAGAGAATTAAGAGGCCTAATGAGAAACAAATGCTTTCCTGGGTATCCAGCTTTCCTTCCATCTTGGGAATTTCAGCCTCCATAATCTCAGAAGCAAATTCACATATGTATACACACACATATACATTTCATAGGTATGTGGCTAAGAGTGTATTTTTAAAAGTTCAGCCATGAGATGATTGGTGAAGCCAGCCAATGAATAAGGGTGTGTTCTGTTATATGACTCGGTCTTCTTTTGTATACGATTGAAGTTCTGCATTTGAAGTAGGAGGATAGGAGAGAGCAAGTCCACCTAGGACGATAACAGCTGAATTTCTCAACAGACACTTCAAAGCCCTAGGGGTTAACTTAGAGAGTCAAAAATCCCACCTATAACCCTGTCCCTTAACACCAGGGCTAGGGAACACTGTGGTCCTCAGGTGATTTTCTTTCACTTGGTCTGGGAGCCACACAAGGGCAGAGGGAGCAGGAAACACTAAGCAAATCGAGGCCAGGACAGCAGGGAGGGCCTGTTCATGACAGAACACAGGTAAAACTATCCTCAGAGAGAGCATGTGGAAAAACACAGATCATGCCTGAGACCTGGTGGATTAGAGCACTGGCTACTGGGGAATTGAAAGGAAGGGGCTTCACCATGCAGAGGACCAGAGGTGCCAGTCCTGGAAACGCAGAATTGCTGGGAGATGGGGAGGCATGGACAAAGGAAGCATCCTCAGGAGACTCATGGTGAAGAGAACAAATGAAGTAACTGGCAGAAATTATAGGTCCTGGTAGAACAAAATAGAATCCCACAACGAGAACATACACCATGTATGTCCCGCAAGGAAGACAATAGCTCCTAAAAACACAAGAAAAATCATTTTGGGCAAACACCTTATATCCAGTAATGCGATCCATGTATCAAGACCGTGAGGAAGATTATTAAACATGCTAAACTCAGCGAGACCTGATTCCCTCATGAGGACTCTGTTAGGATGAGTACCACTCAGCAAGTGATGACTGTGACATTCACTTTTGAACAGCTCATGAGCATTAATATATTTAATTGTGGATCTAAACCAAAAACCAAGGTGTGGGCAAGATGACAACCACAGAATGTCACTGGTGTATGTTTAGGTTCAAATACGATTATGAGAAGTGGCAGGTAAAGGAGGTAGGAAAAAGAAAACACATCATGTAATTGACTGTCATATGGAAATATTTGACGTTGAAAGTCATAATTTAAAACGTATAAACCAAATATTAGAAGTGTGTCTAGTTCAAAGGGGGGAAAACTATGAAACATTTTTAGTCAATATCAAACATGAGCTACACAACCCTTCCTAAATGCCAGAGGCACACGCAGACACACACACACACACTCTCACAAAGAATATAAATATCTAGAACCAAGAAATGGAGTACATGCATTCTGCTACATATGGTAAACATAGCCTACAAGGTGGAAGAGATTAGAAAATAAACAGGGAAATGAAAATGTTTTTATTAATTCGCATCAGTACCCACCAAAACCAATCAGCATAACAAAAGATTATAACGCTGAATGTAAAAAACAATCCAACAGTCCAGAGTGATAGGCAAAAGTTTTTAATTGTATAGATTAAAATAACTTTGGACAAAAATTAAAACTCAGGCAGAGAATGTTTTTTTTTCAACAACACACACTAGCAAAAACAAAGGCACAGTAAACATTGAGGCAGAAAGTTTCCAGCGTAGAGATATGAATATAATAATAGACACAGGCAGGGATGATTAATAAATGATAAAATGTTTACAGGATGATCACTGGAATACAGGACATTTCTACTTTTAAAAACCACTCTCCCAAATACTTCATCATAAGTAAGGTGTCTCTAAAAGGGACAGATCTCCTAGACCCCTCCTTAACCAAGTAACCAGTCCTGATATCATGATAATGCTGATGGACAAACTAGACCTTCTCTGCCCACAGATGGGCTGAGGTTGGAAACTCACAGTATCGACTCTGTAGTGTTCTTGATGAAACGTTTAGGCTGAATTTAATCATGAAGACATTTTCAGACAACTTCAGAATGTAGACCATTGAGCCAGACAGCTGACCTGTCCTCTACAAATAAGTCCATGTCACCACAATCAATGACAACAACAAAAAGATGAGGAAATATTTGGGGTTCAAAATAACTAAAGAAATGAGCTACATTATCATTTACTTCTTCTGAACCCAAAATATCTCTCCTCCTTTTTGTTGTGTGATTCGTGGTGACGTGGACTGTGTGAAGGAGACAGGTCAGTTGTCCTGCTCAGTGTTCTACATTCTGCAGTTGTCTGGTGATTACCTCCTATGAAACTCAGGCTAAGCGTTTTCTGCAAGAACATGGCATTGTTCATATTCTGCACCGGCAGAGTCCCGGGTGACATGCTGTCTCTTGCCAGCGGCTCCTGACTCCTGTTCTTTACAGGATGGAATTGAAAGGAGCAGGGCTAAGGCCTCTCAATGCTGTTTGTCCATCTAGCTGTGGTCTTCCTAAGTATTGATATCAATTGGAGGCTGAAGGACTATGGCTTCTCTACTCAAAGGAGCCTAGTGGGTTAACAACTGTCAAGAGCAGTCAGTGGTTCTGAAATACAATCCTCAGCCAAGGATCCCTCCTGTGTTACAGATGGATCAGCTAAAACAAACCAACACTGAAGATACAAAGAATGGGGTTAGGTTCAATGAAACCAGGGTAACACCTTTGGATGAGCTAAACACAAAGATGACACTGACCTTGAGCAGGTATAGCAGCTCAGAGACATGCCTGCAAAATGAAACCCCTGAGGAACTTTGTAGCTACCCAGAGATATCTGGTTCAAATTAGAATGTCTGGCAGATCACTCCCGGCATGTGCTACATAGTCGTGTGAACGTGTCACACCTAACTTGGGTCCAATGTCTTCAGACTGAGCACAGGTGGCCACTGGCATGGTCTGAGAATAGGAATAGAGCCATGCCCACTTTCCCATCCTATGACTGGGCTTCCAAAGGGAACTACAGTTTCATTCAAACCTACATGTGCCTATACGTCCTGCCTGCAGCAATGACATCTCTCAGCTTAGTAAGGGCTGCTTAGTGTGGGAATATGACTCCCATCTGGAAGGCCAGGTGGTGCCTTATCACTGTCAAAGTAAAAAACCTATTGTCCACGTCAAGGGCCAAGCTGACGTCCTGTTCCTCAAATGAGTAAAAGGCACTTCTGTACTGCTGGAATGAGGCATGTAGTTGAAAGTAAGTTGAAGTAGTCGAATAACATCTATCCAGTGAGTCCTGCAAGACTTCAGGCTCTTCTGCTTCCATCAGCACCTCGTTGAGCCTGGAAAAGGAGACAAAACTAAAGCAGCCAGGGAAAATCAGACACCACAGAGCCCCAACTAGATTTCAGGGGTAACATAAGGAAGTGGTCAAAAAAGGAAAAGGATAGGTCCATTAATGAGGTAAAAAAATTATTGCCTTTATGTTGGGATAGAACAGGGCCAAGTAGAAAACAATGAAAGAGAAAGACAGAGAGTGAGAGAGAGAGACAGAGAGAGAGAGAAAGTGAGCTCAGTGAATTGGCCAGGTGACACATTGATGAGGGAGTAAAAGGACACTGTGAGTTAGTGCCCTCAGGACACACAGCAAACAGTGATCATGAGAAGAGTGAGCTCAATAGTTTTCCATCAAGTGTGCTTAAAATTCCATGCAGTCGCCATAAGGGTACAACTTCTGAGGTATGGTCAACCTATGGTACATTAGTAAATGATAAGGGGAGGAAGAAATGAAAACCTAAACGTCTACTGCAATGAAAACCAATAGCAATGTCAGCAGGAGTAATTCAGCCTTCATTGAAAACATGAAATCAAACACACTGTTTTCCCTGGATCTGTTGTCTCCAGGTGTTAACACAGAATTAAGCGACCACAATTGCTGAAAGTTACCTGGGGCATGGTGGCTTTTGATCTTCTTCCCCTTCTTGGTACTTTTCAATTTCTGCAATAAATTCAGACATGGACAGACACATTAAGCTGATTCCCCTACACACATAACATTCCACTGTCTAATCCTCACACAGGGACCTCAGGCTCCTCAGCATAAGAATAGGACACTGTGAGAGATATATTTCAGGAGGCCTGAAGGATGGTCATGATAGAGATTCCTTGGTTTTTGTCCCAGAAACTAAGGGTAAAATGTCCCTATTCTGGTAGATCATTATCCCAATATCATTTGTCCCAAGTTTGTGCAAACGGTTATGCCATATCTTTCCAATCAATTTAAAGCAAATGCCCTCAAACGATTTATAGGAGAAAAACTGCAGTATTCAGCCCTGTCTCATCAAATACTCAGATTGTTCATGGTTGTGAGGATTTTAGACACTGAAATTAGAGTGAGAAAGGAAATCTACAAACCCTTGAGTCAAAATCATAGTTCTCTGAATTTGTCCCATCTGCCCAGGTCCAATGCCTTGAGAGTAGAATCAGAGTGCCACAGGCATGGCCTGAGACTAGGAAGAGAGCCACGCTCACTGACCCATCCCATGTTTGGGCTTCCAGGTAGAACTAGAGTTTCGTTCAACCTATATGTGCCTATAGGTCCTCAGTGCAGCAATGACATCTCTCAGCTCAGTAACGGCCTCTTAGAGCAGGAATAGGATCTCTATACGGAAAACTCAGTGGATCCTTATCACCTTCATAGAAAGGTACTCACCATCCACGTCAAGAGAAAAGCCAACGTGTTCTTCCTCCAATGAGTAAAAGCAACTTCCGTAGGGCTGGCATGAATCAGGCAGTTCTGGATAACTGAAAGGAGTCGAATACCATCTATCCAGTGAGTCCTGCAAGTCCTCAGGCTCTACTACCTCCAGCAGCTCTCTGCTGAGCCTGGAAAAGTAGAAAAAGTAAAGAATAAGCCAGGGGAAATCAGACACCACAGAGCCCCAACTAGATTTCATGGGTAGCATTAGGAAGTGGTTAAAAAAGAAAAAGGATACATCCATTAATGAGGTAACAAATTATTGCCTTCAGTTGGGATGGAACAGGGCCAAACAGAAAAGAATGAAAGAGAAAGACAGAGAGACAGAGAGACAGAGGCAGAGAGAGAGAGAGCGAGCGCTCACTGAATTGTCCAGGTGACACACTGAGGAGGGAGTACAGGACACTCTGAGTTAGTGCCCTCAGGACACACAGCATACAGTGATCATGAAAAGACTGTGCTCAATAATTTTCCATAAAATGTGCTCAAGTTTCCATGCAGTCACCATGAGGATACAGCTTTTGAAGTATGGTCGACCTACAGTAGGTTAGTAAGTGATAAGGGGAGGAAGAAACGGAAACCTAAATATCTACTGCAATGAAAACCAATAGCAATGTGAGTAGGAATAATTCAGGCTTGGTTGAAAACATGTAATCGATAATGTCGGCCTGCTCTGCTTTCCCTGAACCAGGAGTCTCCAGGTGTCAACACAGAATTAGCTGTTGACAATTGCTCAAACTTACCTGGGGCATGGTGGGCCTTGGTCTTCTTCCTCTTCTTGGTCCTTTTTAATTCCTGCAATAAATTCAGACAGGGACAGACAAGATAAGCCAATTCACCTACACCCATAACAGTCCACTGTCTAATCCCCACACAGGGACCTCAGGCTCCTCAGCATGAGAACAGGACAATGTGAGAGATATACTTCAGGAGGCCTCAAAGCTGGTCATGATAGAGATTCTTTGGTTTGCATCTCAGAACCAAGGGTGAAATGTCCCTATTCTGGTAGACAGTTATCCCAAAATCATTTATCCCAAGTTTGTGCAAACAGTTATGCCTTATTGCTCCCATCGGTACCCCAAAGAAAATGCCCCAGATGATTTCTAGGAGGAAAACTGCAGTATTCAGCCCTGTCTCATCAAATGCCCAGCTCATTCGTGGTTGCAAGACACTGAAATTTGAATGAAGGAGGAAATCTACAAACCCTTGAGTCCAAATCATGGTTCTGTGAATTTTTTACACCTGCCTGGGTCCAATGTGCTGAGAGTGGGCTCAGGTTGCCACAGGCATGGCCGGAGACTAGGAATAGAGAGCCATGCTCACTGACCCATTTCATGTCTGGGCTTCTAACTGAAACTACAATTTCATTACAACCTCTATGCGCCCACGGGTCCTGCCTGCGGCAATGACATCTCTCGGGTCAATAAGGACCACTTGGAACAGGAATATCACCCATATCTGGAGGACCAGGTGGAGTCTTATCACCTTCATAGTAAGGTACTCACTGTCCAAGTCAAGAGCCAAGCCAAGGTGTTGTTCCTGCAATGAGTAAAACTCACTTCTGTAGGGCTGGCATAAGTCAGGCAGTTCCAGGTACCCACAGGGAGTTGAATAAAATCTATCCAGTGAGTCCTGCAAGACTTCAGGCTCTTTCTCATCCAGCAGCTCCCTGCTGAGCCTGGAAAAGTAGGAAAAGTAAAGAATAAGCCAGGGGGGGCGTTCTCGGCGCGGAGTGGAGTGGAGCGGAGCGGGCTGGTGCTGGGGGCGCGGAGAGCGCAGTGCTGGCCGGGGCCGGGAGCGGGGCCGAGCGGGAGCGGAGTCGGGCGTCGGGCCCGGGGAGCCGGGGCCGGGCGGGGAGCAGCCATGGCACCGCGGAGGGTCGGGGCCCGCGCCGCTGCGGGCGGCCTGGGCGCCGAGTAGCCGGGCCGGGCCGGAGCGCGGGCGGCGGCGGAGGCAGCTGCGCCCGCGCCTCCTGCCCTCCCAGGCCCCGCGCCCCGCGCCCGGGCCCCGGCGATGGTGACACATGCGGCGGCGGCGCGCCAGCGGCAGGACCATGGTTGAGCGCGCCAGCAAGTTCGTGCTGGTGGTGGCGGGCCCGGTGTGCTTCATGCTCATCTTGTACCAGTACGCGGGCCCAGGACTGAGCCTGGGCGCGCCCGGCGGCGGCGCGCCGCCCGACGACCTGGACCTGTTCCCCACGCCCGACCCCCACTACGAGAAGAAGCACTACTTCCCGGTCCGCGAGCTGGAGCGCTCGCTGCGCTTCGACATGAAGGGCGACGACGTGATCGTCTTCCTGCACATCCAGAAGACGGGCGGCACCACCTTCGGCCGCCACCTCGTGCAGAACGTACGCCTCGAGGTGCCGTGCGACTGCCGGCCCGGCCAGAAGAAGTGCACCTGCTACCGGCCCAACCGCCGCGAGACTTGGCTCTTCTCCCGCTTCTCCACCGGCTGGAGCTGCGGGCTGCACGCCGACTGGACCGAGCTCACCAACTGCGTGCCCGGCGTGCTGGACCGCCGCGACTCCGCCGCGCTGCGCACGCCCAGGAAGTTCTACTACATCACCCTGCTACGAGACCCCGTGTCCCGCTACCTGAGCGAGTGGCGGCATGTGCAGAGGGGTGCCACGTGGAAGACGTCGTTGCACATGTGTGATGGGCGCACGCCCACGCCTGAGGGGCTGCCGCCCTGCTACGAGGGCACGGACTGGTCGGGCTGCACGCTACAGGAGTTCATGGACTGCCCGTACAACCTGGCCAACAACCGCCAGGTGCGCATGCTGGCCGACCTGAGCCTGGTGGGCTGCTACAACCTGTCCTTCATCCCCGAGGGCAAGCGGGCCCAGCTGCTGCTCGAGAGCGCCAAGAAGAACCTGCGGGGCATGGCCTTCTTCGGCCTGACCGAGTTCCAGCGCAAGACGCAGTACCTGTTCGAGCGGACGTTCAACCTCAAGTTCATCCGGCCCTTCATGCAGTACAACAGCACGCGGGCGGGCGGCGTGGAGGTGGATGAGGACACCATCCGGCGCATCGAGGAGCTCAACGACCTGGACATGCAGCTGTATGACTACGCCAAGGACCTCTTCCAGCAGCACTACCAGTACAAGCGGCAGCTGGAGCGCAGGGAGCAGCGCCTGAGGAGCCGCGAGGAGCGTCTGCTGCACCGGGCCAAGGAGGCGCTGCCGCGGGAGGACGCCGACGAGCCGGGCCGCGTGCCCACCGAGGACTACATGAGCCACATCATTGAGAAGTGGTAGTGGCGGTGGTGGCCACGGGGAGGCCTCTTGGGGTGTGTGGGGGATAAAACAGGACAGACGACAGGTCCACCCAAGACTGTCAAGGGATGAGCATCCCAAACCTGCTCCACAGAGGTAGCTGCGTCCTGAAAAAAAACACAGCAGGGACATAGTGGGGCTGGGCAGGGATGGGGCTTGAGAAATCAACAGGTGCAGCCCAGTGGGTCAGAGGAAAGCGTGCTCGAAGGATGCCATGGTCAGGGCAGAGCCTCCAGAGCAGGTGTTGTGCCTGGAGCTGCTCTCCTGGCCTCCTTGGATTTATCGCAAAAACTGAAGGTTTGCGTGAGAGACGAGGACAGCGGAAAGTGGACCTGCCAGGCCGGGAGTGTGTCCCTCACCAACTATGCACACAGCACTCGCTCTTAGCTCCTCTGTCCGGGCTACTAGGAGTGAGACCAGCTTCTGGCAACTGCCCCAGCTCCAGGCCATCCCATAGCTCCTCCTCTTCTGGCTGCCCCCAATGCCCCGAGGCCTGGGGAGCCCCCAGCTCACCCATCTGTAGCTCCCTCAAAGTCAGGGCCCACCCCATCTGAGGCAGAGAAGACTCGAGTCCAGCCCCCAGGAAGCCTGCTCCCCTCTCTGGCCCATGGTCCTGCTTCATGCTTTGGGTCAGGAGGCCAAAGCTGATGTTCAGGCCCCACCCACTCCCTACAGTCCTCAGACCAAGGAGGGTTTGGGTAGTAGGCCCGAGCTGCATTTCCGGCCTTCCGTGGGCCAACTGGCAGCCCAGGAGTGGGGAGGCTTTGGCCAGGCATGCTGCCACTTGTGCGTGAGTCCGCGGCTGGCCCTTGGAGGTGACCATCCAGGCAGGCCTGGCTCAGACTGGAAGGGCTGGGGACCGAGGGCTCCCCTGCCTCTGTTCTCCTTTCTGACCCACTGGGATTTGCTAGCAGGCTGCCCCAGCCCCATCACCGAAACACATACTCAAGAGCTCAAATACCACTGCTCCCACCAGCGTACGGATTAAGTTCATCAGGCTTCCATCGGCTGGAGCATGGGACCATAGCCCCTGCCCAGGAGCCATACCCTCGGACCACAGTGGCTCTGTATGGCCAGGAACTGGGACTCGAGCTTTCAGATTCTCAACTAGCCTTGGCAAAACAGCTGTAGGCGGCCTCCCTGACAACAGACACTCAGCCCTCCCCACCCTGGCTCTCCTTGCATTTCCCCATGCTCCCCACCCCCTGGCAAAAGGCTGGCCATGCTCTGTTCCCAGCAGCCGCGCAGGTTTCCCCACTGGCTGCAATGGCCCTACTAAAAGCCACGTTGCATATCCGTTGTAAGCACGTGCCCTGTGCCCTGTCCCCATTCCTTATGCCCTAGGAGGCCAAGCTGGTGTCTCTAGGAGGGCCCACACGGGCACCCTGGATCCCCCAGAGAGCAGATTGGTGTGCTCAGGCCGCAGGCTGACTCAGAGCTAGGGCAGTGGGCTCTGCAGGCCACCTGGCTGGGGTTGGTGGGGGTCCTCTCTCCTGCCCCAGCTTCCACTCAGCCACCACAGTTGCCCCACCATGGGGTGGAGACGTGGGTCACCACCGGCTTGGGAGCAAGCGCCTTCTGCAGCACAGGAAGCCGAAGCTGGGGTCAGATGAGGTTGCTACCCCTGGAGGTCTGGCATAAGGGCCCCACCCTCAGGTCTCCTACACTGGCCCCATTTTACTTTGGGGTCCAAGGACAGGATGGTCAACAGGGCAGGGTGGACAGCGTGCCAGCGCCGCGCAGGGCCACCTCCCTGGGTGGATGCATCACACTAAGGAAGCGAGTGCCAAGGGGATTTAGTGGTGTGGTTCTTTCAAAGGGAGGTCAGGGTAAATGGGAATCTGCTCGGACACTCAACATGGGGGTGGGTGCACTCCTTGGAGGAGGAGGAACATGTTCAGGGGATCGTGAGGTCTTGCACAAGCCACGTGGGGCACCTTGGCTTCCCGGCAGGAGGTGGACACCCAGCCAGAGGCCTGGCTCAAGGTGACCTCACCTTCACCATGGGCTTCCTGGGTGCGCGGGCCTGAGCGCAGGTTGTTTTGTACATATTGGAATATGTGTTAACTTATGCCCCGCATCCCAACTCACACGGAAGCACGGGTCTTGTCTCAGTCTCTTCGCTGCATTTGGAAAGCAGTCTCCTCTCGGGCCAGCGCCGGGCTGAGGTGTCCAGAGGCGGCGGCAGCTGGCAGTGCCCTCAGCCCCCAAGTGTCCAGCCTGGCACTTCCCATTCAGGCCACCTGCTTTGGGTCAACAGTTCCTTTGCCAGCAGCATCTCCTAAATTGTAAGGACTCTGTCCACCCGGGGTCCTCCCAGGGCTGTGAGGACGGAAACAGGCAGGCAGTGGAGCTAACAGCTTAGTCACCAGGACCCCCAGACCTGCAAACGTCCCCTCCTGGAAGGGGAAGCCAGGAACAGCAGAACTGCCCACAAAACAAGGCTGTGAACTTTTCGGGAACTGGAACTGTTTAACTTGAACCCAGGATTGTTTAAAGCTTTATTTATTTATAGATTCTTCTTAAAAAAAAAAGTGTTGAAGAAATTTTTTGGTTATTCATACAAAAAAATGAGTTGATGATGGAAAAGCAAGTCATAATCATCTAATTGTTTTTGTCTAGGTCAAGAATGAATGTTAGCTGATAAAATAAACCCTGACAAGGAAAAAAAAAAAAAAAAAGAAATTTTACCAGACGCATATACAAAAAAGTGTGTGTGTGTGTGTGTGTGTGATCTGCACTATTTGCTTATATAAAATAACCCTGGAAGGTCACTTAAGAAACTGATAGGGCAGGCACGGTGGCTCATGCCTGTAATCCCAGCACTTTGGGAGGCCGAGGCGGGAGGATCACCTGAGGACAGGAGTTCAAGACCACCCTGGCCACCATGGCAAAACCCCTCCTCTACTAAAAATACAAAAATTAGCTGGGTGTGGTGGCTCACGCCTGTAATCCCAGCTACTTGGGAGGCGGAGGTGGGAGAATCGCTTGAACCCGGGAGGCAGAGGTTGCAGTGAGCCAAGATTGTGCCACTGCACTCCAGCCTGAGAGACAGAGCGAGACTCCATTTCAAAAAAAAGAAAAAGAAAAAGAAAAAAGAAACTGATAATGCTTCTCATGGTAACTTGGTGGCCAAAAAAGAAAAAGACAAAAAAAAAAAAAGAAAAAAATTGTATACATAAAAAGAAAAAGAAGCTGATAATGCTGCTTGCCTCCAAAGAAGGAAGGGGAATATCTGGGCTCAGAGGTGAGAGGGAGCCGTTTTACTGTGTACCCTTTTGAAATGTGAAACTTGTGAACATGTGACATAATCAGAAGTTAAATATAAAAATTATAAAGGCTACTTAAAATTTTGGTTTTGTTTTTTTGAGACGGAGTCTCGCTCTGTCGCCCAGGCTGGAGTGCAGTGGTGCGATCTCGGCTCACTGCAACCTCTGCCTCTCTGGTTCAAGTGATTCTCCTGCCTCAGCCTCCAGAGGAGCTGGAATTACAGACGTACATCACCACACCCAGATAATTTTTGTATTTTTAGTACAGACAGGGTTTCACCATGTTGGCCAGGTTGGTCTTAAACTCCTGACCTCAGGTGATCCTCCCGCCTCAGCCTCCCAAAGTGCTGGGATTACAGGCATGAGTCACCGTGCCTGCCCTATCAGTTTCTTAAGTGACCTTCCAGGGTTATTTTATATAAGCAAATAGTGCAGATGACACACACACACACACACACACACACACACTTTTTTGTATATGCGCCTGGTAAAATTTCATCTTCACAGTTCTTGAAGATGCTTTCTTCCCCTACTAGTTATAACTGGGACGTGGCTCTGGATCAGGCCAGGAAGAACTTCTCCACTGGTTTTTCTTGGCCACAGTTTTCCACTTAAAGGATGTACCATTGTGTACTTAGCAGCAGTCCCCTTTTGATAGACATTTAGGTTGTCACCAGGATTTCTTACATGAGCAATGCTGCAGTGAACCTCCTTGTCCACAAGCCATCTCCTCTGTGCTGGGGTATATCTGTAGGATACATTCTTAGAGGAGGAGCCGGTGGGGAAGGTCCTATGCATGCATAGTTTTCGGAGCTCTCCCTCAATGCCCTCCGTTGTGGTTGTACTCACCTTCCCACCAGCTGTGTAGGGGAGGGCCTGTTGCCCCAGAGCCCCTCCTTGTGTATTATGTGTCCCTTTTTTTTTTTTCCCCAATGTGATAGTGGACAAACGACATCCCAGTGTAGGGTTTTTTTTTCTTTCTTTCTTCCTCTTTAGTTTTTGAGATGGAGTCTCACTATGTTTCCCATTCTGGCCTCAAATTCCTGGGCTCAAGCAATCCTGCCTCAGCTTCCTGCATAGCTGGGACTGCAGGTGCATGCCACTGCACCCAGCCCAGTGTAGTTTTATTTTTATTTATTTATTTTTTTGAGACGCAGTCTGGCTGTGTGGCCCAGACTGGAGTGCAGTGGCATGATCTCAGCTTACTGCAACCTCCTCCTCCTAGGTTCAAGCAATTCTGCCTCAGCCTCCCAAGTAGCTGAGACTACAGGAGTGCATCACCACGCCTGGCTAATTTTTTGTATTTTTAGTAGAGATGGGGTTTCACCATGTTGGCCAGGCTAGCCTCGAACTCCTGACCCCAGGTGATCTGCCTGCCTCGGCCTCCCAAAGTGCTGGGATTATAGGTGTGAGCCGCCACACCTGGCCCCAGCGTAGTTTTAATTTGTAGTTGGGAGTGAGCCCCATCCCATCCCCATCCTGTGCTCTCTCCCCCAGGGACCTGCTGCAGCTGGGAGGGGAGCTGTCCAGAAGGTCGGCCTGGGACTGAGCATGGGCCTGCAGCTGGCAGAGAGAAGGGTCGAGGCAGCCCTGAAGAAGCAGGCCCTGCTGCAGACCCAGCTGGAGGAGCAGCTGCAGGACAAGGTGCTTCACGAGAAGGGACCTGGCCCAGCAGCAGATGCAAAGCGACCTGGACAAGGCTCACCTCAGTGCCAGGTGGGTACCTGGTGGGTGCCACACGAGGCAGGTGTCCCTGCAGAAGGTAAAACTGGAGAGTTGGGGAGAAGGGAGCATCTGTTCACTAGGGTCAGGCCTTCCTCTGTGACCTCAGCCAGTTTTCCCAGGCACCCCACTGAGGTTCCGAAGGCGCTTGCCCAGTGTATATCATAAACAGCTTAGCCTCCAATGACAGAACTTGTGGCCGGGTGCGGTGGCTCACACCTGTAATCCCAGCACTTTGTCAGGTGGGGGGATCACCTGAGGTCAGGAGCGCAAGACCAGCCTGCCTGACAGGTGAAACCCCGTCTCTACTAAAAATACAAAAATTAGCCGGGCGTGGTGGCAGGTGCCTGTAATCCCAGCTACCAGGGAGGCTGAGTCAGGAGAATCGCTTGAACCCAGAATGCAGAGGTTGCAGTGAGCCAGGATCACATCGCTGTACTCCGGCCTGAATGACAGAGCGAGATTCTGTCTCAAAAAAAAAAACAAAAACTTTTGCCCCTTATTCCTGCCACCTGGACAAGTCCTCAAGTGCTTTCCCATGAGATAAAGCTGGTGGCAACCTCATTCCCACTTCACAGATGAGAGGTGTGAGGTCTGGAGAGGAGCTGGGACTTGCCTAAGGTCACACAGCCAGGGAGGTGGATGTTAGGGTCCCTGCCTCGGGTTTGGAGAAGCATGGTGGACACAGAACTAGTGGATTTGAGAGGCAGGGGTGGTCCCCCACTCACCTCTGCTGTTCCCCCAACTCCAGAGTGACAGAGCTGGGCCTGGCAGTGGAGCGTCTTCAGAAGCAGAATCTGGAGAAGGATCAGGTCAACAAGGACCTCACCAAGAAGCTTGAGGCCCTGGTGAGCTGCAGCTGCCCCTGAGATGTGGCAGTGTGGGATGGGGTACCGGACAGATCCATGGACACAGGCTTAGGGCTGGGCTGCCTGGGCCACCCCCAGCGTCCCACTCACACGCAGGTTCAGCCCTCACAGGTGTGCAGGCTTTGTGGTAAGCACACTCACCTCCTCCATCCCATTTCTTCCTCACAGCAGCCCTGTAGCGCAATCCTCATGACACAGATGGGGAAACTGAGGCCCAAGAGGGGAAATGCTTGTCCAGTCTCAGAGCCAGTAAGCGGGAGAGTCGGGACTTGAACTCCCATCCACTGTCTCCAGGTCCAGATGCTGCCTCTGGCAACCCAGCTTCCCCTCACCCCCTCCCCCGACCAGTGGGACACTCACTCTTCGGGGGTACAGCCTGGTTTGGTCACCCCCCTGTCTGGGGCCTGACCTGGGTTCTAGGTCCGGGTCTCCTCCCATCAACTGTGTGACCTGGGGCAGAACACAGCTCTTCTCTGGGCCTAGTCTGTTCAGTGAGGGTCTCGGGCCTGCTGTGGGGTCTACCAGGTGGCTGGCCTATGGACATGGCTTCAGAGGCCACCTGGTCAGTGGTGGGCCAGGGAGGGAGGGGAAGGGGAGGTTTCAGATAAGACAGAACCCCGACTACCCTTTGTCTCCCTCACCGCACTCCAGGAATCCCTGTGGCTACAGGAGCAGGCGGCCCTGGAGACAGAGGACGGAGAGGAGCTACAGCAGAGCCTAAGGGACCTGGCACAGGTGTGAGCCCAGAGAGGTGGGAAGACAGGGCCCTGCCAGGAAACCCCGGGCTCCCTCGCCACGCCTTTCGGTGGCCTGGGACTGAACTGCAAATGGGTGGGGGCCTGGGACCCAGGCTGTAGCTGCTCAGCACCCCTGCTAACTCACCTGGCCCCTGCCCTGGGGAGCCCCCAGTCTCAGAGGGGAGGCACGGCCCTTTCGGAGCCCACCTGTGAGCAATGCCAAATGATGTCTTTGCAATAAACGGGAGGCCTCAGCGGCGAGCTGAGGGCTGAGTTAGTGGAGGAGGTGAAATCAGGAAGGCTTCTTGTAGGAGGCAGCATTTGGGATGAGGCGGCCCCCAGCCTCGCCTAGGCGTCTTTGCCCAGCCAACCCCACGGTTCCTAGCTCTGCGGCCTCCTTCTGCCTCCCTCCTCTACCCTCAGGCCGTCCTGTCCGAGGCTGAGAGCGGCGTCCAGCTGAGCGGCTCCAAGTGCACCGTGGATGCGTCGGAGCGCAGCCTGCGGGGACTCTGGGGCCAGCGGACCCCGTCCCCACCGCGGTGCTACTCGCCAGGCAGAGGCCGTTCGCCCCGCCGAGGCCCCTCCCCGGCCTGCTCAGACTCCTCCGCCCTCGCCCTGATCCACTCCGCCTTGCACAAGCACCAGCTGCAGGTCCAGGTAGGAAGGGGCTTGAGCGTTCTGGGTGCAGCCAGAGGCCCGGGGGGAGGGGCTCGCGCCCTCCGGGTGGGGGCGGGGACGGGTCCGGGGAGGTCCGGCGGAGGAGTCTGAGCGCCCTGGGGTGCAGCCAGAGCCCTGAGAAATAGTGTCTGAGAGTGTCAGGATCCCCAAGGAGGTGGCCGAGAGCTCTGTGGTGAAGCCGAGCCCAGAAGTGGGGGTGCTTGGGCAGCTGGGGGTGGGTGCTTGGGCAGCTGGTGGAAGGAGGAGGCTGCGGCAGTGTTAGGGTCCTGGTAGAGAGGGAGACAGGTCCCTGGTCATGCAGAGCCAGGACCCTGGGAAAAGGTCTAGCAAGGGAAATCAGAGCTTGGGAACTAGGGGCAGAGCCAGGGTAGGGAGGAGTCTGAGAGTGGAACCAGGATGCAAGGGGGAGGAGCCTGGGAGCCCTCGGGGTGGTGTCAGAACCCAGGAGAGGAGTGTGCCTGGGGGTTTGTCTGGCATCGGTGGGTGGGTGGGGGCTTTGATTGGAGTTGTCCGGGACCCCAGGGAGGTGAGGGCTCAGAGGGTGGTGAGAGCACATTGGGGAGTGGAATCCTGGCTCTCAAACGTAGGCCTAGAGGAACAGATGTAGCGCCTGCGGGACAAGACCGAGGGCACCATGCAGGTCCACGAGGACGCCCAGCGCGAGGTGCAGCGGCTGCGGAGAGCCAAGAAGCTCCTGAGCAGGTGCTGGGGAGGTCTGAGCTGGGGGCTACTGAAGAATAAGTCAGCGTTTGGGCATAACACCAGTCGAGCCTTATGCGTGTGACTCTGCACTAATATGGTCGCCACTAGCTACATGTGCCTATTAACATTTATTTATTTTTGGGATGCAGTCTCGCTCTGTCCCCCAGGCTGGAGTGCAGTGGCGAGATCTCGGCTCACTGCAAGCTCCGCCTCCCGGGTTCGTGCCATTCTCCTGCCTCAGCCTCCCGAGTAGCTGGGACTACAGGCGTCCGCCACCTTGCCTGGCTAATTTTTTTTTTTTTTTTCTTTTGAGACGGAGTTTCACTCTGTGGCCCAGGCTGGAGTGCAGTGGAGCGATCTCGGCTCACTGCATCCTCTGCCTCCCAGGTTTAAGCAATTCTCACCTTAGCCTCCGAGTAGCTGGGATTACAGGCATGCACCAACACCCCCGGCTAATTCTTAGTTTTAGTAGAGATGGGGTTTCTCCATGTTGGTCAGGCTGGTCTTGAACTCCCGACCTCAGGTGATCCTCCCGCCTGGGCCTTCTAAAGTGCTGGGATTACAGGCGTGAGCCACCATGCCTGGGCTATTTATTTTTAAGATGGAGTCTCACTCTGTCCCCTAGGCTGGATTGCAGTGACATGATCTCAGCTCACTGCAACCTCCGCCTCCTGGGTTCAAGCAATTCTCCTGCCTCAGCCTCCCGAGTAGCTGGAATTACAGGCGTGCACCACCATGTCTGGCTAATTTTTGTATTTTTAGTAGAGACGGGGGTTTCACCATGTTGGCCAGGCTGGTCTGGAACTCTTGCCTTCAGGTGATCCACCCGCTTCGGCCACCCAAAGTGCTGGGATTACAGGTTGAGCCACTGTGCCCAGCCCAGTTTTGTGATCTTTAGAAAATCACTTCTCCATGCCTCATTTTTCTCATCTGTAGGATAGGGGAAGTAATGATACTTAAAAATGTAGCTTTCTTTTGAGGATCAAATAAGCTGTTCTATATATAGCACTTAGAACAGAACAGATTTTGGAACATGCTAAGTGCTCACTGAATGTTAGCTCTCATTAATATTGTTATTGCCACTATATGCTGGACCTGTTCTAAGCAGTCCATGGATATTTAATCCTCACACCAGTCCTATGGAGTCGTTCCTGTTATTTTCAGCATTTTAGAGGTAGGAGAATGAAAACTTAAATGACCTGCACAGTCACGTGGCTCGTCCTGATCTGTCTTTCCCTAGGGCCTGGGGTGAGGTTCACAGAAGATAATGTGCCTTGAGCACTTGGTGAACTATAAAACTCTAAACCATTGAGGGCCCTAGTTTTATCTGTTCTCCTGGCCCAGAGCAGATTAGAAATAGCAAATTAGTGCGAAGGCAGAGGGTGGCAAACACAGGCCCTTCAGAAGGGCAGTTGGCAGCACTGGGGGAGGTGCCTGAAAAGCACAAAAGCAGGCATTGCAGCCCCATGGTGTCGCCCACCTTGGTGGAGAGATAGGATTGAACTTCTGTGTGAGCTCTTTGGAACGCTCTTCCTGACCCCTAACCAGTTTGGGGCCTGGGACTTGGCACGTGGCTGGCACGTGCCAAATGGGAAGGGAGGCTGGGTGTGGTGGCACACGCCTGTAGTCCTAGCTACTCGGGAGGCTGGGGCAGGAGAATCGCTTGATCCTGGGAGGCAGAGGTTGCAGTGAGCTGAGATTGTGCCACTGCACTCCAGCAAGGGTGACAGAGCAAGACTCGAGGTCAGGAGTTCTAGACCAGCCTTGCCAACATGGTGAAACCCCGTCTCTACTAAAAATACAACAATTAGCCAGGCAGGATGGTGGGCACCTGTAATCCCAGCTATTTGGGAGGCTAAGGCAGGACAATAGCTTGAACTTGGGAGGTGGAGGTTGCAGGAAGCCAAGATCATGCCATTGCACTCCATCCTGGGCAACGAGAGCAAGACTCTATCTCAAAAAAAAAAATAAAAATAAAAAAAGCGAAAACGTACATAAAATATCCCTGGAAGGATTCACAGGAACAGCATCCCACAGATTGCCTACAGGGTGAGACTGGGAGACAGGAATGGAAAAGATGCCTATTTTAACTTTACAATTTTCTGTACTATTTGATTTTTTTTTTTTAATAGATACGGGGCTCTTTCTTTTTCGTCCAGGCTGGTCTCGAACTCCAGGGCTCACGCCTGGCCCTATTTGAATTTCGAACCATGTAAATGTACCATCTTTTCAGAAAAAAATAAAATCCGTGTGGGCACGCGGGGACGCTCCGGGCCTCCGAGGGGGTGTGTCTTCTGCTTCTTTAACCTGGCAGGGGCGGTTCAAGTGGCCGGGGAAATCAGCGATTTGGAGGGTCGAGGGCTGGTGCTTTGAGAGAGACGCGGAGGGCAGAGAGGGATTCCCCGTCCCAGCTGCACTCGGTGCATCACCTAGGTTACTCCTTTTCTCGGCCCGCAGGGCCCCTAACCTGCTCGAACCTGTTGTGCAGTAGAGGCCGCCGAGTCCCTTTAAGGCCCCGCCGCGCCTGCGCCTTGGGTTCTCCTGACGCGGCCCATCCGGACCCTGAGGAGCCAGTGGGCTGCAGGCGCAGGCGCAGGCGCAGGCACAGGCGAGGGGTTGGGTGGCGGTTGAGACAGCGGCGGTACTGGGATGGGTAGGTGAGGATCCCGAGACTGAGTGAGCTTCTGCGCGCGGTGCTTTTGGGAACGCGGGACTGGCAACCTGCGGCGCCAGGAGCTGGGCCGAGGCGCGGCGGCGCGGCTGCGGGCCGCCGTCTGGATGGGAAGTTACGGCGAAGTCCACCCAGCGTTTCTCAGGTGAGGGCGCCGCGCCAGGCTGGACGGGCGGTGAATCCGGGACCGGCGGGCGCACACCTGGGTCGAGGCGCGGCCGTCGCAAGTTTTGTTGCGCGAGCGCGGGGGCGGGTGGGAGGTGGGGGGTGTGGGGGGTCGTGCACCGCCGGGGGCTGAGTTCCCCGCGCTGGATTCTTCGCCTGCCGCTGCCGCCCTCAGCCCAGCTCTCGTGGGCGCTGGGGAAGAAACTCGCTGGCGGGTGTTCTGTGGCATCCCAGGGGGTGGAGGGACGGAGCAGCTTCGGGGGCACGTCCTCCTATATCCTGTAGAGGACACTGACTCCGCACCCCACCCTCGAGGCCGGAAATCGGTTCCCTCTGCGGGCCTGAGAGGCGAGAGCGCTCGCGCCCCTGACTTGCAAAGTTGGGGTCTTTACTGGCCTCCGGGCTTCTGCTCCTGGCGGTGTCTCCAGGCTGGTGATGGGCAAGCCAGGTGTGCCAGGTCCAGGATGCACATGAGGAGCGTTTGTAGCCATCACTGAATCACCTCCTGACTAGCGGGGCAAGCCTCAAATGAACCGCAGGATTTCGGCTAGGTTGGATTGTGGGGTTGCTGTTTGCACTCCGAGGAGTTGCTGTGGTTTCCCTGTGCCTGTCTGTCTGTCTTTCTGGCTTCTTAGATCATCATCTCATGTGGCGTCCTTTCACCGAAGAGTTAACCAAGACGTTTGGCCTAGTTTCCTTGCTTTCCTTCTGTCTTTTGCTGCTAGAGCTGCTTTCGAAAAGAAGTCTTTTCTGGCAGTGGTACCTTTTCTTTGGGTTACGGTGTTGTTCATCCTTTCTTTGCCAAAGGAATGAATCCCAGTGCTTCACGAAGTTAAAGATCTGCTGGTAGTGTTTAATCTGTTTGGAGCTGATATGCGTTAGTAGCTTTCTTTTTGTTTTTAAATTTTATTAGTAAAATTTCACTAGTGAACCAGAAGCTATTTTTTTCTATTCTGAAATGCTGGCTTTAAGATTTCTGATAACTTTGCGTCAAAGAAATCTTGGAAAAGTTACTGAAGTATACAGAAGAAGTTCACAATTTTAAATGTGCAGGGGGCCCGGGCGCAGTAGATCACACCTGTAATCCCAGCACTTTGGGACGCCAAGGTGGGTAGATCACTTGAGCCCAGGATTTCCACACTAGCCTCGGCAATGTGGCAAAACCCTATCTCTACTAAAAATACAAAAGTTAGCTGTGTGTGGTGGTGTGTGCCTGTAGTCCCAGCTACCCGGTAGGCTGAGGTGGGAGGATCACCAGAGCCCGGAAGGTTGAGATTGCAGTGAGCCGTGATCATGGCAGTGCACTCCGACCTGGATGGCAGAGTGAGAGCCTATCTCAAAAAAAAAAAAAAAAAAAGTAATGAATTTTGACCAAGTGAACCACCACAGATCAAGAAATAGAACATTACTAGACTGGAGTATATTTTTGGAGTGGCATTGTTGGTTTTAGAGGTATATGAATGATAAAACTTTAGTATTACATATTGTTGAACATTTTCCCAAAGTGGTTGTACCATTTAGCAAGGATATTCTGGTTACCCCACATCCTCGCTGATGCCTGTCAGTTAAAAATCATTTTGCCATTCTAGTAGGGGTGCAGTAATATATCAGTGTGGTTTCATTGAGATTGAGTATCTTTTATTGCCATTTATGTGTCTTCTTTTGTGACATGCCTGTTAAACCTTTTTATCCAGTTTTCATTGATATGCTTGTTTTCCTGTTGATTTGTAATACTTTATTCTGGATATGCCTCCTTTCTAGGATTTATATGTATTGCATTTCCCTTTTTTCAATCTGTAGCTTGCGTTTTCACTCTTTTATGTTGTTTTTTCATGAATGGAGATTCTCTGTTTTTTTTCTTTTTGAAACAGGATCTCACTCCATTGCCCAGGCTGGAGTGCAGTGGCACAATCACAGCTCACTGCAACCTTGACCTCACAAGGCTCAGATGATCCCCCTGCCTCAGCCCCCAAGTAGCTGGGACCTACAGGGGAGTACCACCACACTCAGCTGTTTTCTGTATTTTTAGTAGAGATGGGGTTTTGCCACATTGCATAGGCTGGTCTGGAATTCCTAGGCTCAAGTGATACACCTGCTTCGGCCTCCCAAAGGATTGGGATTACAGGCATGAGCCACTGCACCCGGCCTGAGATTCTTAATTTTAATGAAATTATACTTTATCAATCTTTTCCTTTATGGTTACTGCTTTTCATGTCATCTTTAAGAAATCAATGCCTAACCTAAGAGTATGAACACATTTTTCTGTGTTAACCTTATAACAATTTTATTTCAGTTTTTGCATTTTTTTTTTTTCAGACAGGGCCTCACTCTATTGCCCAGGCTAGAGTGTGGTGGCAGGATCTCAGCTCACTCAACCTCCATCTCCTGGCTCAAGTGATCCTCCCACCTCAGCCTCCTGAGTAGCTGCGACTATAGGCATGTGCCACCATGCCTGGCTAATTTTCGTATTTTTTGTAGAGATGGGGTTGCAACATGTTTCCCAGGTTGGTCTCGAACTCTTGGGCTCAAGTAATCTGCCCGCTTCAGCCTCCCAGAGTGCTGGAATTACAGGTGTGAGCCACCCCACCTGGCTATGATTCACTTTTTACTACATGGATGTGTCTGCTTTATCCAGGACCATTTATTGAAAAGACCATCCTTTTCCTTCTGCACCATGTGGCACTTTTCTTCATAAATCGATTGACTGTATGGTCATCTGATTTATGAAATTAGTGTGGGTCTGTTTCTGTTTCTGGACCAACCTGGGTAACATAGTGAGATCCTGTCTCTACAAAAGATAAAAATAATAAATAAATGAATAAAATTTAAAAAATAAGTGCATAGAGCAGATGGAGTCATAGGTGATAATTTATAAATGATTGTCAGTTTCTTGGCTACATACAGGTGTTGGTAATTCAGATGTGTTGGGCGTTCAGGCAAAATGTATTAAGTGAATTATATGGTGTTCAGAATGATTGCTAGAGGTTCACTGTGACTTCAATTAGATGTTATTTGAGCCTCACAGAGCTGCAGTTTTGACTCTTTTATTTATTTGTCTTTTTGAAGTTTTTACAATCTTCCTGTCAAGGCAGTAACACTTTTATACTTAATTGTTCTTAGGTATACTTAATTAGCGAGAAAACTTTATGGATCATCCCTAAATAAGTGTTAAGCCATTTAAAGGGCTCACGTGATGTGATATAAACAATAGTATTCTACATAATAGTTTTAGGACTACATAGAATAATTTTTTTTTTTTTCTTGAGACAGTGTCTCGCTCTGTTGCCCAGGCTGGAGTGCAGTGGTATGATCATGGCTCTCTGCAGCCTTGATCTCTCAGGCTCAAGCAGTCCTCCCACCTCAGCCTCCTTAGTAGCTGGGTCTACAGGCATGCACCACTATGCCTGGCTAATTTTCTCCTTTTTGTAGACAGGGTTTTCCTGTAGTGCCCAGACTGGTTTCAAACTCCTGGGCTGAAATGATCCTCCCACCTTGGCATCCCAAAGTGTTGGGATTACAAGCATGAGCCATCACACCTGGCCATTTTAGTTTTAATAATTTTTATGTTTTTCTAATTTAAAAGATTTACTAAAATCTCTTACGGCTGTTATTTATGAATATAGTATTCATTGTTGTTATTATGATGATTTTGTATGTGTTCAATCTGATTTTCAATATAAGCTACCGGCAATTAGAGATTTTGTCTCTTTTATTCACCACTGTATTCTCAGTACTTGACCTTGCCTGGCATGAAACAGATATTGAATAAATATTTCTTAAAAGAATGAATGAATGAACATACTAATACCATATTCAACAATCTCCAAGTATCACAGTTTTCACCATCTAACAAATAAAATAGCTGTATAGAGTAGAGTCACAGTCAACCTGCCATGAAAGGAAATGTCAATGAAAAATAAACCTTCGTATGTGTAGCTGCTAAGATTTTGGGGCTTTTGTTACTGTAGTATAACCTAGCGAAAGCTCAGTGAGGCAGCATATACAATATATGTGTACAGATAGACCAGCTAGACCAGTAGATGAGATTCCAAAGATAGTTCAATAAGCATTAACTAACAACACCCACACTCTCTTAATTCCCTAACAAAAATAATGGAATTCTTGTTCACTAAGATCTGCCTCAAATATTACTTTGTGAAAACTTCCCTGGCTACTCTAGTATTTAGTCAGGACTCTATTTTTTTTCCCGCCGGGCTGGAGTACAGTGGTGCCATCATAGCTCACTAACCTCTAACTCAAGGCTCAAGGAATCCTCCTGCCTCAGCCTAAGGAATCCTCCTGCCTCAGCCTCCCGAGTAGCTGGGACTACAAGTGTGTGCCACCATGCTCAGCTTATTTTTCATTTTTTATTTTCCAAGACGGGGTCTTACTATGTTGCCCAGGCTGGTCAGGACTGTTGATTACATATGACAGAAACCCAACCACCTCTAGTTCCCACCACCTTTCAACCTGCTCTTCCCTGGGTCTTCCCAGTCTCCGTAAATGGCAGCTCCATCCTTCAAGTTGCCGAAGCCCCAAATCTCAATGTTAACCTTGATTTCTCTCTTTTATCTCACAGGCAATCTGAAGGCAAATCCTGTTTAGACCCAGGCGAAGGTTCCTGGTGACCCAGGCTCTCACCAGCCAATTGTCCCTTGCCGTCCTCCTGAGGGTATCTGGAGCTTCAGTGCTGTGTGCTCTTGGCCTCCACACTGGGGATGCCACTGACTCCCACTGTCCAGGGCTTCCAGTGGACTCTCCGAGGCCCTGATGTAGAAACTTCCCCATTCGGTGCACCAAGAGCAGCCTCACATGGTGTGGGCCGACATCAAGAGCTGCGAGATCCAACAGGTAAAAATCCCGAGGCATTGCCAGCTCGGTGGGGTCAGAGAGTCCTCTTTCTATTATAACTCAGATGTGAAGGGAAGATGTCAAGGTCCCTAAACATTGCAGGGCCTTGCCTGGCATGAAACAGATATTAAATACGTATTTGTTAAATGAATGAACAAATATCCACAGCCTGTGCCGCCCATGGCCTGCAGTGCCGTGGTCAGGTGGAAGTGATTTTACTTCAGGAGAGGACAGTGTTCTCTCCAGGACTTTTCCTTACTAGCTAGATCTGCATCCCTCTCCCCGCTCTTCCCCTCTCACCCCCCATTCTCTGCCCCCATTTCTCTCTGTTTCCACCCTACTGTCCCCTTTCACCTGCTTTCTGCTCTTCAGCTTTGATGGCTCACCCCCTCCCTGTCCACCTGCATCCCCCAGGCTAAGGCTCCTACACTGTCCTGGGTGGGGAGATGTGTCTCGTTTTAGGCAGTGCCCTCTGGATGTGTCTAGGATGGGGAAACATGGCTCAGTTGCCAGTATAATGGGTTAAAAGTGGCCACTTTTGAAGGCCTTTCCCACCTCCCATTCCAGAATCCTGTAGGACTTAGAATTTATGGGCCACAGTGGAATTCTTGGTTTCCCAGGACCTTGTGGTGGACACCTTCTTTCACTGAGCATTCATGGGGTGACTATTAGGTACCAGGCCCTGCTCTGGGCTAGAGGCCCCACAATGAGTAAATCTCAGGTCAGTACCCCACGGAACCCACCACTGCAGGCATTGAGAGGGGGAGAAAGAAAGGGGCATGGCCCGTTTGTGTTCTCCTCATGTGGTCGCCCACAGGTCCTGGGGGAGTAGGAGCCAGTGCAAGGAGAGAAGTCCAGTGAGAAAGGCAAATGGATGACATCAGACCCAGGGGCTGAGGTCCCCAGCTGCAGCTGGGTAGCTTCTGGAGTGGACAGGGAGCAACAGGGAAGTTCGTGGCCTGGTGTTCTGGGATGCATTGTCTCATCTCGTTCTTGTGAGCACCAGAACTTATCCAAAGACAAGACTCAGTGTCTCTGGCAACAGTGGGCCAGAGACAGAATGTGTGAATTTCAGAGGAGGAGGAAGGGGTTGTACCCCATGGAAACAGTATATGGTTTTACAGTAGCGCATCTTTCTCTAATAACTGGTTAGTGTGTTCCTGTTAATGGAAAATATTGGTGGTGTAAGTTTCCCCACTGTTCTCATCTTCATGTAAATTTGTTCATTTCCTTCCTTCCTTCCTTCCTTCCTTCCTTCCTTCCTTCCTTCCTTCCCTACTTCCCTCCAACTCTCTTTCTCTTTATTCTTTCCCTGCCTCCCTCCCACCCACCCTCCCTCCCTTTCTTCCTCCTTCCCTCCCTCCCTCCCTTCTTTCCTTTCTTCCTTTCTTCTTTTCCTTTCTCTCTCATGCTCTTTTTCTTTCCTTTTTGTTCTCTCTACTTTTTTGAAGAGATCACACTGTACTGAAACCTACATTATTTACCAAAATCTCCAGATCTGCTTCTGTCTTGCAGGCAGAGAGCTCATCCAGTAGCCCTTAGCTCTTCCCAGCCCCCTCCTTTGATTTGTGGGTGCCACTGGGGCAGCTGCTGAGTCTCAGTGGTTTCTAGTCTTCACCAAGTTCTGCCCACCCAGATGGTTTTTACCTCTCCTTACCAGAAACCTGCACTGTCTAGATTGCTGAGGCTGCTTCTCCTTAACCGATCTGCTATCTGTATTCCAGGGGCACCGCAGGGTTAGAGGTAAATGGCACAGGCCTTGAAATCTCCAACTGCTCTGACTCCAGGTTGGTGCACTTCAATGCCAAGTACTAACCACCCAGTTACAGGATGCCACCAAAACCTTGATATGGGGCTGCTGCATCCTAATTAAAACAAATTAATAGAATTTTTTTTAGAACAGTTCTAGGTTTGTGGAAAACTTGAGTGGATAGTACAGAGGGTTCTCCTAGGCTCCCCTGTCCTCCACACAATTTCTCCTATTAGTATGTTTTATGAGTGTGGTCCATTGGTTACAATTGATGAACCACTGTTGATACATCATTATCCCCTAAAGTCCATAGTTTACATTAGAGTTCATTCTTTGAGTTTCACAGATTATGGGTTTTGGCAATTACATAATGTCCTAAATCCCCAATACAGCGTCATGCGAAATAGTTTCACTGCTGAAAATTCCCTGTGCGTCACCATTTCATGCGTCCTCCTCTCCTCCACCCCTGACAACCACTCATCATTTTACTGCTTCTTTTTGACTTTCCAAGAATGTCCTAGAGTTGGAATGGTACAGGATGTGGGTTTCCAGACTGGCTTCTTTCTAGCATTATGTACTTTAAGTTCCTCCATGTCTTTTCATGGCTTGATAGCTTGTTTTTTAAAATCAGTGAATCATATTTCGTTGTATGGCTACAACAGTTTCTTTATTCATTCACTTGGTGAAAGACATCTTGGGTACTTCCAAGTTTTGGCAATTATGAATAAAATTGCTGTAAGTACTTCTGTGCAGGATTTTGAGTGAACTTGTTTTCCAAAGTGACAGTACCCTTTTGATTTCCACTAGCGATGGAAAGTTCTGGTTGCTCCTCATCTTTGACAGCATTTGGTGTGTTCACCTTTTTGAATTTTAGCCATTCTAATACAGTGATATCTCATTGTTGTTTTAATATGCAATTCCCTAACGACAAATGATTTTGAGTGTCTTTTTCATATGCATATTTGCCATCTGTATATCTTATTAATGAGGTGTTCAGATCTTTCACCTATTTTTTTTTCTTTGTGTTGTTTAGTTCTCAGAATTCTTCATATATTTTGGACAGCAGTTTTTCCATCAGATTATTTTGTAAATATTTTCTGCCAGTCTGTGACTTGCTTTTTCCATTCTCTTGACAGTGTCTTTCACAGAGCAGAAGTTTTTAATTTTAATGAGGCTCAACTTAATTTTTTTCATTAGTAGATTGTGCTTTTGGTTTTGTATCTAAGAAGCCATCATCCAACCCAAGATCCCCAAGATTTTCTCTTATGTTATCTCCTAGGATTCTTATGGTTTTGCATCTTACATTTACATGTAAGATTTATTTTATAAAGGGTATAACATGCATACCTGGATTTATTATTATTTTTTTTTTTTGCATGTGTTTGTCCAGCTGTTCTAGCACCACTAGTTGGAAAGGCTGTCTTTGCTGTTTTAAATTGTCTCTAAACCTTCATGGACGATCAGTGGACTGTCTGTAGGCCTGTTTCTGGGCTCTGTATTCCTTTTCCACGAATCTATTTGTGTGTGTTTTCTCTTTTCACCAACTTCACACTATTTGGGTTACTGTAGCTTAATGTAAGTCCTGAAGTTGATAGTGCCAGACGTCAGGGGGGTTTTCGGAACTTCATCATGAGAACCTGGTTGAGACCATTGTAGTAAAACTTGGAAACGTGTGAGATTCCCCCTTAGTCTGGTTTTCAAGGAGTTTTTAATGCTCTAGCCAGGCCACCCTCAGCTTCTAGTAATCTGTCAATACCATTTAAGTGCTCCTCCCACTTGCTGTCCCCAGTAGCTTCTCTTCCCTGTGAGCTCTGACTCCTTGTGTGTTAGCCTGTCTTTCTCATTTTTAGGGTGGCCGTTTTCCCTGTGACCTCAATTCTCTGGTCCACCCTAGAAGGGTTGACTTTCAGTTTGTTCAGCTTTTTTCTAGCTGTGAGGACAAGTGATGACTGCCTAGCTCTTTCCATGTTGGAATAGAAACCCAAAAGTTCGTTTAAAGAATTACTTGTTATAAAAGTCAGCCATTGTCCACGTACAACTCAATGACTTAAGGTGATATATAGAATTGTGCAGCCATCAGCAGAGTTCTACTTTAGCACATTTTATCGCTTCCCCAAATTCCCTTGAACCTCTTTGTAGTCATTTCCTAATCCCTGGTCCCCATGACTGGGTCTGAATAGAATAAATATTTGGAAAGCAGACTTCATTATATTTACATTTTCATGTGTTTGGGACTTTATATAGTGGACTATTGTGTTTGTTTTGTGACAAGCAGAGAAGAGATTGCATTCTAGGGATGTTTTTTGGGGAACATAACAGTAGTCTTGTTTATGGCTCTCCTTGAAATTGGTTCATCTGTGCTGGTGACTGGTATTTGCTACCAAACCTTGTCTGGTGAGCACAAGAAAATGAATTTTTAAAAATCTGCTATGAAAATCGAGATGATACATTTTCACATAATAATATGTGGAGTTAAGTAACGAACCATCTTTATTTATTTATTTATTTATTTATTTTTTGAGATGGAGATTTTGCTCTGTTCCTCAGGCTGGAATGTAATGGCGTGATCTAGCTCACTGCAACCTCCACCTCCTGAGTTCAAGTGATTCTCCTGCCTCAGCCTCCTGAGTAGCTGCGATTACAGGCACCTGCCACCACGCCTGGCTAATTTTTGTATTTTTAGTAGAGACATGGTTTCTCCATGTTGGCCAGGTTGGTCTCTAACTCTTGACCTCAAGTGATCCACCTGCCTTAGCCTCCCAAAGTGCTAGGATTACAGACATGAACCACGGCCTGACCTGAACCATTTTTATTCTTTCAGAAATGTGATTGATAACAGTAAAGCCACACTCCTCGCATGCCTGAAATACCCCTCATTGTCTTCTTCAGGTGGCAAGGGCTCTGAAACAGCCACATAAAGTTGAGGGCAATATTTTTACTGTAGTTCTTTCATTGATTGATTGATTGATTGATGGATTGATTGATTTTTTCTCTGAGAGGAATTAGCATCCATGTATCTGAAATTGAAATTCAAGAGGAGAGACAGGCACCTGTACTAGTTTTCTCTTGCTGCCAATTATCACATTACCACAAACCAGTGGTTTGAAACCACAGAAGTCTGGAATGAAGCGGCTGGGTTCTCTGATCAGAGTCATGTGAGGCTAAAATTCAGAAATGGGCTGGCTGTGTTTTTTTTCTAGAGCTCAAGCTATTTTTCCAAGTTCACTACAGATATTGAAAGAGTTCCTATTCTTGTTTGTGGGGGACTGAGGGCCCTTTGTCTTTGCTGACTGTCAGCCAGGAGACACTCTGACTCCAGAGGCAACCTGCTTTCCTCCTTACCTGTCTTTTCCATCATCAACCAATAACAACTCATGGAGTCCTTCTCAAGCTCCTGCCTTCTGTGGCTTCATCTTCTCCAACCAGCCACAGAAAGCTCTGTCATGTATGGAGTGGTGTGATTAGATCCAGTTCATGCAGGTAACCTCACCAGCTCAAAGTCATATAACTGGCATATAACATCATAATCACAGGAATGCTGTCTCATCACCTTAACAGGCTTTAGAGACAAGGGTGTGACATATGTGGGGACCATTTCAGAAATTCCATCTACCACAGTAGGACACTCACATTCCCCCAACTGCAAAATGCATTCACCGTCTCCCCTAAGGTTCCCAAATTTCATGTCATTTAAAGCATTAGTTCAACATGAAAAATGTCATGTAGATCACATCAGATCAAAAGTTTAAAATTCCATCTAAAACATCCACACCAGGTGTGGTGAGGCTTCTGAGGGTGTCCACAAAGTACAGGTCTTTGACATAATTCCCTTACCTCCGTCGACCTGTGAAACTGAACAAACAGCTTATCTGCCCCTAACGTGAAATGACGGGACAGACATAGAATAACAGCTACAGTGATTCTAGTTCAAAATGAGGGAACATGGAAGGGATAAAGAAGTCAATGACCCAAAATAGTTTGGAAATGGAACTGGGCAAAATCCAGCAGAAGTTTCTTAATTAGGATCGACAGCCTGGGACCGGCCCGCCGTCCTATGGGTCTTTGCCTCTGGGCTCCCTGCTCTGCATTTCTTGAAACCATTATTATTTATCTTTTTTCTCACACTCTTTTGCATATGGCTTCTGTTGCACTCAAAATGTTTTTGAGATTCATCCATGTTGTTTTATGTGTCAACAGTTTGTTCCTTTAGCCATTCCATGGAATGAATGTATCACAGTTTATTGGTCCATTCTTGTATTGACAGATACTTGAATGTTTCCAGTTTTTCATATTATGAATAAAACTGCTATGAACATTCTTGTATAAATCATTTTCTGGACATATGTTTTAGTTTCTCTTGGATAAATGCTTAGGAATGACTGAGTCATAGAATAGGCAGTTGTTTGGTTCTGTAAGAATATGCCAGATATTTTCCCCAAAGTGTTTATACTATTGTACATTCCATGCATTAATGTACGAAGATGAGAAAGCTTTTGCCCCTTCCAAAGAGGCCTGTCTATATACATGTAATTTTTTCTAACTGGAGACAGGCTGATGACTTCAGGGACATGAACATGGGATACAGGACACCTGTCATCACCACCACCATGAAGTTGGGATTCAGGAAGGAGGTTAATCATATAAGGAATCCTGTGACCAGCATGAGCTTCTGTCAGGCCACAAAGGGCACTCAAGTGAACAGGGCATAGTGGGTCCTGGGGTCATGGTGAGAAAGTGTCTCTTTGGTAAAACCTTTTCCCTTGGGGAGGTAAATAAATTCTTGGTTCCTTCTTGGTAGCCCTTGTAGATAAGGATGGTCAAATAAAATAATATTATATCTGTAAAAACTCAGATCTTGGTAAGATTTACTAGTTGGGAATCCAGTGTTAATGCCATGAAGCAGCCGCCAGTTGGGATCAAATGTGAGCCTATGGATCAAGGTGCATACTCAAACACAGAGAGCTTTTTTGAAAGATGCCACCAGTAGTTTTTCCAGGGCAGAGATGGGTCGTTTATTTCTCTCTCTAATCTAGCCCATATGCTAGCTGAGAAGGTTTCTTCATATCACTTTAAATGATGATGTCCTTGTACAACAATTTTCTAAACATTCTTTAGATAAGAATTTAATGGGCATTCTTTATTGCATTAGGCTTAAATTTCATGCATCTTAAGGTTTTATTGCAAAGTGTTGCCTTGCTTCCTTTTTAAGATGATACAATTTATAACACGCAAGTTTGCTGTCTGTCCCCTCCCTTTATATACATATAAAATGAGCAAACATGTGGCCATGAAACAGATGGTCATAGAATTGGTTCAGTGGTTGTGAGTTCAGCAACCCAAGAGTGTCTTATCTGAAATACCACGAGGAATGCCTGGACACAGTAGACAAAGGTTGTTCAACTGGATGCCTTAGGATACATGCTACCAAAAACAAAGTAGCTGAAAAGGAACCAGAATAACAGAATATCAGAGCCAGAGGAACATTTGGAGGTAATTCAGTACCTCCTCCTTTTCAACCTACAGGGGAGATAGTGGAACAGAAGCAGAAATGGGCCTGCCTGCTGTGCCCAAAATTCATTGGAGATTATTGCGGTGAAGAATTTCATTTATGATGAAGGAGAATTAAATCCCCGTCAGTTTAAATTCAGGCAGGTTTATTGAAAAGGTGAAGAAGCGTCTTGCAGAAGCAAAGCGTGGCTGAGGCTTGTGGGCTTTGGGAAAATGAGCAGCTGACAGTGGCTGATGCTGCCCCTGACTCTGGGACCATGTGGTCTCTTGTTCCCTGAGAGCATCTCTTCTATTCTCTTGCATCTTCCCTCAGCCTGGCAGTCTCTGTATAATCTTCAACACATAATCGAGCAAGGCTGTGCCAGCCCCAATGCCACCTGGCACTTTAGGTCAAATTAGGAAGGCATGAAATAAACTGGCCCTTTATAATACAGCTGTTGGAACCACAGTTGAAAGTACAATATCTTGACTCCTGGGTTAGTGCTTTATGCTGAGCTTTTTTTTCTGAATATGAGCACAGACTTTGGAATATTAGTGTCACCTAGCGTTATTAGCTAGTATTCTCCTTTTGTTTCCCCATGACATCCCCTCCTTCTTCCCACAGATCCACTGTCCGCTCATTTCCATCCTGTCTCATGCCACTCGGGGCTCGTCCCTTCTAGAATGCATTCCTGGCTCCCCTGCATGCACACTTCCAGTTAGGTTTAGCAATGGAGGGCACCTGATGGAGCCTGGAAGTGAGAGGAAGGTGAGGTCTGTATTTCTTCCCTCTCCCTCCCTGCTCTGGCACTGAGTATCTGGCAATAGCTGCATCTGTCTATTACTTCAGTGGCCACTCTTCCACAGCCCCAGTTCTCAGTGGGTCCCATAGCATTATTTACCTTTGTTCCTTTAGCTCCCATCAAGGAAGATCCAGAGACATTCTCCTTACCAAGACGTTAAGAAATGCACAGGTGAGGAGAACAGCGGCATGCGTGTAAAGGTCCTGTGGCACCCATCCTCTGCAGGCTGGAGGTCATGGCGGGAGATGCTGCATGGATTTGCCCTCCCCGCTGTCAGTGAGAACAACAGGGTTCTGGAAGAGTAGAGGACAGGCCATGGGACTTGGCCATCTAGAGATAAGGCGGGAGGGATTTCCTTGAGAGGCAGGGATATGTGGTGGTTACTAATCATTCGAATCATTGTGAGGTGTCTGGGAATGTAATGGATGGGAAATCTACTAAGAAATCAACTTAGTAATAATTAGAAAAGCTCTAGTTCTGAGGACAGAGACCTGATGGAGTCACCATAGTGGGAATTTATGACCTGGCATCCGGTTCAGATACCTGGAGCTTCTTGAGTGAGGGAAGATTGGATCCCTTGAGGAAGAGTGAAGCCTTCAATGCTGCCACCAGTGTATGCTGTAAATCTTCCTCCAGGCCTTCCCCAGAAGGCCCTGAAGCCATTTATGTGGGTGACTGAGGAAAGGGAAATACTCAGAGCTTCTGTGGCTTGTTGGATTCTGGCTCTGAAGAATGCTAAACTAAGGGCACCTGTGGTGGCCATGAAAATGCACTACTTGCATCTCCAGCTGCAGGAGGCCTAACGAATCAGCAGCCCCAGCTGCTACACTCCGAATGGAGGACTTGATGACATTTCCCCTGGATCTGCACTAGCCCATGAGGAGGAAAGCCTCCTATCAAGTCCTCCCAGCAGAACACCCATGATGACTCATGAGGATGTTGAAAGTGTTTTCCTGTGTCAACTGTGACTTTCTTTCTTCAAAGTCTGTTTTGTTCCTGCACATTAACTGATTTATATCAAATAAGAGAATAAATGCCTAGACTCCCATGAGTCTATCTTTTACTGATAAACTCAATAGTTCTGAGGACGGAAGCCTGATGGAGTCAGTATAGGGGGAATTTATAACCTGGCATCCAGTTCAGAGACTTGGAGCTTCTTGACTGAGGGGAGATCGGGTCCCTTTGGGGAAGAAGGAAGCCTTCAATGTTGTCACAAGTGTATCCTGGAAATCTTCCTCTAAGCCTTCCTAGAGAGACCTGATAATATGACTTATGATACAGTGACCCCAAATTCAGGGTGTTCTTGTCTACTCTCAAGAATGCAATATCTTCTTCCTCTGAATTGAACGTAGTACCAATATTTGTGTGTAGCTATGCACCTTAATAGACCATAGCTAATTAGATGAGGAATGGTAGACCCAATTCAACCATACAGGCGTCAACCATATCAGCATACAGGCATCCCTCTCCCACCGTTTCCTTCTTGTCCCCACTCCAAAGCCTTCTCCATTTTATTTGTATTAACTTTCTATTGCTGCATACTAAATTACTGCAAGCATTAGCGGCGTAAAATAAGAATGATTTATTTTCTTGCAGTGTCCACAGATCAGAAGTTCAGGCCTGGATTCGCTGGGTCTTCTTCTCAGGGCCTCACAGGCTGAAATTAGGCTGGGTTTCTTTCTGGAGGTTCTGGGGAAGAACATCCTCTCAAGTTTCCTCAGGTTGTCAGCTGAGTTCAGTTCCTTGTGACTGTAGGACTGAGATCTCTGTTTTCTTGCTGGCTGTCAGCCAGGGGCCTCTCGCTGCTCCTAGAGGCCTCCCATGTTCCCACTGCATGCTTCCTCCAGCCAGCAGAGGAGGATCGCCCTGCATGGAAACCCTCCTGCACTTCACATCTCTCCAGGAAGTCCTCAGTCCCTCCAAGGAACTCACCTTCACTAGGTCAAGCTCATCAGATAATCTGTCTATCTTAAATTTGACCGATTTGGGATCTCGATTACATCTGTTAACTTGTTTTTGCCATAAATTGTAACACAATCGCAGGAGTGACATCTCCTCAGTGGCTTTGTCTACACTCAGGAAGAAGTGATTATATAAGAGCAAAGATCACTGAGGGTCATCTTAGGATTCTGTCTACCATAATATTATAAAGACACAGTAATTAAAAGAGTATAACAGATTTCTGCTTCTGTCTGTTAGAATAAATCATATCAGACTAACCCTGCCTCCATAAACAACCGTAAAATTGTTTTCAGCAGTGTACGACAGGCAGTACAACAGAAAACTTAAGGGGGAAGCCCCATGATTTCCTAGTTCTTTGGGGAGAATTTCTCAGCAGCTGCATAGTGGGCTAGAGTCCACTCAGGGCAGGGCAGCCCACTGAGCTGAGAAGGCAGAGATCAGAGTTCAAGACCATTGAAGCAACTGCAATCTGCAGGGCAGGGCACCAATGAGGAGACAGCTGATCAAAGGTGCAGCTCTCAAAGTCTATGTGGGGTTCCATATGCATCCTTATCAAGGACTGGACTGTACCTGCACAAGGAAAAGACTAACAGATTTAACAGAGGGGTGGCTGCTATAAAATTGAGTTTGGACCAGAGGTACTTGAGGCGGAGGAGGGTTGGGGAATGTATGATGGAGTTTCTGCCATCCACGGTGGGAAGAACTCATGCACACCTCATTAGCACCCAGGTATCCAACTGAGACACTAGAATGGATGTGCTTTAGGAATAAGTGTCACACTTTTCAATAAGGCCTATTGTTCACCAACCTGGTAAAGCCTAAAGCCAAACCCTGACAAAATCCACAAAGGGGTGGATTGGTGATTGAGTCCTGCCAAATTAGAGGGTCTTGGGAAATTCTGTGGGCTTTCCATGAATCCGTTGTAATAAAACATAAACCAGTCCACATAAGTCCAAAGTGATCGATCAGACAGTAATTTTACGCCCACTAGAGCAAAATTAATTCACACAATCAATGACACAAGTTAGCCAAGTCGACATTTAAGCAAAATACATCTAAGAACAGCTAACAAATAACTCTCCTCAAACTCACATAGAGCATTCACCAAGATAGACCACATATGCTGAGCCATCCTTAGTATTTTCTGTCCTTTCTCTTTGACTCGTGTATACTGTGCTCAAACTCTTAAAATTATACACTTTAATTATATACTTTAATGATTATACACTTTCATGCATCTCAATTGCATGTAAGTTATATTTCAATATATTTGTTAAAAGTTTATAATTAAAAAAACTGTCCTAGCTTGATTCCAGAAATCTTTTTTATATTTTAGAAAATGTAATGTTATATATTATCAGGGCAAAAGAGAAAAACCGTATGATTACCTTGTCATACACAGTAAAAGCATTTGGCAAAATTGAAAAATTTTTCATGATTTATAAAAACAAACCCCAGAAAACTCAGCATGATAAGAAGAGAAGGCAACACTTCCAACCCTATTAAGGGTAGATTTGAAAAAAACTCACAGGTAACATTATATTAAATGGCATGGGATTGAATGCTTTTCTATTAAATCAGATAAAAAAGTAGAATATCTGTTGTTATTCTTTCAATTCAGCATTATACTAGAGATCTAAATCAGTGCAATAAAGTAAGAAAAATAAAAGTATTGAAAAGATTGAAAAGAAAGAATTGAGGCTGTCTTTATTCACAGATAATGACTGTGTATGTTAATAATCCTAGAAATCTGCAAAAATCTGCCAAAGCTAATTAGTGAGTTTGGTAATGTTGCAGAGTATAAGCTCAATAGAAGTAGTCTTTTGTATTTCTGTGTATTAGCAATGAGCATTTGGAAAATGAAATAAAAATACAATTTCATTTCAAGTAACTTCTAAATACATGTGCTTATAAATAAATTCAACAGGCTGGGTCTGGTGGCTCACGTGTGTGTGTGTGTGTGTGTGTATGTATGTGTGTGGGTGGGTGTGGGTGTGTATATTCACCTTTTTGAAGATTATCTATCGTTATCTCCAAACAGGGAACATTAAGAGAACATAAAAAGAAACCACAATATAGGAGATATCATATTTATTTCCAACAAAGGGTTTTTAGAGTGTGTGTGTGTATATATATATATATGTATGTATATATATGTATGTATATATATGTATGTATATATATGCATGTGTATATATATGTGTGTTTATATATGTCTAATAAGAAACAACACAATGAAACAATTTCTCAAAAGACTTGAATAGATACTTCAGTAAAGAAGATACATAAATGGTCAATTAGCATAGGAAAAGATGCTCTACTGTTTAGTCATCAGGGAGATCAATGAATACAACTTGATAGCAGTACATATCCAAGAGGATGGCTAAAATTAAAAAGGCTGAAAATAGCACATGTTGGTGAGGATATAAAGCACTTGGAAGTCTTATACTTGGAATGAAAAATGGTAGGACTCCTTTGAAAATCTAACAATGTCTTAAAGGTTAAACATATGCAAATCAGATGGACAGTCTTCCATTCCTAGGAATGTACACACTATGTGTGCACATGATCTGTATGTGTATTTCCAGACCAGACTGAGGGGTGGACTGCTATTTCTTGTGGCCCAGTAACGAGATGCAGATGAACTGGGGAGGAAGAGAGTTTTTACTTCTGCAACTGATTACAGGGAAAAGGCCTGGAAATTATCACCAGACCAAGTCAAAATTACAAAGTTTTCCTGAGCTTATATACCTTCTAAGCTATATGTGTATGTGGAAGTGTGCATTCATCTAAATACAGAAGTGATTAAGTTCTTCTAATCTATAACTAAGGTCTGAGTCCTGAAGACCTTCCTCTGGAGCCTCAGTAAATTCACTTAATCTAAATGGGTCTAGGTGCTGGGCACCCTTATCTTGTCTCCTGCTAAATCACAGAGGTTTGGGGAGTTCCTTCAGACCTCCAATAAACTTGTTTGTGGAGGCCTGGGGAGTTTCTTCAGACCCCCAATAAAACTTGTTTAATACTAAATGACTCCTGTTAAGAATGTCTTCGTTATTTTGTCATGCTTTAAGGCCCAGGAAAAGCCCAGGCAAAGCTCTTGGTGGGCTTTGGTTACATTCCAGCCTTTGTAATAAGGGCATGGGCTTTTTTTTTTTTTTTTTCCTCTTAATATTTAACTGAACCACTCAGTCGGTACTGAAACAGTTGTTAGGGAGGCCTGTGTTAGTGAGACCTGGCCTGCCACGTATGGATGCTCATGATAGTTTCTTCATAATAGCCCAAACGTGGAATGATAGAAATGTCCAATAACAAGTGAAAGTATGAACAAACACAGTATAGCCACACAAAGGAATACTACTCAGCAATTACAAGGCATTAACCGTTGATGCAAATACTCATATGGATGGATTTTAAAATTATGTTGATGCATGAAAGAAGGCAGACACAAAAGAATACGGGTACAATTTCATTTATAGAAAATGGTTAAAAATGGAAACAGACCTGAAGTGACAGCGGCTCCTTGAGGCCGAGGGCTGAAAGACTGATGAACTGCAAAGGGGTACAAGAAACTTTGGGGCGTAGGGAAATTCCTCTATCTTGGTTGTGGCAGTAGTTCCATTAGTGTATACATTTGTAAACATGCATTGAATTACACATTTTAAAGTGGTGCAGTCTGTTGTACCTAAATGATGCCTTTATAACATTGATTTCATCATCTTAATTTCTCCATACTAGCAATTAGCAGCTAGAAAATGAAATTCAGTAAAACATAATCGAGATTAATAGTCAGAATCATTACATGCTTAAGAATACATGCAATGAAGCGGGTACAAGGCCCGTAAAAGCAATTGGTGAGAAAAATTAAAGAAGACTAAATAGAGAAATATATATCATGTTCATTGATTGGAAGATTCAATTTTGTTAGCATATTACCTCAACAGAATTCTGATTAATATTTCTAGTAGGAGATTTTAGAGAAATGTAAAAGCTAATTTCAAAATATATTTGAAAATCCAAGAACCTAGAATAGGCAAGTCGGTCTTGAAGAAGCAGTAAGTTGGAGGACTTACTCTGCTAGACTTCAAACCTGATTTAAAAGCTACAGTAATTTAAAATGGTAGTACTGGTGTAAGTATTCATAAATATATCAAAGTAAAAGAATACAGATTCAAACAATATGACCACATATGTAGTTATTTATTTTAGTAGAATCTTTTTTATTCATAAAAAATCCCTCCAAAACGTTTTCCAAGAACACACAGGAGGGCTATGGGTAGAGGAAGGTGTCTGTCCATCTATCCCTGGCCCCCAGCCCATGTGGTTTTGGCAGCAATAGGGGTGTGGGGTAATGTCCCCCAAAATTAAAATGGTATATGTGTGTATGAGAAGGAAAGGGGGGCAAAGCTGTGGGGAACGGTTGAGGGGAAGGAACAAAGGAGGTCAGTACTGGGAACGCTGAAGATGGGAGGCCATTTCATAACATTTCTTGTTGATGAAACTGCCATGGACAGCTTCTTTGCTCATCAGCAGGCCCAGTGTCTTGGCAATCATGGTGACAGTGACATTGAAGGTGGGGGCTCCACCGATGCTCTTCGTTTGAAGATGCACGGTCAGTTCCCCATCCTGCAGCAGTGAGTCCAGGACCACAGTACATTTCTGGCCCCGCAGTGTCAGCCTATTCACGAAAAAGCTTGACCAGTCTTTGCCAACCAGGACACCAACCTTAGCTGGCGTGATGTTCACGAAGGTTTTTCCCTGGGACGGCGGCCCAGATGGAGGGTGAGTCCTTGTTGCCCACGATGGCCGCGAACCTAACAGGTCCCATCCGCCACGAGGCTGTAGATAGAGGCGTCCACCTGGCCGTTGCGCGGCTGCGGGGGCTCCTCTGGTCGCTGCTGCTGGGGCCGCCTGGGCTGGCGGGCAGGGGAGGCGGAGAGCTGCGTGCAGGCACTGCCGTCCTCACCACGGCTCTGCTGGCTGTGCAGTGGCCCTCGCACCGCCATATATATATATTTATTATACTTTAAGTTCTAGGATACTTGTGCACAACGTGCAGGTTTGTTACATAGGTGTACATGTGCCATGTTGGTTTGCTGCACCCATTAACTCGTCATTTACATTCGGTATTTCTCCTAATGCTATCCCTCCTCCAGCCCCCAACCCCAGGGACAGGCCGTGGTGTGTGATGTTCCCCGCCCTGTGTCCAAGTGTTCTCATTGTTCAGTTCCCATCCATGAGTGAGAACGTGCTCACGCTGCTACTTCTAAATGTTTTAAAAACAAAGACACCAATGCTCTTCATTGAGGAAATGGAAGACTTTTAAGTAAAAGGATTTTGAGTGAAATAATATTTGTGGTTTTAAAAAGTTAATATTAACCACTCTTCATCATACACTGAAATTAACTTAAGATGTGAAAGTTAAAATTAGAAACCTTGTAAAGGAAAAATAGGAACTAATTTCGTGGACTTGACACAGGAAAATGTTTCTTAGACTAGATACTGTAACACTCACCACAATAAGAAATCAAGCAAATTGCCCTTCATTTTTAAAAACCTTCTGCTTATTATGTTGTTGTTTAACAACTTAAAAGCTATCTGTAGACCAGGAATAGCAAATAATTATTTGCTATATAATATAGCAAAAAATGTGTATATATAAATGGATGCATTCAAAATATATAAAGAACTCCTATAGGTTACAAGAAAATGACAAACACACCAGTGTTTCAATGAACATAAAATTTTGAGAAGATATTTTCCATAAGAAGATATCTTACTGAACATTAGGCATGAGAAAACCAAAACAGGATATCACTACCCACCTAGTAGAATGGCTATAATTTAAAAGACTGAAAATATTAAGTGTGTGGGAATGTAGAGCAACTGGAAATGGCCTACATCTTTCATAGAAATGTAAAATAATACAATGACTTTGCAAAGCTCTGTGTCCATTTTCTTCCCATTCACCAAGCAACTCCATCCGTAGCTATAGAGACCCAGGAAAATCAGTATGTCCATTCACAGAAATAATTATATGAGAATATTCATAGTTACTTACGCACAGTAGCCAACAAGTAAACCTGTCTCCCGTCAGAAAAATGGATATCAAATTGTGTGATAATCATACAAACAATAGGATATTACTTGGCCAAACAAAACGAAACAAGGGAAAAACACAGTCAAACAAATTAGTGGCATATATAAGCACCTGAGTAGGAGAAGTCAAAACAAGAGGAAGTACTAAATGATTCCTTTTTTTAATTTTTTTGAGATGGAGTCTCACTCTGTCCCCCAGTCTGGAGTGCAGTGGCACGATCTCGGCTCTGCCTCCCAGGTTCAAAAAATTTTCCCTGCCTCAGCCTTCCAAGTAGCTGGGATTACAGGCACCTGCCACCATGCCTGGCTAATTTTTTGTATTTTCAGTAGAGGCAGGGTTTTACCATGTTGGCCAGGCTGGTCTTGAACGCCTGACCTCAGGTGATCTGCCCGCCTCAGCCTTGCAAAGTCTTGGGATTACAGGCATGAGCCACCAGGCCCAGCCAAAATGATTCCATGTTTATGAAGCACATGATCAAGCAAAATGAATCTATGGTGGCTGCTAAGTTTAAATATTGGTCCCCTCCAAATCACATGTTTAAATGTGGTCCCCAGTGTCGGAGGTGGGGGTAAATGGGAGGTGTTTGGGTCATGGGAGTGGATCCCTCATGAATAGATGAATCCCCACCCTGGGAGAAGGTAGTGAGTGAATTCTCACTCTCTTAGTTCCTGTAGGAGCTGGTTATTAAAAAGTGCCTCTCACCTTTCCTTGCTCTCTTTTGCTTCCTCTCTCGCCATATGATCTCTGCACACCCTGGTTCCTTTTCACCTTCTGCTGCAAGTGGAAGCAGCCTCAGGCCCTCATTAGGAGCAGATGCGGGGGCCATGCTTCTTGTACAGCCTGCAGAACTATGAGCAAAAGGCACCTCTTGTCTTGATAAATTACGCAGCCGCCGGTATTCCTTTCCAGCAACACAAAGGGGCTAAGGCGGTGACAACATTCAGAATATATTCTTCATTTGGGGAATGAGTATTGACTGGCAAGGACCACATCAGAACTCTGTGGCATGGGGGAAAATGTTCTCTGTCTTTAACTGGGTGTTACTTTACAATTATAATTATATTAAAATTTATTAAGCTGTGCCTTTAGGTTTTTTGCAGTATACTCTATGCAAATTTTACCTCAGTGAAGAACTGTTAGCATACAACAGAGAGATAACAAACACTCAAAAATTGAAAATTGATGGAAAGTAGATAACAAATATTTAGCCTAGAAATAAGAGGGATCCATTGAGAAGAAACCAAAAGCAATGGAATAGAACAAAGACAAAAAAGTATAATAAAAAGAGTTTTAAATTTCAAAGTTTGAAATGATATTCAAGTGACACACTGTTTCCTTGGGAAAATCAAGTGAGAACCACAACTCTGAGACTAATTCCAGCAAAAATATGTGAATCAGTTTGATCTAATGGTACAAGGTTAGCTTTGAAGGCCAAAAGGAACTGGTTTCTAATTCTTATTCCTCTCCTCACTAGTTTTGTGACCTAGGGAAATTTTGCAATCTTTCTGAGTTTGTTTTCTCATCAGGAACAGGATACTACCTAAGTAACAGGATAGTTGATAGATTTAAATATGATCGCATGGCAGTGGACATGAGCCATAATTAGTTGCTAAGAATATATTGACACTGAACTCTCCTTTATCCATGTTAAAATTGTAGATAAACAACAATTGACAAAGAATAGACAAAATATTCTAACATAAATATTCTTCCCTTGTTTCTAGAAAGAAGTCACACATACAGTAAAAATAATTAGAGAGGACCTAGTTCATATTGAGCAATCTTCCCCAAACCCTGAAACAGGTCTTCTTTCTAACACCAGAGGTATCTTGAGTGAGTCCAACCCCTGCAGTCCCCTCTGTCTGGAATAGATGGAGGAAGTTTGCTCCAGCCTTAGAACAGCATGGGCTGGCAAGCGTTCTCAGAGAGGTCTCGACTTCAACTCTAAAGGGCCTGAGGAATATGTGCAACTGGGTCGGGTTAAGGCCAAGCTGAATCACATGACCAGGGCTCTCACCAGCGCCAAAGTCAGTGGAAGGATATCAGTCCCCAGAGCTCTGTCACAGGCCATGGATGCTCCATGGAGGGGTGGTGAGCATATGAATAAGAATCAGGAGAAACATCGGTAATGGACAGGAGGCATAAATAAACAATGTCCACCGTCCTCTAAAACCCAGGAAAGTTCTCATTCAAAAGACGATGTCTTGAAGGAAACATAGGTACAAATCTTTGTGACTTTGGATTAGACATTTTTTAAGTAGGCACAAACAACCGAAAAATAGATAAATGGACTTCATTAAAATAAAAAACTTATATGCTTCAAAGGACACTGTCAAGGAAGTGAAAAGATAATCCACATAATGGGAGAACTATTTCCAAATTATATGTTTGACACAGGTCTAGTACCTAGAGTATATAAGGAATTCATATAACTGAGCAATAAACGACAACCACATTTAACAATGGGGAAAAAAGCTGTGAGTAGAGGTTTCTCTAAAGGAAACACTCAAATGGCCAAGAAGCACATGCAAAGATGTTCAATGTTTTTCGTCATTAGGAAAATGTAAATTTAAACCAAAATGAGATACCACTTCACACCCAGCAGTATGACTTAAGAAAAAAATAAAGACAACACATGTTTCAAAAGTGATGGAGAATATCGAATTCTCATATATTACTATTGGGAATCTAAAATGATGTAGCTACTGAAGTTAGTAAACAGTGTGTGAGTTCCTCAAAAAGTTAAACATAAAAAAAGTTAAACATAAAGTGACATATGATGCAGCAATTGCACTCCTAGGTTTATAACCAAGAAAATGAAAAACAGGTGTTCACTCAAAAACCTGTACAAAGCTGTTCACAGCAGCATTATTCATAATAGTTAAAAAGTGGAAACATCTTTAACCACCATCAGTTGATGAATAAACAAAATGTGGTATAACCATATAGTGGAATATTATCTGGCCATAAAAAGTTGAAGTACTGATGCAGGCTAGAAAGGATGAAACTTGAGAACAATATTCTAAGAAGCAGATAGAAAATACCACACTTTGTTATTCCATATAGAGGAAGTGCCCAGAACAAGTACATCAATATATAGAGAAGGTAGATTAGTGGTTGTCAGAGAGCACAAGAGGGGGGGAATTGGAGAGTGTCTGCCCATAGGTACAGGCATGCTTTTTGGCATTATGAAAATATTCTGGAATTAGGTAGTGGCGATGGTTGTGAAAGTTTTGGAATATGGTAAAAGACACTGAAATGTATGCTTAAAAATGGTGAATTTTGTGATGTATAAATTCTACTGTAGAAATAATAATAACAACAAAAGTAATAAAGCAAGGTGTCTTTCCACATCTCCATGTCCAGTATTTTCATTAAAAAAAAAAAAGAAAGTAAAAGCATTTCAGGGCCAGGTTCAGTGGCTAACTTCTGTAATCCCAGCACTTTTGGAGAACTAGGTGGAAGGATCGCTTGAGGCCAGAAGTTCAAAACCAGCCTGAGCAACATAGCAAGACCTTGTCTCTATGAAAAATAAAAAATTAGCCAGAAATGGTGATGTGTGCCTAGAGTTCCAACTACTTGGAAAGCTGAGGCAGGAGGATCGCTTGAGCCCAGAAGTTCAAGGTTGCCGTGATCTATAATCACCAGTGCACTCCAGCCTGGGTGACAGAATAAGACCCTGTCTCAAAAAAAAAAAAAAAAAAAAAAAAGCATCTCACTTTAATAGTAAGTGGCCAAAATATGATGCTGGCTGCATGTTGTGAGGAAATGTGTTAGATGAAAGAAGTTAAATTCCAGAAGATTTCCTTTTTTCAGAAATGAGGTATAGGGGAGAGAAGCACTGGTCCACCTGAGATCTGGCTCCAGGACTTACAACAAGGGGAACTTGGGCAAGTTACAGACTCTGTGTGCCTCCATTTCTTCATCAGCAAAACAGAAAGAATCATCCCATAAACTGTAAGGTCAATGCTGTCAGTGAGTCCCCAAATTGACTGCACATCTGAGTCATATTAACAAACACATTCCAGGCCCCACCTGAGCCCTCTGAATCAGAATCCCTGCAAGGAGGACAATGAACTTGTATTTGCACTGACTTTCCCAGCTGTTTCTTACTTTGATCAACTTGGGGGTGGGACCCATTGAGCTGCATCACATCATTCCAAAGCCAAAACACAACAGCAGAACAAGAATATTTTCAATGCAGTCTCTGAAGCAGAGGAGAAACTTTTGAGGGAACCTAGAAGTAAAGGACATCTGGCTTGCTGGGCTCCATTTAAACTTTGAGTATAGCAGAGACACGAGCCCTTCGGGACACATGCCTGTCGCAGTGACACTCCAACTTCGGAAGAGTGGAAGCCCTAATTCCAAATTCAAGCATGCTTTGAGTAGAAATGAAGTTTGCCTCTTTTTGCACAGGAAGATGGCCAATCTTTCCTAAGCTGCTGACCTTACAAGAAAAAGAATCGTACTGCTAAGAATTCAAACTTCAGCAGTCATGGGTGAGTAAGGAAGTCTTATAAATGTATTTTAGCCACCTAACAAGAAACTAGAAATTTAGCAAGTTCTTTCACATTCAGGACAGTTGTGTTCACTAGATCAGAGGCACTGAGACATGAAGAACAGACCCCTAAAAAGGGAAAGTGTTCCTTTCAGTTTTAGGACACCACTGGAATATTAGGGAAGTGGAAACACAGCTGCCCACTCTACAGTATGGGTTGCCTTTGTGTCCGGAATGTGCCTAACGTCCTGACCTCCATGCCCTTTTCAGGGAGCCTTGGGAGGAGCCCGAATCACTGATGGAATCGGACAGTGCATGGAGATGGTTCAGCAGGACGAGGGTAAGTGCAGGGGCAAGTCCAGGTCATACTGAGAGACAACGAGTGGCGCTGACAAGAGACAGACAAAGATAAAATCAAAAGTTTGTGCTTCATCTTCAAAAATCCAAACTAATAACACACTTGGCCTTATGAGAAATAATAAGTATTTTTCTATTTACATGAGAATTTAATCTCAAAACAGGAATCAGAAATATATTAAGTCCAGGGCATAAAACCTAAACCACTGCTCATATTTATTCTTTCTAAATAGAGCAAAGTGTAAAATCTTCTCCATAAAATGCACATTGTGCTTATGAAAAGGCCAAAGTCTTAGTGAGAATCATTGGTATTCCATAGAAGAGTGAATTAAACACAGCCAAGGGAAGACCCAAGTCTCATACTTCTCTTGTATATTCCAGAGTTCCAGGGGAATTCCAGGTGATAGAGGTGATCTCCCATACTGTTAAAGCAAGGTTGCAGACACTTGGGAATTTTGGTCCCAGTACTCTAGGAGGTCACACCTCTGTCCTGGACAATACTACAGGAATGTATACTCTTCCTATGACTCATTCTGGTCATTCTTCCAGCATCACAAAAACCAAAAAAAAAAAGGAAATATGTCCAAATACATGATTTGCTATCCCTCCTCTTCAAGTTTCTTACCTGTTACTTACGGATAATAGCATTACCACAGGATTATGATGAAGATACAATGTCCAAATGTAAGCACAGTTTTGAGCAAAATGCCTTGTACGAATTGGTCAGTGAACAACTGGTAAATAATTATGTGAATATTTACTGAATTATATGGATCCTATGAATAATTACTGAATAATTACTGTGATTGCTTTTATTGGCAGTGCTGAAAACTCACCCCTGTGTGACCTCAAGTAAGCCACGTAACTCTGTGAACCTGCAGTTTTATCATTTTTAAAATAAAGAAACATGACAGATTTTCATTATGACACAGAATGTCAGGTCTCCCAGATGCCAGAAAATACATTTACTTAAAGCCGTTGATACGTCTTAAAGCGGTTTCCTTACAGTGTCATTGGAGGACAGCGTGGAGTGCAGAGAGACATGCTTTGAAATGGGATTGATCCAGTCCTCCTTCCTTCACTACCACATGAATGCTGGGCAGCCCAGGATCACACTCACTGCACCCTCAACTCAGGCAAGTCCAGCAGCCAATCTTAGGAGACCTGGGCTACAGAACAGTCTCCCAAGTTCCAGGCTCACAAAACCTAGGTGGGGATGAAAGCTGAGAAAGTGAGGAGGTGGTTCAGGGGATCACTCTTTCCTACTCATTCCTCTCATCTCAAACTCACCCTCTACTGCAACACTGAGGATCACCAACCAACCGTGACCATAACCTTGATCTTGCCATGTTCTGTTAGTGGAATGAAACCAAAAATCAATGGTGTTAGTCCAACCCAACGAAATAGATATCAAACCACATTCCATAAGAACCGCCGCTCATGGCCCTGTTCTTTTCAGTATATGGGAAAACAAAATGGAAACAACAAAATAGCATCAGGTTTATGAAACTTCCCAAGATAGATGGTCACACATGTGTTCAGGAGATCTCTATATAAATGATTTTGGTCACTTGATACCTTGAAAAGAGCTCTTGTGATACTAGAATGACATCCATAAGTGACGAGTATAAAATGTAGCGCTCAGTGACATCAAAAACCAAATCAACCCACATAGAGGAAGAGCTCTGGACATAGGGATGTCAAACTGGTCTAGAGTGTAATGAAAAGCAAAGATGGTGCCCCAGTGAGAAAAAAGAAATCAACGTAACAATGGGAATCAGCAAGAAGAATACTGAGACAGGAAAGACAACATTTTTTACAAATGAGTTATTCATTCACTTTCTAGTGGATACAGACAAAACTGCAGAAGACCCAGAGGAAATCAGGGCAGGCTAAAAGTTTGATATCTTACACTTGTGGAAAAGCCTTAAGATCTGTTTTAACTGAGAGCAGGTGGGGTGACTTCATGACTACCGTTAAGAAAATATAACCTGTTGGGAAACTGGTTCTGCCTGGATGGTGTTGTACAAACAAGCGATAAACAATGAGGAATGTGCTTAGATGTATTGGGAAAGAGATGGGTCTGTGGCATTGTCACAAGGGTACACGAACACTGAGAGTGAATTTTAGAGGAATGATCCCCATTGGTGGTGACCCTCAGGTGAGACGAGGGTGCCTGTGTTTCAGCAAAGCCTGGGCAATTGGAATGCAGGGCTCCTAAGATTCCATGACACCCCCACCTTCTAATTCTGTTATTGCAACTGCAGACCGTTACCTGGCACACTGGCCTCACTCTTGTCGGAGACTGAGCTATTGGCAGTGCCTTCAGCTCTGAGCTCAGGCACCTCGAACATTGTTTTTGTCGTTAAGGATCCTAAAGTGCTGCGGGGACTGATCACATTTTTCTCAACAGTAAGTTAAGAATTTCAGTTACTGACATCCCTCAGTCCTGATTAAACCTATTTGATTTCACCAGTTTTTAACCCATCGTGTGTTTGGGTGTCTTCTCCCCAGTCCCTGGCCCCACCTCTTCTGCCACAAACGTCAGCATGGTGGTATCTGCCGGCCCTTGGTCCGGTGAGAAGGCAGAGATGAACATTCTAGAAATCAACAAGAAATCGCGCCCCCAGCTGGCAGAGAACAAACAGCAGTTCAGAAACCTCAAACAGAAATGTCTTGTAACTCAAGTGGCCTACTTCCTGGCCAACCGGCAAAATAATTACGGTAAGTTCTATAGGCTCACCATCACAAAAGCGATGAATGATGTCCTGTCTTCTCGCTGAGAAACTAAATGCTCTCTCCATCAAAAATAAGTTCAACCCTCCCATACTTCTAGGAAAATAGAAATGGGCATTTTCACATTTTGTTAAATTGGGAAGTCAGAGGTACCAAAGTATTTAGCAACTTTCCATGTTTGCAGTCAGGTGGGGGTGGGCCTAGAGTTAAAATCGCAGTTATTCATTTGGGACACAGGCACAGAACGACCTGTTTTCTCCAAGAGGCTAAATCGTGTTTTCAAGAATCCTCTCTGTACCATATAAGATCCGGCAGACAAATAACATCTAGTCTGTTGTTCTAAATGTGTGGGACTAGTGAACCCTTATTGTGTTCAAGCTTCTGTTGAGGCCCAATAGGCAAAGCTCTGTTCTGGGGACCCTGAGGAAAACTTGGTGATAGTACACAGTACCCGCTCTGAGGGGCTTCAAGGGGAGTCTGCTCCTAATAGAACCTGTGGTATCTGTAAGTGACAGCATCAAGAGCAGGGAGTAGGGGCCGTGCACGGTGGCTCACTCCTGTAATCCAAGCACTTTGGGAGGCTGAGGCGGGTAGAGCACGAGGTCAGGAGTTTGAGACCAGCCTGGGCAACGTGGAGAAACCCCATCTCTTCTAAAAATACAAACATTAGCTGGGCGTGGTGGCGGGCGCCTGTAATCCCAGCTACTCAGGAGGCTGAGGCAGGAGAATCCCTTGCATCCAGGAGGCAGAGGTTGCAGTGAGCCAAGAACACGCCATTGCACTCCAGCCTGGGCGATAGGGCAAGACTCGTCAAAAGAAAAGCAGAGAGTACCCGGTGAGAGGGAAGTCCTGCTTCCTGGGGCACAGGCTCTTGTTCCTAAAGAGGAAGAAGGATCGCACCCGAGATTGTGTGGAAGTAGCAGTGCAGTGTGCAGACCAGGGACTCTGGGCCTGTCTCCTGGGCTCCATCCAAGTTGCTTGTCTTGTCTGTCCCTCAGTTTCCTCATCTGTACATAGGGTACTACAGAAATACCTACCTCTGTAAATTGCTGCAATGAGTTACATGAGCTGTTTCTTGTCAATCTCCTAGAACTTTTATTGGCACAGAGTTAACACTCTGTTAGTTCTTCATTCTACTGTTTCTAAATTAACACAAACCTTAGTATTCGGGCAGATTTCCTTCATGGCCTTATGGTCTTACGTCTCATCCTTTATGCTTCAGATGTGATTCTTAAAATCACATCTAAAGCTATGATGTAAAAATCAAAGATGTTTAAGATCTTTGACATATTTGTCCTTGAACTTCCCAGTGAAAGGGAAACCATCAGTCCCATAGTCCTAGGGGCCTTCCCAACTGTACAAGAAATCACTACTTCATGCCCCAGTGCAGTGCTTTAGAGGAGAGGCTGCAAGGCTTGGGAAAGTGGCCCCGCATTCAGAGTCAGACCTCAGGGGCTGTGAATTCTGACTCCACTTCATTGTGGTTGAATCATCTTGTCAACTTCCTTGATGTGCCTTGAGTTTCTCTTCGTCTCTAAATTTTGGAGGATCAGCTGCCAGTAAGTCGGGAGACTGAAGAGTAAAGATGTGGAAATCCCTACGTAGAGCCTGGCAGTGGGGACAGTTTTGTCCTTGGGATGGACCTGGCTCCTGCCCTGTAGGCAGTGACCAGAGCAGCATGTCCAGCCTTTCACTGAGGCAGGCGTGTGTGTCTTTTCTCAGACTATGAAGACTGCAAAGACCTCATAAAATCTATGCTGAGGGATGAGCGGCTGCTCACAGAAGAGAAGCTTGCAGAGGAGCTCGGGCAAGCTGAGGAGCTCAGGTGAGTGGGCCCCCTGGGGTCAGGCAGGTGGGCAGGTGTGTAAATATCTGAAGTACAGCAGCTCGGCAGGGAGAACTAAGAGCTGAACTGGGCCAGGGGAAGGGCAGGAATTGCCATGGCAGGCTCACGACACACAAAGATTTATCAAGCAGAGAACAAGGATAATAATAAGTTATGGGTTGCAGTTGTTTTTCAGAGCCTTATTTTCTGTTTTTCAAACAAGTAATTGTTGAGGTGAAATGCGCATAACACAAAATTAACCGAAGGAGTGGGAACCACCGAGCAGCATTCGGCATACTCAAAGTGATGTGCCATCACCACCCCACTCACCCTTAGTCAGAATCAGCTCCTGACTGACTGCGGCTTCTCATGCTTTCACTCAATGTTACCTTCTCGAGCCTGTCATTCCTTTCTTTCATCTTTTCAATTGGCCCCATCTGCACCTGGCCTCATTTCTGTCCATGGCTTTGTATCTAGTCGCTGCAAGATGCACTATGTGTATATGCACGTGGAAATGTCCATGGCCAGAGTGAGGAACTGAAAGGATGGATGTCTTTTTGAAACTGAATGAGGAAGACACCTACTTTTGTTGACAGAAGAGAAAGATGAATGGAACATCATGGAGGGTCTTCCAGGAGCCCTCTCTCATACAGAGGAAGCCTGTGAACCATTTTTTATTCTTTCTCTTGGGCACAGACATTTCTTTAAACATGTGCTGACCTTCTGCTTGGAGGTCTCCTTGAGGACATTGTCTCAGAAATCTGTGTTGCAAAATATTAGAACTGATCACTCATCCCTTTCCACTGTTAAATTTTCTCTACTATCTCACCTTAGGCAATATAAAGTCCTGGTTCACTCTCAGGAACGAGAGCTGACCCAGTTAAGGGAGAAGTTACAGGAAGGGAGAGATGCCTCCCGCTCATTGAATCAGCATCTCCAGGCCCTCCTCACTCCGGATGAGCCGGACAACTCCCAGGGACGGGACCTCCGAGAACAGCTGGCTGAGGGATGTAGGCTGGCACAGCACCTCGTCCAAAAGCTCAGCCCAGGTGAGGTGGCCATAGGCCCTGATGACCCAAAACCCCAGGCTTATGAGAGACTTCAGACCTCCATACTTTCACAATGACATTTGTATCGGTGGTGTTTTTTCCCACTAAACGTATGTGGCCGTGACATAAGTGACATAACCAGGACTTCCTGGGTAAGAACAGAGGTGGGAAACCGATTGGGTTGGAGGTCACAGTATTTCAAATGTCCCTCCTCCCTTGATGGAAGGTGGTCTTTGGAGCAAGAAGCTGCACGTTTCTAGTTTTAAAGGACAGGAAGGAGGCTGTGACGGGAGGGCGCTTTTTAGAGTGAAAAGAGCTCTGGACTCAGAAGGCAGGTTCCCAGGCTGTCTCTTTGGCAATGTTCTTAGTAACTGTCGGTGAGTGAGTGATTTATCCTTCCTGAGTTTCTCTGTCTCCATCTGCAAAGGCAGGCAAATTGTCTCTTGCAAGAGTCTGAAGCATCCAAATGTGGGAACACTTAGGACTGCTTTTCAAAATGAGATAAAGCCCCTCGCCATGTGGTGTTAGAGAAGGCACTTGATGTGGGGGCATTTGGTGGTAGGAAGTGCTTGATACTGGAGCACTCTTCATGGAGAGAATGTCCCTGAATAACAGGGCAGAAGCCACATGGAGGGCCTGTGCAGTCTCCTGATGCATAGAGGACTGTAGGGCAAGTTTGTCCTCTCCTAAGAGAAAGAATTAGGTTTGAAATGTGAACTGTGACAGGACACCAAGCCCGTGCCTGGGAATCAGACCTGTAGCCAGATGGGGGAGACAGCTGCCAAAGTTCAGAGAGAGGCTGTAGGAGCCTCCATGATATGGGGAGCAAAAGGTCTTTTCAGTATTTGGCCACATCTTGATGGTGGCCCTCCAGATCAGAAATGCATTGCCTGATGGATCGGGAAACCATGCCAGGGCATTTTGTTAACGATAAAACATGAGAGCTTTCAGCTGAACAGTGACCATGCCTAGATGTTCATGTCTGTGTGCACATTCGGCTGACTGTGCTTGCAGAGTGTGAATTGGGAAATATCTGAATGAACACTTCTGTATTTACAGAAAATGATGACGATGAGGATGAAGATGTTAAAGTTGAGGAGGCTGAGAAAGTACAGGAATTATATGCCCCCAGGTAACGCTGAATAATCGGGAGCAAGTAATGGGTGGTAACATATGAAAAAGGTCTAGGAGGCACACCCTCTCTGGCATCTATGATGGGCCGAAAGCCTGCATTCCCTTGGCCACAGTATGAGAAACTCAAGCCAGCTTGGACACAGGGTGTGGCAGCTGTTGTGTTTCTCTGTGTGTGGTGGGTGTCATGTCTGTACCGTACAGGGATAGCTGAGTTTTCATCCTCCTCGGCTCCTATCTGTCCAGTGCAATGAACACCAGTTGCTGTCTTCCTCTCTGGCTCCCATGGCTGCCATGCTCTGTTGCAGAGAGAAGAGGATTGCCTGTTCCCTCTTAAAGGGATCCTCCTGTTTGCTTTCTTGGACCACTCTCTTAATGCCTCCTGTCGAAACCAGCTAGCACTCCCTGGTGTCCAATCCCTCTGTGTTTAGTCTTCTGTCATCTCTATCCCACCTGGCTCATCAGGGAGGTGCAGAAGGCTGAAGAAAAGGAAGTCCCTGAGGACTCACTGGAGGAGTGTGCCATCACTTGTTCAAATAGCCACCACCCTTGTGAGTCCAACCAGCCTTACGGGAACACCAGAATCACATTTGAGGAAGACCAAGTCGACTCAACTCTCATTGACTCATCCTCTCATGATGAATGGTTGGATGCTGTATGCATTATCCCAGGTAGCCTCTATTTTCCTGTGTCTCACACCTTTTCCTATGCTGAGGAATATAAACTCTGAAGACAGGCTCTATACACACAGATTGGTTTTAATAAAATCTATTATGGTATTCTTAACAGAGATATCAAGGAGGTTTTCTGTCCTTCTCAGCTCATGTCATGCCTTTGTCTCACAGTCCCCAGTGTCAAGTTACTGGACCCCAGACAAGTGTGACAATCTCATAGTCACCTGAGTGCAGGAGGTACACAGGAAGTATCTGTGAGGCCTCGTACCTTTGATTCAGTATCTCTTGTCACCTGTGATTAAGTCGTCTGTCCCTGAACAATGTCCATGAAATTTCTCTGCCTTTTTAAGGCGACTGGCAGCCTTGCCTTTGTGTTTGGAAATATTGTTCCCCAGGCTTCACTGCTCTCAGCTTTAATCTTGATCTCCTTTGAGTCTGCTTGGTTAGCTGCACAGTCACCTTGAAATCAGGACAGAAACTTTTCTTTTTTACTTTGCTGATATAGTTCCATAAAGCAAGGCTGGACCCTGGTTCTCCACCCCATCAATGCAATGGCTGATGCAATGTTTTGTAGCATCATAGATTCTCTCTCTCTTTTTCTTTTCTTTTCTTTTTCTTTTTCTTTTTTTTTTTGTGATGGAGTCTGGCTCTGTCACCCAGGCTGGAGTGCAATGGCTCCATTTTGGCTTGCTGCAACTTCCACCTCCCAGGTTCAAGTGATTCTCCTGCCTCAGCCTCCTGAGTCGCTGGTACCACAGGTGCTCAGCACCACATCTGGCTAATTTTTGTATTTTTATTAGAGACGGGGTTCCCCCATGTTGGCCAGGCTGGTCTTGAACTCATGACCTCAAATGATTCACCTTCCTTGACCTCCCAAATCACAGATTCTTTTTAATGCAAGAGTTGTTAGAATTTATCTATCAGTCGAGTTTCATGTGTAGATCCCTCTAAACATTTAATGTCCATGTTACCTGGTGATATAAGTCAGTATTGCAACAACACTCCTAGAAAATTGTTTGACCAATTATTGGCGACTTTGGGGGGAAAATTTTGTTTAACTTTGCATAGACTCAGGCAGGGAATATGGCATTATGGTCTACCCATAGAGGGAAATTTTGGCCTGTGGGTCTGGAAAGCAGGGTCATCTACTTCTCACCAGAGTTAATCTAGGGCACCCTGGAGTGCTCCTGTCAGAATCCATATTCTTGCACTGAGAATAGTTATGTCCTTGTCCTATGACTGGACACTGATTTGGTCATATGTGGAGTGTGAATTGCTTAATGTGACCTGCTTCTCTGAATTTATTTCCAGAAAATGAAAGTGATCATGAGCAAGAGGAAGAAAAAGGGCCAGTGTCTCCCAGGTAATGCCATGGAATTGTGGGCTGTTAATTCAATAGTGGCAGCTGGAGTTTGTAGATTTAGAGAAAATGAGGAAGCAATGAATAGAACTTTTTATTCCATTCACCCAGCTACAAGTTGTCCTTATTAACAATGTTGTACATTATTTGTGGCCCTTGTGTTGGTTTTAATTTCGTAGTCCTCTCAAGATAGGAACTTGCAATCAGATGAGCCAGGTGAACTAGCCAAACAGGGATTTCTTGTTGATCTTTTCAAAAAACCAGCTCCTGGATTCACTGATTTTTTTGAAGGGTTTTTTGTGTCTCTATCTCCTTCAGTTCTGCTCTGATCTTAGTTATTTCTTGCCTTCTGCTAGCTTTTGAATTTGTTTGCTCTTGCTTCTCTAGTTCTTTTAATTGTGATGTTAAGGTGTTGATTTTAGATCTTTCCCTTCCTTGTGGGCATTTAGTGCTAGAAATTTCCCTCTCCACACTGCTTTAAATGTGTCCCAGAGATTCTGGTATGTTGTGTCTTTGTTCTCATTGGTTTCAAAGAACATCTTAATTTCTGCCTTCATTTCGTTATTTACCCAGTAGTCATTCAGGAGCAGGTTGTTCAGTTTCCATGTAGTTGTGCAGTTTTGAGTGAGTTTCTTAATCCTGAGCTCTAATTTGATAGCACTGTGGTCTGAGAGACAGTTTGTTGTGATTTCTGTTCTTTTACATTTGCTGAGGAGTGCTTGCTGAGGAGTGCTTTACCTCCAACTATGTGGTCAATTTTGGAATAAGTGTGATGTGATGCTGAGAAGAATGAATATTCTGTTGGTTTGGGGTGGAGAGTTCGTAGATGTCTATTAGGTCTGCTTGGTGCAGAGCTGAGTTCAAGTCCTGGATATCCTTGTGAACCTTCTGTCTCATTGATCTGTCAAATATTGACAGTGGGGTGTTAAAGTCCCCCATGATTATTGTGTGGGAGTCTAAGTCTCTTTTTAGGTCTCTCAGGACTTGCTTTATGAATCTGGGTGCTCCCGTATTGGATATATGTACATTTAGGATAGTTAGCTTTTCATGTTGAATTGATCCCTTTGCAATTATGTAATGGCCTTCTTTGTCTCTTTTGATCTTTCTTGGTTTAAAGTCTGTTTTATCAAAGACTAGGATTGCAACCCCTGCTTTTTTTTGCTCTCCATTTGCTTGGTAGATCTTCCTCCATCCCTTTATTTTGAGCCTATGTGTGTCTCTGCACGTGAGATGGGTCTCCTGCGTACAGCACACTGATGGGTCTTGACTCCTTATCCAATTTGCCAGTCTGTGTCTTTTAATTGGGGCATTTAGCCTATTTACATTTCAGGTTACTATTGTTATGTGTGAATTTGATCCTGTCATGATGATGTGAGCTGGTTATTTTGCCTGTTAGTTGATGCACTTTCTTCCTAGCATTGATGGTCTTTACAATTTGGCACGTTTTTGCAGTGGCTGGCTGGTACTGGTTGTTCCTTTCCATGTTTAGTGCTTCCTTCAGGAGCTCTTGCAAGGCAGGCCTGGTGGTGACAAAACCTCTCAGCATTTGCTTGTCTGTAAAGGATTTTATTTCTCCTTCACTTTTGAAGCTTAGTTTCGCTGAGTATGAAATTCTGGGTTGAAAATTCTTTTGTTTATGAATGTCGAATATTGGCCTCCACTCTCTTCTGGCTTGTAGGGTTTCTGCAGAGAGATCCACTGTTAGTCTGGTGGGCTTCCCTTAGTGGGTAACTCGACCATTCTCTCTGGCTGCCCTTAACATTTTTTCCTTCTTTCAACCTTGGTGAATCTGACAATTATGTGTCTTGGAGTTGCTCTTCTCGAGGAGTATCTTTGTGGTGTTCTCTGTATTTCCTGAATTTGAATGTTGGCCTGCTTTGCTAGGTTGGGGAAGTTCTCCTGGATAATATCCTGAAGAGTGTTTTCCAACTTGGTTCCATTCTCCCCGTCACTTTCAGGTACACCAATCAAATGTAGATTTGGTCTTTTCACATAGTCCCATATTTATTGGAGGCTTTGTTCATTTCTTTTTACTCTTTTTTCTCTAAACTGCTCTTCTCACTTCATTTCATTAATTTGATCTTCAATCACTAATACCCTTTCTTCCACTTGATCGAATCGGCTACTGAAGCTTGTGCATGTGTCACGTAGTTCTCGTGCCATGGTTTTCAGCTCCATCAGGTCATTTCAGGTCTCCTCTACATTGTTTATTCTAGTTAGCCATTCGTCCAATCTTTGTTCAAGGTTTTTAGCTTCCTTGTGATGGGTTTGCACATCCTCCTTTAGCTCGGAAAAGTTTATTACCGACTTCTGAAGCCTACTTCTGTCAGCTCATCAAAGTTATTCTCCGTCCTGCTTTGTTCCATTGCTGGTGAGGAGCTCTGATCCTTTGGAGGAGAAGGGGCGCTCTGGTTTTTAGAATTTTCAGCTTTTCTGCTCCAGTTTGTCCACATCTTCGTGGTTTTATCTACCTTTGGTCTTTGATGCTGGTGACCTACAGATGGGGTTTTGGTGTGGATGTCCTTTTGTTGACGTTGATTCCTTTCTGTTTGTTAGTTTTCCTTTTAACAGTGAGGTCCCTCAGCAGCAGGTCTGGTGGAGTTTGCTGGAGGTCCACTCCAGACCTTCAAACAGGGATTTCTTGGTGTCACCTGTTCTCTCCCATGTGTTTAAATCCAGGGAGAGAATGTATAAATGCTTTCTGCTTATTTTTTATTAGTGTGTTTGCTAGTATTTGTGTAAGCAAAGAAATTGAAAAAATAAACATATTATATCAAAATATTGTAAAAAGGGGACCCTTAATACACAAGATCTGTGTCTGCACTGCCTCAAGAGCTCTGTTCACTTGAATGCTGCATGTAAAATTCATCCCAATTTAGACGAAGTAGTTGAAGCCCTGTGTTAGTTCTCTGTGCTGCAAGTCATGATGGTAGTTTACAGAGAGAGTCTGGGTGCCCTGCATTGGCTGATCTGTGGCAAATGTACTGAGCACGTGCTGCCCATTTTTGTTCGGTCCTCAGAGCAGTCACCCTCCAGCCTGCATTTAGAAGGATAGTTTTATTTCTCTTGAAGGAAAAATGCCTTTGGTTTCTGTGAGCACTCCATTCTGTCTCCCATCAGATCATCTGGAAGGTTTTGTTGTCTAATCTCTGTTGGTTATATCTTCTGTCATCCCTGTCCTGCCTGGCTCATCAGGAATCTGCAGGAGTCTGAAGAGGAGGAAGCCCCCCAGGAGTCCTGGGATGAAGGTGATTGGACTCTCTCAATTCCTCCTGACATGTCTGCCTCATACCAGTCTGACAGGAGCACCTTTCACTCAGTAGAGGAACAGCAAGTCGGCTTGGCTCTTGACATAGGCAGTGAGTACTCCATTTTGAAGGTGATAAAGCTCCAGTTCATGTCCCAGGTAGACCCCATAATCTTTGGGCCTTGTGACCCTGGTTGGGCTGAGAGTTGCCATCACTGTGGGTGGAACCTATATATCAATGTAGATTTCAATCACTCTGGAATCGAGTCTGAAGCACAGGCGTGGGGTGGGTCAGTGAGCTTTGCTCTCTTCCTAGTCTCAGGCCATGCCTGTGCCACCCTGGACTGACTGTCAGGACACTGAACACAAGACGGGCGTGGCAAACTCACACCAAGCTGTGCAGCATATGTCCAGGAGTTGTCTGTCAGATCAGCTCACCTGAGTTAAACGTCTCTTGCCAGCTACAAAGTTCTTTATGAGTTTTGTTCCCAAAGCATGTCTGTGCAGTGCTTTACCTGCCCAAGGCCAGTGTCACCCTTGTCTACCTCTCCGTGGAAGATGTGACCCAGGTTTCACTGAATTTTTCCCCCTTTTCTGTGTCTTCTAAGTTGGCTTGTCATAGCTCATCTGTCCATCATCTTGCTGGTATGTTTTCTAGATAAATGGCTGACTTTTCACCCACAAAAGCCATGATAGCTGATGCTTCTGTGTAGAACCAAGTGTCACTTTGACTCAAGAGCTGGTACATTGCACCCCTCCATCAAATCTCAGTGTCCACAATCTCATAAACTATCAAATCTGGGTATTTGAAGAGAGAAGCCTGAATATTGCAGTATCTCTCCTATGAGGCATTAGAATGATTTGCCTCAAATCTATTGGGAAAAACATTGCTCATTTGTGTACACAAACCTAGGACAGAGCACACTGGGAAGATCACATTCCAAAACAGGGGCATTTTGCCCAAGGCTCATGAAAGGAACCAAGTCAGTTCTCTCAAGACTTGCCCTCAGGCCTCCTGGTATATTTCTCTCAAAGTCTCCTATTCTCACACTGAGAAGACTGATGTCCCTGTGTTAGGATTGGACAGAGGAATGTTTCCGTGTGCAAGGAAGAACTGCTTCATGTAAGAGGCCCTGTCTGAATTTATTTGCAGGACATTGGTGTGATCAAGTGAAAAAGGAGGACCAAGAGGCCACAAGTCCCAGGTGAGTCTGAGAAATTATGGACAGTTAATTTGATGTTGACACCTGGAGATGCCAAGTCCGGGGAAAGCAGTACATGCTGAAAATGATGATTTCATCTTGTCAGACAAGTCTGAATTATGTCTACTAACATTGCTTTTGGTTCTCATTACAGTAAATGTTTAGGTTTCCATTTCTTCCTATCCTTCTCATTTACTAACCTAGTGAAGGTTGACCATACTTCAAAAGCTGTATTCTCATGGTGACTGCAGGGAAGCTTGAGCACATTTTATGCAAAATTGTTGAGCCCACTCTTTTCATGATCACTGTTCATTGTGTGTCCTGAAGGCACAAATATAGAGTGTTCTTTGACTCTCTCATCAGTGTGTCACCTGGCCAATTCACTGAGCTCACTATCTCTCTCTCTCTCTCTCTCTCTCTCTCTGTGTGTGTGTGTGTGTGTGTGTGTGTGTGTGTATGTGTATGTCTTTCTCTTTCATCCTTTTCTACCTGGCCCTGGTCTGTCCCAACATGAAGGCAATAATTTGTTACCTCATTAATAGATCTGTCCTTTTTCTTTTCAAACAGTTCCTTATGTTACCCATGAAATCTAGCTGGGGCTGTGTGGTTTCTGATTCCCCCTGGCTTATTCTTTACTTTTCCTACTTTTCCAGGCTCAGCAGGGAGCTGCTGGATGAGAAAGAGCCTGAAGTCTTGCAGGACTCACTGGATAGATTTTATTCAACTCCTTTTGAGTACCTGGAACTGCCTGACTTATGCCAGCCCTACAGAAGTGACTTTTACTCATTGCAGGAACAACACCTTGGCTTGGCTCTTGACTTGGACAGTGAGTACCTTACTATGAAGGTGATAAGACTCCACCTGGTCCTCCAGATATGGGTGATATTCCTGTTCCAAGTGGCCCTTATTGACCCGAGAGATGTCATTGCCACAGGCAGGACCCGTGGGCGCATAGAGGTTGTAATGAAATTGTAGTTTCAGTTGGAAGCCCAGACATGAAATGGGTCAGTGAGCATGGCTCTATTCCTAGTCTCCAGCCATGCCTGTGGCAACCTGAGCCCACTCTCAGCACATTGGACCCAGGCAGGTGTAAAAAATTCACAGAACCATGATTTGGACTCAAGGGTTTGTAGATTTCCTCCTTCATTCAAATTTCAGTGTCTTGCAACCACGAATGAGCTGGGCATTTGATGAGACAGGGCTGAATACTGCAGTTTTCCTCCTAGAAATCATCTGGGGCATTTTCTTTGAATTGATGGGAGCAATAAGGCATAACTGTTTGCACAAACTTGGGATAAATGATTTTGGGATAACTGTCTACCAGAATAGGGACATTTCACCCTTGGTTCTGAGATGCAAACCAAAGAATCTCTATCATGACCAGCTTTGAGGCCTCCTGAAGTATATCTCTCACATTGTCCTGTTCTCATGCTGAGGAGCCTGAGGTCCCTGTGTGGGGATTAGACAGTGGACTGTTAATGGGTGTAGGTGAATTGGCTTATCTTGTCTGTCCCTGTCTGAATTTATTGCAGGAATGAAAAAGGACCAAGAAGAGGAAGAAGACCAAGGCCCACCATGCCCCAGGTAAGTTTGAGCAATTGTCAACAGCTAATTCTGTGTTGACACCTGGAGACTCCTGGTTCAGGGAAAGCAGAGCAGGCCGACATTATCGATTACATGTTTTCAACCAAGCCTGAATTATTCCTACTCACATTGCTATTGGTTTTCATTGCAGTAGATATTTAGGTTTCCGTTTCTTCCTCCCCTTATCACTTACTAACCTACTGTAGGTCGACCATACTTCAAAAGCTGTATCCTCATGGTGACTGCATGGAAACTTGAGCACATTTTATGGAAAATTATTGAGCACAGTCTTTTCATGATCACTGTATGCTGTGTGCCCTGAGGGCACTAACTCAGAGTGTCCTGTACTCCCTCCTCAGTGTGTCACCTGGACAATTCAGTGAGCGCTCACTCTCTCTCTCTCTGCCTCTGTCTCTCTGTCTCTCTGTCTTTCTCTTTCATTCTTTTCTGTTTGGCCCTGTGCCATCCCAACTGAGGGCAATAATTTGTTACCTCATTAATGGATGTATCCTTTTTCTTTTTTAACCACTTCCTAATGCTACCCATGAAATCTAGTTGGGGCTCTGTGGTGTCTGATTTCCCCTGGCTTATTCTTTACTTTTTCTACTTTTCCAGGCTCAGCAGAGAGCTGCCGGAGGTAGTAGAGCCTGAGGACTTGCAGGACTCACTGGATAGATGGTATTCGACTCCTTTCAGTTATCCAGAACTGCCTGATTCATGCCAGCCCTACGGAAGTTGCTTTTACTCATTGGAGGAAGAACACGTTGGCTTTTCTCTTGACGTGGATGGTGAGTACCTTTCTATGAGGGTGATAAGGATCCACTGAGTTTTCCGTATAGAGATCCTATTCCTGCTCTAAGAGGCCGTTACTGAGCTGAGAGATGTCATTGCTGCACTGAGGACCTATAGGCACATATAGGTTGAACGAAACTCTAGTTCTACCTGGAAGCCCAAACATGGGATGGGTCAGTGAGCGTGGCTCTCTTCCTAGTCTCAGGCCATGCCTGTGGCACTCTGATTCTACTCTCAAGGCATTGGACCTGGGCAGATGGGACAAATTCAGAGAACTATGATTTTGACTCAAGGGTTTGTAGATTTCCTTTCTCACTCTAATTTCAGTGTCTAAAATCCTCACAACTATGAACAATCTGAGTATTTGATGAGACAGGGCTGAATATTGCAGTTTTTCTCCTAGAAATCGTTTGAGGGCATTTGCTTTAAATTGATTGGAAAGATATGGCATAACCGTTTGCACAAACTTGGGACAAATGATATTGGGATAATGATCTACCAGAATAGGGACATTTTACCCTTAGTTTCTGGGACAAAAACCAAGGAATCTCTATCATGACCATCCTTCAGGCCTCCTGAAATATATCTCTCACAGTGTCCTATTCTTATGCTGAGGAGCCTGAGGTCCCTGTGTGAGGATTAGACAGTGGAATGTTATGTGTGTAGGGGAATCAGCTTAATGTGTCTGTCCATGTCTGAATTTATTGCAGAAATTGAAAAGTACCAAGAAGGGGAAGAAGATCAAAAGCCACCATGCCCCAGGTAACTTTCAGCAATTGTGGTCGCTTAATTCTGTGTTAACACCTGGAGACAACAGATCCAGGGAAAACAGTGTGTTTGATTTCATGTTTTCAATGAAGGCTGAATTACTCCTGCTGACATTGCTATTGGTTTTCATTGCAGTAGACGTTTAGGTTTTCATTTCTTCCTCCCCTTATCATTTACTAATGTACCATAGGTTGACCATACCTCAGAAGTTGTACCCTTATGGCGACTGCATGGAATTTTAAGCACACTTGATGGAAAACTATTGAGCTCACTCTTCTCATGATCACTGTTTGCTGTGTGTCCTGAGGGCACTAACTCACAGTGTCCTTTTACTCCCTCATCAATGTGTCACCTGGCCAATTCACTGAGCTCACTTTCTCTCTCTCTCTGTCTCTCTCTCTCACTCTCTGTCTTTCTCTTTCATTGTTTTCTACTTGGCCCTGTTCTATCCCAACATAAAGGCAATAATTTTTTTACCTCATTAATGGAACTATCCTTTTCCTTTTTTGACCACTTCCTTATGTTACCCCTGAAATCTAGTTGGGGCTCTGTGGTGTCTGATTTTCCCTGGCTGCTTCTTTAGTTTTGTCTCCTTTTCCAGGCTCAACGAGGTGCTGATGGAAGCAGAAGAGCCTGAAGTCTTGCAGGACTCACTGGATAGATGTTATTCGACTACTTCAACTTACTTTCAACTACATGCCTCATTCCAGCAGTATAGAAGTGCCTTTTACTCATTTGAGGAACAGGACGTCAGCTTGGCCCTTGACGTGGACAATAGGTTTTTTACTTTGACAGTGATAAGGCACCACCTGGCCTTCCAGATGGGAGTCATATTCCCACACTAAGCAGCCCTTACTAAGCTGAGAGATGTCATTGCTGCAGGCAGGACGTATAGGCACATGTAGGTTTGAATGAAACTGTAGTTCCCTTTGGAAGCCCAGTCATAGGATGGGAAAGTGGGCATGGCTCTATTCCTATTCTCAGACCATGCCAGTGGCCACCTGTGCTCAGTCTGAAGACGTTGGACCCAAGTTAGGTGTGACACGTTCACACGACTATGTAGCACATGCCGGGAGTGATCTGCCAGACATTCTAATTTGAACCAGATATCTCTGGGTAGCTACAAAGTTCCTCAGGGGTTTCATTTTGCAGGCATGTCTCTGAGCTTCTATACCTGCTCAAGGTCAGTGTCATCTTTGTGTTTAGCTCATCCAAAGGTGTTACCCTGGTTTCATTGAACCTAACCCCATTCTTTGTATCTTCAGTGTTGGTTTGTTTTAGCTGATCCATCTGTAACACAGGAGGGATCCTTGGCTGAGGATTGTATTTCAGAACCACTGACTGCTCTTGACAGTTGTTAACCCACTAGGCTCCTTTGAGTAGAGAAGCCATAGTCCTTCAGCCTCCAATTGATATCAATACTTAGGAAGACCACAGCTAGACGGACAAACAGCATTGGGAGGCCTTAGTCCTGCTCCTTTCAATTCCATCCTGTAAAGAACAGGAGTCAGGAGCCGCTGGCAAGAGACAGCATGTCACCTGGGACTCTGCCAGTGCAGAATATGAACAATGCCATGTTCTTGCAGAAAATGCTTAGCCTGAGTTTCATAGGAGGTAATCACCAGACAACTGCAGAATGTAGAACACTGAGCAGGACAACTGACCTGTCTCCTTCACACAGTCCACGTCACCACGAATCACACAACAAAAAGGAGGAGAGATATTTTGGGTTCAGAAGAAGTAAATGATAATGTAGCTACATTTCTTTAGTTATTTTGAACCCCAAATATTTCCTCATCTTTTTGTTGTTGTCATTGATTTTGGTGACATGGACTTGTTTGTAGAGGACAGGTCAGCTGTCTGGCTCAATGGTCTACATTCTGAAGTTGTCTGAAAATGTCTTCATGATTAAATTCAGCCTAAACGTTTCATCAAGAACACTACAGAGTCGATACTGTGAGTTTCCAACCTCAGCCCATCTGTGGGCAGAGAAGGTCTAGTTTGTCCATCAGCATTATCATGATATCAGGACTGGTTACTTGGTTAAGGAGGGGTCTAGGAGATCTGTCCCTTTTAGAGACACCTTACTTATGATGAAGTATTTGGGAGAGTGGTTTTTCAAAGTAGAAATGTCCTGTATTCCAGTGATCATCCTCTAAACGTTTTATCATTTATTAATCATCCCTGCCTGTGTCTATTATTATATTCATATCTCTACGCTGGAAATTTGCTGCCTCAATGTTTACTGTGCCTTTGTTTTTGCTAGTGTGTGTTGTTGAAAAAAAAACATTCTCTGCCTGAGTTTTAATTTTTGTCCAAAGTTATTTTAATCTATACAATTAAAAACTTTTGCCTATCACTCTGGACTGTTGGATTGTTTTTTACATTCAGCGTTATAATCTTTTGTTATGCTGATTGGTTTTGGTGGGTACTGATGCGAATTAATAAAAACATTTTCATTTCCCTGTTTATTTTCTAATCTCTTCCACCTTGTAGGCTATGTTTACCATATGTAGCAGAATGCATGTACTCCATTTCTTGGTTCTAGATATTTATATTCTTTGTGAGAGTGTGTGTGTGTGTGTCTGCGTGTGCCTCTGGCATTTAGGAAGGGTTGTGTAGCTCATGTTTGATATTGACTAAAAATGTTTCATAGTTTTCCCCCCTTTGAACTAGACACACTTCTAATATTTGGTTTATACGTTTTAAATTATGACTTTCAACATCACATATTTCCATATGACAGTCAATTACATGATGTGTTTTCTTTTTCCTACCTCCTTTACCTGCCACTTCTCATAATCGTATTTGAACCTAAACATACACCAGTGACATTCTGTGGTTGTCATCTTGCCCACACCTTGGTTTTTGGTTTAGATCCACAATTAAATATATTAATGCTCATGAGCTGTTCAAAAGTGAATGTCACAGTCATCACTTGCTGAGTGGTACTCATCCTAACAGAGTCCTCATGAGGGAATCAGGTCTCGCTGAGTTTAGCATGTTTAATAATCTTCCTCACGGTCTTGATACATGGATCGCATTACTGGATATAAGGTGTTTGCCCAAAATGATTTTTCTTGTGTTTTTAGGAGCTATTGTCTTCCTTGCGGGACATACATGGTGTATGTTCTCGTTGTGGGATTCTATTTTGTTCTACCAGGACCTATAATTTCTGCCAGTTACTTCATTTGTTCTCTTCACCATGAGTCTCCAGCGGATGCTTCCTTTGTCCATGCCTCCCCATCTCCCAGCAATTCTGCGTTTCCAGGACTGGCACCTCTGGTCCTCTGCATGGTGAAGCCCCTTCCTTTCAATTCCCCAGTAGCCAGTGCTCTAATCCACCAGGTCTCAGGCATGATCTGTGTTTCTCCACATGCTCTTTCTGAGGATAGTTTTACCTGTGTTCTGTCATGAACAGGCCCTCCCTGCTGTCCTGGCCTCGATTTGCTTAGTGTTTCCTGCTCCCTCTGCCCTTGTGTGGCTCCCAGACCAAGTGAAAGAAAATCACCTGAGGGCCACAGTGTTCCCTAGCCCTGGCGTTTAGGGACAGGGTTATGGGTGGGATTTTTGACTCTCTAAGTTAACCCCTAGGGCTTTGAAGTGTCTGTTGAGAAATTCAGCTGTTATCATCCTAGGTGGTCTTGCTCTCTCCTGTCCTCCTACTTCAAATGCAGAACTTCAATCGTGTACAAAAGAAGACCGAGTCATATAACAGAACACACCCTTATTCATTGGCTGGCTTCACCAATCATCTCATGGCTGAACTTTTAAAAATACACTCTTAGCCACATACCTATGAAATGTATATGTGTGTGTATACATATGTGAATTTGCTTCTGAGATTATGGAGGCTGAAATTCCCAAGATGGAAGGAAAGCTGGATGGATACCCAGGAAAGCATTTGTTTCCTATTAGGCCTCTTAATTCTCTCCTGGCCTTTGATTGATTGTATGAGTCCCACCCCCGTTAAGGGGGCAATCTGCTTCACTTAGTCTGCCCATCCCGATCTTAATCACATGCGAAACACTCTCTGGAACATCCAAGAATTTGACATCCAAGAATTTAGCACTAATACAATAATATTATCCAATGTAGATATATTCAGCTTTCCCCATTTGTACCAATAATGCCTTGTATAGCTGTTTTTGAAAGGGAAAATTTTCAAAGGAGAAACTTTGCATACAGTGAAATTCATAGATCTTAGGTGTACATTTCAATGACTTGCACTAAATATATACTCTTCTACCATCATCTCTATATGTTGATACAGGACATTTCCATTGCCCCAAAAGTTTCTCCTTCCAGTCCCTCCCCTTTCCCCTCAACATCTTTTATTATTGTGGTAAGTAGTTCTGGGGATGATTGATTCATCTACAACTTTAGAATTTGCAAAACATATCCCCTTCACCTTTTTAAATGGAGGTAGACTGGAGAAAGGGGGATATGGTGAGTACTGGAGCTAAACAGACCCTGCCTTTTTTTCCCCCCGAGATGGAGTCTCGCTCTGTCGCCATGCTGGAGTGCAATGGCGCGATCTCAGTTCACTGCAACCTCCGTCTCCCAGGTCCAAGCGATTCTCCAGCCTCAGCCTCCCGAGTAGCTGGGATTACAGGCATGTGCTACCGCATCCGGGTACTTTTTTTTGTATTTTTAGTAGAGCTGGGGTTTCACCATGTTGGCCAGGCTGGTCTCAAACTCCTGACTTCAAGTGATCCGCCCGCCTCGGCCTCCGAAAATGTTGGGATTATAGGTGTGAGCCACTGCACCCAGCCCAGACTCTGCTCTTATCCTAATTTTACCTTATTAGCTGTGTACTATGGACAGGTTACCTAACATCTCTGAATTTCAGTTTTTTTCCACATGTAAAATGGGTCATTTGTAAAAATTAGCACAACATATGTCAAGCACGTGAGAACTCACCAAACATTGATTCCCTCCCCATTTCCCTCTTTCTCTTTATTTGATACTCAAAATAATCTTCATTCAATCATTTATGCAACAAATTCTTTTTTTTTTTTTTGAGGCAGGGTCTCAGTCGCTCAGGCTGGAGTGCAGTGGCACAATCATGGCTCACTGCAGCCTCGACCTCCCAGGCTCAAGTGATCTTCCCTCAGCCTTCTGAGTTGCTGGGACCACAGGCATGTGCCACGTGCCCGACTAATTTTTTTTTGTAGAGACAGGGTCCCCCTGTGTTGCCCAGGCTGGTCTCAAACTCCTGAGTTAAAGTGATCCTCCCACCTGAGCCTCCCAAAGTGCTGGGATTATAGGCATGAGCCACCCACACCTGGCCTGTGGCTATTTTTACTCATATTGTTTCTTGTGAGCTAAGCATCTGACATACAGTAGATACTCCATAAGAATTTGTTAGGCAGGCCCTGTGGCTCGTGCCTGTAATCCCAGCACTTTGGGAGGCCGAGGTAGGAGGACCACTTAAACCCAGGAGTTTGAGATCAGCCTGGGCAACATAGGGAGACCCTGTCTCTACAAAAATTAAAAAATTATCCAGGCCGGGTGCAGTGGCTCATGCCTATAATCCCAGCACTTTGGGAGGCTGAGACGGGTGGATCACGAGGTCAGGAGATCGAGACCATCCTGGCTAACACGGTGAAACCCCATCTCTACTAAAAATACAAAAAAAAATTAGCTGGGTGTAGTGGCGGACGCCTGTAGCCCCAGCTACTCGGCAGGCTGAAGCAGGAGAATGGTGTGAACCCGGGAGGCAGAGCTTGCAGTGAGCCGAGATAGCGCCATTGCACTCCAGCCTGGGCAACAGAGCGAGACTGCGCCTCAAAAAAAAAAAAATTATCCAGGCATGGTGGCACGTGCCTGTGGTCCCAGCTACTCAGGAAGCTGAGGTGGGAGGATTTCCTGAGCCCAAGAGGTTGAAGCTGCTGTGAGCACATCACTGCACTCCAGCCTGGGCAACAGAGCAAGACACTGTCTCAAAAAAATAAAGTATACAAAATGAACAAACACACAAACAAACAAAACGGAAGTACCCAGTGCCCTTAGAGGGTATAATGGGGGTTCTGACTCTCTCAGGGCTGCTGATCAGGAAGGGCATGGCATCCAGGAGGAGGTGAACCTTTATCAGAGAACAAAGGAAACAGGATAGAATGAGGCAAGGCTTTTAAAGGATAGAGCAGGGCTCTCCAGGAAGATGAGACAGGGTGTGCAAATGTCCTGTGGCAGGAGAGAGTATGGTGCATTCAAAGAACTAAAAGGCTCAGGTAGCTACAGCAAGAAGCAAGATGTGGCTGAAGCTGGTAAGGACCAAGCTTTGCAGGGCCCAGCCAACACTAGTTGGAAATCAGGTCACACAACAGCAAGGAGGCGCTGTGGGTGGCTTTTCAGCAGGGGTGTGGTTAGGGGTGTGACGTGATCAGACCTGCCCTGGGAAGAGAAAGCAGTGTCACTTCCTGAGACCACGGGGACGCCTTGCAGCCATCCTGGGGAGGAACTAGTTGCCTGGACCAGGATGGTAGTGATGGAGACGAGGAGATGGTCAGATTTTGGAAATATTTAGGGATCATTGGTAAAACTCACAGGACTTGGAGATGGTCTGGACACAGGGAGGAAGGGACAAGGAGGAGGACCAAGTCTCAGGTGTGAGGAGTTACAGCTGGAGAAGGACTGAGGGCTGGAGAGGAGTTGGGTACCATTATCCTCCTCTTGAGTTGAAAAAGCCAAGGTTCTGTGAGGTAAAAAGACTGAACATGGCCAGAGAGTTCGAGGGGGGCGGGGGTGGTGGCAATGATGCTGTTGTGAACACCTGCTGCTCCGGGACTTCCAGCCGGGGAACGGGGGTGGTGGTAAGAAATGCTCTGTTGCTGAAGGTCTGGGATCATCCACGTCTGGGCATTCTGGAAGAAAACTTCGCACCTCATATGGAAGACGGAGCTAGCAAGAATGGAGCCAAGAAACCGTTTCCTGGGAGCACAAAAATATCCTGGGCAGCAGCTGCCCCACTAACAGCACGTGGTACGTGGCACACAGTAGGCGCTCAATGGCCCACGACACTCTGCTGAGGCTGGCCCAGCACCTGAAGCCTAGGGGCCGTTGGGGCGACTGCTCTGCCCACTCCTTCTCACCCACCTCTTGGCTACCTCAGATTTCGGGGTCAATCAAGAATAGTAACCCCTGGCCGGGTGCGGTGGCTCACACCTGTAATCCCAGCACTCTGGGAGGCCGAGGCAGGCAGATCACGAGTTCAGGAGATCGAGACCATCCTGGCTAACATGGTGAAACCCCGTCTCTGCTAAAAATACAAAAAATTAGCCGGGCATGGTGGTGGGTGCCTGCAATCCCAGCTACTCGGGAGGCTGAGGCAGGAGAATGGCGTGAACCCAGGAGGTGGAGCTTGCAGTGACCCGAGATCGTGCCACTGCACTCCAGTCTGGGCAATAGAGCAAGACTCCGTCTCAAAAAAAAAAAAAAAAAAAAAAGAATAGTAACCCCTTCCCCTACCTGGAAAGCCCAGGTGCTAGGACAAAAAAAGAGAGGGTGAATGTTTTTGAAAACCTATGGCTGGGCACAGTGGCTCATGCCTGTAATCCCAATACTTTGGGAGGCTAAGGTGGGCAGATCACTTGAGTTCAGGAGCTCGAGACCAGCCTGGTCAAAATGGTGAAACCCCGTATCAACTAAAAATACAAAAAAAATTAGCTGGGCTTGGTGACACACGCCTGTAATCCCAGCTACTTGGGAGGCTGAGGCACAAGAATCACTTGAATCTCAGAGGTGGAGGTTGCACTGAGCTAAGATCAGGACACTGCACTCTAGCCTGGGTGACAGAGTAAGACTCTGTCTCAAAAAAAAAAAGAAAAAGAAAACCTACTGCATGACAGGGACAATGCTGGTCTTTACACCTATTCTGAAGATTTAATTACTAGATTGATTTAAGAGTAAATTAATTTCCATTTACTTTTTATTTTTATTTTTTTAGAGACAGGGTCTTGTTCTGTCACCCAGGCTGGAGTGCAGTGGTGCGATCATATTGATAGCAGCAGGAGGCAGACAAATGCCTAGGTAGATAGGGGCGGGTCCCCGGTGAAACCACAGCTTCAAGCCAAAAACAGCTGGACTGCTGGTTCCAGAGGAGTGAGAACTTCTGTTCCTGTTTGCCTACCCTTTACTGACTGGCTCTTTCTGAATAATGCTCTTTAACCAATCAAATGTTGCCTTTTTCAATACTACTTACAGCCTGCCCCTCCCTAATGCTATGCCTGTAAAAATCCCAGACTCAGCCACACTGAGGGAGATGACCTGACTTTGGGTGAGACACCACCTACCCATCCCCTTTCCTCCAAGAGCTGTTTTGTAGCTCAATAACATTCTCAGCCCTCATCACCCTTCAATCGTCGGCATGACTTCATTTTTCTTGGACGAGGGACAAGAGCTAGGGACCTACCGAATGTGAGTACCCAGAAGGCTGTAGCACTGTGGCCCTCTGCCCTCTGCTGGTGGAGGGCAGCCGCTCCATCTGACAGAAGCAGTGGTGAGGCTGAGCCAGTCCTGGAGCCCTGGGCCAGAGCAGGGCAAGGAGCTGAGTGAGCTGCTAACACACTGCTGTCCATCAGGCTGCAGATGGTGGAACTGAGAGCTAATTAGCATACTGTAACACCCCCTCTGGGGCTTTGGCATTGAAAACACCCCTGCCTGGGCACCACTGTGTTCCCTTCTGGGCAACACGCCTGGTCCAGCCACCAGCCTTGCACGGAGCCTGCTCCTGTGTTGGGGCTCAGCGCTCAGAACAGCCAGCCAGACCCCACAATCACTTACTCACACACCCCCTCCCTCCTGGGACTGAGTGCACAGTCACAGGGGCCACAGGATCCACACTGGAAGCTTGCCTTCAAGCACAGCCCAGCGGGCCAAGTTGACGGGGCATCTCCTGCTGTGAGCCTGACAAAGGGAGCAAAAAAAATCCTGCGCCAATAGCTCACTGCAGTCTCGACCTCCCGGGCTCCAGTGATCCCCCTCCCACATCAGCCTCCTGAGTAACTGGGACTGCAAGTGCGCACCACCATGCCCAGCTAAGTTTTTTGACTTTTTGTAGAGATGGGAGTCTCACTATGTTGCCTGGGCTGGTCTTGAACTCCTGACCTCAAGCAATCCTCCTATCTTGGCCTCCCAGCGTGCCGGGATTACAGGCATGAGTCACATTCCCATTTTTATAGATAAGGAAACTGAGGTTCAGAGGGGAATACTTTTGGTCGAGTGGACACAGGCAGCAAGTGACAGGGGTGAGGTTCCAACTCCTGTCTGTCCAACTCCTCAGCTTGAACCCTTTCTGCTGCAGGCAGGAAAAGAACTAAGTATTGGGTCAAAGAGGTCAAGGTTGGTTCTGAAGCTCCCCAGGGTTCAGAAATTTGGAAAAGTAAAATTGATGCTGGTGTAACTGGCAGAGTTCAATTTCAATTTCCTAAGCACCTCCCTGCTGCACCCCTTGAGAGTGGGGAGGAGACAAAATTCCCAAGCAGGGGGAAGTGATTACATTTCACTCAAATACTTGGCAACCTGCCCCAGAGGGTAATTAGCATTGAATGCTGAAAATAGGGGAGAGCAAAGGCTGAGTAGGGCCCCTGGGAGAAGTGGCAACAGATTATTGTTTAGAACTGCGAGTTTCAACAGCAGTGGTTTTCTTCCAGAGAAGAGGTCTGCCTTGCCTTCCTCTCCAGAGCCCTCTAGGTTAGATGAGAGTGATGCCAGTGAGGCCCTTCGCCATCTCCTATCCCTGCTGTTAGGACCCTAGGACCCAGTAGCAGTTCACATCAGTGAGGTTCTGCCTGCAACACTTTTATCCACAGGCTCCCTAAACCTCACCGGTCGTGGCCCAAGAGAGCCTGTTGGTCCCTGGGTTGCTGTGTCCACAGCAGGCTGCCATTGTGTATAGGACACCTGGCTGCAGGAAAGGTTTACTGAGCACTTAATGTGTGGAAGACATTCTGCTAGTGCTTTGCAGGGAACAGAGGTTAGATCCATCTCTTGTCCCCAGGGAGCTCACAGCCTCATAGAAGCTCTACTCCTTGCCCAGAGTAGAAAACTCTCCAGGGTGGTAATCCGACGTGGTCTTAAATAACCCCAACCACAGATTAGGAAGGTTTTCCTTTTTCAGTTTTGTTTCCATCTATCAGAGCCACTACATCTTCAACACTTCCCTACCACTGGCTAAAAGTCTGTGGCAGGCAAATGAGATTGGTTTTCCATTTATAATGGCGATTTAATTATAAAATAAATCTATTGCAGTTAAAAAAAGAAAAGGTGGCTGGATGCTGCAGCTCACTTCTGTAATCCCAGCATTTTGGGAGGCTGAGGCAGGAGGATTGCTTGAGCCCAGGAGTTCGAGACTAGCCTGGGCAATATAGTGACACCCTATCTCTGCAAGAAAAAAAAAAAATTAGCTAGGTGTGGTGGTGCACACCTGTAGTCTCAGCTACTTAGGAGGCTGAGGCAGGAGATTGGCTTGAGCCTGGGAGGTCAAGGCTGCAGTGAGCTGTGATTGTGCCACTGCACTCCAGCCTGGGCAACAGAACAAGACTCCGTCTCAAAAAGAGAAGAGAAGGGAATGGAAGGGGAAGGGAAGGGGAAGGGGAGAAAAGGTGCATCCAATTGAAGAAGTATACCCACTAAGTAATAGTACAAGTGGTGACCTTTGGACGTGCCAACAACTAAGAAAGAGGTAAGCAGCTATCTAGAATGTGAGAGAACTCTCTAGAAGGGGAACTCACTGCCCCCACCCAGCACCAGCGACTCACAAGTATCCTGTGGAATCCCTGTCCCACGTATTTCCAAAATATGCTAAAGATTCGAGGACTTTTGTTTTGGCCCAGGATCAACTGGTAAAGGACCTCCTTGGGATAGGAGAGCCATGAACAAGTTTGGTATTGTTTTCCGTGAGGATGCTTCCCTCCCTCCACCAACTCCACTCCCTGGGAAAAAAATTAACATAAACAAAAGCACTTGGATTCAGTTAACACTGGGTGAGCTGAACATTGTTTCGAAACTAAAGTTTTGTTTTGTTTTTTTTGAGACAGAGTCTCGCTCTGTCGCCCAGGCTGGAGTGCAATGGTTTGATCTCAACTCACTGCAACCTCCACCTCCTGGGTTCAGGTGATTCTCCTGCCTCAGCCTCCCGAGTAGCTGGGATTACAGGCGCGTGCCACCACGCCCAGCTAATTTTTGTATTTTTAGTAGATACGGGGTTTCACCATATTGGTCAGGCTGGTCTCGAATTTCTGACCTCGTGATCCACCTGCCTCGGTCTCCCAAAGTGCTAAGATTACAGGCGTGAGCCACTGCGCCTGGCCGAAACTAAGTTTTAAGATAATTCAAGGGGCAGTGGTAAAACAGAAAAGGTCTTCTACCCAGAGAGAGAGAGAGAGAGAGAAAGAGAAAGAGAGAGGTGAGGACTTGGGGCCACCAGTTCCATTGTTGAAGACTCAACTCCCAGCACCAAGGTCCGCTTTAGACCTTAGACTCCCAGAGCATGGTGAGACCCCGTCACCCACCTCTTCTATGTAATTAGAAATGTCAACGACACTCACCCACAAACACCTAACATGTATGCCAACATTGAAAGTAGTTTATACTTCGGGATTGCTAACTTACTGAATGCAAAATTTTGCATAAGATGGTTGAATGGACTTTTGTTCTTGGGTTTTGTATAGATTTGGGGGTTCTCCCACTTTCCTGCCCTCACTTTTTAATAGTAAACACTGGTTCCTAAGGAAGGGTGGGGCTATGACCTGGCCCAGCTCAGGGGCTGCCGCTGTACCCAGGCTCAGAGTGTGAACGTATCAACTGCAGGCTCACTCTGCTGTCAGTCCCCTGCTGGTCTGTTAGCCAGTCAGTCAGTAGCCTGTCCCGCCTCTTTGGCACCAGGTAGATTCCCACGCAGGCAATAATCATCAGAGTTTTCTCCCCACAGAGCCCCTGCACTGGGGATACTGGAAAATCAGGAAACAGTGACTGACCTCACAGGTGCAGAAAACGGCCCAATAATAGGGAACAAAGTAGTCTCTCATCGGCTGGGCATGCTGGCTCACATCTGTAATCCCAGCACTTTGGGAGGCCAAGACAGACGGATCACCTGAGGTCAGGAGTTCGAGACCGGCCTGGCCAATATGGTGAAACCCCGTCTCTACTAAAAATACAAAAATTAGCCTGGCATGGTGGCACGTGCCTGTAGTCCCAGCTACTCAGGAGGCTGAGGCAGGAGAATTGCTTGAACCCAGGAGGTGGAGGTTGCAGTGAGCCAAGATTGCACCTCTGCACTCCAGCCTGGGCGACAAAGCAAGACTCCATCTCAAAAAAAAAAAAAAAAAAAAAAAAAAAGTCTCTCATCCATTGTCATGACACACAGTAGCAATGAAAGACACATTCCCAGACTGGCAGAGCAGGGCTGGGCCCCAGACCATGCCTCCTCCAACCTTGTCATTTTACAAATAAGGAAGTAAGAGTTCAGTGTTACTAGTGGCTCACACAAAGGAGGGCCGGGGTGTGTGTGCATGTGTCATTGAATTACGGATGAAAAAATCTTCATTGAATCAGAATAGAACTTTGTTGTAAGTTTGCTGGAGCAGAGAAGAGGTTGGAACCAGGTCTGGTTGAGCTACTTAGGCATGGTGCAGAGACCGTGGGGTGGAAAGAGCTGGGGAGCGGGTACCTGTGGTGGATTCTGACCCACCTCTGTTCATGCAAATGGCTGCTTGGTCTATAAGCAGCCTCTATCTAAGCAAGTACAGAAGCACTGAGATTGGTACTCCTTTGGAGGAAATATTTTGACGTGCCGTGACCAGCCCAGCTCTGAGGCCTGGAGAGAGCTCCCTTCTGCCTGCCCAATTCTGGGGAATGTCCCTTTCTGCCCTCAGGGATGCAGTGCCCACACTCTGGAGCTGGTGGCCATAATGGTTGTCTCTACAGACCATGTTGAGCAAGTTGCTTTCTGTCCCCTCTCTCCTAGGGGGAGGTCAGGTGATACTGGGACACGGAGAATATTTGAGTGTGAACCATCCTTAAATGGAGATGATTCTGTGCACGCTCCAGGCGCACACATGGGCACATGCCCACTCACATGCCCACAGGGCTTGAAGCAGGAGAGGTACGGGGGTGGGTGGGTTGTGTCTTCTCTCCATGGAGAAATAAAAAAGTTGGATGATTGTGGCTCATGTTACAGAGAAATAAGGAAGTGAATTTTTGGGGTAGAACATTTTTTAGTAACACAAAACTAATATTTGGATGGGGGAAATTGTGAGACTATGACTGGAAATTCCGGGGATCTCCATTGGCTTAGGAAAGCTCCATTCGGTCAGGCTTCTCCCGTACTGGAAGCGGGAACTGGAAAGTCAGAGACTGAAGCTATTTGCCTGGTGTCTTGGGCTGCAGGTGTCTCTTACCTCAGTTTCTCTCTCAGTAACTGCTCTCTTCTCTCTCAGCTCCTCAGATTCCACCAGCTAACCTTGACCCTCAAGACCCAGGAGAATCTGATCTTTCATCCCTCATGGCCAACAACTGCCCTTCCCTGACTTTCTTAGTTCAGATTCTGATTGTGAATCTGATTGGCTCAGCTCCTCCTTTTGAATCAGGAGACAAGACCAGGGATTGGCTGAACCCCATCTAGTCAGCTGTGGCTAGAGGAGTGTGTGTGTGTGTGTGTGTGTATGTGTGTATGTGTGGTGTCCTGGGATGGCTGCTTAGTGCAACAGGTGTTGTGGTAGCTTCCCCAGCATCAGGGAACCTGCAAGCAGGGCCTCTAGGTGTGTCTAAGTTTGTTTTTTGTTGCTTATAATAGAATATCTGAAGCTGAGTAATTTATAAGGAAAAATAATTTATACCTTACAGTTATGGAGGCTGAGAAGTGCAAGGTCACGGGGTTGCATCTGGTAAGGGCCTTCTTGCTGGTGGAATCCTGAGGCAGTGCAGGGTATCACACGGCGAGGGGGCTGAGCATGCTAGTTCAAGTCTCTCTTTCCTCTTCTCTTCTTTAAGAGACAGAGTCTCGCTCTGTCACCCAAGTTGGAGTGCAGTGGTGTGATCATAGCTCACTGTAGCCTCAAACTCCTGGGCTCTAGAGATCCTTCTGCCTCAGCCTCCCAAGTAGCTGAGACTACAGGAGCTGACAACTACATCTGAATTCATCTTCTTCTTCTTATAAAGACATCAGTTCCACTTGTATGATAACTCATTAATCCATAAATGGATTAATCTGTTCACGAGAGCAGAGCGAGCCCCTTATGAGCACTTCTTAAAGGCACCACCCCTCAATACTGCCACATGCAGGATTGTCAACCTTAATCTTGGAGGGGACATTCAAACCGGAGCAGCGTGTGTCCTCTTAGTTGTAGAACCAAGGAGCAAAAGTAGTTTGTGGCAGAGGGAAGTAGGATAACTGAATTTCATCATCTGGGGGCGGGGGATTGGGGGTGTCTCATCCCATTCACAGGCCAGTCCCCTCTTCTTTGGGAGCTGCCATGTTGGCACTGCATGATCCCGCCCCTATCCATGGTTGATTGGACCAGGAGTGGACCAAGCTGGGCCAATCCAATGTCTTTGGGAGCTGCCATGTTGGCATCGCATGATTCAGCCCCCATCTGTGGTTGATTGGACCAGGAGAGGACCCAGCTGGGCCAATCCAATTGTCTCTCCTGGGCACTGGGATTGCAATGCACTTGCTTGGGGAGCCCTGGGGAGGCAAGGTCCTGCTGCAACAACAAGGAGGAGGAGAAAATGGGTCTACAAGCACAGACGAACAAAGCAGGCACAGAGAGAAGAAACTCAGAGATAGGAAATGGGTTGGACTGGTAACTGATCAAATCTCTGCTTCCAGTCTCTTCTGGAGTATTGGCTGCCTTCCTGCCCTTGGCTGTCATGGACGAACCCCCCTTTTAATAAACTATTCTCTTTGGTTATGCCAGTGGAGAGGTTTTCCATTACCTGCAACTAAATTTTTCATTAATATAGATATCCAATAAAATAATGCTCATAAGAGCAGGTATATCTCTTCCAAGGGACTTACAGGTATTATTTTACATAAACTTCCCAACAACCCTCTGTGGAAGTTGTTAACATTCCCATTTCACAGATGAAGAACTGAGGCACGGAGAGCCTCACTTGCTCAAGGTCAAGCAGCTACTGGAGCCAGATTTGAGCCCAGGTAGTCTGACTTCAGAGCCTGGGCCACAGTCCATCACTATAGACCTTTTCATTTGCAACTGCTAGGAGATGAGGGCTCAGGCCTTCGGAGCCCACCCCATCACGCGCTCACTCTAGCCCTGCAAGCACACAGAAAACTGGAGGAGTTGAAATCTGAGGAGGGATGTTTGCCCTCTGTCCCCCGCTGCCCTAACCACTCCCGCCCCCTGGAGGTATGTGAAGAGTCCAGAATCCCTGGGATTCCTGACACTGCACTTTGAGGTGATAAACATTAAACCCACTAGTCTTCCTTACTCTGAGTGCCCAGAAACACCTGGGACCACGTAGAAGGAGGCTGTCAAGGAGACTGGACTGTCCTGGAGGTGTGCCACACAGTCACTCTCACCTTCCAGAAGGGCTTGTGGGCATGCCCTCTCTCTCCCCTGACAGAGACTGTGAGGCCCCGTGGTTAGGGGGCCTAGGCTGGGAGCCACATGCTGGGTGCCTGATCTTGGTTTAGCCTCCAAGCCTCCGTTTTCATTCTCTGTTGAATGGGGATCATAATAACCCCTACCCAGAGGAGTAAATGAGATAATGCATCCAAAGGGCTTAAAAACTTGGACAGGATTAGGAAAATGTTGGCGTATGATGGGAGAAAAGCAGGGACTCTCAATATGTATCATCCTACGCGCCTATCCTTTTAAAGTTTTTTTAAAAATTAGATTTGGAAAGATAAAAACCAAGGTGTTAAATGGGATATCTCTGTGTGATAAGATTACCAGGCATTTTAGTTTACTTGACTTTTTGCATTTACACTTCCTAGCATGAACCTAGATGATTTATATATTTTAAAACATATTGGACTTTACACATATACAATATTTTTATTATTATTTACTTCAAGTGCTTGCCTAAATCCTAAAGCTATTGTGTGTGGGACACTTGTGAGTTGCCTCTCCAGCACCCACTCCCCTCTTCTCTTTTCAGGGCAGATTGGGTGGGTTGAACTCCACTCCATCTCCAAGGGTGGGCCTGGATTGGCTTAAATCAATCACTGTTGTGACAGGCTTAGGGAGCTCATCGTGGAGGCTGGGTCCAGGAGATGCAATTCCAAGACTTGTGTTTGTTTGGGGAAATAGATTTTCTTTCTTTCTTTTCTTTCTTTTTTTCTTCTTCTTTTTTTTTTTTAATATATTAACAGTGACTTCCATATATCACCTGGGAACCTCTGCTTGGGTGAGAATGGGCCCAAGAGGGAGGAAGAGGAGCTGAGAATGGAAAGACAGAAAAGCAAGGTCCTGATTATATCACTGAACCACTGGGAAGACGCTCTGGATGTAGACTTTTTTTTTTTTTTTTTTTTTTGAGACAGGATCTCACTCTGTCATCCAGGCTGGAATGCAGTGGTGTGATCACTACCCGCTGCAGCCTCGACACCCCCATACCCCCTCCACCACCAGCTCAAGCCATCCTCCCACCTCAGCCTCCAAAGTAGCTGGGACTACAGGTACGTGCCATAATGCTCAACTACTTTTTGTGGGGTTTTGTTATTGTTGTTGTAGTGTTTGTTTTTTTGTAGAGATGGGATTTTGCCACATTGCCCAGGCTGGTCTCCAAGTCCTGGGCTCAAGCCATCCTCCTGCCTTGGCCTCCCAAAGTGCTAGGATTACAGGCATGAGCCATCGTGCCCTGCCTCTGGTTATAGACTTTTCATTTTAGTGAGCCCATACATTCCATTATTTTCAAAACCAGTTTGAGAAGTTGTATTTTCTGTTACTTGGAGCTTTCTAACTGGTGATGAAACTGGTACCAGAAGTGGGATGTTGCAAGTAACAGGCCTTGCACAGTGGGACTTGTAGAGCTGACAAGGTAGGTGCAGGAGACCTGGACCTGAGGCTCTTGGCTGGGAAGGTGGCAACTCTCAAATAGTTGGTAATTAAAGAATTGGTTACTCCACAGCCTGCTGAATCTTGGAATTTAAACCATGTGCCTACATAAGGCTACTTCTTTAGGAGACTTGTGGGAAAATTTTAGCATTTTGAAATGTTTGGCTGGCCACTTCTTGTGGTTTTTAGTAAATTCCTACAAGAAAGAAATATACTTCTTTTGAAACAGGGCTGCTTGAAAGAAGAGAGGGAAGAACTACAGCTTTGCTAAGAGAGGCCCTTTGGACTTGAGTCCTGCCATTCAAGTTGATGGAGAGTCCAGGAGTCCAGCCAAAAAGCTTAATTCTCTACTTCAAGCCATGTTTAGTGTAAGGGGAGGCCAGGAGGTAGGAGAGAGCAGGAGATAAAACTGAAGAATCTTCAGGCCCCTCCTAAACACAGCCTGTTAAGTATTCTTTGTTTGACAAGCAGACCCAGCTCCTCTTCTCATGTTCTTGCTGGGATGTAGACAGTAAACAAGAGGCCAATTACTGGTACCTCTCTGCCCCTGTCCATGGCTTTAACCTGCCAAGATAGAGGTCATCCATTAAAACAAGGCCTGGAGGAATGCATAGAGCTCAAGGTCAGTTGTCAGGAGATACGTACTTCCAGGTTGTGTTCTGGACACAGAGACGTCGAAGGTCTCTGGGTTGGGCTACTGGTCCGTGCATTTCAGTGGAAGCAAATAGACAGGACACAGAGTAAGCCTTTAAAAATATTGTTGGCTTGGTGTGGTGGGTCATACCTGTAGTCCCAGCATTTTGGGAGGCCGAGGCAGGCAGATCACTTGAGGTCAGGAGTTTGAGACCAGCCTGGCCAACATGGTGAAACACTGTCTCTACTAAAAATACAAAAAAAAAAAAAATTACCTGGACGTGGTGGCATGCACCTGTAATCCTAGCTACTCGGGAGAAGGAGGCAGGAGAATTGCTTGAACCTGGAGGCAGAGGTTGCAGTGAGCTGAGATCATGCCACTGCACTCCAGCCCAGGCTACAGAGCGAGACTCCATCTCAAAAACAAACAAACAAACAAAAAAAGAATATTGCTAAAAGAATCCCCAATGTGGCCAACACCAGCCTGCCACTGCCCAGGCCCTAAAGCCTCCTTAGGTCCCTGAATTTGCATCTAACAGGAAGCGGGATGCTAAAATGGTACAGCATCCCAGGGGAAGCATCTCCAAGGCTTATATCAGCTGTATCCACAGAAGACAGGGAGATGATGGCTGGGCTCAGTGGCTCATGCCTGTAATCCAGCACTTTGGGAGGCCAAGGTGGGTGGATCTCTTGAAGTCAGGAGTTCGAGACCAGCCTGGTCAACATGGCAAAACCCCATCTCTACTAAAAATACAAAAATTAGCTGGGCCTGGTGGTGCGCACCTGTAATCCCAGCTACTCCGGAGGCTGAGACAGGAGAATCACCAGGAGGCAGAGGTTGCAGTGAGCCGAGATCACACCACTGCATTCCAGCCTGGGAGACAGAGCGAGACTGGGTCTTAAAAAATAAAAAACAAAAAAAAAGAAGAAGAAGACAAGGAGATGGACAGGCAGGCTGAGGTACAGGCAGGAAGATGGATGAATCTTTAAGAAGATTTTATCAGAGTTGATGAAAGCCCTGTGTCAGGGGTGAAGGAGATCTCTCTGACGTCCTGGGTGTAGCCAAGCTTTTGTCCTACTTACTAAGGATGGCTTCTTTTCTGTTTTTTTTTGTTTTGTTTTGTTTTGTTTTTACCCCAAAATATGCATATCTATTATGAATCAATTTCAAAAGGGCAAACATTGTGTGATTTCATTTATATGAAGTACCTTAAGGACAAGCTCATGGAGTTACTTTCTTATCTCTCTCCTGAGACTACAAGTTTCTTGAGGACAGGAAATATGTCACTAATCTTTGAACCGCTCAGGGGCTTTGTTAAATAGTTCAGGGCACACTAAGTGCTCAGCAAATACTTATTGATCTGAATTTAGAAGTCTCAACAAAATTTGTTATATTGCCTGAGTCAGCCCAGAAGTGAAGTCTTCACATCATATTATTTTAGTATAAAACTGTTCTTACTTAGGATATCAGCAGACTCTCTGTTAATATGTCTGTTGGCTTTCAGTGACATCTGAATTGTTGACTGCATGCTTCTTGAAACATTTTTCTGGCTTTAGGATGTCATACTTCCCTAGATTTACTTTCTAATTCTCCATTTACTGCTTTTAAGTCTCTTTGGTAGACTCTTCTCTGATGAGCACTTAAAGATGAGCATTCCCTGGGTGTTTGTCCTTGGAAATCTGTTTACACTGGTACCAGTTCTTCCCAAATGCTTGTCCTCAAATAGTGTCATTTCATGATAGCCATTTTTTCAATGAAGGTCAGTGTAATGAGTCTTTTATCTACGTTAATTGGTTAATTGGGAGGACTGCCCTTCGTTTTAGGATTGTGTTATCCATACTTTTTTTTTTTTTTTTTTTTATTGATCATTCTTGGGTGTTTCTCGCAGAGGGGGATTTGGCAGGGTCATAGGACAATAGTGGAGGGAAGATCAGCAGATAAACAAGTGAACAAAGGTCTCTGGTTTTCCTAGGTAGAGGACCCTGCGGCCTTCCGCAGTGTTTGTGTCCCTGGGTACTTGAGATTAGGGAGTGGTGATGACTCTTAAGGAGCATGCTGCCTTCAAGCATCTGTTTAACAAAGCACATCTTGCACCGCCCTTAATCCATTTAACCCTGAGTGGACACCGCACATGCCCCAGAGAGCACAGGGCTGGGGGCAAGGTCACAGATCAACAGCATCCCAAGGCAGAAGAACCCCTCCCAGTACAGAACAAAATGAAGTCTCCCATGTCTACTTCTTTCTACACAGACACAGCAACAATCTGATTTCTCTATCTTTTCCCCACCTTTCCCCCTTTTCTATTCCACAAAACCACCATCGTCATCATGGCCCATTCTCAATGAGCTGTTGGGTACACCTCCCAGACAGGGTGGTGGCCGGGCAGAGGGGCTCCTCACTTCCCAGAAGGGGTGGCCAGGCAGAGGCGCCCCCCATCTCCCTCCCGGACGGGGCGGCTGGCCGGGCGGGGGCTGACCCCCCACCTCCCTCCCGGACGGGGCGGCTGGCCGGGCGGGGGCTGACTCCCACCTCCCTCCCAGACGGGGTGGCTGCCGGGCGGAGACGCTCCTCACTTCCCAGACGGGGTGGCTGCCGGGCGGAGGGGCTCCTCACTTCTCAGACGGGGCGGCTGGGCAGAGACGCTCCTCACCTCCCAGACGGGGTCGCGGCGGGGCAGAGGCACTCCCCACATCTCAGACGATGGGCGGCCGGGCAGAGACGCTCCTCACTTCCTAGATGGGATGGCGGCCGGGCAGAGACGCTCCTCACTTCCCAGACTGGGCAGCCGGGCAGAGGGGCTCCTCACATCCCAGACGATGGGCAGCCAGGCAGAGACGCTCCTCACTTCCCAGACGGGGTGGCAGTCGGGCTGAGGCTACAATCTCGGCACTTTGGGAGGCCAAGGCGGGCGGCTGGGAGGTGGAGGTTGTAGCTAGCGAGATCACGCCACTGCACTCCAGCCTGGGCACCATTGAGCACTGAGTGAACAAGACTCCGTCTGCCATCCCGGCACCTCGGGAGGCCGAGGCTGGCGGATCACTCGCGGTTAGGAGCTGGAGACCAGCCCGGCCAACACAGCGAAACCCCGTCTCCACCAAAAAAATACGAGAACCAGTCAGGCGTGGCGGCGCGCGCCTGCAATCGCAGGCACTCGGCAGGCTGAGGCGGGAGAATCAGGCAGGGAGGTTGCAGTGAGCCGAGATGGCGGCAGTACAGTCCAGCTTCGGCTCGGCATCAGAGGGAGACCGTGGAAAGAGAGGGAGAGGGAGACCGTGGGGAGAGGGAGAGGGAGACCGTGGGGGGGGGAGGGGGAGGGGGAGGGCGAGGGCTTTTTTTGTTTGTTTTTTTTGAAATGGGGTCTCACTATGTTGCCCAGGCTGGTCTCAAACTCCTGGGATCAAAAGCAATACTCTCACATCATCAGCCTCCTGAGTAGCTGGAATTACATGCATGTGCCACTGCACCTGGCAGGGATAGCTTCTTTCCTGCCTCCGTTCTGGAAAATACCATGGACTGCTAAGGCTGGGCCTGCCTGAATCTGTTTTGGCCTCTGGAATCCAGCCCCCAGCACATTGCCTTGACCCTTCCTCTTGGCTTGCTGCCTTCTCCAGGGCTGAGAATAGGAAGCAACATGCTCTCTCTGAGCTTGGTACTTCTTCACAAGTCCCTTTAGAGAGGACACTGTTTGCCAGACAATGGGGTTTTCTCACAGGGCAGGCTCCGCAGGCCTTTGTTAGGAGGACTTCCTTTAAGGGCAGCTGGAGCTGGAAGACAACCCGGGCCAGGGGCTGGCCGGCTGTTAGGGTACTGAGCTCAGAGCTGACTGCTAGGAGGGACCTGGGGCCTGGGGATGGAGCTGTGGGTGTGAAGGGACACGGTGGATTGGAACAGGAGACTGACTGAGATAGAGAAGATGAGGCTGGAGCAAAGACTGGAGTCAAGATAGGATGAGGTCAGGAGCTGGGGCAGTATTAGAGGAACAAGCCCGGGACTGGGAGAAGGCTTGAGGGTCAGAACTGGTCCTGGGGGGGCATGTCACACACTGCTCAGGAGCCCAGGCATCAGACACAGGCAGCCCGGGTTCCATCCCTCCTTCTTCCCTGGCTATCTGGGTGGTCTTCATCTCAGCCCCTACTTCCCTCATCTTCAATCCCCTCACCTTCGCTCCACTGAACACCCTATTTAATGCCACAGTCTGCTCCGCTTTGGTGCTCCTGTCCCCCTTATCTGCTCCAACTCCTTATCCATACTCTTATTGTCTTTTTAAATTTTTTTATTTATTTATTTGTTTATTTTTAAGACAACAGAGTCTCGCTCTGTCACCCAGGCTGGAGTGCAGTGGCAGAATCTCAGCTCACTGCAACCTCCACCTCCTGAGTTCAAGCAATTCTCCTGCCTCAGACTCCCGAGTAGCTGGGACTACAGGGGCGCGCCACCATGCCCAGCTAATTTTTTTGTATTTTTAGTAGAGACAGGGTTTCACCATGTTAGCCAGGATGATCTGGATCTCTTGACCTCGTGATCCGCCCACCTCGGTCTCCAAAAGTGCTGGGATTACAGGCGTGAACACCCTCGCCCGGCCTATTTATTTATTTATTTATTTATTTAGAGACAGAGTCTCCCTCTGTTGCCCAGGCTGGAGTGTAGTGGCACCATCTCGGCTCACTGCAACCTCTGCCTCCCAGGTTCAAGTGATTCTCCCGCCTCAGCCTCCTGAGTAGCTGGGAATATAGGTGTGCACCACCAACCCCAGCTAATTTTTTTTTTTTTTTTTGGTATTTTTAGTAGATACGGGGTTTCTCTACGTTGGCCAGGCTGGTCTCGAACTCCTGACCTCAAGTGATCTGCGCACCTTGGCCTCCCAAAGTACTGGGATTACAGGCGTGTGCCACTGTGCCCGGCCCCTGTTATCTTACTAACTTACTTATTAATGTTTGTTGTTTATTATCTACCTTCCCAACTAAAGTGTCAGTTCCGTGAGGATAAACATTCTGTTTTGTTCACTGGTATGTCCAGTTCCTAGAAGGGTGCCTGCTGCAGAGCAGGCATCCAATAAACATTTGTTGAATGAATAAGGTTGCCAAGTCTGCCTGGGATAACAGCCTGCTCACTGGAAAGGTGACGATGACAACAGTGATGGTGCTTTGGTGTTGCAGGGAGGAGCAAGTTAAATCTCACCTATAAAGATCTTTCCATCAGGCTGCAGACACAGAGGGAGTCCCCAGCAACAATAGCTCATATATGCTTCAGTTTCCTCATCCGTGAAGAGAGAATAAAAGTCCCTACTTTTATTAGCGTCCAATTGCCCTGGCCACGGCAGCATTGTCGGTTTAATGATGCTGCTTCGGCTGTCGTAGTCTCTTCCACCTCATGCCTTTTGGTTCATTTTTTAACTGAGTTAAAGGTGGGGCTGTAGGTGGCACTGGGAATCAAATGGCTGAACTTGTGCTCAGGCCTGGGCTTGAGATAAAATGACCCCTTTAGTCCAAGCATCAAAACAGACCAAGGTTTCAGGCCCCCTTGCCTTTAAATAGATTTCAGGGATTATTTTCTCCAGCCCTAGACCACAGCTGACTCCTCACCGCCTCTCCACGAACAGACCTCAGAGTTTTGTTTTCTCTGTCTCTCTCCTTTCTTTCTCCTTTATCTCTGTCTACTGAGGTCCTGGCTGTCCCCCTGCCCCACCCTACCCTATGCTCTTGGGCTTCTGGCCTCATCTCTAACTTAGCTTCTAATTTTTTCTCTTCTTTTCCTTTCTTTTTTTGAAACAGAGTCTCACTCTGTCACCCAGGCTGGAGTGTAGTGGCGTGATCTCAGCTCACTGCAACCTCTGCCTCCAGGGTTCAAGCGTTTCTCGTGCCTCAGCCTCCCAAGTAGCTGGGACTACAGGTGTGCGTCACCTTGCTCGGCTAATTTTTATGTTTTCAGTAGAGACGGGGTTTCACCGTGTTGGCCAGGCTGGTCTCAAACTCCGGACCTCAGGTGATCCACCTGCCTAGCCTCCCAAAGTGCTGGGATTACAGGCATGAGCCACCACGCCCGGCCTAACTTAGCTTCTAATTCTAATGCCTGGTGAACCTCTTAAATTTTTTTTTCCCAAGACAAAGTCTCACTCTGTTGGCCAGGCTGGAGTGCAGGGGTGTGATCATAGCTCACTGCAGACTCTAACTCCTGGACACAAGAGACCCTCCCATCTTGGCCTCCCAAAGTGCTGGGATTACAGGCGTGAGCCACCATGCCTGGCCTGCCTAGTGAACTTGAAGGTCTAGCTTGCGGCACAGGCTCATGGCATGCACTTAACAGATACGGAATAAATGGATGAATGGAAAAAGCCCTGGACTGGGAATAGTAAACCTGGTAACCAAACCCAGCTCTGACCCTGACCTGTAAGTAACTACTATCTCTGGCCTTGGTGTACCCCATGTATAGTGGGGATTGTAAACACCTGCCCTGCCCACCTTATGATACTGCTGTGAGACTCAAAAGACATCATTAGCTCTTAGGCACAGGGAGCTTGGAGGTTAAATCCAATTTGTTTAGTTTTCAACAAGGAAGTGGTGCCCCAGGGACAATGATGGAGAGAAATCGAATGTAATGAGCTGTTGCCACCAGCTGAGTGGTCCTGAAATCATGGCATCTGGGTTGCACTTAGAGATTGTCCAGTTCAAAAGGCCAGAAGGAATCTGAACCTCGATGGGAAAAGTGACTTGCTCAGCTCCCCAGCAAGCCAGGGCAGAGCTGGAGGATGGACTGGAGTCTCCTGGTTCCAGGTCCAGGACTTCTTTCCGCTGTGTTGACAGAGCCAGGAGGAGGGGCACCCGGGGAGCAGGGGAGGCAAGGGCTGCTGGATGCCCCATCTCAGTTGAATTCTCCTTGAGGGACCCAGCCCAGGAGCAGAGTAAGAGGGTTTGAGGGTGGAAGGTGGCAGGGCTGGCCAAGCAGTATAGTCCCTGCTGCTGATAACCAATCCCTGAAATCCCGAGGTGGAGGGACTTGAGGGCAAATCACAGACATGGGGGACCTAATGCTGGCCATGTGGCTCAACCAGAAGTGCCCGTCCCTCATAGCTTTGGGGAGATCAGAAGTCAGGGATAGGGTCGGGTGTGGTGGCTCATGCCTGTAATCCCATCACTTTGGGATAAGGAGGCAGGGGGATCACTTGAGCTTAGGAGTTCGAGACCAGCCTGAGCAACATAGCAAAACCCTGTTCTTTACAAAAAAATACAAAAATTAGCCGGGCGTGGTGGTGCACACCTGTAGTCCTGGCTGCTGGGGAGGCTGAGGTGGGAAGATCACTTGAGCCCGGGAGGTCGAGGCTGCAGTGAGCTGACATCATGCTACTGCATTCCAGCCTAGGCAATAGAGTGGGACCCTGTCTCAAAAAAAAAAAAAAAAAAAAGTCAGGGGTGCTGGCCCCATGATAGGTGCAATGGGTGCCTCCAATTCCCTCTGGCTCTGCCTCCCAGCCTCTGTCCAAGCAACAGGCAGATTTTCCATGCCTGGGGACTTGCCCCTGGCTCACTGATGATGATACCATCTTAAGTCTCCTGGAATCCTTAAACCCTTCCTTGGCATTTGTGAGCAAGTATTGAGCCCCTCCCATGTTTTAGGCCCAGTGCTGGGTGCTTTCACCTGCAATTTCTTACAGAGGATGGTATTTCCTAAACTCCATTCATTTGCTACCTCCATGATTTTTGCCATATCACCCAACCCATGAAATACATAAATAAATAGTATTTACTCAATATTTTGACTCACTTTTAAAAAACATAAACTTATCTGAAAAGGGAACCTATGTCACGCCTCTAAATAAACAGTATCAACCAAAAATACAAAAGAAACAAAAATAAATACAAAGACATTCTTGGTTTCTGGCACCAGGCCCCAGTTCTGGCTCCAACCTTACTGAGAAGTCACATGATCTCTCTGGGCCTCAGTTTTCTCCTCTGGAAAATGGAGCTTTTGGAAGTTAATGCATGCACAGTGCCTGGCCCTGAGACTGGCATGGAGTGAGTGGAAGAGAGGTTGCCTGACCTGGCTAAAATTGGTTCTCTGGGCAGACATTTTCCCAAGGGCCACTGAGAAGACCCTCCTGTTAGGAGTCAGTGAGCTCTGTCGCTGGAGGCATTCAAACAGAGCCTGCGGACTTCTCACTGCGAAGTTGCCCAGAGAATTCAGTGCTCAGAGGAAAGGGAGTGGTTATTCCATCAGAGCTGGTTCCCCAGGAGCGGGAGCAGGGCCTGTAGCACCCAGCCTCTGTCCCTGGCTCCCGTCTATCCGGGATTTTAGCGTTTCCTCTGTAGTTTTCAAGCACTGTCTCATATGACTCTCGCACCAGCGAGAGGCCAGGGGAGATGGTGTCTGCCTGTTAAAGAGGGGCAGGCTGGTCCACATAGGTCAAGTGACTTGGCCAAGGTCACCAGAGCAGAGTTTTGAACTTGAGCTGTCTGACTCAACTGCCTGGGAAGTGCCTGCCCCTCCTCTGGCATCCAGGGAGCATGTCCTGGGGCTCTGGCTGGGACATAGCCGGACACCTGCGGGCCCTTTACGTCTCTAAAGAGAGAAAGAGGGAAGGGCCCCTGTCTAGGGGGTGGTTTCCCTCCAGATGCCACCCCTCCGAGGTCCCCTTCTGCTTCTTCTTGCGGTAGCCAGGGAGGCAGCCCACGGGCAGGGAAGCGGGGGTGGGGGTGCAGAGTCAGAGGTGCACGTGGACAGAGACAGAGAGACAGGGACACGTGGGCAGAGACGGATAAAGACAGAGACCCAGAGAAAGCCAGATATGTTGACAGACACAGAGACAGACGCCAGAGAGGAAGGCAGACAAAGAGACGGGTGGAGACAAAGACTCCCACCAAGAGACGCAGAAGGAAGATGCCGACGGTAAAGACAAAACAGGAGACGCGCGCAAGGAGCAGGTCAGAGCCCAGGCTCGCTGAGAGAGGAAGGGCTGGGCTGGGGCAGCCCGGAGGCAGAGAGACCGAGAGTGCGGGGCGGGCGAGGGACGCCAGGGCCGCGTCACCCCAGCCCGTTCCTAGCTCCGCTCCCGGCAGGGGGCGCCCTGGCCTCGTGGCACGACCGGCCCGCGGGGCGCGGGGCTCGGGCCGGGGGCGGGGCCGGGGCCGGGCTGGGGAGGGGTTGGGGCCGGGGGCGGGGGAGGGGGCGGGCTGCCCGGGCCTCACTCGGGCCCCGCGGCCGCCTTTATAAGGCGGCGGGGGTGGTGGCCCGGGCCGCGTTGCGCTCCCGCCACTCCGCGCCCGCTATCCTGGCTCCGTGCTCCCACGCGCTTGTGCCTGGACGGACCCTCGCCAGTGCTCTGCGCAGGTAAGGATTCGACGCTGCCCCGCGCCCTGGTTCCCCAGGGCCCCAGCGGACGTGGTCCATCCCCTTCTGCATCCTCCGCTGGCCCCGTGGTTGAACTTTAATGGCAGGGCCGGGGTCTCCAGCGCCACGCCGCCCACAGCAGCCCATTCGGGACGCCCTGCAATTGGTCCTGCCCCTGTCCTCCCGCGCATCCCAAGCTCCCGGCGCGCGCTCTGGGCGGGACAGGAGATTGGACGTGGCGCCCGCGGAGCCGGCGAACTCAGGGGACCGCGCTCGGGACCGCCCTGCAGTCCCAGGGTCTCCTACCTCCCGAGCCGCTGCCTGGGACCCTGCGCTCTGTCTGGGCACCTGCCCTTGGTGCCCCGTGACTGAGCCCCTCCTGGTGCCTCCTTAGCCGTAGCTCTAGAGACCTGGGCTGCCAACCCCAAGGCCTCGTGGCCTGGCGCCCTCCCAGGCGTCCCACCTGACCCGGTGGGGTCTAAAGCAGTTTGGTTTGGGAGGAGGAGAGGGCAGGAGGCGCTTGGAATGGGGGGCGTGGCGGGAGGAGACAGAGGACACCCGCGTGGGTGTCAAAGTGTGGGCACCCACTGTGGGCACCGCAGCTGTGGGGCAAAGCTCTGGAGCCCGCGAAGCCGAAGGAGCCTGCCGCCCCCTTTAGGCTTTGCGAGGTGGGCCTCCCAGGGCTGCTTCCCTGCCCAGTCTTGGTAAGAAAGGGTTAAACGCAGGTCTCAGCAGAAAGGCAGGAGGCCGAGGAAAGCCTCCCCCACTCCCCATTGTGCCTTATGACTCTTTTTCAACACATAATGGGGTCGAAGGCGGGGCCTTTACAAAGGCCTCTGGGTGGAGGGTGAAATTCCTTGAGATCAAAAGAGGGGGCGATTCTTGGGCCAGGAAGGGCTTTGGGCCCTGGGAAAAAGTCAGACCGCTCAGGTGGGCCCAGCTGCCCAGGGAGGCAGGGGTTGGGTCCCAGCCTCAGTGTAGATACTGCAACTGTTTTTTGAAGGCCTACCGTGCGTAGAGGGACCTGCTCTGACATCTCATGTACATCATTTCATTTTACAAATGGGGAAACTGAGGCTTAGACAATTTAAGTAAGTGGTGGGACCAGGGTTTGAATCCAGACTCCAAACTCTGCAGCCCTAGCGTCCTGCTCCCACTGTGTTGCCTAAGAGATAGGGGGCTGAGCCTTGGTTTTGTCTTCCGGCTCCTCCTGGGCTCAGCCCGCTCTTCCTCCACTCTCCAGTCTTGCTCTTTCCAACTGTTTAGTCCTCCCCACCTGTGGGTGTCCCCACGCTGTCCTGCCCCAGCCATCCCACTCCCTGGCCCCATGCATCTTGTTCCTGTGTCACCTTTTTCTTTCTTTAACTGAATACCTGTGAATTCCCTCAGAAGAGGCCCCTGGACACAGCTTCTCAACATCCCAACTGGTGAAGACTAGGCTGAGTGATGATCCCGGTCCATGTGCCCATTTGTAAAAAGGGGTGTATTCCCCTTTCGGGACTATTGTGAGGAATAAAACTGAACTGAGGCCAGAACAAGATGCTATCTTCATTCAGCAAATACTTAAGCATCCGCCGTGTGCCAAGCTCTGTTCTAGGTGCCGGGAATGCCACAGTAAATCAGCCAAAAGCCCTCTTCTGGATTGGATGTTTGCATAACAAAATTCTTTCAGGCTTTGAAACTGTCAGAATTCACAGTGTAGACTTGAAATCAAGCTATTCATAAGGAAGGAGATTAAGACGCAATCACCTGTAAAATGGATTGGCCAACCTTTGGCCCTCACTTTAGCAAAGGCAGCCTTGCTGTGGGACCTGGGATCAGTTCTGTTCCCTCTCTGTGCCTCGGCCTCCTCCCATAAGCTGTGGAGATCAATAGTGCCTACCAGTGGTGAGGTCTAGATATGATGAATGCTTGCGAAGGGTTTAAGCTGGTACCTGTGCTTAAGAAAATCCTGGCTATCCTCAGCTCTCTTCTCAGCAGAAAATGCAATGCGGAGACTGGAAGTTGGGTTATGTGCCTACCCTGCCTCTGAACCTGTTACCCACTTCTGCCCAGGCCCTTCCCATCCTGTTGGGCTACACATGTGGGGTGGCATGGTGCCCTCTTTGCTCACACTCAGATGCCACCTTCTGTCGCCATCCTAAACACAGCCTGGGCTGGGAGCGCAGAGCTCCATGATGAGATCAGCCCTGGAGCCATCATCTCTGCAGCGCTTCCTGCCCTCTGCCTGTTCTTGTGCCTCACCGTGTCCTAGCTCAGGACCAAACTCAGCCCTGTTCTGTCCCATGACTTACATACCCAACATTCCCTGCAAGCTGGATATGATCTTGGAAAGGGGAAGTGAGTTGCCCAGAGGCACACAGATGCTACCTGAGGAGCTGGGGCTGGAGCCTGCGTATCTAGAATTCCAAATCTAGCAATCTCCATGCTGTACCCATCTCTGGGCATATGAGGCCTTTTAATCCAGGGAGTAGGATCCAGTAGCAGAGCCCGAGTTCTCACCTTGAAATCAGTCTGACTTGGCTTTTTAATACAAAACCCAGAGCTCTGAGAGAACATTGCTGGGAGAGTGAGCAAGCTGGGCTGAGAACCAGCACTCAGAAATCTCCATGTGGCCACAGGAATGCTGACTTGGCTTCCCAGCACCATGTCGTCGTCCTTGGCAGGCTGGAGCTGGGCTTTGTGGTATGTTAGATTTGTTTTTTTTCTTCTGGAGATGTCCTCACTTTCAGAGGGCAGTTAGGGGCAGTAGACTGAAGGTTCATTCCCAGCACTGCCATGCGACCCTGGACAAGTCACCTTCCCTTTCGAAGCCTCAGTTTTCTCATCTGCAATATGGGTTAAAATTATATACTTTGCAGGGTCGCAAGATCATAAATGGTTTTCCAACTTTGGGCTGAACCAGCATTGATGTTATTAAGACATTCATATTTCCTGTGGAGCAATTTCAAAAGCAGTTAACTTTATCCCTACCAGGTGATCCTGAGGGCCTGAGGGAAGTCCACGTTTAGGTCACAAAAGCCTACACAGCAGGGAAAACACTGGTTTGGGGGCTGGTGTCTTGGATTCCAATCGCCAGCTGTGTGACCTGAGGCAAGTCACTTTACCTCTCTGAGTGTCAAGCTCATAGGAGGCCCCCAACATCAAGATATGATGCTCAGTGTCTGAAGAACATAGTCTCCGTATTTTTCTGCCTCCTTGTACCAGCTCCCAACCCCCCCGCCAACACTTCGTTAATTGCTCCCAGAAAAACTCTATGCTTAAAGTTTTCCATGCTTAAATTCTCAGCCTCACTGTGGCATGAAATCAATTGTTTGCATTGAATTTGACTTCTCAAATTAAGGGGTAAAATTTGAGATGAGAGTAGGGGGTTAGGGAGGAGATGAGGACGAAGTTAAACCAGATGTGCTTTTGTTTAATTGTAGGATGGTGGTTAAGCTGCTCAAGTATTACCATCGTTCTTTCTGAATTCCAGTAACCAGGAGTCAGGTTTCACAAAAAGTCGTAGTGTTCTTTCCTGGCTGGTGTGGACTCGCCCTCTCTATTATTATTATTATTATTATTATTACTATTTTGTATTCATCTGAGGCCACAGAGTACTGGCCAGAGAGGAGACATAGATCCCCAGAATTTCAGTTGGAAGGCCTTTAGAAGCTGGCTCGGTCAACTGGGCTCTTGGTGCACCAGGGAGACTGAGGCCCAGAGAGGAGAAGAGGCTTGCCCAGGGTCACACAATTGCTTAGGGCAGAGTGGACTGGGAATTCAGTCTCCTGGCCTTAAGCTACATGATCTTTCCAAAGGCAACCACTCTCCTGAATTTGGTGTGTTTCATTTCTACAGTATATTCTTAGCATATCTGTTTTTTGAAAATCATTGTTTAAGGGAGGATGCAGATGATGTGGGTTGGTGGAAAAAGATATTAAGCTCAGGAGAGCTGAGCTGAAGTCCTTGAATACCTCTGTGACCTTGGGCAAGTCACTTCCCCTGTCTGAGTCTCAGATTCTTCATCTGTAAACCAATATATCTGAGGAGTAGGAGTGGAGAGATGAGACTTCCCTAAGACTTGGAATGGGTCTAATGTATTCAACTGGTCCTCAGATATTTATAGCCTGCTGTGTGCTGGGTTATGGGAGATCCATCACAAACTGCCTTCCTAAGGCTGCAGGGGGTGGGGGATTGTTGACTTTTGCGGTGATTAAACAACTTTTATTTAGTTGCTGGTGTTTTTAAACCAGGCAATTTCATTTTATATAAAGATAAGGATTTCTGGCTTCTCTTGAAAGATCAGAAGATGTGGCCATATGGGGCTATGTCCCTGCCTGGCCACAGTGGCTGGAGCTGATTAGCAGCTGCTCCATCCACTTTACCACAGTCTCCACCACGCCCCACTGCCTCACACTTGCCCACCTGCCTCCCTGACATTACCTACCTACCTTCTGAGCTTGCGGTTTCTGGGCTAGATGCAGTGAGGCCATGTAAGAGGGGCTCAAATTCCACTTGAATGATTGTGTGGGGCTTGGGCCAGCCCTCAGGGGGCTCAGGGTGAGAATATGGGACACGTGGACACTAGCCCCTCTTCCATAGCCTGGCAACATCTACAAAACATGTCAGCTAGGCGAAGGAGCTTTTTTCCTGCTTCGGTGGTCCTCAGGAAGAGTCTGAGGGCTCTGGAGGTTTGGGGGTGATAGAGCATCTACCTGTCAAGGCTCAGCGAGTTGAGCCCAGGGTCTAGCTGGGGACAGGCATCGCTGGGTACTTCATTCTAAAGATTGCACAGCCCCTGCAGGGAAGAGACTCCCTTGACAGCTTCCACCTTACCCCTTGCTCCCCAAGAGCCCTGTGCATTGGTGCGCCACTTCACCCTGTGCTCCCTAACAGCCCTGTGCATCAGTGCATAACCACTTCTCAGACAGGAAACACGATCTTGCACTCTGAACCCACAGCTCTCTGTTCCACCCCCTTTGCTGGGAGCCAGGGCCTGGTGATGACAGGCAGGTACCATGGTGGCTGCAGCAAGCATCTTAGAATCGCCATGTCTGAGCCAGAGGGTAGCACAGGAGGCTGTGAAGCCTGATGGTTACATGCGGGGGGCTCTGGAGGCAGCTGCTGTGATGTGAGATTCTAGGTCTCCACGAATCAACTGCTCCAGGGGTTATGAGATGGACAAGGGAGACTGATTGATTGTCGATTGCTGATACTAACCTCACATCCCCTGGTCCTTACACCTGCAGACGACTTCAGAAATGTGCCCTGTGTGGGAAGTGGCATTTTGTGAGCACCATTGGGTACCAGGCACTTTCGCACATTACCTTTGATACTCACCTACCCCCTACTCTCCAGCATTTTGCAGTTAAGGAGACTGAGGCTCAGAGGGCAGACACCTTAGGATTACTCCTCCCCTAGGTCTCTATGCCTCTCTGCTTTGACCCAGGGAAGGGAGGAGAGGACAGGCTGGAAGGTCATTTCTGGAAATAAGGCCGTGGAGACCCTGTAGTGAGGCCCTGACCCTCCAGACTTTCTAAGCCACCCCCTCCTCCTCCACTCCAGCTTGTTTCAGAGATGCTTCTTCATCCTTCCAGAGCTCAGTTTGTCATTCAGGTGCATGAACTTTACCTGGCCAGGTCTGCAAACTGCTGGGCAGAGCTCAGCAAATATTTTATGTTCTTTAAAAAAGTTTTTAGGTGGCTGAAGCAAATTGCTTTTACTGGAAAAACCAGAAGTGTGACCTTTATTTTATTTTTGCAGAGATGGGGCCCTGCTATGTTGCTCAGCCTGGGTTCAAGAAGTCTACCCACCTTGGCCCCTGAAAGTGCTGAGATTATAGGCATGAACCATTGTGCCTGGCCCACAAGTGCACCCTTTAAAAAGATCTACCAGGTGACCCTTTTTTAGACTGAGTATCGCTCTGTTCCCCAGGCTGGAGTGCAGTGGCGTGATCTCGGCTCACTACAACCTCCGCCTCCCGGGTTCCAGAGATTCTCCTGCCTCAGCCTCCCATGTAGCTGGGATTACAGGCACATGCCACCACACCCAGCTAATTTTTGTATTTTTAGTAGAGACATGGTTTTGCCATGTCGGCCAGGTTGATCTTGAACTCCTGACCTCAGGTGATCCACCCTCCTCGGCCTCGCAAAGTGCTGGGATTACAGGCATGGGCCACCACACCTGGCCCCAGTGACTTTTTGTTGGGTCAACCTCTTGCCTTCTTTAGTGCACCTTTACTAGGTCAGTAAAGCCACAGGGTGGGTACCACTTAGCTCTCAGGCTGACGTTCTCAGGCCTCTTGCTGGCTGTCACTGAAGTGTCTCAGGCTTGTTGTTTTTTTGTTTGTTTGTCTGTTTTGTTTGTTTGTTTTGTTGTTGTTGTTTTTTGAGACAGGGTCTAGTGGCTCTGTTGCCCAGGCTGGAGTGCAGTGGCACGATCATGGCTCACTACAGTGCAGCCTTGACTTCCTGGACTCAAGCAATCCTCCTACCCCAACCTCTCAAGTAGCTGGGACCACAGGCATTCGCCACCACGCCCCGCTAATTTTTTTTATTACTTGTAGAGATGAGGTCTTGCAATGTTGCCCAGGCTGGTTTCGAACTCCTGGGCTCAAGTGATCCTCCCACCTCATCCTCCCAAAGTGCTGGGATTACAGGTGTGAGCCACTGCATCTGGCCAGCCTGGCCTTTTGGAGGATCTCATCCCCCTCCACCTGTCTCCACCTGTCTCCACCTTGACTTACCTGTCTCTCAGCATACAGGAGTTACTAACTGACCCGTCTGCCGCCATTCTGGTGAGAAAATGTCTCATCTGAGGCCCATTTCCCCTCCTCCACTCCTTCTGAGCCCTTCTATAGCTCCTCTTCTTTCTCTGCCTCATTCCGCTGGTCCCTGCCATGCCACTACTAACTAAAAGTCCATAGACTATAAGCCCAACATGCACGTACTAGGCATGGTGCTCAGTGCCTTGCCTGTAATTACTATTTGGTCCTACAGCAGCGCTGGGTGGCAGGTGCTATTATCCCCACATTACAGATGAGGAAACGGAAACACAAACTCCCCCAGCTGGGAAGTGAGAAGTAGACATGTTTGTTCCCTGCGGTGACCCATCCATCCATTCAAGGCTACTGCTTTCTCCGTAATGCAAATGACATAACCCATCTTCCTAGAAGAGTCAGTTCCCTATTTATCTTAAAACCATCCAATATAGAAATTCATATTCTAGGTCTGTTAGCCTATCAAGATATCAGAGATAAGCAGGTTTCCTCTCAACAGCTTGTCCAAGCCCTTAATCACCTAAGTGATTTTTTTGTGTGTGAAAATGCTGTTTTTTTGCTTTTCCCCATGACCTAATCCTTATACAGATGCTCCTTGATTTACCAAAGGTTTTTGTCCTGGAATTGTAAGTTGAAAAATATCATAAGTAGAAAATGGTTATAACACCTAACCTGTCAAACATGGTAGCTTAGCCTGACTTACCCTAAATGTGTTCAGAACAGTTACATTAGCCTATAGTTGGGCAAATCATCTAACACGAGGCCTATTTCATAATAAAGTGTTGACTATCTCATGTCAATTTCTTGGCTATACTGTATTGAATGTGAAAAACAGAATGGCTGGTTGGGTACTCGAGGTGTGGTTTCCACTGAACACTGTAGCTTTTGCATCATCGTAAAGAAAAAAATCTTAAGTGTAAGTTGGGGACAGTCTGTAATGAACATTTAAGGGCTTACTCTGTGTCAGAAACTGAGCTAATCACTTTGAATGACCTTATTGTATTGAGCTCATAATTCTTTCCATTTTGCAAACAAGGAAACGGAAGCTCAGAGAGATTGAGTAATGTTCTCAAAGTTTGGAAAGTGCAGGTGAGACTCAAATCCAGGGTTGCCCAATCAGATTGGCATCTGGATTCAAATTTGCATGTTTGGAGAAGAGCTCTCAGGGCACCTTGTGGTACACATTTGTTTTTCAGTGAGTGTTTGCAAATGACATGGGGGTGGGAGGCCCCAGGGGGAGGAGACAGAACATAGACACACCTGGTGGGGCACCAGCGTCTGTTCTCCCAGACAGTGTTTCTTAGCCTGTTCACCCCCTCATAGGAAATGACAAGCCTAGAAGGAAGCATCCTGAGAAACCCAGAGGGGCCTGGGTTTGAATCCCAGCCCTGCCATTTCAAGCTGTGTGACCTTCGCCAAGTCCCTTTCCCTCTCTTAGCTTCTGGCTACCCTCCCTACCACGCATGGTTTATTTGAATGAGGCAAGGCCTTAGGATTTTTCGATTTGTGGATGGCGAATAGCCAGCATGTCTCCTTCCTCTCTCCTGCCCTGCACCCACATCAGACATCACTAGTCAACCACTGCTTGCTTTCCTTCCCAGATTCCTTCTAAGTACAGTGCTCCAGACAGCCATTAGCAACTAATATAGAGTTGGCACACAAGATAAAAGGACATCCCAGAACCAGATTAGATTTGGTCATTGTGTGGGTGGGGGTAGGGAAGGGATAGGCCCAGGTGGCACCCAGTTCAGTGTCACGGTGCTCCTTGGTCTTCTTTTCCTTGTCTTTGGAGGAACTAAGCTAGACTGTACCAGGGCCCACCCCAGGTGTGGGGTAGGAACCTTTTATGAGGCACAGAGCTGTGCCCGTGTTCAGTCCCAAGGGAGAGGCAGGTTTCTGGGCCTCATCACTGTCTAGGCTTAAAGTAAGAGTGACGAGAAAGAGGCTGGTTTCAGGTCCTCCTGGAAAGAGTTAGGCCTGCCCCTCTCCACCCTTTGTAATAACATCCATAGTAGTAATAAGAGTTCTCGACACTGACGGACCACTTGTTACGCACCAAGCCACTCTGCGAAATGCTTTGTATACATTTACACATTTAATCCTTATACCAGCCCATTTTTCAGGTGAGGAGAATGACTCAGAGTAATTAGCCTGGGTTTGCCCAGCTGGTAAGTGTCGGAGCTACGATTTGAATTCATATCTGTCAAACCCCGAATAAATAACTCTTATTACTACGATGGATATTATTACAAAGGATGGGGAGGGGCCAGCCTAACTCTTTCCAGGAGGACCTGAAACTGAGCTCTTTCTTTTTTTTATGGTATTCAGAACATCACTTTATAAACTGTTGTCAGATTACCATTTAAACATTAATACCCAAATACAGAATTTAGACAATTACTTTAAATTGTAACTGTACCATCCCCAAGCTCTCAGCTATGAATTTGGTTTGGGGAGAGGGCTCCGTAATAGGCCACTGAAGTCCCCCGTCCCACCCCTTTTTTCTCCCCTGAAAACTAGCTGCCTGACTGCTCTGCCAGACTTGGGCTAGAACTTGGCTTCACTGTGACAGTGGGACCACCTGGGCCCTACAGTGTGGCAAAACCGACCCGCCCACAAACTCCATCCCAGGTGTTGAGATGCTAACACACTGAAGCTGAAAGACCCCACTTGGTTTTGCCACAGATCAAGTTGCATCTGACTAGAGAGCCTGTCCTCTACCCTATTTCCTGCACAAGTCTTTTTCTTTGTAATGCAACAAGCGCTACTCAGCTCAGATCCAGTGGGACACAGGGAAAGGGGCTGTAGTGTAGCCCAGCCTTGCTGAGGGAGACCCCTGCCTCGCCAAAGCACTTCGCTCACAAAGGCTGAAACTGGCCTCTTTCTCGTCACTCTTACTTTAAGCCTAGGCAGTGATGAGGCCCAGAAACCTGCCTCTCCCTTGGGACTGAACATGGGCACAGCTCTGTGCCTCATAAAAGGTTCCTACCCCACACCTGGGGTGGGCCCTGGTACAGTCTAGCTTAGTTCCTCCTGCTTTCCTCCACCGCAGGCTCAGTGCGGGGCCCGCGGCCTCTGCGTCTTTCTCTCAGCTTACCATGATCATTTCTCATTGATGAGTGCGATACGTCTTTGCCCGTGGAAAGTGCTTTACCATCGGCAGAGCCTTCCACGTTTACACATGCGCAGCACAGCAAAGGGCATCTCTTTTTAAAAGGGAGAAAACTGAAGCTCAGAGGCTGGGCACAAGGGCTCACGCATGTAATCCCAGCACTTTGGGAGGCCAAGGCGGGCAGATCACTTAAGGTCAGGAGTTCAAGAACAGCCTGGCCAACATGGTGAAACCCTATCTGTACTAAGAATACAAAAACTAGCTGGGCGTGGTGGTGTATGCCTGTAATTCCAGCTATGTGGGAGGCTGAGGCATGAGAATCACTTGAATCCGGGAGGCGGAGGTTGCAGTGAGCAGAGATCGTGCCACTGCACTCCAACCTGAGTGACAGAGTGAGACTGCATTTCAAGAAAACAAAAAGAAGATTGAGGCTCAGGGAGGGAGGGTGGTGGGCCCCGGACCACACAGCGAATAAACGGTAAACCCTGCACCAAGGAATTAGGTACCCCACCTGTTCCCTAGGCCTTCTGGAACAAATTGCCTAGGGGAACCTGAGGTCAGTGCTGGGAACGCAGGAGTGGTGGCTCAGCAGAGGCAGGGGTTGTGCTGCCCCCCGCATCCCACCCAGATACACCCTATCCTGTTTTAATCAGCCATTGACCTTGGACAAGTCACTTTAACACTGCCAACCTCAGTTTCCAGGCACTTATTCTATTTTTCAGGTTTTTTTTGTTGTTGTTGTTTGTTTGTTTTTTGAGACAAGGTCTTGCCCTGTCACCCAGGCTGGAGTTCAGGCACGATCATAGTTGACTGCGGCCTTGACTTCCTGGGCTCAAGTGATCTCCTGCCTCAGCCTCCCGAGTAGCTGGAACTGCAGGCTTGTGCCACCATGCCCAGCTAATTTTTTTTATTTTTTATTTTGTGAGATGAGGTCTTGCTTATGTTGATGAGGCTGGTCTTGAACTCCTGGGCTCAGGCAATCCTCCCACCTCAGCTTCCCAAAATGTTGGGATTAACAGGCGGTGAGCCACCAGGCCTGGCATATTTTTCAGTTTTTAAAGCCATTTCTTTTTTCTCTTTTTTTTTTTTTTTTTTTGAGACGGAGTCTCGCCCTGTCGCCCAGGATGGAGTGCAGTGGCTTGATCTTGGCTCACTGCAGCCTCCCAGGTTCAAGTGATTCTCCTGCCTCAGCCTCTGGAGTAGCTGGGACTACAGGGGTGTGCCACCACGCCCGGCTAATTTTTTGTACTTATAGTAGACACGGGGTTTCACCGTGTTAGCCAGGATGTTCTCGATCTCCTGACCTTGTGATCCGCCCACCTTAGCCTTCCAAAGTGCTGGGAGCCACGGTGCCCGGCCGAAAGCCATTTCTTATTCATGAACTCACCGAACCATCAAAGCAACCCAATAAAGTATTCACATCATTTTGCAAAGTGGGAGACTGAGGCTTGGGGAGGCAAGCAACTTGCCTGAGGTAAAATTGATGGTAAAACCAGGCCTCAAACTCAGGTCAGGATCCCAGGCTGAAGGTCTTTCCCCAGCTGTGTCTCCAGTCTCTCTCATCGTTGCCTTTGTACCTGCCATCCCCTCCCCTGCAGCAACCTCTCCCTGTTTGTGTTGCCAGTTGGCATCATGGCTGTTTTTCTAGAGCTTGCTTTGGATATCTTGAACCCTTTGTAATCTGATCATCCACATAGCATCTGGCTCTGAGTTTCAGTTCCTGGAGGGTAGGAGCCCCATCTGAGTCACTCGTGAATTCCCATGCCTAATAAGATGCCTGCTTTCAGCAAGCGTTTAATGACTTTTTTTTTTTTGAGACGGAGTCTGCTCTGTCGCCCAGGCTGTAGTACAACGGCGCGATCTCGGCTCACTGCAACCTGCGCCTCCCGGGTTCAAGCGATTCTCCTGCCTTGGCCTCCTGAGTAGCTGGGATTACAGGTGCCTGACAGCACGCCTGGCTAATTTTTGTATTTTTAGGAGAGACAGGGTTTCATCATGTTGGCCAGGCTGGTCTCAAACTCCTGACCTCAGGTGATCCACTTGCCTTGGCCTCCCAAAGTGCTGGGATTACAACAGCCCATTTAATGACTTTTGAGTTCATGAAAGGCTGCCCCACTCGGCAAGGGTTTCCACAGCTGGCCTGGCTTTGTTACCATGGGGAAGCCTGGGAGGGATGCCCCACTGGGTGTGACTCTTGAGCCACTCAATGCGAAGCCTGGCCACCCTCCCCAGACCTTCACTGGTGTCCTTGCACGAATGCCACCAGCTCATAAATGGTTAGTGATTGGCAGCAGGACAAGCCAGTGTCTCTGGGTCCAGTTTTCCTGTTGGCAGTTCAGGCCTTTAGTCTCACTCAGGTATGAGGTGCCCAGTGTCATACCTCTGGCCAATGTCTTTGTCCATTTTGTTCACAGATGTACCCCCAATCCCAAACAGCCTTAATTTCTTTAATAATAATAATAGTCATAGCTGTAAATTTGCTGAATCTGCATGTACCATGCTTCCTGGTGCATAGTAGGCACTTAATACATATTTGTTGAATGAATGAATACTCGCAGCGAGTTAACATTTCTTAGAGACTGAGAGTCCCTAAGTGAAAGGTCACTTGCATGACCTCTGTGCCTCAGTTTCATGTGTCGACTCCGTGAGAGGTACTCAGAGGAGTAACCAATACATATGTCCATTTTTTTTTTTTTTTTTGAGATGGAGTCTCGCTCTGTCGCCCAGGCTGGAGTGCAGTGGCGCAATCTCGGCTCACTACAAGCTCCACCTCCTGGGTTCACGCCATTCTCCTGCCTCAACCTCCCCAGTAGCTGGGACTACAGGCACACACCACCACGCCCAGCTAATTTTTGTTGTATTTTTTAGTAGAGACAGGGTTTCACCATGTTAGCCAGGATGGTCTCCATCTCCTGACTTCATGATCCGCCCGCCTTGGCCTCCCAAAGTGCTGGGATTACAGGCGTGAGCCACTGCACCCGGCCAGGTTTGTTTAAAATATATCATGAACCAGGCTGTGTTCTAAGCAGCTCACATGTATTTTTTCATTTATCCTTGCACCTGAGGCTCAGAGAGATTATGTTCATGTCTCCTAGGTCACCTGGTTGGTGTCACGTGCAAATATTTTAATATCTCCCAGGACATGTGTGTTCCAAATAACATAATATGGGAACCACCTCCCCTACCAGCCTCCTCCCATAACACACACCTCACGCCCCAGATCCTAGGCTTAGAACAAACGGGAACAGTAGTAGGCGAGTCAAGCGGTCATGTTGTCCCTGACTATAAAATGCCTCATCCAGTGTCGGGCACACAATAGGTCTTCTGATCACCATCTGTGGGATAGGCGCCAATCATGATCTGAGCAGAAGCTGGCAGGAGGGAGCCCCGAATCTGCTGGAGGAAACTCGGTGCTGGGGGGACTTTAGAGAAGAAATGACAGCGGTCATAAATCATTGTAACAGTAACAGCTCATATTAACTGAGTGGCAGGCACTGTTCAAGCAAGTCAGATACATTAATCATTTAATCCTCATATCAGCCCTAGGAGGTAGATATTATTGTCATTGTCCCCACTCACGGATGGGGAGCCAGGCTCAGAAATAAGCTCATTTGGGCTGGGCGCAGTGGCCCCTGCCTGTAATCCCAGCACTTTGGGAGGCCGAGGTGGGTGGATCACCTGAGGTCAGGAGTTTGAGACCAGCATGGCCAACATGATGAAACCCTATCTTTACTAAAAATACAAAACATTATAGCCAGATGTGGTGGCAGGTGCCTGTAATCCCTCAAGATTACAGGTACTCAGGAGGATGAGACAGGAGAATCACTTGAACCCGGGAGGCGGAGGTTGCAGCCAGCTGAGATTGTCCCACTGTACTCCAGACTGGGCGACAGAGCGAGACTCCATCTCAAAAACAAAAAACAAAAACAAAAATGGGGAATAAGCTCATTTGTCCAGTAAATGGCTAGTAAATGATAGCTCTGGAGTGTGAACACCAGCACTCAGGCTGTGGCATCTTGCTGTCCTGCCTCCTTCTGTAAAGACTCGTGAAGCTTCCTGCTGGGTAGTTCCTGGTACCTCTGCTCCAGGTTGGCCACTGGCAGCAGGCCTGTGCCAGGGTGCATGCTGGCGCTATATGATCCGTGGGGCGGAGGGGAGTATCCCCATCTCCTCAGGGGCCTCCCCTATGTCACACCCTGAGGCTGGGCCCAGACCGGTATTCAGGAAAGGAAACTGATCTGTCACCTCACCCCTGCCTGGGGCAGCCCAGCATGTGTCAGCCCCCTAATCCCCGGGTACTGCCCAGGACAAGCAGTAACAGGGACAACCACCCTCCAACATGGGGAGGCCTGCAACAGCTCTGGGGCAGAAGGAGGCTCAGGGAGGTAGCAACTTACCACCCAGCAGCTCGTGGAGCTAGTGGGTGGTTGAGCTGGGATTTGGACCCAGGGCTTGGCTCTGGTGAGGGGGGATGTGTCTGCCATGGGGTTGTCTGGTCCAGAGATCCAGGCCTAGCTCTTTTATGAAACCTTAATTTGTTCACTGATAATAGCAAGAGTTGTCATTTCCTGAATCTAACCTCCCCAAAGGGTAGATACTCAAATCTCTGCTTTTTTTTTTTTTTTTTTTTTTGACATGGAGTCTCGCTCTGTCGCCCAGGCTGGAGTGCAGTGGCGTGATCTCGGCTCACTGCCACCTCCACCTCCCAGGTTCAAGCAATTCTCCTGCCTCAGCCTACTGAGTAGCTGGGATTACAGGCGCGTGCCACCACACCTGGCTAATTTTTGTATTTTTAGTAGAGACGGGGTTTCACCATGTTGCTCAGGCTGGTCTCAAACTCCTGACCTCATGATCTGCCCGCCTCAGCCTCCCAAAGTGCTGGAATTACAGGCATGAGCTACTGCGCCCGGCCCAAATCTCTGCTTTTACAGGTAAAGAATGGAAGCACAGGCTGGGAGTGGTGGCACATGCCTGTGTCCTAGCTACTTGGGAGACTGAGGCAGGAGGATTGCTTGAGCCAAGGACTTCAAGGCTGCAGTGAGATATCATTGCACCTGTGAATAGCTACCGCACTCCAGCCTGGGCAACATAGCAAGATCCCATCTCTAAAAATAAAAAATATAAGAAAAAAAAATGAATAGAAGCACAAAGGAAGGGAAGGGATCACCCAAGGTCCTATAGCTCATACATGGGTTAATCCAGAATTGGAACCCGGGCAGCCTTGCTCCAGAGTCCGGTCTCACTTAATGAGTACTAGATAATTCTCTGCATGTCAGATGGGTACACTCTTCTTGAACCTGCTAGTTCTTTTGGAGCCAGATCTGGGGAGGGGGAGCAAGGCAGGAGTTGAGCAAATAGCAGGAACAGACTGTGTGACACTTGCTGGGAGGCTCCGAGGCTCCAGCTCCCTGAGCTTAGAAGTGCGGAGTTTATCTATCCCCTGCGCGATTCCTGGGGGAAGGGAAGGACAGGCGAAGGGGCATGGCGGGGCAGTCCTGGTGTCTCCAGGACCAGGGTCAGGGGGAGGCCAGAGCAATTAGCCTGGCTGAGGCCTCTGCTAACTCAGAAACGTAAGTGGGGGATTGGTCCAGGCCTCACTCCAGGGCTCTGGCCTCGAGCCTGACCCTCCTGAGTTTCTATCTGAGGCTTCCAGAGTCTTCCTGGGGCAGTGAATCTCAGAGTGCTGGTTTGTGTGAGAACTTTGTTCTGAAATTTCCCTTTTCAACAACCAAATCCCTGGGCTGGCCTGCCTGCCCCACTTCCCCCTCTTGGAGGAAACGGATGCTTTCCTCTTGGGCGGCCACATGATTTGAATAATCAAGTGTTTCCCAGCTGGCCTCTGGCCAAACGGAGCTCAGCTGGGCAAGGCCCCCAGTTGGGGCACTGAGGCAAGCCTGCCAACCTCCTCATCCCGCCACACGCTCCAGCCACCGAGGGTAAAATACAGGAAAAATGCATGGCCCATAGACTTGGCTGGGCCAGGCCCCAGACTATTCCTGTGATGGAGGCAGCGCTTGTCTTGGGCTTTGTCCCATCTACCTGGAGAAAGCTGAGTGGAGGAAGAAAAAGGCTGCCCCTGCTCAGGAAATTCCTGATGGAGCGGCCTCTCCTGGCGTGCTCACCTGGGTGCTGGCGTCTTGGCACTTGTCAGGGTGGAGAGAGGAGGAAGCCAGTCAAGAAGGGGAAAGACGGGTGCGGGAGGACATTCACTGATTCAACAAACATCTCATTAGCCCAACTGCCTGTGAGGCCCAGGGTTAGGTGCTGGAATCACAGATGGATCTGCCCTGGATTTTGCCTTCAAAGAGTGTGTGTAGGCTGGGCTCCGCGGCTCACGCCTGTAGTCCCAGCACTTTGGGAGGCCAAGGCCAGTGGATCACCTGAGGTCAGGAGTTCGAGACCAGCCTGACCAACATGGTGAAACCTCGTCTCTACTAAAAATACAAAAATTAGCCGGGCATGGTGGCGCGTGCCTGTAATCCCAGCTACTCCGGAGGCTGAGGCAGGAGAATTGCTTGAACCTGGGAGGCAGAGGTGGCAGTGAGCCAAGATGGCACCATTGCACTCCAGCCTGGGCAACAAGAGCAAAACTCTGTCTCAAACAAACGAACAAAAAGAGTGTGTACAGAAATGGTCTTGTAAGCAGACTCCCCCACAGAGCCCTAGGTGGTAGAGGATGAGGGAAAGCATGAGAGGCCACCTAGCTAAGCCTTGGGCAGAATGGCCGCAAAGGATTTCTGGAGACAGCAGATTTCATTTATTTATTTTTTTTGAGATGGAGTCTCTGTCTCCCAGGCTGGAGTGCCATAGCGCCATCTCGGCTCACTGCAACCTCCGCCTCCCAGGTTCAAGCTATTCTCCTGCATCAGCCTCTGGAGTAGCTGGGACTACAGGCATGTACCACCATACCTGGCTAATTTTTGTATTTTTAGTAGAAATGGGGTTTCACCATGTTGGCCAGGCTGGTCTCAAACTCCTGACCTCAGGTGATCTGCCTGCCTCGGCCTCCCAAAGTGCTGGGATTACAGGTGTGAGCTACCACGCCCGGCCTACTTTATTAATTTTTAACCTTTTTTGCTGCATTATATAATTTTTGATATGTGGTGTTTTTAATCATTCAGTTCTAAGTAATTTTAAGTTTCTACTATGACTTTTCTTTGATCCTTGAAATTTTTAGGGACTTTTTTTCATTTCTAAGTGTAGGGGTAATGATTTATACTTGTAAACGCTTAGCTTCTCACTTAATTGATGGTCACAGGATGTGGTCTATGTGAAAACTTATTATTTGAACTGTGAGACTTACTTTTTGGCCTGGTAGGTGATGAATTATTTAAATGTTTGCATGTTCCTGAAAAGAAAGTGTGTTTATGTATTTTGTTTCTACCATCCTACATTTTTATTTCAATTTGTTCTGCTTTTTCTGTTTTATCACTTTAAAAAATTATCTGTGGCTTTTCCCTACAAAGACAAGATTAGCATTTTCTCATGTCCCTTGCTCCCCTGCCTCTCTTCAGTTTCCACACCCTTCACTGACATGCTCCCCTCAGCCCCCATGATGTCACATGAAAATTGTCTAGATTTTTAAAAAATTGTCTAATTCTGAGTTACAGATCTATGTTATTCTTGTTCTTTTCTTTTCTTTTCTTTTCTTTTCTTTCTTGAGATGGAGTTTCACTCTTGTTGCCCAGGCTGGAGTGCAATGGTGCGATCTCAGCTCTCCACAACCTCTGCCTCCCGGGTTCAAGCGATTCTCCTGTCTCAGCCTCCCGAGTAGCTGGGATTACAGGCATGCACCACCACACCCAGCTAATTTTGTATTTTTAGTAGAGACGGGGTTTCTCCGTGTTGGTCAGGCTGGTCTCGAACTCCCGACCTCAGGTGATCTGCCTGCCTCAGCCACCCAAAGTGCTGGGATTACAGGTGTGAGCCACCACGCCCGGCCCTTCTTGTTCTTTTCTTTGAACTTGAATTTGTTTTGAAAAACTAAACTTTACTAAATTATTTGCTCAGTCTTCAGATATCTTGAATACAATCTGTGGAATTTGCTCCTAATTAAATCATTCCTTTAAAATTATTTGATTCTTTTTTTGGAGGGGGCGAGGGGCTGTCTTTTTGTACAAACCTGAGCCCTTGATGCTGTAACTTTTATTAGCCTTTAACTTTTTTTTTTTTTTTTTGAGGTGGAGTTTTGGCTCTGTTGCTCAGGCTCAAGTGTGGTGGTGTGATCTTGGCTCACCACAAGCTCTGCCTCCTGGGTTTAGGCGATTCTCCTGCCTCAGCTTCCTGAATAGCTGGGATTAGTGGCACCTGCCACCACACCTGGCTAATTTTTGTATTTTCAGTAGGGACAAGGTTTTACCTTGTTGGCTAGGCTGGTCTCAAACTCCCAACCTGAAGTGATCCGTCCACCTCGGCCTCCCAAAGTGCTAGGATTATAGGCATGACCACCACGCCCGGCCAGCCTTTAACATTTGAATGGCTGTTTAGCTGGATAGAAAATTCCCAGCTCAATCTTTTTTTCCTTCTGTAGTTTGGTCAATTCGACATTTATTCCATTTGTAAGTGTTCTGTTTTTTGCTAAACCTTTAGGATGTTTTCATTGTGTGTACGTGTTTTTTTTTTTTTTGTTTTTTTGTTTTTTTGTTTTTTTTGAGACAGTCTTGCTCTGTCACCCAGGCTGGAGTGTAGTGGCACGATCACTGCTCATACAGCCTCAACCTCCCCAAATAAAGTGATCCTCCCACCTCAGCCCCCTAAGTAGCTGGGACTGCAGGTGCACAACACCACACCCAGGTAATTTTTGTATTTTTTGTAGAGATGGGGTTTCCTTATGTTGCCCAGGCTGGTCTCGAACTCCTGGGCTTAAGCGATCCTCCTGCCGTGGCCTCCCAAGGTGCTGAGATTTACAGGAGTGACCTATTCAGGCATGAGATTACATGCCTGACCTATTCAGTTTTTTTTTTTTTTTTTTTTTTTGAGGCGGAATCTCGCTCTGTCACCCAGGCTGGAGTGCAGTGGTGTGATCTCAGCTCACCGCAACCTCTGCCTCCTGGATTCAAGCAATTCTCCTGCCTCAGCCTCCCAAGTAGCTGGGATTACGGGCATGTGCCACCATGCCTGGCTAATTTTTTTTTGTATTTTTAGTAGAGATGAGATTTCACCATATTGGCCAGACTGGTCTCGGACTCCTGACCTTGTGATCCACCCACCTTGACCTCCCAAAATGCTGGGATTACAGACGTGAGCCTCCGCTCCCGGCCGACCTATTCAGTTTCTTAATGGTATGTTTTGATAACAAGAGGTTTTCAATTTTGATGAAGTCCAATTTACCTTTTTTTTCTTTTATGGAATTAGTATTCTTTGCCTAACCCAAAGTCATGAAAATATTATGGAGTCAGGGCCGGGCGTCGTGGCTCATACATGTAATCCCAGCACTTTGGGAGGCCGAGGTGGGCGGATCACCTGAGGTCAGGAGTTCGAGACCAGCCTGGTCAACATGGCGAAACCCCGTCTCTACTAAAAGTACAAAAATTAGCTGGGTGTGGTGGTGGGCGCCTGTAATCCCAGCTACTCAGGAGGCTGAGGCAGAGAATTGCTTGAACCCAGGAGGTGGAGGTTGCAGTGAGCCAAGATTATGCCACTGCACTCCAGCCTGGGTGACAAGAGCGAGACTCCATCTCAAAAAAAAAAAAAAGAAAATATTATGGAGTCAGTATTCTTTGCCTACCCCAAAGTCATGAAGATATCCTTTTATATTTTCTTCTAGAAGCTTTGTGATTCTGACTTACAATTAGGTTTATGGTTAATCTCAAATTAATGCAGTAAGATTGGGGTTAATGTTCTTTTAACTTTTCTTTCAATGTTCTGTTTCTTTTTTTTTTTCTGAGACAGGGTCTTACTTTGTCACCCAGGCTGGAGTGCAGTGGCATGAACATGGCTCACTTCAGTCTCAACCCCTGGCCTTAAGCAACGCTCCCACCCCAGCCTCCCAAATAGCAGGGACCACAGGTGCACACCACACTTGGCTAATTAAAAAATAATTTTTTTTGTAGAGATGAGGTTCTTGCCATGTTTCCTGGACCTTCCAAAGTGTTGGAATTCCAGTCATGAGCCACCAAGCCTGGCCAATTTTCTGTTTCTTAATCCTTCCCTGCTTCCTCCTGGAAGCGTCCTCAAGCTAATAACTTAGCTCTCTCCTCCATCGTTCAGCAGCTGGATACACTCTGTAATTTATTCTACTTATGTGTTTGTTATTTCAACTGGTTTTTCACATAGAGTGTTTCCACTGGGGTCTTTTAACCATTCCTCTTTCTGTTTTGCTAACATCTTTGCTCATTTCTTTTGCATGTTTCTCACAGTTTATGGAGACTTTTTGTTTGCTTCATTTTGTTTCGTTTTTTTGAGACAGGGTCTCCACTGTTGCCCAGGCTGGAGTGCAGTGGCGTGATCTCTGCTCACTGCAGCCTCGACCTCCCGAGCTCAAGTGATCCTCCCACTTCAGCCTCCTGAGTAACTGGGACTATAGTTGTGCACCACCACGGCCAGCTAATTTTTTTTGTATTTTTTGTAGAGATGGAGTTTCATTGTGTTGCCCAGGCTGGTCTCAAACTCTTGGGCTCAAGTAATCCACCCGCCTTGGCTTCCTAGAGTGCTGGGATTACAGGTGTGAGCCACCGCATCTGGTCCTGTTAATGGTTTTTCTTTAGAATTCATTGTGCTATGGCTGGTAGTGGCGTGGGGTGGGATTCGGGGAGCCATGCACTTCTTGCCCTTAAAACTAGCAGCCAGGGAAAACGTATGGCTCCTGGATCCTCCCTCTCAAATCAGTCCCAAATACTGAAAAGCAAAACATCACTAAACCTAGGCAATTACGATTTTTGCTTATTTTAAATTCTCAGTAAATCTGATCTAATACGGATGATTCCAGCGGTATCTCTAATCAGTTTGGGTTTCTTTTGAAGTCATTGTGCTCCTTGGATACTCTGTTCTTTAACTTGTGAGCTTACTCCGTGGGGGATTTCAGCTATTCTGTTTGATGCTGTGTCTTTGGTAAGAGTCTAAGGCTGACCCTAGTCGCCCAGTTCCAATGAGTCCAAGGAGACGACATTGCCAGGACGGGAATCCCTGGACATCAGAACCACTTGGTTTCTCACTAGGTGTGACATCACCATTCTCCCTCCCCCAGTGACTCACTCCACAGGATTGGGCCTCTCTTTCAGACCCCAGGGAGAAACAGTGAGGAGAAGGGGCTATATGCCTAGGTCAGAATTCTTCAGACTGGGGTCTGGAAAGGAAGGGGTGGTGGAGTGACTGTAGAGGCCCCCTGTAGTGACTGTCGGTCCCCTCCCAATTCCTGCAGTTCCACATTGTTTGCTGGCAAGCTTTGAATTTTTTTTTTTTTTTTTTTTTGAGACATGGTCTCACTCTGTCACCCAGACTGGAGAGCAGTGGCATGAACATGGCTCACTGGAGCCTCGACATCCTGGGTTCAAGCACACCTCCTGCCTCAGTCTCCTAAGTAGCTGGGACCACAGGCGTGCACCACCACATCCAGATCATTTTTGATTTTTTTTTTTTTTTTTTTTTGGAGACAGAGTCTTGCTCTGTCACCCAGGCTGGAGTGCAGTGGTGCAATCTTGGCTCAACCTCTGTCTCTCAGGTTCAAGCAATTCTCGTGCCTCAGCCTCCCGAGTAGCTGGGATTACAGGCACCCACCACCACACCCGGCTAATTTTTGTATTTTTAGTAGAGATGAGATGGGGTTTCACCATGTTGGCCAGGCTGGTCTCGAACTCCTGGTCTCAAGTGATCCACCCGCCTTGGCCTCCCAAAGTGCGGGATTACAGGTGTGAGCCACGGCGCCCGGCCAATTTTTTGATTTTTTTGTAAGAGACAGGGTCTCACTTTGTTGCCCAGGCTGTCTCAAGGTCCTGGGCTCAAGCGAGCCTCCTGCCTTGGCTCCCAAAGTGCTGGAATTATGGCCCAGCCCATGCTTTGACTTTATCTCAGTAGACACTTGTGCCATCCTCCTGGGCTGCTTTATGCAAGATACTTTTTGTGGGTTTCATGAAAATGTGGGCTTAGTGATAAGCCATAAGTTAATTGAGGGGCAGAACAAAGGTGGGTTGGACAATTTGGGGCTCACATGTCCTGGGATAGAGAGCCAAAGGGGCTCTGGGAAAGGGAGGAGGATTCTGGGAGGACACGGAGTCAGCAGAGAGGAGGATGGAGTTTCAACAAGCCCAGAGCTGAAGTTGGAGACTGAGGTCTAGGGTAGCAGATGTGGGCTTTGCCAGGAGGCAGGTCCAGAGGGTGGCTGTGGGGCTGAACTCCAACCCCACACCCAGCTCTGACCTTAGTTGTTCCAGGACAGTGGGTGTGTGTATGGGGGCCTGGGCTTGGAACAGAGAGGCAAGAGGAGAACTCAAACCCTGTTTTCTTTTCTGTAATATTCTCTCCACCCTAAAGACCATGCCCTGCCTTTTCTCCTGGCTGCAGCAACCCCTCCCCGCCACCCTACACACACTAGTTTAAACTCTCTTCCATCTCCCAGGAGATTCTGTTTCCCCATTGTTGCCTAGGCTTAGTGGTATTTTGTTCTGTTGTTACTTGGGATTGATGTTGAGAAGGAGGACCCAGGAGCCATATGTCTTCTCTCTCTGTTGGGGCAAGGAGCGTGTGGATTCCCCAATCCCCTGTCCCACCACCAGCCAGAGCACAATGAATTCAAAAGTAAAACCATAAACTGATTAGAGACAACCCAGAGTCAGTGGTATTAGAATAAAAAGACCAAGATTTTTTTTTTAATTTTTTATTTTTTGAAATGGAGTCTTGCTTTGTCACCCAGGCTGGAGTGCAATGGTGTGATCTCAGCTTGCTGCAACCTCTGCCTCCCAGGTTCAAGCGATTCTCCCACCTGAGCCTCCCGAGTAGCTGGGATTACAGGCACCTGCCATCATGCCCTGCTAATTTTTGTATTTTTGTAGAGATGGGGTTTCACCATGTTGGCCAGGCTGATCTCGAACTCCTGACCTCATGTGATCCGCCCGCCTCAGCCTCCTGAAGTGCTGGGATTACAGGCGTGAGCTACTGCGCCCAGCCCAAGACCAATATTTTAAATAAACATCAGAAACATGAGAAATAAGGAAACAAGAGAAATAAGGAAAAACATTTGCAGCATAAAGTAGAATGAGAGAGTGTAAAAAATAAAAGAGCTGAAAGCAAATATTCAATATGAGAAAGCAGCCTCATTCTCTGCCCCACCCAAACCTCTGCGTGCACCTTACAGCTCCCTGTTCTCCAGGAAAGACGTTCACGGCTTCTGGACCTTGGCATGGGCTGTTCCAGCAGCTTAGACTTCCTTCCCTCCACTTCTGCTGAAACACTTCAGCACATCCTCAAGACTCCTTCCCTGACCATGCCTCATGGTCAAGGTGACACTCAGTGATGGCATAGGGTTCTGGAGTCAGGACACCAGGGTGCCTGTCCTGATTCTTCAACTAATTGGCTGTGTGACTTTGGGCAGGTCATGCTACCTCTCTGGACCTCAGGCTTCTCTTGGAGAAAAAGATGAAGGTGTTGGGTTAGAGTATTCCTAGAGTCCCTTTCAGTTTGTTGTGATACCATGGTGGGGAGCACAAGCTTTGGAGTGGGGCTGCCCACCAGCCCTTCCTGGGTCAGCACTTAACGCTATGTATCATGGAGCAGTTCTTTCAACATGGAAAGCCACCGTTTACTTACCCTAATATATGGGTTAAGAGCTTGTAGTTTGGAGTTGGACAATTTGGGCTCAGAATCCCAGCTCTGCTGCAGGTCTGCTGTGTGACCTCAGGCAAGTTACTTAACCTTTCTGTGCTTTTTTCCTCTTCATAAAATGTGAATGATACTAAGAGTACCTACCTCAAAGTGTAGGAGCACAGTGAATGCAGCTGTCATTCTGCTGGTGACAGTTGTTTCACCACTATACAGACATCTCCTTTCAGTTTGGTAGATTCTTGATGATTATCTGCCGGGCTCTGCTTTCCAAATACACTCTCTGTTGAATTTTAACTTTTAACGGATGCTCTCCACTGCATTTTATCTGTAAAACAACCCTGCAAGGTGAGGATGACCAACCTTGTTTTATGGATAAGGAACCTGAAACCCCAAAGTTGCTTTCAAAGCTACACAGCCAGGACTTAACCCCAGGTCCACTTCCCACAAGACCAAGGTCTTTCCACCATGCCACACTATTCAGAAGATTAGACTGGGTCTGGGCACGGTGGCTCACGCCTGTAATCCCAGCACTTTGGGAGGCTGAGGTGGGTGGATTACCTGAGGTCAGGAGTTCGAGATCAGCCTGGCCAACATGGTGAAACCGCCCATCTCTACTAATAATACAAAAATTAGCCAGGTGTGGTCGTGGGCGCCTGTAATCCTGGCTACTCGGGAGGCTGAGGCAGGAGAATCGCCTGAACCTCGGAGGTGGAGTTTGCAGTGAGCCGAGATCGTGCCATTTCACTCTGGCCTGGGTGACAAGAGTAAAACTCTTGTCTCAAAAAAAAAAAAAGAAGAAGAAGAAGAAGAAGAAGAAGATTAGACTGGGACTTGGGAGATTACCAAATACAGGCAGATGGGAAAGCACAGTGAGAAGTCTCCCAGGCTGGAGTGCAGTGGCGCAATCTCGGATCACTGCAGCCTAGACCTCCTGGGCTGAAGCGATCCTCCAGTCTCAGCCTCCTGAGTGGCTGGGCCTACAGGTGTGTGCCACCATGCCTGGCTAATTTTTGTAGAGACAGGATTTCGCCATGTTCCCCAGGCTGGTCTTGAAATCCTGGGCTCAAGCAGTCCTCCTGCCTTGGCCTCCCAAAGTGCTGGGATTACACGTGTCAGCCACCACACCTGGATCCTACATGTATATTCTGACTGTCCGCCCTTGGCCATATGCAAGATGCCTTTTGTAGTTTCATGCAAATGTGGGCTTAGTGATAAGCCAGAAGTTAATTGAGGAGGCAGAACAAAGGTGGGTTGGACAATTTGGGGCTCATAAGACCTGAGATAGAGAGCCACAGGGGCTCTGGGAAAGGGAGGAGGATTCTGGGAGGACACGGAGTCAGCGAAGAGGAGGATTGAGTTTCAACAAACCCAGAGCTGAAGCTTCAGACTGAAGCCTAGGGTAGTGGATGTGGGCTTTGCCAAGAGATAGGCCCAGAGGGCAGCTCTGGGGCTGAACTCTAGCCCCCCACCGCTGTCCCTCACCCTGGTGTACTCTTGAGGGTCTGGGTTTGTGGTTTCAGTTTCTTCCTCTGCAAAAGGGCTGCTAGTACCCCTTGGTAGAGTTAGGGGAGAGGGCACGAGGGAGACAGGAGGCCCTGGGCAAGAATCCAGTTGCGCTGGTTGTATTGACATGCATGGACTTGAGAGTTATCCTGAAACCCTATCCCTCCTTATCTGTGATTTGGGAATCACGTTCTGGCCTGTGTGGGATCATTGCAAGGCCACAGTGAAATGATTTCTTGGTGAGACCTTCTCTGATCTTTCTATTTAAAACTGCAAACCTCCCTGTCCTCCTCCCTGCCTTCTTTTTCCCCGCTGTACTTACCGCCACCTGGCGTTCTATTGCTTTTACTTACTTCCTTGTTGTCTGCCTGCCACACTGACAGGGATTTGGGCTGTTATGTTCAGCACCTAGAACAGCCCCTGGCATATTGTGGCTGCTCAATAAACAGTGTTCCAGCGAATGTTGGTTGAATAACATATAGGGAAAGCCCTAGGCATAGAAGGTGTTTAGTCAAGATCAGCTGGATCTTAGAGACATAGGGCAGACGCCTGAGAAAGGCTGGGACAGCTCACTTGGGGTGACGAGGTCTCCCATGAAAGCATTTGGGGTCTGGATTTCAGGGCAGTGCTGGTTTCCTCTCTGGCCACAGCCTGCAAGCAGCGAGCCATATAGGAGAGGAAAGTTTGGCTGGGTGTGGGGCCTCACCCGGGAGTCCCAGCACTTTGGGAGGCTGAGGCAGGAGGATTGCTGGAGCTTAGGAGGTTGAGAGTCTGGGCAACATAGCGAGACCTTGTCTCTACTAAAAATAAAATCACCAGCCGAACGTGGTGCTGTGCGCCGGTGGTCCCAGCTACTTGGTCTCTTGCTGAGGCAAGAGGATCGTTTGAGCTCGGGAGGTTGAGGCTGCAGTGAGCTATGATCGTGTCACTGCACTTCAGCCTGAATGACAGAGCAAGACCCTGTCTCAAAAAAAAAAGAAAGGAGAGTGAAGCTGGATGGGCCAAATACTGGGGCTTCTGAAGAAGTCAAGACCTTCAGGCAGACAGGAAGCTCATGACACTTAGCTTTCTCGTTTTCTTTAGCTTTTTAAACCACTCTGACTGCTCCTGAGTGGAACAAACTCTCAAAGAAATGATAGCCTCAGCCCACTCCACTCCAATGACTAGGAGAAAAAGCAGTAGCACTGGGCCCAGGCAGATCTGGAGACATGGCTTGGCCCTGCCCCTGTTTAGCAGAGGGACCTAGGGCAAGTCACTTCACCTTGCTGAGTCTCTACTTTCTCCTCTGAAATGGGTGTAGTGGTATTCTCCCTCCGAGGCCTTTTGTGTAAAACCTACTAGAAAGGTGAATTATAACCAGTCATTACCAAACTGAAGGGCCTGGAAGGCAGAGCTTGTACCTGCAAGTCCTGTCACAGGGCTGGCACACAATAGATGCATGGAACCTGGTGGTCAAAGGGTTGTAAACTTCAATGGACAACAACCTGTCAGAAAGTGAGGATCTGAGTCCTGCAGGGCTATTAGACAAGTCCAGCCCCAAAACTTTCTGTAATTCTAGAAGTTTATAGATTCCAAGTAGAAAGTGACTTGTAGGAAGTTGGACTCTTACATTACCACATACTTGAAACTTGTCAGCTTTAGCTTGTTTGCAAGATTTTTCCTCTGGCAGAAACAGCTGGCAGAATATGAATGACCTGATTTGGTTGCTCACAATCTAAAGCGCTGAGAAAAACTGGCTGAGCTGCAGTTCTGAGGTCAGACTCTGTGTTCCAAGTAACAGAAAAGCCAAGACGCACAATGGGGAAATTAATTGGCTCATGTAGCCAGGATGTTCAGAGGAAGGCTTCAGGCATGGCTGCATCTAGGAGCCCAAGTGATGCTATCAAAGACTCAAGGTCTCTACCTTTCTCTAGTCCATCTCTGAGAGGTTGCTTCCTCTTCAGGCTATACAAAGTGCCCTTCCCCACCACTTCACACCCTCATAACCCAGCAAGCAGACAGAGTCTTCCAGCTGGAGCCAGTCAGGGTCCACCTGGAGCTGGAGGCGGGATCAGTCCCACCCAAACCAGGCTGAAAGGGGGAGGGTCACTTCCCAAGGAAACTTGGTGGTATTGTTAGGAAGGGGAAACAGACTCTGGGTGGCCAAAAATGACAGTAGATGTCCACTCCACTCACCAGAGGGAGTGCAGTGGAGAGCCGTAGAAACTTCTGCATTGTACCTTTTGATTTGCAAGGTTCCTTCCCTTTTTTTTTTTTTTTTTTTTTTTGAGACGGAGTCTTGCTCTGTCACCCAGGCTGGAGTGCAGTGGCGCGATCTTGGCTCACTACAACCTCCACCTCCCAGGTTCAAGCGATTCTCCTGCCTTAGCCTCCTGAGTAGCTGGGATTATTGGCGCCCGCCACCACGCCTGGCTAATTTTTTGTATTTTTAGTAGAGACAGGGTTTCACTGTGTTAGCCAGGATGGTCTTGATCTCCTGACCTTGTGATCTGCCCGCCTCGGCCTCCCAAAATGCTGGGATTAAAGGCGTGAGCCACCGTGCCCGGCCAGGTTCCTTCCCTTCTAAGACGCTGATACTGGAGGCAGAATGGAGTTTATTATCCCTGCTCTACAGCCAAGGAAACAGCCCTTGAATATTCAGCGAGGACTCTGACTTGTAACCCTGGGCTGCCCCCACTGATCTCAGCCTCTCTGTGCAAAATTATAAGCCCAGAGGAGCTGACCCAGGAGGGAGAGGCCAACGTGACTGAAGCCCCTCACTTTGTGGAGCGGGCACTCTGTCTAGATACAAGAGGCCCCCAGGAAGCTGCGATCACGGGAAAGTACACAGGGAGCTGAGAGAGCAGCATGACATGAGGACCAGCCACAGGGCAGCAGCCAGGCATGGCTTCCTGCAGCTCTCATTGCCAGAACCACCCCCCCCACCGCCATCCCCCTACACCCCAGCAGAGTGAGCTCATGCAGCCCCACTGAGGCAGGGCTCCCTGTGCCTGGGATGGCTGAGGCACGAGCTCTGCCATTGGTGACCGAGGTTGTCCTGGCATGTGACTGAGATGGGGGTGGCACGTACACTGGACATGGAGCTGGACGGACCTGGCCTGAATCCCAGCGCTCCCACGTGGTTGCTTTGTGACCCTGAACCTCCCTCCTGTTCTGAGCCTTGGTTTTTCCTCCTGAGCCGGAGCTGATCATTTGCACTTCACTGGAATTCGAAGACTGGGTGAAAAGCCCCCGGCGCGTAGTAGTTGCTCCATAGAGTTTCTCCCTCTTCCTCTTTGGGTCCTGTTAGTAGCTATGTGACCTTGGCCCAGTTCCTTGACTTTTCTGTACACTGGGAGCAATGAGGGCGTTGGTGTGAGGACCAGATGGCTTTGCGTGTAAAGTGCTTAGAGCAGTGCCCGGCACACTCGTGATCACTGTTACTTCTGGCTAACACCTATTGTTTAATGCGTACCAGGCCCTGGGTCTTTCTCTCCTTGTTTATTGTCTCACTGAATTCTTGTTCCTCCAGTGACGTAGGCTCTCACCAGGATGGTCCCCATTTGACGGGTGAGGTGGTGTGCCCAAGGTCAATGGGGGCCTGCTGAGCTGCATGCCCTTGGGTGGGACCTCACCTCCATAGGCCCCAGTTTCCTGTCTGGGGCTCTCGGCGTCAGCCCTGCCCTACTATGTCCCAAGGTCGCCGCGGAGATCAAACGCAAAAGCCACCGGAGCCTTCTGTGGCCGGCTGGAGCGTCCTCTGGGAATGCGAGGAACGCTGTTATCTGGAGCCCAGCTGCCCTGAGCACTGTCTCTGGGAACACCCGCGTCCTTCCTCCTCTGATCTGAGCCCTCTGCGCCCGCCACCCAGGGATTCGGCTTGTGCTGGCCGCTGCCCAGCAAGCTACAAGTTCATTGTCCCTTTTCCCACAGCCCGGCGCCTCCTCAGCCTCCTCTCACAGGGCCTGCGTGGGGCCATCTGCACAATGGACACATCCTCTGCTAGGGGGAGGGGAGTGGGGAGAGCCGGGATTGGCCAATGCCCTGTCTTGAGGATGAGTTGAAGGAGGGGATTATGGGTGGGGGTGGCCAGGGTGCGCCCACCTGGCCGGGGGCAGAGCCAGGTCTTGAATGCCAGGTCTTGAATCTGGGATCCTCCCCTCCCTGCCACTGCAAGCCCCAAGTGAGTTGCACTGCAGGGCTGGCTACAAGATACCGTGCAAAGATCAGAAGAGACTTGGACCCTAGATGTGACATTCTCTTGCTGTGTGACCTCTGGCAAGTCACCTCACCTCTCCTGTAAAGTTATGATTATAGGAAGCCCTCCCACTGGGAACCGTGGTGCAGATACAATGAAATAACATTTGGGAACAGAGTGTAGTGAGTGTGAATCAAATAGCAGCTGCACGCAATCCCTTCATCTGCAAAAGTATAATGTGTCTGTGTAATGTACATATTGCAGAGAGGGCAAATGGTGGTTTGTTTCCAGTCTTGCCTCCTGTTTGAGGAGTTTATGCTTAGTCCTGGGAGACAGAAACATCCCCAAGTAAGGCTGAATTCTGGCTCGCTCACTTACTGGCTGTGTGACCTTGGGCATGCTCCTTAATCTCTCTGTGCTTCTGTTTTGTCATCTGTAAAATGGGGATAATAATAGTGCTTACCTTGAAGGTTGTTGTGGGGATCAAGTGAGTTAATATAGGTAAAGTGTTTAGAACAATGCCTGGCACATAATAAGGTCTATGAAAAGGTTTGTTATTATTAATCTTATGAATACGATGACAAAATATGTAAAATAGGATTTTTCTAAAATAGTCTCAGTTTGAAATATTTTCATCAGTTGCCGCAAATCACTAATGTACGGAAGTCCAAGACATTGGCATCCAAGCTGCGCCTTGAACACTGCCTTGCCTTTCCAGTAATTGCCCCCCAAATCCTCAGCTGGTTAGTGGGGAGACCTATCCCTGCCCCTGATGTGCTGTGTGACACTGGGGAGGTTGTGTACCCTCTCTGTGTCTTCCTTTTCTTTTTCCTTTTTTTTTTTTTTTTGAGATGGAGTCTCACTCTGTCACCCAGGCTGGAGTGCAGTGGCACGATCACAGCTCATTGCAAGCTCCACCTCCCGAGTTCACACCATTCTCCTGCCTCAGCCTCCCGAGTAGCTGGGACTACAGGTGCCCGCCACCCAGCCCAGCTAATTTTTTGTATATTTTTAGTAGAGACAGGGTTTCACCGTGTTAGTCAGGATGGTCTCGATCTCCTGACCTCGTGATCTGCCCACCTCTGCCTCCCAAAGTGCTGGGATTACAGGCTTGAGCCACCGCGCCCGGCCTGTGCCTTCCTTTTCTTGTTGTTTGTGAGAGCAAGGATGGGCCGGCCATGTCTCCTAGTACCAGGGAGGCTCCCCCTGCAGAGGGCTGAGGGAAGTGCTGGAGGAGGTGGTTGGCGAACACCGCAGATGTAGTGCGTGCGCCACCCTCCCCCACCGCTTTCTGTACTTGGCATCTAGGCTTGGCACAGAGTGAGGTGGCCTGGGGCAGAACATGTCCTTTCCATGGCATGGCAGAAGGCTGTGTGCCTGCAAAGCAGCCATGCTCCGCCCCCGACCCCTGCCTGGGCACTGCAGGCCCCAGGCATGGTGTCTCTGGGCCCTGCTATCTCCCTCCCCTGCGATCTCCCTACTGCGCCTCCCTGCTGCTTCTCTCCTGCCACTAGTCCTCTGGCTTCAGTCCTCTGCCCACAGAGTTGGTTTGGGGCATCATGACCGTCCTGGAGCCTCAGGGACCCCCAGAGAAGCTTTGGCTTCTCTGAACCCAGACCCTCAGGGTTTCTGATTCCAGCTCTGCTGTGTGGCCTTGAGTAAGTGACAGTCAGAGCCTCACCCTCCTCACCTGTAAAATGGAGCTGGCAATGGGGCATGTAGTGAGATGAGGCATGCAGAGGGCCTGCTCTCCACCAGGCCGTGCTTGGGGAGCAGAGCCCTTTGTGGTGGGTCCAGGCTGCCCCTCTGTCCTGAATGCAAGCCGCCTGCTCGTGCCTTTCTCCCTGAACCCCAAACTCCACACATTCCTGCCTCCTTGCCTTTAAACACTCAGGTCCTGTTGGGAGTGTCCTCTCTCTCTCTCTGCTCATCTCAACCCCATCATCCTTCCAGCCTGGTGCTCGACCCACCCCCACGGACACTTCTGGCCCATACCCTGTCCTAGACTTTCTCTCTCTCCCCTTCAAGATGGAAAGGAAGTGTCAGGCTACCTGGCAGGTTACTCCTTTCTTCCCAAGTGAGTGTGTGAGGGAGAGAGAGATCTGGTTCTCTTTGGAGATGGGAGCCCTTTGACTGTAAGAATAGGACCTCTGCCGCTTAAGAACAGGCCCTTTGAAGGGAAAGTACTCAGCAGGCAGGTGAGCTTCTGGGTTCTAGAGTCTCAGAGCTGGAAGGACTGTCTGCAGCCATCCAGGTGAACAGGTCTCTGGGAAATCCCAAAGCATATGGTGGCTTGATCGAGTGGGCGGGGAAGGGTCCATCCGTTCTCTGCTCCAGCCCCTCATCTGCCCCACTTGCCCATCTCTGCCCCGCAGTCCATCCACCTCATTTGCTCCCCCTCCCCATAACCCTAGCTCCTGACTGACATTCACTCAGCACCTACCACATCCCAGCCTCCGTTTTACACCCTTGTGTGTATGAAGGCATCCTTACAACAACGCAGTGGCTTCTATTAGGTGTGGAGGGGTGAGGTCACCTGCTCTGAGCTGCCCAGCTGGTGAGGGGCAGAGGCAGGATCAGAATCCAGGCAGCCTGGCTCCAGCATCCATCTTCACTGCTGCTGAGCTGTCTCTTCAGCCACCCACCCTCTGACCCCATCATCCTTCCACCTAGCGACATTCCCTGGCCACCCGGCCTGTGCCGGCCTCTGCCAGCCACGGGGCTGCTGCCATCAGCAGAGCAGGATTCCAGCTCCCTAGGAGCTCACCACGGTGAGAGGGTGACAACCTATGATTCTCTAAGGCTCTGATTAATTTCACCAAGGGCTTCATGGCACTGGGTGCTGGGAGCTTGGGGAGGAGCCGAAACTGCTGTCTGGGCTGGGGTAGGGTAGGGAGAGGGCAGGGGGAGGGATTCATTGGTTGGACAGCATGGGACATTCTAGTCTGGGAAGCACAGAGTGCAGAGGTGTTGAGGCTGGGAGCGCTCAGGGGACAGCTGGGTTCTCATCAAAGCCCTAAAGATGCAGTGGCTTGGCACCAGGCCTCTGGGGTACTTCCACGTCTGTTTCCTGCCAGGATGGGGTGCTGTCAATGGCTAGAAGTCTGAGCCTTACTATAATCCCCAGCACTGGCCCACTGCCCTCTAGGGAAGTCCTTCCTTGGATCTGACCTGCAGCCCACTCTGAAACCACCACACATTCCTGCGCAAGCACTTCATCCAGCTCTTCATGACAGCCATAAATAACTTCCTCCAGTAATGAATACAGTCCTGGCCAGCAAGGCTTGCCAGAGATGCTGGGCTTGGCGGAGAGAGGAATTCCATGTCCCTTCCCTATGACTCTGCAGCTGAAATGTTACTGGGCTGGTCTTCAGCAGGGCTCCCTCCCTAGGCAGCTATGCAGGTGCCCCCCAGCCCCTGCCTCATTCCTCATGCCCACCAGGGACACAAGGGCAACTCAGCACTCCTCTCTAGCCACAGCTCCTTGGAAGAGCCCAGAAGGCCCAGCTGACAGGCTAGGGGATGCTGGCTCCAAGCTGACTCAGTTCCCTATGTGTGCCTCTGGTGGGGAGCAGCTGAGAGATGCAGGGTCTGCTTATAGTGGTTCCTCTCACCGGGCAAGGCTTTCCTCCTCTTTAGGCCTCAGTCTTCCCATTTGGACAATGGGATGATCTCTAAGACAAAGTTTCCCAAATGAATCTGCTCAGAAAATGACTTGTTAAAAATATAGCTTCCAGCCAGGCGCAGTGGCTCACGCCTGTAATCCCGGTGCTTTGGGAGGCCGAGGCGGGCGGATCACGTGAGGCCAGGAGTTCAAGATCAGCCTGGCCAACATGGTGAAACCCTGTCTCTACTAAAAACAAAAATTAGCCGGGCATGGTGGTGGGCCTGCAATCCCAGCTACTAGGGAGGCTAAGGCATGAGAATCGCTTGAACTCTGAAGGCGGAGGTTGCAGTGAGCCGAGATTGCGCTACTGCACTCCAGCTTGGGTGACAGAGCAAGACTCCATCCCCCCAATCCCCCCACCAAAAAAATACAGCTTCCAGCTGGGCACAGCGGCTTATACCTGTAATCCAAGCATTTTGGGAGGCTGAGGCAGGAGGATCACTTGAACCCAGGAGTTCGAGACTAGCCTGGGCAGCATAGTGAGACCCCACCTCTATTTTAAAAATGTAAACATTAACCAAATGTGGTAATGTGTGCCTGTAGTCCCAGCTACTTGGGAGGCTGAGGCAGGAGGATCGCTTAAGGCTGCAGTGAACTATGATCGTGCCACTGCACTCCAGCCTGGGCGACAGAGTAAGACCCTGTCTCAAAACAAAAAATAAAAAAACAGCTTCCCAGGCCCTGACCTGGGAGATTCTGACCGAGTAGGTCTGGAATAGGAGAAGTAGGAATTTATTTAGGGGGCTGTTATGTCTTTCTAATCTGTCCTTTTAAACTTGCATATAGTCACATCCCTCCACTAAACCCTTTTTTTCCCCAACACTCCCTTTATTGAAATCTCATCAGCTCCTCCCCAAAAACCTCACGATATAGACAGGGTAGGGACGATTAGCCCCTCGACAACTTTTCACAAATATACACACGTTTAACTACTTCTCAGGTCATGATAAAGACCGGCCGGGCAGAAACACTGTAATCCCAGCTACTCGGGAGCCTGAGGCATGAGAATCACTTGAACCTGGGAGGTGGAGGTTGCCATGAGCCGAGATCACGCCATTGCACTACAGCCTTGGCGACAAGAGTGAAACTCCATCTGAAAAAAAACAAAACAAAACATTTCCATTGCCCCAGGAAGTTCCTTCATGCACCGCCTAGTCAATCCTCCTCCCAAGGTAACCACTTGGGAATAAGACTTTTTCCATAAGCACCTCAAGTGATTTTTGTGGCTCGGGGCATTTGGGAAATCGCAAAAGACCTTCCCAGCCTGGACAGTCTGGGGCTGCGTGCTCTAGACCGGGGGCTCCCTAAGGGCAAATACCTGACCCTGTGAGTCCTGCCAGGTACAAGCTGGGGCATACCAGCTGATGCTCCCTGGAGGCACATCAGTTTATTAGGCTGCTTGGTAGAGCCTTGGAGGGTGTCCTTGGAGCAGGCCTGGGAGCTGGGTGGGCTTGGATGGGGAAGGCCCCCGGCTGAGCTGAGGTGGAGAGAGCTTGGCACAGGGGTGTCCCTGGGTAGGTCCCACATGGAGGCCTGTGCAGGGCCTGGCCCAGTACCTGCCATCGATGTGACCTCTTCACCATGGCCAAGTGGACCTCCATTTTCTCACCTGTAAAGGGGGACAGCTCTGTCTCACTCTCAGGGTTGTTAATGAGGACACAGCAGGTCAGGTGTGTCACAGTCAGCACCTGGTGCACCGTAGTTCTTGAATGGGAAACCAATGTTAGACGCCAAAGGAAACAGTTTCGGAGGTGCAGGGACTGACCCAGCAACACACACCTGGGAAGTGGTGGAGCTTGGGCTTGGATCAGATTTGCTGGCTGTGTGACAGCTCACCCAGTGACTTCATTGCTAGGCCTTGGTTTCAAAATGTGGTGACTGAGAGTGGTGCTAAGGCCCTAAGTTTGGGTCACACTCTCACCTAAGTGAGAACCTGACCAAAAAGGGGGAATTTTAAAACAAAATTATGAGCTGGGCGTGGTAGCTCACACCTGTAATCCTAGCACTTTGGGAGGCCGAGGCATGTGGATTGCCTGAGCTCAGGAGTTCAAGAATAGCCTGGGCAACATGGTGAAACCCCGTCTCTACTAAAAAATACAAAAAAATCAGCTGGGCATGGTGGCATGCGCCTGTAGTCCCAGCTACTCAGGAGGCTGAGGCACGAGAATTGCTTGAACCTGGAAGGCGGAGGTTGCAGTGAGCTAAGACCGTGCCACTGCATGCCAGCCTGGGCGACAAAGTGAAACTGTCTCAAAACAAAAACAAAATTATGAGAGGCTGTTGTTTTGGACTAAATGCATACACTAGGCCCCAAGAGACCAGACGAAACCTAAATAGAGTCACTTGTGCTAAATGTGATATCATCAAACTAAAACTTTAAAAAGAACACATAAATGCTAAAACCAGGTTTTGTTTTGTTTTTTTTTCTTGTAAACAGGACATTCCAACATTAAAAAAAATACCCTCTAACCCTTAAAAAAAATAACCTAAAGTCTTTATTCCCACCTTACAAAACCCACTGTCCTACTGTTTCCCAGTGGGTTTCGAGACCAAATAAGTACATTTACAATGGTGATAGTGACATCAGTGACTCGTTTTGGTCAATGTCTCAAAATTTAAAAAATAACTAAAAGAAGGGAATTATTAAATCAAATCTAGCCTAATGCTGCCTTCTTACATATTTTAAGTTCAGCCTAGCAGTTTCTCTACATTGTAAACTATAAGAAATAGAGGTGTAAACAGACTATAGCCTACACTTGTGCCAATCACCAAGTTTTGGGGGTTTTTTTGTTTTTGTTTTTGTTTTTGTTTTTTTTTAAGACAGAGTCTCACTCTGTCGCCCAGGCTGGAGTACAGCATTGTAATCTCAGCTCACTACAACCTCCGCCACCCGGGTTCAAGCGATTCTCCTGCCTCAGCCACCCAAGTAGCTAGGATTACAGGCGCCTGCCACCATGCCCAGCTAATTTTTGTATTTTTAGTAGAGACAGGGTTTCATCATGTTGGCCAGGCCGGTCTCGAACTCCTGACCTCAGGTGATCCACCCTCCTCAGCCTCCCAAAGTGCTGGGATTACAGGAGTGAGCCACCATGCCCAGCCACCAATTACCAAGTTTTAGCCAATCAAATGTCGCCAACTGTTCAAACCGTGTTCAAATGACAAGTGCTAAGCTGTAACCAATCTGACTGCACCTCACTTTCCTTTTCTGTTCATAAATCTTCTTCTACTAAGTGGCTGCGCTGGTTCCTACTCCGGCTCAGGAGGCTGCCTAATTTGCAGATCGTTCATTGCTCAATTAAACTCTTTTAAATTTATTTTTTTATATTTTATTTTATTTTATTTTGAGACAGAGTCTCGCTCTGTTGCCAGGCTGGAGTACAGTGGCACGATCTCAGCTCACTGCAACCTCTAACTCTCTAGTTCAAGCGATTATCCTGCCTCAGCCTCCCGAGTAGCTGGGATTATAGGCACACACCACCATGCCCAGCTAATTTTTGTATTTTTAGTAGACACGGGGTTTCATCATGTTGGCCAGGATGGTCTCGATTTCCTGACCTCGTGATCCACCCACCTCAGCCTCCCAAAGTGCTGGGATTGCAGGCAATTCTTTTAAATTTAATTCAGCTGAAGTTTTTCTTTTATCAATAGGGCTAATAATCCCCACCCTGCCAGTATCACTAGGATGTTGTGAGGATCTGACGCAATTTGAGTTACGGGAATGTTGAGAAAGAAAAGGGCGTAATGGAGTAACGAGATTAGTTTTCCTGTTATGGTGAGGTCAGTGGCCTTTCTGGGGTCAAGAAGAGGGGACTTTCCTTGGCACCAAGAGGGTAAAAGTGTCTCCTCCTGACCTTGGGTATTTTGGACCATGGGATCTGAGGTGTACCAGGAGACAGGAAGTGTGATCAGAAAAGGCCTGGTCTAATGGTGCACAGCTGTGCATATCCAAGTGGCTTGACCTCTCTGGGCCGTTTCTGAATCTGTGAGATGGGAATCATAACCACTCTCCTGACTTCACAGGATGTTTTAGGAGAGATTGGATCTGGGTTGGGGAGACAATTTTGGAAGCAGAAAAGGCCCCTCCGTGCTGGCAACAGCTCGTCCACCTCCAGCCTGTGTGTGCTGCCTCCTGGGTGACTGCTGGCTTTAGGCCAGCGCCTGGCAGGGCTTCACTAAAGCCTCCGTAGGCTGCTGCTATCTCAGTTCTGAGGTACGGGCCGTGGAGACCCCCAGATTTGGGCTTAAATCCCAACTCCACCATTGCACCTCTGAGCCTCTGTTTCTCTGCAAATGGGGATACTAGTCCCTAGCCCAGATGGGGCCTGGTACACAGTTGGTGCTCAATAAGAGCAGTTCGTCTTCTTCTGAGCATGGGTGCATCCCTCTGGCTGGGGTAAGCACCAACTCAGATTTCTAGGCCCATAGATGGGCTGGAACAGCTGCTGCTGTTAGGGGAAAACCTACTGTGTTACTAGCCAAGGGGTTCCCTTCCATGTTTTTGCCCCACAGGGCACCTGGCACAATGTCTAGCATACAGTAGGTGCTTTGTCCACACTGGCTGGTCAGTTACCTCCAAGCTGACAGAAACTCTGTCCCGTTCCCGACTGTTTCCATAGAACCTAGCACAGAGATACTCAGCAGGTGCTCTGTAGGTGTTTGGGAGTGAGGAATGAATGAACAAAGTTGAATGAACAAGCATCGGGCCCTCCCCCGGGGCTCAAATGGGAGAGAGGAGCTTCGTAGCCTGCTCCCCCTCCCACCCCAGCACCCCGTTTCATCCCTTCTGACTAATCCACAAAGATTAACCCAGGGATAAAGCGGGTCACGGCCACTGACCCAGGGCTTTGGAGCTAGTGTGACCGAGTGTGTGCAGGGCGTGGTGGCTGCTCCCAGGGGCCCTCTTTGCCCCAAGATGGCCCTCCTGTCCCCCATCCTGGATGTGGTCCTCACGGTGGCCCTCAGCCTCCTCCTCCTGGGGCTGATCCTGGGCCTCCTTTGTTTCTTCACTTGCCGCCTGGCCAGGCCGCTCAGGTAGGGGAACTCAGCTGGCCTGACTCCCCCTGCATCCCGCCAAATTCCCTGCCCTAAGCTCGTTCAGCTTCCATTTGTTCTCGTGAGATGGAGCAAGCGGGGCACTCATTTCTCTTACTCTTCATGGTGGGGAAACCAAGGCCCGGAGAGGTTGAGCCCTGGCGTCAGCCTGGGCTTAAATGGCGCATAGTCGAAGACTAGCCAAACCCTCTGTTGGGTTTCCTAAGCTACAAAACGGGGGCTCTTCATCCATATTGTGAGATCAGGGATGTAAACAGCATGGGGCTGAGTGGAACATGAGGGCCTAAGAAATGGTAGTGACACGTTTGTCCCATTCTTCTATCATTTGCCCCAGATCTTCTGAGACCCAGCCCAAGGCTGGCTTTTTGCCCCACTCCAGGATGCTCCCGGGCCCTCTGCCTGGGTTGCTGAATCAGTCCTCAGAGCTAAGGCCTGCCTGGCTCCTCAGCCCCCTGCACTGAACTGCCAAGTAGCTGCTCCTCTGGCGCCACAGCCTAGCCGGGGCTTCTGCACTGGCCATGCGTAATCAGGCTACGGAGGAGCCGGGAGCCTGGCAGAGAAGGGAGGGAGGGGGTGGCGATGGGGCTGACACACACCCGGAGGCCCCATTTTAAGCTGGCAGACATTGGCAGAGGGTGGTGGGCAGCCGGGGCCCCCACAGCCCCAAACTGGGCCCCTCCGCTTCCAGGGCTGCCACAGAGCAGCCAGGAGCCTCTGCGAGGGGGAGGGGTCCTAGGGGTGGGGCCAGCAGGGAGGCTCTGGGTTCTGAAGGCTTTCCCAGGTCCCCACCCTCTCCTTGTCCTGAGCGGAGGCTATGGGAGAAGGCACCTGCCTCCAGGCCAAGCCTATCTCAATGCCTATCCCTGGGGCCAAAATTCAGAGCATCCCAGCCTGAACTGGTGGCACTTATGGAACTGCTACCATGTGCAAGGGCTCGGGATGCAGAGATGGGTAAGATGTTGGTCTTTACGTTCACAGAGCTTCAGGCTAGCAGGGAGGAGAGACAGACCAATAACCGGAAGAATAATCATGTGGGGCTGGATGAGCCTTTCAGTGCTCCCGGGTCACTACACTTTTATTTTTCTTTATTCGCTCACCTGTTTTGGACCCTCAGTGCAGAGAGAGTGGGATACGTTATCTCACTTAGCACATGACATACCCAAATAAGCTCTCAGTTCTTGTTTTGTTTATTCATTTTTTCCTTTGTCCCTGCTCCCTGCCTCCCCACTGCCATTCCCACAGCTCACCGAAGTCCCTATGCTAATGTACTTAATATGGCCTTGGAGTTGTAAGTGTCCTTGTACGTTACACAGCATTCTGTCCGTGGGGGTGGTTTGCACTTACATACACTGCGTTTGATTCTTTACATTCATCACTCAGTCCTCTGCCTTTAGACCCCACCACGCTGCTGTTTGGACATCTAGTTTTAATACCACTGCCACGCAGACATTGCCTCCACCACTCCTTACTAATTCATTTCCCTAGTTGTGGACGAGACTGCCCCGGCTCCTCACCATCATAAGCCAGTGTTAAAAGGAGTTTGCCAAAGCTTTCTCCAGCGAGTATGATGGTTTCTGCAGGTTCTTGGCATAAAGCCTTTATCAGATTAAGGAAATTCTTTTCAATACCTGGTTTGCTGAGGGCTTCTGTCACATCGTTTTCTGTGACCCCATTCCCTCTCCCTAGGTGAGCACGTCAAGTTTGATCAGGGTGTTAACTGCCACCCCTGTGCCTATGATTCCCAAATTTATACTCTAACCCAGACTTCTTTTTCAAATGCCAGAGCCAAATATTCAGCTGCCTCCTTAGTGTCTCCACTTCTAAAAGACATCTCCAACTCAACATATCCAAAAACAAGTTCCTGATTGTCTCCACCTCACGCCTCAAAAGACCACCCCAAACGCCGAAAGGCTGAATGCTTTTTTCTTTTTCTTTTTTTTTTTTTTCTGAGATGGAGTCTCACTCTGTTGCCCAGGCTGGACTGCAGTGATGCGATCTCAGCTCACTGCAAACTCTGCTTCCTGGGTTCAAGTGATTCTCCTGCCTCAGCCTCTCAGGTAGCTGGGACTACAGGTGCACACCACCATGCCCAGCTAATTTTTGTAGAGAGAGTTTCACCATGTTGGCCAGGCTGGTCTCAAACACCTGACCTTAAGGGATCCACCCGCCTCAGCCTCTCAAAGTGCTGGGATTACAGGTGTGAGCCATCGCACTTGGCTCGGTAGTATATGGCTCAGAAACATTGCCATTTACAATAGTTCCCCAAAAAGCAAAATTCTTAGGTATAAATCTGGATTCAGAGTCCAGAATGCTAACCATTACACGATGGAACCCGTAGGTATAAATCTAAGAAAACATATCCAAGATCTACAGGCTGAAGACTACAGAGTGCTGATAAAACCGAAGAACTCTGACTGAATGAGTGGAGAGACGTGGTGTCTTCATGACTGGGCAACTCCATGTGGTATAGACGTAAACCCTCCCACATTGATCTGTGGATTTAATACCATACCTATCAAAAACACAGTGGTGGAGGACAGATCAGGGATCGCCAGGTTTAGGGATGGGGGGATTGTGTAACTATAAAGAACGCAAGAGAGATTTTTGGGGTGGCAGAGCTGTTCTGGGTCCTGACGGTGGCGGTGGTGGTTACATAAATCTATCCATGTGTCAAACGTCAGAACACTCATTTTACACTTGGGGGCAACAGAAATCCCTCCCTCTGGAGGGGGTGACTGATGGTAACCTGATTGCTAATTCTGGAATCAGGAGCCCTGTGGTCAGGTTTCTGCTCTGCAACTTCCTGTTGGTAACCTTGGGCAAGTCTCCGTCCAGAGCCTTGGTTTTCTCATCTGTAAAAGGAGATGATAGGTCCTTTTCTGTCCACTGCATAGCTGATTAGTGAAACATCATGGTGAAATTCTTTATGAACTATGGAGTGCAGCACATAGACTTGCTTTCATTTTGTCAGTATCCTTTATAGATTGTTCATGTAAGCTCCCAAAGAGTAGTATTTATTTTATTGAAATAAAATGCACGTAGAGAAAAATGTGTGTATCATACATTGACAGCTGAACCCACCGTGTAACCAGCACCCACCCACCCAGATCAATCATAAACCGAACCGCACCAGCACCCCAGCAGCCCGTTCCCGTTTCCGTACCCTCCACGTGGAGCCTCCGTTCTGTCTCCCAACGCCCTGGGTTAGTTTTTATACTTTCTGTCATCGGAATCACACTGTAAGTGCTCTTGGGTTTAGCTTCCTTTGCTCAAGCTTACCTTGTGCGATTCATTCATGTTGTTGTGAGGAGCTGTGGATCATCCATTCTCCTTGCTGTCTGTGGTGGTTTCTGTGTTGTGAACACACACAATGTATTATCCAGCCTGCCGTAGATGGAGGCAGTTTTGAAGCCATTATAAACAGGGCTGATGTGCACATTCTGCTGGAGAGAAACGGGTCCCAGGGTACAGGTAGGATGATCAGCTTCGGTAGATCCTGCCGGTTTTCCCATGCGCTGTGCCTGTCTGCACTCCACCAACGGCGAGCGGACCTTCCGGTAGTTAAACATCTTCACGAACTCTTGGACTTTCCTGCACACACAGAGAAGATAATTTTGGATGGCTCTTCCCTTCCCCCCACAACCTTCCTTAGGGCACTGGCTTTCAACTGATGTAAATATTTACTATGCCAAGCACTAGGAGGGCAGAGACAAACAAGACAAAGTCCTCACACTTAGAAACTCCCGGTGTGGCAGCTGAGATGGCCCAGGAAAGAACTATATTACCTTCAAAAAGAGAGGTACATGCGATGTTTGAGGTGGCATGAAGCTCAGTGGTGTTATATTGGAATGAGTGAGTGACCATCCTGGAGCCTTCCTGAAAGAGGTGACTTCATTTTTAAGTGATTTTAAATAATAGTTTAATGAATTAGTATTTCGTATTCAGTTAATAACATTTTTCTGATTTTAGGATTTGCTATAGAAATATTTGGAAACCGTAAAGTAGAACAAAAAAAAAAATGTAGGAATCATCTGAAATTCCAAATTCTACCACTCACAGTTAAGTGTTGTTAGATGTTAGATGTGGGATATTGCCTTTTAATTTCCACTCTGCGCCGCTACCCCCAGCCCCTACCCCAGAGCCGTCACTTCTGGCACTGGAGCGCAGCTTGCGTGGTTTTTTTTTTTTTTTTTTTTTTTTTTGAGACAGAGTCTCGCTGTCGCCCAGGCTGGAGTGCAGTGGCGCGATCTCGGCTCACTGCAAGCTCCGCCTCCCGGGTTCACGCCATTCTCCTGCCTCAGCCTCCTGAGTAGCTGGGACTACAGGCGCCCGCTACCTCTCCCGGCTAATTTTTTGTATTTTTAGTAGAGACGGGGTTTCACTGTGTTAGCCAGGATGGTCTCGATCTCCTGACTTCGTGATCCGCCCGCCTCGGCCTCCCAAAGTGCTGGGATTACAGGCGTGAGCCACCGCGCCCGGCCATTTGCGTGTTTTTAAGGTTGAATCAAGATCCTTCTTCTGGTGGTAGTGGTTTCTTTTTCTCCCTTCCCTTCCCTTCCCTTTCCTCCCCTTCCCTTTCCTCCCTCCCCTCCCCTCCCCTCCCTCCTTCCTTTTCTCCTTTTCTTTTTCTCTATTTTTAAATTAAAAAAAAAAATCTTGGATGGGCGCGGCAGCTCACACCTGTAATCCCAGCACTTTGGGAGGCCAAGGTGGGCAGATCACCTGAGGTCGGGAGTTCGAGACCAGCCTGACCAACATGGACCCCATCTCTACTAAAAATACAAAATTGGCCGGGCATGGTGGCGCAAGCCTGTAATCCCAGCCACTCGGGAGGCTGAGGCAGGAAAATTGCTTGAACCCGGGGGGCGGAGGTTGCAGTGAGCCGAGGTTGTGCCATTGCACTCCAGCCTGGGCAACAAGAACAAAACTCCGTCTCAAAAAAAAAAAAAAGAAAAAGAAAAAATCTTTTTCCTTTGAGCTGGAGCTGCAAAGAGAAGAATTTTTAAAAAGAAAAGAAACTTTTAAAAAATTAAAATACAAAAATTTTTCTTAGAGACAGGGTCTCGCTGTGTTGCCCAGGCTGGTCTCCAACTCCAGGCCTGAAGCGAACTTCCTCCAGCCTCAGCTTCCCAAGTAGCTGGGATTACAGGCATGTTACCACCATGCCTGGCTTTTTTTCTTTAAACAACTTTTAAAAAATGTTTTATTTTGTTTTTACTTAACATATAATAATTGGACTAGAGTGGTGTCTTATCTGTCACAACACTTTTCTAACGGTAGAGTGTGTATTACTGCTGTTTCCCACAACAAATGGTGTCATATCTTGGTTTTGGCTGAAGCAATAACATTTCCCAGTGAAACTCTTGCCACTTAAAATTCTTTGTCTTGTAACTCATGTGCAACAGGGTTAGTACATTTCTCAGCTGCCAGTGGGGTTGTTCTTTGTGATTTAACAGGAAGACCACAGTGTAAAAACATTCTTATGCCATTAATACATGCTTGTTTTAGGCTACTTGGAAAATTCAAAAAAATAAAGAGGAAATAATCATTCATAGTCCTACCACCCAGAGAAAACCACAGTTAATGTTTTGGTGTATTTCCTTCCAGTTTTTTTTTCCACCTAAACTCTTCAATTACATCCGACTTTAAATATATATATATTTTTTAAAAATTGTAAAGATAATACTGTATCTCAGCACAAAAGAAAATTTTGGAAATGCAGAAAAGACAATGGAAAAGAAAAATCAGTTGTCTGTGATGTCACCACCCAGAAATGGCCACACTTACCAGCCAGTTTTTTCACATATGTGACTCCTACCATTTTTATATCTCTTACCATAAACGACAAGCTCTAGAAGAGAATGTAGCAAATGTAGGGGTCCTGAAAGAAGGGGTGCACTCTGTTTTGTCCCTGATGTTCCTGGGACACAGGTAATTAAAAGGCTGAAGACCGAGTGCTGTAGAACAGGGCTTCTCAAGGTGTGGTCCGCAAAGCAGCAAAGCAGCAGCTTCTCCTGGGAGCTTATTAGAAATACAATCGGAGCCTCACCAGTGGGCCGGGAATCTGTTGTAACAAGCCCTTGGGGGATTCAGATGCTTGCTCTCCTTACAGTTTGAGAAACACTGCACCAAAAGATTGGACTCTGGGAGGTAGGGGGCTTCAGATGAATTGAAAGTGGAAATTCACTTAGGAAATGGGACGGAACTGCTTTGCAGCATGGAACTCATTGACACTGACACAGCTGTTTGTGTGGTTAAGCTTCCTGAGACAGGGACCAGCTGGGTTTGGCATCCCAATGTTGAGCCCCATGCCTGGTCTGTAATAGGTGCTCACCGAATACTTGTTGAATGAATCAAGGAATGAATAAGTGAGTGAAAAAGGATCTCTAGAGCTGTGCCCCACATGCCTCTTTTTCTCTTTTTTTAATTTCTAGGATTGGAACATCAGTTAACATCTGACCACTGCCAGCCCACCCCCTCCCACCCACGTCGATTGCATCTCTGGGCTCCAGGGATAAAGCAGGTCTTGGGGTGCACCATGATTTCACCATTCTTAGTACTGGCCATTGGCACCTGCCTTACTAACTCCTTAGTGCCAGGTATGCTTGGGGACACAGGTGGAGGCATAAAAAGGTGGTGCAGATGGGGTATGATGAGGGCAGTGTCTATGTTTTAAGGTCCCAGAACCATCCAAAGTATTTAAGAGCTGAAAACAGTGTTCAGAGCAGGAAACCTCAGCCCTGCTACTTGCATGTGTTAGTTGGATAGGTCACTCTTTTCCCATATATATATATATACACACATACACATATATGAAATATATATATACAAGGAAAATATATATATACAAGGAAATATATATTTTCCACATATATATTTTTCCATATATATATTTCATATATATATTTTTCCATATATATATTTCATATATATTATATATATTCTTTCTTAATTTTTTTTTTTTTGAGACAGGGTTTCGCTCTGTTGCCCAAGCTAGAGTGCAGTGGCGCCATCTTGGCTCACTGCAAGCTCTGCCTCCTGGGTTCACGCCATTCTCCTGCCTCAGCCTCCCAAGTAGCTGGGACTACAGGTGCCCGCCACCGCGCCAGGCTAATTTTTTGTATTTTTAGTAGAGATGGGGTTTCACCGTGTTAGCCAGGATGGTCTCGATCTCCTGACCTCATGATCCGCCTGCCTCGGCCTCCCAAAGTGCTGGGATTACAGGCGTGAGCCACCGCGCCTGGCCTGTCTGTCTGTCTGTCTGTCTGTCTGTCTTTCTTTCTTTCTTTCTTTCTTTCTTTCTTTCTTTCTTTCTTTCTTTCTTTCTTTCTCTCTTTCTTTCTTTTTCTTTCTTTCTTTCTTTCTCTTTTCTTTCTTTCTTTCTTTCTTTTCTTTTTCTTTCCTTTCTTTCCTTTCTTTTCTCTCGCATCCGAGTGAAGAGACCACCAAACAGGCTTTGAGTGAGCAACAAGGCTGTTTATTTCACCTGGGTGCAGGCGGGCTAAGTCCAAAAAGAGAGTCAGCCAAGGGAGATATGGGTGGGGCCGTTTTATAAGATAGGGGTAGGTAAAGGAAAAATTACAGTCAAAGGGGGGTTCTCTGGCGGGCAGGAGTGGGGGTCACAAGGTGCTCAGTGGGGGAGCTTTTTGAGCCAGGATGAGCCAGGAGAAGGAATTTCACAAGGTAATGTCGTCAGTTAAGGCAAGGACCGGCCATTTTCACTTCTTTTGTGGTGGAATGTCATCAGTTAAGGTAGGAACAGACCATTTAAATTTCACTTCTTTTGTGATTCTTCAGTTACTTCAGGCCGTCTGGATGTATATGTGCAGGTCACAGGGGATATGATGGCTTAGCTTGGGCTCAGACGCCTGACACTTTCTTTTTGAGACAGAGACAGACTCTCACTCTGTTTGCCCAGGATGGAGTGCAGTGACGTGATCTCAGCTCACTGCAACCTTCGCCACCCAGGTTCAAGTGATCCTCCTGCCTCAGCCTCCTGAGTAGCTGGGATTACAGGCGTGCGCCGCAACACCCGGCTAATTTTTTGTATTCTTATTAGAGACGGGGTTTCATCATGTTGGCCAGGCTGATCTCGAACTCCTGACCTCAAGTGATCCACCCGCCTTGGCCTCCCAAAGTGCTGGGATTACAGGTGTGAGCCACTGTGCCCAGCCTTTTTCTTGTCATTTGTAGTTCTCACTAGTGAACTCATCTTCAACAGGAGTTTTTTGTTTTTCTTTTTTTTGAGACAGTGTCTCTCTCTGTCGCCCAGGCTGGAGTGCAGTGGCGCAATCTTGGCTCACTGCAAGCTCCATCTCCCGGGTTCACGCCATTCTCCTGCCTCAGCCTCCCAAGTAGCTGGGACTACAGGTGCCCGCCACCACGCGCAGCTAATTTTTTTGTACTTTTAGTAGAGACGGGGTTTCACCATGTTAGCCAGGATGGTCTCGATCTCCTGACCTCAGGTGATCCGCCTGCCTTGGCCTCCTAAAGTGCTGGGATTACAGGCATGAGCCACCGCACCCGGCCGAGTTTTTTGTTTTTCTGTTGGAGATTCACGCGGAAGTGTTTCCACAGCATGGCATGGTGTTTTCAGGACACTAGGGGTTCAACTAATTCTAGGCCAGTTTTTATGTTGATTTCTTGGTTTACAATTCTTATACTATAAATTCAGATCCCCACTTAGACCTGGCTCAGATTTGACTTGAATTCACATTTCTTATGAATGACTGTCTTTCTCTATCCCTTCCATAGCTCCAAGGCAAAATGTGTACCTTAAAACAGCTTCAGCAGACCTGGTGTGGTGGCTTTAGCAGGCCTGGTATGGTGGCTCACGCCTGTAATCCCAGTGCGTTGGGAGGCTGAGGTGGGAGGATCGCTTGAGTCCAGGAGTTTGAGGACAGCCTGGGCAACATAGTGAGACCTCCATCTCTAGAAACAAACAAACAATTAGCTGGGCATAGTGCTGCATGCTTGTAGTCCTAGCTACTTGGGAGGCTAAGGTGGGAGAATCACTTGAGCCCAGGATTTCAAGATTACGGTGAGCTATAATCAAACCACTCCAGTCTGGGTGACAGAGTAAGACTCTGTCTCATAAAAAGAAACCAGCTTCTGGCCGGGAATGGTGGCTCACGCCTGTAATCCCAGCACTTTGGGAGGCCGAGGTAGGTGGATCACTTGAGGTCAGGAGTTTGAGACCAGCCTATCCAACATGGCAAAAACTCCTCTCTACTAAAAATACAAAAATTAGCTGGGCATGGTGGCGCACTCCTGTAATGCCAGCTACTTGGGAGGCTGAGGCAGGAGAATCACTTGAACCCAGGAGGCGGAGGTTGCAGTGAGCTGAGATTGCGCCACTGTACTTCAGCCTGGGCAACAGAGCAAGACTCCATCTCAAAAAAGAAAAGAAACCAGCTTCAGCCTGAACCTGTACCTGGCTTGCCGTCGCAGGCGTTCCTCTCTGCATCAGCTCCTGTGGGCCCCTCTGGTTTTAGATTCCCTCATCAATGCTGCCTCCTGAGGATTTTCCTTCCCCCTTTTCTTCCTTTTTCAAGCTATGTGCTATTTTTTTTTCCCCAGCATTTCTGTATCTGGAGCTGGAGAAGAGAGCCTTCCTCGGCTCAGTCCATTATGTGGCTAGAAGTCCCCACTTGCCTTCCCCACACTCCAGTGTCTCCATCTGTCCAGTGGGGATGAGTTCCTCCCGCTTAGGGTCATCATGGGAATCACATGGGATAGTCACAGTGTCTGGCAAGGAGTGGATGCTCAGTGAATGTTGGTCTCTTCTCTTAGGACGGCTGTATTTCAGCAGATGAGGAGATGGGGTGCAGTGGGGCACTGAGCCTGAGCTGCTGAGCTCTCAGGCCATTGCTGCGTCTGAGACCTCGTGGTGCCATTTGCATCCCTGGGGGACCAAGGTCACTCTGGGACGGGGTCCCTGCCTTCTCAGCACTTACAGCCCACCTGGGTGAAAGATGAACTAATGGATGAAAAGGGAAAAGGTGAAAAAGTGACAACATGAAAAATCTTCAAACGTTCAGCAGTTCAACTTTTTGTATCTGCTGTTGCCAGGCTGGAGTGCAGTGGCACAATCATGGCTTACTGTAGCCTCAAACTCCTGGCCTCAAGCAGTCCTCCCACCATGGCCTCCAAAAGTGCTGGGATTACAGGATGAGCCACTTCTTCAGCCTTCTTTTTTTTCTTCAATTAGATATAACTTACAGAAAAGGGCACCGATCTTAAATACATAGCCTGAAAAAATTTTGACATATATTTATACCCATGTAACCGCCACCCAGATCAAGACAGAACATTTCTGGTTGTGAGGCATCTGTGGGCTTCCCTGTGCCAACCCCCTCCCAAAGCCAGAGGAGATGCCCAGGCTTACATTGGCCACCAGAGACTTGCTTTGCCTGTTTTGAGCCTCATATAAATGGAATCATATAGTATGTACCGATCAGTGCCCTTTCCCTGGCATTCTATCGTGAGCATTAGCACATATCATTTAGTAGTCTCCAAAAACAATAGCCTCTTGGAATCCAGTTGTCCAGAGCCATTGTTGCTTAAACCAGACTCCAAACCCTTCTCAGGGACAGGCCCTGGGTGGCTCTGGTGAAAAAGACAAGGACTCTGCCCTTGTGGGACTCCAGTCTAGAGAGAACAAGCACTCAACGGAGCAGGGGACCCGGTGGCAGAGGCTGGGCTGAACAAGGGCAACAGGTGTGGGGCGGGCTGATGTCAGCCCAGCCCTGGGACCTCCAAGCTGTTAAGTCAGGTACAGGTTGTAGCGGGTCAGGGTGGGTAGAAGGTCTTCACCACCCAGTGGCACCCAACTGGCCAAAGAGGCTCTATGACCAACAGCACCGTGGTGTGTTTTGAGGAAGGCAGGAGGGAGGCTGGAACCAGCCTGGGCCTGGGGGACCTCTGAGGAAAACCTCTGGCCCCGGCCTTGCCCAGACTTTATCTCATGTCATCCTAGAACTGCCTGTGGATAGCTACGGGTGTCCCATTTCCTGGGGCAGAAACTCTTGTCCAAAGGCACCCTGTCGGGCAGAAGGGCCAAGGTGCTCCCAATTCCCAGTGGGGACTGCGTGGGGACATCTGAAATTGATGCCCTCAGCAGACACTTCCAGAAGAGAGAGGGTGGACCTGGGGCTGTCGGGATGAGGGTAGTGGGCTGAGGGATTGGGGTGGTGGTGACGTAAGGGGAGGCCTCTTGGGGAGGGGCGTGGGGTGTGCTTGGGTCCAAAGCTAGAGGTGCACTGCAGCACCCTGGCGGCTCCTCGCCTGTGCTCTGCGCCTATGCTAGGCTGGGGCAGAGCCACGGCGACGCGTGAGTTTCCGGTTCTCCCACTTGGGGCCCTAATCTCAGGCTCTCCATTTCCTAATGTGGAGGAGACACTGGTGCCCACCTGCCAAGGCAGTTGAGAGGAATAAGAGAAGCTGTGTGGGGGGTCCCTGGCATCTCGCCCAGAGCCAGTGCGTGTGTGAGGAAGGAGGGCTGTTCTTTACCCACGGCCACTCCGAGAGCCAGGCACGCGTCGGAGCTGGGCCAAAAGATGAGAATTGTGTCCCCAGCCCACGAACATGCTACACGGCCTTGGACAAGACCCTCCCATTCCTGATCTCTCCTCCCGTTCTGTGCAGTGGGAGGCCTTGAAAGAGGAAACCGCTAGGGAGCCTCCTCTCTAGGCTTCTGAGCAGATCTGATAGGGCCCTGGGACAGAGGGGAGCCCCGCAGACTCTGGGAGGGACTCCAGCTCCCATAGCCAGGGTCCTGGTCCAGCCCTGGAGACGGGATAATGGGGATGGGAGGCAACTTTTGAGCCTCTCCTGTGGGTCAGGTGTGTCACTTGCCTTATCCGGCCCAGTCCTTAGAGCGACCCTGAGGGGATGATGCCAGCAATGTCATTTAACAGGGGAAGAGACTGAGGCTGAGGGAGGTGACAGAGCTAGTACTTGGAGCAGCTGGGGGTTTTTTGTTTGTTTGTTTTTGAGACGGAGTCTAGCTCTGTCACCCAGGCTGGAGTGCAGTGGTATGATCTCAGCTCACTGCAACCTCCGCCTCCCGGGTTCAAGCAGTTCTCCTGCCTCAGCCTCCTGAGTAGCTGGGACTACAGGTGCACACTGCCACGCCCAGCTAATTTTTCATATTTCAGTAGAGACGGGATATCACCGTGTTGCCCAAGTTGGTCGCGAACTCCTGAGCTCAGGTGATCTGCCTGCCTCGGCCTTCCAAAGTGCTGGGATTACAGGCATGAGCCACCATGCCCAGCAGCTGGGGTTTTAATTGAGGTCTGTCTGGCACTAAAGCTGTGGATTGGTTGCTGGACACACACACACATGAGAAAGAGGGAGAGAGAAAGAAGTGTTCTTAGTTCTCATTTTATCTCAAAACCATAAAGCCCCAGCCAGAAGTCACTATCAGCCAAGAGGGATGGAGGGGGCGATGAGAGATGCAGAATGTCGTCCTTGATAACTAATCCTAACAAGAGTGAGATCACCTGGCTCCTTTAAATTTGACATATTAAGCAAAAGGCAAGCTTCGCTTTCCAGCACTGCTATTAAACCAAGTCAGGTTCCTGCTGAGCCTACTTTAATGAATAAGCTAAGCAGAGTTGATAATTGATGGCTGGCTATATCAGGGGACCCCTTCTGCTGGAAGGAGTTTGTTGAATAGGTTAAACATTACTCTCTTAATTGTGCTAGCACAATTCATTTGCTGCCTTAGCAGCTCATCTCCCTACTGGGTAGAAGGAATGAGCATGGGCTTTGGAGCGAAACCCAGCCCTGCCAGTGTCTGCCTGTGCTGTGTGGCCTTAGGCAAGTTGCTCGTTGTCTCTGAGCCTTGGTTTCTTCATTCTGAGATGTGAGGAGAAGACCCCAGGGTCCACAGGCTTTTCTGGAGGATCTGGATGGCACATATTTATAAACCACAGATGTGTTGTCTGGGTGGGCAACTATTGCACCCACCTCCAAGTTCAGGCATTCCAGCCTGAGCAATCAGAAGTGGGGGGATCTGTACGTCTGGAGATAGGAGGCTATCCTTACCCCGCCAAGTAACTGCCTCTCTCTGTGTTTAGAGAAAGAGAAAGACCCCAAGTACTGGCGAGACCAAGCGCAAGAGACACTGAAATATGCCCTGGAGCTTCAGAAGCTCAACACCAACGTGGCTAAGAATGTCATCATGTTCCTGGGAGATGGTGAGGCCCAGGGGCCTGTGGGAGGGGTGGAACAGGACACCTAGCTAGGAGCCCCGGGAGCCAGGCTGAGTTGAAGGGGGCTGTGTTGAAGGGGCTAGGGCTCTGGAGGAAGGGTGTTTAAAAGGATGAGGGGCCAGGCTGTGGATTCAAGAGGCCTGCTCTGCCAGACAGCCCCCTGAGGATCTGGGGGTGAAGGGAGAGAGGGGCTGCTCACTGACATTTACAGAGCCATGCCCAGTGCCAACTGCCCGAGCCTGCCTTGGTACCGAACTAGAGAGCTTCTGGGTACCCAAGCAGGCTGATTGGAGAGGCAGGAGCACGAGAGACTGAGGCCCCCACTCCCCACTGCAGGGATGGGTGTCTCCACAGTGACGGCTGCCCGCATCCTCAAGGGTCAGCTCCACCACAACCCTGGGGAGGAGACCAGGCTGGAGATGGACAAGTTCCCCTTCGTGGCCCTCTCCAAGGTGAGCCCCATCCCCAAGCCCAGTTCAGGTCTGTATATCCAGTATCCAGGTCGAGCATCTGAACATGACAGCAGCCAGAGGTCCCCTGACCCCCTGAGCCCCCTCCATGCCCAAGCCCACTCCCCACCTGGAGCAGCCACTGCCCTGACTTCTGACACCATAGCATCACTGTACCTGCTTGCGGGTGTGTGTTTAGAGAGAGGGTCTTGCTCTGTTGCCCAGGCTGCAGTGCAGTGGTGCAGTCATAGCTCACTGCAGCCTCCAACTCCTGGGCTCAAGCCATCCTCCCACGTTAGCCTCCCGAGTAGCTGGGACTACAGGTGTGTACCACCACATATGGATAATTAGAGACCCCCCCAAGGTCTCTAATTCTTGGGCTTAAGCGATCCTACAGCCTTGGCCTCCCAGTCTTGGGATTACAGGCGTGAGCCACCATGCACGGCCTATATATGCCTTTTTTTTTTTTTTTTTTTTGAGACAGTCTTACTCTGTCTTCCAGGCTGGAGTACAGTAGCATGACATCAGCTCACTGCAACCTCTGCCTCCCGAGTTCAAGTGATTCTTCTGCCTCAGCCTCCCAAGTAGCTGGGATTACAGGCATGCGCCACCATGCCCAGCTAATTTTTTTATTTTTAGTAGAGACAAGGTTTCACCCTGTTGGCCAGGCTGGTCTCGAACTCCTGACCCCAGGTGATCTGCCCACCTTGGCCTCCCAAAGTGCTAGGATTACAGGCATGAGCCACCGTGCCTGGCCTGTATACACTTTTGCATGAAGTTCCAGTTCATTCATTCTTTCCCGAGGCAGTTCGTGAAGTTAATTAGACTATAGGCATACCTCAGCTATACTTCGGGTTTGGTTCCAGGCCACTGTAATAAAGCAAATATTGCAATGAAGCAAGTCACACATTTTTTGGTTTCCCAGTGCATATAAAAGTTATGTTTGCACCCTACAGTAGTCTTTTAAGTGTGGGATAGCATTATGTCTAAAAAAATGTATATACCTTAATTTAAAAATATGCTATTGCTAAAAAACGCTAATGAAGTGAGCTCATGTTTTTGGAAAAAATGATGCTGATAGACTTGCTTGACACAGGGTTGCCACAGATCTTCAATTTGTAACAAACACAGTGTCTGTGGAGTACACTAAAATGAGGTGTGCCTGTACTGACCTAGGTTGTTCAAGGCAGTGTGCACTGCCGGGTAGCTATTGCTATTGGTGGTGGTGATAGTGGTGTTATGTAATAACCTCCAGACCCTGGGTCAGGCCCCAGGCTCACTTCTGGGGGAGTAGTGGGGACTATGGTGCCTTCTGTGCCTTCAAGGTGCTCTCAGGCTGGTGGGGAAGGGAGACAGGCAAATAGTTTTGGGGTCTCTGCTAAACATCCGGATGTAGGGCAACCCTGTGATGGTGGCCGCAGGGCAGGTGGCAGAGAAGTCAGCGCTGGTCTTGGCCCCACCCTTCCCTTCCCCAGTCCCCTTCCCCCTCACTTTCACTACCCTATCCCCAGACCCCCCACTCCTTCAAGAAGGCCCCTCCCTCTCCCTTCTCCAGGACTCCCCTGCTCCCCAACCCCTTGCTGGCTCCTGCAGCCCCAGGCCCGGAGAGAGGCCTCCGCTGACCCCACCTGAGCCCCAATCTTCCGCCGGACACTTCTCTGTACTTTGGAGAGCTAAGGTCCTGCCCCAGTGCTGCCAGGGTGCAGGGAATGATGGCAGGAAGCAGGCAGCTAGGTAGTCCTGTGGCTCTGGGGGGCTTCAGTGGGCAGTGGGCCTGGTCAAGGCTATGGGGTCCTCTCTGGTCCCTCACGCCCCAGTCCCCATGGTGTGAGTGTAGGCGGGGTGGGTGCCACTGGGGCGAAGGCCTGGCCATCTCCTGACCCTCCTCTCCCACCTGCAGACGTACAACACCAATGCCCAGGTCCCTGACAGTGCCGGCACCGCCACCGCCTACCTGTGTGGGGTGAAGGCCAATGAGGGCACCGTGGGGGTAAGCGCAGCCACTGAGCGTTCCCGGTGCAACACCACCCAGGGGAACGAGGTCACCTCCATCCTGCGCTGGGCCAAGGACGCTGGTGAGTCGGGGGAGCAGTGGGGAGCAGGGCCAGCTTCGTGGCCTGTCCAGGCCTCAGTCTTTCTGACTGTGTCATGGGAAGGGGCTAGAAAAGGCTTCTCTGTGGGGCTCCCAGCTCTGATATGCTGGGAGTCTGTAATATCCATGGGATTCCTTCCGTGACAGGGGAAGCTGAGGGTTTGGGGTTCACTCAGTGGTGGGTTCTGGTCCCAGTTCATTTCTCTGAGTCGATTCTTCATTTGACTATAAAACGGGTGGGAACGTAGCCCCCTCATAGGGTTGGTGTGAGGAGGGAGAAGTCAGCCCAGGGCTAGCCTGTGGGGTGCAGTCCATGGCCACGCCCCTTCCCTCCTCAGAATTGGGAGGCCCAGCCTGTGCCCCCAGAAGCTTTAGTCAGGGGCCAAGGCCAAAACACAGGTGACAAGGCCAACATACAGGTGACAGAGCCACAGTCCACTTGAGATCCCTCAGGGGTCCTGTGGGCGCCTTGATGAAGGGGAGGACTCCAGCCCAGGTGCTCACATCTCAAGGGCCTTCGGGGTGAGGGGAGAGGGTTCCAGAGGCAGTGTTCTGGCTGCTCGGCTACTTGGAAGCCACTGCCAGACACCTGCTGCTGTGGATGGGGAGACTGAGACCCGGGCAATCCTCAGAACTGAAGCGGGGGCCTGTCTTTAGCGGGGAGGGGGAAGGGAGGGAGGAGGCCTCTGGGACACCCCGATCTGTGGATAAAGCCAAACCCGCCCCTCCTGCACCCCAGGGAAATCTGTGGGCATTGTGACCACCACGAGAGTGAACCATGCCACCCCCAGCGCCGCCTACGCCCACTCGGCTGACCGGGACTGGTACTCAGACAACGAGATGCCCCCTGAGGCCTTGAGCCAGGGCTGTAAGGACATCGCCTACCAGCTCATGCATAACATCAGGGACATTGACGTGAGTGCTCGGGGGCAGCCGGGCAGGGACGGGGTGAGGCGGGGCCTCTGGTGGGCAGGAGGCCTCAGGCCCAGGCTGGCCCGGAGAAAGCAGCCTGGCCTGGCTCCCCACACACCTGGGAGGCTCCCAGCCCATTAGGGGATTTGCGGTTGGGCAGGCAGGCACTGTGGGATTTCTCTGCGGTGGGGCTGCGGGGTGAACCCTCATGTGACCGCCACCACACCCCAAGAACCAGGCATCCAGGGATGATTCCATAAATTGAAACCTGGTGCTGTGCCCTCCTCTGCCCCCCACTACACGGGAGGTGGTGATGGCCAAGTGTCGTCTGCCTGCCCTGCGTATTCACATGGTCACAGATGGGTACATATCTGTACACTCAACCACCAGCATGCCCGGCAAAGAGCTGGTGTGTACAGTGGTTGGCTAGTGCCAGCTCTCGTGTTTAAACTTCCGAGTTCCAGACCTTGCCCTGCGTGTTGCTAGCTGTGTGACCTTGGGTCAGTTACTTAACCTCTCTGAGGCTTCCCTTTCACAACTCCTTTGTGAACTGTACCTGCCTCATAAGCTTATGCCAAGAACTGATTAAGATAATCCCTGTGGAGCTCAGCACAGGACCCGAGGCCTAGCGAGTGCCCAGAAGGTGGTGGCACTTACGCAGGAGCCACATGTCCTTGCCCTGAAACACACTTCAACAAACTGAGCTGACTCATGGAGACAGAAGTCATCCATGTGACGCTTACTCTCTGTTCTTAAGTGAGAATGCCCGGCTCGTTCCTTTTCAGGCTTTTATTGCCTACTGTGGGGGACTGCTGAGGCGATCTGGGGACTTCTGCCCCTTGAGCCTGGAATGGGGATTCGGTGAGGGGCAGAGAAAGCCCCCCTGCCCAGCTACACCTCACCTCTTTCTCTCCACCACCAGACAAACTCACCTGCCTTCAGCCCTCCATGCACTGCCCCCCACAAATTTCTGGGGGCTACTTGGCCCCTCCACAGTAGAGACCCACGTCTGCCCTTTTCCCAGCATGGTGGATTAAGTACCCGCTTTCAGGACACACAGTGCTGTTGGCCCCTTTCACTGAACAGACATCTGAGGCCAAGCCACTCATCCTGGCTTGCCTTCACCCGACATGTGGCCTGGGGCGAGTTCCTTCCCCTCCCTATGCCTCAGTTTCCCCACCTGTGCAGCAGAAACAGAGAGCCACACTTGCTTGCTCCCAGGGCCGTGGGAGGCCGTGATGAGGTCATGGATGTGAGAACATTTGTTGTACAGGCACAGGGTATAATTACATGGGGACTGCTCCTCAGAGGGGTTTGTCAGGGACAGCCTGAGCAGGGGACAGGAACTTGAAGGAAATTCGAGGGGAGGGAAGATGTTTCAGGTGAGGGGGTGGGAGATGAGGAGGGGGGGCCGCAGGGGCCACGTCAAGGGGCACAAGCCAGGGAGTGAGTGAGGACGGAGGACCTGTGTGAGGATCCCTTTCTTTCCTCCTCTTCCTTTCTCTCCCAGCCCCACCTGCCTCTCCGTCACCACCCCCCCAAAAGCCTCCCAGTCCCCAGACTGTACATGAAACAAAAATCCTGGTGTCCACCCTGAAAATAAATACTGTTGCTTAAAAAAAAAAAAGAAAGAAGAGAAAGAAAGAAAGAAAGACACAAACCTAAACCCCAAAGCCAAACAGCAAGTCTGTTATTTGGGAGTTTAATGAGCCCGTGTGAAGTCGCTGCCGGGCTGGAAACGATGAGGCTCCCTGCAGGAAGATTGGGGGCTTCGTTTTCCACTCTGAAGATGCCAAGAGGTCAGGTTCTGTGGGAACAGTTGTGGGGGGCGGGGCAAGGGACCCGTGACCTGGGGTCCCCTTCTCCTTCTTCTCCCAGCCCACCCTGCCCCCTGAGCTCCTGGCTGCAGCTGAGAGCAAGGACTCTGCCTCTCTGAACCACTTGTTTCCCCACTCCTTCTGGCAATAGAAATGCCTTCCAGTGGCAGCCACCCCCTGGGTGCTGGGGACTTCCCTGGGTGACTGCCTTTCCTCCTGTGATGGGTCTGTGGATGGATGTTAGTTGCATTTTATTTATTATTATTATTTTGAGACGGAGTCTCATTCTGTCTCTAAGGCTGGAGTGTAGTGGTGCGATCTTGGCTCACTGCAGCCTTCACCTCCCGGGTTCAAGCGATTGTCCTGCCTCAGCCTCCTGAGTAGCTGGGATTATAGGCGCACATCACCACGCCCGGCTAATTTTTTTTTTTTAAATTTTTAGTAGAGACGGGGTTTCGCCATGTTGGCCAGGCTGGTCTCAAACTCTGGACCTCAGGTGATCCGCCCGTTTTGGCCTCCCAAAGTGCTGGCATTATAGGCGTGAGCCATCGCGCCCGGCCTATTTTATTTTATTTTTGAGACAGGGTCTCACTCTGTTGCCCAGGCTGGAGTGCAGTGGCGTGATCATGGCTCACTTCAGTCTCAGCCTCCTGGGCTCAAGTGCTCCTCCTGGCTCAGTCCCTTGAATAGCTAGGAGCACAAGCCTGTACCACCATGCCCGGCTAAGTTTCGAAACAAATTTTATTTGTATAGACAGGGTCTTGCCATGTTGTCCAGGCTGGTCTCAAACTCCTGGCATCAAGTGATCCTCCCGCCTCAGCCTCCCAAAGTGCTGGGATTACAGGCATGAGCCACCGCGCCTGGCCAGTCGCATTTTATGGATAGGAAAACTGGGCTCACAGAGTTTAGGTGGCAGGCCCTTGGTCAGTAGTCGATAGAGTCAGGGTTCAAACCCAAGTCTGACTTCAAAGCTCACGGCCATGACCATGGCCTGGACCCAGGCTGGTCCTGGGGCACCTTTCCCACCTCTCCAGCCATCCTGTGTTCCTGGCCCCCTGTGCATTCCACAAAACCTAGGATCTAAGGTGGGAGACAGAGTGGAGGATAGAGCAAGGGACCTATGAGATGCAGGCCTGGAATGGTGGATCTGGGGCCAGTGTCAGCCAGGCTCTGCACTCCCAAGGTGTCAGCCAGGGGCAGTGGCCCGGGCTGGCACCCGCGGTGACAAGAGAACACTAGTGTGGTGGTCACCGCAGGCGGCTGCTGTTATGCTCTTGGCCCTACTTTAAAAATAGTCAGAACTTCAAACATGGACTCCCAAGGAAAACAAACAGTCCCGCGTCCGTCTGCCCGCACACACCAGCTGGTGGGTAAAATTAGCCTGGTGGTGACTACAGAGCCGTGAGGCCCGGCCCCGCTGTTTGCCCAGGCTGCGGTGGGCTGGCTCCCAGCTGTGGGCTGCCCCAAAGACCTCCCTGGCTGGAGCCTCTCCCTGCACGCATTCAGCCTTCCACCGTGGGAGAGGAGGCTCTGGGAGTCCCTGCCCTTAGCTGCACGAATACAGCAGGGCCCTAGTGCCACAGCCGGAAAAGCCCTGGGTTTGAATCCTGATGCTGCCACTTCCTGGCTCTGTGGCCTTCGGGGGAAAAAACCAATTTCTGTGCCCATTTTTTTAGTTGGAAAACAGGTGGCCAGGGTTTATTGCAGCCTTGGTATGAAGTTGAGTCAGAATGTATCTTAAATGCTTAGTGCCTGACACACAGGGAACGCTCTGTAAATGGTCTGATTCTTATTCGAGTGGGAGTTCTGTGGATTCCGGGAAGCCAAGTAAGGTAAGTTATCAGCTCCTCCAATATCCCTAGAAGCGCCAAACCACCGTCCCAATAGACTCGTGATTTCATCTCCCCACGCTGGACAAGTAAGGCCCAGAGATGACTGAGGCCTGGCTCACCAGGCTGGGAAAGTGTCCACACCATCTCCAGGGACTCCAGGAGTCCAGGTTCCAAGCCGAGGTCACTGGGGCTTCTGGGCATCTTGGAACCCTGCAGAAGTGATGGCTCCTGTCTCTTTTAGGTGATCATGGGGGGTGGCCGGAAATACATGTACCCCAAGAATAAAACTGATGTGGAGTATGAGAGTGACGAGAAAGCCAGGGGCACGAGGCTGGACGGCCTGGACCTCGTTGACACCTGGAAGAGCTTCAAACCGAGATACAAGGTAGCCTGTGCTGGGGCCATGTGGCTGCAGAGGTGGCCTGTGATGGGGAGAGGCTGTGTGACCCCTGCTCTGAAGTTCTGTTGTCCTCTGTAGAAAGGGCATCGGAAATCTTTCCTCCATGGGCTCAAATGGCCTAAGAGATATACAAGCAGTAGATAGTCAGTGACTAATCATTTCCTTCCCTTGGAGGGGATACCAGAGAGAGGCGGATGGTGAGGAGGAGGCTGGGCCAGGGAATAACCTGCGTGGACATTGAGTCACCCTGAGCACCTATTGTATGTAGGCACCTGGCGGGGCATGCGTGAGGCACAGAGGCTGAGTCAGATGGCCAAGGAAACATGGAATGCTGTGTGCCTGCATGGGGGACGCCTGGCTCTGCAGGCGCCCTGGGGGGACAGATGACAGGGAGGAGCCAAGAAGCTCTGGGCAAGTAGGAGGATGGAGGGAGGAGGCAGCGCTGGATGGATCAGGGGAGGACATGGTTGGCCCCAGTGTGCAAGCCATGGAGGGAGCGGAGAAGCCCTCCACAGTGAGTCCCCCTTGGCTGGGGGATGGAATAGATTGGGGAAGGGAGGCTGGAGGACGGAATAGATTGGGGAAGGGAGGCTGGAGGGACCTCTGGAAGGACCCCAAGCTCCAGCTCCTTGGAGTGGCCTCTGGCCCTTTAAATCTGAGCTGCTGGCCTGCGGGCCTGGGGCAGCTGGGGTCTGGAAATGACTGTGGTCAGGGCTGAAGACAGTGGGGAGTAGCCTGGCAGCCACTTTGATGTCACTCTGGGGTTGGGTTTCTGCAAGTTCCAGGACTGGCCCCTGGGGAGGCCTCGTGGGATGAGGCTGGGCCAAGAACGAGGTGGGGGTAGGGACTAGGGAAGGGCCCCCGTGGGGATGGTGGGGGTGTGGAACTGAGTGGCTTTGAACCCTTTCCATCCCTTCTGAGTCAGCTCAGGCTGGGCCAGAGCCCCCTCCAAGCTCAAGCCAGAGAGACACCAGCCTCAGTTTCTCTACGTGGCACATGGGGCCAGAGCTTCATCCTCCTTGCCCAGGCAGGGTGCTTACCCAGGAACTCGGTCTAGACCTCTAAGACGGGGAGAGAGCGTCTACACCATGGCCCCGAGCCTGGCCACATTGGGTATCAGGTCCCGTGTAGGCCCCACATCCCTAGAAAATCATGCCTTAAGAGTGGGTTTTAGAGTCAGTTTCACCTTTACCATTCAGTGGCTACGTGGTCTGTGTGCCTCGGTGCCCTCATCTGTAAAGAGGGAATAACAGGAACAACCCTGGAGGGAGAGAGCACAGGAGAGCCACCTCCAGGAAGCAGGGGCTGGGAGGGGGGGTGCGGAGCCCCACTTTCTGAGCCTCTCTGCCCTCCTCCCCACAACAGCCCCTGAGGCTTGCAAAGCCACTGATCCCACTGTCATTGCTAAGAGAAGGCAGGGGGTCTTCTAAGGGCACACAGCAGATCCTTGGTAGTGCTGGGACCCCTGGTCCAGGCCCACATGGTGCCCTCTCCAGGCCTGGCCTAGCTGGCTTCTTTCTGTGGACTTTATTCCCTGGGGAAACAGCCACGCCTTTATCTCCCCTCCCAGATGGGGTCCCCAAAGCAGAGCTGGGGCTTTGCTTCCTCCCTGGCCCTCCACGGCCTCCAGAAAACAGCCCACACCTGTCAGCACTCAAGGCCCCTGGAGACCTGTGCCTGGCTCTTCTTTGCCCCATGATCCCTCCTCCCTGGAATAGCCTTCCTGACCCTAGGCTGTTCAATTCCCACTTGTCCTCCAGGGACCCATTAGAACATCACCTCCACCAGGAAGCCCTCCCTGGTCCTGTGTCTGGGCTCACGGCCTCCCTGGGCTCTATCAGAATTCTCATCCCCTTGCATTATACATTATAATGGGCTATTGATTCATCATTTCTTGAGGTCAGGGATGGTGGGTCCTCAGGGAGAGATTTTTAAGTGAGGGAAGGAAACAAGTAAAGGCCTCAGACTCTGATAGCTGCTGGGGTCAGTCCTTCCGACTCTCCCTAGCCCCCGGCATGTGCTGACACAGCCCTTCCTCCTAGCACTCCCACTTCATCTGGAACCGCACGGAACTCCTGACCCTTGACCCCCACAATGTGGACTACCTATTGGGTAAGTGGAGGGGGTGGAGGGGAGGATGCATGGCTCGGAGCCTGGTGGCCGGAGCTGCGTGTGGCCAGCACCTGGGGACAAGGCCCTAGCCTGACGCCCACTTAGGGGCCTCTGCTCTTGGGCTTCAGGACCTGGGAGAGGCAAGGAAGGGGGTTCTGGTTCCTGGAATTAGGCCTGAAATCTGCTGGCTGTGCAGGGGGATTAGCCTCATTGGGCACAAGAAGAAACTGAAGCTCAGAGAGGGGAGTGGCCCGCGGCATGTGGCACAAGTGACAGCGGTACGGCCCAGGCAAGTTTGAGCCCTGGCTGGGAACTGGGACTTAACAGCTCCTGGGCTATGGAGCCTGGGACCTGGAGTCAGCTCTACTGTGTGCATGGCCAGGGCAGAAGCCAGCCAAGTTATCTCTGCCCATCCTGACGATTGCCCTCCTCCCCAGGCAGTGGGGAGCATGTGGTGAGGGCCCAGGGGCAGCTTCAGGTCTGGTGGGATGCAGCCCTGAGCACCACCATGCAGCTATCCGGGTTTTCTTTTCCAGCTGTCTGTAGTGCCAAGCAAGTGGTGGCAAAATCTCCTGCAGACATTTCCCAAGGAACACAGCTCCGCGTCCTGGGTGTCATTAGAGGTTATGGGCTCAGAGCTGTGCACCTGGTGGGTCCTCCAGACACATGCACACAGCCTCTTGCTTGCCTGGGTCACATGGCACACACCCAGTACCACATGGGCTGTGCATGCACCCGTGTATCATGCTGGTTTTGCTCATGGATCTTAGAGCCAGAGTGCTGGGTTCAAATCCAGCTCTACCACCTCTAAGCTGTGTGACCTTGGGCAAGTGATTTCTCCTCTTTCTGCCTCAGTTTCCTCTTCTATAAAGTAGGGATAATGATGCTCCCATAAAATGGAGATAGTGATGGGGCTGGAGACAACCCCTGGGTTGTCATGAGCATGACATGAACTTGTGTTGTATAAGTTATCTGTTGCTGTATAACAAATTATCTCAAAACTTAGGCCAGGTGCAGGCCGGGTGCAGTGGCTCATGCCTGTAATCCCAGCACTTTGGGAGGCCGAGGTGGGCGGAGCACAAGGTCAGGAGATTGAGACCATCCTGGCTAACGAGGTGAAACCCCATCTCTACTAAAAATACAAAAAATTAGCCTGGCGTGGTGGCGGGCGCCTGTAGTCCCAGCTACTCAGGAGGCTGAGGCAGGAGAATGGTATGAACCCGGGAGGCGGAGGTTACAGTGAGCCAAGATCGCACCACTGCACTCCAGCCTGGGTGACAGAGCAAGACTCCGTCTAAAAACAAAAAACAAAGAACAAACACGAAAAAACTTAGGCCAGGTGCAATGGCTCGCGCCTGTAATCCTAGCACTTTGGGAGGCCAAGGCAGGTTGATCACTTGAGCCCAGGAGTTTGAGACCAGCCTGGGAAACATAGCGAGACCTCAATTCTACAAAAATTTTTTAAAAACTGGCCAGGTGTGGTGGCGCACACCTTTAGTCCCAGCTACTCAGGAGGCTGAGGTAGGAGGATCCACCTGAGCCCAGGAGGTTGAGGCTGCAGTGAGTTGTGATTATGCCACTGCACTCCAGCCTGGGTGACAGAGCAAGACCCTATCTTAAAAAAAAGAAAGAAAGAAAACATTAGCCAGGTGTGGTGGTGCCAGCCACTCAGGAAGCTGACGTGGGAGGCTTGCTTGAGCCCAAGAGTTTGAGGCTGCAGTGAGCTATGATCATGCCACTGCACCAGTTTGGGCAACAGAGTGAGACCCTGTCACAAAACAAAACTTAACAGTTTAAAACAAGAGTAAACATTTATTGCCTCACTCAATTTCTTTGGGTCAGGAATCTGGGGACAGCTTAGCTGGGTCTCCCATGAGGTCACAGTCATCTGAAGGCTTGACTGGGGCTGGTGCTTCCAGGATGGTTCACTCACATGGCTGGCGAGTTGGTCTTGGCTGTTGGCAGGAGGCCTCAGTTCCTTGGCACATTGCTCTCTATAGAGCAGCTTGAGTGTCCTCATTACATGGTGGCTGGCTTCCCACAGAGATCCAAGAGTATATAAACAGAAGCTACAACATTTTATGCCCCAGCCTTCGAAATCACACACCATCATTTCGGTGGCATTCTATGGCATACAAAGGCTAGTGTGGGAGGAGACCACACAAGCGCGTGAATTCCAGGGGGCAGGGGTTATTGGGCACCATCTTGGAGGCTGGCTTTTGCCTGCTTCCAAAGCGCTAACAGCATGTGGCACCAAGTGAACCCTGTGTGCATGGGAGCTATTGTTCGGCTGTGTACCCACTCACAGAGGGGCAGGGTGTTCTGGAAGGACACCAGAATTGGAAGGACACCAGAATCAGAAGCACCAGCATGGGACACATGGAACTTTGTGCCATGGGCAAGGAATGGATCATTCTCCTTATGTCACAAGTGAGAAAACGGAGCCCAGTGAGCAGGAGGGACAATGATTCCAAACCTTCTGCTGTTTCGCTGCACAGGCCACCGTGCCCTTCAAATCCAACATGTAAATGCACACACACTCTAGCGGCCCCATCGAGTCCAGGCTGTGACCCTCTGCCTTGGGGCCACAGTGCTGTGTGCTGAGCCCTGCAGGCTGGAGGCAGACTGACTGATGGATTTGAACCCCAGATCTGCCACTTCTCAGCTGACAATAGCAAGTTATGGAACACCTCTGGGCCTCAGTGCTCCTCATCTGTGAAACGGGCATGGTGATCCCACCGCGCCATAGTGGTGGGAATGAAAATGAAAGGAATTGGGGCTGGGTGCGGAGGCTCACGCCTGTAATCCCAACACTTTGGGAGGCCGAGGTGGGCGGATGACCTGAGGTCAGGAGTTCGAGACCAGCCTGGCTAACATGGTGAAACCCTGTCTCTACTTAAAATACAACAAAAATTAGCTGGGTGTGGTGATGCATGTCTGTAATCCCAGCTATTCAGGAGGCTAAGGCAGGAGAATCACTTGAACCCGGGAGGCAGAGGTTGCAGGGAGCCGAGATCGCACCACTGCACTCCAGCCTGGACAACAGAGTGAGACTCTGTCTCAAAAAAAAAAAAGAAAAGAAAAGAAAAAGAAAAAAGAAAAAAAAAGGAATTGGGGGCCTAATTCTGGGCCCACAAAAATCACCCAGATAAGGATCCTCCCAGCCACCATACTCTACCCCAAGCTGGCTGTGGGGAGCCTGCATTCCCTGAGACACCCCAGCTTCCTTGGAGTCCTCCTAGCCGGGTCACAGCCTCTCAGCATCCACATCCTCCTGGCGTCCTCCTCAGGTCTCTTCGAGCCAGGGGACATGCAGTACGAGCTGAACAGGAACAACGTGACGGACCCGTCACTCTCCGAGATGGTGGTGGTGGCCATCCAGATCCTGCGGAAGAACCCCAAAGGCTTCTTCTTGCTGGTGGAAGGTAGGGACCCCGGGTCTGCTGAGAGGGGGCTGCTGGAAACACGGCCCTGGTGTCAGGATGGAGAAGTCCAGCTCTTAAAGGGAACTGACTGGTTTGGGGGTGAAGGGAGAGGTCCCTTTAGGAGAATAGGTTGTGGAAGGAGACGGGTGGCACTGTAGACACTCCCAGCCCAGCAAGCTGCTCTCCTTTGGGCATGGAGATGCAAGTTAGGTTCAGCAATCCAGGAAGGCTTCCTGGGAGAGGAGGCAGATTTCTCCCCTTTGGTAGTCTTTCTTGGGGACCTGGCCCTGAAGGGGCAAGCAGCCCCTCAGCCTCACTGCCCAGAAAAGCAAATCCGCAGGCCCCGGCTTTCCCACGCTGTGTGCTGATGTTCCCAGGCTCTTTCAGCGCCGGCCAGGGGCCTTGCAGACAGACCTGAATTCTTGGCCTGGCGCTGCCATCTGCTGGCGGTGTGACCTCTACCTGTGCACTTCTGTTATGTGAAGCCAAAAATAGCATCTGTCTCCTGGAGAGTGATTCGCCTCCATTGTGTTCAGAGACATAAAGTACTTGGAACGGGGCCCAGTAAAGAATAAACCGTGTTTCTATTATTAGCCTTGTTATGGCTACACAATAGTTAAGGCGGGAACAATAGGAAGTGTGAGGAAGTGATAAAGATTCCAGAAACCTTCCAGTGCTAACAGCCCTTGCCCACCGCAGTTCCTCATGTTGCCCTGCTAACATCGGTATGTATACACACACATGCACACACGTGAACATGTTTGCACATATGCTCCCCACGCATACACACATGCTCAGCGCCTCCGCCTTCCAGAGGTGAGCGTCCGCCAGCCCAGCTTGGCTGCTTTCTTGCCAAACCCCGGGGTTCCCACTCGAGCACAGCGGTCTTGGCCTGGCCCCGAACAGGCCTCTGACGCCAAGGAGCCAGCCAGAAACCAGCGGTGGTGAGCACGGGCTCCCCCGGGAGCGGTTTCCTTTGTGAGCAAGGCCAGGATGGGCCGCCCAGGCTAGCTGCTCCCAGAGCCACAACAAAGGGAGGACACGCCCTGCCAGCCTGCCGGGCCACCGCGAGGCTCAGACTGGTGGGAACAGAGGGCTGCCTGGCGCCCAGGACCCTCCAAGCTGGGAGTGTCCACCAGGCAGCGCCCTCCTGTTAGCAAGGGAAGTGTTCCTTTAAGGTCACAGAGCCCTCGGCTGCTGGGCCAAGCCTCCAGCCAGGCCCCTGCACTCACCCGGAGGTGGGAAGCGGGGGCGGAGGCTGCGAGGGTTCAGGCTTCGGCAGGGCTTTGTGGAACCTGCCACAGGCACTGCCCAGGCACTGGGGACTTTCACTACCTCTGGGAGCTCCGTGCTTTCTTTTTAGAGGGGATGATTTGAGGTAGAGATGAAAAACGGGGTTAGGACGAGTCACACCTGAATTCACATCCTGGCAAATCCCACCGTGGGCTTCCCCACACTAGGCCTCAGTTGCTCCATCTGTAAACAGGACTGATCATATTCCTCTCTGCCCAGCATTGCTGTTCAGGGGAAAAGAGACATGGGTGTGTCGTGCCTGGCACATTGTAGGGATTCCAGCGTGCCCCCTTCCCTACCTCCCAAAGGCTTCAGTGCCTCCTTCAAGCAGCTAGAGACAGTGCTGGGAGGGGCGGTGGGAGGAGTACAGCTTCCCGGCCTGGTGAATTTGATTACACATCTGGACTTTGCAGCCCCCATGCATGTGCCTTTGGCACCGGGGCTGTCCCTCTCTGGCCTCCGTCAGGTTGAATGGCTGCGTAAAATGCCTAGGCTGTGGTGCTAGCTCAGAGTGGTGCCCGGCGAAGGTTCCTGTCCTTCCCTAGCTAACAAAGGTTAATCCAGCAGCAGTGTTGTGGGGCTGGGGAGCAGATCTTCCTCCCCTCCTCCCTCACCGAGGCCTTTGCCTTGGTGTCCCAAGGAGGCAGAATTGACCACGGGCACCATGAAGGAAAAGCCAAGCAGGCCCTGCATGAGGCGGTGGAGATGGACCGGGCCATCGGGCAGGCAGGCAGCTTGACCTCCTCGGAAGACACTCTGACCGTGGTCACTGCGGACCATTCCCACGTCTTCACATTTGGTGGATACACCCCCCGTGGCAACTCTATCTTTGGTAGGTGGGCCTTCTTTGGGGTGGACACTCCTGGGGTCTCCTGTCTACCCACCTGGGAGCAGGAGTGGGTGGGAGAGCCAGCAAGCCCAGAGCATGGTGGGGACTCAATGACAACTGGGTGGGGAGGAAGAGTTACTGGGGATGGGGAGAAAATGCAGGGTGAGGCAGGGGAGTGAGTTGAGTGGTGGTCGGGTAGACAGGCAGGTGGGTGGATGGATGGCCACGTTGACCATGGCTGGGCGAGAACGTGGATAGATGAATGAGAGAGGATGGCTGGCTGGATGATGGATGGATGATGGATGGATGGATGGATGGATGGATGGATGGATGATGGATGGATGGATGGGTGGATGGATGGATGGGTGGATGGATGGATGGATGGGTGGATGGATGAATGGGAGGGACATGGGTACAATGAAAACTGGGGAATGGTTAGTTGGAAATAATAAGGTTTAGAAGGTGGCTTCTTGGAGGCATTGCAGGGCCCTTCAAAGAAGATCCCAGGGGTTACCAAGCCACCAAGGAGCCTAATCTGGGGGCTGGGGACTGTACTCCTGGGGCCCCAGCATGACCCCTGAACACCCCCTCCCTGTGCAGGTCTGGCCCCCATGCTGAGTGACACAGACAAGAAGCCCTTCACTGCCATCCTGTATGGCAATGGGCCTGGCTACAAGGTGGTGGGCGGTGAACGAGAGAATGTCTCCATGGTGGACTATGGTGAGACCTCCAGGACCCAGGGCTGGGAGGGGACAGGGCACCCCTCGGGGATGGGCTTGGGAATAGGGTGTCAGCTTGTGGTCAAGGTCAGGGGTCTCAGAATGACTGGGGCTTGAGTCCCAGTTTGATTGTTGAGTCCCAGGTTGTTTGATTCAAACAACCTCAGTTTGAATCGCCTTCTACAATCTAGCAGCTCTGAGACTTTGGGCATGTGACTTCATCTTTCTCTGCTTCAGTTTCCTCTCTAAAAGGGTTCTACCTTTGACGGTTGTCTGAATGACCAAATGGGTCTGATGAGCTTAGCATAGTGCCTGGCACAAGTAGGTGCTCAATATTTTATACTCATTTTTCTTGGCCCTATAATATTCCAGTATACGAGACTTTGCAGTTAGTTCATCCCATCCCATATCATTCATTCGTTCTTGATACTCCCAGTGGTTCTAGGGGGTCTAAAGATGCAGCAATGGTAAGAGTCTCCCCGTCAACTCTCCCTGCTAATCCAAGCAGCCCAAATGAGGTTAATTTTCTCTGTTGGGGGTTGAGAATGCAGACTCCTGTGTCAGAACAGGCTCAGGTTCAAATCCCGTGGCCTTAGGCAAAATGACTTTCCCACATTGAGCCTCCTTTTCCTCTTCTGTGAAATGGGAGCATTCAAGCCAGCCTGGAAGGGAGATGGAAAAGCTGCGTGCGCAGCGCCAGGCCCCTGGCAGGCTCTCAGCAGGTGTTTCCCCTGGCCCACAGCTCACAACAACTACCAGGCGCAGTCTGCTGTGCCCCTGCGCCACGAGACCCACGGCGGGGAGGACGTGGCCGTCTTCTCCAAGGGCCCCATGGCGCACCTGCTGCACGGCGTCCACGAGCAGAACTACGTCCCCCACGTGATGGCGTATGCAGCCTGCATCGGGGCCAACCTCGGCCACTGTGCTCCTGCCAGCTCGGCAGGCAGCCTTGCTGCAGGCCCCCTGCTGCTCGCGCTGGCCCTCTACCCCCTGAGCGTCCTGTTCTGAGGGCCCAGGGCCCGGGCACCCACAAGCCCGTGACAGATGCCAACTTCCCACACGGCAGCCCCCCCCTCAAGGGGCAGGGAGGTGGGGGCCTCCTCAGCCTCTGCAACTGCAAGAAAGGGGACCCAAGAAACCAAAGTCTGCCGCCCACCTCGCTCCCCTCTGGAATCTTCCCCAAGGGCCAAACCCACTTCTGGCCTCCAGCCTTTGCTCCCTCCCCGCTGCCCTTTGGCCAACAGGGTAGATTTCTCTTGGGCAGGCAGAGAGTACAGACTGCAGACATTCTCAAAGCCTCTTATTTTTCTAGCGAACGTATTTCTCCAGACCCAGAGGCCCTGAAGCCTCCGTGGAACATTCTGGATCTGACCCTCCCAGTCTCATCTCCTGACCCTCCCACTCCCATCTCCTTACCTCTGGAACCCCCCAGGCCCTACAATGCTCATGTCCCTGTCCCCAGGCCCAGCCCTCCTTCAGGGGAGTTGAGGTCTTTCTCCTCAGGACAAGGCCTTGCTCACTCACTCACTCCAAGACCACCAGGGTCCCAGGAAGCCGGTGCCTGGGTGGCCATCCTACCCAGCGTGGCCCAGGCCGGGAAGAGCCACCTGGCAGGGCTCACACTCCTGGGCTCTGAACACACACGCCAGCTCCTCTCTGAAGCGACTCTCCTGTTTGGAACGGCAAAAAAAAATTTTTTTTTCTCTTTTTGGTGGTGGTTAAAAGGGAACACAAAACATTTAAATAAAACTTTCCAAATATTTCCGAGGACAGAGCTGAGTCTTTGTGGTCAGTGAGAAAAAGACTGAAAGAAGCTTATTTCTCTGGGAAGAACTGGCCTCAGGGCCCGGGGTACAGGTGGGTTGGACAGGGTGGAAAGGCCTTCTGCTGTCCTGGGGGCTTCACACTCCCTACCTGTGCCACTTTGGACACATAGGTTTGTGTCTCAGTTTTCTTGTCTGTGAAATGGGAGACAACCCCCTTCTGGGTTATTGTGAGGATTAAAGAGGAGGCTGGGTGCAATGGCTCACACCTGTAATCCCAGCACTTTGGGAGGCTGGGGCAGGTGGATCATTTGAGGTCAGCAGTTCAAGACCATCCTGGCCAACATGGTGAAACCCTGTCTCTACAAAAAATACAGAAATTAGCCAGGCATGGTGGCGCGCACACCTGTAGTCCCAGCTCCTCTGGACACTGAGGCAGGAGAATCGCTTGAACCCAAGAAGCAGAGGTTGTAGTGAGCCGAGACAGCGCCACTGCACTCCAGCCTGGGTGATGGAGTGAGACTCTGTCTCAGAAAAACAAAACAAAACAAAACCAAACAAACAAAAAAAAACAAGATAAAAGAGGAGTGCCTGTATGCCCAGAAACCCACAGCAAGGAGGACTTCAGGGGCCCAGTGGCAGCCCGGCTGCATGATACCCACAAACAGCACTACATACCTTGGCCCATTTCATTCATTCAACAAATACAGACTACGTGCTAGGCATGGTATTAAGTCTTAAGAATTGTTGGCCGGGTGCTGTGGCTCATGCCTGTAATCCCAGAACTTCGGGAAGCTGAGGCGGGTGGATCATCTGAGGTTGGGAGTTCGAGACCAGCCTGGGCAACATGGAGAAACCCCGTCTCTACTAAAAATACAAAATTAGGTGTGCCTGTAATCCCAGCTACTCGGGAGGCTGAGGCAGGAGAATCGATTGAACCTGGGAGGCAGAGGTTGCGGTGAGCCGAGATTGTGCCATTGCACTCCAGCCTGGGCAACAAGAGTGAAATTCCATCTCAGAAAAAAAAAAAAAAAAAAAGAATTTAGTGGTGAACATGACAGACAGAAGGCTGAACAGACAGAGGGCTCCTTGCCCTCACAGAGCGTCAGCCCAGCTTAGCAACTGTGATCTTTCCATTTCTCATATTCACACCTTGGTACTACACTCAGGCCTGCAGCCGACCTTGTTGGGATACAGACTTGTCCAAGTTTGCTCCTCTTGCTTCATTGAAATGAAAATTCCTTTAATAAGGATAACAATCATGACAATTAACACTGATCATTTACAACATGCCAGGTCTGTGCTTGACGCTTTATGTGGATTCATTGCATTTAATCCTCATTAGGAAATAGGCCCCCATCATCCACATGTATAGGTGAGGACCCTGAGGGTTTGGGAAGTGAGGTGATTGCCCAAATGCCCCCAAGCTGTGGAGCTGGTATTTGAAGCCAGGTGTGTCCTATTCCAAAGCTCCTGTACTTAATACCATCCTTTATTTGGTTATAACACACTTCAAACCTCTTGTCAACCAGGTCCTGAAGCAGACAATACTAATGACTCATGACATACACCAGTTAAATATAAACTCAGGAAGATGAGAAACCGTATGTCAGAAGTGGACTTCTTCAGGATTGAAAATGCAAACTAAGCAGATTTGTCTCTGAGCTTCCTAGCAGTCCTGACAAAAAAAAGGGAAGCACAGCCAAGCTGACACTGGGATAAAAGATGAAACTATAGGCCAGGCACAACGGTGCATACCTGTAATCCCAGCACTTCGAAAAGCTGAGGTGGGAGGATTGCTTGAGGGCAGGAGTTCAATACCAACCTGGGCAACATAGCGAGACCCTGTCTCTACAAAAAATAAAAAAATTAGCCAGGTATGGTGATATGTGCCTGTAATCTAGCTACTTGGGAGGCTGAGGCGGGAGGATCACTAGAGCCCAGGAGTTAGAGGCTGCAGTGAGCTATGATCATGCCACTGCACTCCAGGCTGGGTGAAGGAGCAAGACCTTGTCTCTAGTTAAAAAGAAAATAAACAGGGCTGGGCGTGGTGGCTCATGCCTGTAATCCCAGCACTTTGGGAGGCTGAGGCGGGTGGATCACGAGGTCAGGAGATCGAGACCATCCTGGGTAACACTGTGAAACCCCGTCTCTACTAAAAATACAAAAAAAAATTAGCCGGGCTTGGTAGCAGGCGCCTGTAGTCCCAGCTACTCGGGAGGCTGAGGCAGGAGAATGGCGTGAACCTGGGAGGTGGAGCTTGCAGTGAGCCAAGGTCGTGCCACTGCACTCACTCCAGCCTGGGTGACAGAGCGAGACTCCGTCTCAAAAAAAAAAAAAAAAGAAAGAAAAGAAAAGAAACTGCCAGGAGTGGTAGCTCACACCTGTAATCAAACTACTTTGGGAGGCTGAGGCCGGAGGATCCCTTGAGCCCAAGAGTTTGAGACCAGCCTGAGCAACATGGCAAAACCCATCTTTATGAAAAATACAATAATTACGGGGGCATGGTGGCAGGCACCTATAGTCCCAGCTACTTGGAGGGCTGAGGGGGAGGATCACTTGAGCCTGGGAGACAGGGGTCGCAATGAGTCGAGATGGTGCCACTGCACTCCAGCCTGGGCAACAAAGTGAGACCCTGTCTCAAAAAATAATACATAGAAAAAGAAAAGAAACTATATGCATACATTCTGGCCAGGACCAAGAGGAAGCGCCTCATCTTGAACTGTACAATGCAGTGTTTTCCAGGTGTTATTTTCACACCACCTTCACAATTGTTGCCGTATCCATACTATTATTTCCTTTTTTTTTTCTTTTGAGACAGAGTCTCGCTCTTTCGCCCAGGCTGGACTGCAGTGGCGCGATCTCGGCTCACTGCAAGCTCTGCCTCCCGGGTTCATGCCATTCTCCTGCCTCAGCCTCCCAAGTAGCTGGGACCGCAGGCACCACCACCGTGCCCGGCTAATTTTTTGCATTTTTAGTAGAGACGGGGTTTCACCGTGTTAGCCAGGATGGTCTCGATCTCCTGACCTCATGATCCACCCACCTCGGCCTCCCAAAGTGCTGGGATTACAGGCGTGAGCCACCGTGCCCGGCCATATACTATTATTTCCTAAACACTCCTTTAAATTGACATTTAAGCAGTCAGTTTTTAAATGTTCCCAGTACCACCTGAAGTCAATTTACATGTCTCCAGGGTGTGCAAACCACACTTTGTTTTGTTTTGTTTTTATTTCCATAGGTTTTGGGGGAACAGGTGGTGTTTGGTTACATTAGTAAGTTCTTTAGTGGTGAGTTGTGAGATTTTGGTGTATCCATCACCTGAGCAGTATACACTGAATCTAATTTGTAATCTTTTATCTCTCATTCCCTTGCCACCCTTTCCCCCAGAGTCCCCAAAGTCCATTGTATCATTTCTATGCCTTTGCATCCTCATAGCTTAGCTCCCAATTATGAGTGAGAACATACGATGTTTGATTTTCCATTCCTGAGTTACTTCACTTAGAATAGTAGTCTCTAATCCCATTGCTGCAAATGCCATTAATTCATTCCTTCTGAATGAGTAGTATTCCATCATATTCATATATATATATATACACATACACATATACATGTATACACACATACACACAGTATATACACATACACCACAGTTTCTTTATCCACTCATTGATTGATGGAGATTTGGACTGGTTCCATATTTTTGTAATTGCGAATTGTGCCGCCATAAACATGCGTGTGCAAGAATCTTTTCCGTTGAATGACTTCTTTTCCTCTGGGTAGATACCCAGTAGCAGGATTGCTGGATCAAATGGTAGTTCTACTTTTAGTTCTTTAAGGAATCTCCACACTGTTTTCCATAGTGGTTGTACTAGTTTACATTCCCAACAGCAGTGCAGAAGTGTTCCCTGTTCACTGCATCCATGCGACATCTATTATTTTTTTGATTTTTTGATTATGGCCATTCTTGCGGGAGTAAGGTGGTATCGCATTGTGATACCACCTTGATTTGCATTTCCCTGATCATTAGTGATGTTGAGCATTTTTTCATATGTCTGTTGGCCATTTGTGTATCTTCTTTTGAGAATTGTCTGTTCATGTCCTTAGCCCACTTTTTGACGGGATTTTATTTTATTTTTTTTGAGACGGAGTCTTGCTCTGTCACCCAGGCTGGAGTGCAGTGGCGCGATCTCGGCTCACTGCAAGCTCCGCCTCCTGGGTTCACACCATTCTCCTGCCTCAGCCTCCAGAGTAGCTGGGACTACAGGCGCCCGCCACCACGCCCAGCTAATTTTTTGTATTTTTAGTAGAGACGGGATTTCACCGTGTTAGCCAGGATGGTCTCGATCTCCTGACCTTGTGATCTGCCCACCTTGGCCTCCCAAAGTGCTGGGATTATAGGCGTGAGCCACCGCGCCTGGCCGTTTGTTTTTTTATTGCTAATTTGTTTGAGTTCCTTGTAGATTCTGTGTATTTATCCTTTGTTGGATGTATAGATTGTGAAGATTTTCTCCCTGTGGGTTGTCTGACAAACCACACTTTGTTATCTTGCATTGGGTTTCCACGGAGACAGAACCTGAGACAGAACTCAGCACAAGCAGTTTGTTTATTAGAAGAACCCAGAAAGCTGCACAAATTGGGGAATGAGGAAGCAAGACAGGAAAGGGAAGGATGTTGAGAAAGATGTGTTTTTAAACAGGTTGCCACTGAGGCTGGCCAGGGCTCAACCCCACGAAGGACCTCTGGGAGATGGTGTGGGAGCGACACTTCAGAGATATCTCACCCAAGGGGCGAGGGAGCAGGGGTATTTATTCTTCAACTCTCACCTCTCATTGGCCGAGGGCTGCTCCTGGGGAAATTAACACTGGCACTCCTGACCTTCCCCATGAAGTTCTGAGAGAAAGCCTCCAGGCCTGGTGCTGGAACATCAACTGCTCAAAGGACACAAACCAGCAGCTTCTGTTGAACTTTGGGATACACTGCTGGGGTAGAAAGCGCAGGCTGTGAGTCCGAGAGATGGAGGTCCACATCTCTGCTCCATCACTTTCTCAGTTCTACGAACTTGGGCAAGGGATTCAGCTTCTCTGACGCCCTGTGCCTAGCGATGCCCAGCACGTAGTGAGGACTGAGTACCCCATTAGGAGCCAGGAGTTCCTCCTGCCCACACTCCAGGCTGTGGGATGACGTGTCCTTCAAGAAGCAGAGATTGAGGTGCTCAGGCACCCATGGCTTCAGGGTCTCCCCACGCTCAGGCTGGGCCCTGGGTCACTCATCACCTTATATTTTAACTGCTGTGGGCCCTGAGTCCTAATTGGAGCCGGGGTTCAGGCATAGGTCCCAGCTCCATTCACAACTAGGGCCGGTAGCCATGGACCTAGACCCTAAGGATGACAGTCCAGACCCACAGCACAGGGATTTCTTTTGCCCTCAGATGCCTTCTCCCGGAGGAAGAACAAAGATGAGCTGACATGCCCTCTTGTATTCACTGAGATAACCCTGCCTTCTGTTAAAGGTAAATTCAGAAAGCTCAATAACTTGACACCTGAGGATGTATTCTTACCTCCAACATCAGCGCCCCTGCTCAGGTGACTGGGACCCAGGATCTTTCCAGGGGTGGCTCTGCCACCCCCTGTAAGTTCTGGATGTCCTTCCTATCTGGCCAGCACCTTGATGGTGGGAACCACGCCTGCTTTTTAACCACTTAATCCTGGAAGTGACATACATCACTTCCGCCCTTAGTGCATTGGCAAGAACCGGTCCTGTGATCCTTCCTGGATGCGAGGAAAGCTAGGAAATGCCGTCTTCGCTTGGGCTACCGCTGCCACCAACACCAACACAGCAGGTTCTCATCCTGGGGGCAGAATCACCCCCACATCAGTTGAAAACCTCTGCTCTGTAGGAAGGAAGAGGCGTGGGAGACTGGGATGGTCAACTTGGCTCAGGCTGGAGACATCCTCCAACTCACACACTCCCCAGCCATTGCTGAGCACGGGTGCCGTGTTTTAAAACACTGAGGGCCAGGCACAGTAGCTCAGACCTGTAATCCCAGCACTTTGGAAGGCTCAGGTGGGTGGATCGCTTGAGCCTAGGAGTTGGAGACCAGCCTGGCAACATAGTGAGACCTCCTCTCTACCCAAAAATGAACAATTAGCTGGGCATGGTGGCGCAAGCCTGTAGTCCCTGCACTCAGGAGACTGAGGTGGGAGGATCACTTGAACCCAGAAGGAGGAGGGTGCAGTGAGCCGAGATCATGCCACTGTACTCCAGCCTGGGTGACAGTGTAACCCTGTCTCAAAAAAAAAAAAAAAAAAAAATTGGGAAATTCTCTATAAGATCTGGGATTCTGGCTTAAAAAAAAAAAGGGAGGCTGAGCGCAGTGGCTCACGCCTGTAATCCCAGCACTTTGGGAGGCCGAGGCGGGTGGATCACGAGGTCAGGAGATCGAGACCATCCTGGCTAACACGGTGAAACCCTGTCTTTACTAAAAATACAAAAAAAAAAAAAAAAGGGAGATCCAGCTAGCAGTGGACCCCACATTTCTGCAGGGCAACGGTCAGTTGGAGCTGAGCGACAAGCTGTCAGGGAACTACACTATTCTCGATGCCACAGCCCCCAGCGTGTCCTGTATTCTGACAGACACTGGGCCTTCAGATGTATGTCACCTGTCTGGTCATGGTAGAGACAGCCTGTGGCCCCTGCCTTATTGAGTACCACGCCCCGTGCCGCAATCTTGCCCGGCCATGGACAAGTCCAAGGCTGTCCTCAAGTTCATATCTCATGACAGAGACTTACAGAGACCATCCCAGTGTGTGTCGAAGCCAGGAGCTGTGGGGACAGGAAGGGAACATGGTGGGGGCGGGTGCACAGGGAACAGAGGGCAGTGAGTAAGCTGAGGCTTAACAAAGGGAGGAGGAACCAGGGCGTGAGGCTACTGAGGGGAATTCAGAGGGAAACGCTGTGGGGAGAGGTGGGCAGAAGGGCCTCAAATGCCATTTGGAGAAGCTGGGGTTGACCGTGAAGACCCTGGGGAGGCATGGAAGGCTCTGGAGCTAGGGAGTCAGCATTGTTTTTGAAAGATCATCCTGGCTGGGCGTGGTAGCTCACGCCTGTAATCCCAGCACTTTGGGAGGCTGAGGCAGGTGGATCACCTGAGGTCAGGAGTTCAAGACCAGCCTGGCCAACATGGTGAAACACCGTCTCTATTAAAATACAAAAATTAGCCAGGTATGGGAGGCTGAGGCAGGAGAATTTCTTGAACCTGGGAGGTGGAGCTAGCAGTGAGCCGAGATCACGCCACTGCACTCCAGCCTGGGTGACAGAGAGAGACTCTGTCTCAAATAAATAACTATCATCCTGGCCATCAGTTTCAAGGGCGCTTCAAGCAGAGAAACTGGAGGCCAGGAGACCCGCCCAGACACTGCTATAATAGACCAGGCAGGAGAAACTGGAGCTGTGGAAATGGAGAGGGGAGGGACAAGCCCCAAATTTGACCCTGTGAATCCCAGCTCCTGTTTATCAGAAGGAAGCCGGCCCAGTAGGTGAATAAAAGGATTATGAGCAAATCTAACGCTCTGGGGTGGAGAGCAGGAGGCAGTAAGGTGCCTACTGTGTGCCACATACCCTACTGAGTGCTGTGACCTAGCAGTGAAGTTGTCACCTTGGGGGTACATGTTCTATATCTCCCCATCGTCTGAAGTGGGCACCCTCCATTTCACAGATGGGAAAATCGAGGCTCGGCAGGATATAGTGACCTGCTCCTGGGCCCATGGCTTGTAGGTGACAGCCGAAAGTTGAACCCAGGTCTCCCTGGCTCCCAGCTCATGTTCTTCTCCTTGTCTCTGGGGCTCTAATCTCTCCAAGGAAAACAACCCCAGCCCCATGAGCCACAGAACCATGGGCTCCCTGGGCCCCCCAGAAGCCCAAAAGTGACCATGGGGGGTGATGAGACAGCAGCGTTTGTAATTAGCCCCGTGGCTGAACCGAAGACCTCCCACCAGGATCCAGCCAGAGCCCGTCTCTGGGGAAGGCGGGTGGGGATTAAGTTCTCAGAAGAGGATTTGGGCTCCCGAGTGCCTGTGTGGCTTCCTCTGAGCCTCGCAGGGACTCTGCCTTGATCACAGCGCCAGGGCCTTTTCTGGCTTCTCAGCAGTCTGTGTGAACCTTCAGATGGGGTGGGCACACGTGGCACCCCCAGCCAAGCAGGGGACGGGCCGGACTCGGTCCTCCAGTGTCACCTCTCCCTCCTGCCACTGGAACCGAGGCTTAGAATCACTGAGGCGGTGGGAACATAGCTGTGGGCACAAGAGTGGACATTTCTACGGCGTTCCCTGCTGACCAGGCGCTGTTCTCACGTGCCTCACAGCACACATTAACTCATCTTCCCCGCAACCAGCCCTGGAGGGCAGGGACTGTGATTTTCCCCATTTTACAGATGAAGAAACAGAAGCAGAAATGTTTAAACTTATGGGAAGATACACCACTAACAAGGGCTGGAGCCAGGACTCTAGCCATGCAGTGTGGCTGCAGAGTACAGGATTTTAATCACCCGTTGCATCCTCTGGCGTCGGGCAGGGCTGGACTTCAGGCTGGGTTTTCCCCGTTCCCAGCTGCACCCACGTCGTGTCTCCTCCTGGAGTCTAAGTTTCCTGTGCTGTGACTGCAGGCGGAGAGGAGGGCCCAACGTCTAGGGGTGAGTCACCACGTGCCGATTCTCTGCTCCTAGGGTCGGGGCCTGGCTGGTCACTGCCACCCACTGGCTGCAGTCCAGCGCCCTCATCTGCGGACTCCTTGATCTTGAAGCCGCCGCCTCCCATGTGCTGTGGTGTGGGCAGGCAGGGTGCGGGGAGGGCTCGGAGGCCGTGGGTGGGGAGGAGTAACGAGGACGACTCAGGAATCTAACTGCAAGGGTTGAGGTGTGGGGGTGGCGGTGGAGGTGGGGGTTCAGTGGCTGGGAATTCTGTCCTCCTGGACTGTAAACAGGGCACCCATGGCTGTGCCTTTGACCTGTGGGGAGTGCCCAGCAGCTTCCACCCACCCATGCCAGGGGGCAGCTCCAGGGTTTCTGGATCCCCAAGTCAGCCCGGGCTTGACCACGCTGCCTGCAGGTGTGTCATCGGCCTCCAGCCCACTCAGGTCACCTGGTTGGGGAAAAATGGCAGTGAAGGGGCAGAGTGCTGGGTCAGGGTGAGAGAAGGGGCCTGGGGCAGGGTCTGGAGGCCTTGAGGTGTGATCATTGCCCCTCTTGGCCTCCCAGAGCCCTGGGCCAAGGCCTGGCTAGCTGCTGCCTCCTCTCAGGTTGTGACAGGTGCCGTCATGACAACCAGCATCAGGAGAGTTTTGGTGCCAGATGGGCCCTTTGTGCTCTGAGCCCTCCACTGTCGAAGATTCTCCTGGGGCAAAGGCCTCTTTCCACAGGTTCCCAGACAAAGCTCAGCCTGGAATGGCCTCGCTATGGTCCAGGGAGGAAGGCGGCCCAGGAAGGGTCAGCACCAAGTTGCAGCCGCACAGTAAAATGGGCAGAGGAGCCCAGCTTCCATCTCCAGCAAAGGGTTCTCACAGCCTTCTGACCCTGGGTCCGGCCTGTGAGAAGGAGGGACTCACAGGTACCCAGTGCCTGTCTGACTCTGGCACTTCAGCCCCCAGTCCCAACGGTCTCTTCCCACCCTCTTAACAACACCGGTGCCGGCCCCATTTTACAGATAGGAAAACCAAAAGCCAGAGAGTGACTGGGGCACTGCTGTAGCTGGTGGTCAGGGAAGGCCTGTCTGAGGGAGTGACATTTGCAAGGACAATGCCTTGCAAAGACCTGGAGGAACAACGGCTCCAGGCAGGCAATAGATCAAGTGCAACCACCTGGGGCAGAAATGAGGACCAGAAATAAGGTGATGTGGCTGGAACCCAGAGAAACGGGGATCAGTGAGTGGGACAGAGGCTGCATTATGGGATGTGGCATGAAAAGAGCTGGCATCTTCTTCTGGTCGCAGAGAGGAAGCCACTGGAGGGTTAGAAGCAGGGGAGACAGCTGGGCGTGGTGGCTCACGCCTGTAATCCCAGCACTTTGGGAGGCCGAGGCAGGTGAATCATGAGGTCAGGAGTTCGAGACCAGCCTGACCAATATGATGAAACCCCGTCTCTACTAAAAATACAAAAATTAGCCGGGTGTGGTGGTGCGTGCCTGTAATCCCAGCTACTCAGGAGGCTGAGGCAGGAGAATTGCCTGGAGCCGGGAGATGGAGGTTGCAGTGAGCTGAGATCACGCCATTGCACTCCAGCCTGGGCGACAGAGCGAGAGCGAGACTCCGTCTCAAAAAAAAAAAAAAAAAAAAGAAGCAGGGGAGACAAGTGACTGGCTTGTGCTTTGATTACTCGAGTGGCTGGGGAGCAGAGGAGGCTGGGGAGCTCCAGGAGCTGAGCCCAGAGCTCAGTCTGGAGCTTTCCCTGTCTGGGTTGGAGGTGGTGGTGGCTTGGACCAGGCTAAGTGTGGTGGTGGCGGGAAGGAGTTGGATCCCAGACATGCTGGGAGGGAGGGCCAGCAGAGCTCCCTGGTGGACTGCACGTCGGGAGGGGAGGGAACAGGGGAATCGGGGCTGGGCACCTGGGTTGATGGAGGTGCTGTTTACGGGTATGGGGAACCAGAAGTGGGGAGAAAACAGACAGTTGGGTTTGGATCACATTGGGCTGGAGGTGCCCACTGGACCTTGGAGTGGAGACGCTGGCTGGGTAGGTAGGAGGAAAAGAGTCTGGAGTTCGAGGGAGGAAATAGAAAGATGAGGGTCAGGATGGTATTTATAGTTATGGGCTGGAGAGAGCAAGTGACTTGCCCAGGGTTACAGACAGCCAGTGGTCAGGATTTGAACTGGGGTCTGCTAGGCTCTGAAACCCACAGGGGCTCTTTCCCGGACAGCTGGGAACAGAGAGGGCTTCATCCAAGGTACAGGGGGTGCCGCAGGACTCAGGGGTGGGGCAAGGAGAAGCCCCTGAGGAAAAAACAAAACCAAAGAAAGAAGTAAAGTGAATGTAATCCTAATCAAAATCCTATTGGTCAGGCCAGATGTGGTGGTTCATGCCTGTAATCCCAGCACCTTGGGAGGCTAAGGCAGGAGGATCACTTGAGCCCAGAAGTTCGAGACCAGCCTCAGCAACAAAATGAGGCCCCAATTCTAGTCCCGGGTGTGGTGGTGAGATGGGAAGATAGCTTGAGCCCAGGAATTGAAGGCTACAGTGAGCTATGATCGTGCCACTGTGCTCCGGTCTTGGCGCCAGAGTGGGACACTATCTCAAAAACAAATAATAAATAGAAAGACAAGTCCCTGAGAATGAATGTGGGAATGACTGAGATCCTTCCAGCCTGGGCTGCCCACCTCCCATCCACAGCCTGGTCAGCTGGAAGAGCCCATGTCAAGCACGAGGTTGTGTCCCCTGCCCATTGTACAGATGGGGAAACTGAGGTCTGAAGGAAGGCAGGGCTGGGGTCTAGGTCTTCTGTCTGCCAACCCCGACTCTTCTGCCAGCCTCTAAGGTGGACTCCTGTCTGAGCCAACTCAATGGCTGGGTTGAAACCTTCCAACTGGGACATTCCTGAAGGGGGTGAGTGTCTCTCTGGAGGTCCTCCTGTAGATGGACCTGGGGCCTGGAGTCTTCCCCTCCTGGGTCTCCCCAAGGCAGTGTTTGCCCATGCTGGCCTCTGCCCCTGGCCTGGCCCCGCCGTGGCCTTCAGGACCCCTCTAGGTCCCTGGCAGGGCAGCCCCATGCCTGGCTCTGGTCACGGTTCCTGCCCTGTGGCCAGGACCAAGGCCCCCCCCTGGCCCTTGCCCAGACCACCCAGCGCCAGGGCCTGGCGGAGCCCGGGTGGCTGGCGGGCAGTGCTCCCAGGCTGGCCAGCCGTGGTCTGGCCCCGCCTGAGGGGCTGTGGCCTGGGAACCGTCAGCTGTCTCCTCGGGGAAGCGGCTGGGATCTCCAGAACAAACAGGGAAACCACAGGCTCCCCCACCACGCCCCCAAGGAGGGGCACGGCCTCTGGCCTTGCCCGCCAACACCCCACTCTCCAGGCCTGGCTCCCCACTTCTGGGTGAATAGAAAGGAGGCCTGGTGGCAAGCAGGTCCCAGAAGTGCCTGATCCTCAGGTGGTGAAATGACAAGGAGTTCCCCAGACGGAAGCGCCCAGCACAGGGCACTGCACACGGGAGGCCCCTGAGAAACAGCAGCCCTGGACTCATCCACCGCTGGCTCAGTGGGAGCCACAGCAATCCTGGGGGATTCCTGTACTTGGCAGGGCAGGCTGGGACAGCCGCCCTAATTCAGACCGGCTGGGGGATGGGGTGCATGTGACTCCACTAAAAGCTGCAATTAGAGCCCAATTTAAAGAAACGCTGTGTTAGTTCCTCCCCGGGTAGATGTGATTATAGGCTCGGAGCTAAACCGTTTCTAACAGGATGACACATGGAGAGGCCCCTTCTGGGCTCTGGCAGGATGCCCAGCCCAGCCCCCGGCTGCACGACTGGGGAAACCAAGGCCCGGAATTCACACTGCAGGTGAAGAGGGGGCGAGGCTTCGGCTCCATCCCCACCTCTCACTTTTCTCTACAGGATTTCATGCTGCATCTAGAAGCCAAAACGCTGACACCCCTTGAAAAGGAGGGCTGGGAACTGAGATGATTGACGCCCCAAGGGGAAGCGGGCGCTTCCCAGAACAGCCTCGGCATGACCTGGACATGGAGCCAGGCGGCTGCTCCTTGCCCAACCCATGGGGGCCTTGCAATGATTAATAATAATAATGATGATGATAATGGTGCCAGCAGCAGCCGTGGCTCCCTTTGGAAGTGCTCCCGGGGGGCAGGCAACATCTCACGCATTCTCGCAATAATCCTGCCAGGGAGCTGCTAGTGTAGCCCCATTGCAGGGCTGGGGAAACCAAGGCTCCGAAGGGTCAATGACTTGCCCAGTGTCATGCCAGGAGCCAGTGGTATGTTCCTGCTGGGATTGGACAAGCGCCTGAGATCCTGAGCAGGGGGCAGAGTTCAGGGGGCGGTCGGGGGGTCATCTCAGTGAATGGCAACAATGAGTGAGTAAGCGAGCCTGTTAGCAAGTGAATGAATGAGTGAACGAATAAAAAGGCTGTTTAAGGAATTCTGCCCCTGGGGAGGCATGAAAGGGCCACAGGTCTCTCCCTAGTTGCCTCCCCCCGCCACCTCCAGGGAGACCCCTGAGATTAATGGGCCACAGACAAAGGCCCAAGTCTCACCTGCCCAGAAACAAGGACCCCTCACTTCCCGGGTTCCAGGGGTCCCCTGTCTCGTCCAACACCCCGCTAGGGCACAGGGCACTGCACACGGGAGGCCCCTGAGAAACAGCAGCGTCACTGAGCAGTGCCCTCTGGCCTGCGCCCCCCCACCTTCATCCCAGCCATCCCCAAATGCCACAAGGGTAGATCACCTGCCCTAGTCCCCACCACCACCTGCACCCTTGCCCAGGGCTGAATTCCCACATAGGATTGGGGTCTGGGGAGGGGCCAAAATAAGGGAAAAGCTGATCTCTCTTTACCCACTCTGCCCCCTCCCGTCCCCTTTGCAGCTCATATTGGGGAGTCCCTGGGTTGGGGGTGGCACACACTTGGTTCCTAGGAGCTTGGGCAGTAGGGTACTACTGCCCCTCCATTCCCCGGATGCGCATCCCCCTCCATTCCCCGGATTCTTCATTCATTCAGCAAATATTTATGGAGCCCCTACTGTGTGCAAGGTGCTGGGCTCAGCCATTCATGCACACACAGACCCTTCCTTCTGATGTCTCTGGTTCCATTAAGAAGACTGTGTGTCACGTGCCTCCCCACCACGTTCCCAAGGACTGTCCCCACACCAACTCCTGGTGGTCTGTAGCTGTGCCTCCCTCATCAGACTGGGATTTCTCCAGGGCATGGTTGTGACACTGCCATCAGACTGGCCTGTGCAACCTGCCTTTCCTGAGAAACCTCTCCCTTCACTCCAAGAGCCTCCCTGGAGACGGTTGCCAGATAAAATACAGGACGCTCAGTTAAATTTGAATCTCAGACAAACAAAGAATAATTTTTTAGTATAAGTATGTCCCAAATATCGCACAAGGTATACTTAAACTAAAAATTCTTCCTTGTTTATCTGAAATTCAAATTTAACTGGGCACCGTGGGTTTCTATTTGCTAAATCTGGCAACCCTAGACCTGGAGCTCTTTCCTCCTGCTGGAAGTGGGCCTGGCCAGATGGCCCAGGTCGTGTCTGGACTTGGCTCCTGCCTGCCCAGTTATAGCTCCTGTTGGTCCCCAGGACTAGTTCCCTCCCTCGCTGGGCCGCACCTGAAACCCCAGCTCCTAGGTGGGCACAGCCGCCCACCACCCAGTGCACAGAGCCCAGCGTATGGACCCTTAGGAACACTGCATCCCGCCTCCTGTGTGATGGGTCCAGGGAGAGAGGGGGAGAGAGCCACAGCTGCAGAGAGGGACCACGAGACTCAGAGACAGAGAGAGGCAGAGACACAGAGATAAAGGGACACCACAGAGACTGAGCACTGGAGACAGAGGGGGAGACAGCTGAGAGGGAGACAGAGAGCTTCCGGATCCCTGCCCAGAGCTGCTTCAGGAGACCAGTGAAGCGGGTGGAGGGTCCTGAAAGCCCACTAGGATTTGCCTGAGTGGATTGGGGTGGAGGAGAGGTGGGGTCCCTGAGCCCCAACGTTGGGCCCCAGACTGGCCGGCCCTGGGAGGCAGGGGTGGGAGTCCATTCAGAGGCCGGCCTCAGCCCCAGGGCTCTCCCCTCGCCCTGCCTCCCAGGGGCAAACACAGGGACATTCATGGCTTCCCAGAACGGCCTATGGGGCAGCCAGAGTGGCTTTTAAAATTAGCCTCGCTAACCAGATCTGGTTATTTCAGGAGGCTCCATCCCCTTGGCAAGGCGGGAGCAGGGAAGAAGGGAGGGACCTCCACATTCCAGGGTCCCTGGCTGAGCACCCCCTGTGGCCTGAGCAGCAGAGAACGTCCAGCTCCCAGTCCCCTGGCACGGCCGGCCCGGGCCTGCGGTCATCTCCTTGGCAAAGTTGCCCCAGGGTTGGCCATGGAGGTCCAAGAACACCCCAGCTGGGGGTGGGTAGGGGAGGACCCCCTTGTATTGGGCACGGGTTCTGTGCCAGCAGCCATCCCAGGTACCTTAGAGGCCAAGACAGCCTCTTCAGAGCAATAGGTAGGGGCCTTGTCCTCATTCTCCAGGTAAGGAAACAGACTCCTGGAGACAGGAGGCCCCTGCTGTGAGGTAGGGGAGATGGGGGAGGGCACGTCTTCCAGGCACCCAGGTCCCTCCACGGGAGGCCTCTTCCCTCCTGTGTCTGGAGGAACCCCCCGGCTGCTGTTTCCACTACCAGAGTAATTTCTAAGCAGAGTCCAGCGCTTCCCGGAGCCTGGTACCCCCCGCCCAAGTTCTAATTCCAGCCTCGAGTCAGAGTGTCCCGGCTCGCCCTCCCACCTCACAGCCCAGGGTGAGCACAGAGCTGGCGCGGGCACAAGAGAAATAGCACCGGACACTTTGATCCCAGAGGCCCGATCCGTTGCCAGCCTCCCCTGACCCCACCTCGGAGCTTGGAGGGATGCGGTAGGGTGAAACCCAGCCCCAAGGCCTTCCTTCCCGCAGACGGCCTGGCACCAGCTGGACAGGGATGGGGCAAAGGCAGGTTCTGCCCACCAAGCTGCCCACCTGCTCTGCCACAGCAGCCCCTGCTGCTCTGTCTCAGCTGTGGGATAGAGTGGAGTGGGGGTGCATTGCTAAGTACAGGGAGACAAGCCGGAGACCTCCCCCAGCTCTGTTATGGCAGCATCGTCACCCCAGGTAAACCTGGCAAGCTGAGGCCCAGGGAAGCACCTGACGCCGTCCATTCCCAAAGCCTCACATCTAGGCACCTGTGCTGGGCCCAGTGGCAGGTGGGCGTCCTCCACGCACTGAGCGGACCCCACGTGTTCTGAATTACGGACGTCATTGATCCCTTCCTGCGGTATGCACACTCTCTTCTTTGAGCCCACCACGTGCTGGGGCTGCACCCAGAACTTTATGAGGTGTCACCTCATTTAATCCTCATGCCAGGGTGCCAGCGAGGGCAGGGCTGTTAGCACCCCCACTGCACAGATGAGGAAACTGAGGCCCAGGGAGCCAAAATCGTGTCTGCATGGTCATAGCGCGAGGAGGCGAAGCAGCTCAGAGCTGATTCTGAAGAAGCTCTTAACCGTGGTGCTGAACTGTGATGCCGGCCCTGTGGAGGTGGGGCAGGAGGAGAGAGGGCAGAGGACTGCGGCGGAGGGATAGGGAGCAGGGGTGCGGCTGATGGGTGGGCAGTTCACAGGGGACTCACTGGGCCCAGAGCAGCCTAGAGCCAAACCGAGTTGGGTGGGGCTGGGGTTTGGGTGTGAGTCACCACCCATGGGTGGCCTGAGGCATCAGAGGGTCACAGAAGGGCCCTGTCGGGAAAAGTGTGGCACTCCCTGGACAAACCCCTGGGGTTCCTTCAGCATCATCCTGGGAAGGGGGCAGGGCCAGCAGGGGATAGGGGGCACTGCCAAGCTGTCAGGGAGGCCAAGGCACGGCTCATCCCTTCGGGGCCCAATTTGGTGCCTACTCCCAAATGTCCCCAAAGCCACCCCGCAGACCTGCTCTCCTCCGTGGTCCTGCCCCAGAGGGAGAGTCCCCTCATTCACCCAACACCCAGCCTGTACCCCCGGGAGCCACCCGATTCCCCCCTTAGCCCCACAGCCCATCAGGCGCTTGGTCCCCCTGCTCAGGCCCACCTGGTGTCCTTCTCAGCGTCCTCCTGGCCACCCTCTTACCCCAGCAACAACCTCGTTGGTCCCCTCCTCCCTCCACTGGTGCAGCCTCCACCAGCAACTACCGCTCCTGCCTGGGGCTCCCCCTGCCCTTGGCGCAGAGCCCTGGCCTCTCCGTCGGGAGTTCAAGGCCACATTGCCTCTGGCCTCATCCCTGCCCATCTCCCTGTCCCCTCCATTGTCACCTTCCCACCATTCAGAGCTGGCTGCCACCTTCCTGGTTCCAGGGGTGCTCTGCCTCCCCGCCCTTTACTCGAGGCCCCCTCCTGCAGCGTCCCTCCTCCCTAGGCCTTCTCAGGAACGGGGAGCAACTCCAGGAACTTTCCCTGACGCCTCTCTCCCCAGGCCCTGCTTGTGCACACCTCTCCTGTCCCCGGCTGCCCCTCATCACCCTTCGTCCTACTGTCCCAGCTGTGAGATCCTGGTAGAGGGACTTGGACTCATCCCCGTCTCCTGGGTCCCCATCGGGTCCCGTAAGTGGTCCCTTGGCGCCGCCTTGTGGCCATATCAGGGGATTCACTGAATATGAGAACAGGGAGAAGGAAGTAATTAATTGAGCACCTAATGTGTGCCAGACACTGTGCTGTATGTTTGATACGCACCAGCTCATTGAATCCTCACAACAAACCCTTGGGAGAAACACTACCACTCCTATTTTACAAAAGGAAACACTGAGGCTCACGGAAGCTAGTAAGTTTCTCAACGCCACCCACCCAGCTAACAAGAGACGGTCCCAGGACTCAAACCTAGGTCTGCCTGACAGCACAGCCATGTTCTTCCTGCAGTGGGGAAGGGGCCCAGGATGCAGGGAAGGACAGCACCCCGGGGAGGAAACCACGGGCGGTGCTCACAGAGCTGGTGGCTTGGCTTTGGAGGTGTCCCCAGGCCCAGCAGCTCTGATGGGGACAGGCTTGCTCCCTGCCACCTTGACATCCCTGGACATCTGTCTGGGGTCAATCTGGCCACGGTTCACACAAAGCCAGGCCCAACTCTGGGTACAATAGCGATAAATAGAATTTATTTTATACAACTGTTACCGACATCCACACGGCCACAGGGGCTTCCAAAATGGGTATTGGGGCCAGGAGGCTGGCCTTTGGCGTGACGCCTAAAAAGTGTGACCAGACACACAAGGGCTCCCAGCAGCTGTGCCGGGCTGCCCCCTCCATGGCGGTCGGGGGAGGCAAGGCCTGGACTCTCGGCCAGCTGAGACTCTTGGCCTGGAGGGCCCAGCATGGGATGGCAGGGGTTAAGCTGGGTGCTGGCTGAGGAGCCAGGTAGGTCCCCATCCCCCATGAGGGGGTTACTTGTCTGTCATGTGTAGGCAGTGGACAGGGCATCGGCAGACCTGTGGCAGAACTGGAGGGTCCAGGAGGCATACTGGGCACAGCCGGCTCCCTGCCCCTCAGCCCACCTGGGGCTCCAGGGACCTCAAGAAGCAGGGTAGGGTGATAGGAGGTCCCTGGGAAGAAAATCCTACCTTCTAAGGCAGGTGCATGTAATCACAGTCTTCAGTGACCTCTGAAATAATCTTGTCCATTTGTAGCAGACATGCCCAGAGAGGGAGAGTGACTTGCCCAGAGTCACACAGCAGAACCCAAATTGGAAACCAGGACCCGGCTCCCAACCCAGTGCTCACTCCCCCACATATCACATCCTCCTTGTGCTGCCTCCAGGGGCTAAGCTCTCCACACGGAGCTGTCTCAAACTCTCTCTCCCACCTTGTTCCCTCTGAGTCCAGAGGGATGCTCAGGGGTGATGGAGGCCCAGGGAGGGGGCAAGCCAGACCCCCAGTCCTGCTTCCACTGAGCAATCCCTGCCCCAGCCCAGACCCCCAGGCTGGGGGTGGGGACGATGCCAGCAGCTTCCCTGATCCCAGGTCTGGACGGCTCTGCCCTGCAGAGACAGCCCAGATGGGTGGGCCATGGGGAGGGTGGGGAGGCAGGGGGCAGCCCACGGGCTGGTGTTGGTCTTCAGGGCAGAGGTCTCGTCTGCCTGGGCTTGACACGGCACCTTCCCCTTGTGCTTCTGTGGCCTCATCTGCAGGGCAAAGGGGGATGGAGACACCATGAAACATGGCATGGTGGGTGGCTGGCACCAGTGTGCCCCAACTCTGCCAAGTCCCTGCCTCAGAGAACCCCACCCTGGGAGGGGCCCACCCTTGGAATTCCAGGCTCCAGGTCTTTCCATCCCATTGGGAACCCCTGAAACTTCTCCCCACCTGGCAACTGCCAAGTCCCTTTCACACTCCCATCAAATCCTCCAACAATGCAAGGGCAGAGGTCACGGGGAAGGGCCGTGGCCTGCCCAAGTCACCCAGCAACTGAGGACCAGGGGGCTCAAACCCAGATACATAGCTCCCACCCCAGAGAGGTGACAGAAGAACAGGGAGGAATCAGCTCAGCCCTCTACACACCCCCACCCTCTCCCACCAAACACAAGCTGAGGGGCTGGGTCTAACCTGCTCAGTTTCACCTTCAGAGGGGGTGGCCCGGCTAACAGCCCTGCAGACAGACAGTGGTGGTGAGGCAGGTGGCAAGACGGGAGAAGCAACGGGGCGGGAGACACAGGTGCACAAAGTCACTGGCTGTGTCCAGGCCGGGCAAGCCCCACCCCTCCTGGCCTAGCGGGGCCTAGGGGGACCTCTTGGTCGAGCCTCAGCTCCCAGCCTCCCCGCCAGCTCATCCCCTCCCGGGTGGGGCTCCCTCAGCACCAGCCCCAGGAGGCTGCACGTACCAGCTGGGGCATGTGCTGCTCAGATGCTTCCAGCTGGATCTTGATCTCGGGACACGCAGGGTCCCCCAACTTGCCGGCGTCTGGGTGGGGTGATCGAGAGGGGCCTGGGGAGGGGGGCAGGAGGGAGCCACCTCACTGGCCGCGGGGAGGCACCAGGGAGACGGGGGCATAGGTGGGCGGTCGGCACCAGTGCGCTCCAACCCCACCCTTAACTTTCTTCCTTGCCATCCCCCATTATCCTCCGAGACCCTTCCGGAAGAAACCAGCCCTCCAATCCACCCAGCCACCCTAGGCTGGACAATGACCTGCCCGCTGTCCTCCAAGTCAGGGGCAGTCACATCACATCCACTGCATGGGGCATGGGAACTGGTGCCCAGCCCTGTCCCCCTCCTACCCCAAGGTAGCCCTGCTTTGTGGGGAAGCTGCCTTGTCCTGGTACCTGGGGAGCTGCCCCCACTAGTGGTGCTGACACTGTCCTCCAGCCACGTGCTATAGATGAAGGAGTCCCGCTTGTGGGGTGTTCCTGAGGATGACACGCTCTCCTGGGGAGGGGGTGGAAAGAGGGAGGGAGGTTAGCCTATGCCCTTGGCACTGGCTAGGGCTCCCTCCCAGCCCCTCTCCCTCACTGCATTCCACAACCCCCCACCCGTACCCTCTGCGAGGAGGACGGGCCTAGCCATGTCTGCCCCAGGGAGACCACAGGAGGGCAGAGTCAGGGCAGGCACAGACCCAGGCACACGCCACCCACTGCCACTCACTCACTCAACAAACATTCACTGATGTTCTCCAGGGCTTGCCACTGACATAAATCAGGCATGGGCCCTGCCCTCAGGAGCCTGATATCTGGGAGGCAAGGCAGGCTGTGAAGAGACCATTGCAATTCTAGACTCTGTGCCCCAGCAGGCAGGGCCTGGGTCTGCACTGTTCCCAGCTGTATCTGTTGTATCTGGGGCAGCGCTTGGCAAGGAACAGGGGCCCACTGATGGTTTGCAGAATGAAGAATGATAAAGGGTGTTCCGGGCAAAGCCCGAGGACTGTGAGAACGTAAAGGGGCTTCCTAACCTACCCCGAGATTAGGAAATCAGGGAAGGCTTTCAGGAGGAGGTGTGTGAGACTCAGTCAAAAAGGATGAGTCAGAGCCAGCCTGGCAAAGAAAGGAGGAGGCGGCAGGAAGAGTGTTCCAGACAGAAGAGATGGCACATGCGCAAAGGGCCAGGGGTGCAGTGAGCCTGGGAGGCTTGGGGGACTGCAACGGAGTACAGAATGTCTGAAGTGGTAAGAGAGGAGACTAGAGAGGAAGGGAGTGACCAGATCTCCAAGAGCTCCAGAGACTGAGCTTCCTGTGGACAGTGCTGGGGAGCCGTGGAAGGCTTCTGAGCAGGGGAGGGTTCGTCTGCACTGCTCCTTTGGGCCGGGTCCCCTGATCACATCTCAGCCACGCCCAGGCTCGTGGTTCTACTCAGGGCATCTCCAGGGACCAAAGAGCCCCCTTCCAAGCTCCTGTGGGGCCCCTGACCCCCCTGAGCCTCTCACCAGGCCTGTGTCCTCTCCGTCCACACCCTCCGTCTCCTCCACCACGCTGGCGAAGCTGCTGGCACTGGACGAGGAGCGGGAGAAGTCCTTGAGCGCCTCTGCTCTCTGCGCTGCGGTCTCCGCTCTGCCACAGACAGTGCCCCATTAGCCGGTGTCCACCCCGAGCCCCTCCTGGGCCAGGCCCTCACTCCCTTGCCCTCCCCAACCCGGGAGGCCCAGCTGGTAGCAGCCAAGCACCTTTGAGGACCCCTTACAGATCCTTGGGCCTCTGAGCCCCCCAGACTCCCCCTGCAGCCTCCTCCTACCCGCATTGTCCTTCCTAATCCATAAATCTGACCACGTCCCTCCCCTGCTCAAAACCCTCTCCTGGCCTCCCATTTCCCCAGGTAAAGCACAATATCCTTGGCGTGGTGTTCAAAAACAGCAGCGGTTAGCGACACTAACATCATCGGGTGCACGTTCACTCTGCACCGGGCACTGCTCTACGTGCCTTTACCTGAATTATCTTATCGCTATGATTATTATACCCATCTTCCAGATGAGATGACACCAGGCACAGAGGGGACAGGCACACAGCCCAGGGTCACTCAGCACAGGTGGGAGGGCAGGGGTTGAGGTCCAGGCAACTCCACAGTCTACTCTCTTAATCCCACAAGGTTTTCATGCTCAGGGCCTCTATGCCTCCTGCCTGGAGTCTCAGTCCTCTCAAATCCCGAAAAGCAAATGTGCCTTTAAAAAATCAGCCTAGGGCTCTCGCTCCAGGAGTCCTTCCCTGATTCCTCCTCCCAAGGTGAGAATGACCCTCCCCACTCTGGCTCCTGCATACTGCGTCTCCCTGGTCCCTGCCACCCTTTCCTGCCTCTCTGTTCACCTACCCGGCTCTTTAGCCTGGGCTGAGTCCTCTTGATTCCCACAGAGCCCAACACAGAGGCAGCTCAGCCAACGGACACCAAATGCAGGGACAGTTTCCTCACTGGCCTCTCTGCTTCCATCCCACCCCACTCCAGCCTCTTTGTACAGCAACCGAAGTCAGCTTCTTAAAGCATCGCCCTCGTAATTAAAATCCTCCCAAGGTTCCCTGTCACACTTAGGATAAAAGTCAAAGCTCTTAGGCTGGGCGCAGTGGCTCACGCCTGTAATCCCAGCACTTTGGGAGGCTGAGGCGGGCGGATCACGAGATCGGGAGATCAAGACCATCCTGGCTAACACGGTGAAACCCCGTATCTACTAAAAATACAAAAATTAGATGGGCATGGTGGCGGGCACCTGTAGTCCCAGCTACTTGGGGGGCTGAGGCAGGAGAATGGCGTGAACCCGGGAGGTGGAGCTTGCAGTGAGCCGAGATTGTGCCACTGCACTCCAGCCTGGGAGACAGAGCAAGACTCTGTCTCAAAAAAAAAAAAAAAGTCAAAGCTCTTGTACAGCCTGCTAAGCTATAAGCCAGTGTCTGCCCACCTCTCCAACCTCCTTCCCGCCACCACCCAGCACAATGTCACAATGTCTGTCCAGGCCCAGCCCCTCAGATACTCTTTTTTTTTTTTTTAAGCAATGGAGTCTTGCTATGATGTCCAGGCTAGAGTGCAGTGGCTATTCACAGGCATGATCATAGCTCACTGCAGCCTCCAACTCCTGGGCTAAAATCATCCTCCTGCTTCAGCCTCCCAGGTAGGTGGACTCCAGGCATACGTCACCACTCCCAGCCACCCTTCTTTCTGTCCCTGGAGTGTGCCCCAGGCCTCTGCACTGGCCGAGCTCCTCTGCCATGCCAGTCCTAGCAGGGCTGGTTCAGTTCCCAATTCAAATGTCACCCCATGGAGGTGTCTCCCCGAGGACCCATCTAAAACACCTCTGCCCCCAGTCCCTCTTCATCCCCCCAACCCTGCTTCGGGTTCCTCCTATCACCATGATCCGGCAACAGCCTATGAGGCCGCGTTCTGATGGACCTGCGGCCGTGAGGCGGGGACCTATGCGCAGGGCACCTCTGTGCTCCAGAGCCGGGCGCGGGGCTGGGCGTGCACAAAGTGCTCGCTGGGTATATGTCAAAGGAGGGCCCCAGAGAATGCCCAGGTCCCCCTGACACCCTGCTGTGGCACAGTCAAGGCTCCTGTGCTGTCCCGGGCCCAGGCAGGGGAGGGGAAGGACGGTTCACCACTCCCAAGCCCCCAAGCCCCACGTGCCCTGAGCCCCAACCTGTTCTTGGTCGTGGGCATCTCTGGGGAGCTCTGAGTGGATGAGTTCTCCGACTTGGGCTCCTGTGAGACGTGCCCGCTGTCTGGGGTCTTCTGACCAGCCGGAGGGCTCTCCCTGCGGGGCACACGGGGGCAGCGGGGGGATTCAGCACCAGGCCTGGCATCAGGCGTAGCGTGAGGCCCAGGCGGTGAGGGGAGTCACGGTGCCTCCTGCCTCATACCCACGCCCCTATACTCAGGGCCAGCCCTGGAGCAGTCTTGTGGGCTCCCTGGCTAGCCTGGCCAGTGATGGGGTTGGCACTGATGGGGCTATATGGGACAGGATGGGACTCCTCCCAGGTCCTCTCCACAGGAGCAGGTATAGCTGTCCCATTATGGATAAGGAACCTGCCCAGGGACGCACAGCTAGGACGTGGCAGTGCCAAGACCTGAACCCAGGACTCACAGCATGCGGAGCTCTGGCAGCAGCAAGGACAATGCCCACTCCCGTCCTGGAGCCCTCTCAGGGGACCTGGCCCTGGCCTCACACGCAGTGCCCTGAGTCCCCACAGCAGCCCCATGCCATGGGTTGTGTTCTTGTCCCTTTTCCAGGTTGGGACAGTAAGGCTCAGAGGAGGTCAGTGACTCGCCCAAGGTCACACATGGTTAATATCGGGGAGGCAGCCGGGAGCTAGCCTCTGATGTCCGGGGGCAGCCCTGCTGCTGGCCTGGGCTCACTGCCCTCATGCTGCCCACACTCATGGACCCCCCAGGCCCATCTGTGGCCACCCTGAAAACCAGCACTAGGCCCTCCCACATGCGCTGGGGCCGTGGGAAGAGCACGGATGCTGGCCCTAGACAGATCAGGGCTCAGATCCTAGCTCTGCCCATCACTGGCTGTGTGATCTGGGCAAGCCCCTTGACTCCTCTGACCTACCGCTTCTTGATCTGCATGTGGCACGTTAGGTGACGTGCTGGCCCTGGTGCCCGACACGCAGCAGGGACTTGACCACACAGCTGTCACTAGTGGGGATGGAGAGGCAGAGGGGCGGGCACTCCCTTCTGCCTGCCTTGCTTTGCCACCGAATGGGGCTCAGGGATGGGGATGCAGGGGAATGGGGCACTGTCCCCCACTCACCCACCTCTTCTCCTGCACCTCCTGTATGTTCTCGATGCCAATGGCGCTGCTGCGGCGGGAGCCGAACGGGCCCGACTTCTTCCTCGTGGGGCTCTTCCCAGGGACAATCAGTGACTGTGGGGAGAGGCCCCAACTCAGTGCCACCTTACCTGGGAGCCCCAGTGCCCCCCCCACATCCCCTCTGGGGATCCTGCTGCCCCAGGCCCTGAAGCAGAGTTGATGAGCAAGAAAGAACGAGAGAAGATATCCATTCCCAGAGACAGCCTCCCAGTTTACGAAAGGGAAACAGTCCCCAGGAGGGCAAGGGGCTCTCCCGAGCTCACACGGCAGGACTGCACGTCAATACTGGCCCAGGATTAGGACAGCATCCTGAGGGGGCTAGGGTGGGAGGAGGCCGAGTCCTCAGAATGGCTACCGCTCCCCGCCCCCCAGGGCTCTGTGGGATCTGCAGCCTAAGGGCAGTGGTCAGAGGGCAGTGTAGCAACCCAAGTCCCACCCCGTGCCAGCTAGGGCCCCTCCCCGGAACCTCCAAATTGGCTGGGGGAGGTTCTGGCCCAGCAGCTGGAAGACTCCCCCAGCTTCCCACACACTGTGCTGGGATGCCCCAGGCCCCAGAAGCCCGCCCCCAGCTTCTCTGGAGGCAGGAAGGGGTAGGACCCCAGGTCACTTCGTGGCGGGGAGGAGGAGTCAGGGCAGAGGAGAGGGATGGCGCTCCATGCAGACCGGCGATATTGGGGGACGTGCGGCTGGGTGTAGGGCCTTTGGGTACCGGATCCTGGCAGGGACTGGGCCAGGGTCCCAGGGGCCAAGGCAGGGCCAGAAGCCCCTGGTGAGGGGCACTGGCTCTGGCACAGGTACCAGGCCCCAAAGCAGGTGCTGAGTGCCATCGGAGCTGCCGCCACTCCATCCCGCACGCCCTGGGGCCTGTCCCGGGGGCAGAGGGGCAACGTCCCCAATATGGCCTCCGTCCTGAGAGCGAGCAGAGAACAGCGCGTGCAGGCAGCCTCCAGAGCCGGCGGCCCCGCGGACGACAACCTCTTCCACGGTTCCTATGCCTATGGCACTGCCCCGGCGTCCGAATCTACTCGCACTTTTCCCAGGAATAAGCAATGACTGGCAAGCAGCAGAGGGCGGGGGCAGAGAGAGAGAGACAGAGAGAGAGTCAGAGAGCAAGAGAGATGGTGGGAGGGAGACACAGAGAGGAGGAGAGGCAGGGAAAGGAGGAAGACAGACAGAAAAAGGAAGAGAACGGTGCAGGAGGCAATGGGAGAGATAGGGCCGGGGAAAGGAAGGCGAGAAGCACAAGGAGAGACAGAGGACAAGGGAGACGGGGGAGAGATGGACAGACAGTTACCCGGAGACAGGGACACGCGTGAGCCAGCGAGGGCACACCAGATGGGCACAGAGGGAAATCCAGAGAGACAGGGACGCAAGGACACAGACACAGGCCCAGGGAGGGTCAGAGACAGAGAAGGAAGCCAGGGGAAGGCCGAAAGGAAAAAGCGAGGGTGAGAAGAGCGGAGAAGGGAAGGAGGAGAGGGAGCAAAAAAGACAGGTGCAAGAAGGAAGGAGAAACAGAGAGCCAAAGGGCAGAGAGGCCACAGGACGGGGAAAGGGAAGGGAGGAGGGAACAAAAAAACAAGGAGAGAGAGTAGAATGAAAGGAGGAAACACAGAGAGAGGGAGAGTTGTGCAAAAACAAAACAGAAATGGGTCCGGTTACTGCCATGGTGGGTGCTGCTGGCCTGGTCCTGTCCCTGGGGCCCCTCTCGGCCACCCACAGGAGGCTGGGTCACTCTGGTGGAGAGGAAGGGAGTGGTTGATAAAACTGGGTTGGGGGAGGTTGGGCCTGCTCCTCGCATGACAGTGTGCTTGGTGACTGCTGGACAGCAGAGGTCGGGGAATTCCCTCCTGCCACGTGACATAGCCTCACAGCACTGAGCGCAGGGCTTGGCATGCAGTAGACAGTCAATAAAGGATGGATGGATGGATGGATGGATCGGTGGGTGGGTGGATGGATGGATGGAGATAGAGGGATGGATAGAGATGGATGGATGGATGGATGGATGGATGGATGGATGGATGGATGGGTGGATGGGTGGGTGGATGGATGGATTGATGGGTGGATGGGTGGGTGGATGGGTGGGTGGATGGATGAGTGGGTGGGTGGGTGGATGGGTAGATGGGTAGGTGGGTGGATGGGTGGGTGGGTGGATAGCTAGATGGGTGGATGGGTGGGTGGATGGATGGATGGGTGGGTGGATGGATGGGTGGCTGGATGGATGGGTGGGGAGCACAGCAGTGGGTGCAGTGTCCTGGGGTGGCCACTAGGCAGTGGACAGCAGTGAGGCCCACAGCCATAGGCCGTATTCATCCATGTGCCCAGCACTCCTGAGTGTGAGCAGCAGAATCCCAGAACCTGGACAACAGTCAGTGATCACACAGGAGGTGCTCCCTCTGGAGATGCTCACACAGAAGCCAGATTCCCGACACACAATAGGCAGCCACACCACAGAGGCCCTGGCTGCTGCGGACACACAGTAGGAGGTGCTCACAGAGAAAGTACCCACACAACAGCTCACTTCCTGACACACAGTAGGTGTTCACTGACATCTAGGGCTTATCACACACGATGTGCTCACATAGCAGTCCATTTTCTGACACACAGTAGGTTCTCACACAGCAGCCCAGGGCTGCGCACACAGTAGGCGCTCACAGAGTTGATGCCCACACAGCAGCCCAGGACCTGACACACAGTGGGTGCTCACAGGTACTCAGGGCCAGGCCCACAGTAGATGCTCACAGAGTGCATGTCCACACAGCAGCCCAGGGCCTGACACACAGTGGGTGCCCACAGCCCGACACACAGTAGGTGCTCCCAGAAACCCAAGGCTTGACAGTAGGTGCCCACACAGCAGCCCAGTCCCCAGCAAACAGATAGATACTCAATAAGGAATGAGACACAGAGGCTGTCCCAGGGCTGACCTGCAGGAAGTCACACCTCAATGCATAAAGGGCCAGGAGGAGGGGAGGGCCAAGGAGCTTGGGAAGGGGCTGCAGGCTGCAAGCTGTCAGCACCGCAGTGTCCTGGCCTGGGCACTTCACCCCCCTCCCATGGAAAGTAGTGGCTAGACCAAATCCAGAGCCTAGGATGGGCATGTGGGCAGCAGGGCAACAGAGAGAGTTGGAGTCAGGCCTCAGGAGGCAGAGGAGAGCTGAGGGCCCCCCAGGGAGGGGCCGGGGCCTGGGGAGGGGGAGGGCACTCACTATTCCAGCCGCCTTGGCCAGGTCGGGGTTGTTGGGCGCGAAGCTCCCGCTGTGGCTGGTGGACACGGTGTTGGGCTTCTTGTTGCTCAGCCCCATGGCATCCATGGACTGGCTGCGGCTCCGGATGACCCGCTGTGAAGGGGGTGGCAGTGGAGGAGGCACAGGATTCCTAAGGGCCGTCCCCTTGGGGAAACCCAGGAGCCCAGGCATCTGGTCTCTCCCCAGCAATGCCACTCTGGGTAAGCCCTGGAAATCCCTTCCCCTGGGCATGTGGCCAGCAGGGCAACAGAGGGAGGTGGGGCCAGGCCTCAATTTCCCTGTGCGTCACATGAGAAGCAGGTACATACGGGGCCTAAGGGTAGCTCAGGTATTGGCTCTGCCACCAACTTGCCGGGTGGCCTTGGGGACACCACTTCAGTTCTCTCACTCTCTGGGACACACAGGCTGCTCTGTGCTGAGTGTCCTCATGTGGCTGCGTAAGGACTGCAGAAGACACTGGGTCATGGCCAAAAGTGTGCACAGAGAGCCCTCTTGACACCTCAGTTTCATTCCTGTTAGGGCCTCTTAGAGCTCTCCTGCCTTCTTTCTTTTCTTCCCTCCCACCCTCTTTCCTTGTTTTTTTCAGACCAATCTACACCAAATGCTTGCTATGGGACCAGCGCTTTACAATCACTCTATCACTGGATCCCCCTGCAAGATGGGGACTAGCAATCATGCCCATTTCATGCCAACTGAGGCAGGGGTGAGCCCGGCATGCCAGGACCCATGCCCTCAACTCTGGACTCCGCTGCTTCTGAGAAATTCTTTGACCTAATCTAGGTCCACCGTCCAGCACCTACCAGATGTGGGACCATCGGAGCCCTCCTCAAAGGAGACACCCCAGATCCATATTGACCCCACCTGTCCTGTCTCCAGTCCCCAAGCCTCTTTCTCAAAGACGATCTGTTCACCTCAGTTCCTGGGCAGGCCTGGGCAGCCGGGCTAATTCCCTTATTCCAACCCATAGCTCCAGCTGTGTGACCTGTCCTGGGTTGAGGGTGAGGTGTGACCAGCCGGCCGGGAAGCTGGAGGATGGGCAGTTATCCTCCTGTGGGTGGAGGAGACGGTGGCAAAAAGGCTACCACCTGGGGCCCTGTGGCCTGAGTGAGTCCAGACCCTGTCCAGGAACTACTCCACTCCCCACACTTCTCATTTCAGACAACATTTGCTGAGGCAGACAGGCAAGGTTTTGCATTTTGCTTTTAAACTTGTATTGCACTAACCTAACTCTTTTACAGATAACAATAACTGTATGAGGCAAGTTGCCATTACCCTACTCAACAGATAAAGAAACTGATGCTCACAGAATGCCCAAGCTGGTAAGTAACAGAGCTGAAATTTGAAGTGTCCGTGCTCTTAATGCTAAGCTAAACCAGGGACAGGCAGGGTAGGTCACACAGGCCAAGTCCCTCTCCAATGATCATGGTTCACACACCTCTTCTGAGAACTCTATTTCTTTCCCTCAGTCAAGACAGAGCCTCTTCCTCTCTTCTCTTCCTGCTGACCTAGCAGCCTTTGTACCAGCAGCCCTTGCTGTCTCCCAGAATCCTCCACCCTTCAGCAGAATTCCCAGGTGAATTCCCCACCTAGGCCCCACCTCCAACAGTTACTCCTCCCCAAGCCAGGGCCCCACCTTACATGCTGCTCCTTCAAACTCTACCCAAGGCAGACTATGTCCCCAAGTGTAAGCCCATTCTAAAGCCCAAGTCCACTTCGAGCCCCGCCCTCATCCCAGACTAGAGCCTCCTCTAGCCACACCCCCACGCCATGTCCATTAGCCCCGGCCCCTGACTCCACCCCCAGCCACGTCCCATCCCAGACTCTACCCGCAGGCGAGCGGCCTCTAGCCACACCTCCACACCATGTCAATCAGCCCCAGTCCGGGACTTCGCCCCAGCCACGCCCCCTCTCAGACTCCAATGCGAACGGCCTCTAGCTGCACTCCCCATGCTGTGTCAATCCCCCAGTCCGGGACTCCACCCCCTCAGCCACGCCCCTTCTGCCAGACTCCACCCCCACGCCGTGTCCATCAGTCTATCAGCCTCAGCCCGGGATTCCGCCCTAGCCACGTCCCTGCTCCCCGGCCAGTTAGACCTGGGGCCCTTCACCTTGAAAGACTCAAAGAAGCCGCCGCCCCCACTGCCATTCTCCATCTTGTCCTCGTCGCCGCCCAAGCCCATCATGGACTGGCTGTGGATGTGTAGTTCCTCATAGAGCGTCTCCAGGAGGGCGGCCCGCGTCCGCTCCTGTGGGCCAGGCCCGGGCCGTCAGGAGGGACCCCAAGGATCAGCCCTTCGGCCCACAGTTCAAATCCTGGCCACCTTCTGAGGCACGGGCCACCTTCTCTGAATGAGTGGGGAGTGGGGAGGGCGGAGGGCTCCTGCACCGCCTTCCCCCAGGCCACTCCACAGCTCAAGCATCCCCCAGGGACCCTCATATGAAGGGCCCCTCAAAGCCCCTTCAAGATCTGGCTTCATGTCCCCACCCCCCAGGTCCACCCCCCCACCTGACAGGTCCCAAGGTGTCCCTGTCAGCCTAACCGCCTCCCAGCATCTCCTGGGAACTCCTCAGTATCCCTCCGGCTTCCTCTCCCCGACCTCCTACTCGTCCATCAATCCATCCAGCCCCAGGTGTCCCCGCTAAGGCCAAGGTCTGAACATGGCTTTTCCCTTCCCAGGGACAGGGCTGAAGTTATAGGTTGGAAGGTGAGAAGAGGGTCACCCAGCCCTCACAGCCCATCCTCACCTCCAGTTTGGCAAACTTCTCTGCCTTGTAGCAGGCATATTCAGCATTGATCAGCTTTGTCAGCAAAAATTCCTGGAACTCAGGCCCCTGGAAACTCCCAGTGTGGAGGAGATAAGGAAGGGAAGTTGAGATGACACATAAACAAGGGTCGGAACCCCAACGAGGCAGAGGCTGCAGCTCCTGAACCATGCTCTGCTGGGGCCTGGGGTCACCCTCTTCACTCCCAAAAGGGTATCTCCCTGGGCTCAGCTCCCCAGGTACCTTCAAGGGGCCCCAGTGCCCTTCATGGCTGCCCACGCCTTCGGGAGAGCAAACTCCACAGATGTTAGGGTCTGGGTTGGGGTCTCAACCTACTGCTTCAGTCTAGGGTAGCAGAACACGCTACGTACAGAGCTGAAGCCCAGGCTTGAAGTGTGCCCCTCCCCAAACATTTTAGAAGAAAGAAAGAGACTGGAACTGTCAGAAAGAGAACAGAAATGAGGAGAGGCCAGTCTACTATGGAAAGTGTAAAACAATCGTGTAGTTTATCCTGTGACCTTGTGAAAAAAAAAAAAAAGGTGTTTTCAAGATGAATGGAAAAGCCAGGCCCCGGTTGCAGTTAGGGGAGCCCAGCTGCCCTGGCATACAATGAGACTTTGGGACCTCATAAGGCAGAATGTGTATGCACCCCCCAGGCCCCCACCCATTTGTCCTGCTCTGCCCATGACTGGGGGGGTGCCCCTCACCTTCCTGAACACAGCGGGGTCCGGGAGGGGGGGTCCAAAGAAGGGCACATCATCTCTTGCAGTGACAGAGACCTGGAAGGGAGGGCAGCTGTCTGTTCCTGTGGAGCCTGGGGTCTGCTCTGCCCCACCCAGCCAGAAACCCCTACTGTGCCTCCCTGGACTGCCCCTTGGTCGGGGAGACCCAGTGACTGTGGGCTGGATGAATCTTTCTTCCAGAGATTTCTGCCCTCTATCTTTTGCCCTGAATTTTAGTGGTGGAGATGGGTAGGGGCCTTAGGAATCATCGGGATGGTGAAGGCAGAGGAGGCTACGGGAGGTGGAGGACAGTGATACCAGGCCAGGAGGCAGAGGAGGGAAACTGTCCTCTCTGAGGGGGTGAGCTTTGGGGACGACAGGGGGCGTGGTGTGAACAGTGCACCATTGAAGCCTTCCATGGTCCCCCCATTATAGCTGGAAAAAGTGAGGCTCAGAGGGGCATCCCAGGGAGGGCAGAGCTGCAGCCAGGGCCCTTGCTGATGCCCCTGGGAGGCTCCAAGAGCGCCCACCTTGTAGAGGGGGCCATCAGGGCCCCCGCCCTCAGCCTGCACCACGACGTAGGCATGCAGGAAGTTGGACGCGATCATGTCGGGCACGAAAGGAGTGTTCTCATCCTGGAAGACCACAGCCACGATGTCGTTCCCGATGTGCCGCTTCCGCTGCAACTGAGCACAAAGCCACGGGCCTTCGTGGTCTGGCCAGAGGGGGCCCATGGGGGAGAGGGGTGCCCACGGGGGTTTAGGAGGGTTTGGGGTAGTCAGAGGGCACATCTAAGGATTTGCTTTCCCCAAAATAATGTAGCAAAAAAACTTGTCTTAAAACTATTTTAGTTGAAAAATGGCCTGTTTGGAACAACGTACACTCTTTAGGTGATGAGGGTACACTAATATCCCAGACCTCACCACTATTCAATTCATCCATGTAACCAAAACCCACTTGTACCTGGATATCTATTGAAATTACAAGAAAAATTATTTTAGTTTTCTTGGGATGCTGTGGCAGATGATGATATCAAGGCCGAGAGAAGTGACTTGGAAGGTGCTATAATGAGCTATAATGAGCTTGGGGACTCGAGCCCAGGTCTCTTGGTCCCCAGACCCTACCTCTCAGCCCTTCTCCTATCTCAATGCCCCAAACATGGCCCCCAATTGAATAAACAAGCTCAACTTGGTATACATTCATGTTGCTAAAATGAACACAGACCCTTAGTAAACGAAAGTCAAAAGACACTAAAAATAAGGAATAGCTATTTCCATTTTTCTCACATTTCCTTTTATCCCCCTGGGCTGGGGACCTGACTGGGAAGGCAGATAGCCCTGTAGGAGGCTCAGGACAAGGGGACACGCTTCTGAGTTCAGTTCCTGGCACATGCCTTGCATGTCCTCGAGTCCAGGCCTTTGTAGAAGCTGTTCTCGCCACCTGGAACATTTCCCTTCCTTCTCCCAGCTCCTTCACGGACTAAAAGTCACTTTCTCTTGAAAGCTTTTCCTGACTCCCACCTCTGCCAAGACTACATGTCCCCACATGACCCCATGATGCTCTCCACTCCCCATAAAACACCAGCTCAGATCTGCTGAACTCTTGCAATGTACTAGGCACTGTTCTAGTCCCTCTATGCACCCACGCATTTATGCTCACCTAGGAAGTGGGTGCCATTCTGACTGTAGAAACCAAGGCTTTCTGTCTCCCCTGACCCAACGAGACCCCACAAGTGGGGGCGCTGATCATTTCCATCTCCATCCCAGGGCCCAGCGCTGAGCCTGGCGTGATGGAGGCTGAACAGACAGGTGGAGGGGGAGGACAGGTGGAAGACAGGAGGCAGGTGGGGGTGCCCAGGCTACCTGCTGGGCGTCCCCTTCCGTGTATGGCAGCTTGGTGGACACGTGAAACATGATCTCCTTGTTGCGGAAGTTGCAGTACACAGATTCGGTCCCCGTCTGCCCGTGGGTCACGTCCAGGCCTCCTCGGAACCTGCCCCGGGGCCCCCCAGGCCACGCCTCAGTCTCCAGCCCTGGCCAGGCCTCCATGGGGCCAGGACAGGGGCTCCCTCCCTGCCCAGGAGCACAAGTCAGATTACACTCTGCTCAGCCCACCCTAATACTCACCCCTTAAAGTCCTGCAGTTTGACCTTCTGGCCAAGAAATTCAAGGAACTCCACGAAAGCGGGACTTTCCTCATTGGTGCTGAAGAGTTCTTCCTCGGAGGTCTGGGGATGAGGGGCCAAGGTCATTGAGCTGGAGTTCCTGAGAAGCCCCTGCCCTCTGTCCCTACTTGGACCCAGAGAGGGCCGGAGGGAGGACCTCTGGCAGCCCCTGGGCTCCTGAGTCCCTTGGCCGGTGTGCTGCCCTGGAAAAGGTGTGAGGCTCCAGATATGGGGCCAGGTGGGGAGGGGCGGCAGGGAGGAGGTGAGCACACCTGCCCAAGCTTCTGATAAATGACGCCAAACTTGAAGTTATTGCTGATGACATGCTCGTCAAAGGTGACGATGAGCCGGGAAGCCTGCAGGAGAGGACGCCGGGTGAAGAGGCTGCGTGTGCAAGCTGCCATTCGACGTGCTCTTCCCCCGTGCCAAGCACTGAGCCAGGCGCTCTACACACGTCACGTCATGTGATTCTCAGAACAAGCCTGGGAGGGAGACAGTCCAGCTGTCCCCTCTGAAACTCAGGTTCAGAGACCTTAAGTGACTCACCTAGGGTCAATGGCTTGCAAGCACATGCAGGCTTGGGATTTGACCCCAGGTCTGTTGGATTCCAAAGCTTAAGTTCATCGCTCCTGAGTTTTGCTGTGAGCCCCAGTCCTGCCATGCCAAGCCCACCCCTACTCCACTCTAACTCCCAACTCACTCCTCGGCTCCTCTGTAAACCCACATCATCCTCCCAGAACAGGACACGTCCCACCAATTTGCTGTGGGCATTGAGCAAGTTCTCCTCCTCACCTTAGGCCTCAGTTTCCTCTCCCATAAGCAGGAGGGGGGCCCTGATTTCTGAAGCCCCTTCAGGATACCTTTCCTGGACCACACCACCTCACACTGCTCCAGAATTCAGTCAGGGACCCAAGGGTTTACCTGTCTGTCCTCTTCCAGGAGGTGCCCCTGGCTCATCCAAGGCAGAAGCCCGTGCCCCTATCCCCACACTGTCACAGTGCCTAGAGCCCAGCTACCAGCATCCGAGCAGGAAGTGCCAGGGCTATTCTCTCTCTATAGGTCTCCTCTGGGATAAAAAGGCAAGGCCGGTAGAAAAGACACCCATTCCAGGGGAGGACTATGGCACAGCTTGCTCTCAGGAGGGTCCCCAAACATCACAGAGGTTCCAGATGTGAGGCCAGCCTCTAAGGCAGACAAACCGAGGCTTAAACGCAGGCCCTCCTATCTGCTGTGCACCCTGGGGGAAGGCACAGGCCCTTTCGGTGGCTCCTCTTCTGCAAATTGTGGACTTCACAGGGTTATTGTGAGGATTAAATGAGAGAACCTTGGGAAAGTATCTGGCACACAGAAGGTGCTTAATAAATGCTCAGTCTTCCAGTTACTCACCCACCCTCAGTGAGCTGTGCCCAGATCCAGCCATACCTTGGGGTAGAGCACAGGATAGAACCGATCCACATTGACGTCTTCACACACCAACTGCAGGAGGAGATAAGGGAGGGGTGTGAGGTGTGGGGCCAGGGAGGAGAGGATGGGGCTGCCTGGGCCTCCCTGGTCAAGGTCTGGGGAGGAGCCATGCTGGGAATGGCCAAGGCTAAAGCAGGACTCGGGGTTCACTGTTGCTCAGGGAACGGAGGTCCCCTGAGATCTGAAGGTGCTATAGAGAAAACCAAAAGCACACAGGCAGGGGACGGGGGCCTAGGAGAACACGTGGCAGCCCAAGACACGATGGGAACAAGTGAGAGACAGCCTCAGGATAGGGCGGCAGGCCAGGGCTAGGGCCTACAGCTGAAGGGGACGCGCCAAGGCAAGCTGAAGCCCCACAGGTGCCCATCTGCGGAGCCAGCCCGGGAAGCTCAGCGGAGCGGAGACCTCACCTTTGCCATCTGGACAACATTAGGGAACTCGGTGAGGCAGGAGATGGGGATGACATCATGGTATGTCCGGCACTTGGTCCTGAGAAGAGAAAGTCACACGATGAAGGCCTGGGCAGCAGGACAGGAAAATGGGAACCCCACCCCCCACAAAGTAAGGCCAGAAGGGGGTGGACCACAGCGAGGACCAGAGGTGATGATGGGTGTCAGGCTGACTCGGGTACTAACTTGCTGTGCAACCTCAAGCAAATCCCTGCCCCTCTATGGGCCTTGATGAAGAGAGTGGGTCAAATGAGATGGGCTCTGAGATTGTAAGACCTCAGCCCTTCCTGCCATCTCAGGACTCCCCCACCACCCTCACCTGAGCAGCAGCCGCAGGTGCTCTTGGTCCCCGATGACATCGTACTTGAGTGAGAAGACAAGGTGGCCGAGGGCAGCGTCCAGTGAGTAGTAATTGAAATGCTCCTGCAGTGGGAGGTGGGGGCCAGGGGAGTGGGTGAGGCTGAGCATGGGGCTTTTGGAAACAAGGCCAGAAAGCCAACCCACTCCCAGATGCAGGTCCTTCGCCGATAGCAGGTGTCACGGCTGATAGCAGACCCCACATCAGACAGACCTGCACTCAAAGCCCCACTCTGCCACTGACCAGCTGGGCAGCCTGAGGAGGTCACTTGGCCGCTCTGTGCCTCACTTTCCTAGTCTGCCAAATAGGAGGGAACCCTGTACTTTGGTGGCAGCCAGGACTGAAAGGGATGAAGTGCTTGGCTCAGTTCAGTGAAGGTGGGTAGTAACGCTGGATCTCTGGGTGCTCATCGAGTCTGGACCATATTCGGACCTGCATGCCTGTCTTCAGCCCTGGTCCTTCTCAGGGCTGGGCACCCAGCAGGTGCTCAATGAGCAAAAGCTGATTGCCCAACCTGTGACTCTGTGGCCCCTGAAGCCAGGGCCCATGAGAAACAGGAAGCGAAACATCTCACAACACACAGGGTGGCTGGCCAGGCAGGTTTCCACCCTCCTGTCTCACCTGGAGGAGAGGGCACAGGGTTGGGAAGACACCCTGGGGAGTATCAGGGGTGGCTGCGGCAGGGATGGCACCCCCAGAGAGGAGCCCAGGGCTGGCACCTCCGGGTGGGGAAGTCCCAAAGCCGAGGGCTGGAAGTTCAGGGAGACACCACCCAGCCTGGCCCCGGGCTCCTCCTGCCAACCTCAGCCCCAGCCCTAGCCCAAGTTCTGGGAGTGGAGCTGGCTGCCCGGCCACACCCGCCCCAGGAATCATCCTAGAAGTAAATCCTGTTCAAACATGAACACCTGTGCTCAGAGGCCAGGAGCAGATAGAGGCAGGGACCAGTGAATGTGCCCCACGAATCCGCAGCTCAGGGGCATTCTCAATGGACCTGGGGCAGAGTCCCCCAGCTCTGCCTGGGCACAGAGTGGCAGAAACCCCCAAATGCTTGACATCATCCAGCAGAGAGGGAGTGGCAGGCACTTGATAAGGAGGCCCCTGGCAGGGAAGTCCAGAGAGTGGGGAGGTTCCTTGGACACCCCCAAGCCCAGAGGAGCCCCCGGGACACAGTGGGAGAGCGGGCTCAGGGTCCCAGGAAGTCAACGCCCAAAGTCATCCTAACCTCCCCTCTCTGCCAGGATAGGGCCCAGTGCCTGAGCACCTGGCTGCTTCCCCCATTACCCCACCTGGAGTCAGGAAGGGGCCCTGCCATTCTGCCAGCCCTGGGGCTTCTCCCTCATTACTGCTAATCTGATCCTGGACATGAAGCCTCTTCTTTTTTTTTTGAGATGGAGTCTTGCTCTGTCGCCCAGGCTGGAGTACAGTGGCACCATCTCAGCTCACTGCAATCTCCACCTCCCAGGTTCAAGCGATTCTCCTGCCTCAGCCTCCTGAGTAGCTGGGATTACAGGCGCCCAGCACCACACCTGGCTAATTTTTGTATTTTTGTTAGAGATGGGGTTCTGCCATGTTGCTCAGGCTGGTCTTGAACTTCTGACCTCAAGTGATCTGCCCACCTCGGCCTCCCAAAGTGCTGGGATTACAGGTATAAGCCAGGGCGCCCAGCTGCCTCTTCTGACCCTCCAGTCTGCACTTCTTCAGAGCCTGCTGCACTCGAGGTCCACTACCTTCATCTGTTCCTACCTTCATCTGTCACTTGTCACTCTTTCAACAAACTTTTCTGAGTACCAACCATGTGTTTGGCATATACAGTACCCTCAGATCCTACCACCTGCCAGACCCAGCTGGGAACCTCTGGACAGCAGGTGCCTAGGATGCAGGTCTCGCTCCACCTCTAGGGCTCAGCTGGGAAGTGGAATTCCATGCTGGGTTCTGGGTTTGTTCCCAGGCAAAGGCTCCTGAACCTGGGCTTGCTGGTTTAGTCCCAGTCACAGTGGATCCTCCCCTAACTCCATTGGTTAGCACCGGTGTCTCCCAGAGTTAGGCCAATGGCCAGGCCCAGACTGAGGTCACACATCTTCCGAACCCCCAAGGAGTCACCCCCTCTTCCCAACACACACACACACACACACACACACACACACACACACACACACACACACACACATACAATGACTAGGAGCATGATCTCTCCCATGCACCTTAATGGAAGGTCAGCCAAAGCTGGTTCAATTCCCAGGCTTAGTCATTGTGTGACCTTGACTAAATCATTTACCTATCTGAGCTTCGGTTTCCTCTTCTGCAAAAACAGAATAATCCTGATATCACCAAGTAATTATGAAGACATGAAAACAGCTAACATTAACTGAGTATTTACCATGTGCCAGGTGTGGTTCTAGAAGCTTTGCGTGTACTTTTATTATCCCTGTTTTCACCGACGAGGAAAGTTAAATAACTTGCCCAAGGTCACACAAACAGTTAATGGAAGAGCCAAGATTCCCACACATGCCACGAGGCTCCAGAGCCCACGACACACTTCCCCATTTTGGCTCTATGCTGACGAAGAGACAGCACCCGGCCTGCAACCTGACACACACATTCCCGGCATGGGACCTCCCCTTGGCTCCCACAACACTCTGACAAGTTGTTGCTGGGCAGGGTCCCTGCTCTGTGCTGGTGGTGGGGCAGGGGCTGCATCAACCCATGACATTACTGTTCTCCTAACTCCAAGCTGCCCAAAGGGAGGGCCTGGGTCTATTGTGTTGGCTGCTGTATACCTGGTGCCTAGAACAGGGCCAGGCACACAGCTAGTGCTCATTATTTGCCACCCCTGACTGAGCACTTACTTTGTCCCAGACACCACTGTAAAGACCTTACAGATATCAGCTCACTAAAGCCTCACAGCAACCTCAGGAGGTGGGTATCATTACCACCAACCACCATTTTCACAGATTAGGAAATGAGGCACAGAGAAGTTAAGCGATTTACCCGATGTCCTGTGTAGTGGGTGGCAGAGCCAGGATTCAAGCCCTGGTAGAGTCTCTGCCATGAACCACCATGCCATAATGCTGCCTTTGCAATCAATGTTGAATGAACAAGTGATTCTGCCATGCATGTTCCCTGGGGACTGGGAGTGTGTGTGGTGGGAGCACATTCACTCAGGGCTCTAGGACTGTCACCCAGCCCTGGCCCATGGGTTCTGCTCCCTCCCAGGCCCACCTCGAATGGGGCTGAACTGTGACCCACCCCAGCCAGCCCCGCTGCACCAGCCGGCCACCCACCTTGCCGAGAAAGTGCTTCCGGTAGATGCGGGCTGTGGGGTTGCACTCGAGCTTCACCTTGGTTGTGGGCGACTGCAGTGGCTCTGTCTCGGGGATGCTGGTGATTTCGTGGTTGGTGCCCTCAATCCAGTAGCCCCCAAACTGGGGCAGCAGGATGAGGGGGAAGGGTCCTTCTCGCCCCAAGACCTGAAGAGGGACTCAGCTGAGAGCCACCCCACACTGTACCCCACTGGGCGCCCCAGGACACCCTCCCAACTCAGACCTGGAGCCGCTTCTGTCGTGGCTAAGGGGTATGAGGGGACAGGCCAGAGCCTGTGTGGGCCCCAGGGTTCTGCTCCAGCCCTTTCCCTCAGCCAGACCCAGACAGCGCCGAGACCCAAGTCTCTAACAGGGGGTGTGGGGGCAGGTAGAGCTGGAGCATGACCTTGGCCCAGGAGGCTGGAACATTTGGCTCAGAAGGCCTAAGGGTTCAAATGGGCTCTGAGGCCTTGGGCCTGCAAATTAAGTCTCCAGCCCGCAGCAAGGCCTGCAGGTCAGGCTCCTAAGGAGGAGGACCTGGTATCCAGAAGCCCTGTGTAAGTGCCTCCTGGGCTTGAGTAAGGGTGGGCGCGGGGTTCTAGCTGAGTACCTCGTGCACGCTCGGGTATGGAATGTAGTCCTCCTCTGTCTGCAAAACACAAACAGGGCAAGGGTCTCTCCATCTGTCCATCCTCCAGTGCCCCCAGAGCTGGCCTCTGCTTGGCCAGCCTCAGGGCTGAGAGTGCGGATGGGGCCCTGGCCTCATCACCTCTTACAGATGGGCAGGGGCTGAGGCAGGCTTAGCGTGCTGAGTGCTGGCATCTTCTGGGGCTCTCCTTGCCTGGAGAAAGGAGGGCTCACTGCCTCCCCAGAAGAAACCGCTGGACTGCCTGGAGGGCTTGCTGCACCCCACCCTAGAGCTTTGGATGCAGCGGTCTGGGCGGGGTCTGAGAATGTACATTCCTCACAGGCTCCCAGGTGGCACCGACGCTGCTGGTGTGAGGGCCTCTGCCCCAAAGAGAGCATCAGGCTTACTGCCCATGCACCCTCCTCTAACCCTCACCCTGTAGCCCTGGGCCCACTCCACCAGGCCTGGTCTTCTAGGGTCTCTGGGATCTCTCACCAAGAACCATATGCTAAGAAAAGTGGGTCAAAAACAAGAGCCTCCCCCTCATCTCGCTGAGTCCCCTGCCTCCGGTCAGTCTCCTCACCAGTGGCTGGGGGGCACCCAGGCCTGCCTCCCTATCACTCCCTCCCCATCCAGACAGCAGCTTATGGAGCAGGAGCTCATAAGTCTCCTAGGGCCTGAGTTGGAGTCTTCCTGCAACTGCTGGTCATCACTGGTTTCAGGGAAAACATTTGGCAGCAGCTGTCTTTGAGAGAGGAGGGCTTTGAGTTTGGGGTGGGGACGCCTGGAGAGGCAGGGGGAGTCTGCAGCAGTGAAGACCGAGAGGAGGAGCTAGAATAGAGGCCCCAGCCCTCTAGCAAGAGAGGGGTTCTCCCCATCACAGAACTCCTAGAGGGCAGGGGCTGGGTCTACCCTGCTAGAAGCTGTGCCTCCCCCCCTACCCCCGCACCTGGCACACTGTAAGACTACTTGCTGAAAGGGGATGGATTTCCTGCTTGATGGGCAGTGGTGGCAGCACTTCCCGGACCCCCTCCACCCCCTAGAGAGGGAGGCAGACTGCCAGGCCCACCTACTTTGAGGGGCGGCGGGAAGGAGCAGCGTTGTTCATCCATCCTGCTTCCCTGTAAGAGAAGGCAGCACTGTTACACCCTCCCAGGCCTGCCGCCAGGCGCTGCCTCCCCTCCCCAAGGCGTGCAAGGGGAAAGCCCTAGGAGGCGGCCCGCGAAGGTAGGGGTACTCCCAGGGCAGGGTGCTAGCTGGCTGGGGGCCCTGGGCCTGTCTGAAGGGCTGGCTGTCCCGGTAGTGACCGGGGCTGGAGGCTGGCAGCCTCAGGGAGGGCTGGGGACTCTGCGGGAACGCACGTGCCGCTGGGAGTGGGGGCAGGGGAGGTGCACATGCCGGTGTGCGAGCTGGCGGGTGGGGGGACTGTTATCTACACAGATATGTGTTGAGGGAGAGAGGGGGAGGGAGAGGCAGAGACGAGACAGAAAGACAGAGAAATAGGAGGCATTGGAGAGAGAGACAGAAAGAGAAACAGGAGGCATCAAAGATCAGAGGGTATTCAAGGCACTCCCATCCCAGCACCCCCGGCCCACCTCCCATGCATACCTATGTGAAACGCAGACGGGGCTGTGGGGTGGAGGGTGGAGGGGTAATACCTCCCACTCCTGCAGCACAGTCTCTGGCTGACAGGCCCCCAGCATCTGTCCCCTCCTCCAGTTCCATTCCACCTGGGCCCCCCACCACAAAGCCTGCGGTGTCTCTCACTGGGTGAGAGGCAGTGTATGTCTGTGGGGTGGGTTGATGAACTGACCCCAGCCCTGTTGCAGTTCCACACAGGGATGGGAGCTGGGAGCCTAGATGGACTCCGGCATCAGAGATGGGGTTGGGCATCCTCTACCCTGACCTCCAGACAGAGGACCCTGGACAACCAATAGCCACCATCTTCTACTGGCGTGGCCTGTCCTCAGGGAGGTGAAGGGCTGGAGATGCAGCAAGGGCCCCCCAGCCCCAGCCCAGCCAGCTCTGTGGCTCCCCAGAACAGGCCACAGAGCCATCCTCACCTGCATCTTCTCAATCATCTCAAATAGATCTGTGTTCTGCAACAGAGACAGGGGAGAGCGAGGTCAGCTGATCCCGCCAAGCCCCAGAGGAGTCTCCACCCGCCCCGGCCCTCCGGGTCCCACCAGCTCTGATCAGTGACCGAGGCACCTGTCTGAGTAGCAAGCGGGAGTGACGGGAGCATCGTGGGAGGGGGTTCTGTGTGGGAGAACCACAGGGTCTGGCCGATTGCCAAGTGAGGTGAACCCAGAGCCTAGGGCCCAGGGCCAGAGCCACCCACCCACTCAGTCCTGCTCCCTGACGGGCTGCTACCCTTGGGGAGGGACAGATCGTCCCCAAGTCCCAGCTGCAGAGATGAGCCCATCCTGGATCCCCAGGAGGGGTCTATGCTTCTCCCCACCTCTCCCGGAAGGGGGCAAGGCTCAGTCAACCAGGCTCAGGCCACAGCCCACTGCTCAGACAGCCCACCCCTCTCCAAGGGGAGTGAGCTGGGGGTGCTTCAGGGAAGAGGACACTGGGATGCCCAGCGGCCCAGCACCTTGCATGAGCCACCTGAACCCTCGCACACTCGAGCTACCCTCTCCCGGGTGAGCCAGGGCACACGCAGAGTTAATCCGGTGTCTGCCAGCTGCGCTTGGCAGCCCCGGCCTCTCCAGCGCCAACTCCCTGCGAGCCTTCCTGGAAGGCGGCATCCCTGCCGGCTGGCCCGGCTCGGGGCTGGGCCTGGGAAGCCCCCAGAGCCTCCAGGATGGTGACCCTCCCCCTGCCCCTCCAAGGCTCAGCTCAGGCGGCTCCTGCTGACACATGTGCTATGGAGTTGTACACCAGGAAGCACGCACACTCTCTCTCTCTCTCTCTCCATCTTTCTCCCTCCCCTCCTGCTCACACACACAGAAGCCTGCACACCAATATTTAAAGTCCCACTGCACCACGTATATGTTTCGTGTACCAAGAAAACAACACACACAAACACATATGATGGGGACTGTGCACAGTGATTCTTAGAGCTATATACTAACACACAAATATACACATTGGCGTTCTGAGTTACACAGGAGCACACCCACTCAAACACATGCAGGTCCAAGTACCAGGAGAGATACACACACAAATGCAAACCCACACCTGTGCAGGTCTGCACACCAGTAACTGCACACAAAGCTATGGTAACACCACAAACCACTCTCGTGTGAGAACAAGAGGCATGACAACACGCAGCCACAGAGGCGGGCAGGTGTGTCCAGGGAGACCCAGATGCAGCCCCACTCATGGCTACAAGCCCTGCCTGCCCCGGCAGGGTCACATAACAACAGTAAATGAGACTCAAAAGGTATCCAGCAACTGCAGGGGTAGCTAATCCCCAAGGATGAGGGCCACGGTCTAAACCTCACACAGCCCTCACCCGCACACACACACAGAGCTCTGGGAAGGGTCACAAGCCCATATAAATGTGCACACTGTGAGGCCTGCCCATAGAGGCAAGGCCCACCTTGTAAAACCCACCACAGGAGTCCATAGGACACCTTGACCCATGGTCACCTATGGTCACACCCAACACCTCTGCATTTGAAAGAGACAATTCCGCAGGCAGTTACTGCAGAAACCACAGACACACACCTGAAGTCCAGGCAGACAAACATGCCTGTCAACACAACACACTGTATGACAGCAACTTTGGCTTCTGTGCCCAGGTCAGCCACACAACCTCAGCTGGGCATGACCCCAAAGAGTCACACTGATGATGGGTGCATTAATGTCCCCCATTAAGACACCCCACTCAGGGTGACCAAACGTAGCCAGGAACACTCTAATACACCTTGTTGCATTGGGAATCAGTCACATAAACACTGACACATGGTCCTGTCACCCAGAGTGTACACACAGCAACAAGCAACACCCACAGCTACAGCCTCAGAGGGAGCAGCAGACGCCCTGACACACGCGAGGGCTCTGAGAGATGGGGTCCAGATGGGGGGTGCCCCACATGAAAGCACCACCACAAAGTGGCCCTGGAGCATTCAGAGCCCCCCAAACGGGGCAGGGGCAGGGTAAAGTGGTCCCGACGGTAGCACGCACCCACACACACCCTGCCGCTGCAGCCCAGAGCCACAGTGCCACCCGGGAGGCCACAGCAAGAGCCCCAGGGTCCGGGACCCCAGGGTAGGGGTGCGCCCCGTGGCCAGTGTCAGCCCAGAAGCTCACACGCCCACCATGACGGAGCCTTGTCCGCCCGCCCTGGCTGGGGCAGAGCCGGCCGGGCTCCCCAGCAGTCGGGGTGACCCAGCCCCGGGGTCCCTCCGCCATGCCGCCCCGCCCGGGTCCTCACCTGCCAGCTGGCCCCCGCGGGCAGCGAGCCCCTCCGCGGACGGCCGGGTGGCACCGCGGGCCGCAGCTGTGCCATCCTGAGCGCGGCCCGGCCCGGCCCCCGCCGGGGCGGCACTTCAGCTGGCCCAGCCGGCTCCTGGCCCGCGCGCGCCCGGGTCCGGGCCCCGCAGCGCTGAGCTCCGCGCTCCCGGCTCCCGGCGGCGGCGCTGCCTGCGATGGGCTCGCCCCACGGCGGGGCCCGGAGGGGGCGGGGCGCCAGGTACGGGCGGCACGGCGCGGGGCGGGGCGGGGCGGGGGCGCTGAAGCCACGCCCCCCGGGCGGCCCGGCCCGCGGCCCCGGGACACCGCGCCTGCGCGTTCCGGCCCGAGCGCTAGAAGCTTTGGGTGCGTCGGGCTCCCCGAGGGGGCCCCCCACTCGGTTCTCCCCAGCGCGCCCCCACCTCACTTTCTCCATCTTCCCAGGCTCTGGGTACCCCGCCTCGGCATCAAGGACAGGGTTGGGTTACCTTGCAGACAGAGGGCTTTTCTTGAGCACCTACTTAATGCTGGGCCCTTCGCATGTGTCGTAATCTCGTCACAGCCCAGGAGGTACAAATGTCATCTCCATTATACAGATGAGAAGCCGGTTCCAAGAGGTGAAATAGCTTGCCCGAGACCACACAGTCAGGAAGAAGTCAAAGTGGAATCCAGAGAAAGGCCTGGTGCTACTCTTTGGGGTCTGTCCCTTTTCCTCCTCCTCTCCTCCATCCTGCTTCCCATGCCTCACAGTGGCTGGCCTGCTCCGTCCCTTCCCCCGCCCTAGCTGCCCCAGATCCTGGGGGAGATGGCCACAGCACCTAGGGAGGGGCTGCCAGGCCCGTGGTATGGAGGAAAGGACCCAAGTAGATTTTGGGACATGTGGATTCTAGCTACAACTTGCTGAGTGGCCTTGAGTGAGTCCCTGCCTCCTCTCTGGACCTCAGTTTCCCCATCTTTAAAATATAAGGACTCTGTAGGCCCTTCCAGCTGGCTCTGCAGTGTGTCCCTGGCCTGGTATAGCCACTGTACAGCAGGGACAGGGACAGGGCCTTGCTACCACTTCCTCCAGACAGATGTTGGGAACACAGCAAATGCTTCCTGAACTGTGGCCAAGCAGACACAGCTGCTTTGGATGTTGCGGGGGCAGGGCTGCCCACCAGCTCAGAGCCATACCTCTGTTCAGCTTCCTGAAAGAGCTGCCAGTGGCTGCCCACCACCCTCCAGCCCCAGAACTAAGGGCTCCTGGAAGGAAAGCACTGTGCCCTCCCTTTCCCCCTAGACCTGGCCTTGAATCAGGTTTGGGCCTGGAGAGCCAGCAGGAACTCTGGAGATGGGTGTTCCAGACACGGTGTAGCTTTGGTTTTAATAATTAACAACAGCAAATATTGATTTATGCAGCCACTTCCAGGCCTGAATGCTTCCGGGCACCCATCGAAATCCAGCCAGAGAAACATCCATTCCCACACTGCCCCCGGGGGAGGCGAGACCTGCTCACAGCACTGGAGATGGCTGTGTGCCAGGTGGCATGGAAGGTGTGTGCACATATGCGTGCAGCCATGTGTGCGTGTGTGTGAGACTCCACGACCGGATGTGGCTGTATGTATGTGGGCATACTGTCTTTCTGTGTGTATGGGAATGCCTTGGTATGGGAATTTGTGTTTGTACATGTGTATCTCATGCATGTGCAAGTCTCTGAATATATTTACAGACCAGTGGCTGTGGCTGTGTGTTTTGTGTCTGTGACTCTGTCCCCATATGTAGGTGTGGGTAGGCTGTGTATGTACGTGTGTGCAGGTTTCTGAATCCCCGAGTGGAGAAACCCCTGTAGGGAGGAGGGAAGGAGGGTCCTGGGTAGCTCGATGCCTGTACAAATGTGGGGCCTGAAGGGAGGAGAATGTCCCTTCTGGGTGCCCTGTCCAGCCCTGGGAATGTAATGACGCTGATAAGAGCTCAGCTTCCTAATTTCTACTTTCCAAAGTACTTTCACCCAATTGCAAGCTGGCAAGGCAGGTAGAGAAGAAACTGTCACCTCTGTTTTACAGATGAGGAACCTGAGGCCCAGAGACGGGCAGGGATTTGCCCACTGGCAGAGGAAGGTCACCTGCCCTTCAGATGGATGCCATCCATGTTATAAATGTGCACAGAGCTAGGGGCACCAGGGGAGGGGAATGGAGAATATGTCACAGGCCTGTGTTCCCTCAGCCCAGCACTGGCTTGCTGGAGACCCCAGATGAATCATTCAGTCTCTCTAGCCCCTGGTTTCCTCTCCTGTCAAAGGAGGATGGTCCACAGACTCTTGATTCTGAGGTGGGGGTGGGCTGTCGGGAAGGGAAGGTTCAGAGCCCGCTGTCTGAGCTGTGTTGGCACAAACGGAGGCTTCTAGCCAGACTGGGTGGAAGCCAGGAAGCCCGAGGGGAGGCAGCTTTTCAATAATCCGAGAAGGCCAACCCCAGGCTGTCTAGCACGCAGGGCCCAGGGCTATGGGCTGCTCTCTCTCTCTCTCGTCTCCTGATGGGAAGACTGAGGCCCAGGGAGGGGAAGCTGTGGTCCGAGGGCATACAGCCCTTGGTGAGAACCCAGGGCTCCTCCTGAGATGCTCAGGGGAAGAGGGACTGGGAGCTTCATTCATGAACCCAGCTGTCAAGTGAGGGCTGCCATTGAGTCTCTCCCTTCCTGCCAAGCCCCGGATCCACATGCCCCAGTCTTGGGCTGTTGCCCAGACAGAGAAAACAGGAGTCAGTCTCAGGAATCTCCTGCTGCTGCTCCCAGCAGCCCCACGTGGCACCCCCATGAAGGTGGTGGCCCCACATATGGACACCATTCCTTGGCCATCTGCCCTCCCAGCCTAGGCAAGGTACGTGGCCTTTATTCCAGGCCAGAGCTCTCAGGGAGGAGCCTGGTGGATTTTGCCTCTGCTATTTTCTGGCTGTGTGACCTTGGGAAGACCACTTTACTTCTCTGATCTCCTGCATCCTCAACTAGATAATGCCTACTACCCAAGGTTTACTAAAAGGACCAGGTGGCATGATGTCTGTGGGTGTGCTTTAGAAACTGCAAAAAGTACTGCAAAAGTGAGAGCTTGTCACCCCTGCATCAGAGAGGCCCTAACACCAGGCCCTCTGGTCAGACAGCTTGCATCCGGTCGTGGCCCCACCACATCCAACCTGAGTGACTTCGGGCAAGTGACTGAACCTCTCTGAGCCTCAATTTTCTCATCTGCAAAATGGGACTGATTATAGTAGCTATCACATAGTCCAAGGATGAGATGAAATACTGCAAATAAAGCATTAAGTACTCTCTTAGTACACAGTAAGTCTCAATAAATATTAGAGGTTATTTCTGCTATTTGATGTCCTGCATACATTGTTCAGTTATCTATTGCTTTACTGGACTGTGGCTCCTTGAGAGCAGGATCTGTATCAGATTGGTTTCTGGTCGCTTGGCACCCAGCACAAGGCTTGGCATGAAGCAGGTACTGGGCAAACGTTTGATTTTAACGATAATGATAGAGGCTCGTTGACAGGGCTCTTGCTCTGTGCCGGATGCTGTGCCTGGGCCGCCCTGTCTGTACTTTGCAGCAATCTTCACAATGACCCTGTGAAGTGGGTCCTCTCATTGCACCTGGTTTACAGATAAGGAGACTGATGGTGACGTTGATTGTGGAGATGATGAAGATAGCTGGGGGGCTGGTTTATTCCCAGCTGTTTTGCTTAGATTCGCCCTAAGCCCCTCCCTGCCACAGTCTACAGACCTAGGTTCAACGTTTGTGACTGCACCAGCCTCACCCCGGGCTCAGGAGTGGCAACCCCTTAGGAGCTAAACCCCATCAGCATCTGCCTGAACATTTTACCTTTGCCCAAAAGTCATTCTTGGGCCTTTCCCAGCCCTGGGCATGTGTCGGAGGTAGGGGGCAGACCAGGGGCCGTAGGTATGGAGGGGGACACTTACCTTAGGGTAGAGTGAAGGAGTATAGGAGGGAACTAAGTTCACTCGTGACAGGTCTAGTGCCTGAGGGAAGTGCTGGTTCTGCCCATCGCTCCTCCTGGAAGAGAAAGAGTCTGAGGTCAGGGAGAGCCCCAAGCCAGGAAATTTGGGAACTCTGGGAGAGTCACTCTCAGAGCTGGGGGATGTGAGGGAGGATAGACTTCACGGAGGAGAGGGTCATGGGTTCCCCAAGAGGAGGGAGAGGAGGGGCTTCATTAGCAGGGCTACCACACAGGCTTCTCCTTCCCCGGAGATCAGAGACGTGGACAGGGTCTCTCCCCAAGCTCTCCATTAGGCCTCCAGCCAAGCAGTGACCTACTCTGAAGATGAGTAGACTGAGGCAGGGGCACTGAGGGTTGCTGTGGAGGGTGAGCTTTCTGGACTAAGCAGGGTGCCCCCGCCTCTACAATGGACCCCTCCCTGAGCCTCTGGGAGTAGCCGCCTTGGCATTGAGGGGCTACCAGGGCTACCGCTATTACGAATGACAGTGACCGTGACCATAACTGACGCTCATTGGGCCTACCACATGCCAGGCCCTGTGCTGAGCCCTCGTTCTAGGCCCGAGGGCATGGCCTCCTCACCACACTGGTATTCCCACTTTACAGACAGGACCCAGCTGTGCACAGAGGTCACACGGCTGGCCGGCAGCAAAGCTAGCATCTGCATGAGACCTGCCTGAGTCTAAGCCCGGACTCTCTGCCCACACCACACCCTTCCCTGAGGAAAGAAAGCAGGTCTGGCGAGGGTGAAGTCAGCTCCTATCACCCTAAAAAGCCTGCCGAGGCCACCTCTGGGGCAGGGAGAGGAAATGCCCAGTGGTTCCCGGGATCCTGGGGCTGGGCAAGCAGGCCTGGCTTCCGCTGCTGCCTAGGGCCACCCTGACGTGGCTGCACCTCTGCTCAGGTCCCATCAAGAGAGGCTGGTCCCTCGAGGGTGACTCAGATGATCGCTGGTGGCCTACAGCAGGCTTGAGTCAGGCAGAGCCGGGGCTGCCACACCCCAAGAGGGGAAGGACCCGAAAAAGTCTGGCCCAGGAAGAAGACTGAGAAAGCTGTGAGCCTCCCTTCTTCTTTTTTTTTTTTTTTTTTTTTTATGACAGAGTTTCGCTCTTATTCCCCAGGCTGGCGTGCAAATGGCTTGATCTCGGCTCACTGCAACCTCTGTCTCCCGAGTTCGAGCGATTCTCCTGCCTCAGCCTCCTGAATAGCTAGGATTGCAGGCATGCGCCACCATGCCTGGCTAATTTTGTATTTTTAGTAGAGACGGGGTTTCTCCATGTTGGTCAGGCTGGTCTCGAACTCCCGACCTCAGGTGATCTGCCCGCCTCAGCCTCCCAAAGTGCTGAGATTATAGGTGTGAGCCACTGCGCCCAGTCTGAGCCTCCCTTCTAATTCCACTCAGCCCAGCTACTCCAGCAGGAGAAATGGCCCGGAGGAACCATCCACAGCCCCACTTATGCACTGGAGGCCTCTCCACCTCCCAGGAGTGATGGCATCTTACAAGAGGGGTCTGCGCTGGGCAATGCTTGACCCAAAAGGACAGATATGGTGGCAGTGGCATTTCAAGCCTGTGGCATCAGTGTGGGGGAGATAGTCTCAGACACTGACTGGCTAGGTGAGCTTGGGTTAGTGACACAGCCTCTCTCAGCCTCAGTTTCCAAAAACATTCATCGCAGAGCCTGGGCAGCTCATGGGAATTCACTCAATGAAAACTTTCACATCATTTGTTCATGGTAAACTCTGGCTCCCCAAGTTTCACTATTTGTTGAATGACTGAATGAATGAATGAAGGTTGGGAGTCACTGAAGGGTTGTGAGCAAAGGAACATCCCTACGCACAGGTTCCTGCATATTGCAGGGTACACTGACATGGGGAGAGTCTGGAGTGGGAGGGTGGGGACTAAAGAGAGGTCCATAGAAATAGTTACCGGCAGGCTGGGCGTGATGGCTCACACCTGTAATCCCAGCACTTTGGGAGGCCAAGGCGGGCAGATCACCTGAGGTCAGCAGTTCAAGACCAGCCTGGCCAACCATGGCCAATATGGTGAAACCCCATCTCTACTAAAAAAAAAAAAAAAAAAAAAAAAAAAAAAAAATACAGGCTGGGCGTGGTGGCTCACACCTGTAATCCCAGCACTTTGGGAGGCCGAGGTGGGCAGATCATGAGGTCAAGAGATCCCGAGAACATCCTGGCCAACATGGTGAAACCCCGTCTCTACTAAAAATGCAAAAATTAACTGGGCATGGTGGTGCACGCCTATAGTCCCAGCTACTTGGGAGGCTGAGGCAGGAGAATCGCTTGAACCCGGGAGGCGGAGGTTGCAGTGAGCTGAAATTGCGCCACTGCACTCCAGCCTGGCGACAGAGTGAGACTCCATCTCAAATAAAAAAAATACAAAAATTAGCTGGGCACAGTGGTGGGCACCTATAACCCCAGCTACTTGGGAGGCTGAGGCAGGAGAATTGCTTGAACCTGGGAGGCAGAGTTTGCAGTGAGCTGAGATCACACCACTGCACTCCAGCCTGGGCTCCAGAGGGAGACTCCACCTCAGAAAAAAAAAAAGGAGGGGGGAAGGGAGGAAGGGAGGGAGGGTGGCTTCCAGGCAATTCCACTGAGGCTCCCATGGGGACTCTTTAGTGAGACCTACTATGTGACTGGGACTGCGTCAAGCATATACTCTCCCCCAACTACTGTGCAGGAAGGTTGGTGTTATTTCTCTCCATTTTCACAGATGGAGAAGCTGAAGCTCAGAGAGGTGAAGCCACTTCCCCTAGCGAATGGGGGATGGAGCTGGAATTTAAAGTACATGCCCTAGAGGAAGTAGGGATCCTGCAGTGGGGTGGAGGGCAGAGGCTGCCTGGGGGTCAGGAAGTCCTGGGGTAGAAGCCCGGTAAAGCTGGAGTGCTGGGTGCGGCCGTGGCTGCCCAGTGGCGGCTGTTGCTTGTGATCAGGCTAGTCCAGCGGTGCCCTTCTGTCTTCCCCTAGGCTCATATGATAGCCATGCAGCAGTCCCTGACAAACCCCCTTCCAGAACCCTCTCTGCCTCAGTCTCCCCATGTGTAGGTGTCCATTTCACTCAGGATTGCTCATGTGGGTGCAGAACCAGAGCGGCCTCTGAAGGCCAGGGTGCTCTGGCTTGCACCTGGGACCCCATCCCAGGGCCCTTGGCTCTCCAGTTCCTGGCTGGCCACAGTCCTGTCCCCCGAAGGCAACTCCACCTAAAAAGCCACTGCTGAGGCCGTAAGGGGCAGGGGAAGGGAGGGGCTCCAGGATGGGGACAGAGAAGGAAACTGGAGGCTCTGGGCACTGCCTGTCCATCCATCCCCAGACCTGAAGGGGTAGAAGAGGGACAGGAATGACAAAGCCACGTCCTGCCGGGCGTCTTGCATAATCTAATTTAATCCTCACAGTTCCCCAAAGAGGCAGATGTTCAGAAACCTCCTGCTTTCCACACGAAGCTCAGAAAGGTGCGTTAACTTGCCCAAGCTCACACAGGCAATGAGGCAGGCCAGGCATTTGGACACAGGTTTGTTGACTTCAGAGCCCAAGATCTGAACTTTATAACATGTACGTCCAATCCTGTGGACCTCCCCACAGAGCCTTACGACTTCCAGCTCAGGAACACGATCCAGCACCTCAAGTCAAGTCGGAAAGGTAATAGTAACAACAGCAACGGCCGACACAGCTGATACAGAGCTTACTATGTGCAGGCTCTGCTCTACTTTATTGTATTAACTCATTTAATTTGCATTTTTCAAAGGAGGGAACTAAGACACAGAGAGGTTAAGTAACTTGTCCAAGGTCACACACAGTAAATGAAAGTCTGAAGATTTGACCTCCCCCAACATCTGGTTGCAGTGCCCTTAACACTATACCACTGACACTTAGTAAATAGTAGTTGCTCAATAAATACTTTTTTCTTTTTCCCTTTTTTTTTTTTGTTTTTTGAGACAGGATCTTGCTCTTGCTGCCCAGGCTGGTGTGCAGTGGCGTGATCAAAGCTCACTGCAGCCTTAAACTCCTAGGCTCAAGCCATCCTCCCTCCTCAGCCTCCCAAGTTGCTGGGACTACAGGCACCACCATGCCCAGCTAATTTTAGTAGAGATGAGGTCTCCCTATGTTACCCAGGCTGGTCTGGAACTTCCGGGCTCAAGAGATCCTCCCACCTCAGCCTCCCAAAGTGCTGCGATCACAGGAATGAACCACTGCCCCTGACCTTTTGTTGTTGTTAAGAAATGGGGTCTTGCTCTGTCACCCAAGCTGGAGTGCAGTGGCATGATCATGGCTCACTGCAGCCTTGAACTGCTGGGCTCAAGTGATCCTTCCCCCTCGGCCTCCTAGTAGCTGGGACTACAGGTGTGTGCTCGGCTAATTAAAAATAAATTTTTTGTTGTTGTTGTTGAGATGGGTGTCTTGCTGTGTTGCCCAGGCTGGTCTGGAACTCCTGGCCTCAAATAAGCCTCCCACCTTGGCCTCCCAAAGCACTAGGATTACAGGCATAAGCCACTGCACCTGGCCCCAATAAATACTTTTGAAGCAATGAATGAAAGCCTCTTCCCTCCTCACCAGCCCTCTGCCCTTCTCTGCTTCACGTCCTTTCCTGCTCAGCCTTCCTCACCAGCTCGCCCATCTCTGCCCCACCTTTCCCAGCACCCCTCCAATCCCCTTCTTCCTCTGGCCTCTGCAGACCACCCACAATGTGGTCGTTTCCTCCCACTTCACGAACCCGAACCTCTCTGTCCCTCCCCTTCTCTCTCCTATCCCACCCTGGTCTCCTCCTGGTCTTCTCCATTCAGTTCACATCATGGATGTCCCCCTGGTCTCTATCCCTTCCCCACGTCTCCAAAAACCATCCAACCCCCTGGCCTGGCTCAGCTTAAAATGCTTTGCATTCCTCCTGGGCGGCAGCAGCTGCGGGGAGCCCAGAGCATGCCGGGACATGGGGCGCTCTCCCCTCTCCTCCTTCCCCCTGCCATGACCGTGGTCACATCTGTGCAGCACCCTGGAGCTTACACTGGCATTGTCTCATTCCAGAGCCACAGCAACTTATTAAAAATCCAGATGAGGCTGGGCACGGTGGCTCACACCTGTAATCCCAGCACTTTGGGAGGCTGAGGCGGGTGGATCGCCTGAGGCCAGGAGTTCGTGACCAACCTGGCCTACATGGCGAAACCCCATCTCTGCTAAAAATACAAAAATTAGCTGAGAGTAGTGCCACGCGCCTGTAATCCTAGCTACTTGGGAGGCTGAGGCAGGAGAATCGCTTGAACCCAGGAGGCGGAGGTTGCAGTGAGCCGAGATTGCGCCATTGCACTCCAGCCTGGGCAACAAGAGCAAAACTCTGTCTCAAAAAACAAAAACAAAAACAAAAAACAAAAAAGAAATCCAGATGAGATATAAACCTTTTTTCCAGATGAGAAAACTGAGGCTCAGAGAGGTTCAGTGACAAGCCCCAGGTCGCACAATGGGAAAGGGCAGGGCTGAGATGTGACTCCAGTCCAGTGTCCCTTCCACAGCGTGCATCCCACTGTCCTCAGCCCAGGCCCTCAGTCCCGTCACCTGGCCTCCTGCCCCATGACCTCCCATCACGGCCCTGGCTCCTGCAGCCACCGCCAAGCGCCTTCCCTAGGCCCAGCTCCGGCTCTGCTCTGTCTGGCCTGGACACCTGCACGCTGCCTCCTCTGACACATGAAATGGGAGCAGCCAGAGAGGAGGTGACCCGCCCAAGGTCACATGGAAAGCTGGAGCCAACCTGGAGTCTGGGCCAGGCACATTCCGGGGTCACCTTCAGCCCCTGTGTCTGTGTGGCAGCTATCTCTCCCTCTCGGGGAGAGCACCCATCTTTTCCAGGGAAAGGGTGAAGCAAGGGTGTGGGGGAAGGGCCCAGCTCCTAAGTGGGATGGGCCCGGCCGGAAGCCGCTGCTGACAGCTCCCCGGTTTCTTGGCAACTGTCACTGCACCTCCTCCCCCTCCCTTATCTCTGCATCGAGGTAACAATAATAATCGCACCATCGTGAGTGCAGTTCTTTGTACTTTTCAAAAGCCTTCTTTATCTGCTCACTCCTGGGACTCTCACCGGAACTGGAATGGAGATAAGGCAGTCACTAGGATCCCCAATTGCCAGCAGGGCAAACTGAGGCTTGGAGAGGTGAAAACACGACCTCAAAGTCAGCCAATAAGGCCGTGAGCAGCAGATCAGGGATAAGAACACAGGCCTTCCACCAGTCCAGGGTGGGAAGATCTCAAGAGAGTTCCATACTCTGCAAAACAGCAGGGTCAGCCCAGGCTCAGTGGTTCATGTCTGTAATCCCAGCACTTTGGTAGGCTGAGGTGGGAGGAACACTTGAAGCCAGGGGTTCGAGACCAGCCTGGGCAGCAAAGTGAGCCCTCATCTTTACAAAAAAATTAAAAACCCAGCCCACTGCAGTGGCTCACACCTATAGTCTCAGGCACTCAGGAGGCTGAGGTGGGAGGATCACTTGAGCCAGAAGTTCCAGGCTACAGTGAGCCATGATGGTACCACTGCATTCCAGCCCTGGCGACAGAGCAAGACCCCATCTATACAATGGAAACAGACCAACAAAACATCAGGGTCAGACTCAGGAATGGTTGGGCAGAGGGGGAGACCAAGCACAGGTGGCCAGATGCCTTCCTAGGGTGATTCTCAACTGTTAACCAGCTGGAGGGGTGGTGAGAGGGTCCTGTCTTTTTCTCTCATCTGCAAAATGAGAGATAATGTACCCACCTCATAGAGTTGCTATAAAGTGCTTGTAATTATTATTACTGGCCACTCTCCTGGAGAGCCCAACCTTTTCAGGGCACCAGAAGTGTGGTGGGGCTGTCCTGGGTGGTGGGCTTGGCCCTTTGGCCCCCCGGAGATAGCTGCCCTGGATGGTGGTCTCCCAGTGGGTCCAGCCCCTGCTGACTCCCTCCAGCCTCAACCTCATACCTCCCCTTTCCTGTCCTGCCCCAGCCGCCTGTCCTGGCTCTGTCCTAACCTCCCCAGGCTGCAGGCAGCTTTCCTAACCAGCCACACTGTTCACAGGCACCCCCCCTCTGCTGGGGGTGCCTTCTCCTGCTTTTCTGCCTAGTGAACCATTGATGCTTTGAAATTCAACTCAACCAGGTGAAACTCTGGTGGCCAGGGCAGGTGGTACAGGACCATCAAGGCAAGAAGGCTGGGACCGGGAGCAGGGGAATGGGGATCTGGACAGGTGACAGTGCCTGGAGCAAGAGCAGGAGGAGCCCACCCTGAGGACAGCCACCCACTGCACACAGGCTGGGAGACCGGACACGGAAAGAGGGAGTGGTCTGGAAGGGCGGGGGAGGGGTTCAGGGAGCCAATGAATACAGGGCAGAGAAGAATTTTTTGGGGGCAGCAGCCTGGAACAGGGGCCTGAGGGGTTCCGGCCAGTCCAGCACTGGTCATCAGAAGTCAGGAGGGGAAGGCCTGGGTCCAGTTCCCTGGGGTCTTCCTGGTTTCCAGGAGATCAACCTGGTTCTACCAAGTTCTACCACCCATGTGGGGTGGAGGATGAGGACAAGGGCACAGACCTCCCAGTGAGAAGAGGGCTGTGGAGGGCAACCCTGAGAGAGGCTCCTTTGGATGAGGGCTGGGGGGCTGCCAGAGCCGGGTCTCCTAGCCCTGGGCATCGGGTCTGAGGGGACTCGAATCTCCTGAAACCAGAACCAAGTGGCTGCCCCAGAACTGCCCCCTCCCGGGGGGGGGGGGGGGCCACAGAAGCCCATTGTTTTCTGAGCTCAACCAGCCGGCACTGCCCTCCCCTTGGCTTGCCCCTGTCCCTGCCAAAGTGCCAGGGAAGGTGGCCGGGGCAGCCAGTTGAGCAGGTTTCCAAAGCTAGGTCTGGAGAGGCTGGCCCCCTCTTCCCCAGCCCACTGGGAGCCTAAGCAGACAGGCACAGGCACGGGAGGCTCCTGTGTCCCCTTTCCCTGGGCACCGTTGACCTCTCCTAGGACTCTAGAGGGAGCGTGGCGATGGGGTAGAGGAGCGGCAGGGGGACTATTTGCCATGCGGGCACTGTGATGTCATTCAATCCTTATGACAACAACCCTGACCTCAGGATGCTATCTTCACCCATTTCAGAGATAAGGAGGCAGAGGCTTAGTGAGGTTTATGATGGGCCAAGGGCCTCAACAGCTACCAAGTGACAGAGCTGGCAGGGTCCCCCTGGGGGTGTGGGTGGGAGACTCAGGCCCCAAGCTGGGCAGAGGGATGGGCAGGAAGGTGGCACATGGGGCCGCCACCCTCGCCCCATGCTGGCTGCATGCCGAGACACCCGGATCCCGGAGCTGGGCCAGGCAGAGGCCTCCTGAACAAATAACAGGTTGGCAGCCTAGAGAGGTGGTCACGGGACCGGTCCCTGCCCAGGGCACAGCATCTGGGAACCAGGCCACCCATTTACCTGCTGTCTATCCAGCATCTGTCTCCCTTGCTCAGGTGGCCTGAGCCCCACTGTGGCCAAAACCTGACCCTTCCCACCCCACCGAGGACTTCAGTGTGGACTGACTCCTCCCCTGCACTGGGGTAAGGAGGAGGAGTGACTCTGAGATGACCCGGCCGCAGGGCCTCTTCCTGCCGGGCAACAACATCATCTGCTTCCCTAGCCTGGCACTTTCCAGTTTACAAACTGCCTTTGCCATCAACCCTCTCAACAGCCTCCTGAGGAACACAGAGCAGTAATGCTAATCTCCATTCTGCCTGGAAGAAAACTGGAGCCTGGATGGAGATGGTGACTTCCAAGCTTCCACCCCGAAGCTCAGCCCCAGCTGCTCTGCCCCCTGCCCACGTCCACGCAGGACACAGCTCCCACTGATGGGCAAGTCTGGGCCAGGGTGACCTTCCCAGCACCCGTCAGCCCATACATGGTATTACAGCCGCCTATGCTTTCTGTCTCTCCTCACTCCCTACATTGACCTCATTGTCCCTCCCCAGCCTCCGCAGCCCAGGGGGTCTCCCTTCTCTGAGCTCCAGGCATTCCTTCGCTCACTCACCCACTCGGTCATCTACCCACTCCCCCATCTGCCCTTCATTCCTCTGCTCAGTCATTCATTCAGAACACATGTCCTGAGGTCTGCTCTGGAGTGGACAATGGTGCTGGGTGCTGGGATCAGAGTGGGGTGAACCAGGCCTCCCCAGTCCCAAAGCAGAGCCCCAAAGATACCTGCCTGGACTGTTCCTGAGGAGCCTCTGGCTTCACTGCCTAGACAGTGAGTCCCCCAGCACTGAGGCCTTGCTTAATCCTTTCCTCCCGCTCTGCACCAGCCCTAGCTGGGGCTGGGGTTGCTGCCTCATAGGCTCCAGGCCAGTCTGGTGAGCAGAAGTCCCTGCCCCTCACAACTCCCCAGGCGGGGTGACCACCCAGGCCAAGGCGAAACCCCCACGGGGATAGACAAGGTCACCATCTCCTAACCAAAGGTGACATGGGGAAGCCCTAGCTCTGCCCCCAGATCACAGTGTGTGCAGGATTAAGTCACCATAACCTCTCCAAGCCTCAGTTTCTCTACTAAAAATTGGGTCTCAGGCCGGCTCTCTCATCCTACAGAGGACGAATGGGAGGATGAGAAACTGGAAACTGAGTTCACCAAGGATTGGTTGGAAGCAGAACCCTGAAGGAGGGCTTTCCCAGTGGAGAGGACCTTAGACTCTTCTAAGTCGCTTCTCTTCTCTGAGCCTCAGTTTCCTCAGCTACAAAATGGGAGAGTAACACCAACTTTGCAGGGTTGTTGTGTGGAATAAATTAGGTATTATATGGACAACCTGACTAGCCTAGAGCTGAGGACACAGTAGGTGCTCAATAAATTACAGGCTCCTGCCTAGAGAGGCAGTGTAGCGTCAGTGTGGGCTCTGGAGCCAGATCCTTGAGTGCGAATCCTAACTCTGCCACATAACAGCTGTGTGACCTTGGACAAGTTACTTAACCACTATGAACCTCAGCTTCCTCATCTATAAAATGGGGATAGCAGTGCTGACCTCTGAGGGTTAAATGAGTTCATTGGTGTAAAGTGCTTAACATTCACCATGAGCATTTCTTGGCCTTCCCTTCTCTTCCTTCCTTTCTTCCTTCCTCTGTAGGTGCCTGAGGACTGAGACAAGACTCCTAGGTGGAAGTTGTGAGAAGGTAGAAACGATGGGACAAACACAGCTGCCCAAGAGTAAAGCAACCTAGGCAGGGCATGGTGGCTCATGCCTATAATCCCAGCACTCTGGGAGGCTGAGGCAGGCGGATCACCTGAGGTCGGGAGTTTGAGACCAGCCTGACCAACGTGGAGAAACCCCATCTCTACTAAAAATACAAAAATTAGCCGGGTGTGGTAGCGCACGCCTGTAATCCCAGCTACCCGGGAGGCTGAGGCAGGAGAATCACTTGAACCCGGGAGATGGAGGTTGCAGTGAGCCGAGATCATGCCATTGCACTCCAGCCTGGGCAACAAGAGCAAAATTCCATCTCAAATAGAAAGAAAGAAAGAGAGAGAAAGGAAGAAGAAGAAGAAGGAGGAGGAGGAGGAGGAGGGAAAAGGAAGGAAGGAAAGAAGGAAGGAAGGAGGGAAGGAAGGAAGGGAGGGAGGGAGGGAGGGAGGGAGGGAGGAAGGGAGGGAGGGAGGGAGGAAGGGAAAGCAACCTGAGCAACCTGCCATGTAAGGTACCGAGCTCTGCATCAAGCAAAGGCAGAGTGAGCTTCTCAGAGGTGCAGCCAGGGAGATCTGAAGGTGTGGGAACGGGAGGAGCGGTGGGGGGTTTGACTGGAGGACCTCAAGGTGCCTCCCACATTTGAAATTCTTTTTTTTCTTTTTTTTTTTTTTTTTTGGTGGTGGTTGGGGGCAGGGTCTCACTTTGTCGCCCAGGGTGGAGTGCAGTGGTGAGATCTCAGCTCATTCCAACTTCTGCCTCCTGGGCTCCAGCAAGCCTCCCACCTCAGCCTCCCAAGTAGCTGGGACCACAGGTGCATGCCACCACATCCGGCTAATTTTTTTTTTTTGTAGAGACAGGGTTTCACCATGTTGCCCAAGCTGGTCTGAACTCCTGGATCCAAGTGATCCACCTGCCTCAGCCTCCCAAAGTGCTGGGATTACAGGAGTGAGCCACTGCATCCAGCCCCACATCTGGAATTCTTTGCCTCTTGATGACTCTAGGATCCCTGTAACTGAGGGCAGAGGCAATGGATGTTAAAATGTGCATATTCTTTGGTCCAGCAACCCCATTTCTAGGCATTTATTCTCCAGAAATATAACACCAATGCATAAAGATATATGAACAAAAAAGTCATGAAGCAGGGTTTGCAACCGCAAACATCTGGACGCCACTTCAATGTCCATTACAAGGAGATTAGTTAAATATATCAAACCATGGAATACTATACAGCAATGACAAAGAAGGTCTTTAGTCTTGATGGAAAAGGGGGTTTGAGGCATATTGTTAAGTGAATAAAGCGGGCTGCACACAACAAAAATCTCATTTGTAAAAATTTAAAATTACATGTCAAAGTTTACATGGCTGGCCGGGAGTGGTGGTTCACGCCTGTAATCCTAGCACTTTGGGAGGCCAAGGCAGGCGGATCTCTTGGAGCCAGGAGTTCAAGACCATCCTGGGCAACATAGCAAAACCCCATCTCTACCAAAAAAAAAAAAAAAAAAAACCACAAAAATTAGCCGGGTATGGTGGTGCATGCCTGTAGTCCCAGCTACTCAGGAGGCTGAGGTGGGAAGACTGATTGAGCCTGAGAGGTTGAGGCTTCAGTGGGCCAACATTGCACCACTGTACTTCAGCCTGAGTAACAGAGCAAGATCCTATTAAAAAAAAAAAAAAGAAAAGAAAAAAAGGCCGGGCATGGTGGCTCACACCTATAATCTCAGCACTTTGGGAGGCCAAGTCAGGTGGATCACTTGAGGTCAGGAGTTTCAGACCAGCCTGACCAACATGGTGAAACCCCATCTCTATTAAAAATACAAAATCAGCCGGACATGGTAGCGCATGCTTGTAATCCCAGCTACTCAAGAGGCTGAGGCAGGAGAATCGCTTGAACCCAGGAGGCAGAGGTTGCAGTGAACCAAGATTGCACCACTGCACTCCAGCCTGGGCGACAGAGCAAGACTCTGTCTCAAAAAAAAAAAAAAAAGAGAGAGAGAAAAGGGGCTTGCTGCGTATGGGACCCTGAGGCCCAAAAGCCCTCAGAATTTTGAGTGGGATGAAGCCCAGTTGGGCTGTGTCTGTCTGTCCGTCCTCTTTCTCTTTAAACAAAAACAAAAACAAAAAGAAAGTTTACATGGCTTATCTCTGAGAAGCAGGACCACTAGGAACTTCTGCTTTCTGTGGCAAATACTTTTCTGCACGGTTTGGATGTTTATAATGAACACTTAGTATTTGTGTAATCAGAAAAAAATTAAAGATTTTAGAGAGCTGAGCACTCACTATGACTCAGCTCCCTGAGCACCTGACTGCTTTACCCTTTTCCATCACCTTGAGAGGGAGGTATGACTCACCCCTTATTCCAAGGGGGAGAAGCTGACACGAAAAGAGACTAAACACCATGACCAATGTCCCTGAGCCAGGCGTCACAGAGCTGGGTTGCACCCCCATTCTGGCTGGCTCCCAAGCCCACACTCTTTCCCCTACATTAGGCATTAGACAACCTGCTCCGAGGGTCAGGGAAGAGCAGAGGCAGCACAGAAGTGGCCCAGGCAGCTGGGCCCAGGGATGTGCCCTGTGACTTCAGCTGTCACGTCCTGCAAGCCAGGCCAGCCGGGTTAGCATGTGTGGGGACAGGGCTGTCTACTTCATTTGTAAATGCAAATGTAGGCTCTGCTCCTAGCGCGGGCTCCATGCCCTGAGCTGCCCCAGGCTGGCAGGTGCCCAGCCCCACCCCTGGCACTACCCCCAGAAGCCTCAGGGTCACCAGGCAGGTGGGCACGTCCCAGCCCAGGCCCTTCCCTGGAGCTCTAAATAACTTTCTGTGTTGATCAACCTGTTTGTGGATGGATTTGGCATTGAAGGTCACTTGTCACCTTCTCAGTGACAGCCTGGAAAGGTGACAGTCACACCTGAGTGTGTCTGAGTCTGGATGGGCCAGAGAACAAGACCTGAAAGTCAAACGGAACTGAGTTCAAATCCTGCCTGTGCCAAGCTCTAGCTGTGTGGCCTAGGGAGAGTCCCTTCACCTCTCTCAGCCTCTGTTTCCTCGGCTATAAAATGGTGTTGAGAATTTCTCCCTGCAGGGCTGCTGAGAGCATTAAATGAGAGAATGCACGTGAAAGTACGTCCTAAGCTAGAAGCCACCTTGCACGTGTAGAGAAGAGTTATGACCTCACTCCTGTGGGGGCAGGCGGGGGGCACAGGCACATCTGTGCGGATGTGGAGTGAGCAAGGATCCACCCTGGCTGGACCCCAGGGCCCTGCCGCACAGACTCAGCCGGTGGGCGGGGCAGCGTCTGACACTTTTCCTGGGAGTCGGCACCGGGTGTTCCGCAGCTCTGCCTGGTGGTGCGAGAGGGTGTGTGTGACTCTGTGGGTGAGAATGGAGATGGGAGGCCCCGGCAGGAGCGTGAATGGGTGTGGGAGGGAAAGCGCTTGTGTCGCATGTTTGGATCTGATCACACCACCCACCTGCCTAGAAGGCCCCAATGGCTTCCCGCCGCAAGCAGGATCCAGACGCCCGCCTCACGTGGCCCACGAGGCCCTGCGTGTCTGCTCCCCATCCCCGGCCCCCCTCCCACCCGCCCACTGTCTCTGGCCTCATCCAGGGCTTCTTTCCTCCTTCTCCAGACTCCTTTCCGCTCCTCAAACCCGAGGTGCTCCTTCCCACCTCCAGGCCACTGCACACGCTGTGCCCCCTGCCTGTTACCCCCTTCCCGTCCGCTTGGATCACATTTCAGGTGCTATGTCTGTATTCAGTCTTCCAGAGCCCCCTCCCCAGACCAGGAGAAGCTGCTCCGAACCTGACCAGCTTTCCCAGAAGCCTGTCTTGGGCCTTCATGGATTTACCTGTTGCGTTTGCACATTTCATGGTGTGACCATTAAGCCACTGTCAGTCTCTCCTGCTAGAAATGGGGTTTCTTCAGGTCATGCCTGGGTCTGTTTGGGTCTGATCTGCTGCATGAATGAATGTGTATGTCTGTGCCTCTATGTTCATGATGAAGCTGTCTCTACAAGGGTCAAGTCTATGAGTGTGAGTAGGGAAATATGTGTGTGTGTACATGTAATGGGTCATCTCAAAGAACCTTTCCTCAGCCTGCAGGCAGCTGGGCTGGGAAAGGCCAAGGCAACCTGGGGCCAGTGCCTAGGCTGGCTGGGGTGAGGGGAGAACAAGCAGCAGTTCCCTTACCCCCGACTAAAATAGGTCCAGGGTCTTTGCGCCAGGTAGATCCAGTCAGGTGGGCTCCAGGCTGGAGGCCTGACTCTGCCCTGCAGTGAGCTCCACCCCTGCCTGCTCCTACAGGTTGGAGCCCAGCCTCCTGCCTGCACAGCCCAGCTCACTTGAGACTCAAGCCAAGCCTGGTCTTCCATGGCTGCCCACACTCCCCACCACCCCACCGGGCCTGTCTTGTGGGCAGCAGTTATTTTTTGTGTGTGTGTGGGATGGAGCCTTGCTCTGTTGGCCAGGCTGGAGTGCGGTGGTGTGATCTCGGCTCATGGTAATCTCCACCTCCTGGGTTCAAGCGATTCTCCTGCCTCAGTCTCCTGAGTAGCTGGGATCACAGGCATGCACCACTACGCCCAGCTAATTTTTTTTTTTTTTTTTGTATTTTTAGTAAAGATAGGGTTTCACCATGTTGGCCAGGCTGGTCTCAAACTCCTGACCTCTGGTGATCCACCCACCTCGGCCTCCCCAGAGTGCTAGGATTACAGGCATGAGCCACCACACCTGACTGGGGAGCAGTTCCTGATCTGAAAGAAGTGGGCTTCCAGCCTCTCTGCCTTCTCAGCCACCTCCACCTGTTGCCAGGAGATGATCTGGAATGTTCCAGCTTTGGGGCGGGGGAAGGAGTCCTATTCCTGCCCCCAATCCTTTACATTTTCTCTACCCTCTGCCTGGACTACTCTTCCCACAGCCAGCTCCTTCCCATTCAGGCCTCAGAGAGGCCCCTCCCTGATACCCTTGGCAAAGCCAGGCCTTGCACCCACCCCATCCGTACTACACATTACCCATCTGAAGCTACCTTAGCTGTCTGTCTCCTGCACTGGAGGATAACATGCGTGAAGCAAGGACCGTGTCTGTCAGGTTCACTGCTGCATCCCCAGTTCTTAGACTAGTACCTGGCATGTGGTAGGAACTCCGTAAGTATTTGTTGAATTAACGAGTGGCTAATGGAAGCCCTGAAAGATCCCAGGAGGTGAACATTGCCCGTTTGCAGGCATGGAAACTGAGGTTCAGAGAGGTTAAGTCTCTAGCCCAATGTCACACAGCAAACAGCTGGACCAGGTCAAACTTAGGGACAAGCTAACTCCACTAGAACCCCAGCACATCAGAGTGTATCACAGCCAACCTTCCCATTTCATAGGTATGAAAATGAGCCTCTGAGAGGGAGGGTGATGTTTCTCTAGGTCACTTGGGTCCGAGGCATGTGTTTCTTCCCTCCTGCAGCATGGGGTCAGAAACAGCTGCATTGTTACACCGGCCGGCCCTTTAAAAGCACCTCCTCACTGCCTCTCACTCACCGTGAGGCAGGGGCCATGAACACCCCCACTGCACAAAGGAATGAGCCAAGGCTCAGCAAGGTGACGGACTCCTCAAGGTCACTGGCCAGGACCTGGCACCAGGCCCATCAGACTCCAAAGCCAGTGTTCTCAGGGCCAGTGCCTAAGGCCAGTGCCCACGGCTGGGGTGTACAGTCACGTGTAGGCAGTCAGGTCACCCCCTGGCAGGCAGCAAGCTTCCAGAGGACAGAGTCTACACACCAAGCGCAATTCCGCACCCACTGCAGGCGCAGCAGGTAACCATGACCGCGATGATGGCAGTAACCGCAATAGCTGGCATCGACGGAGTACGTGCTCTGTGCCAGGCCCTGGTTTCAGGCCTTGGCACCCATTATCTCATTTAATCCCCCCACCAATCTTCCAGGTAGTACTTTTATTGCCCTCATGTTACAGGTGAGGAAACTGAGATCCAGAGAAGTCACCCAGCCAGCTGGTGGCCGAGACAGCATCTGCGGTCCCAGCCCAGACTCTGGCTCCAGGGCTTCCACAGCCCTGCACTAAGAGCACAGTCAGGGCCTCCCTGAGCTGCGGCTGACTCAGTCTCACACAGCAGCTCCTTGGAGCAGGGAGGAGGATGGGCGACTGGCACCCTAGCAGGCCTCTTCCCATGGTGGCTGGGGGGTTCAGAGCCTTCCAGCGTAGCCCACAGAAGTCCCAGCAGGGCCTACAGGGACATGATCTGGTGGCTGTCTCTCTTCCCTTCACCTGTCAGGCCCAACTCAGTCTTGAATCCAGCATGTGCCACCACACACTTTTCTCCTCCACATTGCTGACCTGCCACCTCCTGTCCCTGGAACATTCTCGCACAGTGCACCTCCCTTCCCCACTACACACACACACACACACACACACACACACACACACACACTGCCACTTGGCCCACTTCAACTTTTGAGTCACCTCCTCCAGGAAGCCCTCCTTGATTCCCAGATGTGGGCAGGAGTCCCTTCTCTGAGATCTCAGCAACCCTCACATCTCCCTAGTCAGCACATGTCATTCCCATCAAACCACCTCTTTCCTTATGACCCTCTCTAGACTCTGAACCCAGAAGAAGTGGCCTCATCTATTTTCTCCACCAAGTCCCCAACGCCCAGCACAGGGTTTGGCCCTAGGAGGGTGTCCCCACACTAAATGCTTATTGAATTAGTTTGCTGAATGAATGAATTTTGGGGAAGATCCTGAACTCAGAAGGCCTTTCCAGGATCTGGGCTATCAGAAAATCCCCTCCGAGGCTGGGTGTGGTGGCTCACGCCTGTAATCCTAGCACCTTGGGAGGCCGAGACGGGCGGATCATGAGGTCAGGAGTTCGAGACCAGCCTGACCAACATGGTGAAACCCCATCTCTACTAAAAATACAAAAATTAGCTGGGCATGGTGGCACACGCCTGTAATCCCAGCTACTCAGGAGGCTGAGGCAGGAGAATGCTTGAACCTGGCAGGTGGAGGTTGCAGTGAGCCAAGATCGTGCCACTGCACTCCAGCCTGGGCGAGACAGCAAGACTCCGTCTCAAAAAAAAAAAAAAAAAAAGAAAAAAGAAAAAAAGAAAATCCCCTCCTTAGCCATCTACTCACCCCCTGTGGCCACGACAGTGCCTAAAATTCTATCACTAGAGAATCTCTCTTTGGATGAATGAGTCTTTCCTCTCAAAATGCAAATGCTTAGTTAGAAGGGAGAACATCCCCCTGCGCATACACTCTGCACTCATTTCATTCGAAGCAATACTGTTTCCATTGTTATGGACAATCTGGGGTTCAGAGAGGCAGAGTAGTTGGGGTAAGGCCACACAGCAAGTAAGTGGAAGTTGAACTGGGTATTTGAACTCAGGTCTACCTAACAGAACTCAAATATTCCCATGCATCTCAGACAAATAGACCAGAGTTTGAGCATCACCAGGAGATAGGGGCACACAGGGCCAACCAGACCAGGGACCTCAGGGCGGCAAGAGTCCTCTCTTCATGATGCTGAGGATAGACGTGGGATAGCAGAGTTGTGCACAAGTGAGATGGGGACCCATTTCTCAAGATCACACAGCCAAACAGTGGCAGTCCCAGAGCCACAACGCATGTGGAGGGGATTTTTCTCTTGTCTCCTGAAGCTATAGAGGATCCTTCCTGGAAGCAGGGCGTCTCTCTGGCACTAGGCTCATCCCTGCCTCAGAGCCTTTGCACCTGCTGCTCCCTCTGTCTGGACACCCTGCCAGCTCCCCCATGGCCAGCTCCTCTCATCCTTCAGGTTTTGGTTCAAACACCCCCTCTTCAGAAAGGCTTTCCAGGACTCCTTCATTTTCCAGCCATACAGCGCAGGGTGACAAGCAAACTGGAGCCTGGCTACTTAAGCTCCAATCTCAGCTTTGCCAAGGGACCTTGAACAGGTTACTTAACCTCTCTTTGCCTCAGCCTCCCCAGCCCTAAACCAGGGTTCATAACGGTCTTGCCTCACAGGGCTGTTGTGAAGATCAAACCCATGAACGTGGGCAAAGTGCTCTGAAACACAGCCTGGCACGCGCTCAGCTCTCGGCAAGGACCAGCTCTTGTTAGCATGTAACCTTGCTTTGAAATTCAGTGGACCTGGCCGGGCGCGGTGGCTCACGTCTATAATCCCAGCACTTTGGGAGGCCAAGGCAGGAGGATCACAAGGTCAGGAGCTCGAAACCAGCCTGGCCAAGATGGTGAAACCCCATCTCTACTAAAAATACACAAAAAAATTAGCCGGGTGTGGTGGCAGGCGCCTGTAATCCCAGCTACTCAGGAGGCTGAGGCAGAGAATTGCTTGAACCACGGAGGTGGAGGTTGCAGTGAACCGAGATCGCGCCACTGCACCCCAGCCTGGGTAACAGAGTGAGACCCTGTCTCAAAAAAAAAAAAAAAAAAAAGAGAAAAGAAAGAAAGAAAGAAATTCAGTGTACCCATCAGAGGTTGTTTCCTTGTCTATTTACTTATAGTCTGCCTCCGCCATTCCCAATTTTACAGTTGAGGAAATCCAGGCTCAGTGAGGTGAAGTACTGCCCAAACCAAGCTCTCTGAGTATAGCGGCTAGGCCTGTCTCATTTTCTGCTGAATCTGCAGTAACTAAAACCATGCCTGGCCTACAGTACGTGTTCAGTGGTTACTGTGGCTGGATGAATAAATGATGAACAAATGACCACAGCTCTATCGCTCTGAGGCTCTGTACAGCCAGGAGCTTGGGCATCTAAGATTCTATTTCAGCCCACCTCTGCCCATTCTGGTCCCAAATGACCCCCAGCTCAATCGAAGTCTCAGCCTCTCTTAGAAGTGGCTGCCAGGGGCTGGGCATGGTGGCTCACGCTTGTAATCCTAGCACTTTGGGAGGCTGAGGGAGGAGGATCGCTTGAGCCCAGGAGGTCGAGGCTGTAGTGAGCTGAGATTGCCCCACTGCACTCCAGCATGGGTGACAGAGTGAGACCCTGTCTCAAAAAATAAAAATAAAAATAAAAATAAAATAAAATAAAGAGAAGTGGCTGCTAGGATAGCCAGGCTAATGAGCTGGGGACTAGCATCCATGCCCCTGTCCCCAGTAGAACCCCCTCACCCTGGCTTGGCCAAGGGGATGAGGCAGGAGGCCTTGGCATTTGCCTTGGGAGATCCCTGCCCAGAGGTATAGTGGCGGCCATGGGCTCAGGAAGCAGCTGCTAGCTCCCCCATCCCATACACTGCCAGCTGCCCGTCGGGGGCCTGCCCACCAGATGCATAATAGATGAGGAGGCCCAGCGGGCTGTGCCTGCTTGGCATTTCAGAGCCACTAATGAGGCCAGCCTTGTGCTTCCTGCAGCAGCACACAGGCCCCAGGGCCTCTGGCTCAGTGACTGCCATAAGGAGCCACCTGAGGACAGGGCCACCCACCCCAGCCCACCACTCAGCACAAGCAGCATCCAGGAGATCGAGGGCTAAAGGCATGGGCTCAGAGTGGCATTACTGTCAGTCTTGGTTCACCCCTCACTGACTGCATGCCCCTGGGCCACCACTTCCCCTCTCTGAGCGTCAGTTCCCTCATCTGTAAAATGGGGATGGACAGTAGTAAGGGACAAACAGTCATCTGTAAGGCTGGTGTCAGGATGGAATGAAATGATTCAGGGGAAGTGCTGGGCCCAGGGCCTGGGATACAGGAAGTGCTCCATATATGGGAGAGACTGGTACCAATTCTGTCAAGAGGAAACATCTCAGCACCCAGATGGGCCTTCCCAGCAGGACACATGGACTGAGCAGTGACTCCCGTTTGGGTGGCATTCAGGGCTACATCACTCCCCGCTCCTCCCTTAACTCATAACCAAGACCTTCCCCATTTCTGCAGCTTCACTGTCTCTGACCTAGGTCCCTTCCTCAGCAGAAGAGCTGGATTCAAATCCAGCCTTCACCAGCTGTGACTTTGAGCCAGAGCCTCCACCACTCTCAGTCCTGGTTTTGGCCTCTAAACTGGCAACAACAGGCCAAATTGCAGGACTGATGCCATGATTTAATGAGACCTTCAGAGTAAAATGCCTGGCATGCTGTCAGCTCTTAATCCTTTCTGGGTTCTGCCTCCACCTCCCAGGCTCCTAGTTTTAAGGCCAAAGTTGACTCTCCTCTTCCCAGAGGTATTTTCAGAACGCTCCTACCTTGCACAAGTCCACTTGACCATTCCTCTACCCTGACACCTCTCTACCTCCCACCATCCATTTGAATACACTTTAAATGTCCAGCCCCCATTCTAGGATATCTGGGTCCCTTAGGGCTGCATAATCAGTCACCCACTGTCCCACTGGCTCCCAACCCTCACACTGGGCCTCCTTCCTCTTGCATCTGCACACCTACTCTGAGGTCCTCCACTGCAGACAACCTGCTGAGAGGGGTTAGGGATGTGTAGGGGAACTCAGCCATGATCACATCTGGCCTCTACCAGGACTCACTGCTCCTTTAATCCAAGTCCTAACCTCTTAATCCTGTTTTGTAAAGGGGTGGGGGAAAATCACCTCCTCTAGGAAGCCTTCCCAGCCTACTGACAAGGTTTTACTTATTCCCCTCCCTGAACACACTCAATTCAATTCCACAAGCATTAAGCATTTATGGGCATGGTAGTTGCACAAGACCATGTGGAGGACAGAGACATGAGAAAAGTACAGCCTGGCCTTTATGGGAGAAAGTGGGGGCTAAGTTGAGCTCAAATGTGACTCAATGGGAGGCCGAGATGGGAGGATCACTTGAGCTCAGGAGTTCGAGACCTGACTGGCCAACATGGTGAGACCTTGTCTCTACTAAAAATACAAAAATAATTACCCAGGAGTGATGGCATGCACCTGTGGTCCCAACTACTCAGGAGGCTGAGGCAAGAGATTCACTTGAACCCAGGAGGTGAAGGTTGCAGTGAGCCGAGACTGCACAACTACACTACAGCCTGGGCGACAGAGTGAGACCCTGTCTCCAAAAAAACAAAAAGCGACCAAGCACCTCTCCTTTCAAGGAGTTCAGAGCCTGCTTTGCACTGCAGGGTTATGTGAACACATGCAGCTCACCTGAAGTCAGCTCCCGGAAATGCCCTATTCAACAAGCACATGTTGAGCAGCAAGTGCAGCCCAGAGAGGGAAAATGACTTGCCAAAGTCACACAACTAGAATGTGGCAGAGGCAGATTCAAGTCCACACCTGTCAGACTCAAGTCCACACCTGCCATGCTCTTTCCCCTACCCCAGGAACATTCACGAATGCATGCTCTGTAGCAGCAGAGGAGGCATTCTAAAGAGGGAATGGGGGTGTGGGGATCAAGAAAGAAAACACCCAACAAATGGTGACAAAGTTGGGCTGGAGGTGTGGCGAGGGCCTGTGGAAATGGAAGTGGAGGGACATCAAGGGGAGGTGATGCTGACTGGGCCATGTTCCCGTTGATCAGAAACACAGAGCACGGGAGAAGCAAGCCCCAAACTAGAAAAGGAGGTGGAGACAGCCCTTGAATGCCAGGAGATCATGATTAATGGTCAAAATGGCCACCACTGACGCATGGGCTGGAGTTAAGCGATGGCCTTTGGCAGCTGGGAAGGGAGGGCCTAGGGTTAGCACCTTGGACAGCGGCTCCAGCTAGGCGAGCACGGGCAAGGCATTTTGGGTAATGGGGCGTGTCCTGGGGAATGGCCGATCTTTACTTGATAGACGGGTCAACTGAAGCCCAGAGAGGGGATGGGACTCGCCCAAAGTCACACAGCTGGCCAGTTACAATCAGTCCTGGGCCCTCGTCTCTAACTCTTGGCTTAGGGCTCCCTGGGGTGGGCCTTCTGGGTGGCCCCTGTCTCTGAGTCTTCCCTCAAGCGCATCCTTCGTTCAGACCCTCCCTGTGGCCTGGTGGCCCTGGGACAGAGTAGGCGAGGTTTTGGGCTCTGCACAGAGTCTGGAAGATCAAGGTTCAAATCCCAACTGCTTGTGTGACCTTGGGCAACTCATTTCCCCACTCCGGGCTTCATTGTTCTCATCTGTAATTAGAGATAATAGTCCCTAACTCTGAGGTGTGGCCAGAGTTACATGAGATAACACGTCAGGCGTCTACTACAGTACCCAGTGCATAGCAGGTGCCCAACAAGTGGCAGTTGTCAGTGGTGTTATTACTGAACTCCCTGAAGGAAAGGATGGCATCTTCCTCACCTCTGCTTTTATCCCCCCTCAGTCTACCCCTGCTCTGAGCATAGCACACCATCTTGCAGAAGGAGGGGCTCAAATGGACTAGGCACAGCAGCAGGAGATGATGCCCAGAAAGGGAGAGGAAGCAGCCTGAGGTTGCATGGAGAGCATCAAAGGGAAATAGAAAGGCAGGCTGGGAGCTTAGCTGAGGCACCCTGTGTGCCTCCCACCCCAGGCCTGGCTTCCCAGGAGGGCTCTGCGGGGACGATGGTGCCAGATGGGAGTCGCCCAGCAGCTGGGGGGTACTGCAGGACCCACGGACCCCAGACAGCCCTGAGCAGGGGCAGGAAGCAGCAGCCAGAGCCGTCGGGGGGCTCTCCTGCTGGAGGTGAAGCAGCAGCAGGAGCAGCCAGCCAGGCCCACGTGATGCTGATGCCAGGGAAGCCCGGAGGCACCTGCCTGCTGGGGCATCAGGGTGCCACGATGTATCCCGAGGTGAGGCTGCACCTCCACCCATTGCCTCTTGGTGTTGAGAAGCTGCACATACAGTTGCCTCGTTCCCTCCTCCTCCAAAGAGAGGGCAGCCCCAGACACAGGAAATATGGGAGGAAGGGGTTCTGAGGGCTGTCGGGGGGAGTAACTAGAGGATTTGGGGGTCAGTAAAGGCTAAGGGAGCCCCAGCCCAGCGAGGGGCCACCCTGAGGTGGGAAGAAATAGAGAAGAAAAAAAAGGAAGGAAGCATTTAAGCAAAAAGGGCCTAAAATATGCCAGGGCCAGTTTTTGGTTTTGTTCTTTTTACCTTACACCCTATGAATAGGCATTTTAATCCCCATTTCACAGATGAGAAAATTGAGGTTCAGAGACATTAAGGAATTGCTGAAGTTCACACAGGCAGTGGCAGAGTGAAGATGTAAACCTGCTTTGCCTGCCTCCAAGGCTCTCTAAAAAAGTACTCTGGGGACAGTAAGAGGGTCTGCCCACCCCCTTGCCCTGAGAGGATGGTTGGAAGCTTGGTAAGGTCTGGCCTGGCATCGCAGGGGTAGGAATGGATTGGGGGTATCTGCAGGGACCAGCCAAGGAAACCCAGGCCCTCCTGAGAGTCCCCAGTACTCACCACACACTCCGGCGAGAAGTGAAGGACTTGTCCACCCTGAAACACAACAAGAGGGGCCATAGGTGAGGGGACATCCCTTCTCACCAGCTTGGCCCAGCATATCACACCCACCTGCACTGCACCACCCTCCCAGAGGGGCTGGAGAAGGTCCTGTTTCTAAGGATGCCTGATGCAGTCACTATCACCCTTAGGCTGCAGTCGCCTGACTGTCAGATTAGGGACATGGGAAGGCATAGGGGTTAAAGAGCCAGGAAAAGAGGCAGGACTGGGGGCAGTGGGGCAGGGGGCAGGGCTGTGGGGTGTTAGCAGGGGTGGGGGGACAGGTGGAGTAGGACAGTGACTACAGCAGCTTGGATCATGGCAAGGATGTAGGGGTGCGGCTGGGGCTAGCTTAGAGCCTTTCTAGGCAGGATGGAAGTTTGCTGGATATCTATGGTTTATGGTGGGCAGAAAGAACATCACCCCCAAGGCCCGTAGCCTGCCTCAATCCTGAAGCTGTTCACTCATATCCACCCAGGAAGCAAATGTCTGCGAATCTGGGAGGAGATCTAGGAGGAGCTTCCCCCCACCCTCACCCCAACACACGTACCCTGCTCCCTAAGACTTCAGGGGTACCCCAGACTTTGTCTCCCCCAAATCCACCCAGATCCAGCCCCAGGACGCATGTGTGGGTAGCACTCCCGCCCCGCCCAGATTCTCCTACTGCCCTCTGAGGGCACCTTGGTGCCGCTGGGGGCAGGGGCTGAGCAGCTGTTGGGACAACAAACAACTCGCCTCCTGCCCAGAGGTAAGAAGGGGATGAGGAGGGAGCCCAGCCCAACTCTGCCAGCAAGAGGACGTCCTCCGCAGGGCAGGGCTGGGGGCTCCCAGGGACAGCTGATGGGGAAGGCCGACTCTGCAGACAGTGAGGTCAGAGAAGCCAGGACTTGCCCAAGGTCATAGAACAGGACCCAGCCTGTGAGCTGCCCGTGTTGGCTGGCCAGGAAGCTCAGGGCCTAGCCCAGGCTCCTCTCATCACCTGACAGCTAGCAAGACCCCATATGGAAGGGTAGCCTCTGGCCTCCCACCCCACCCCACCCTCTGCTGGGGTCACCTCAGAAGTTGAGCGTCCACAAGGGGAAGGCAGCTTGGACACAATCCCCATAGCTCAGAGAACACTGACCATGCCCACACACAAGCCCCAGCGCTCCACACCCCAAGGTGGGTCCCATGGGTCCCTATGACCACTGGGAGGTAGGGCCTGGTGAAGGTCATGGAGCCGCTTGTCTGGCTGGGCAGGGGCTCTGAGCCCACTCTGTCTAACCCATCGTCCCTCCAATTTGCCAAATCTCCGCAACAGGCATAAATCCCCATCCCACCTCTGCACCCCTTGACCCCAAGATGAACCTGCTGCCACTCTGACCTCCTCCAGGCCTCCAAGCCCAGGCAGCCAGTGGCCCAGGGAGGAGGAGGTTCCTGAGAGCCAGGATGCAGGAAGGAGGGCAGCCTGGTGCCCAGGGTGGGCAGGACCTGCTAAGGGCTTCTAGAGTCCCTTTATCCAGAGCGTCACTGAGGGGCCCAACAGCTGCAGAGGCAAAGTGGGAGGTCCAGCAGAACCTCCCCCTGACCTGCCTGCCCCTACTCCCACATACCTATACATGTGAGCAGTTGCGCACACACGCATGCACACACACGCGCGCACACACAGGCGGAGTAGCCCCGCAGCCCCAGTCACATGCATAAGCGCCACTATCATGTGCTTAGACACAAACACAGCAATGTCCACCCTGCACTCACCTCCCCACACATGCACATGGACACGCAATGGGAACACACACAGACACAGAAACAGAAACACACACACACAGGCGCCACAGCACGACAGCCATGCGCGCACTGAGGTCAAACGCTCAGCCCCCACAGCAGTCATAGCCCAGGCCCACCCGCCCAAACGCGAGCACACCCCGCACGGGCTCCCCCCCACGCGTGCACACGCACACGCGCGCACGCGCCCCGCCCCGCGCCGCGCCACGCCCTACCCGCCGTAGGCCCCGAAGGTGAAGCTGCGCTTCCGGCCGCTCATGGTGCCGCCGCCGCCGCCCGGCCCGGCCCGCGCGAGCCGGAGCCGCCTTCCCGCGCCCGGGTCACCTTGGCAACGCGGCCGCCCCGCCCCCGCCCCCGCCCCAGCTCGGATACGTCCGCGCCCCAGCGGGCCGCGGTCCAGCTGCCGGGGGCCGCCGGCGCAGAAAGGGCCGCTTGTTCGCGCCGCCCTGGGCCGGCCGGGCGGGGGCTTCGCGGGACTTTCCGAGCCGGGCCCAGCCGGGCGGGGATTGCGGGGCCCGGGGCCCGGGGCAGCCCCTCCCCCACCCCCTTCCCGGCCGCCGCCCCCCGTCCAGGCCGCAGACCCTCTGTTGGAGGGACGCCCTCCTCCCGCCCCCTCGAGCCGCCGCGCTCCTCGGCGGATCCGTCCCCATCATCACGAGCTGGGAGCTCCCTCCCAGAAGCCTGGGTCTGCACGGCGGGCATGTCCCGCCCCTCCCTGTCCCTCGACTTTCTCATCTGTAAAGTGGGATTCCTCCCGCCGGCCTCCTAGGACCTGGGGATGACGAAATGAGTTCACGCACGTAAAGCGCTCGGCCCAGGCCCTGGCGTACAGCAGATGCTTAATAAATGCCGGGTACAAGAGTTCCGCAGGGGGACAGCGTTCTACCCTTCCCGCGAACGAATGAGTGAATGAACAGAGCCTCCAATAGCCCCTCCTTGCCCACCTGTCTCCCCTTCTCCCAGGAGTCCCCTTCCCCTTTGCCCTGGTGAGGAGGAAGAGCAAAGGGGAGGAGTGGAGACGCCCCCCTCCACTCCCCTCTTGAAAAGTCATGCAGTCCAGGTCCCAACCTTTAGAGGGAACTGGGCTCTGAGTTCTGCAGCAGGTACTCATTCGCTCACTAAACACTCCAAGTCGCTCTTCTGCACCCAGCTCGCCCAGAGCTCACAGTCCAGCGCTCTTCCTCAGAGTAAGCTGTTTCCCCCACCCAAGTGGAGCTGTGTCAGCAGACACCGGGTTACTAGCCCTGACCCCAGAGCACACTGCCCTCCAGCCCAACACCCAGTCTTCCCCCCATAGAGGGAGAGATCCTTCCCCCAGGCCCTGCACCCAAGGAGGCCCCCACAGTCTCAAGGTTTGCTATGGGATTTTCTGTTTAAACAAACTGCAGGGCACAGATGCAGCCGGGGATGAGGGAGGAAGGATGACCAAGGGCACAAGGACAGGGCAGCAGGGATTCTGCAGACGCCTTTCCGGAGCTGTTCCACCTGGGACCCGGGCCTGGGCTTGGTGAGCTCCAGCATCCCCTGGGAAATGACGAGTCTGGGTACCAGGGTCTACGGTTTGTCTCACCTAGGCAGGGTAAGTGGCGCTGCAGTTTCCCCATTTTAGACACGAAGAAATTGAGATCCTCTCTCACACCAATTACTTCTCTCTTGGGGATCTGCCCTCAGCCCCCTCTCGGCTCCCACCTGGGACCTCTTCTCTGCACATTCTGGTGGGTGCAGGAGCCCTCAAGAGCCCCTTGCAGGGTTCAGAGCCTGGACAGGGCAAACATTATTTCCTCATTCCTAGAACTATGTCCCTTGGTTTTCAGTCCTCAGAGGAGGGTGTGGCTTCCCCTTGCAAGGTGCTCTGGAGCCTGGACTGGGCCCCTTCTGCTCTGGGCAGTGCTGTAGAGTCCTGGGGGGAGGAATCACACCAGGGCAGGCTCCTGAGGGGTGGGTCCTGAGAGCACTGAAGTTTGCCTGAGAAGGGAGGAACTTCCTTCCTTCCTTCCTTCCTTCCTTCCTTCCTTCCTTCCTTCCTTCCTCCCTCCCTCCCTCCCTCCTTCCTAAGTAGTAGCAGCAACAACCTTCCTCCCTCCCTTCCTCCCTCCCTCCTTCCTAAGTAGTAGCAGCAGCAGCAGCAGGGCCTCTCAGAGAGGTGGGAGGCGGTTGGGGCAGAGGACTGAAGAGCTAGGCCTGGGCTATGAGGATGTGCACAGTGCTTGGGCTGGGGCCTGGACTCCAGCCACATCTGGGCTGCTGCATCCCCTTCGACATGGACCTATACCTCGCCAGTCTTTTCAGTGGGAATGATTCCTGAGTGGTTTCTGCATGCCCAGTTGGCAGAGTAGCCAAGGGGCCGCCAACGTGGCAAGTTTCCCAGCCAGGCCTGGCCCCCGGGAGGCCCCACTGGTACTGGGACAGTGGGCCCTTGAGAGGGGCCATGGGGGCTGAAGGGTTCCCACCGAAGACAAAGAGCCCAGTGTGGGCTCCAGCCTCTCTGCTCTGACCAGCTGCAGCTGCCTCATTGGCAAGGGATGGGGGTGGGGGTGGGAGTGGGGGTGGTTAGTGGGGGGTCACGTTCCCTTGGCCAGGGTTGCAGCAGGACAGTCCCTGACCAGCTCCTGGTCCTTTGGTGACGGCTGAATTTAAATGCATCCTGTTAACCTGCAAGACCACTTCCAAGAATTTATCTTCTGCATCATAGCATGTGAGCCTGTAGATGAATGGCAAGGACAATGGACATTGAGGCATGTGCTTATATCCTCACCGTTGAAGGCTAAAATCTCAGCTCTCCCGCTTGTCACCTGTGCGACCTTGGTCAAGTTACTTAAGCTTTCTGAGCCTCAGTTTTTTCATCTGCAAGATGGGATTTATGATGAAAATAACCGTATCTACTTCAAAGGGTTTTGCCAAGGATTACATAAGTTACTAATGATAAAGCACTGAGAAGAGTAGAGTATTTGTCACTTAACATGTGTTTGTTAAGTAAAACATTTGCTGACTGAGCACGGTGGCTCACATCTGTAATCCCAGCACTTTGGGAGGCCGAATAGGGAGGATCACTTGAGAGTAGGAGTTGGAGAACAGCTTAGGCAACATAGTGAGACCTGTCTCTACAAAAACTCTAAAAATTAGCCAGGTGTGATGGTGCACATATGTAGTCCCAGTGATTTGAGAGGCTGAGGTGGGAGGATTGCTCAAGCCTGGGAGGTTGAGGCTGCAGTGAGCCCTGACTGCACCACTGCACTCCAGCCTGGGTGACAGAGCAAGACCCTGTCTTAAAAAGAAAAGAAAAAAGAAAAAGAAAGGCTAGGCACGGTGGCTCACACCTGTAATCCCAGCACTCTGGGAGGCCAAGTCGGGTAGATCACTTGAAGTCAGGAGTTCAAGACCAGCCTGGCCAACATGGTGAAGCCCCATCTCTACTAAAACACAAAAATCAGCCGGGCATGGTGGTTGGCACCTGTAGTCCCAGCTACTTGGGAGGCTGAGACAGGAGAATTGCTTGAACCCAGGAGGTGGAGGTTGCAGTGAGCCAACATCAGGCCACTGCATTCCACCCTGGGTGACAAAGCAAGACTCTGTCTGAAAAAAAAAAAAAAGAAGAAAAGAAAAAAAATTGTTGTAGCAGCATCATTTTTATTAGGCTAAACTATATGAAGTTGCCATTTTTGTAGGGCTAGCAAAGATTTATTAGTAAGAATTCTAAAACTAAATGGCCACCCAGAGGAAATTTGATAAATTATGGTCCATGTATGCTATGCGGTGCCATGCAGCTATGGGACAGACTGGGGAAGATCTGTGTGTGGGCATGTGGAACAGCCTCCAGGACTGACACACACACACAGAGGCAGTGTGACAGGGACCAGGGCTGGACCAGGCTCTGATGCTTCCTAGCTGTGTGATGTCAAACACATTAGTAACATCCCATGACACTGGCCTCACTGGCCCACTGTGACAGGGACATCACTGCTCCGCAGTCAGCACGGGGTGCTTGCTGACTGGCACTGGGAAGTCACTGCCATCGTTGAAGGAGTTTGAGCCCCCTTCTTCCTTGGCCTCCAGCCTCTTACCTAGAAAACAGTGCCAGGCTGCTTTCCAGGGTCCAGGCCCTCCCTCTGAGAGGAAGCCTCCCCTTTGGGCCTCCTAGATTTGTACCCAAGTTGTTCAAACAGCTGCCAGACTGTAGAGGAAGAGAGAAGAGCACCGGGTGGAGGGTTGCAGAGCTGCCTTTCCAAGTTCACCTCTTGTTGAACTCTGGGTGTTCCACCTACCTACCTCCAGCTCCCCCTTTCCAGGGAGATGGAAGGGGAGAGGGAGGAGCAAACCCTGGGAAGATCTCAGGTCTGGGCTCTAGGTGGGGCTGGTGGAGCCAACACTTGCCAGGGCCTCCAATAGCCTCCTCCCCTCCCCGAGTCATACTCATTCAGGATATCTGCCCCAGGCCTCTTGGGCAGGAGAGGAGGCGTCTGGGCTTCCTGCCCTGGCCCAGGCAGCCTCTTGTGTGGCTTTGCATTAATCAGTTTTCCTCGCTGGGCCTCAGTTTGCTCATATGTTAAACCCCTATTCTCACTTTGCTGGGTTAAAGACCTAACAGTGGGCTGGGCGCGGTGGCTCACGCCTGTGATCCCAGCATTTTGGGAGGCTGAGGCAGGTGAATCATGAGGTCAGGAGTTCGAGATCAGCCTGATCAACATGGTGAAACCCCGTCTCTATTAAAAATACAAAAATTAGCTGGGCGTGGTGGCACCCAGCTACTCAGGAGGCTGAGGCAGGAGAATCGCTTGAACCCAGGAGGCAGAAGTTGCAGTGACCAAAGATCACACCACTGCACTGCAGCCTGGGTGACATAGCAAGACTCCATCTAAAAAAAAAAAAAAAAAAAAAAAAAAAAAAAAAAAAAGACCTAACAACGGAAAGATACATTTGCCTTGAGAGAATTCTGCTAGCTCTGAAAGTATCATTATCCTTACTTTGCCTGTGGCCTTTCTAGCCAAGCCACACCAACCCAATCCCAGGAAGCTTCTGGAAAAAGAGTCTCCTGGGGGTTCCCCAGCCCCTGGGAAGGGAGGGAAGAGTGGGTGTGACTTGGCTCACAGCCCTTCCCTAGGCAGCTGGCCAGTGAGGTTACTGAGCCAGCCTCTGCCCTGGCTCTGAGACTCCTGCTCTATTCAATGGGTTTCTGAAACCCCTGCCTACTTAAAGGGACCCCATCAGGGACCAGGAAAATCTGGCCTGGCCAGAATACCTGCCCCCACTCAGGCCCTACCCCTGAGGATGTGTTTCTCATCTCCATGCAGATCATGTGGCTTGAAAGGCCCTGGAAGCAAAGCCCTTCTGGAGGCAGCACCCAGGTGTACGGTCTTTCATTCCTTCCCCCATTCATTCAGTATTGAGCACCCACTGTGTGGCTGACACTGTATTGAGCACCCACTGTGTGGCTGACACTATTCAGACACTGGCGATAGAGTCTGAACAAGACAGACAAGGTCTCTGGTAGACCTGTGTGCACAACTGCACACAAACTTTCCCAGGTCACACATGCACTTGGCCTAGTACCGTGCCACGCACATGCAAAGAGTCATCTAACTCATGCCTGTAGAGATCACATCAAGATCAAATGCATGCAGACAGGCTCACATGAACATCAGCCCCCATGCTGCAAACCCACAAGTACGTGCACATGCAAAGGTCAACTCCAGCTCCCACCCTTAGGTCCCCCATCAGTGCACATGCACCTACTGACTCCGGCTGCGTTAGTACATGCATGTAAATACACACTGATGACAGCACATACAGGCACAGGAATCTCAGGCCCACACATCCTTACTCAAATCACATTATTTATGTTCATACAATATACACAGACAGATGTGTACACACCTCACAAACACGCATGGAGCATCCAGCTAACTACTGGGAAGAAATAAAGGTAGGAGACAGAATGGCTCTTTGGGGGTCAGAGAAGAGTGCAATTGCTGCATCTCCAGGATTGCAGAGTGGAGGCCAAGACACCTCTCATGTATTACAGGCTGGTGTCTAGCCGGCCAGCCCCCATCTCCTACCTCCACTGCTATGGGCGTGGCCCTCCCAGCCCATTTTCGGGGCAGTTGGACAAAGCTGGGAGACTGCTTGAGGCCCAGAGCTCCCCTCAGGAAGCTGGGCTGGCGGAGTCCTGACCTGGGGAGACCTGCCTGTGGCCCCAGCTCTGCTGGCAACCCACCATTTCTCATCACAAGTGCCTTCCCACTTCTGGCCTCTGCTGGTTCATCTATAATGGGGGGAGAGAGTTTCCCAACAGTTCCTTATGATACCACCCTCCCAGGAGGCCAACCAGTCTGGGACTCTGAGAGCCCCTCTCCACCCCGACAAGGCCCTCATTGAGGCAGTGGCTCTCAACAAGGGTGGCTCTGCCCCCCAGAGGGCGCCAGGGTGGTTTCAGTCCTCAGAAATGACGGGGTCGCCACTGTCATTCAGTGGGTGGGGGACAGGAAAGCTACGCTGGTGAGAGTCCCACTTCAGGAGATTTGTTGTTCATCAGATATCCTCCTAGATATTCAAGTGGGTAAAAAGCCCGGGTAACCCATCCTAGAACCTAACTCTGGTTTACAAATGAATATTTTTTGGTGTGGCTTTAATCCATAATACATTTTTCAAAGGTGCAGCTACTGAAGTCATTCTGAACTAGAGGTCAGGTACAGCGACATGACTTTCTGCTCTTAAATCTAAGGGTAGGCCGGGCTCAGTGGCTCACATCTGTAATCCCAGCACTTTGGGAGGCTGAGGCGGGTAGATCACCTGAGGCCAGGAGTTCGAGACCAGCCTGACCAATATGGTGAAACCTTGTCTCTACTAAAAATACAAAAATTAGCCAGGTGTGGTGGCATGCGCCTGTAGTCTCAGCTACTCAGGAGGCTGAGACAGGAGAATTGCATGAACCCAGGAGGCGGAGGTTGCAGTGAGCTAAGATCACAGCACTACACTCTAGCCTGGAGTTTTTGAGACTCTGTCTCAAAAAACAAAAACAAAAACAAAAAATCTAAGGGTAGGCTGGGCAAGGTGGTTCACACCTGTAATCCCAGCACCTTGAGAGGCTGAGGTGAGAGGACTGCTTAAGCCCAGAAGTTCGAGACCGGCCTGGTAACAAAGCAAGACTCCATCTCTATTACGATAATTTTAATTTTTTTAAATCTAAGGGTATATTTTTAATAAATAGGTGCCCAAGGCTGGTTACTTCTTTGGCTCTTGTGGTGTGGTCATGCCACAGCATTCATGTAGGGAGGTGGAGGGCCTTTTTCATCTCTTATGCCAGTATATAGTTGGTTTTTGAAGTCAGGTGTGTAGGCAGGCTTATTTCCTAGGAATATCATGACAGGAAAATGAAGAACGCTTTTTTTTTTTTTTTGAGACGGAGTTTTGCCCTTGTCGCCCAGGCTGGAGTGCAATGGCGCGATCTCGGCTCACCGCAACCTCCACCTCAGTAGCTGGGATTACAGGCATGCACCATCAGGCCCAGCTAATTTTTGTATTTTTAGTAGAGTCGGGGTTTTTCCATGTTGGTCAGGCTGGCCTCGAACTCCCGACCTCAGGTGATGCGCCCGCCTTAGCCTCCCAAAGTGTTGGGATAACAGGCGTGAACCACAGTGCCCGGCCGAAGAACGCTTTTTAAAACGTGTTCTCTAATGGGTCCGGGAGTCCGCCGCGGTCTCGGGCGCCACCAATTGGCCGTCATAAGAACTGCAGGCGACGGCCGCCCGGGCTCCAGGACCAGGGACAGCGCCCCGGGAGCATCTCAGAGAAGGGTGGGGACCCGGAGCCGCCGGGACAGCGCCCCCAGTCACCGGCCGCGCGCTCGCCACCCCCCGCACTTCCTCACCCCTCCCTTACATGGAGGCGGCCCCAGCGCCCGTCCTCGCCCTCTCCCCGGCGCCAGGCGCCGCCGCACGTCTCCCAGCTCACAAGGGCGCACCTGCGCCCGCCCACTGTGCTCTCGCCGCCCCCTCCCGCGGGACCCGTTCTCTCGGTGCGCAGATCACGGGGCCGCACCTACGCGTTCCGGGATCTCTGTGATCCTGACAACAGCCCCGTGAGGCTGATCCTGCAAGAGTTACATGTCTGCCATGGCTGACGGGGGAAATTGAGGTGTGCAAACAGAGCAGATCCAGCTCTTCCGAGCTCTTCGGGACCTCAGTCCCTATCACCCGTGCGCTGCAGCTCAGTGGCACAGCCCCTTCTAGTTCCCGAGGCCCTGTGCCAAGTGCTTTCATCCAGTCCTTAAACCCACCCTGTAAATTAGGTACAATCATCTTCCCCATTTCACAGATCAGGAAGCCAAGGTCCCAGAGGCTGAGTGGCTTGCCTAAGGATCAGTGGATGCAGATATGGCTACAAAACCTCTCTGAGGTCTTCACACTGCTCTGAGTCACTGTGAGGGACGCTCCTGCCAGGGAAAAAGTCCTTCCAACAGTACACACTGCCCTGCCCTGGCTGCTCTGTCCTGGTATCCTCGGGCTTGAATGCCTTCTGGGATAGGATGCGGGCATGGAGCCTCAAGATCTCTCACAGAGGAACCCAATCTCCCCATCCTCACAAGCTTTAGCCTCACAAAGCACCTCCCCAAGACACACAGTAGGTGCTTAATAACCCGTTGCTTGGCTGAAGCCCTGCCTTCCAGGAACCAGGGCTCTAAATGCATAACTACACAGCCTGGATACAGAGCAGGGCAGTGTGAGCCAGTGAGGAAGGGCACAGGCTCAAGAGGGCTGGACAGAGTGGGTTCCAACTCAGCTATATATATTTATTGAGACAGTCTCGCTCTGTCACCCAGGCTGGAGTGCAATGGCACGATCTTGGCTCACTGCAACCTCTGCCTCCAGGGTTCAAGCGATTCTCTCGCTTCAGCCTCCTGAGTAGCCGGGACTACAGGCACCCGCCACCATGCCCGGCTGATTTTTGTATTTTTAGTAGAGATGGGGTTTCACCATTTTGGCCAGGCTGGTCTTCAACTCCCAACCTCAAGTGGTCCTCCCGCCTCAGCCTCCCAAAGTGCCAGGATTACAGGCAAGAGCCACTGCACCCAGCCCCGACTCAGTCTTGAGCTGTGACCGTCAGCCTTAGTTTCCAATCTGGAAAATGGAGATGATACTAGCTCTTAGCTCACAGAGTGATGGCGTGTTAAACAAGGTGATGCACACAGACACCTTAGCATGGTGCCTTGTGCTCACGAACGGCTTGCACGGTGGTGGCTGTTAACACTGTTGCCAGTAGGGTCTTCTTTGGGATACACAAAGCCCAGGAGCCCTAGCTGAGTCATGCCTTCATTTACCCCAGGGGTAAATCAGGTGGGCAGGAGAAGCAGAGGAAGAGGCTGCAAATGTAGTTGGGCTGAGCTGGGGACAGGAGGAGGAGGGAGATGGCTGGGGCGCGGTGGCTCATGCTTGTAATAATCCCAGCACTTTGAGAGACTGAGGCAGGTGGATCGCCTGAGGTCAGGAGTTCGAGAACAGCCTGGCCAATATGGCAAAACCCCATCTCTAGTAAAAATACAAAAATTAGCTGGGCGTAGTGGTGCATGCCTGTAGTCCTGGCTACTCAGCAGGCTGAGGCACAAGAATCGCTTGAATCCAGGAGGCCGAGGTTGCACTGAGCTGAGATCGCACCACTGCACTCCAGTCTGGGCAACAGAGCAAGACTCTGTCTCCAAAAAAAAAAAAAAAGGAGGGAGACGCAGCCATTCTTGGTGGAGGCAGAGAGCTTAGCAGTGTCTGAGACTCCCTGCCTCATGACCTAATCTCTGACCCTCAACCCTGATCAGCTCTATAGTCTCCTTGTTTTAGTGAGCACTCCATAAATGTTCAATGAATGAATGATGGCCTACGTTGACTATGAACATAAAGAAACAGAAAGTCAACTTTAGTCCTATCATAATATACATAAGGCCTGGCATCAGTATGGGTTTGGAATCACATGGACCTGTGCTTAAATTCCTGCTCTGCCACTTCCTGGCTTGTGACTTTGGTCCATTTTCATAACCTCTCAAAGCCTCAGCTTCTTCATCTGTAAAAGAGGATGGCAATGATAATAAAAGTACTTACCGCATAGGATTGTTCTTAGGATTCAGTGTAAACTGCTCACCCCTGGCACATAGTAGGCACACAATAAATGGAGACTGTCTTTAGTACTATTACTGGACACGTGCAAGGACAGCTGTGAGCTGAGCCAGGAAATCTGTGTTCTAAGCCTAGTGCCACCAATGGCTCACAATGTGACTGTGGGCAGCTCCCCAGTTTTCTTCTCTGAATAATGAGGCCCCTCCAAGGGCCCTTCTCAATCTGATTTTCTGGGGCAGCATAGCCCCCATGTGCATGGTGGGCAGAGAAGTCTCTTGGAAACAGCTCTGCCCACCAGTCTGTCTCTTCCAGACCACGCCACTGAAGGGCGTGGTGTTCCCGTGACAGGGAGGAGGCAGGCATCACTGGGAATCTCAGAACCTCATCTGATACTTGCCCTGGCCCCATACAGACCTCTCAGGACCAGCCCCACTCCAATGCAGGGTGCAGCCCCAGAGCCACGTCACACAGGTGCTGGGTCTCAGAAGGAAGAGACCTGTACCAAGGTCAACTGTGTGCCCCTAGGTCCATCTCCTTGCCTCTATGAACCTCAGTTTCCTCACCCACAAAATGTGGATGAATCTTGCTGGCCCCAAGGGCTCCGGCACACTCAGCAGCAACCCAGATGTGAAAGTCCTTTGTGAATTGCTCCCATCAGGCATAATCATGATAATTACTATCTGTAAAACGAGGGGGTTGGACCAGCTGATCTCTGTGGGCTCCTTCCCAGCTCTGAAGCTGGGGATTTCTTGGGTTTCCAAGCTGGGAATTTACACAGACGTAGGGGGCCAGGAGAAGTCAGGGTCTGTGGGACTGTGTGTCCACAGGAACCCCTGAAAAGTTGTCCCCATTCATCCTTTTCCCCCAAGCCAGCCTGGGGCACTGGGCCCCAGGGATAGGCCATGGGGAGGGGGAGCTGGAAGCTTTAGGGCCTGGAAGCTTCAGGGCCACGTCCTGCAGGTGTGAGCCTCCAAGTCTCAGCCCCACCCCTGCTCCTGCCCCTGCCCAGAATTGCTCCCATTACCCAGAGCACAGATTCTGTATGGCGCCCTCCCCAACCCCTTCTCATTCTGCATGCAGTACACAGAAATGGCTAAAAGTAGAGTCACACAACCCTCAATTCAAATCTCAGCCCCAGCCACTCACCAGCTGGGTGACCTGGGGCAGGCTATTTAACCTCTCTGAGCCCTTGAGGGTTGCTAAGAGGATTAAATGAGATAGATCCATGAAAAGTGCTTACATAGGGCCCAGCACACTGCAAGTGCTCAATGAATGCCCCCACCTGCATCCAATTGCTCAGGCCCCATCATGCCTCCCCCCATCCAGAATCTTCCTAGAATTCCTGAGCTAGCTGCCCACTTCCCACCCTGACTGCCATTGGGTGGGCCCAGCATTGTAGAGTTTGTGCAGGACCCAGGCTTCTCTGCCCTTCGGAGGACTACAGAGCCCACACCTCTCCAGCCAGGGAGGGCTGTGGGCTTTGGGGACTCGGACAGGTGAGGTCTTTGTCCCAGCGGCTCTGCCCAGTCCTGTTTCTAGAGGCAGGGAGCCCTGGGAGAGGGGCTGTAAGGGCAACCCTCTATCCCTGGCAGAGCTCCCACACCTCAAGTGAAAGGCAAGTGGTGAATGAGGCAAGGCTAGAGTCTTCAGTCCCATGGCATCCTGAGCCTGCTGCCCGGGTGGGCACAGTGCCTACAGCAGTCTGCCAGCGGGTGGATGGCCTCTCTCTGGACCTCCAACACAGGGGAAGACGCAAGAGGCTGGTGATGGTGACATCAGCTCAGGCCTTGTCCTGGCAGCCTCTCGAGGGTCCCTGACGCTGCCAACTTTTGAGCAAGAAGAATCAGGGCTGCCCTGGCAGTTCTGGCACCGAGCTTGCAGGCAGGAAGAAGTTCCCAAGGTCACCCTCCATCAGCCACCTCCACCCTACCCCTCGAGCCCTGAATCAAGGAGTGAGGCCTTGGAGAGGGCTGTCCTCTGAGCAGGGTACTGGGGTGGCTTTCCCTCGCAGAACTGGGGCCCAGAGTTCAGGAGCCAAGCAGAGGGCTGGACCCATCTGCCCCACCTCCACCTTCCCTCTGCTGCCCCCACAGCCTGGCTGCGGCAGACACATGGCTCCCGTGGCCTTGAGAAGGTCACAGCCTCTGAGGTGGCTCAGGCATCTGATCCTCACCCACTGCCCCCAAACCCCAGCCTTGCCAGCAGATCCACCGTCTCAGGGGAGTCTGAGGAACAGGTACTGTAGTTTCAAGAAATACTGCAATTCCCCCAGAGATACAACAACACACTTGAGGCTCACACAACACAGTCACCAGCTTCAACTCATGGGAGCTGTACTGCAAAGACAGAAACTACATCCTCCCATTCCACAGATGGAAAGGGAGGCTCAAAGAGGCCGGGCGGCTTGCCTGAGCTCACCCAGCTAGTGGGGTGGGGCCAGAAGCGGAACACAAGGTTCCTGACTTCCTGAACCAATGACAGCCCCCGGCTCTCCAGCTCTCATAGCAACCTAGTTCCCGGGTGGCTTGGTGCCTTGATCCTCTTGCCTGCCCCTGGGATGGAAGAGGCTGGAATCCTCTCCTTTGCACACTGGGAGAAAATGAGGCCCAGGGAAACAGGCGAGGGGGCCATCCTTACACAGCAGTGGCAGGGCAGAGAACTACGCCAGGTGGTTCCTCATTCCAGGCTAGTGGGCTCAGCCTGCCCCTCCCGTGTATCCTGCATTGATTTTGGGGAAATGCAGACTCCTCGGCCTGCCATTCAAGGCCCTTAATAGACTGACCCCGATTTGTCCCTACCCCCACCTTCCATGAATCCAACCCAGTGTCCACATTGCCACCCCCAGCCCTTGCCCACGCCGTAGCTGGTCTCGCCTCCAGGAGCGCCTCCACTTCTCCTCTTGCTGTGCAACTGGTAATTCTACTACTAACATTATCACTTACTGAACACCTAATATGTGCCAGGCAAGGACTCCTCAAGGAGGAAACTTACCCAGCTCACCTGGTGATAGCCATGCCAACTACTTTGGAAATGCGAAGTTACGGAAAAAATTCTCACTACTCTCAAAACACTGAAGAAAAGGCTTATTATTTTTTTTTTCTGGCTGTAGAGAAGTATTGGATGTTTTTAGAAAAGATTTTTCTCCAGATTTGTGTTTGCTTTTCCTTCAGTGTGTCTCTCTGTGTTTCTCTGAGTGCAGCTTTATATTTTTCAAAGCAGTTCCCAGCCAGTATGTCTGGCCTCGCAAACAACATCCCCAGGGAGGCAGGCAAATAAAAGCTCGTCATCCCCGTTCTAGGGAGAAAGAAATGAGGCACAGAGAAGGCAGGTGATTTTTCCAAAGTCACACAGCAGAGACTGGATTTGGCATTCTGAGGACTCCCAATCTATGTCCTTTTAGACCCAGCAGAATGCCTAGGATAAGCTGGGCACTGCCCTCAGTGTTTGCTTGCATTCACCTTCTTATCCCTTGAAACATACTCATCAGGCAAGTGCTATGATTCCCACTTCCTAGATCAAGAAACAGACTCAGAGGGAGAGAGGAACTCACCAAAAGTTGTACGGCTGCTCAGTGGCAATGTCAGAATTCGAACTTGGGTCTGCTTCCTCCGAATGGGGGTCCGAGGGAGGGTGGCCTCGGTTGGCAGAGGTATTAACCTGTAGAGTGGGCAAGTCACTTTCTCTCTTTGAGCCTCACCTCCTCATCTGACACAAAGCACCGGGCTGTGGCAGGGACCACAGGACCCAGCTCATCTCTGTGCCCCAGTGCCTGTCACAGTCCCTGGGATCCACTACATGCTCATTAAATGCTTAGTGAGTAGGCACACGAGGCTGCTCCCATTGTGCTGGTGCAAAGCAGGAGTATCATGTTTTGCTTCCTTTCTTGCAGTAGGAAAGGCTGGAATCCCAGTGGGACCTTTCTGTTTTGGGGTGTCTCCCCACCAGCACTCCTCTGCCTCTTTTCCCTTCTTCCTCTCTGAGTCACCACCTGCCTGACAGTGCTGGTCTTTAGCCCTAAATATAGAGCACATTTTGAGGCATAAAATGTCCACAAATGTGAGCAACATAGCTGCAGCCCACTGCCCTTGGGTACCCTCCTCCTGGGCTGACCCCAGGGTGGCCGCCCCAAGAAGCCCTGAGACTGGCGACCCCTGCTTGGCCCTAGTGTGGATCCAGAGGCTGCACTCTGCAGGAAGTCATCAGCCTGGGGCCCCATGGGCCCACACTGCCACCAGAGCCCAACTTCCTTTCCTTATTGGCACAGGGCTGCCACCTCACACCTCTGACTTTCCTCATCCCCCAGCCAGGCTGAGCTGCCTCCCAGAGCTGGAGCTGGGCCCAGAGAGGGAAAATGACTTGTCCGGGCCACACAGCCAGCAAGAGGCAGGGCCAGGCTTGGACAGGGAATCAGCACTCTGGCAGGCTTGGTGTGAGTGCCGAGGGAGCATGGTGGAGCTGGGAGCCCCTCCCCATCTAGCATGTCTGCCCTGGAGGCCTCACCTAAGCCCACAGAAGCACCTCTCCACAGCGCCAGTCTCTCAGAGGCACAGGGTGCCAGGGCCAGCCTGGCAGAGGTCCTGGCATGCAAGGAGGTGAGCAGAGAGTGCTGAGGGCTCCCTTCCCTTCACACCAGCTGGCCCCCAGCCTTGCTGGGAGGACAAAGCAGAAACTGGGGCCTGGTAATGCCTCTAGCAAAAGTGGAAAGGAAAGGGAACCCCAGAGCCGCTTGGAGCCTGCACTGGGTCCTGTCCTGTCTTGGGAAGGACCTGCAGAACAACACCTTCAGAGACAGCAAAGGAGCAGCCTGGGGAGAGGCTCCCGTGGCAACCCGCTGGGTATGTACACAGAGGGGAGGCAGGAGAGGAGGGTCCACTGAGTGGGAAGCACCAGGCAGTTTCCCAGGATTCTTGGGGCCAGTCAAGCTGGGTCCACATGAATCAGAAAAGAGGGAGGAAGGGGAGGCTTTGCTGGGGACGGTCGGGGGCCTCCACTCCCCTCCCCGGGTGATGAAGCATTAACATCCCACACGCAGGAAGCTGATGTAATTCATGCGTGTGTGCACCCATGATGGCCTGGGTGTGGGTGGGTGCATGTGCGTGTCTGCCAGGTTCATTTTTAAGGGCGTAGGGCATCCTCGTGTTCTTCCTGCATGCGCGTGTACCATGTGTGCACCCTGGAGGAGATAATGGAGGCAGACGACAGAAGACGAGGGCTTCTGAAAAGGCTCTTCTCCTTGCTGACAACCTCCGTCTCTCTGTGTGTACACACGTGCCAGCATCTGGATGGTGTGACTCTCAGTGCTTGTGTGTCAGGCAGAGTCGGGGGCAGGGGTCTTGGCCTGGGTGTGCCCGTGTGTTCCTGTGTCTGGGTCTCAGGGTATCTGTCAGTCTAACTGTATTTGCGTTTGTGTCTGGCCGTGCTCAGGTCTCGGTTGTTTGCACAGCACATGCGGCTGCTCAGCAGCCTCTGACAGCCAGGACAAAGGCCTCCGTAGACAGATGGCAGCATGGAGGACAGATCTGCCCGAGGAGTCCTCAAAGGGCCTCTTGGCCCCAGAATTTGACAGCAGGGCAGGGGCAGGGCCAGGTGAGAGGGAGGTGGAGGCCCTGCTGTGGGAGCCTGAGGCCTAAGTGGCAGAGACCTCTCTCCCTGCTGCCCTCCAAGAGGCCAAAGGAAGAATCCTTCTTGTCTCCTAAGGGTGGAAGGTAGTTAGAGCCAGGAGAGGGGCCTCCTGAGACCCCTGCCAGGCAGGCACCTTGGGAAGAAGAGAAGAGGAGAGGGCTTTGCCCAAGCAAGCTGGGAAGGTCCCAGGGTGAAAGCACCATTATGGTGCTCCACGGGACAACCCTCCCTCCATGGGAAGGGGTGGCAAGGCAAGCCTAGGACTCTGGACCCTCTCCTCAACCTGACCCAGCTTCCAGCCACAGGCACCCTCACCTCCTGGCAGCAAAGGGGAGCAGGTCCACATGGACCACTCCACCACGGCGTTCACCCTTCCTCCTCTCCACCGCTGTGGAGATCTTCTCCCATCAAGAGTCAGAGTACCACGATTCTAGACCTTGCTGAAGGTGACTAGGTGACCTCAGGCAGTTCATTTAGCCTCTCCGAGCCTCAGTTTCCTCACCTGTGCAATGGAGGCTTCAGCGCCTGCCCTGAAATATTGCTGTGAAGGGGGAAATTGCTCGTGCCACCTGAGGATTAATCATTACCCTGGAACCCTTCCCAAGGCCATCAAGGAACACGCACCCCTTACCAGACCTTCCAGCTGCTGGGGGCTCTCAGAGTGAGGCTGAGGTCATGGAGAAGGGAATGGGGGGCCCCCATGGCCAGCTGGACCTGATCACTGCCTCCCCACTCAGCCACAGCCCTCAGGGCCCTGTGCCAGTCCAGAAGCCCATTCAGGGACACCTTTGGCCAATGTTCTGTTTCATCTGCGAGGCAACCTTCCCCAGTGCCCCAACCATAGCGTTTTCCCCCAAACACCCTCAGGAAGGAGGGACCACTACCTGTGCAGGGGGGGCCAGGAGCCTCCTGAGAGCCTCATATGGGGAGGAAGTGGTACCATCTCACCCCCATTGCCTTTCTCTCCTACTTCCACCTGGCCAGCTTCCCTCAGTGCCCCTCCTGCCTCAGTGCCCCTTCCCTCAGTGTCCTTCCTGCCTGCCGCCCCAGGGGCCTGACCTCTGACTTGGCAGGGAGGGGAATGGAGCCCGGGGACAGAGGCCAATGAGCCCTGAGAACAGTGGATGTTCTTCCTGACCCCACCACCGGGCCTGTGCTATGACCCCAACAAGGACTCCGAGGGCATGCACAGGCTGGGGTCTGTTATGGTAGGGAGGGGGCCGCTCACCTCCGGAGACTGTGTGTGTGTGCAGGTGTGCGTACACAAGGTTTCTTCCCCAAGCCCAGGCGCCCCGCAGCTGGCACCAAACCCTGCAGGGCACGGAAACCGCCCCGTGAATTCCCACCGAGTCCTCAGATCCTGCCGAGCCAGGGGAGGCGACGAGGGGGCGCCCAACTTCGTGACGCGTGTGCCCCGCTCTGCCGCGGGGGTCAGGGACAGGGGAATGCGTCCTGTCTCTGGGGATGCAAGGACATCACCGCCCTCCCCGCTCAGGGTCCTTGATCTGAGGCCCCCACTTCCCTCCTCTGAGGACAGGAGCGCCACCCTCTGGGGGGCGCTAGGGCTTGGGCCCCTCCCCAGGGATGGAGGAAACGCGCCCACTTCCCACAGTCCCTCCTCTAAACCCCAGGCGCCCCCACCTCGAGGTGGGCGGAAAACTGGACTCCCCACCCACCCAGGGGGGTGGGACCAAAGCCCCCTGGCCGCGGCCTGGACCAAGTCCAACAGGCTGGGGGTTCAGCCGGCTCAGTCCAGGCCTCCCCCCACTTCTCCAGCTGCTGTCAAGACCGGGCTGCGCGAGCCCAGCTGCGCCCACCCCTCGCCCCTGGAGACCCGGGTCCCCCACGCGTTCGCCCCCACCCTCCGTCCCCGCCCGCCCGCGCGGGGTCTTCGCTGCGAGCCGACGGGAGTCTGGACACCTCTGTCCCCTTCCCCTTTCCAGGGCCGCAGCCCTGGCGGGGCGCACTCACCCAAGGGCCTGGGCCGGGGGCGTCCTGGGCTCGGCACTCTGGTGCCCGCGGCCGCCGCTGCAGCTCTGCTCAGATGCGGCCGGCGCTCGCCGCCGCCGCAGTTCGGGGAGGGGGACGTCACATGACCGCGGAGCGCTCCTTCCCCGGCGCCGCTCCCCACTCACTGCGGAGCCCAAGCCGCGGGCGCGGGAGCGGCGGGGAGGCCCCCGCCCTGCCGCCCCGCCCCGCCGCAGGTCCTGGAGGAGGGTTCTCGGTGCCCCCATTTTACAGGTGGGGAAACTGAGGACCAGAGAGGGGCAGGGACTGGCTCAAGGTTACACAGCTAGACAGTGGCAGAACCTGGGCGACAGCCCAGCTGTCCAGGCAACAGCTCATGCTCCAAGGGGACTGGGACAACTTCTGGATCAAGTGGAGACGTCGGGATAGGTGGGGCCCACGGCCCCCATGGGCTCCGCTTGTCTGCAGGCGCGGGAGGAAGGCGCACAGGCTTCGCTGGGCGAGAAAGCTGCTGTGCCCTGGCTGACGCCCTCCTCACCCGGGCGCTCGGCGCGCTTCCTGGCAGAGGCCACGCGGTTGACCCTCGCCAGCCCATTCGCGGCTCTTGGACTTTGTCTCTGGACTGGGCAGCTCGCCCCCGCCCCAGCCTAACCCGGGCCCAGGGCGGGTGTGGGGAGGGGAGCCACAGGCTACGGAGAAGTGGAAGGGAGGCACCCGGAAGAGAGTGGGATCAGAACAAGAGTGAAAACCCAGGCAGGGAGGGGGCGGCAGAGATCACCTCGGCCTGACTTCCAAGGCCCAGGGAGAGTTAGAGACTTGCCCAAGGTCCACAGCAAGTGAGCGGCCTGCCCACTCGAGTCCCTTCTTTGATGGTCAACAGAGCCTGAGGCTCCTGTGCCCCACTCCCCACCAAGGGGGAGCCCTCACCCACACCTCTTTCTGTTCTCCACTGAGCTCCCTCCCCGGGGAACAGCCCACATGAAGCAAAGAAACACGCAGTGGGTCGGCAAGGCCAGAACTGGGGACAACGGGTGAGGGGTATGGTTGGTGGCTCCAAGGTCATGAACTCGTCACAGAACACTCGTGTTCCAGGGGGATCTCTGAAATCTCTGGATCTCACCCCAATGTTCTAAGAACTGGGAAAACAGGCTGCAAAAGGTACAAAGACAGACCTCTTTCTCAACCATTTCGAATTGGTGGGTCAAGCCGACAGGGCCCTCCAAGGTCAACAAGTCCAATAGGCCCACTTGACAGATAATATTTAGGGAGGGGAAAGTCCAAGACATGTACTCAATATATTTCTTGAGCATCTACTGTGTGCTTAAAACCACAACTGTTACTTCCAGCTCCCACTATTTTCCCGGCCACATGGGCTGCATTTCACAAAAGGAAAGATCCGAGGTCTTCAGCAACTCTTACATCAGCCTCTGGAGGATCTGAGACATGCAAGCCTCCGGGTTTTCAGTCCCATAGGGGCTGGGGACCAGAGCCATGTTTTCCGGTCAAGACTCTAATCCCCGTGGAGAAAAGGTGAATAAGGGGGAATAGCAGGAAATGCCCCACCCTCTTCCCACGCATCCACCCACCTGTGAAAGGGCAGAGGGGAAGGTAGATCAGGCACTTGTTCTTTTCAGTCCTCCCTCCAGCAAGCTTCCCTAGCTGTATATGGGAAAGAGACCCCAGCCCAGGGGGGTTTCTCAAACTTCTAAGAGTGCAGGAGCGGTCTGTAGACTCAGATTCAGATTCAGTGGGCCTGGAGCCTGAGCTCCTGCATTTATAATGAAGCTTCGTGGCTGCAGACATCCTGAGCAGCACTGGTAGTACAAGGCAAGTTGTCAGGGCAGGAGGAAGACTCCTGCGGTATCACATGCTCACTCATGGACCACCCAACCCGGGGGGCCCTTTGATCTCCTGCCTAGGAATACACCAGGACTATATAGTTGGCTCAAACACTGTAATAAAAAGGCAAGAAGTTGAATGAGGCTGGCCGAGGCGCTTCTGGGGATGATGGTGAAGGGACTGTGGGGCATAGCAACTGCCCTAGACAGGTATGTCCTGCAGGGCTCTGGTCCTGGGAGATGCTTGGTCAAATACATCCTACTTAGGAAATGCCAGCAGAATGCCTATAGACCTTCAAGGGCAGCATGTACTGGGTGGGGCTGGCTCATCTTCAGCAGGGGCGGGGCTCACAGATCTCAGAAGTACATGGATTCCAGGATCCTTTTAAGCACCATCTCTCTACCCATCCTCTCGCTTTTTTATGCATTGCTCCCTGAATTCAATTCTGAGCACAATCTTCATGCTTCTTGCTTCCCTAACTCCTGTTCCAAAAGGGCCCCTTTCTCCTCCACGCTTTAAGACAGAGACCCTCAATTCTGGCCAGGCATTGCTGATGGTACATCCCAGAGTGCTGAGTGGAGACAAAGGTGTCCCACCTGAGCTGGAGGGAGGGGGCAGATGGAGGCACTGGAGATGCAGAAATGCAGCAAGCCAAGGGGTACAGCTGTGTGACCTCTTCATGGTCCCATAACCTTCTGGAGTCTGGACCTGCAGACTCCAAGGTCCTTAAGAGCTCAAGAGCCTATTAGCCTGGGGGTACTGAATGTCCCCGACCCTGGCTGAGCAGACCAAAGAACGAAGTCTCTTCTATGCCAGGCGTCTCTATTTCTTCTTTATAATCAAGGAGCTTTTCAATTACAGCATTTTCCCCTTTACAGAAAACCTCCCTCAATGCAAGAGGCTTATAATCTCCCATGTGTCCTGGGGGGCACCATTCTGAGACTGTCAGGGCCCCTGGCGAGGAGGCAGCACGTGCCGTAGGGGGCTGGGCACAGAGCTTGGCATGCAGCCTAGCTACTGAGGGGGAAGATTGGACAAAGGCCCCGGAGCTTTGCTTTCCCTGTCCTATTTCAATCCAAACCACTCAGGACTGACCACTCACGCATGGCTGCCTCTGGGCACAAGCCTTGTCTCAGACACTTAATACATTGCGACCCAGCCACCATCTCTGTGCTCCCTATCACTGAGAAATGAAAGCTGGCTTTAAAAATCTGGCATCCAAAAAGGCTGGAGAACGAAAACATGGGTGGCACCACGGTAAACTCCAAATAATGCATGAGACTGCAGGTGAGGGAGGGGGGAACAGTCCTAAAATGGGAATGATGCCTCTTGGAAATAACTCCCCATCTCTGCCCGCCCACTCCTTCCCAGTCAGATCAAATGGGAGAAAAACTGAGATAGGAACTGCCCACCAGAGCAAGTAGGGGAAGAAAACCCCAAAGCAGCAAGTCCTCAAGGTGTGCTGTCCACAGAGCCACAGGTAAGGTCTAGGAAAGGCCGGCAAGGAGGGTGGGCTTCAGGGGCGGCTTGGAGCAGAGGACAGTTCCACTCTAACCACAGCAAGGCAGGATGAAGAGTGGCAGTCGGCGCCAGGGCACACGCATCAGGGAAGGGCCAGCGGCCCCCGTCTGGGTGGGAGGCTGCCAACCTGGTGCAGCAGACATGACAGAGACTACCCCTGGGGTTAGAGGACTTTGGATCATGAATAGTTAGGAAGTCCCTGTTTTGAGGACAAAGAAGAAAAGCCTGAAGGTAGGGACAGTACTGGTCAAACCAAAGTAGTAAAAAGAGCTCTCCCCCAAGGGGCCACGGGAAAACTTCTAACAGATTCCAAAGTAGTCATTCATTTTTCCTTACTGAGGATGTATCATGCGGGCCGCTGTGGGAATACAGTGGTAAGATGGCCAGAGCCCTGCTCTCAGGGAGCTACAACAGTCTAGCACTAATTAGGTTGATTCATTTGTGGGGGACTGAATGGTTTTAGGTGCAGACATAAAATCCAGCCTGGCCCTAACTCTGGCTTCCAGTACAGGAAATAAACAGTATACTCTAGTTCCAGAACTCCACAGTCTAGCATGACTTGGAGCCTCCTTCATCCAGAGAACAAGTGACATGCTGTGGATGAGTGAGAAGATGCTACAAAAACTCCAGATAAACCAACCAAAGAGGCAGCTCAGAGACTAATAAAACAAGAGAAGTCCTGAGAGGTAGTCCTGTTTGGTAGCTTTCCAAATGTACTGCCTGGAGCTTCCTCAAGGGAGTAGGTGGGTGTGGGAGGAGGCCCCACTATCTACTTCCACGGAGTTCATGTTTGACAACTTCTACACATCCCACTTCCTTTCAGAGAGAACGCCGAGGCTCAAAGGGGAACAGACTTGTCCAGGATCATAAAAGGAACTGGTTGCAGCTTAGCATTCCCTTGGTTACAAAACACCAGAGCACCAGGGAAAGGAAAACCCAGATAGAATTGTGCAGAGGCCAGTGTGCCAGCAGGCAACAATCCAACCCAGGCAGTGGCTGCGTCGGCCTCCTGGCCTCCCTGGAGTGCGTGCCCCACTTCCTGTGGCTGAGGGCCTGCCTCGCCTGGCAGCACTAACGCAGATTTGGAATTCAAGCAGCCATTCCAGCTGCTGTTATAAGGCTGCCTCCCTCCCTGTCCGAGAGCAATTTCACTTCAAAGGCCCTCCAAGTCCTTGAAAGCAGGGTTTTTTTCCCTTTTTTTTAAAGCATGTTGGGGAGAAACAGATGATGCCCTCTATTTGAGATCAATACAGTAATTATGTTGGACAAGCTCTTAGGGCTAACTTGAGGGGGAATTCACAGCCTCATGAATGACAAGCGTGAAAGCTCATGGAATGAGAAGGACCAGCCTGCCACCCGTGTTTTGCTTGTGGGATGCAGCCCATTCCGCAGTAGGATCCCCTTCTGCAGCAACCTTGGTCTGGTCTCTGCTGGGTGAGACACAGCAGAGGCCCAATCCACTACAAGCTGGTGCAGGTCCCAATTCTAAAGTCAAACCAGGCCAGGCGCGGTGGTTCATGCCTGTAATCCCAGCACATTGGGAGGCCAAGGTGGGCAGATCACTTGAGATCAGGAGTTCGAGACCAGCCTGGTCAACATGGTGAAACCCCATCTCTACTAAAAATACAAAAATGCTGGGCGCGGTGGCTCATGCCTGTAATCCCAGCACTTTGGGAGGCTGAGGCGGGCGGATCACAAGGTCAAGAGATCGACACCATCCTGGCCTACATGGTGAAATCCCGTCTCTACTAAAAATACAAAAATTAGCTGGGCGTGGTAGCACGTGCCTGTAGTCCCAGCTACTTGGGAGGTTGAGGAAGGAGAATCGCTTGAACCCTGGAGGTGGAGGTTGCAGTGAGCCAATCCAGCCTGGTGACAAAGCAAGACTTCACCTCAAAAAAAAAAACAAAAAACAAAAACAAAACAAAACAAAAAAACTAGCAGGGCGTGGTGGCAGGCACCTGTAATCCCAGCTACTCGGGAGGCTGAGGCACAAGAATCGCTTGGACCTAGGAGGCGGAGATTGCAGTGAGCCGAGATTGTGCCACTGTACTCCAGCCTGGGTGAGAGAACAAGACTCAGTCTCAAAAATTAAAATAAAATAAAACAAAGTTAAACTAATGTCACTTTGAAGAGGTCATACAACTCCTGGCAAGCCACAATTCTGCAACCTCCTCCTTCCTAAAATCTAGTGAGGCTCAAAGAGATATTAAACCTTACCACATGCAGAAATCTCACATGGTTAGTATCTTGTATTTATTTGATAACTGGTTCTGTCATTTGTTGGGGGAGGGGAGACGTAAGAAATACCTGTTTCGTGTACTCTACCCTTGAACGATATTATTCACTAAGTATCACCAGGTAAATAATGAAAAACGCAATTCTCAGACCAGGAAGTGACCTCTGAGCACCAGCCACAGGCCTCCGCATGGCTTTGCTTCCCAGTGCCCGCAGAGCCATGCCTCGGCAGCTCGAGACATCTGTTCCTGATGTTCTTAGCAATGACAATCAAAACAACTGAAGCTGCCCCTTTGGGGCAGAAACTGCCCATCACGGAGACATAAATCTTCAACATGCATTCTAAGCGTGTTTCAAATACCTTTCGACATGACCCTGCAAAAAAAACACCGAATTGAGAAGGCTTGCAGTTTGGCCATTGGCTTCATTATTCTTATGGGCCAGGAGAAAAGATTTATGTGACAGGATGGTCGAACACCTGTCTAGTTATCATTTTAGTTGGAAGGGCTTGAAGTAAAAGGTAGTTTCTAAAGTTCTCAGAGAAGATGCTCCAGGTAGCTTTGCTAGGTGGTTACAAGGCCTCTTTTTGAAGACTTGCAAAAGAGATTCCAACAGCATTTCCTCAGAAAGGCAACAGTTCTTCTAAATGCAAAGAAAAATACAAAGCCTTTTACCTCAACAATATTTATTACTGTTTAATCCTCTGAGTGTAGTAAACAAAAATAGCAAATACTGCTATTTTGAGAGATGAAGAAATTAAGGTAAAGCAAGATTAAGTCACTTTTCTTGGTTACAAGGTAAATGGTGAAATTATCTGTAACACAGGTGGCCCAACTTCTACAACTCCACACTTTCAACACTTGCCTGTATGTTTATGTGCTATCTGGATAGCTAGCAGACTCCTTAGCCCAATTAACAGCCAGAATGGAAAAAAAAAAAAAAAAAAAATCCAAGGTTTGAGATATATGGGATGGAGAAGTGGTTTTGTCTGCCAATGAGACTGTCTACCTGGCACACACTACCTGACACAGAAATGTTGCTCAGGGAAATCAACAAAGTGCTACCTACCATTTTACAAATGTTTATAATTTGTACTTTAATGAAAAATAGAGGGTTCGAATAATGTTGATAAATCCCCAGCCAGTATTTCTGCCTACAGAATGTCTAGGAGATGGGTGTGTGTGTGTGTGTGTGTGTGTGCGCGCGCGCGTGTGTGTGTGTTTTGGGTGGGGGTGGTGATGCCAGCTTTCAGAAGTAGAAATGTTGTTGACAAAACCCTGTACTCTGGGGTGGGGGTGGGAGTATGGGGCGTTATCACAGACATGCACATTTTTTTTTTGTGACAAGGTCTCACTCTGTCGCCCAAGCTGAGTGCAGTGGTGTGATCACAGCTCACCGCAGCCTCGACCTCCTGGGGTCAAGCAATTATCCTGCCTCAGCCTCCAGAGTAGCTGGGACCACCGGCATACCTGGCTAATTTTTGCTTTTTTATAGAGATGAAGTCTCACTATGTTTCTCAGGCTGGGAAAATCTTCTTAAAATGAAAACGCTGGCTTTTAATCTGCATGCACTCTGTTCGCAGTCCCCTATTAACACTGAATGAGCTGAGGACTAAAGTACCCAAGAGAAAGGATATGATTCTGCCCCATGATTCGGTAACAGGAAAGACAGGCTTTCTTGCTCATTTCGCTTCAGCGGTTTGTTTAGACAGAGATAAATCATCCCTTGGGTTTTTAAAACAGGTTATTCAACCTGAGCATTAGATTCCAATATTAACCAGAGTCTGATGAACAGATCTATGACCACATAGACCAACCAAAAGCACATTTAAAATAACCAAAAAATTCACTATGGATTATGCTCCCACAGAAATAAAGGGACACTCATATCTTTTAAATTTGGCAGGAAGGTAACAGTAATTCTAAACAATAGAGTTCATAAATACACAGAAAGATACTTACTCCCCAGGAAATGAAGACACCCAAATGCAGCCTATATTTCAGTTCGTGGTGACAATCTGTACCAGTGTAGTATGCTGAACACATTCGTTTCAGATTAAAGAATGGTCAGAAATATCAAGGGGAAAAGACCCAAGCTTCATAATACCTTATACCGGAGACTGATCTAATATAAAAAAGTACACATGCATGGCATTAGAACCCCAACACAAAGAGTCTCTGAACTTTTCACAGTCCAGAAGGCAAATGGACTCCATCTATTCATAATTACAGACGAAACGAGAATCGGGCTTTAGGTCATACCCTTTACCTGTTTTTCCCTGTACCAAGTGAGAAGGGTGGCAATGCAAAACCATTCAATACAAGCATACGTTTCTTTGCAACTCTGCCTACTATGGGTGGGAGAGGCCCCAAGCCCAGGGTTTCAAAGAGTACAGGAGTGGCCTGTGGATGCAGATTCCGATTCAGCGGGTCTAGGGCCTGAGCTCCTGCCTTGGTAATAAAGCTTCACAGTGTCACTGGAGCCGCTGGGCTGCAGTTACTTTCAGCAGTGCTGGCAGAACAAGGCAAGTTGTCAGAGCAGGAGGAAGATGACCCTGAGCCAAGGGCAGACTCTTGCAGCATCACCTGCTCACTCGGTGCCCACCCCACCCCTGGACAGAGATAATAAAGAAGCCAGTACTCAGAGCAGGTACCACCAGCCTGAAAGATTTACAAAAGGCTGTTATTTCGTAGCATTGCAGGAGGAAAAAATACCCAAGTAACAAATTTCAAAACTGTTATCAACAGCAAATTGGGGAAAATATATCAGATTTCTGGGGGCTGCTAACATGTTTATGTCAATCCCCAAAAAGAACCTTCTCTGGCCAACAAGCTTCTTTGTAAGGAAAAGGAAGTGGCTTCAATCAAGCATTGTGCGAACTTTTATAAAAGTCTTTACCTTGGGAAAGAAGAAGTTTGTGTTATTAGTTTTAGGCTCCTGCATTCATTTCTTTGGAGCTAATAAAACAATGAGATCTAAAAATCAGGATCCATCAGCTCAACTTCAAGTCCTTCCCCTGTGCCAACCTCAAGGCCAGAACAGTTGGTCCCTTGGTTCCACTCCTAGGATGGTTTCTCAGGGGGCTGTGTGCAGCTCTCACCTTCCCCCATAGATAGGCTCATTAGAGACCCCCTGCCTCCTCAGGGGACACAGACTGAAGACATTAGAAACACAGAGGGGAAACACAAACACGAAGTTAGAATTTTACCAAATGGCCGTAATTACTCTGACAAAAGGAGCTATTCAAAAGGGATGCTGCCAAGGTTATCGGGTCTCAAATCAAAATCTGCCTTCCCCATCCATGATCTGAGTTCACATTTTCATGAAAGGGGGAAAAAGCCTTGCACAAACCCAAGGCCAAGAAAAGTGTTAACAAGAGAGATGCCTAAGCTAGCATCTCAGCCACAAACTTACACAGACGGACTCAACAGAGAAAACTTTTTTTTTTTTTTCAAAGGAAAAACTCCAGTCTTAAGTTCAATTAAAAAAACCCCTTCAATATTCTTAAGAATATTGCTTCGGTTACGTGTTGCTAAGAATGATAATCCTGAGTTGGATGGACAGCACATCCATATACTTTTTTCCTTTTTTAAACAATGATCTAAGAGACCCTCTCAGGGCATTTTGGAATAATGCTTTCAAAAAGAGAACTGAGGTCCAAGAAACAGTGACATGGAGGACAGGAAGAACAAATTTTATAGAAACCTTGTGTTATCCAAATGTACTTCAGTCTGATTTACTCTTCTGATAGGTAGTCAGATTTTTTATTTTCAAACGTGCCAGGTACATTTCCCACTTTTGAATAACAGCAAAACCGGAAGAGGATGCTTTCACACATAATAAATGTTCTCCATCCTTTCTGAAATGCACCAAAGCAAAAAGCCTCTGAAGTCAAAACATGAGACATAATTCCTTGCTCATTGCAGGAGACATGCAGGTGCCCCCTCCTTTACCCAATACCAAGAGACAGACGGCCGGGCAGGTGTAAGGCGGGTGGCGCTGCAGCTGACATGGAGAAGAGTCTAAATCTGAAGACACTTTTCCACACTTAGGACAAGTTCTTCACTTTCATGCTTTATTGAAAGTAGAATATGAATCAAAGACAGGCATTGGTAAGCAGGTTATGTCTCTAAAATTACTTTTCGTTCAGAGCAGAATGTTGTCCCATCTACTTGATACAATCCTTTATGGACCAACGCATCTGGTATGAAACTCGAGCAAGGAAATATAACAGAACTTTATTCCCCTCCCACGACTATAAATCTCATATGTAAACATGATTTACTATTACTGCTACTAAACTTGTTCCGTCTTTACTTGCCCCCTCCCACCCACCACCCCCCTTAAATATAAAATTGGAAACATTTCCTTCAAGTCTGATGTCCATCAGTGCAATCTGCTTTATTTGACATAAGGCATTTGGGACAGTCACGTTTGAATGGATTTCTGCCTTTTGGAAGGGGCATGTAATGGTTTAATTCTTAAATCCACCTTTGCTTTAATGCCCTAACATGTCAAACTCCTCTTCCCCTCTGGTCATTTCTTAGCAGTCAGCAAGTATTCAAAGATTAATGTCCAAGAAGACCAGTACCTGGGAAAAGAAACACACGTGGAGGGATAGTTGTGAACTACAGATTAAAAGTTCATGGATTCCATTTACCAAGAACACATCATCAACAGGGAGCATCAAATTTAATAAATGAACACAGTCGCACCTTGGTGTGGGAGGATAAGACAAAATACCAGCAGACTCCAGGCTCTCCGCTAAATCACATTTTTGTTGAAAGCCATGTGCTTCCTAAGTGTATCTTCACACAAACTAACCAGATTTTATTGATTCTTTCATTTAATGACCATTCTTCTTTTCTGAGAGTTTCACTCTTGTCGCCCAGGCTGGAGTGCAGTGGTGCAATCCTGGCTCACTGCAACCTTATCTCCCAGGTTCAAGCATTCTCCTGCCTCAGCCTCCCAAGTAGCTGAGATTACAGGCGCACGCCACCATGCCCGGCTAATTTTTGTATTTTTAGTAGAGATGGGGTTTCACCATGTTGGCCAGACTGGTCTCGAACTCCTGACCTCAAGTGACCCACCCGTCTCAACCTCCAAAAGTGCTGGGATTACAGGCGTGAGCCACCATGCCCGGCCAATGACCATTTTTCATAAAGACGTTTTTTGCTTTGTTTTGACCCCATCAGGAGTCCCTTTGTAATGGTAGCATGCAGACAACACAGCTGCAGCAAGAGGAAGACTTTATTTTGGCCAGTAGATTTGTCTCTCATTTGCTTTAGCAAGGAATAGCTGGTATGTGATTCAAAGTCATTCCTTAGAAAATCACAACCTGCCAGGGGCTTCTGGAGTGGCCAGCAAAGAATCAAGACAGCAACAGGAAAATCCGAAAACGTCAGAGGTCTGTATTTGATGACTTCTTGAATATTATCGGTGTGCACAACTACATGGCCCAGATGTAGTACGAGCACCACCGTGTCTCCTCTTGAAGTAATAATCCAACAAATGCCTTAATGCTAAGTGATTAATTAAATCTTTTCACTGGACTTGATAAAACCTGACAAATTCTTGTGCCACTAATTCTTAATAGTTACACACTGTTTTGCTCTAGGAGGGGACTTGATAGGAAGAACTGGGAAAAGGTTAAAAATAAATCTTGAAATGCCACTAGCTAATTTCCCAACCTCCCATAAAATGAGAAAGGGAAGGCCAAATGGACATCTGGCAAGAAACAGTTCTAACACAAAAGCCCCAGCTGAGGCCCCATTTGAGGCCTGAGTGTTGAAAAAGATAATGAAGAAGCTTGAGTAAGAAATGCATTTAACTAAAATTAATTTCAGTCATGAGACTCAGATTGGATTAAAATTTAAAATCAAATTATAGCCTTCGCTTTAACAGAAAATTACAGGATGACTCTGACATTCATGAACAAAACATGACAAATGTAACTTACCTTTAAACCCTTCTTCTGGCATACAAACTGAAAAAAAGAAAAAAAGAAGAATTCCAAATTGAAAAGATTGTCGTGACAGACAGTAATATCATTTCAATGCTTAAAGACAAAAGTTTAAAATAACTTTTGATTACCTTTGTCACCTGTAATAATCATCTTTGAAGTTACGGATGTTACTAATTTCAGAACAATCTTTGTTTCTGTTTTTATCAAAGCAATACGTATGCATCATTTAAAAAGTCAAATACTGACAGGACAAGGTTTGTAACTAGGGCACACCTAGTGCACGACTCTAGGAGTGGCCTGGGAGGAAGCCATGTAACTGACTCCTCTGGAGCTGTCTCTCTCCCCTTCCTCCTCCCATTCCCAAGTTCTGGAAGGAGTCACTTTTGACTCACACAGCAGCTTCTTCTGGTATTTAGCCTATTTCTAAATAACATGCTTTTCATAATTTTATTTACTTTTTTTTTTTGAGAGGGTGTCCAGCTCTGTCACCCAGAATGGAGTGCAGTGGCATGATCTCGGCTCACTGCAACCTCTGCTTCCTGGGTTCAAGCAATTCTCCTGCCTCAGCTTCCCAAGTAGCTGGGATTACAGGCACCCACCACCACACTTGGCTAATTTTTGTATTTGTAGTAGAGACAGGGTTTCACCACGTTGGCCAGGCTCGTCTCGAACTCTTGACCTCAAGTGATCCGCCCGCCACAGCCTCCCAAAGTGATGGGATTACAGGAGTGGGCCATCGTGCCTGGCCTACTTCATAATTTTAGATAAAAATCTAATAAATTCTTCAGTGAAGGATACAAACAGCTGTTTTACCACTTACATAGCACCTGCCCCGACCCATCCTCCTGATGAAGTGGTGTTTGTTGTTGTTAAGCCAGTCTCCAGCGCTGGCATTACTTTTTACGCCATTAATACTAGTCACAGTTGAATGCCTTGGTGCACCTTGGTTATATTTACTACATGGTATGACTTGGTCTTTCTGGGCTTGGTAACTACTGAATTACTGATGTGTTTCATTTTCTCTGTATTTATCTCCAATTCACGTGTAAATTCTTAAAGACCTGTAACCTCTTGAAGACAGTCATCATCCCTTCCACTTTTCCTTGTGGCATCCCTTCCTGAAGCTCGCATCCCACCACTCCAATATGGATCAGGTGTCTTCGCTGCCTGCTGAAGAACAGTAGTTCTGAGACTTCCCTTCACCATCTTCTAGGGCATCTTATCCTAGGCTGATCTGCTATTTACTGGGTCCACTGTTGATTCTTTCTTGATTTAATGTTTAAGAAGAAGAACACATCCTCACACAGTATCATGGCAGACGGTGCATGACAGATCAATCTTTTGAAGCCCTGAATATGTTCAAGGGGCCATCAGGTGTGAGGGTTACAGACTTATAGATTGGAACTTGCTTTCCCTCAGGATCTTGCGGGCACTGCTCTATTATCTTCCTGACTTCATCCTGTGAATTTGACTGGCTTTCCCTCCTACTTCTAGATGCTTTCATGACCCTCTTACCCTTAGTTTTTTACTTACTATATCAAACCCAGGGTACCATCATTTTTTACATTTCCATGAACTCTCTTCTATGCTCCAAATGTTCCTTTTATATAGTTCCTCTTCCTATTGTTTGCTTTTTTTTTTTGCCATTATTTATAGGTTATTTTCCAGCTTTCTTATGCTTCCTATGCTATTTCCTCGACATATCTTGGTCCCAGGCTCTCATTCCTCAACTATCTGACTGCTCATATTTACTTAAGTATGAGGTACTAAAAAGATTTGTGGGCCAGGCGTAGTGGCTCACGCCTGTAATCTCAGCACACTGGGAGGCCGAGGCAGGCGGATCATGAGGTCACGAGTTCCAGAGCAGCCTGGACAACATAGTGAAACTCTGTCCCTACTAAAAATACAAAAATTAGCTGGGCATGGTGGCAGGCGCCTGTAGTCCCAGCTACTTGGGAGGCTGAGGCAGAAGAATCGCTTGAACCCAGGACGGGGAGATTGTAGTGAGCCAAGATCATGCCACTGCACTCCAGCTTGGGCAACTGTGAGACTCCATCTCAGAAAAAAAAAAAAAAAGATGTCTGAAAGCTCTGTTCAGTGGGCACTGGTGGGATTGACTAAAGGGTGCCTGGGACATGAACCAGCTTTAAAAAAAATACAAACAAGGCCAGGTGCAATAGCTCACATCTGTAATCCAAACACTTCGGGAGGCCGAGATGGGCAGATCACCTGACGACAGGAATTTGAGACCAGCCTGGCGAATATAGTGAAACCCCGTCTCTACCAAAAATACAAAAGTTAGCCAGGCATGGTGTTGCATGCCTATAGTCCCAGCTACTACTCAGGAGGCTGAGCCAGGAGAATCACTTGAAGCCCAGAGGCGGAGGTTGCAGTGAGCCATACTGCACTTCAGCCTTTTGAGACTCCATCTCAAAAAAATAAAAAATAAAAAATAAAAGCCAAACATAATATTTGTACATATTTATGGGGAACAGCTTATATTTTGATACATGCATACAGTGTATAATGATCACATCAGGGTATTTAGTTATCTCCATCACCTTGAATATTTATTATTTCTTCTTTTTTGAGACAGGGTCTCAATCTGTCACCCAGGCTTGAGTGTAGTGGCATGATGACAGCTCACTGCAGCCTCCAACTCCCCGGCTCAAGCAATCCACCCACCTCAGCCTCCCAAGTATCTGAGACCACAGGTGCGAGCCACCATGCCTGGCTCTTTTTTTAAAATTTGTAGTAGAGACAGGGTCTCACTATGTTGCCCAGGTTGGTCCTGAACTCTTGGGTTCAAGTGATCCACTGCGCCCGGCCTATCATTTCTTTGTGTTGGGAACATTGCATTATCTTTTCTTCTAGCTCTTTTGAAATATACAACATATCACCCTACTGTACTACTGAATACCAGAACTTATTCTTTCTATCAAATTGTATGTTTGTACCCATTAACCAACCTCCCTTCATATGGCCCCTTTCCCATCCACTCATAACTACCATTCTACAGCCAAAAGATCAGCTTTTTTAGCTCCTACGTATGAGTGAGAAAATACAGTATTGTCTTTCTGAGCCTGGCTTATTTCACTTAACATAATGTCCTCCAGTTCCACCCATGTTGCTGCAAATGACAGGATTTCATTTTTTTAATGGCTGAATAATAGTATCCCATTGTATGTCTACATATAAATATAACATATCAAGGCATCTACTGATGGACATGTAGGTTGATTCCATACCTTGGCTGTTGTGAACAGTGCTGCAATAAACATGAGAGTGCAAATATCCTTTCGATACACTGATTTCTTTTCCTTTGGATAAATACCACTAGTGGGATTGCTGGATCATATGGTAGTTATATTTTTAGTTTTCTGAGAAACTTCCATACTGTTTTCCATAATGGCTGTACTAATTTACATTCCCACCAAAAGTCCGTATAAGAGTTCCCTTTTCTCTGCATCCTAGTTACATGTTATTGTCTTTTTGATAATAGCCATGCTAACTGATAAGATGGTATCTCACTGTGATTTTGATTTGCATTTCCCTGATGATTAGTGATGCTGAGCATCTTTCATACACCTATTGGCCATGTTTATGTCTTCTTTTGAGAAATGTCTGTTCAGGTCCGTTGCCTACTGTTTAATGAGATTATATTTTCTCCCATTCTACAGGTTGTCTCTTCAACTCTGCAGATTATTTCCTTTGCTGTGCAGAAGCTTTTTAGTTTAATATAGTCCATTTGGTTATTTTTGGTTTTGTTCCCTGTGCTTTGAGGTCTCAGCTAAAATCTCTGTCTAGACCAATGTTTGACAGCATTTCCCCCATATTGAATTCTAGCAATTTCATAGTTTCAAGTCTTACATTTAAGTCTTTAATCCATTTTGAGTTGATTTTAATATATAGTGAGAGACAGAGGTCTAGTCTCATTTTTCTGCATATCGATATCCAGTTTTCCCAGCAAAATCTAGTGAAGAGGGTGCCCTTTCCCCAGTGTATGTTCTTGGTGCCTTTGTCATAAATTAGTTGGCTGTAAATACGTGAATTTATTTTTGGGTTCTTTATTCTGTTCCATTGTCCTATGTTTTATACCAATACCATGCTGTTTAGGTTACCATAGCTTTGTAGTATATTTTGAAACCAGGTAGCATGATGCCTCCAGCTTTGTTCTTTTTGCTGAGGATTGATTTGGCTATTCAGGGTCTTTTGTGGTTCCATATGAATTTTAGGATTGTGTTTTTCTATTTCTGTGAGGAATGTCATTGGTATTTTGATAGGAATTGCATTTAATCTGCAGGTTATTTTGGGTAATATGGTCATTTTAACAATATTAATTCTTCTGATCCATGAGCACAGGATATCTTTCCATTTGTTTGCATCTTTCAATTTCTTACATTAGTGTTTTGTAGTTTTCCTTGTAGAGGTCTTTCACCTTCTTGGTTAAATTTATTCCTAAGTATTTAATCTTATTTTTTTTTGTAGCTATTATTATTGGAATTGCTTTCTTTTCTTTTTTTTTTTTTTGAGATGGAGTCTGTCATCCAGGCTAGAGAGTGCAGTGCTGCGATCTTGGCTCACTGCATCCACTGGGTTCAAGCAATTCTCCTGCCTCAGCCTCCCTAGTAACTGGGATTACAGGCATGCGCTACTACGCCTGGTTAATTTTTGTAATTTTAGTAGAGATGGGGTTTCGCCATGTTGGCCAGGCTGGTCACAAACTCCTGACTTCAACTGCTCCACTTGCCTCACCCTCCCAAAGTGCTGGGATTACAGGCATGAGCCACTGCGCCCAGCCGCTTTCTTGATTTCTTTTTCAGCTAGTTCTTATTGATGTATAGTAATGCTGCTAATTTTTGTATGTTGATTTTTGTTAGGTAAACATGATAATCACTACACTACAGAAACTCACTTTGTACACTGATTTTTGTATCCTGCAATTTTACTGAATGTTCATCAGTTGTTTAAGAGTGTTTTGGTGGCGTCTTTAGGTTTTTCTACATATATAAGATCATGTCAGCCTGGCATGGTGGCTCATGCCTGTAATTCTAGCATTTTGGGAGGCCCAGGTGGCCAGATCACAGGGGGCCAGGAGTTCGGGACCAGCCTGGCCAATATGGGAAATCCTCATCTCTAGTAAAAATACAAAAATTAGCTGGGTGTCATGGCACATGCCTGTAGTCCCAGCTACTCAGGAGTCTGAGGCACAAGAATTGCTTGAACCCAGGAGTGGTGGCTGCAGTGAGCTGAGATGGTGCCACTGCACTCCAGTCTGGGCAACAAAGACTCTAAAAAAAAAGCATGTCATCTGCAAAGAGGGACCATTTGACTTCCTCTTTTCCAATTTTGCATGCTTTTTACTTATTTATCTTGCCTAATTGCTCTTGCTAGGACTTCCAATACTATGTTGAATAAGAGTGGTGAAAATGGCCGTCCTTGTCTATTCCAGTTCTTAGAGGAAAGGCTTTAAGCTTTTCGCCATTAGGTATGATGTCAGCTGTGGGTCTCACATATGGCCTTTATTATATTGAGGTATGTTCCTTCTGTACTTGGTTTTTTGAGAGTTTTTACCACGAAGGGATGTTGAATTTTATCAAATGCTTTTTCTTTGTCTATTAAGATGATCATATGATTTTTGTCCTTCATTCTGCTGATGTGATGTATTGGTTTGCATATGTTGAACATCCTTGCATCCCTGGGAGAAATCTCACTTGATCATACAGAACCAGACTTTTTACATCCACTGGTTATTTTCTTGACTAGTTTCCCTGGAGAGAAATCCCTTCCCACCTGGGGGAGGGTAAGTAATGGGCTGCCCGAATTTGAGCAAAGGGCTAAGAGATGGTCTCCTATTTGGTATAGGCTTCGTTCCCACCTTTCTAGTTTAATTTTTCCAAGTGTGGAAACACATAATTCTGGGTGCCCATCTGAGGTCCAGGTGGAGATGGGGAAGTGACAAGGATGTGAAAGGTAGAGAGTTGTCTAACTGCTTCTTATACAGTTTTCCAAACAAGTATCATGTTATCTTCTTTTTAGGCTCACAATTCATTCCCACCTTCAGAGGTACCTAGGCCTCTAATTTGTGTGTGCCTGTCTGGGGCACTGCAATCTGACTTAGTTTTGCTTCTTGTTGACCTCCTCCACAGGCAGAGCTCACATTTATTTCAGTTTCCTCAGGTTAGCTTTCCAAGTTTTTGTAGATATCTTTCCCTCCTTTCTATGATCTTTTAAGATAATGTATTCTACTGTAACAATATGTGGAAGCTTTTTTCAAGGTTCAAAGTAAAAGCACTGTACACTAAAGCTTCAATATCTAAAATCCCACCTCCGTCTAAAACCTAATCAGCAGATTCCTAAAACAAATTCATCTTTACCTTGCATGACATCATCCATTGCAGCATAATCTGCAATTGGTTCATCAGCCTAGAAAACAAATGAAGACAATTCAAAACCACAAGGGAGAGGGAGTCTGAAATTTGAAGTATGGCCCATGATTCAACTACTGATATTGCTATAAGACACAAACACACTGTCCAGTAGATAACTCAGTTTCAGCCACAGCCAGCAGCGTCCAGGTTTAACAGCAGATGCCCTGCTGGCTATGGGTCTAGAGTCAACACTGCAGAAGTGGTATACTGTGTGTGTGAAGAGGAAAGGCAGGGGGGACTATTTTCCCATTCTTAAAGACACCTTTAGACATGGAAATGTTTAGACACCCTGGGGTTACTAAAGACTGATTAAACCAATGTGAGCTAAGATACTCGTAGTGGCAGTGAGGGGTACAAATAAAAAGTTATACTGGTCCTCTCAGAATACCAATTAGGTTAAAATTATACTTTTGTCCCACTTCACCAGCAAGAACAAGATACCCATTTCCTTTTTAGGAGGAAGCTTATGATGTCTGAGCTTATGATAAGGTTAGCTGCAAGGATAATGAAGCCAATGACCAGTACAGACTCTAGCTGCCCATGTGAAGTACAAACCGTTCAACAATACAGGCTGTTTTAGGACTTTAGACAGGATCATTAGGATCTAGCAACTCAATGTGTTTTCAAAACCATTTCACAGAACCTATACTTCCAGGAAATGCAGAATGTTAAACAGAGGGAGGGGTTAGGTGGTGGGATGAGGGGTGTGTGTGCATGGATGGGGTAGATATGGGTCTGCCTCATCATTCCAGGGCCTAACTTTATCACACCAGAACGGGGGCTCCAAGGTTTGAAAAGCATACATTTCACAGTTCAAAATAAAAAACCTGAACAATGATTCTACCACATGATGTGGTGGTATTCGGCACAGTAGGGATTCTTTTGGCCAAGAAGAAACAAAAGAGGCAATGGGAAGCGACTAAGTTAGGCCCTTAGGGAGGGTAGAATTGGGCAAATGAGGCTGGTTCAATGACTTTTCTTTCTTTCTTTTTGAGACGGAGTCTCCCTCTGTTGCCCAGGCTGGAGTGCAGTGGCGCAATCTCGGCTCACTGCAACTTCCACCTCCCGAGTTCACGCCATTCTCCTGTCTCAGCCTCCCGAGTAGCTGGGATCACAGGTGCCCACCACCACGCTTGGCCAATTTTCTTGTATATTTAGTAGAGATGGGGTTTCACCATGCTGGCCACGCTGGTCTTGAACTCCTGACCTCATGATCCACCCACCTCAACCTCCCAAAGTGTTAGGATTACAGGGGTGAGCCACTGCGCCCAGTGAAAGTAGGGGCTTCTAAGACACTGTCAAAGAAAAGTCACTGAGGCCTGGCGCAGTGGCTCACACCTGTAATCCCAGCACTTTGGGAGGTGAGGCGGGCAGATCACCTGAGGTCAGGAGTTTGAGACCAGCTTGGCCAACACGGTGAAACCCTGTCTCTACTAAAAATACAAAAAATTGGCCGGGTGTGGTGGCACACGCCTGTAATCCCAGATACTCGGGAGGCCGCGGCAGGAGAACTGCTTGAATCTGGGAGGTGGAGGTTGCAGTGAGCCGAGATTGTGCCACTGCACTCCAGCCTGGGCAACACAGCGAGACTCCATCTCAAAAAAAAAAAAAAAAAAAAGAAGAAGCCCCTACTTTCTACATCTACTAAATCCAAAACCAATTTCCATGCCTTGGACAGAATCCCATTAAGTCGTGTATTTTGACTGTTGTGACAGAACCTTGTGTTTTACCCTTGTTTCCTAGCTTGGCTGGCTAGTCCTTTTGAACCAAAAGGAAAAGAGGAGATACTTTAATACTATGACGTATGGTTAAGTAATTCTGCTGAACCGGAAGTTAGGGAAAAAGTTACAGAGGAGGCTGAATCTACTTTTAACTAAGAAAAACTATGAAAATCTCAGCAGAGATAGATTTTAAAGTATAAAATAAGTTACTATTTGCATTGGTCACAAGTCTATCTTCTACCCATTTTTTGCTTTTTTTTTTTGTGGGGGCAGCATTTCAAATTAAGTTGCAGACATCAGTATCATTAGTGTGGTTTTAAGAACAGATCCATCTAGTCCAAAAAAAGGAAAAAAAAAAAAGCGGGGGGCGGGGGGTTGGAGGGCATTGGGGAGGGGACACCACAGAAACTTTGTGACCTGAGACCAGATCACTCAGCTTGCCCCTTTGGAATGACAGTCAATCCTCAGTGCTCAGAGGGCCACAACCCAATATCACTCCCTTCCTCCCAGTCTGAGGGGAATGAAAACTAGATCTGTATCTGGAGAAGAATGGGGGCCCTTGTGACAGAAAATCAAATGGGAAAAATCAGGCGTGGAGCTTAGCAGTTGGGTGAGTGGGATTTATACCACTGCCCTGCCCTACCAGGGAACAGGAAAGTAATGATGTACCCTGATCCCACAAAGGCATAGAAACTGATCTAGGTGATCCAGGAAAGGCCAAGGAAAGCCTTCACTTTCACCTTCTCAGGGTACCAGCAGTTGCTGATGCTGTGGCGTAACATCACCTACTATAACACACAAGAACAAGATAGATGATGTCCTGACCTCCTCTAAGTCTCCTGGGGCTCAGCCAGAGTTGGGCTGAGCTGCAAAAACCCACAGCAGTCATTTATCACTACCCTCTGCTAAAGACCCAAGGCATCCTTTAACCACCATTTCACACAGTTTACACATAGTTATGTAACATGTAAAACCTTGAGTTCTTCAGCTAAGGAGCTGTTTACTTACCTTCAATAAAATGACAGATTCAGGAATGACGCCAAGGGTGCCTAGGGTGGCACAGTCATCACTTAAAATCTTTCCATCAATTGACAAATTCTGGTCAAAAGGAGCAACTGAAAATGCATGCATGATCTGTGCCAATATAAAAGAGAGAAAGTCCGTATAATGCAAAATACTAAGACTTATACCCTATTTAAATAAATTATGCATGGATTCTTAAAAAAAAAAAAAAGGCTTCAGAGTACAAAACCACTATTGTTTACAGTCAGCCTACTTGTTATACTCCTACTGAGGCTATCGTCCCTATATATCCGGGAACATCCTTAAGAGGTCTGGTAGAGTATTAGGAAACAATTACACATATAGATGCGTTTGTTCCTTACCTTACCAGCTTCCCAAGGATGGAGGTGTGGGGAAATAAAATGAATAAAAAGTGGGGCTGGGCTGATGGCTATTCTGAGGCTTGGGCAAGGTCATCACTGTCACCTCATCTTTCCCAGGCCCCATATCCTTTCATCAACAAGTCAAGTCCAAATTCTTTCTTTTTTCTTTTTCTTTTTTTTTTGTTGTTGTTGAGACAGGGTCTCACTCTGTCACCCAGGCTGGAGTGCAGTGGCGCGATCATGGCTCATTGCAGCCTTGAACTCCCAGGCTCAAGGGATCCTCCCACCTAAGGCTTCTGAGTGGCTGAGACTACAGATGTGTGCTACCATGTCTGGCGGATTTTTTATTTTTTATTTTTGTAGACATGAGGTCTTGCTATGTTGCCCAGGCTGGTCTCGAATTCTTAGACTCAAGCAATCCTCCCAGCTTAGCCTCCCGAAGTGCAGAGATTACAGGCATGAGCCACTGCATCTGGCCCAAAATTCTTTCTTAAAACCATCTTTAAATTCTCTCTTTTGTTCTTATTCCTTTAGCAAATGGCCTGGGGTATGTAATTCAGCCTTTGGAACTGTCACATATTCTTAGACTGAGTTTTGTCTCTAGGAAGCAAAATATGAATTTCTGAAGGGTAGGGACCATATGCCCCACCCCAGTTCTGGCCAAGTGTTAAAAATTAAATACAGCCGGGTGCAGTGGCTCTCGCCTGTAATCCCAACACTTTGGGAGGCCGAGGTGGACGGATCACCTCACGTCAGGAGTTCGAGACCAGCCTGACCAACATGGTGAAACCCTGTCTCCACTAAAAATACAAAATTAGCTGAGTATGGTGGCACATGCCTGTAATCTCAGCTACTCGGGAGGCTGAGGCCAGAGAATTGCTTGAACCCAGGAGATGGAGGTTGTGGTGAGCTGAGACCACGCCATTGCACTCCAGCCTATACAACAAGAGCGAAACTCCCATCTCCAAAAAAAAAAAAAAAAAAAAAATTAAATACTTTCCAGATGAGTGTGGTGGCTCATGCTTGTAATACCAGCACTTTGAGAGGCTGAGGCAGGTGGATCACCTGAGGTCAGGAGTTCAAGACCAGCCTGGCCATCATGGCAAAACCCTATCTCTACTAAAAATACAAAAATTTAGCTGGGAATAGTGCCATGCACCTGTGATCTTAGCTACTTGGGAGGCTGAGGGAGGAGAATCACTTGAACCCAGGAAGCAGAAGTTGCAGTAAGCCGAGATTGCGCCACTGCACTCCAGTCTGGGCGAAAGAGCAAGACACTATCTCAAAAATAAATCATACATACATTCCAAAATACTGGTATACATAATATTTAAATGTTTTTACAAATTCAGAAAGGTTTGTTTTTTAAATTTTATCATTTCTGGGTCATGTTTACCTCTGGAGGGCAAGAAGAAGTTGGGCTCAGACAGGCAAACACAGGTAACCTTCAATGACACTGTTTTAATTCTTAACTCGGTAGACAAGTTCAAGAATATTCATATTAGTATGCTTTTTAACTTACCCATAAAATGCATGCTATTACATGTATCTTATATTACACCAACACCCATGATGTCATGGGAAAACCATTCTGCCCTTTCCTGCACTCTATTCTTTGGATGTGGAAAGACAAAACGAGCCTCACAAATCAACCTTGAACTGTGTGTGTAACAGGGCCCAAGAGCTTGACAGGCCAGTGTGATGGGGACCAGAAAAGTGATTTTAATAATCGCACCAAAGACAAATAAGAACAAGGATAACAGCACTGGCCTCCTCCCTAACTGCTGGGACAGAATCTTACCTGGATTTTTCAAAAGAACATCAGCGCCTGAAAAGCAGGCAGGGATGGACTAGCCAGAGATCTGTGGCTAGCAATGAAAAGTGCACTGGCATCATCAATGGTCTTCATGAAGCAATAAGCAGGAGTACTGACAGGACAGTTCTATCCAAGCCAGCTCAGCATGCAAACATCAAGCAGAGGCATATCCAGCCCTACACCAGCAAATGTTCCGGAACCATGAAGATTGAGCAGAGCTACGGTGGATGTGTGTGATGCTAACTTAACATGGATAATGTCACAGCTGCTGGACTGTAAAAATGCTTGTTCATGCCCCTAAATGCTAAGTGTTTTTGTACTACCCTATGAAACTGGACAAACAGCAAATACCTCTAGACACAAGTGCCACAACTAAGGGGCTGACGTTCACACATTATATTCTGAGAACGGACAAGGGCACTGAGATGCTGTCAACAACTAATGAAGCATTTAATAAGAAGCTACCGTGTGTCAAGTACTGTTTTAGGTGTTGATAATATAAAAGTGAATAATCCCGCCCTAGAGGGGTTTCCAGGAGTGAGGTCAAAACAAAGTTGTGAGGATGGTAGCAGAAGGTATGTGCAGGATCTAGCGAGCACAGGGGGACAGTCAGTTCCATGAAAGGGGCCAAGACAGGTTTCACAGAAGGGTCAATATGAAAGATGAACACACGCTTCTAGAGAGAAGATGGAACAGGCCAACCAAGGCAGGGAGGCCTACGGTAAAATAATCCTTAAACTCTAAGTGCTAGGAGAATGCTTCAGTATAAAGAACACGATAGAGGTCTGCTTAACAAGTAGATGTGGCATTCCTGGTCTATGGAACTTAACAGGAACCATGAAAACCCTGTTGCTATCAGGGAGTGGCTCTCCTCTGCTTGCGATGCTGTGTGGGGCTGAAAAAAGAAAATATAGAAGCGATCGCCTCAGCTGCCAGCCATTTCACTTCTGTGCCAAAATATTCTACTTTCTCAGGCAGGCAATACCACCCACCCACTAAAGATCTATCTTTGGGAAAATGAAATAATACAACTAAACACTGCACATCTTTTGAGAAAGGAAATGAACAAATTGTACTTCATTAACCTCATGGGATCAAAGGTGGATGAATTACTGATTAGACACAGCAAGCTTTGTAATGTTTCAAGCAAACCTTACAAACTCTGATGCTATCCACACTGCCAGGCAAATAGGCTCACATCTAGTTGAAGCTTCACAAGCTCCCACCACTATGTAGTGAGGGGAAAGACCTTCTACTGCCTTTTCTTTGACTCTGTTTGGCCCGCAGTGGTCCCTGAAGCAAGAGTGGGAGATGAGACAGACATTCAGGAAGAGCACCTCTGGGGGCTGTGTGAACAGCTGCCATCTTCTAGCAGCTCATTCGGGCAGGTACATGCTCTCAGATGGAAGGGTTATTTCTGCTGACTTCTGGTTTATTCTTCAAAAATTGTAGTCCATAATAAAAGCAGCACAGGCTTTTAAAAATGTCTTTAGGCACAGGGGCTCTTTCTGTAATTTAAAGGTTTTGAATGTTCGAGGTTTCCCAATGACAGGCAGAAAGCCAGTGATAGAAACAAGGTTTCTTAGATGTAAAAGGTACAATAACAGAGTAAAGATATTATGCCAACACACTTATTTTCAGAGCCATGGGTTCAACCAAGGGAAATACTGTTGTCAGGACAATCTGGAATACATAACACCCTCAAAGGAAGGCCTGTACTTTTGCCTCAATTACAATGATAAATATCAGCAACAAGAAAAATGTGTAACCAGTAAACTATGCCACATAAAAGTAGCAAAGGAGGAAATTTGGTCAACTTTTTGGATATCTATCAGTGACTGAAACAGATTAGGGGCCAGAATTTTTTATGGACATCTTGAATTTATCAGTTCCTTCTGCCTAGGGTTTGAGATTTACCACTGGAATGCTTATTTATAGTACTTCAGTATTGATACCAAGAAATAACAGTATCATGAAACCATTTCATAATGCCTGCACTACAGCCGTGGAACTGATTTGTAAAGCAATGCATGCTTTGAGGGGGATGGAGAGGACATATCTAAAATAAATCTATATAACAATTTGGAAAACATCAAGGTAAAGATAATTTTAAAACTCTATCAAGGCCGGGCGCGGTGGCTCACGCCTGTAATCTCAGCACTTTGGGAGGCTGAGGCGGGTGGAAAACGAGGTAAGGAGTTCAAGACCAGCCTGGCCAAGATGGTGAAACCCTGTCTCTACTAAAAATACAAAAATTAGCTGGGTGTGGTGGCACGCACCTGTAATCCCAGCTACTCAGGAGGCTGAGGCAGAGAACTGCTTGAACCCGGTAGGCGGAGGTTGCAGTGAGCCAAGATGGCACCACTGCACTCCAGCCTGGGTGACAGAGTGAGGCTCTGTCTCACCAAAAAAAAAAAAAAAAAAAAAAAAAAAAAAAAAAACCCCCTCTATCTATCAAATAGATTTATCTGCCACCAAAAATACTGTGACAGCCTAGTGAATAAGCAATCACTAATCGCTAATAATAAGCTGCCTTTTATCTCCCATTAAATTTCACAGCAGTTCCTGGTAACAGCCTCCAATACCTATTAAGTGGTCAAAGAAAAGCATACAGCACAATAAAGTGAGAGAACAGTTATCCTGGCACAACCTCAACATGTGACAAATTAAGTGGTTCCCAGCGTTTCTCATTATTGGAAAGCTATTGCAGAACCAGCCCAAGTTTCCAGAACCCAAAATTCACTTTCATCTTCACAAAAAGATTTTTGGCTATTTTGAAAACTTTAAGTCTTCTGGAAAAAAACACAGATACATACATATATGTAAATACAGGTGGAAAGCAGGAATTCATAAAGGCCCTTTTAAGTCCAGAGCAAACTTGAACAAATGTTTCCCTCACCTGAATTTTCAATTCTTTTAACGTCTGATTAGCAGAAACGAGAAGTGCTTTCTCACCACGAACTTTTCTATGTCGCATACTTCGGCGAATAACTTGCTTTTGATAGGCTATATAATTTTGATGGGATATCTTTTGCCGCTTTGTTCCACCATTGCTCTATAATGAAGATTGGAAATGAAGAAAGCACTGAAATTAACCACAATGTGACCCTTGCTCATGAAGTTTTTCAGGTAAACAAAAGCTGTTTCCTTATTGGTCCCTTAACTATTTGAAATTCAATGTAAACAATGAGTAGAAACTAACGAGACTTTCTTAGCAGGCTCACATAAAATTGATAAAAGAAAATAATGAGTAATACACACCTCTAAGTGCATGTAAGCAGTTTAAATGTTTGTTACAAGAGACATTTAAGGTTTGGTGAGGAGGCTCCCACCTATAATCCCAGGAGTTCAAGACCAGCCTAGGCAACATATTAAGACCCATCTCAACCAAAAATTAGCCAGGCGTGGTGGCATGAGCCTGTAGTCCCAGCTACTTGGAGGCTGAGGCAGGAGGATCATTTGAGCCCAGTGGTTCCAGGCTGCAGTGAGCTACAATCGCACCACTGGACTCCAGTCTGCTGACAGAGTGAGACTCTGTCTCTTTTATAAAAAAGACCTTACATCAGAAAAACATAATAAACTGAAAATCTTGAGGATTACAAAACTTAGTTCATGAACAACCTGAATTTTAAACATTTTCTTCTCTTCTTGAGAATGACATGGAAACTAAGTATAAACTGTTGTGAATTTAAAAATAAAATATGGAACATTAATAAAAAAAAATCAAACTTAGTTTGACTAAAAACAAGACTTTACCACTTGTCCTAATGGCAAAATATACAGACTCACTCATAAAATATTCTTGCAAAAATGTTATACTGGAATGTAATCAAACATTTACGCCCACCTTTCAATTTACAGAAATTGGAATATAGGGGATATATAAATAAATTAAAATAAGTAACATAAAGAAGCAATCAGCCAAATACAGAACATGGAACAATCTAAAAGAAATCAAACTGGTCCAAGTTCAATGTCAAGAAGGCAAAGAGCCTGGCATGGTGGCTCACGCCTGTAATCCCAACACTCTGGGAGGCCGAAGTGGGCAGATCACCTGAGGTCAGGAGTTCGAGACCAGCCTGACTAAAATGGAGAAACCCCCCTCTCTACTAAAAATGCAAAATTAGCCGGGCATGGTGGCTCATGCCTGTAATCCCAGCTACTAGGGGGCCAAGGCAGGAGAACTGCTTGAACCTGGGAGGCGGAGGCTGCGGTGAGCCGAGATTGCGCCACTGCACTCCAGCCTGGGCAACAAGAGCGAAACTCTGTCTCAAAAAGAGAAGAAGAAGGGAAAGAAAGCGGGTGCGGAGACAGAGTAACTGTTCCAAATTCTAAGTCTAAAGTGATACAAACAACACATATCCTAATTACATACTGATTTGAGAGGAAAAAACTGTTCAAGACATATCTGAGTATGGGTATTAGAGGACATTAGGGAGTTTTCGTTAGTTTTCTTATTTATGAGCACATTATTAGTATTAGGTAGGACACTGTCTTTATTTTTAGAGGGGAAATGTCATGATGGCCATGACTACCTAAAGGTGCTGTAAAAAGGATGCCCCTGGGTGTGCATGATACATGCGGTACCAGTCAAGAAAAAAATAGATGAGGACCAAATGTCCTCTACAGTACTCCTATAAATCCCTCATCAAGAGGTTAATGATCAGAGGTTAATGATCAAGATTCTTTTGCTTTTTGTACCAAAGGTGGTGGTGGTGGCCGGTGGGGGCGGTGGGGGATGGGGGGTGAGTGAGAGGCGCAGGGGAGATTCTTCTGCTAACCAGGCCAGGGAATAAAAGAAGCAGGATTTTTAAGAAAATCTTTTCCCCTGGTTTAATTAAATCTGGATGAGGTAACCTCAAGGCCCTGGCTCTGGTTTCCACAGTCGTCACTGAATGTCAGCCGTGTATAAGCAAAGTGGTTTAACGGTCATTATAGACACAGATGCCACATACTCATTACTCATGGGCTCCACAGTTTACAAAGCAGAAGGTGATCAAGACCCAAACACAGAAGAGCATTTGTTCAGGGTGCCGACCACTGGCGAGACACTGCCTGAGGATAGTTTAGCTCTAGCCCTGAATCTACATAGGCAACTGAGTGATTCTAAGATTCACGAGAAAAAGTTAAGTGCACATGTGAGTTAAAAAGAAAAAAAAAAAATGAAACCCGATGAAACATTTTTCTCAGTCTCGACTGTTGAAAGAAAAGGTCAGGCCAGGCGTGGTGGCTCATGCCTGTAATCCCAGCACTTTGGGAGGCCAAGGTGGGCGGATCACAAGGTCAGGAGATTGAGACCATCCTGGCTAACATGGTGAAACCCCGTCTCTACTAAAAATACAAAAAATTAGCCGGGCTTGGTGGTGGGCGCCTGTAGTCCCAGCTACTTGGGAGGCTGAGGCAGGAGAATGGCGTGAACCCGGGAGGCAGAGCTTGCAGTGAGCTGAGATTGCACCACTGCACTCCAGCCTGGGCAACAGGGCAAGACTCCATCTCAAAAAAAAAAAAAAAGAAAGAAAAGAAAAGGTCAAATTGAACCCAAATTCTACAATCAGGAATATAAAGAAAAATAACTACATCAACATATAATTTTATTTTAGAAGTACAAAACACAACCAAAAACCAAAACCCTGAGCATCAAGCAAGACAGATTTTTTAATAACTCTGATTTTAAATGGATCTAAAGGCTTTTCCTGGAATTATTTCTTTCTTAATCTGGAGAATTTAAATCCAACTTAACTGACAAAAAAACCCAGCCCACTGGTTTTAGAAGGCTTTCAATTACCTAAGTGATACCCAATACCGAGTATATTATTAACCTAAATTTTTAGATGAAGTCAAAGGAGTTGGGTTGATCTAGCTTAGAGAAAAGAGGAAAAGGGATTTGTTTATCTCCACTAAGGACAAGCAGAAATGCATCATTTTTTATTACAGGGATTTAAAGCAGCAATTACAGAAGCTATCTTTGTACTGAGATATGTGATGAGGAGGGTGACATTTTGAAAATGCTGAACATTTTTCAGGGACTATCTATTCTTTTCCAAAGAGGAAGGTTACACTTGAGATTTTTTGTGAGCCAAAAATTTTTTGTGAGAAAGCAAAATGTAAAACATTTTAGAGTATTACAATATCCAAAGAAGGAAAAGGAAGACAGAAGAAAATTATAAAGTATAAAAAATAATTACAGTATAAAAAGCAATGTTCCCCAACATTCTCTATCATATTTATAAACGTGAAATCTGTTGTCATCCACAACTAAGGAGAGTGATTCCACATACACTTTGAAAAAATTGCTGTGGTCATGACCACAATGAATAAAACTAGACCACCAAAAAAAAGTTAGCTTTCTAAAATCTAAATCACTTGAAAATGTAGATAGTTTCTAAATAACTCTTAGGGTGAAAAGCAAAGCTTAAAATAACAAACTAAAGACAGTAAGAACATTGTGTCAAGTTTAACAAACTAATTTACAAAGTTAACCAGAGAACAGATAATTAGTGACAGCAGGCAATAAAAGATTTGATTCCCCCATCCTGGATATCACGGTGAAACCCCGTCTCTACTAAAAAATACAAAAAATTAGCTGGGCGTGGTGGCGGGCGCCTGTAGTCCCCGTTACTGGGGAGCCTGAGGCAGGAGAATGGCTTGAACCTCGGAGGCGGAGCTTGCAGTGAGCCGAGATGGCACCACTGCACTCCAGCCTGGACGACAGAGCAATACTTGGTCTCAAAATAAAAAAATTTGATTCCCAACTGATTATTAAGCCATACTACCAAGTGATAATAACTAAAACATACGGTACTGCCAGCCAAACAGACAAAAGAGAATGGAGTCCTGAATCGGGATGGATATGTACACCCATACACCCAAATGCATGTACATGCACAGAGTCTTGCTCTGTCGCCCAAGCTGGAGTGCAGTGGCACAATCTCGGCTCACTGCAACCTCCACCTCCCAGGTTGAAGCAATTCTCATACCTCAGCCTCCCCAGTACCTGGGATTACAGGCCCACACCACCACACCTAATTTTTTTTTTTTTTTTTTTTTTTTGAGGCTGAGTCTTGCTCTGCCGCCCAGGCTGGAGTGCAGTGGCGAGATCACGGCTCACCGCAAGCTCCGCCTCCTGGGTTCACGCCATTCTCCTGCCTCAGCCTCTCGAGTAGCTGGGACTACAGGTGCCCGCCACCACGCCCGGCTAATTTTTTGTATTTTTAGTAGAGACAGGGTTTCACTGTGTTAGCCAGGATGGTCTCAATCTCCTGACCTCGTGATCTGCCCGCCTCAGCCTCCCAAAGTGCTGGAATTACAGGCATGAGCCACCGTGCCTGGCCTAATTTTTGTATTTTTATTTATTTATTTATTTTTGAGACGGAGTCTCGCTCTGTCACCCAGGCTGGAGTGCAGTGGCGTGATCTCAGCTCACTGCAAGTTCTGCCTCCTGGGTTCATGCCATTCTTCTGCCTCAGCCTCCTGAGTAGCTGGGACTACAAGTGCCCGCCACCACGCCCGGCTAATTTTTTTTGTATTTTTAGTAGAGACGGGTTTCACTATGTTGGCCAGGCTGGTGTCGAACTCTTAACCTCAAGTGATCCACCCGCCTCGGCCTTCCAAAATGCTGGAATTACAGGCGTGAGCCACTGCGCCTGGCCACACACACACACACACACTTTTAATATATCAACTGAAAAGCACACAATCGAGTTTGCACAAATGTGGCTCGAAAGATGGCTTGTATAGACCACAGAGATGTCCCCGCCACAGAGATGGGGACATGAAAACAGAGTTGACAACAGGGTAAAGGGCGGCAGCAAAGTCATGTCTGCAAACGCTTGTGGAGACATATTAGTAGAGTCAACTAATATGTCTCCACAAGCGTTTGCAGACATGACTTTGCTGCCCTTCTTTACCCTGTTCCTTATGCCAAGGAGCACAAGATGTATATATGCACACAGAGTTTAATAAGGGCATCACTTACTATAGAAAAATATCCCCTTTAAACTGAAAACCTGCATTCTCATCAAGTGTACAGATTTGGTTAGCACTGAAGCAAAGGGCCCTCCAGTGTTGACTGACTGAAATACAGACTGGGAAGGACAACTTAAAGAGTGGCTGATCACTGTCACAAACTGCATGATTTTGCTTCTTCACAGGTGTTTTGAGGTTATTTTATGAGCGCCAATAAGCCACGGAAAACAAATGCTGACATCCCTTTACACCGGTTGGGAAACCACAAGTAACATTTATTTTGGGCACACCAAGATTCAAATCAAGACGGCTTTTCAGACTCTCTCAATCAATGTTAAAAATGAAGTAACAGTATCAACATGCAGACAGGCCAACAAGCCCAGATACCTCTGCCCTGTCACAGATATTGCAGATGGCTATTGTAACACTTTCATTCTTTCAGGGAGAACACCATCCACAATTTCACTACACTATTTTAGTAGTAAAGAAAGAAAACAAACATCTCATCTGTTAAAAATAAAACTTTGAGTAGAAAATCCATGAGTTTAAAGTACAAAATATCCTCCAATGTGGGGGTCTGACTTTTTGAGAAGCTGAAACTTATCTCCACCTACATCAACCATATTCCCACGATTTCCTGTTCTCAAAAGACAATTTATGGGCCGGATGCGGTGGCTCACGCCTATAATCCCAGCACTTTGGAAGGCCAAGGCGGGAGGATCATGACATCAGGAGTTCAAGACCAGCCTAGGTGAAACCCCGTCTCCATTAAAGATACAAAAAATTAGCCAGGAGTGGTGGCGCATGCCTGTAATCCCAGCTACTTGGGAGGCTGAGGCAGGAGAATCACTTGAACCTGGGAGGTGGAGGTTGCAGCGAGCCGAGATTGTGCCACTGTACTCCAGCCTGGTTGACAAGGCTAGGATCCATCTCAAAAAAAAAAAAAAAAAAAAGGCCGGGTGCGGTGGCTCCTGCCTGTAATCTCAGCACTTTGGGAGGCTGCGGTGGGCGGATCACGAGGTCAGGAGTTCGAGACCAGCCTGGCCAACACAGTGAAACCCCGTCTCTACTAAAAATATAAAAAATTAGCCGGGTGTGGTGGTGGGCGCCTATAATCCCAGCTACTTAGGAGGCTGGGGCAGGAGAATCATTTAAACCCAGGAGGCGGACATTGTGGTGAGCTGAGATAGTGCCATTGCACTCCAGCACAGGCAACAGTGCGAGACTCCATCTCAAAAAAAAAAAAAAAAGAAAAAAAAAGAACCAATATCCCATACAGGGTACAGAGACATGGCCAGGGGCTTCGAGTGGCTGCTCTATAAGAACAGCAGAAAGTATAACAATGAAAAGCAGCTTCAACACATACTTGATTAAAATCTGGATCTTTTTCTCCATCTGGTTTAGCTTCTTCCTTGTCCTCCTCTGTTTCAGAACTACTCACATTCAGTTCCGGAGCCGAATCCTTCATCACCTGAATGTGCCAGGACAACAAAGAGAAGTAGGTCAGACCCTAGGAAGGCAGGCTATGGAGGATGTGGGGGCTGGGACCGGCAACCTTTATCAAGACGAGGAACACCTTTATCATGGTGGGATTATAGACTGGAGAGTGGATCAAGAATCAAGCCTTCACGGTTTTCTATGCTCTTTTAACATGTTAGTTTTTTACCCTATGACTTATTCTTGTAGTATTTAATGTGCTCACCATACATTTAAGAGGTCTCTGCAGAGCAGTTATTATTATCAGTCTTGTACAATGATGTTATTTTGCAGAAGTTCGAAGGTGCTTGACACCTTCCCGAGCACACTGATTGCCAAGCCTTTTCAAGTTCTCAAACTATTCAAGTGGCAGGAGTTACATGCTCTTTAAGAATTGAGAAAACGAAAGATGGAAGAAGCGCTCTCTTGCAAACACTATGAAATACTCTTATTAAACTGAATAATGAAACTACATCTAAATTGGATAATATTTTATACCAGAGAACAAAAGATTTAAGAAAATTTTACAGGGAGAAACAGAGACATTTATACTCATTAACTTCATTTTCTCGGCAAATTAGGAAATGAAGGCCTTAGTTTATTTAGCTTGTAAAGCAGAACCCTTGGCCTCCAGGGCATAATTATAAGTTACCCTTCTAAAAAATGTGTTTGGAAACAAGCATCAAATAAAATGTATTCCATTTTGTCTTTAATCCCAGAAAGCATGGAATTAAATAAATTAATAAGATATCTAGAGATATGGGTCAGGATCTACCCAAGAGCCATCCCTAATATAATAAAAATGCTTGGAAATCCAATCCAAGCAAGTATTAACACCTCCACTTCCCAAACATATCCAATCAATTTCACCTATCCTTGCAGGTCAATGGAAGAGGCTCTAACTGACCTCTCTTATTTCTGTTATGCCCTCACAGCAATTCCAAACACTATAGCCAGGGTGATTTTTTTTAAACTATAAATCAGATCATATCATGACCTTGCTTGAAACTCTCCAGGGGCTTATATCTACACTGGGAATAAACCCAAATCCTTGGTATGATGTATAAAACCTGATAGTGTATGGTCGTTCATTCCATATCATGATCCCTTCTTGGAATAAATTTCATTCTAGACCAGCAATAGCCACTAGGGTAGCCATTAGCCACATGTAGCTATTTAATTTTAAATCAACTAAAACTAAATTCCTCAGTCACGCTAGCCACATCGAATGCTCCACAGCCACACATGGCCAGTGACTACTGCAGTGCGCAGCACAGATACAGAACCTAGAACCTGTCTATCACCACAGGAAGCTCTATTGGACAGCACTGTTCTAGGTGCAATGGTTTTCACTCTGTTGCATAAGCACATTAGGCTTATCCTTTTGACCTTTGTTTCCTTTGTCTGGAAAACACTTCCCAGGCTGCATCCCTGACAGTGAGGGCTTGGGTAAAAACAACTTCTCCAAGACGCCTCTCCTGTCTACTCCCTGTCTCACACTAACCTCCACTTGACCCTGCTAAAGTTCCTTCAAAACAATCATTTCTGTGTGAAATCATATGAATTTATACTTTATTCCTGATCTTCCTCACTAGGTGCCTATAATTTTGAGAGAAGGTATTATACCTGCCTTCTTTATCACTGTATCCCCAGCACCTGGACCATTCCTGGAACACAGCTGACATTCAGTAAATATCTATGCATCAATTAATAACAAACTAAATTCTCATATAATCACATAACTGTTCATTTTCAATTATTGTCCAATTTCAATTCTGATGCCAAACAGCTCTGAAGGAACAAAAATGCAGTCCTAGGCAGACCCTCAGTGCAAATACAACAGCAAATCAAGCCAAAGAGCACGCTTGATCATTACTAGTCATTGCCACAAGAGGGACCAGTACCTTTTTATTATCCACAACTTTATGGACATAGATGGTGGCTTGAGTGTATTCACGCAGGTCCCTCTGCTGCTGACACAATAAGCCTTCTCTGCATTCTGGACAGAGTTCTTTGGGGGAAAAAAAAAAAGGGAAAACAGAAGTGGCTGAGGAATCATTGTTAAAGAATCAAAGATCTAAAAACATATGTCAAAGTTACTAGTGAATATTCATTAAACTCTTAGTAACATTTTCTTTTTTTGAGACAAGGTTTTGCTGTGTCACCCAGGCTGGGGTACAGTGGTATGAACATAGCTCACTGTAGCCTCAAGCTTCTGGGCTCAAGCCATGCTCCTGACTCAGCCTCTCAGCGAGTAGCTCAAGACTACAGATATGTGCTACATTTTTATTATTTTGTAGAGAGAAGGTCTTGTTATGTTGCTCAGGCTGGTCTGAAACTCCTGGCCTTAAGCAATCCTTCCACCCTAGTCTCTCAAAGTATTAGGATTATAGGTATGAGCTAGTGTGCTGGCCCAAACTCTTAATAATATTTTCTATTAACCACTATATTCTATTACATGCAAATGATAAGGAAATCCATTTACTGTCCATAAATAAACGTACAAATAATGGGATGATTATAATGAGAGTTTCCACCTAGGGAGTTGGGACCGCCGCATGATCTTTAACTTTAAGCAGACAACACTGACACACCCTTTCTTCTTAAAATGTCAGCTCTTAACTATAGAAACCGAAAGCAATATGAAAACTTACTGGGCTCAGAAATATACTGTGTTTCTGAAGGGTTTACATCTCCCACTTCAATTCTCGTGATTTTAATTACATGATCCACAACAAAGAGCTTTTGTATCATTTGCCACTCACTGGGCCATATGAGAGCTATACTGTGCAAAAAAAAAACACAACATGCCTTAAGACACATGGAAATTAAGAGAATTAACATAATCCATTAGTCTGCTAAACCAAAACCATTAACACTAACATTTAATCCAAAGGAATTAGAGAGAAAAGATACGTATCATCAACAAAGAATAGTTTTTCATACAAAGGAATGTTACCACAGCAGCGAAACTAAATGGACTGAAATTACATGAATCAACATGGTTAGATCTCAAAAACATAATTGAGTAAAATAAGTTAGTTGCAGAAGTATAAATACAGTATGGTGCCATTTATATAAAAAGTTTTAAATATGCAAGACATTATGTGCGTGCATTTTTTTTTTTTACAGAATACTTTCTGAGACAGATAAACTCTAAATTCAGTACAGTGGTTAGTGTGAGAGGAAGGGTGGGAGAAAGAGAAGTAGCAACAGAAGGATAAGCACTGTGGGGCCTTTAATCATATTTGAACCATTTAACTTTTAAACTGAATGGTAACACACATTTGCTTACTGGTGTATTTTCCTGGAAGTCTGACATTTGCAATAACAACGACAGGAAGAAAGGGAGGGAGGAAAGAGAAGAGAGATGCACAGCGAGAGTGAGAGAGCAACAGGGAAGGCGGGATGCAGAGAGGGAGGGAGAGAAAGAGGAGGGAGAAAATGTAGAGAATATATAAACTTTGAACTCCCTTAAATGATGTTAAAGTACTGAAATATGAATAATAAAACTCTAGCTTAACCCCAAGGGCATTTTTATTTATGTGTTCCAATTTCCTTTTCCTGATTTTCTGACAATGTTGGAAGCATTCTACCTTCTCGTATATCACGATTTTTGGTAAAATCGGGAGAAATTCACAGATGAACACCTCTGGAAGTACTTGAAGCATGGAATAAAATTTGGGTTCTAAGACCCTAGAATTCCAGATGACCAGTGCAGTGGCTTTGCTCTGCCACCCTGCTAGCCTCCTCCTTTAATTGTCTGAAGCCTGGCCATGGCAGAACAAAACCTATAACCAAGACCATGTTGATTCTGTGATTCTGGAAAAGAGGTCTCAGCACTGGTCACCAGCAGCGGGGGAAGAGAAAGGGTGGCTGTGTTGTCTTCAAGAGGGACAAGGAAAGAGCAAAAAGACAAATAGCCTCGGGCAGCCTCTTGTCTTTCCTGGAGAAGCAGTCTTCTTCTCTTTTAAAAGGGGAAAAAAAAACCCCACAATTCAGCAAAGGACTAAATTCTTAAAACAGACTATGTCAGATGAGAAATTTCCTAAACATATTTTATTAATCATCAAAAAGAGAAAAGAAGAAAAAAAAATCACATGAAGAGAAGGAACTCACAGTTTAGAATCTTCTTTGGTCATGGAAGCAAATGTAAACATGAGGCCCCCGTGGGGACACAAAAGAGCACTGTTCCCAACTGATGACACAGGGCTGCATCTTGTAGGCTTTCTACTCAAATGAGACAAGGAGGAGAAATATACCTAATTACTGCATGACGAAAGAGAAGATTTTAAAATAATTATTTCAAAATCAGAGATATATTTAAGAAAATATTAGTAATTCAATGTGTTTCTTAGGCTTATTCATTTAATTAATAGAAAAGAAAGCTTTCAGTGTATGCTGGTGAAAGTAACCATGAAGGAAGGGTACAACAAACAGAATCCACGATATCTTAAAAAATACCAGAGTCAACCAAATCAGTAACAATAAAGGAAATAAAACATATTTTGTTTCTACCTAACAAATTTCCGCCACTCTTCTACAAAGAACTGAGACACGATGTAGAGGACATCCGTATCCTAGAACACAAAAATCACAAAACAGTATCCGTCAATTCACCGCCTGCTTAACACAAATTCCTTATAATATACTTTGGTTGTCCTTATTCAAGTTTTATAAATAAAATGAAAACACAGTCCTCTACCAAAAAATAGCAGGCTGGAGTAAATCCCCTGGTTAGATAACTAAACAAATGAGAATATGAGAAGTTCTGGGTTGTTCTGAAATAGCTCACTGGGAATTTGGCAAGGGCTTTAAAAAGAAAAGATGCATTCTTTCTTTTGTGGGAATCATTATACCTCTGGCCAGTTACTGAGACACGGTCTGTTTTTATCCTGGAACAAATTTGGGAGAGAAGTCTTTTGCTCGTTTGCAATCATCTTATGTAAGGCTTCATTTTCTTCCCCTTCTCTTTCTAAAATCTGAAAGAGAATGAAGCAATCAACTGTCTCCTGCTGACAGCACATGACCTGCCTCCTCCCTACACCCCCGTCAGAAGTACAGTGTTAATTCCCCTGGGAAGTCAACCCAGGGAGGTGGCATGCCATTTCCCCAGATGTCAGTAGCGTTCAGTACCTTGCACTGTGAACAGCACTCTTTGTAACTTGGAAACTCAGGAGCCTTTGGAAAGTACTGCTGCAGTTTGCTCCAAGCCTCTTTAGAAACAAGCCTTCTTTCATTTTCAGATATGCATAACTCACCTGAGTTTAAAAAAATATATTTGGAAAAAAAAAAAACAGCTGAAAAAAAGTCATTATCTATTTCCTATTTCTTAAACTTAAGAAAAATCCACAGGTACGCTTTTCTTGCTTTGCTAAAGTTTGGTATTTCTAGCTCTCTTTTCTTGTTTTCAAAAACTTCTGAATTTCCGATTTCATTTTAATTCTAAAGGAGGTAGCCATTAACCTCAATTTTACGTCCTTAATCTAGGTCTGTGATTGAAAAAAAAATCATGAGATAAAAACAAACGTACAAAGCTAAAACCGTGCATTTTCTTTCTCCTTGCAAGGAAGGAAGTAGTCAAAAATGGGATTCCAGGAGTCCTGGGACCTCTGTGCCATGGCAAGCGCTGCTTAACAAAATTACATCTACTCCCACACTCAAAGGTTATCATTTCCTGCAGACTTTATTGCCTCCCATTTGACTAATCTTGAAATCACACTGCATTAAAATAATATTTTGTAAGCTGTGTCCAGCCATCACAAGACCACTGCCTTAAGTTATCAATTCAAAGTTATCAATTCAAACAGAAGATAAAGCAATCTACTGCTCAATCTGAAAACCATCTCCAGTCAAGCACCAACTTCTTTGCTATTTGCAATTTATTTTGAAGATCCCCTTCAATCTTCAAAAATCCCAGAAGATATAAAAAAATAATACTAGTCACCGCCACCCTGCCAGGACCTTTCTCCTCTGGCTCTACTTGTGGTTATACTTACTGTTGTTTCAGCTGTTCCCAAGCAGTAAGTTAGTGAACTTCACTTATCTACCCATATCGGTCATTACCCAGAAAACTATCTTTAAATTTCTAAAGTCATATGTTTGTTTCTGCACCCATTGGCAAGGTACCTACAGATTTATTAAGAGTAATAAAGCCATGAGCTTTCTAAATACATACTACACTTTCCATAATAAATGAATTTAGAAAGATGAATATAACCAGGCAGAGTACAGCTAGTGAGTAATAAAGCTGGGATACGAAACCAGGTCTATAGGCCAGGCACAGAGGCTTGCTCCTGTAATCCCCAGCACTTTCGGAGGCTGAAGCAGGTGGATCACTTGTCAGGAGTTTGAGACCAGCCTGGCCAACATGATGAAACCCTGCGTCTACTAAAAATACCAACATCAGCCAGGTATGGTGGTGCTTGCCTGTAGTCCCAGCTACTCCAGAGGCTGAGGCAAGAGGACTCCTTGAGCCTAGGAGGCAGAGGTGGCAGTGAGCCAAGATAACCACCATTGCACTCTGGCCTGGGCAACAGAGAGAGACGCCATCTCAAAAAAACAAAACAAAACAACACAAAACAAAACAAACAAAACAAAACTAGGTCTGAGGCTGGGCTTGGTGGTTCACACTTGTAAGCCCAGCACTTTGGGAGGCTGAGGGGAGCAGATCACGAGGTCAGGAGTTTGAAACCAGCCTGGCCAACATGGCGAAACCCCGTCTCTACTCAAAATACAAAAATTAGCCAGGTGTGTGGCAGGCACCTGTAATCTCAGCTACTCAGGAGGCTGAGGCAGAAGAATCGTTTGAATGCAAGAGGCAGAGGTTGCAGTGAGCCAAGATTGTGCCATTCCACTCCAGCCTGGGCGAGGAGCAAGACTCTGTCTCAAAAAACAAAAACAAACAAACAAACAAACAAACAAACCCAGGTCTATAGCTCATTCGAACCCCATAATATATTTTAAAATTTATTTATTTATTTAATAGAAAACAGGCCGGGGGCAGTGGCTCACGCCTGTAATCCCAGCACTTTAGGAGGCTGAGGTGAGTGGATCACAAGGTCAGGAGTTCAAGACCAGCTTGACCAAAATGGTGAAACCCTGTCTCTACTAAAAATACAAAACAAATTGGCCGGGAGTGGTGGTGTGCACCTGTAATTGCAGCTACATGGGAGGCTGAGGCAGGAGAATCGCTTGAACCCGGGAGGCAGAGGTTGCAGTGAGCCAAGATCGCACCATTGTAATCCAGCCTGGGTGACAGAGCAAGACTCCGTCTCAAAAAAAAAAAAAAAAAAGAAAGAAAAGAAAAGAAAAGAAAAGAAAACAGAGTCTCATTCTGTCCCCTGGGCTGGAGTACAGTGGCACGATCATAGCTCACTGCAGCCTCGACCTCCTGGGCTCAAGCGATCCTCCTGCCTTAGCCTCCTGAGTAGTCTGGCTAACAGGCATGAGCCACCATGCCCGCCTAATATTTTATTTTGTAGAGAGGGAGTCTCTCGAACTTCTGGTTTTAAGCAACCGTCCTACCTCAGCCTCCAGAAATGCTGGGATTATAAGCATGAGCCACTATGCCTGGTCCCTATAATTTATAATACCTCAGAATGCAACTTAACTTCTACCCCTCACCTCTTCTGGATCTTTGAATAATCCCCAAAAGATTATTTTGCTTTAACAGACTTGTTACCAGAGAAATGGGGTCAGAATGTAAACATGTATTTCCTTCTGGGTGGGCTGTTAATTTAAATTTCCCGTGAGTCTATGAAAACTTATTCTAACGTGCCCATCCTCAGACACAATTAGGGAATTTATTTTTAAAAATGAAAGAAAAAGGTTAATTGGATTATCAAACCTTAACTTAGTAAGTCCTTATGTGAAATACAACGTAACCATAAAAAAGATTAAGGTAGATTTCCATGACCTGATTTGGAAAGAACTCCACGGCAACTACAATATTTAAATGGTTTCCTTTTTATGCTTTAAAAAAAAAAAAAGAGAGCTTCTTTGTGTGTGGTATAACCCCATGTGGTTATGAGGAAACAATAATGGGAATGCACACACAAACTTTACTATTAAATGAGCAGAGGAGACCACAGACACTGTGGGTGCACGGCTTCATTCTGATGTGGGGGTACTTTTAGGTAGTGACTGGCTTTTAAGTGGGATGAGTGTTTTTCATATGACAAGGAAAGAACAACCCAAATTCATTTCTGAGATCAGAATAATATTAAATAGTCATTTTACTGTAGTCTAGTTGGTAATAAAAATATATAGTCCTTCACTCTACTTGTTAGCTGAGTTTCTAAATATAATTTCCTATTATTCTAATAATTACTACCATAGTAGTTGTTAATATATCATTAATATTAACTATGAATATTAATACAATTAATTAAATTAATGTAATGAATGATAATGAAGTAAATATACTTGAATATTGTCTATGACCTCAAAATAGTTAAATAAATTTGGGTTGCTCTTTTCACTGGGACACATAAATTGTTAGAAATTAAACTTGTATCCTGCAATGAAACATGTTATTTCTTAAATTTTAAGAGAAAGCCAATCAACTAAATCCATTCTATGAGCAATACCTCCCAAAACAAGATCAAAGCAGTCAAGAGAGATTCAATTCAGTAAACATAACTAGAATATCTAAAACTCAAAGATTCTTTGGTAAAAAGAGAAATCTAGTTAACAATGAATTTAGATACTGGATAAATGACCCTCAACCCCTCACCCTCAATCTAGTTCAAACTGTATATAATACTTTGGGCCTCAGGACATCTCAAGAAGTACTTTCAAAATAACAAAACAAAACACAGCCCATCGTCTAAGCAAACTAGGTGTAATAAACAAGGTAAGCTATAGGAAGGTTATTCACTTAAAGGAATAAAAAGTAAAATGGGTAAGAAAGCTTGATATATATAATATCTGTATTATAAAGCTTGTTATATAATATCTGCAACAAATACTGAACTCTAGGATAGTAAATCTTCCAATGGAATATAATCCAATGACTAATTCACACAAAACCTGTGATACATTAAATACATACAACACGTTAGAAATATATAGGGGTTTTGTTATAAAAATATGAAAATTTAAATCAAGGACTTTCCAGGTTAAAATGATGTTTAAAACTGCATTTACTTTAAGTGCCTCATGAAACATCATCAAATCACAATAAAGAATTAAAAAAAAAAAAACTTTTATTTTTAGAGACAGGATCTCACTCTGTCACCCAGGCTGGAGTGCAGTGGCGTGATCATAGCTCACTGTAACCACAATCTCCTGGGCTCAAGCAATGCTCCTGCCTCAGTTTCCTGGGCATCTAGGACTACAGCCGTGTGCCACTTTGCCTAATTTTTATTTTATTTTTTAAATAGAGGTGGGGTCTCACTATGTTGCCCAGGCTGCTCTCAAATGCCTCAGCCTCTTGAAGTGCTGAGGTTATAGATGTGAACCACCACACCAAAGGAATTATTTATATATATATATAAAAGACATACAGTTATAATGATGAAGACAACAGAGGCAACAACAGGGATAAAAATTATAAGGGTTTAAAAGAAGGTTAATGAGACACAATAAAAATTAACTCTAAGTTGGCGAAAGTCAAGAAGTAGCCAGATTTGCTACACTGCAGTACTGTCCCACAGACCCAAAAACTGGGTCCTCATGAAGTAAAGGTAGGGATTTACAAAAAATGAGAGAAGGGATGGAAAGTCTATTTAAGAAGTATGTAGTTAGATGCTCAGTCCCCTTCTCTGCCCTTGAGATCACTGCCCCCTCTAGCCACAAAAGACTAGATGCTTATTCTAGGACAACAAAACCTAAGGCCCCTGAACAGGGGACACAAAACACAGAGACAAATGAAGTGACAAGCTGAGACAGGGATAATTAAACCTTTCCACTCTTCAATGCAGGGACTCCTAAGTCCTCTTCTTTCTACAGCTTCCGAAGAGCGACAGCAGGTCTGAATTTTCCAGGCAGGCAAATAAAAGATACTTACGGAAAAACCTTAGTGGCCCAATAGCAGACAGTGCCATTGGGAATTTCCCAGTGAAACAAGCCAGCTGGGGCTCCGAACTAGTGAAGCTCAGTCACCAAGCCCCTCCAAAACACACCTGGCTTCCACAGAGTGCCTAGCATAATAAATGAACCCGTACAACATTGGGGACAAAGATCTTACAAGCCTACCAGAAACTGAAGTGGAGAAAAATTACCAAGAAACAATGGCTTTGGACTTCTGAATGGTACGTCCAGAGCACTACCACAAAAGTCTCTTAAATTTTCACGGAAAAAATATTTCCAACAGACAACTAAATACCTAGGCAAAATTATCCATTCAGTATGGTGATCCTAGACAGGTGACTCTTGCCTCTCTGTGCCTCAGTTTACTTACTCATCAGTAGAATGGATGTGATAATATACTGATAGCACAGAGTTGTTATAAGATTAAATGAGTTGGATGGGCATGATGGCTGACGCCTGTAATCCCAGCACTTTGGGAGGCCAAGACAGGCAGATCAACTGAGGTCAGGAGTTCGAGACCAGTCTGGCCAACATGGCAAAACCCCATATCTACTAAAAATACAAAAATTAACTGGGAGTGGTGGCACATGCCTATAGTTCCAGATACTTGGGAAGCTGAGGCAGGAGAATCACTTAAACCCAGAAGGTGGAGGTTGTAGTGAGCCGAGACTGCACCATTGCGCTCCAGCCTGGGCGACACAGTGAGACGCCATCTCAAAAAAAACCAAAACAAAATAGATAAAATGAGTTAATATTTATAAATGTGGAAAACTACAGGCAAATGGTAAACATTCAATAATTGCCCACTATAATCCTCCTCTTACCAACATCATCAGCACACCTCCAGAAAGTGGTTTTAACAGAAACTTAATGAGTAAAGTGGATTTCTAAGTAAGGCTGGGTATCCTATACCAGAAACATTTTACCCTGGACGCATGGTATGCTGGCAGATAACGTAACACAAAAACAAAGGTAGAAAACTATCCTTTTTTTTTTTTTTTTTTGAGACAGGGTCTTGCTCTGTTGCCTAGGCTAGAATGCAGGGGTGCCATCTTGGCTCACTGCAACCTCCGCCTCCTGGGTTCAAGCAATTCTCCTGGGTCAGCCTCCCGAGTAGGTGGGATTACAGGCGTCCACCATGACATCCAGCTAATTTTTGTATTTTTGTAGAGATGGGGTTTCACCATGTTGGCCAGGCTGGTCTCAAACTCCTGACCTCAACTGATCCGCCTGCCTCAGCCTCCCAAAGTGCTGGGATTACAGGCGTGAGCCACCACACCCAGTCATACTATCCTTTAAAATATTAGAGAACAAAGTATGGCATCAAAACACTAGAGTTACAGATCAAGACAACAGCCTAAAAAAATAACCCTTGTATACAATTTCTTCCTCTCTCCCTCACTCCCTTTCTCATTCCCTCCCTCCCTCCCTTTCTTTCTTTCTCTTTCTCACTCTCTCTTTCTTTTTTGTTTTGTTTTGAGACAAGGTCTTGCTTGGTCGCCCAGGCTGGAGTACAGTGGCACGTGAATATGGCTCACTGCAGCCTCGACCTCCTGGGCTCAGGTAACCCTCTCAATGTAGCCTTTCATGTAGCTGGGAAAACTGATGCATACGATCACCACCCCTGGCTAATTTCTTGATCTTTCTGTAGAGATGGGGTCTTGCCATGATGCCAAGGCTAGTCTCAAACTCTTGGACTCAAGTGATCCTCCCACCTTGGCTTCCCAAAGTGCTGGGATTACAGGTGTGAAGCCACTGTGCCCGGCCTCTTATGTACAATTTCTGATAGGCTGGGGAGTGGAGTATGTGTCCTGAAGCAACATTCGGCTTTGCCATGCTTTGTATTCAAAACTGTCAGTACTGAAATGACATGATAAGAGGTGGGAAGGCAGAGCAAAGGTCAGTGAGCTAAGGAGCACGAGGGCAATCTAAGTTCCAGCACTGTTTCAAGTGGTAGCACCAAGCATGACACAGTATTTTGCCACAGATGCTTCAACTCTCAATATGGAGGCACCAATCCTATGTCCACATCTATGCTGTGAAGGTTAGAAAAGGTGATATGAGAGTATCACTGGAAAAATACACTCCTTTTGGCTATTCACCCAAACTTCCTTCCCCTGTTTATTTCCTCGTGCTATTCAGCACTCACGAGGTCAACTCATCTTCTCCTGCTGTGCACCTGTAGTGTAAAAGACCAACCAGTAGACAGATAGGGTGATACGATGGAAAGAACAGAGGAACTTGGGACTCACAGAGACCAAGACCCAAACACACACCCCAGGATGGCCCCTTCCTAGTTGTGTGGCCTGTAAATGGGAATGCCACTCACTTCGCAAGCTAAAGTGCAGTGAGATAATCCAGAATGCTAGTACTACTCTAGTGGCAACCACCATCACTAGTATCATCAAGGGCACTTCATATAAAAGTGCCAATGTGCATCAGGGATAAGAATGAGACATCATCCACTGGTTCACAGTGAACTGATGAAACAAGAACTACAGTTAGGAATTCATTAGGATCAACAGGAGTCCTAAATATTAGCAATAAATTACCACATAACAAGAAACACATGAACATGGGTTAACAAAATGAACCACTGACAAGCCAACTTTTCTGTGTCAAATTTATTGTCCTATTGATTTTATTTTAAAGAGATGGGGTATCGCACGGTCGTCCAGGCTGGAGTGCAGCGTCGTGATCATAGCTCACTCTAGCCTCAAACTCCTGGGTCAAGTGATCCTCTCACCCTCCTGAGAAACTGAAACTGCAGGCACATACCACCAAACCCACTTAATATTTTTTTAGAGACAGGGTCTTGCTGTGTTGCCCAGACTGGTCTCAAAATCATGGGCTCAAGCGATCCTCCTACCTGAGCCTTCCTAGTAGCTGGGATTATAGGTGCAAGCTACAGCACTCAGTGCTCAGACTCTTTGGAGGTGGGAAGGGGAACTTATGAAGTAGAAAGCTTTGAGAAACAGACACCTGCTTGACTTTCACGGTGCTATTAGAATAGAAAATTATGCCTAATATATGATGAATCCCTTGCACGATCATCTTGTAAAAGCTACTTGTTAGAAGTAAGCATTCACCAAGACCAAGTAAAGAAATACATGAACCAATACATAGGATTAAATAAGGATTTAGAATTTAGCTTTTTAAAAAATTATCTAGCACATAGTACACAGCAGCTGGTCAATACACAAACAAGAAACTAAACCAAGCCGAGCCCAGTGGCTCGTGCCTATAATCCCACCACTATGGAAGGCCAAGGTGGGAGGCAAATTTAAAAATTAGCTGGGTGTGATGGCGCATGCCTATGGTCCCAGCTACTCAGGAGGCCAAGGCAGGAGGAACACTTGAGCCCAGGATGTTGATGCTGCACTAAGCTAGGACAGTGACAGTCAGAGATCTTGTTGCACAGATAAAAAAATAAATAAAAAACCATAGATAGCCCTAACAAGATGAAGAAGAAGAAACATACGAGCACTATTCTCAAAGTGTTTAACTTGGACAATGACAGTCATGGGAAACAACTGAAATTCAATACTTCAAATTCAAAAGCACTTCAATGGAACAAGTGACAAGAAGTTTCTTTTCCAATGATTTCCTCTAAATATGGGGAAATTCTATTAAAAAAAATTTTTCCCAGGTAAGATGTGAGAGATACTGGCATGAAAGCCAGGCAGTAGAAGCTAAAAGTAAAAAAAAGGACAATAAAACAGAATTCATTTATGCTTCTAGCTTACCATGTGGACACAGAATATCTTCATTAAAATTTAATTCCTCCTCTTCTTTTCTTTCTTCCTTTGATTCATCTAATCAAAAGAAATACAAATGATATCTGCTGTGGTTATTGTGTACTTAAAGTTGAAAGTAGCAGATATACTACTCTGCACAATTTGGAACAAAGAAAACTTTAAAACTCTGAAAATTAGACCCATGTGATTCCTACACAGTTCTGCTAAAAAGTGTTATATTTCTTTCCCTTAAAAGGAAAGAGGAACATCTCAATGACAGTTAACTTTTAAAGATTTAGGTTATGCAAGAAAATGTGCTTTTTTAAATTCAAAAAATGGAATTCTTCTATTAATTCTAGTCAAAGTATCGAGAATACTGTGTCATAAACCAAGTTAATCATCTACATGTCATGTCATGGCATGTCATTTTCACCTACCTACACTTTTTGGGGGTGAACACAAAGCATTAAAGGCAAATTAAATAAGGACTTAACCTTTATCATCAAACAGAGTACTCCCCGCTGATCAGTCAGGGCATATGTTCTAAGACCCTCAATGGATGCCTAAAACCTACCACCGAACTCAATAAACATCCATTGGCACATTTCTGTTCATGTCTTCCACCCACAAGTTTAATGCCTTTTCCATCTTAACTCACACTGTGGCCATAACTTACAGTTTGTAGTGTGACAGCAAAACTAGCATGAATTTTTTTCCTTCTTAATCTCACAGACAGATTTGTTCCTATAGATCTTAGTAACCTCAGCATATGATTTTTTTTCTTTCCTTATTTAAATCAAGAACTTACTTCCACCGTTCCACTTAAAGGAAGCACTTTGTGGCTTCTTTTTGACATACCTGAATTGCCAACATTACCACTCTTCCACTTTGAGATCATTATTAAGTAAAATAAGGGTAACTTGAACACAGGCACTCCTACAGTCAATCTGAGCACCAAGAGGGTTGCTAGGTGACCAGTCAGTAGCATGTATAGCACAGATAAGCTGGACACAGGGAAAACTCATGTCGCAGGCAGGATGAAGCAGGAGGGTATGAGATACAATATCATCATGCTACTCAGAACAGTGTGAAATTTAAAACTTATGAATTGTTTACTTCTGGAAGTTTCCATGTAATATTTTCAGACTGCAGTTCACTGCAGGTTAACTGAAATCATGAAAAGCAAAACCTTGCATAAGGGTGGACCACTATATAATAAAAACTTTGCTTTTGCTGTTAACATTTCTCTTCCAGTATCTGCTTTTCTTACTTTTTTACACTGTGTCACTATCAATTTATAGTTGTATATACTGGGAACAGGATCAAATGAAGAATCCTTAAGTATGATTAAAATCATTATCCATGGGGGCCAGGCGTGGTGGCTCACGCCTGTAATACCAGCACTTTGGGAGGCTGAGGCGGGTGGATCACGAGATCAGGAGATCGAGACCATCCTGGCTAACACAGTGAAACCTCGTCTCTACTAAAAATACAAAAAATTAGCCAGGCATGGTGGCGGGCCCCTGTAGTCCCAGCTACTCAGGAGGCTGAGGCAGGAGAATGGCGGGAACCCGGGAGGCAGAGCTTATGGTGAGCCCAGATGGCGCCACTGCACGACAGAGCGAGACTCCGTCTCAAAAAAAAAATAATTATCCATGGGTTTTCCAGGTTAAGAACTTCACACATTTTTACTACAATTAATACAAAAAATATCTACTAATCATTCAAAAACTGAAGTAGAGGCCAGGCACAGTGGCTCACGCTTGTAATCCCAGCACTTTGAGAAGACAAAGGCAGGCAGATCACATGAGCCCAGGAGTTCAAGACCAGCCTGAGCAACATGGCGAAACCCCATCTCTACAAAAAGTACAAAAATTATCTGGGCGTGGTGGCACGCACCTGGGGTCCCAGCTACTCAGGAGGCTGAGGTGAGAGGACTGTTTGAGCCCATGAGGTGGAGGCTGCATTGAGTTGCAATTGCGTCACTGCTCTCCAGCCAGGGTGAAAGAGAGAGATCCTGTCTAAAAAAACAAAACAAAACAAACAAAAACAAAACAAATAAAAAAAAACCCAACCAACCAAACAAACAAAAAAACCCCACAAAAATCAAGTAAAAAAATGGGCAAAGGAAGGATACAACCAGATAATTCTGTCTCCTCTTTTTCTCTCTGTCACACACACAAATAACTTCTCAAGCCTAAGAAGATGGTCAACCTCAATGACATTTTGAAAAACATTAAGCCTCAACACTGCTAAGTCTAACTTCCTATATCAGGCTGATAAAAACTGATGTGACTGCCGGGCACGGTGGCTCATGCCTGTAATCCCAGCACTTTGGAGGGCTGAGGTGGGCAGATTAAGGTCTGGAGTTCAAGATCAGCCTGGTCAACATGGCAAAAACCTCTCTCTGCTAAAAATACAAAAATTAGCCCACTGTGCTGGTGCATGCCTGTAATCCCAGCTACTCCGGAGGCTGAGCCCAGGAGGTGGAGGTTGGAGTGAGCCGAGATCACACCACTGCACTCCAGACTGGGCAACAGAGGGAGACTCCGTCTCAAAAACAAAACAAAACAAAACAAAACTGATGTGACGGATGTATTCTTTATGTTGACAAAAGCATGCAAAAATGAAGCCCCTAATATGCATATATTGAAGAAAATTTACCAATATGTGTCAGTATGTGGCAATTGTAAGTATTTATAATTCTCTGATCCAGCAATTTCTAGGAACTTATTTCTCAGAAATAATCGGAAAATTCTGTAATGATGTAAGTACAGGACACAAAAGGACCCTCACTGCATCTGTGTGTACATAGTCATGTAAAAAATTAAAATAGAATCAGATAAACATAATGGATCCACAAAACAAAATGCAATTAATCAATAAAAAGGGCTGTATGTTTTGACAGGGAGAGATGTACAACTGTGCCCATATGAGCTGTATTATAAAAAGCCACTATTTACAGTGATTGTATCTGGTGGGAAGGCTTTGAAGTTCTACTTTGTCACATTTGTGCTGCTTGAAGCTTTTGAAATGTTTTAATGGGGGAAGGAGAATAGAGACATATTACTCTGAAAGCAACATGAAAAATACTTTTAAGCTATGCCAACATGAAGGCACTTTCTATTATGGCATCCAATTTTACTAAAAATGAAGGGACACTGATATATAAAGAGGCCTTTTTCTTTTTTTTTTTTGAGACGGTGTCGTGCTCTGTCGCCCAGGCTGGAATGCAGTGGTGCCATCTCAGCTCACTGCAACCTCCTCCTCCCGGATTCAAATGATCTCCTGCCTCAGCCTCCTGAGTAGCTGGGATTACAGGTGCATGCCACCACGCCTGGATAATTTTTGTATTTTTAGTAGAGAAGGGGTTTCACCATGTTGGTCAGGCTGATCTCGAACTTGTGACCTTGTGATCTGCCCACCTCGGCCTCCCAAATTAAAGAGGTTTTAAAAAGCAGTAAATAAATATTTAACACTAAGTCACATGTTATCATTAAAATTATAGTACGGTTTTTCAAATGACAGGATACTAGAACTCAAATTGATGTTAAGTTCATGAATTATATAGCACAATAAAACATTTTAATCAAAAGTAAAAACTCAGCTGGGTGCAGTAGCTCACACCTGTAATCCTAGCACTTTGGGAGGCCAAGGTGGGCAGATCACTTGAGCTCAGGAGTTCAAGACCAGCTGGCCAACATGGTGAAACCCCATCTCCACTAAAATACAAAAATTAGCCGGGCATGGTGGCACATGTGTAATCCCAGCTACTTGGGAGGCTGAGGCAGGAAAATCACTTGAACTGGGCGGAGGGACGGGGGGCGGGGGGGCAGAGGTTGCAGTGAGCCAAGATCATGCCACTGCACTCCAGCCTGGGGGACAGAGTGATATTCCATCTCAAAAAAGTAAAAAAAAAAAAAGTCTCAAAAAAGAAAATAAAAGTAAAAACTCTTCAAGTTTGAAAATGTTAATCACAGCTCAAAGAGTTTAAAACTAATACTGGGTTGGTTTTCCCAAAAAGTAAGGTAGTGAGATAGGAAGATCAATACCAAATAAAATAAATATAATATAAAGTGACAGAAATGGGCGAGGCTCAGTGGCTCACACCTATAATCCCAGCACTTTGGGAAGCCAAGGTGGGAGGATCGCTTGAGCACAGGAGTTGGGAGACTAGCCTGGGCAACATAGTGAGGCCTTATCTCTAGAATTTAAAAGAAATAAAAACTGGTCAGGCACGGTGGCTCACGCCTGTAATCCCAACACTTTTGGGAGGTCAGGAGTTCAAGACTAGCCTGGCCAACATGGTGAAACCCTGTCTCTTCTAAACATACAAAATTAGCTGGGCGTGGTGGTGTGCACCTGTAATCCCAGCTACTCGGGAGGCTGAGGCAGGAGAGCCGCTTGAACCCAGGAGGCAGAGGTTGCAGTGAGGCGGAGATTGCAGGGAGCCGAGACTGCGTCACTGCACTCCAGCCTGAGCAAAAAGAGCAAAACTCCATCTCAAATAAATAAATAAATAAAATAAAAACTTAAAAAATAAAAAATAATGATACAAATGATATGAAATGCTTGAATGCAGAAAATACAGAATATTTCAATAAAGGTCAAGAACATTAAAGTAATAAATTTCCTTGACATCTTATGAACCACTGATTATAGAATTAAATTTAGTGTTTGCTTTAAAACAACATAATTTCTGATTTGAAAGCATAGGAAACTCAGAGGAATTTACAAGGAAAAAGCTATTTAAAAGCTGCCCTCTCTATTTGATGAAAGATAAAGAAGTACAAGCTCATTTACTTGACAAAGGCAGTGTGGCAGATAATCCAAAACCAAAATGTACTGAGCATACAATATATTATGCCAATTTGCAGTAGACTTAACCTTTCTTGAAACTCTTAGCCTAGAACAGAATTAATATTAATTTTGCATGTGATTAACTAGAGAGAGCTTGAGCCCGAAGCATGATAGGTTATAAAGGAAAATTTCACATGTGAGTTGCTGAGTCCTTGCTGAATTTCAATAGCTTAAAAATCTTTTATTTGCTCTGAGCTACTTGTGAGAGCTTGTAGTTTAATAAAAGTTGTCTTTAAAATTACATGGATGGGTATGAAACCAATTTTGCTCATTTTTTGGGTTTTTCTTTTTCTTTTTTTTTTTTAAGAGACAGAGTCTCGCTCTGCCGCCCAAGCTGCAGTGTAGTGGCGCAATCTTGGGTCATGGTAACCTACAACTCCTGGGTTCAATCGATTCTACTGCCTCAGCCTCCCGAGTAGCTGGGACCACAGGTGTGCAACACCACTCCTGGCTAATTATTTTTGTATTTTTAGTAGAGACGGGGTTTCACCATGTTGCTCAGGCTGGTCTTGAACACCTGACCTCAAGTGATCAACCTGCCTCGGCCTCCTAAAGTGCTGGGATTATAGGCATGAACCACCGCACCCAGACTAAAATTGTTTTTTAGGGAAACAGGGTCTCACTCTGTTACCCAGACTGGAGTGCAGTGGGGCTGGCACAACCGCTGGGCTCAAGTGATCTGCCCGTCTGAGCCTCCCAAGTAGCTGGGACTACACGAATGAGCCACCGTGCCTGGCCCACTTATATTTTCATGGTATAGTTTCACAATGATCTACACATAGGTTTAAAGTGTTACCTTTATTTAAGGTGCTACCGTTCATCTTTCCGTTGCTTTGTTCTGCATCACCATCTTGCTCATCCAGCTGTTCAAGAGCTAGCTGGCGCCAACTCCGCAAGGAGGACTTCCCCACCCAAAATCCATCGCTGCTGTGGAACAGAGAGAATGTTAAATCATATAAGTAATATTTCCAAACACTGTCCTCCCTTCTTTGCCTGTAAAAACAACTAAAGTGAATTACAAACACTCAACATCAGCTACTGTACATGTAATTGATTTTAACCCACTTCCTAATTTCGGTCATTTTCTCTGTTCACTATTGAACTGCAGGGATCTAATATTTTGTTTCCATTCTAAATATTATCCTGCTTTTCCTACCTTCAAGCCAATCACACCAATCAAATGGTAGGATGGAATACAGTGGCAAAGGCTATCTGACTCAGCAGTTTTCTTTATCGTTGCCACAGGGGCAGTCATTGCAAAATTTACTTTTGATCTGGCTCTACCATCCACTTTATCACCCTTCTTCTAAAAATCCCAACTTCCTATTTTTAATAAATAACGAGATGCTTGGTTATGACCTCTTGAAAACTTCTTAGTTTATCATTAACAATGTACACTGTGCAACATACCCCTTTACTGCTGCTTTCAGCAGATTATTAACAGTTTTATAATCTTCATTTAGTTGGTTCTTCAGACGCAATATGCGACAACGTTCTACTACACATTCCTTACACAGGGCTTTCACTACAGGCAAGAAAGAATGAAAGGAAATATATTTCATTCAAACAGACTTCCTGTTAGGAAAATGTTTTCAGCACTTCACAAACACAGACACATTCTAAACCAAAGTCACAAATGTTGGCAATATGGCAAATTGGTATATACCCTAAATTATTTTACTAAGACAATTAGAAACCAAGACGGCAATACTGTTATCTGAATAAAGAACAATGAGAGACAAAATGTTGTATTACATTAAAAGTATCTAAATACAGTATCTGACAAGGTTTACATGCAATCTTTACAAGATGATAATCAAATCACTGAGGTTCTAAGGTGGGGGGGTTAAATATAGCTGATAATTATAAATAATGATCTTCATGTGAAAGTGATCTTCAAAGCACACTAAAAGGAAAAGCAAAATGAAGGGCCTGGTTTAAAACACAAAGAAGTTTTAGGAATCATCTAAAATGTGAACGCTCTTCCTATTGCATGGTTTATTCATTGTGAATTAAGAACAGTGGCAGGTATAGTGGCTCATACCACCAAGAGCTTTGGGAAGCCAAGCAGGGAGGGTAGCTTGAGGACAGGAGTTTGAGACCAGCCTGGGCAACATAGTGAGACCCTGTCTCTACAAAAAGTGTAAAAATTAGCAAGCCATGGTGATGTGTGCCTGTAGTCCTAGCTACTTGGGAAGCTGAGGTGGGAGGACTGCTTAAGCCTAGAAGTTCTAGGCTGTAGTGCACTACGATTCCACCACTGTACTCCAGCTGGGGCAACAGAATAAGACTCTGTCTCAGAGAAAAAAAAAAAAAAAACAGGGGCCAGATATGGTGGCCCATTCTTGTAATCCCAGCACTTTGGGAGGCCGAGGCAGGTCAATCACTTGAGCCTAGGAGTTCAAGACCAGCCTGGGCAACATGATGAAACACCATCTCTACAGAAAATACAAAACTTAACCAGGCATGGTGGTGCATGTCTGTGGTCCCAGCTACTTGGAAGACTGAGACGGGAGCCTGAGGAGGTTGAAGCTGCAGTGAGCTGTGATTGCACCACTGCACTCCAGCCTGGGCAACAGAGTGAGACACTGTCTCAAAAAAACAAAAACAAAAATTCCCAGAAATTTAGGAAGCAAAACTCCAGTCGTGTTTAACAGAAGGCCTGCAGCATGTAGTTAAATATCAAGTTTTATGCAATAAGTTGTATACCATTAGAAAACAGCACTTAATTACAGAAAAAGTGTATTGGGGAGGGAGGTGTCATGTAATTTCCTACAGCCTCATCTGAAAATTGGAGGGAGGATTGTGTTGGCAGCTACTCATGTAAAAAGAAAAATGTTTCAAGGAGGCACAACAGAAAGGCAGCCAAAACAAAATACTATGGTTGGGTACTATGTGGTCATATATAGCTCTATATTTAAGGGAGAATCAAGTAGCTTCCATTCATAAACTAAGTAACCATCTACAGCTCACACACTGTTAGAAGTCACCATAGCTGGGCGGGTGTGGTGGCTCTTGCCTGTAATCCCAGCACTTTGGGAGGGCGAGGTTGAGTGGATCACTTGAGCCCAGGAGTTTGAGACCAGCCTGGGCAACACAGTGAAACCCCGTCTCTACTAAAAATACAAAAATTAGCTGGGCATGGTGGTGCGCACCTGTAATCTCAGCTACTCGGGAGGCTCGAGAATCACTTGAACCCAGGAGGCGAAGGTTGCAGTGAGTCGAGATTGAGCCACTGCACGCCAGCCTGGGTAACAGAGTGAGACTCCATCTCAAAAAAAAAAAAAAAGAAGTCACCATAACATGGAGGCACAAACTTGCAATTAACCAGACAAGGGCTCAAGTACCTTAAACAGTATTACACAGAGTAACAAACTACTACCAGACAGTTTTCTTAAAAGGGTCCTATTTTGTCTGCTTTGAGAGGGGTTAAAAGAAACAAACCAAAAAAACAAACCAAAAAACCCCAACCAACCCTCTATGAATAGCATCAGTTGCTTAACTTCTACTTTATTTAGCAAATCCTTTGTGCAAAGTGTAAGGAATATTTGGTCTAGCATAGTTTGGGTCAAATCATCATAAGCCACACTCATAAAGACCATAAGATGAAGATTTAATGAGCTGCTCTTTTTTAAACAGAGAGGACATCTTGAATTACCAGTTAGTCTTGGACCTCCTCCATATCTACTATAGAAAATGTCAGCTGCATATTCAGATATCCTCTTCATAATTGATATTTTATCCGGGTGAAGCTTGTCATGGGAACACAGGCAAGCGTGATTATCAATAGGTTTGGTAGGTGTTGATTCATCCAACCACTTTTGCAGCCATTCCAGAGAGACAAACTCATAGGGCTCTGAGAAAGCAAGCATCGGAAAGAGCCTATGTATTTTTACAGTTTTTTGACTAAGTGATACATTCATTTTTCTCAAAAGACAATGCAAACTCTGTCCAGAGTTAGCAGAATCAGAAGAATCATTGTCTGGGGGAAGATGTTTGATGAGTACGACACAAAGCTCCAGTTAAGTGCCACTCCTATGAGTTCAAGGAGCTGTGCACCATAATGCTGAGTCTGCACAGTGCCCTATGAGATCGGCTGGTATTATTAACCACATTCTACAAGAGGCATCCACATAGAGTCTTGCCGAATAGCACAGCAGAGCTTTGATCAGGACACCCATGTTTGTTGACTACAAGTCATGCTCCATTGCTGCCTCACAAATAACACAACCTCATGCCCTACTGTGTTTATTTCATAAATTATTTTTGTCAGTACTTTTCACATATATGTGATATACATCTGAAAATTAAAATGAGAAGCCAAACTGAAATAAACCTCACCGACTATGACCACACTTCAGAAGACGCTTTTAACCACTGAACTTTCTTCATCCAAGATGATACTGATGGCAATTTTGAAAAGGTATTTAATTCCCCCACCCAAATCCAAGTCATGATCTCTTCATTATATTATTATTTATTTCAAGAAAGTAACCTATTTTAAACAAGTTCGAGGATAAAGTACACTAGAACTGAGTCATCAATTTTGAAGTTGCAAAAATTAAAAGACAAAACCAAACACCTCAAAATGAGTTTTAATTTGGGGAAAGGAAGTCCCTAGAATTCCCTAAAAGCCAAAATCAAAGATAAAGGGCCAGCTTTGATTACTTACAAAGATCTCCAGTGAGTCCCAGCATAAAACATAGAAGAAAACATACAGAGGTTGAATTTATATTTTTGTATTATATACTCCTTCTGATGAGATCTGAGGGACAGATACTTCAACGCAAAGCCCATTGTGACCAGTTTTATACTCCCCAGAGAGTTACATGTCTAGAAAACTAACTCCCATTTTAATTTTACAGTAAACCATCTCAATTTTTATGAAAACAAAATTTGGCACTGTACATCATCAACTAAGAGCCTTCTAACTGGTCAAGTCGAATGTGGCTCCAGAGGAAGAGCACAGGACTGTGAGTCGAGGTCACGGTCTAATCCAAGTTCTGCTACCAAGAAAATGAACCTGAACAAGTCACTTAAACTTTCTATGTTTCCAGTCTTTTATTTGTAAAATGAAGGTAATAATACCTGCCTTCTACCTACCTCATGGGAATGTTGTTGAGTATAAAAGATAAGCTATGTGAAGCATTTTGAGCTTTTTGGAAGAAAAGAGATATGGAAAAGTTAATTATACATTTACGTAAACTTAATATATAAAAGAGGAGACCTTGGCTGGGCATGGTGGCTCACGCCTGTAATCCTAGCACTTTGGGAGGCCGAGGCGGGCAGATCACCTGAGGTCCAGAGTTTGAGACCAGCCTGACCAACAGGGAGAAACCCCGTCTGTACTAAAAATACAAAAAATTAGCTGGGCATGGCGGCACACGACTGTAATACCAGCTATTCGGGAGGCTGAGGCAGGAGAATCACTTGAACCCGGGACGCGGAGGTTGTGGTGAGCTGACATTGCACCAGTGCGCTCTAGCCTGGGCAACAAGAGTGAAATTCCATCTCAAAAAAAAAAAAGAGGAGACTTTAAGATGCAGTATATGTAACACAGCTGCAGCACTTTACAGTATATCATGGTATGGCTAATTACATTCAAAATGCCTCCCGACTTTATTTGCCATTTATCAAGCTTAATCTGCCAGGGATAGAGTACACTGGGTATCTGGGGAATGCAAAGATAAATGATCCCTTTCTGAAAGCAAGATCAAAGTCTTAGCATACTCTCATCTTTTCCCAAGGACAGTCAATTAGATTAAAATGGTAAGCAATATGAAGGCTATCAAAGGAGAAAAAACAGGATTGTGATAAAGAGCAACATTCAAGAATAAGTCACTAGGCATCCTAGTTTCCCCAGCAGCTGGGGAGGAGTGGACAGACAGCAGTATCTGTTATTGCTAACTGAAAGAAAACACCCTAAGAATCCTGGCCCTCACAATGAAAGGAATCTAGGAAAGCTCAAAATGCACAAAGCCCTCCTTGCCAGGGGATGTCTGCAGGAATTCAAAGCCTAGGGTGACTGTGGCCCTGACTGTCCAGCAACAATGTGGCTCAAAGGCAAGACAACATTTTCCAATCTCACAGAAAACTTCCAAGGAAAGCTTGTTGTTTTGGTTTTTGAATTGTTCAATATAAATTTAATGTAAGATACAATGATTAGAAAAACTATGTACGGTTTTATAGTAAGAGGAGGAAGACAGAAAGCAGAGAACAGGCCTATAATTCTAATCTAATACCATGCTTACTACTAACAGCAAGTTCTCCAGATTTCACTTTAGTGCGCTGTGGGCTCCATGAAGGAAGAGTGACTATGGTCACAGAAGTCTGTCTTTCTTTCCATTTTCAGTCTCTATCATCATAAAGAGTTGCACTGACTCTGCCAAGAGCTTGCCTGAGAATACAAGTGGAGCACAAGTCTCATAGTTAAGGCAGATTCTGTTTGTGGCAAAGTTTTTACACTACAGATGTTTCTGCACTAGAAAAAGACTCTAAGTAGGCCCCTCAAATATATTCCCTAGTATTTGTGATTCAGTAAACTACAAGCATTGCTTTCCAAAGGCCATGGACATAATCAACTCCAAATGAGGGAGAACTCTCCTATTATCAAGCTGGAGATACCGGACTATATGAAACCTCAGCATTTGATGAGGAAAGCAAAATATTAAAATATTTACCACAGGGAAATATACATTTTGGTTCAAAGTTCTTTAAAAAGAAAAAAAAAAACCTGGATTTTGAACATGACACATTTTCTTTGGAAAGTTATAAAGTCTAGAACAATCACAGCATCAAAAACATCTGAAACACTTTACCTAGAGATAATTTAAGTATATTTCAATGGAAATAAAAAGGGCCAAAAGCACGTTCCTACTGAGGCTTAGATTTTAGGGTAAGTGATCTTTGTTTTTTTAAATATGTTCACACACAAAAATAAGATTTAGAAAATGCATAACAAAAGACTTCTCTTGCCAGCACAAAACCATGCTCATTAACTTTGAGATTCTACATAATTTTACAGCGTGGACTGTCTACAATATAAGTTTACTGCAAATGGAAAAGAATTATATAGCTCATAATTGGTAAAAGTATAAATAACACAGAGAAATACTCTAAGAACATAAGCATATTCTAAGAACATAAGGTTCCTATATGCTGAATGAAAACAGCCAAAGGAAGCACAGTGCTAACTTGACACATAACATCTTTGAACTCTATAGTTCTAAAGAGTGGTTCAAATGAGTATTTCACTTTAGACCCAGTTAAGTCCCTTTCTCTTGCCCAGTGGACACAGGAAACCGTGAATAAAGTTTGGAAAATAGATTTCTAGGTCCCAACACCTTTGAACAAAGACCTATAAATTTAGAGATCTGAATCATGGGTTCATTTCCAAATCATTTCCAGTTACATTAAGGTCAGTTTAATTATTTAGGGTAATCCCAACCCTTGGACAGAGTTAAAGTAACAGATTACAAAGAAGGGTCAGAATTGAATTAAAATTTAGTTAAAATATATTCTTATAGACTTGGCAATTTTTGTTTACATTTTGCTTAAAGTTATACTAGTAATGGAAAATTAAGATATTAAAAAGACAAACCACAAGTACAATTATGCTTAAGTATTTATTTTCTAAAGTAAGGACTAAATTGTCTCTCTTCCTTAAGTAGGAATTAGGCTTGGGGAATTCATGTCTTTAAAATGACAAAGATAACTTAATACAAATGGCACATCAGCCTTTAAAAAGGCTTAATTTGGTTTCATTTTGAGACATCAGGTAAACCTGAATAAACATATACAGAAAAGGGATAAGCTGGATTATGTGGGATATTTCTAAGAAATCAGGGGTCAGCAGAAAGCTTTTCTACTCTTAGCATAATATTTGGTATTAAACTTCAAGTTAATCTAATAGTATCAAAAAAACTGTATTCATATAATAGAATGTCTGTTAAAACTGTTAGGTCACAAAGTATGCAAAGAAACAGAACAGGCAAGTTGCTTTTTCCATAGTAATCCAATCGGATTTTTCTTAAACAAGTTAATATCTCACAAAATATAAATATCTACAATACTCATGGATGCAGAGTGCTGACCTAAATGTTATAATTTATTAACAGCTTCCCATTTTTAGGAGTACAACGTAATGAAATAATATGGAATGCTACACATCAAGTTATTGTTGGTTTACAAAGTACTTTTAGAGTGTTTAAGCTGGCTTTAGTGGGTTATTAGAAAGAGTAAGTTTGAGAAAGTTTCTTCATATACATTTGTGAACATAAAAAAACAAGGCACTTAATGGCAACAGTGCTGTCCCAGAATATCTTACAGACCAGCTCCAGCAGGTAACCTTTGGTACAGCTCCTTAACCTCTTCGTGTTTTGCTTTTCCTTTATCCACACTTTGCTTACGCATCTCAGCCATTTCAATACACCACTCCTCAAATTTGGAATTATCCCGATCTACCAGCTCTTGAAGAAAGGCTATTCAAAACAGAAAGACAAAAAACAACTTTATTCTTGTTTTCACATATAGTGAACCATGCTAATCTCTAAATCATATCAAATACTGATTAAAACATTGGCAGAAATTCCAACTATGGTCTCCCTGTCTGCTAGAAACCTCCAAACTGAAGGCAGAAGTAAAAGTGAAGACAGCCACTGGAATAATCCTAAATTGATTCCCCCCACCTAGCTCTCCATGACATCATCAGCCTCCCAGAACAATCGAATGGCTCAAAATCACCACTTTAGAATAGATGACGCCAGGCGGGCGCAGTGGCTCATACCTGTAATCCCAGCACTTTGGAAGGCTGAGGCGGGTGGATCGTGAGGTCAAGAATTCAAGACCAGCCTGGCCAAGATGGTGAAACCCCATCTCTACTAAAAATACAAAAATTAGCTGGGCGTGGTGGCACGCACCTGTAATCCCAGCTACTCGGGAGGCTGAGGCACAGAACTGCTTAAACCCAGGAGGCAGAGGTTGCAGTGAGCTGAGACTGCACCACTGCACTCCAGCCTGGGCGAAAGAATGAGACTCCGCCTCAAAAAAAAAAAAAAAAGAAAGAATAGATGATGCCACCAAGCTTAGAAAAGTGCTGAGTAAAATGATTCAGACTCAGACTGTCTTCAGGGCAGCAACAACTCTACCTTTTATATTATGAAGTCTAGAATATCTATAGATAATTAAATAAAATTCACAAATACTCTATAAACCGAACAAAATAAAACCAAATTATACTTTAAATACATGTTTTGATTACTTTCTGATTTTTTAATAATTGCATTGCTTTATTTCAGAAGCTCCTTTCTTAAAAGTAAATTTGCAATTAATATTTACTTTCACCAACATTCACCTTATGGAATCAATTTATCATAGTAACTAAAAGCAATCCATTACTTATCATTAATCTTTGAGTATGGCATTCTAAAACATTTGCCTGCTATAATCCTGGAAAACTGCTTTACCTGGAACTTGAACAGTAGTGTTGGGCTTTTCTTGAGTTTGCAGTCTATAAACCAACATATATGCATTTCGAGAGCAATGAGTTCCTTTGCCACACTTGGGTTTACGTGTCTGAGACTTAGAAGGTTCTGCTGAGATAGAGAAATCAAAAGGTACCTTAACTTAAGTGCCTAGAGTTTGTTTATTCTTTAGCGGGGCTATAGAAAACAATTTCCAAAATATACACCCAAGACACATTAACACCAATCTAAAACATTCAAAGGCCATAGAAATTTGGCAGGCTCTTTAGCTTTAATATTTAAAAAAGTTTACTACCACTATTGCCTGCCACATTCTATTTTTTAAAGGTAAAAAGAAAATACATTTTTCTGGGGAACAAACCTAGAACAACAACAAAAAAATCACTATTGCCATAAGCTGATTTTTATGTTAGTCTTAAATTACAAAAATTAACTGAAGCCGGGCACAGTGGCTCATGCTTGTAATCATAGCACTCTAGGAGGCCAAGATGGGCAGATCACTTGAAGCCAGAAGTTCAAGACCAGCCTGGCCAAAACATGGAGAAGCCCTGTCTCTACTAATAATACAAAAATTAAGCAGGTGTGGTGGTGCGCACCTGCAGTCCACCTACTTGGGAGGCTGACACAAGTGAATCGATTGAACCCAGGAGGCAGAGGTTGCAGTGAGCCGAGATCACACTCCAGCCTGGGTGACAGAGCAAGACTCTGTCTCATGAAAAAGAAAAAGTTAAATTAAATTAAATTAAAAAATAAAAACAGGCCAGGTGCGGTGGCTCACACCTGGCCAACATGGTGAAAACCCATCTGTCTAAAAACACAAAAATTAGTCGGGCATGTTGGCACATGCCTGTAATCCCAGCTATTCGGGAGCCTGAGGCAGGAGAATCGCTTGAACCCAGGAGGCAGAGGTTGCAGTGTGTCACTGCACTCCTGTCTGGGGGACAGAGTGAAACTCTGCCTCAAAAAAATAAATAAATAAAAATCAAGACTGATGCAATCACTAAAGGGAATATGGGACTTCAACTCTACTGGAAATATTTTTATTCTTTTTTTTTTTTTTGAGACAGTCTTGCTCTGTCGGCAGGCTAGAGTGCAGTGGCGCGATCTTGGCTCACTGCAACCTCTACCTCCTGGGTTCAAGCGATTCTCATGCCTCAGCCTCTCAAGTAGCTGGGATTACAGGCACGTGTCACCACACCCAGCTAATTTTTGTATTTTTAGTAGAGAGAAGATTTCACCATGTTGGCCAGGATGGTCTCGATCTACTGACCTCACAATCTGCCCGCCTCAGCCTCCCAAAGTGTTGGGATTACAGGCGTGAGCCACTGCACCTGGCTGAAATATTTTTATTCTCAATGATTGCTTGGTACACAAGTATTTGTTTTAATGTTGTTTTTTAATAAAAGTATATATAAAATGTATATGTACAGTTTGAAAAATAAAAATTAGCTCAGTAATCATTTTAGTAAACAGATTTTCTTCAATTTAGTCAAAATAATACAAATAAATCTAGACTTAATTGCCCAAATAAATAAAATAGCATATTTTCTTTTCTTTTTTTGAGACAGAATTTCGCTCGTCTCCCAGGCTGGAGTGGAATGGCACGATCTCAGTGTACTGCAATCTCTGCCTCCCAGGTTCAAGTGATTCTCCTGCCTTAGCCTCCCCATTAGCTAGGATTACAGGCGTGTGTCACCACGCCAGGGTAATTTTTGCATTTTTAGTGGAGATGAGGATTTACCACGTTGGCCAGGCTGGTCTCAAACTCCTGACCTCAGGTGATCCTCCCTCCTCGGCCTCCCAAAGTGCTGGGATTACAGGAGTGAGCCACCCCACCCAGCCTAAAATAGCATAATTTTTAAAAATGAAATGAAATGGGCCAGGTGCGGTGGCTCATGCCTGTAATCCCAGCACTTTGGGAGGCCGAGGCAGGTAGATCACCTGAGGTCAGGAGTTCGAGGCCAGCCTGGCCAACACAGTAAAAGCCCGTATCTACTAAAACTATAAAAATTAGCCAGGGGTCTGTAATCCCAGCTACTCAGGAGGCTGATGCAGCAGAATCAGTTGAACCCAGGAGGCAGAGGTTGCAGTGAGCCAAGATCACGCCACTGTACTGCAGCCTGGGTGACAGTGAGACTCAGTCTCCAAAAAGAAAAAACAAAAGGAATGAAATGCTAACAACCAGAAACATTAGCCACTAATCTCTATGACGTAAACAGCAACTGGAAAACATGAAGTGTTTCAGATGGCAACTATAGCACATGAAAACGATTTTCAAATTGGGTTTCAGCGTTCCAGGTAACTTTCCGAGAGGTAAGGGATTATAGCGGCGGATCATTTGAGATCAGGAATTCGAAACCAGTCTGGCCAACGTGGTGAAACCCCATCTCTACTAAAAATACAAATAATTAGCCAGGCATGGTGACGCGCCCCTCTAATCCTAGCTACTTGGGAGGCTGAGGAAGGAGAACTGCTTGAACCCAGAAGGCGGAGATTGTGGTGGGCCAAGATAGCACCACTGCACTCCAGCCTGGGCGACACAGTGAGACTCTGTCTCAAAAACAAAAAAAGAGGTTATGGGCAGTTCTAAGGAAATCCAGTTACCAGATCCTCAATTCACCACGTGCTTTTCTAAAATGGATCTGCCTCAACACTGAGGTCCCACGATGGTTTCTACCTCTCTTTTCACAATCAGTTGACTCCCACGTCACAAAAGAAAGATATAACCTCTCAGCCAGTGACAGAAAAAGGTCTCATCTATCACATTGAGATATATTTACAAAAAAAGTACATTTACAGTAAAATTTTACTGTTTAATAAAATTTATAACATACTTTCATGAGTTTTATCAATTATGTAGTAATATTCATAATTTTAAAAACAGCACTCTATCCAGAAGTACTTTTTAACTATTTAGAGCTTTACAGTCACAAAAAACTTACTATATTCCATTAGAATAAAATTCTGTAGGGTAAACATAATGGAAATAGTAGTACAGAAGAAAATAGAATTGTTAAAAATGCCTACTATAAAACAAGACCTGTTCAGTTATCCTTGAAAAGGATGCTGGTGGATATAAAACCTCTATGGTATTTAATATAATCTGGACATTCTTAAAAGAGTGATGTCACAATTTAAGTTTCAGTATTCATTATGTCATAAATTATAGCATTTGGAGCTACTTAAAATTTATGATGAAATTTGTTAGATTTTAAAATGTGCAAAGAAAAAAAAAGTTGTTCAACTTTTTTTGTTTTCCCTTGCACCTATGCTTGGATGTTAAACATTCTTACAGACAACGCCTGAACAAAAAAGGTTGGAAGATCACTGTACTGTCACAGGGAATTAAAATACCAGGAACATGCACAGGTAAGAGGAGGTTAGTCATCCATTCCTAATTAAGAGTACCCAAGGCTGGGCATGGTGGCTCACGCCTGTAATCCTAGCACTTTGGGAGGCCGAGGCAGGCGGATCACTTGAGGTCAGGAGTTTGAAACCAGCCTGGCCAACATGGTGAAACCCCGTCTCTACTAAAAATACAAAAAATTGGTCAGGCGTGGTGGCACGTGCCTGTAATCCTAGTTACTCAGGAGGCTGAAGCAGGAGAATCGTTTGAACCTGGGAGGTGGAAGTTGTAGTGAGCCGAGATCGCGCCATTGCACTCCAGCCTGGCCGACAGAGGAAGACTCTGTCTCAAAACAAAAAAAAGAGTACCCAAGATTTAAGATGTTAATGATTTTGTATAAGATGGAATATAAAATGATTCATAAAACTTCAGGATACAACATAATAATGAATGTCTAATGAAATTTAAAAATATTTTCTATTTTTGATTTAAAAGATGAAAGCTAAAATATATGCTGCATAAAATAGTGAGTTATGAAAACACTGGAATGAGATACCAATGGGTGTTAAGTATTTTCTTGAACTGTTTTAAAATCTAGGACTACCCATATATAAGACAGCCTTAACAATGCTTTTAATCCTAGAATGTAGATAGATTTTAAAAAAACCCAGTAAAAAACAGTCAAATAAAACCAAGACATAATTTTTCACAATTTAAAGTTCTTTTTTTTTTTCTTTTTTTTCAGACAAGGTCTCACTCCGTAGCCCAGGCTGGAGTGCAGTGGTGCAATCATGGCTCACTGAAGCCTTGATCTCCTGGGCTCAAGCATCCTCCTACCTCAGCCTCCTAAAGTGTTGGGATTATAGATGTAAGCCACCTCGCTCAACCCAGTTAATGTGCTATCTCAATTTTGTTCCTAGTAAGAATGTCATAATGAAAACATACACTGTATAAGCAAATGTTGAGAATTTGAGTTTTACTTAGGTAAAATGGGAGCGAGATTGCTGAAGTTCTATAAACACAGAAATGTTATTTAAAAGTAGAAAACAGGTTGGGCACGGAAGCTCATGTCTGTAATGCCAACACTTTTGGGAGGCCAAGTGCAAGGATCGTCTAAGGGCAGGAATTCAAAAGCAACCTGGGGAACCCAGGGAGACTCTGTCTCTGTAACAAATTACAAAATTAGCCAGGTGTGGTGGATCACACCTGTGGTCTCAGTTACTTGGGAAGCTGAGGCAGGAGGATTATTTGAGTCCAGGAGTTCGAGGCTGCAGTGAGCCATGTTCATGCCACTGTACTCCAGCCTGGGCAACAGAGCAAGACTCTGTCTCAAAAAAATATATAAATAAAAGGAAAGAAAATAAAATTTAAAAGTGAAAGAATGACTTCTCCAAGCTACATGAATGGAGTTAACAAACGATTATCTGTAGAGATGATGCATATGCCTCGAAAGCAAATCTCAACTGCTATGTTCCTGCCTACTGGACACCTTGAATAAATGTCTCTGACCTATTAAGAAAGAAGAGTGGCAGGAGACACACACTTACTCCCATTTCTTTTCTCCAATTCAGATACCATAGTCTGAACCTCATCCAAAGCTGTTTAGCACTTTCTTGTGAAATGATATGACCACACTTGTGAGTCTGCATGTGTCATCTCACTGTGCTGTGTGTTAGATTTCCAGAACAAAGTATGTGCCCTTGGACAATTGCCTATACCTGTCTGACAGACAATGGGAAGAAAGTGATAAACAGCTCAGGAGATGGAGCTCAGGAGATGGCTCCAACTAGAAAAACTGTCCATTCCTTTGGAAAATAAATGGGTACTTAGGCCCAAGACAACTGAGGTGATGAAAGTACATACTAGGATACTATTTTAAGAAGTAGTCTTTATGGCAGACCTCACTACTACACAGTAGCAACCAGCTCATTTTCCACAGAAGCACTGCTCAAGGATTTGGGTAAGATACTTAAAGGAAGGAGAAACAAAGTTTACCTGCTAGAATTAGTTCCCCAAAATAAATTTCCTGACCCAAGGAAAATAATTACAAATCCTACTACATTAAATCTACTATTCATCATCACTAACTTAATGCCCATGATCCTCCCCTACCCACTTAAATAAACCTGGTAATTAAAAACTGATCATTTGCCTTCAAGCTTTACTGAAAACATGACATTATGAAAACCATCTCTGGAACAAAATAATTGTAAATTTTTTTAACTAAAATTTTAAAAAGCAAGCATTGCTACCTGGGCGTGGTAGCTCATGCCTTGTAATCCCAACACTTTGGGAGGCCAAGGCGGGAGGACTGTTAAACTCAGGAGTTCGAAACTAGCCTGGGCAACCAGGTAAGACCCCGTCTCCACAAAAAAATTGTTTTAAACATTTTTGCCAGGTTGGCCGGGCATGATGGTTCACACCTGTAATCCCAGCACTTTGGGAGTTCAAGGCAGGCAGATCACTGGAGGCCAGGAACTCAAGACCAGCCTGGCCAACACAGTGAAACCCTGTCTCTATTAAAAATAGAAAAAATTAAGGCCAGGTGCAGTGGCTTACGCCTGTAATCCCAGCACCTTGGGGGGCCAAGGCAGGTGGATCACCTGAGGTCAGGAGTTCGAGACCAGTCTGACCAACATTGTGAAACCTTGTCTCTACTAAAAATACAAAATCAGCCAGCCGTGGTGACACATGCCTGTAATCCCAGCTACTTGGGAGGCTGAGGCAGGAGAATCACTTGAACTTGAAAGGTAGAGTTTACAGTGAGCCGAAATCTCGCCATTGCACTCCAGCCTGGACAAGAAGGCAACAAGAGCGGAAAAAAAAAAAAAAAAAGGAAAGAGAAGGAAAAGGAAGAATTAGCTGAGCATTGTGGCACATGCCTGTAATCCCAGCTACTCAGGAGGCTGAGGCACGAGAACTGCTTGAACCCAGGAGGCAGAGGTTGCAGTGAGCCAAGATGGTGTTACTGCACTCCAGCCTTAGTGACAGAGTAAGACTCTCTCTTACTGAAAAAAATTTTGACAAAATTTTTACCTGACAAAAAAAATTTTGTCAGGTGTGGTGGCACTTATCTGTAGGCCCAGCTACTAGGAAGGGAAGGCTGAGGCAGGAAGATCACTTGAGCCTAGCAGGTTTAGGCTGCAGTCAGCCATGACTGTACCACTGCATTCCAGCCTGGGCAAGAGAGTAAGAACCGGACTCGAAAAACAAGCATTGCTAATACAAGATGTTCAGTGATTTTACATGTGTTTAAGAAATGCAAATATCCTTGATAGTCTGTAACATAACAATCTTGAGCCATAATAATTTATCACAAATATTTCTAGTAAAATAAATTTATATTTTAAAAGGGCACTCACAACTTAAAGGTTTTACCTAGATCTTCCTCAATCCCTAGTTGTAATTTCTTCCCCTCCATCTTTTCTATGTCTTCATCATTAAACTTATACCATTCACCAGACTGTGGATCTTTCACGTGGGCGATGTAGTGGCCAGAATAAGCACTCACTCCTCTGTGTATGAGGACTGCGCTGAGTTCATACACGTAGGACCCACCTGGAGAGAAAGGGAGAAAGTAAAAGAAACGTTGGATAACAGTTATTTCTTATATCCTGAGCCTGAATTGTAATGATTACGAATCTTTACACATGTGGTATAACTAAAAACATGTCACCTAAAATTTTTACAAATTAGTTTTACAAAATAATGTATAATTACACTCCCTTAACACTCTCTTAGACACACTCTGAACAGCACACTGTATTAATTCTCCAAGCCTCTGCAAAATACACGGATGAAAAACTACGGCCTCCTGGGCACTCAGGGAATATAAGCTACTCTACTACACACCGTGCTCTTCAGCACACACTAGCGAGGCCACACGCTTCCCAAGAATCGGCTGTTCATACTCTCTGTGTGTTACGAAACTTAAAACTTATACAAACCAGGGAGACACGAATGTCAAATGAAAAGGCTATTGTTTATAGAAGAGAAGATAAATGCTTTGGCAAAAACTGACGGCAAGTCATGAAAATTTGCTCTCAAAACAGGTGTAGGCATTTGTCCAAGGGCACAAACTTTGATCTGGAGATCTAACACCCAGCGCGTTGAGATGACACATGCAGACTCACAATTGTGGTCACCATTTCACAGACACATGTATCATCACATTAGCACCTTCAGATCAAAGTTTCATTTGCCAAGTCTACCTCATTAAAGCTGGAAAAAAATAAAAATAAAAACAGGTGTAGGCCAAACAGTTGGAAAATATAGGGATGAAAACTTAAAAAATCTAGAATGATACTGCACTCAGATTTCTTCGTATTTTAAGTTCCTATGCTATTTTAATTAAATAAAATCTACAAATCATAGCCTATATTTTACACGGTATTCAAAAAGAAAAGGCTTTATACATACATCAAAATATTGACAATAAATGAACATTTACATTTCAAAGTGAACTAAAATGTCTTAAAATTTGAGAAACATCTTGTAAAGATCCTCAACTTAAAGCAATTATGGGGAAAATGTGTTAGAAAAGATCACTTCCACTATACATGTTCTGTTATTTACTGGAAAACAAAACAATTCATTAATAAACCCACATAACCACAATTAATACTGAAACCTACAGTTTTTTTCCAACAAATAATATCTTTTCACATCATTATTCTTCTAAAAATTACTTATAATGACTATATATAATTACCATAATATGCCTAACCACATCCACATTAATGAACACTTATTTAAACTGGTAATGTTTGAGGGCCTTTATAAGCAATAATAATTATCTTTACAGTACAAATCTTTGCACAGATCTTTGACAATTTTTTTTTTTTTCCCTGAGACGGGGTCTTGTTCTGTCACCAGACTAGGGTGCAGTGGCACAATCATAGCTCACTGCAGCTTCAACCTCCTGGGCTTAAACAATCCTCCCACCTCAACCTCCAGGAGTAGCTGGGATGACAGGTGTACATTTTTATTTATTTATTTATTTATTTTGAGATGGAGTTTTGCTCATGTTGCCCAGGCTGGAGTGCAATGGCGTGATCTCGGCTCACTGCAACCTCTGCTTCCTGGGTTCAAGTGATTCTCCTGCCCCAGCCTCCCAAGCAGCTGGGGTTACAGGCACACACCACCACACCCGGCTAATTTTTGTATTTTTAGTAGAGACGGGGTTTCACCATGTTGGCCAGGCTAGTCTCGAACTCCTGACCTCAGGTGATCCATCTGCCTCGGCCTCCCAAAGTGCTGGGATTACAGGCATAAGCCACCACGCCTGGCCTTTTTTTTTTTTTTTGAGATGGAGTTTCACTCTTGTTGCCCAGGCCAGAGTGCAATGGTGTGATCTCGGCCCACTGCAACCTCCGCCCCCCTGGGGTCATGCGATTCTCTTGCCTCAACCTCCCAAGTAGCTGAGATTACAGGCACCCAACATCATGCCTGGCTAAGTTTTTGTATTTTTAGTAGAGATGGGGTTTCACCACGTTGGCCAAGCTGGTCTCAAACTGCAGGCCTCAAGTGGTCCATCTGCCTCGGCCTCCCAAAGTGCTGGGATTACAGGTGTGAGCCACCACGCCCGGCCCATTTTTTTTTTTTATAGACAGGGTCTCATTGTCTTGCCCAGGCTAGAATTTGACTATTTCATTGCTATAATTTCCTTAAAAATGCAAAAGAGTACATCACAGCAGAGTATAGCCAATCACTCATTAGACAAACAGTAAACATACTGGACACGGTTTCAGGCATGAAGGATACAGCAGTTAATTAACTAAAGGAACAGAGTCCCTGCATTCTTGAAGCATAGATGGGGAAACAGTAATGCAGATTAATACCTGGGCCAAAACCCACTGAACTCACCCCAGCTGAAAACACTGAAGATACTGGGTAAGATAAAAATATTTTTAAATCTTTCTAAATGCATTGTCAAGAAAATAAGAATTATCAGAAGCCCAATACCATGTGAAGGCAATAAGCCATGTAGTAAGGACAACAGAGTTTCCCTCTGCGAGTGTTAGGGGAACACTATGATCGACTTGAACTCTGTTTTTCCGTATCTCAAAGGGCTTACGGGATCAGAGACAACAGCTAAGGTTCATAAAAGGTGAGGAGTCTAACAGGGGACTCCCACCAGGAAACTAAGGTTTTTTTTTAATTGACAAACAGGCTGGGCGCAGTGGCTCACACCTAAATCCCAGCACTTTGTGAGGCTGAGGCAGGCAGATCACCTGAGGTCAGGAGTTTGAGACTAGCCTGGCCAGCATGGTGAAACCCCCTCTCTACTAAAAATACAAAAATTAGTCAAGCATGGTATTGAGTGCCTGTAATCCCAGCTACTCAGGAAGCTGAGGCAGGAAAACTGCTTGAACCCGGGAGGCGGAGGTTGCAGTGAGCCGAGATCATGCCATTGCACTCCGGCCTGGAAAACAAGGCAAGACTCCGTCTCAAAAAAAAAAAAAAAAAAAAAAAAAAAGACAAATAATATTTGCATATATTTATGGGTACAATATGATGTTTGATATGTTTACATCATGGAATGATTAAATCAAGCTAATATATCCATTTTCTGTGGTGAGAACACTTAAAATCTGTTATTTTAGCTATTTCAAAATGCACAACGCATTATTAACTGCAGTCACCATGCTATGCAATAAAGCTCCAAAACTTACTCGTCCTGTTGAACCGAAGCTTTGTACTCTTTGAACATCACCTCCCCATTCCTCATCGCCTCTGCCATCCACCACCTCCACTCCCTGGGTTCTGGTAACCACCATTTTCTTCTCTGTTTGTACGTGTTTGACTTTTTTAGATTCTATATATAGTATCGATGAGATCATGCAGTATTTGTCTTTTTTTTGAGATGGAGTTTGGTCTTGTTGCCCAGGCTGGAGCGCAATGGCGCTGTCTGGGCTCACTGCAACCTCCACCTCCCAGGTTCAAGTGATTCCCTTGCCTCAGCTTCCCGAGTAGCTGGGATTACTGGCATGCGCCACCATGCCTGGCTAATTTTGTATTTTTAGTAGAGACGGCGTTTCTCCATGTTGGTCAGGCTGGTCTTGAACTCCCAAACTCGGGTGATCCACCCGCCTTGGCCTCCCAAAGTGCTGGGATTACAGGCATGAGCCACTGCGCCCAGGCCAGTATTTGTCTTTCTGAGCCCGGCTTGTTTCACATAGCACAATGTCCTCCAGATTCATCCATGTGATCACACATGATAGAGTATCCTTTCCATTTAAGCCTGAATAGTATTCCATTGTGTATATATACCACATTTTCTTTGAAACTAGAATTCTTTGGTTTAGAAGATTATCAAAATGAATCTGCTCTCCACAGGAAATGGTAAGAGAAAATTATCTGCCTTATACTTATATTTTGGGACCTAGGGGTAAAAATCAAAAACCAAAAGGAAATCTCCATTACAACTTCATAAGAAGCTAGCCCTCAAAAAGATTTCTTTACTATGATTTCACACTACCTATGAAGTCAGAAAAACCCCAAGCCAAGAGTTTTGTTTGATGTGGTCCTGGGACGAGTGACAATCCTAAGGAATGAGTACCATCAAAACACACACATGTCACATCACAAGTCACTCTAACTGCAAGGCAGCAAACAGCAACAAAATCAAACTGGTGAAGATTTTCACCTCAGTCAGTGGAAATAGCAAATACATAAATAAAATTTTAAGTATGTTTAAAGAAATAAATGATGAAATTAAGAGGAATAGAGATTACAGAAAATGAAAATCAAATGACGAAGAACCAAATCAAACTCCGAGAAATGGAAATCACAGTCACCGACAGTCAAAACTCTATAAATGGTTTAACCTCAGATCAGGTTGACCTGAACAGAGAACGAATAAAGTACAAGGTAGAGCTGAAGAAATTATGCAGAATGCAGGACAAATGAATGAAGAGTTGGGCGACATGCAACATAGAGTAAGAAAATCTAACACATATCTAACTGGCATTCCAGAAGGAAAGGGAGAAGAGAAAAAGCATTCAGAGGTAATAGTTGGAAAATTTTCAGATGCCCTAGGTGAGAATAATAAATCAATTAAAAATCAAACCAAGTGTTACAGCTCTTTTAGAATTTGTCTAGCAGGTTTTCCTACTAGAAAACCAGAAAAGATTTTTAAAGAATCAAAATTAAAAAAGAAACCAAACCAAAATTGGTCACAGTGACACTGCAAGATACCAAAACCAAAGAAGAGGTCTTAAAATTAGACAAAACAAAACAGGCCTCTTGTAGAGACAAGAATTAGACTGCAACCAACTTTTCAACAGCAACAACGGATGCCCCAAGGCAACAGAATGCTATCTTCTTCAATGATATCTTCAATGAGTGAAAGTAACCACCCATGCTTAGAGAAAATGAATTTCGCAAGGACAAAATAGACACTTTCAGACAATAATATGTGAAAAGAATCTTTCACCCACAGACCCTTACTAAAAGAATTTTGTAAGCTCTAATTCAATAGTTTAAAACTCTTCCAGATGGAAGGTCTAGAATGCAAAGAATGATAAACAAAGGAGGTGGGTAAACTAAACACCAAGATTCCTATATAAGATAGTCTGTAAGTTTCTTTTTTAAAAAAGGTAGAACTAAAATACATATGAAAAATAGGCCAGGTGTGGTGGTTCACGCCTGTAATCCCAGGACTTTGTGAGCCGAGGCAAGAGGACTGCTTAAGGCCGTAAGTCCGAAACCAGCCTGGGCAACACAGAGAGACCCAGTCTATAAAAACTTAAAAAATTAACCAGACATGGTACTATACACCTGTGGTCCCAGCTACTCAGGAGGCTGAGGTGGGAGGATTGCTTGAGTCTGGGAGGTCAAGGCTGCAGTGAGCCATGATCGTGCTACACTGCACTCCAGCCTCGGTGACAGAGCAAGACCATCTTAAAATAATTTAGGAGAGTGTCGATTGCTTAATGTTTTGAGATCATTGAGGGTAAAGATGTTATCTAGAGAGTTAAGAATACATGTTATAATTTCTAGTTAATTATTAGTATTAGCTGGCCCAGGCTACCCTAGGGGGCATTTTCATACTCCAATTTTAGGGTTTACTTGGAATCACCCTCCACTGTTCTTTCTACTGCACTGCACTCTCCCCGTTACTTCATGTTAAAGGTGAGCCAGAAAAAGCCTATCTTCCTAACCTCAGGGAACCATAAAGAGAACTCCTGGCTGGGCACAGTGGCTCATTCATGCCTGTAATCCCAGCACTTTTGGAGGCTGAGACAGGTGGATCACCTGAGGTCAGGAGTTCGAGACCAGCCTGGCCAACATGGTGAAACCTTGTCTCTACTAAAAATACCAAAATTAGCCAACCGTGGTGGTGCACACTTGTAATCCCAGCTACCCGAGAGGCTGAGGCATGAGAATCGCTTGAACCTGGGAGGCGGAGGTTGCGGTGAGCCAAGATCGCGGCACTGCACTCCAGCCTGGGTGACAGAGCGAGACTCTATCTCAAAAAAAAAAAGAAAAGAAAAGAAAAAGAAAAAGAAAAAGAAAAGAAAAGAAAAGAAAAAAAGAAAAAGAAAACTCCTGAGTCCTGAACAGAGCGGTAGAAATAAAAAGGAGGGAGATGTGATGGTCTTAGATTGCCCATACCAGGTTCTTCCAGTCTGTGTAAGCCAGGGAACCTCAAGCCTTGAACTCTGTAATCATACCTAACCAGCAGAGGCCCCAAATGCCTGACAGAAATAAACCTAAAGGGCTTTGTGGAGGAGATGGCATGTATCCTAGCCCTAGGGGAATCCCCATAAATAATTCTCTATGTGCAATAACCAGCATGCAGTCAAAGACAACCATGAACAGAAGCAACAAAACAACACTGCTATAACCAGCTCGGGTAGAGAGATCAGCCTGAACAATATTCCAACATGGTCAGTAATGGATTATAAAAACTGGGTGTTTTTAACGTTTAAAGTGGTTTAAAAATTTTTTTTTAATATTCTGGATACCTTTAATACATTTATGAACAAATACTGATGACAACTCATTTTAAATATATCAATAACTGAGAAAGGTGATATATTTCTTTTTGTGGCTCTATTGACCCTAATTGGTCAAAAGCACCTCATTTTGCAGGCTGTGGGTAAGGAAGAGGGGAAGAGAAAAGGAAAGGAGGCTGAAGAGGAACCAAAGCCCAGGATTCTCTAGAAATGCGTCATCCTCCAGAGTATGGGAGCACATTGGGTCCCAGCAACCTCAGCGGGACCTACTTCTCAGAAACACAAGAGTGTCCAATGGATGAAACCTCAGCTGAAAACATATAAATGTCCAAAGACATTGCAGGGTCTGGGAGGAACAAAGTATGATAAGGTTGTTAACTATCACGGACTCAGCAGGATCTGGGGGCATCACCAGTGGGGTTCCTCTCCCACTACCTTCAATAACCCAGGTGAAGAAGCAGGGGCAGCAGAGTAAGATTTAATTATGGGTTACGCTGTGGCTGGCAATATCCCAGGAGAAAAAAGAGTAAACTAAGCTATGTTTAGGGATGCATGCTTATATAGTAAAATGCTAAAGAAGAAAAAAAATAAAAGAAGCATTCCACATGAAAGTCAGATAAGTGGTTACACTTAAGGGGAGGAAGGTGGTTTTAACTGTGCAACTGGGAGGGGCACAAAAGGAGGCTTCCGGGGTACCAGAAATATTTTTCTTTCTTGATCTGGGGAGTACACATAATTCATAATTCACTAAGCCATGCATTTTTGTGTTTTGAACTTTTAGGAATATGATATATTTCAAAATTTAAAAAGAAAAAACTAAAATATGCTGAGATACATGAAACTTCAACTATAGAAGGACAAGGCAAGGTAAGGCACTGAGTAAGGGCTGAGCGAGGGTGGAAGGCAAGATCACTAAAAAAAAGAAGTTGCTACTGGGTCAGCTGGAAGGAGCGTCTACAAAAGAATCTTAATAGTATTCCCTATATCATTAATGAAGACAATAATCCACAGGTATCAGCAGTAGCTGTCTTTATTACCAATAGACAGCATTAAAAATGTTGACATTACCATTCTTGCAGATAACCTGGATTTATATTCATCAATTCATTGAACTAATCAATTTTAAAATTAAGGCCAGGCGTGGTGGCTCACACCTGTAATCCCACCACTTTGGGAGGCCGAGGTGGGCAGATCACCTGAGGTTGGGAGTTCTCGAGACCAGCCTGGCCAATATGGCGAAATCCCATCTCTACTAAAGATACAAAAATTAGCCAGGTACGATGGCATGCGTCTGTAGTCCCAGCTACTCGAGAGACTGAGGCAGAGAGAATTGCTTGAACCCAGGAGGTGGAGGCTGCAGTGAGTCGAAATTGCACCACTGCACTCCAGCCTGGGCGACGCAAAATTCTGTCTCAAAAAAAAAAACAGAAAAAGAAAAAAACTTCAGAATTAACATAGTTTTTAGGCCAGGTGCGGTGGGTCACGCCTGTAATTCCAGCACTTTGGGAGGACAAGGCGGGCAGATCACTTGAGGTCAGGAGTTCAAGACCAGCCTGGTCAACACAGTGAAACCCCGTCTCTACTAAAAATACAAAAAATTAGCCAGGCATGGTGGCAGGCGCCTGTAATCCCAGCTACTCGGAAAGCTGAGGCAGGAGAATTGCTTGAACCCAGGAGATGGAGGGTGCAGTGAGCCGAGATCATGCCACTGCACTCCAGCCTGGGCAACAGAATGAAACTCTATCTCTAAAAAAAAAAAAAAAAAAAAAAAAATGCTAAGCTTTTAAGTCCCCAAGGAATATGGCAAGACTTGAGTTTGAGAGTCAGGGGCTAATGTTCAAAAATGAGGATCCCTCATTCTAAAGATGTCTGCATATCTGCAGTCTCACCATTTAAAGAAACAGGTGGATTCTCCTTTTAACAACAGATCTTCTTTTGGATCCATCTTTTGAGCTTTGCATGGATATGTGTGTACAGATTTGTGTGGTTATGTGTGGGTACGGGAAAATATAAATACTAATTATCTGGATGACAAAATTACATATGGTTTGTATTTCTTTTCTTTATGCTTTCTGAATTTCCCAAATTATCTAGAACAAATCCTATGCAATTAACAAAAGTTAATTGTTTTTAGTCTTCTACCTATATAAGGTACAGCAAGCATTACGACAGCGTGTAAAAGACAAGCCTATAACTATAAACCACTAGATTGCTTTTACCAGTCCTAACAATTCTAAAATGAGTAGATAATATTTATTTATTTATTTATTCATTCATTTATTTAAAAATTAAGGAGACAAACATGGTGGCTCATGCCTGTAATCCCAGCACTTTCGGGAGGCTGAAGTAGGAGGATCACTAGAGCCCAGGAGTTCAAGACCCCGTCTCTAAAAAAAAATAACTAAAAATTAGCTGGGCCTGGTGGAATATGCCTGTAGTTCCAGCTTGAGCCCAGGAGGCTGAGTCCGTGATGAGCCGTGATCACATCAATGCAATTTATAGCCTGGGCGACAGAGCCAGACCCTGTCTCAAAAACAAATTAATAAAAAATAAAAAATACTATATTTAGTAAACCAACATACCAAAATTAAGTATTTCTACAGGTTTTGATCTAACACGTCCTTTTGATAAATATTTTCTTTATAGCATAAACTGGGCAAATATATAATAAACTTAGTAAGTAGTAATAGTAACAATTCAAACTCATCCAGTCAAGTCAAGCAAAGTGCTCATTTCACATCTCCTAAGTTTCTGGACTGGGAAGCCACTAACCCATTAGATTTTCCTCAATTTCAATTGCCTGAACAAAGGAGGCAGGAAGCAAACTACTACATAAAGTGAACTATAGCTAAGTTTATTTATTCAACAAAATTTAACAATCTAACATTGAAGTCCAAAACTGAAGTTGAAAACAGTTTCCTTGTTCCACAGAGGTACAAATTTTAAAGTACAGTACTGAAGAGTATCATACATTTGAAAGCTTACATATTTATTTAGCACATTCCTCCCCAACTTTCCCAATCATGTCTCTTAAAGGTTTTTACAGCTTGCTTCCATTGTAAGCTGCCTCCAGAAATGTCTCTTAAAGGTTTTTACAGCTTGCTTCCATTGTAAGCTGCCTCTAGAAATTTTTTATTTTTTTGGAAAGAGATAGAGTTTATAAAATAATTTCTACATTAAAAATTTCAGGTTGGGGGCAGTGGCTCACGCCTGTAATCCCAGCACTTAGGGAGGTCAAGGCAGGTGTCCCACTTGAGGCCAGGAGTTTGAGACCAGCTTGGCCAACACGGCAAAACCCTAAAGTGCAAAAATTAGCTGGGCTCCCTTGTAGCCTCCCAGCTACAAGGGAGGCTGAGGTTGCAGTGAGCTGAGATCGTGTCACTGCACTCCAGCCTAGGCAACAGAGCAAGACTCCGTCTCAAAAATACATACATACATACATAATATTTTATAAGTACTACAATCAACCTTAAAGGGAAGTAAAACAGTCCTTTCTCTAGTAAGACTCAACCTGTTTGGTAGGATGAAGACTACCAAAAGAAAAAAGCAGTACTTATTTCTTGTTAAAACAATGATAGCATCCTAGGGCGTATCAGTAGTTGCAGATATGAAAAATGAAAGCATAAATACTGGAATTATGCCACCTAATGTTTCTGGGACAACGTTTTTAAAAAAGTGAATAGAGGCGCTTGGAGACTGTTAGTTTTGAGAAATGATAAATAATAGTATTGAAACTAAGGTGGCAAGTGCGGGTTCAGAAACAGTAAAATACCTTTTTCATTTTTTACAAATTATTTTTATACCCTTAATTCTGTACATATCGATGAACCACCTCATCTTTGCTATATGCTTACTCACACAAAATGGAATTAACATCTTGGCTCTCCTAAAAAAGTCTTTGTTCCCAGACAGAGGTTCCCAGAGAGAGATTAGCAAACAAAAATTGGCAATTGACTGCTATTCTATATTAATCACAAGCCGATCACAAGTTAGAGTCTCTGAGCATTATAATGTTTACTCCTCAGTAAAAATATTACCTTTATGTTCCACATAAGGCTCCATATCCAAAATTTCTGAGAAGCCAATGTAGGTATTCAGCTTTTTCTTATGTCCAGTTTGCCTAACCAAGAGGAAAGCTGATTATATTTACATTTAAAACAATCATAATACAATATATAAGCTCTATTAGCTATTTTAATAAACTCAACAGTAGCTAGCTTTCACTTCACAATCTTCCTCCAAAACATGTACAATTAGAAGTAAACAGAATATTGTTTTATAGCTGGACAAATATGAGGTTAAAAAATGTGAATGCGAAGTGCTGATTCCAAACACAGCTTATTTTCCAGAAGTTTCAACTTAATCACAAAACAGATTATCCTGCTTTACAGAAGACATGCACATGTGCAAACATTGCCTTGATTTTAATTATAAAATGAAAAATACATTCCCATGGCGGGGGTGTAATGAGTACAAAATTTATTCTATTTAAAATAAAGGACAATACAGAAGGTCAGGGTAATTCAATTACTTGCAGTTTTTCTTTCTTTTTTTTTTTCCAAGACAGAGTTTCACTCTTGTTGCCCAGGCCGGAGTACAATGGTGCAATCTCGGCTCACTGCAACCTCCGCCTCCTGGGTTCAAGTGATTCTCCTGCCTCAGCCTCCCCAGTAGCTGGGATTACAGGCGCCTGCCACCACGCCCGGCTAATTTTTGTATTTTTAGTAGAGACGGGGTTTCACCATGTTGGCCCGGCTGATCTCGAACTCCTGACCTCAGGTGATCCACCTGCCTCAGCCTCCCAAAGTGCTGGGATTACAGGCGTGAGCCACCGCACCCGGCCCTTGCAGTTTTTAATACTTTCTTAGAATAAAAAAAGTAAGGATTTTTTACTTTTCTAGTTATCATTTATATATGGTTGGCTTCTTTAAAATTTTTTATGATAAAATCATGAAATATCGACATTTCAAAATGACAGCCTCCATCTATAACTTTCATCCTCAAATCTAGAGTTTCAAATTACAACCATTTTATCATCTCATCTATGGTAAAGTCTGTACATAGTAGACCACAATGAACAACAAACACTAATATTTGCACACATTTACCTGTCAAAGACAAAACGCATTAGCTGCAAGTTCAGAGTGCAAGGAAGGCTAAGAAGTCGAATCTTTCTTGTTGCATTCTGTTTGCTTTGACAGTTCTCGCAAAAATAGCGATTGTCTCCTTCTAATTTTTCTTCCTGATCAAGAATAAGACATATTAATTTTAAAAAGAAGATGGGTTTAAAACAAGTGATAAAACCCTTGATGTAAAGTATAATTTCATTTCAGTTAATAGCTCTCACTTAAGCTACTTAAAAACAGCTACTATAAATAATGGACACACAAAAGTAATGGGAACTGTTCAGCAGTGACATTATCAATTTGAATACACTGATATTTAAAACTGATGTGCCTATTTCCCAAATGTATGATATTAAAAATACTTGTTTTAGGTTCTTTGTCCTGGTAATCCCACTTCTGGGAATTCTAAAGTAAGTTTTAAAAAGAAATGTCACATGTATTTTGATGCAACATTCATTTAAAGACAGCAAAAAGGCTGGGCAACATGGCTCACGCCTGTAATCCCAACACTTTGGGAGGCCGAGGTGGGTGGATCACTTGAGGCCAGGAATTCGAGACCGGCCTGGCTGCCCAGGTGAAACCCCGTCTCTACTAAAAATACAAAAATTAGCCAGGCATGGTGGTACACACCTGTGGTCCCAACTACTCGGGAGGCTGAGACACAAGAATCACTTGAACCCGGGAGGTGGAGCTTGCAGTAAGCTGAGATCACACCTCTGCACTCCAGCCTGGAAACAAAGCGAGACTCTGTCTCAAAAAAATGAAGAAAAAAACAGGAGGGAGGAGGGTAGTGTAAAAACGATATATGGGCACCAGAATACAAAATTATATACATATTTGTTTAAAATTACTGAAACATATTCATGAGACAAAGCTAAAAAGAGACGTGTAGAAAAATCAAACATTTTAGCTGATAGTGGTTTCTTTTTAAAATTTGCCTTTATATTTCTATAAAGCTAATTGCAGCCAATCATAGCTAACCGAAGACTCAAACTCCTGAGCTCAAGCTTTTGTACCATATTGTACTTACCATATTGTAAGTAATGCAATACTGGTACCATCATCTCTTCACTTGGCTTCCAGGATACCACACTCACTGACTTGCCTCCTAATTCACTGGCATTCCTCCAGGGACTCCTGTGCCAGCTGCTCCTACCTCCCTGATCCCTAACATTTGAATGTCCCAGGCCTCAGTCCTTGTCTCTCTCCCACTCCCTTGGGGATTTTATCCAGCCACGACTTCTTCCTGGAACTATACCTCTCAAACGTAACATGCTCAAAGCCAAACTCCTAATTCCTCTCAACCCTGCTCCTCCCAGGTCCTCCCTATCTCAGTTAGAGCAACTCCATTCTTTCAGTTGATCAGGCCAAAAACCTTAGTAATCCTTGACTCCCCTCTTACTCTTACTCTCCACATCCAGTCTGCAAATTAAAAAAAAATTTTTTTTTCATTATTTTATTTTTACAGACAGGGTCTTGCTCTGTCACCAAGGCTGGGGTGCAGTGGTCCAATCATAGCTAACTACAGCCTCAAACTCCTGAGCTCAGGCAATTCTCCAGCCTCAGCCTCCTGAGTAGCTGGGATTATGGCTGTTCAACACCAAGCCTGGTTAATTTTTTTATTTTTTGCAAAGACGGTCTATCACTATGTTGCCTAGGCTGGTTTCAAACTACTGTTCTCAAATGATCCTACTGTCTCAGTCTCATAAAGTGCTGGGATTATAGACATGAGCCACCACATCTGGCTCCGGCCTGCAAATTTTATCTGCTCTTAGAAAATATATCTAAAAGCCAAATGGTGCTTATCACCTCTTCAGTTACCCCGTGGTCCAAGACACCATGCACTCCCATCTGCCCTCAATCCATCTTCAGCCTATTCTCAGCACCCATAGTTATCCCTTAAAACAGACTGTACCACTCCTACGCATATGACCCTGATGCCATCTCAACCTCACACAGAGTAAAAGTCAAACTTCTGACAAAGGTTTACTAGGCCCTCTCTGATATGGCCCTTGTGTCACCTCCACGACTTTATCTTCTATCATTTACTCACTTCGGCCACACTAACCGCCCCCCACCCAGGCTGTTCCTCAATCCACCAGGCAAGACACATTCTCATTTTGGGCTCTGCACTTGCTGTTTCATCTACCCAGAACACTCTTCTCCTTGTTTCTAACGGGGCTCACCCCTTCACCTTCAATCATTTTATTTCAAACTCCACCGACTCCAGCCTACTCCCCAGCACATTGCCCAGCGCCACATTCCCTGCTTTCTTCTTCTCCACAGCCCTTATTGTAGTTGACCCACTATATATTCGCACTTTATTTTACTGTCCCTCCCTTGTGCCTACACCACTACTTTGTAGGCTCCATAAAGGCTAATCCCCAACAGCTGAAACACTGCCTGACACAGTAAGCATTCAATAAATATTCATTGGCCAGGCGCGGTGGTTCACGTGTGTAATCCCAGCACTTTGGGAGGCCAAGGCAGGCGGATCACCTGAGGTTGGGAGTTTGAGACCAGCCTGACCGACATGGTAAAACCCTGTTTCTACTAAAAATACACACACAAAAAAAATTAGCCAGGTATGGTGGCCCGCGCCTATAATCCCAGCTACTCAGGAGGCTGAGGCAGGAGAATCGCTTGAATCCGGGAGGCGGAGGTTGCAATGAGCCAAGATTGTGCCATTGCATTCCAGCCTGGGCAACAAGAGAGAAACTCCATCTCAAAAAAAAAAAAAAAATTCAGCGAAATGAATTCAATGACTACTTCAGGCATGCCCATGGATGAGCTGAGGAAGTAAGAAAGCACAAAAAATATCTGAAGACAGCTAGCTAGCTAGCTAGATAATAAGCTTGTCTATTACACTATGTATACATTCATGCTTGACAACAAAGGGTTCCTCTTAGCAGTTTTCCACTCAGAACAGAAAGGAATCACTGAATTATCTCCACATGAATCTAAATATACAGAAAGCAGAATGACCATATCAATGTAAAAAAGTTTCATATTTAGCACATTCTCGTTTTCATTAGACAACAAGGTAAAATACCTTTATGATAACTCAGCATAGAGTTCTTTCAATACCCCACTACCCACAATCACAGAATAATATCTTCTCACACATACATAACTTTACATATAAAATAACTTGAAATAAGCAAAATTATTTTTAAGACACAGGCTGCTTTGGTACTTCATAAAGTGTCTTCTGGATCATTACAGATGCTTCTTATGTAGAAAAAGCTGACACAATAAAAGCTCTAGCCACTAAATCAAAACAGAATAGCATTCAGAACAGCATTTAACTGTTAATGGGCAGGAACAATACATACACCAAAATTTGAATACCTTCAAAAATTCCGAGATACAATCTGTTAACTGTTTGTGGCCTTGGATATTTAACTCCAGCTCATAAAATTTTGACAAAAGCTTAGACTCTCTGCCACACTGGTTGCAACTATAATAAAACAGAACGACAAAATTCAGATCAGAGTGTGAAAAGCAACAAAGTTATATTGTATTACATCCTAGAAAGATGGAAAAAAGCATTTATAACTTTCATTAGTTCTCCTTCACAGAAATTATGTATACTAAAAATGAAATATAATCCCAGCATTTTGGGAGACCAAGGCGAGTGGATCACAAGGTCAGGAATTCGAGACCAGCCTGACCAACACGGTGAAACCCCATCTCTACTAAAAATACAAAAATCAGCCGGATGTGGTGGCGCGTTCCTGTAATCTCAGCTACTCGGGAGGCTGAGGCAGGAGAATCGCTTGAACCTGGGAGGCAGAGGTTGCAGTGAGCCAAGATCACGCCACTGCACTCATCCTGGGCAACAGAGCAAGAGTCCATCTCAAAAAAAAAAAAAAAAAGAAAAGAAATAAAAACAAAGTGCCTGGTGAAGCTAAACATTCGTTGGGAAACTTTCTTAAAATAAATGTTAAGAGGTACAAGTGCAGTTTTGTTACATGAATATATCGCACTGTGGTGAAGTCTAGGTTTTAATGTAACCATCACCCAAATGTTGTATATTGTACTCATGCACATTTTTTTAACAGGCATTTTACATTTACTTTTAGTATTCTAGCCAGTTCCAATCTTACTCTTTAGCTCACACCACACAGCCATAAAGCAAGAGCAGACTGCAAGAGCTCACCCAGACACCGTTCCTAACACCTGGATGGGTGCAACTGCAATTACCAACTCACTTGTTTATATGTTCCCATGGAAATGTATTACTATAAATATTTCAGGTCCCATGATAAACCACTAAAGCTACAACCTGGAACTGCACTGAAAAATAGTTAACATATGAGCAACTGTCTTAGAATAAAATGTACCATGAAAAAGTTGAAACAGACTTACACAGTTACATAGGCATATTCTCCACAGAACTGCTGTTGAACAATATTGCGCACATCTGGATTCTTTTGTTTAGACAAAGTATCTTCCAATAGAGACATAAAGAGCTTTGAAAATTCTTGAGCATCCTACAAGTTTAGGTTAATGAAAAGAAAAATCATATCTTGCTTTTCAACTTCTACTACAAATAGTAATACATTCAACATTCCAGAAACTACCTATACTTTCAACTTAGCATTTTCAAACAGGGGCTACAGCTATGTTCAATCAGTTTGTGCCCCCATATGAATTTCCATAAATGGAATCAAGTATAATGTGTAAACTATTGGACAGTAAATAAAGGTTTTCATTCAAAATAGAAAAAATTTAATTTTTAAAAAGCATTCTACTTCATCTCCCTTTATAAACATGCTTAGGATGTTTGGGTACCTCTGAATATTTAAAAAAAAAAAAAAATTCAGTTCTTACCTGCTGTTGTCCAGTGTCCAGGCCCAAGGCTTTAACAAATCCTGATGGATCAATGTATCGCCTATTACTGTTTTGCAACAAGGCAAACAAGTACTGGAGATGCTCACAAATTGTTTGAGGCTCATAATCTATTAAAACAAAAATATAGATTTGGGGTTTTTTAAGGTGCTACTTTTCTTTCCAAAAAATGGTACTTCCTCTTCACATGAGAACATAAACATCTCTACATCCAAACTAGATTAATACTTTATTATCATTTTAAAACTTTAAAAGAAATAGGCTGAGCACGGTGGCTCATGCCTGTAACCCCAGCACTTTGGGAGGCCAAAGCAGGCAGATCACTTGAGATCAGAAGCTTGAGACAAGCCTGGCCAATATGGAGAAACCCCGTCTCCACTAAAAAAAATACAAATATTAGCCGGGTGTGGTGGTGCACACATGTAATCCCAGCTACTTGGGAGGCTGAGACACGAGCATCTATTGAGCGCGGGAGGAAGAGGCTGCAGTGAGGTGAGATCGCCAACAAAGTGAGACTCTCAAAAACAAAAAACAAGGCTGGGCACGGTGGCTCACACTCGTAATCCCCGCACTTTGGGAGGCAGAGGCGGGCGAATAATCTGAGGTCAGGAGTTCAAGACCAGCCTGGCCAACATGGTAAAACCCTGTCTCTACTAAAAATACAAAAAGTAGCTGGGTGTGGTGGCGAGCACCTGTAATCCCTGCTACTTGGGAGGCTGGGGTTCAAGGATAGCTTGAACCCAGGAGGTGGAGGTTGTGGTGAGCAGAGATCATGCCACTGCACTCCAGCCTGGATGACAGAGCGAGACTCTTTAAAAAAAAAAAAAAAAAAAAAAAAACTTTAAAAGACAGGGCTGGCGCAGTGGCTCAAGGCTGGAAGCAGTGGTTCACGCCTGTAATCCCAGCACTTTGGGAGGCCATGGCTGGCGGATCACAAGGTCGGGAGTTCCAGACCAGCCTGGCCAACATGGCGAAACCCCGTCTCTATTAAAAATACAAAAATTAGTGGGGCATGGTAGTACACGCCTGTAATCCCAGCTACTCGGGAGGCTGAGGCAGGAGAATCACTTGAACCCGACAGGCGGAGGTTGTAGTTAGCCAAGATTGTGCCACTGCACTCCAGCCTGGGCAACAGAGTGAGACTCCATCTGGGAGGAAAAAAAAAAAGAAATAGAATTAGCAACCATGTTTTGTGGAAGTCATGAGGCAGCCAGGACTGTCCATATACACTCCCCAAAGGCAAGAGCCTACCTGTATTAAAGCAACAACAGCAATCATGACTACAGTGTCTAGTCATGATTTTTTAAAGTCCAGTTAATGTGGACTTGGGATCTCAAGCACAGCAATTCACACTTAAGTGAAGAATACAAAACCGTAGAATTTTAGAGTTGAAAGTTTTAATGAGCTAGTGCAGGGAATGGAAGCAGAAAGCATGGATATTGAGAGCCCAGAAGACAGAAGTCTTATCTTCTTTAAGTTATTAACTTATTGCTTCTCAGCTCCAAATCTACCCTTCTTTGCCTGCTCAGTGATGAGAGATGGGCTCTGCAAATACTTCTCCTTTGCCAGTTATCAAGAAGGTAAGGCTTCTCAGTGAAGGGCACTGCAGGGTTTGGTTGTGCCTCTGTCACCAGCCTGCTGCAGATCAGCTTCCTCCAGGGCTCCAGGTTCCTGCCCCTAACAGTAGTCAGCAGCTTACCCAGCACCTCTTCTGATAGCTTCACAGTACAGTGCCTCCAGTGAGGCATTTCCTCTCGAATGACCACCCTGTGAATGGCCTCCCGGACACTCTCTCAGGTGACTCTGTAGGGGGTTCCAGGGCCCAGCACCTTCTCATGGACAGTTTCTAGTAGGGATTCCCAGGGAGGCATCTCAGCACCTTTTCAGCCACCCAGTGCATCCCAGCAGTGTCCAAAGAGGTCTGGATCTCAAGCCTGGGCCATGGGGGTGACAGACTATCCGTTGGATGTTCTCTTTCAGCCCCAGGGATACAGGTTGTTCCCTGTATCTGCTGTCCTTGTATTCTTTAAAATCCTCTTTAATCTTTAACTCTTATTAATCAATTCCTCATTTCTCTAATTAATTCTGTTATTAATTCTCAACTTTCCCTTTTCAAATTATTCTGTAGCTTCTGTCTTCTAACTGGACTATATTTATCTCCTTACTACCAACTGTGGCTTTCAGCAAGTCAATATATCATCTTCAAAATAAAGATAAAATATTACTCCTTGGCCTGCAAAAGCATTGCAGGCCAGTAAAAGCTATTCAAGGCCAGGTGCTGTGGCTCATGCCTGTAATCCCAGCACTCTGGGAGACCAAGGAAGGTGGATCGATTGAACCCAGGAGTTTGAGACCAGCCTGGGCAACATGGTAAAATGCTGTCTCCAAAAAAAACACAAAAATTAGCAAGAGGTGGTGGTGCATGCCTGTAGTTCCAACTACTCGGGGGGGCTCTGGCAGGAGGATTGCTTGAGCCTGGGAGGTTGAGGCTACAGTGAGCTGTGCTCGCACCAGCCTGGGCGAAAAAGTGAGATCTTGTCTCAAAAAACAAACAAACAATAAAAAAAAACCTTTTCTGTTCAAATTATTGTGTAGCTTCTGTCTTCTAATCAGACTCTGAATATTTGTATCCTTACTACCAATTGTGGCTTTCAGCAAGTCAATATACCATCTGTAAAATAAAGATAAAATATTACTCCTTGGGGTGCAAAGGTTTTGCAGGCTGGTAAAAGCTATTCAAGGCCTGGCACCATGGTTCATGCCTGTAATCCAGCACTTTTGGAGACCGAGACAGGAGGACTGCTTAAGGCCAGAAGTTCAAGACCAGCCTGGGCAACAGAGCAAGACACTGTCTCTATAAAAAAAATAAGTTTAGGCCAGGCACAGTGGCTCACACCTGTAATCCCAGCACTCTGGGAAGCCGAGGCGGGTGGATCACCTGAGGTCGGGAGTTCAAGACCAGCCTGACCAACATGGAGAAACCCCGTCTCTACTAAAAATACAAAATTAGCCGGGCGTGGTGGTGCACGCCTGTAATCCCAGCTACTCGGGAGGCTGAGGCAGGAGAATTGCTTGAACCTGAGAGGCGGAGGTTGTGGTGAACCGAGATTGTGCCATTGCACTAGAGCGTGGGCAACAAGTGTGAAACTGTCTTAAAAAAATAATAATAATAATAATAAAATAAGTTTAGGCTAGACACAGTGGCTCACACCTGTAGTCGCAGCACTTTGGAAGGCCGAGGCAGCCACATCACTTGAGGTCAGGAGTTCGAGACTAGCCTGGCCAACATAGTGAAACGCTGTCTCTACTAAAAATACAAAAACTAGCCAGGCGTGGTGGCGGGCGCCTGTAATCCCAGCTTCTCAAGAGGCTGAGGCAGGAGAATCGCTTCAGCCCAGGAGGCAGACGTTGCAGTGAACCGAGATGGCGCCACTTCACTCTGGCTTGGGAAACAGAGGAAGACTCAAAAAAAAAAAAAAAAAAAAGTTTAAAAAAATGTTCAGGAAGAGAGCTCTCCCCCACCCCTTTCCACCCACCTTTTTCTTCTTGGATGCCGTCTCCCAGCATGTAGTCACTACAAGTGCTTGGACATAAGTAGAGTGCCTGCCGAAGCTCCAAGTTGAGAAACCACACTTGAAGAAATGTGTTGACATAACAAGTGGCTCCAAGGTTAGTCAGGCCCACAAATGAGTTCTACAAAAATACAAAATTCATAATTATAAAACCCATTTTCCTTTAAACAACCAATTTCTAAGCATTATTCTTAAATTTTCAGATTAAAAATGTGTAAGACCGTCACAACCAACATGGTATAGCCACCTTAAGTTTCTCTTGGCTGGAGGTGGGGCATAATTTTCATGAAAGCCCCATTTTGGGTTGACCACAGGAGTGAAAAAGACTTCGGACGGCATCACTGCTCATCTCTAGCATATCGTCTTCTCCAGCCACTTAAATCTAAAATTAGAACAGTGGATTCTAGAAAAGATCGGTTTTGAACAAGCGTATATAGGTTTTATGTTTTCTGTATTTCTAAACTGCCAGCATTCAGCAGAATGACAAAGTAAAACTTATGCAGAAAACTTCCTTTATATTCTAGAGATTTTAAAGATTGGCGGTGGTAGAGGGAACTGGCTGCAACTTTTTCCAAAGATAAGGTTGGGAATTCCTGACCTTACAAAGAATTATTATTTTATTAAAATATCTATATATAACAAACTTGGATATTTCGTGAATGCTAAGATTTATGTCTAGAAAATTTAATGTATATTTTTAAAAAGCAAAATTATATATAAAATACAAGCCCTAGAAAGCAAAGTGCTATCATCATGAGTTTGTTCCCTTGAATTACCATCTCCTTTAAAGAGGCGTTAAGATTTCAAAATAAAACATGCAATGTTAAAGCAAACATAGAATCAGCATTCAAACTAAAACTATTATTTAAAGGCTTACTGAATTACGCAGCTGCCTGTTTTAAAGCATATCATTAAGAAGTGTTCCAATTCAAGTGGCTTAGAGTCTTAAGTTCTACTGCTTATCTTAAAGCTGCACAGGTTACCTGAAATCAGTAGAGTTTTCTGATCACAGGCCCAAAACAAAAGCAAAAACAAAAACAAAAAACAGCATATAGCAATCGCTTAAAAAATGATGGTTTACCTTTTTTCTCCTCTCACAGTTGGGATCATCGATGTTATGAAAACTATTTTCATCTATTTCTCCTAACCAAATATGCTCACCAATACCAACCAAGCAATTCGGATTTCCTTTGCAGTTTCGTCTAAGGGGAAAAAAAAAACCTTTAATTTTTAAAAGACCATAGTTTCATGAGAGACAAACAAATTAAAACTAAAATGAGATACCACTTCTCATCTATAAATTAGCAAAACTGAGAAAGTATAAGACACTCAGTTTGTGAGGGTGTGGAGAAGAAAGCATGCATATACTGCTGGTAGAAATGCAGTCACTAACAAAACTACATAGACAACTACCTTTAGACCTAGCAATCTCATTTCTGAGGATTTACTGTTCCTTAGGCTATACCTCCAACAATGCAAAATCTCACTCATAAGGTTATTCATTACAGCACTGTCTGTTAATTGCAAAATATTGGAAGCCACCCAAATGCCCAAAAATAGACAATATGGTACATCTATATGGCAGAGTACTATGCAACTGTAAAACACACACACACACACACACACACACACACACACACACAGCATGAAAAAGATATCTATGAACAGATATAAGGTAATTTATAAATCCAGGACACATTATTAAGTAAAAAAAGCAAAATGCAAAGGAGTATCTCTAGTATACTGTTATGTGTAAGAAATATATAAGGAAAATATACATGTACATATTTCTGCTCATTTTGTACAAAAAGAAATACAGAAAGGAAAAACAAGAGACTAATGAAATTGGTTACCTACAGAGCATGAGTGGGAATAAGGTTAAAAGAAAATACACCTTTTCGGCCGGACACAGTGGCTCACACCTGCAATCCCAGCACTTTGGGAGGCTGAGGCAGGCGGATAACAAGGTCAGGAGTTCGAGACCAGCCTGAAACCCTGTCTCTACTAAAAATACAAAAATTAGCCGGGCGTGGCGGTGCGGGCCTGTAATCCCAGCTACTTGGGAGGTTGTGGCAGAAGAATCCCTTGAACCCAGGACACGGAGGTTGCAGGGAGCCGAGATTACACCACTGCACTCTGGCCTGGGCGACAGAGCAAGACTCTGTCTTGGAAAAAATGAATGAATGAATGAATGAATGAATGAATGAATGAAAAGGAAATGTACCTTTTCATATAATGAACAATTTGGGACCATGTGACTGTTTCTCACACTACTTCACGCATGCACACAAACAAAAATAAATCAACTGGCTAGGCGTGGTGGTTCACGCCTGTAATCCTAGCCCTTTGGGAGGCCAAGGCAGGAGGATCACTTGAGGTTAGGAGTTTTGAGACCAGCCTGGCCAACATGGTGAAACCCTGTCTCTACTAGAAATACAAAAATTAGCCAGGTGTGGTGGTACACGTTTGTAACTCCAGCTACAGGCTGAAGACTGGAGGCTGATGCAGGAGAATTGCTTGAACCCAGGAGGCGGAGGTTGCAGTGAGCCAAGATCGTGCCACTGCACTCCAGCCTGGGCAACAGAGAGAGACACGGTCTCAAAAAAAAAAAAAAAAAAAAAAAAGGAATCAACAAGGATGACAGGAACCCTAAATTCAAAACAGAGAAAACATATTTCAACTAAATAAAAGATCCAGACTGAAGGGAAGGCAGGAGTGGGGGAGGGAGAGGGAGGGGGTGTGACTGACCAAAGTAACTTAAACAGTTATCAAGCTCATTTACTAGTACCCTCTGGCTAAAGACAAAAGGAACAAACAGCCAACTCTAATTAGTAGGCTTCTTTTCCATAGAGACATGGGTTAATAATTCTGAAACACAGATCCTGACTTCTAAATATTACCCACTAAAAGAATCCCGTGCTCCTTGGAGAAATAACTGGCTGATTCCAAGGCCAGGGCAGTGAAATTAGAAAACGAACCTACATCTTACTGTGCCCTAAAATGATGTACTGAAAGATGGTGGAGACATGTCAAAAGAGCACAAGAGTTGGCTGGAAGGGGAGGTCCCACTGGTCAAATTTGGCAACAAAATTTAGCAACAAAATGAGTAATAGGATTATAACCTACTGAATAAAGTAAGAATCCATCATTTCATGGTGAGATGGATGGAAGAAAAATCTCTTCCCTTTAGAAGAAAACCAACTATCAAAGTGGAAGGAATGACAGAATTAAAAATCTCCATTTGGCATACATCAGATTCAGAAAGGAATGAGGCAAGGATCATCACGGATGCTAACGTAGGCAAGTTGGAGAAATAACAATATTTACAATGTCTCAAAGTATCTCAGAAAAAGTTAATTACAAAGGGAAAGATAATAACTTTCAGTGGAGAAACTTGACAGACACCACCTTAACCAAATGCTTAAATTTAACACACCCAGTAATGAATCTAATTGACACCACACACCTTCTGGTATAATGCACAACACAGAATCACTTCTGTGATGTTCTGGCCAAAGATGCATGGCCTTAATTGAATCATGAGGAAACATCAGACCAAACCAACTCAAGGGACTTTATACAAAATAAGTCAGTGTCATGAAATACAAAGAAAGATTCACTAACAGTTCCAGATTAAAGGAAACCAAAGAGACACAACTGAATGTAACATAAGCTTAGGTTTTCTTTTGCTATAAAGGAACATTACAGGACAAAGTTCTGCAGATTTCTGTAGGATACCCACTAAAGGATTACTGATAACAGTAAAAGACTGGAAATTTATATGGAAGTAACAAAATAAATTACAATATAACCAAACAACAAAAACTACTGCTGTCAAAAAATAAAAAGGTAGGCCGGGCACAGTGGCTCACGCCTGTAATCCCAGCATTTTGGGAGGCCCAGGTGGGCGGATCACAAAGTCAGGAGTTCGAGACCAGCCTGGCCAACATGGTAAAACCCCATCTCTACTAAAAATACAAAAATTCGCCAGGAGTGGTGGCGGGAGCCTGTAATCCCAGCTACCCAGGAGGCTGAGGCAGGAGAAATCACTTGAAACTGGAAGGCGGGAGGGTGCAGTGAGCCGAGATCGTGCCACTGCACTCCAGCCTGGGCAACAAGAACAAAACTCTATCTCAAAAAAAATAAAAATAAAAATAAATTTAAAAAAAGGTAGGGAAAGCTTTTAATGTTGTGATATATAACGATATCATTAGTTGAAAAAAGGAAGGTGGGCCAGGCACAGTGGCTCACGCCTGTAATCCCAGCACTTTGGGAGGCTGAGGCAGGCGATCACCTGAGGTCGGGATTTCGAGACCAGCCTGACCAACATGGAGAAACCCTGTCTCTACTAAAAATACAAAATTAGCCGGGCATGGTGGCGCATGCCTGTTAATCCCAGCTAGTTGGGAGGCTGAGGCAGGAGAACTGCTTGAGCCCAGCAGGGTGAAGGTTGTGGTGAGCCAAGATCACGCCATCGCACTCCAGCCTGGACAACAAGTGGAAACTTTGTCTCAAAAGAAAAAAAAGAAAAAAAAAAAGGAAGGTACAAAACACTGCATATCATGTTGCCATGTTTTTTATTTACAAATGGGGTAAACACACCCGTTTGTTTAGATAGAAGAGTACATTATAAACTGGAAACAACCTTATCGGCAAAGATTATCTCTGTACTTGCCAGCTATAAGTCAGAAGTAAATAACACTCTGAACTTCCTTTTTTTTTTTTTTGAGACTCCCATACTGAAGTGGCATGTTCATGGCTCACTGCAGCCTCTACATCCTGGACTCAAGTAATCCTCCAGCCTCAGCCTCTGGAGTAGCTGGGAGGTGCATGCCACCATACTTGGATAATTTTTTATTTTATTTTTTGTAAAAACAGGGTCTTGCCATGTTGCCCCAGGCTGACCCCATCACTTTTTATACCTTTCAGACTTTGAACAATAAAATGTGTTACATATTCCAAAAATAAGTAAATAATTGTTTTAATGTTCAGTTTAAACATACTGTCTTCTAAAATATAAAAATGAAGCTGGGTGTGGTGGCACATGCTTATAGTGCCAGCTATTCAGAAGGCTCAGGCAGAAGATGGCCTAAGCCTAGGAGTTGGAGGCTGCAATGAACTATGATTGCACCTGTGAACAGCCACTGCACTACAGCCTGGCCAACAAAGTGAGACCCTGTCTCTATTTTAAAACTTTTGAAAAAATAAAAATGAAAACAAGTTCGACCAATTTAAGAACAGTTTTGTCAGCTTATATCAAAGCTAGGAGGGAAAAAAGCTTATTAATGAAATAAAGTAGAACCCATCCACTGTGGGGAGAAGAAGCTAGGGTTTTGTTTTAGTGCTTATAACTCATCTCTAATGGGAAAGGTCTACTATAAGAGAGTTAAAGAAACAAAACTGGCCGGGTGCAGTGGCTCCTGCCTGTAATCCCCAGCACTTTGGGAGACTGAGGTGGGCAGATCACTTGAGGCCAGAAGTTCAAGACCAGCCTGGCCAACATGGCAAAACCCCGTCTCTACTAAAAATACAAAAATGTGCCAAGCGTGGTGGCGTGTGCCTATAATCCCAGCTACTTGGGAGGCTGAAGTGAGAGAACCGCTTGAACCAGGAAGGCAGGGTTTGCAGTGAGCTGTGATCGCACCAGTGCATTCCAGCCAGGCTGGGCAACAGAGCGAGACTCGTCTCAAAAAAAAAAAGAAGAAACAAAACTGATTCTGAGACTGAGAAAAGTAACAGAAAATCTCTCCTGGGAACAGTGACAAGGATATACTAGGAAGGTTCTTTCGAAAGAAAATTACAGCTAGTGGCAATGGACTCTCCCAAAGGTCTTTGGCAGATAGGAAAAAATAGTGTCAGTAACCATGGTGAAAATATACCTCTAAAACAAAGTAGGCACTTATTTTGTCAATCCTTTCAACTCTGCTTTTCAAAGGTGTAATATCAAGTCTTGTTTGTTCACTCCCTCCTCTTGGACAAGTGGGTGGTAAAAATTTTTCACACGGGCCGGGCGCGGTGGCTCACGCCTGTAATCCCAGCACTTTGGGAGGCGGAGGCGGGTGGATCACGAGGTCAGGGGTTTGAGACCAGCCTGACCAACATGGTGAAACCCCATCTCTACTAAAAATACAAAAATTAGCTGGACGTGGTGGCAGGCGCCTGTAATCCTGGCTACTCAGGAGGCTGAGGCAGGAGAATTGCTTGAACCTGGGAGGCGGAGGTTGCAGTGAGCCGAGATCACGCCACTGCACTCCAGCCTGGGCGACAGAGCGAGACTTCATCTCAAAAAAAAAAAAAAAAAAAAAAATTCACACGACCTGGCTGGGGAAACAGATACTCCCATGTGTCAAACACAGACATCATTCTCAGAAAATAGTTCCACTGGATCTGTTTAGATTTTAGTCTCCAGTTCCTGATAGCAAAATAATTCAGACAATGAAGAAAAGGTAGGCTCTCCCTGTCCCCACCCAAAAATCATGCATACTCAACTGGTTCTAAAGCTGGCATCAAAAGGCAAACACAACCTATGGCCTAAATATTACCACAATAAGACTTTCAAAAGCTACTATGAGAAGCTGGGAGCAATCTGTATTATTAGGCCCCACAACACTGGCATTGTTCTTTTTAAATTTTCTTAAATTAATTGCTTGCTAGGTATCACTGAATACGTCTTCAGTCGGCTAGAACACCACCACAGCAGAATGCCAAGTGCAGGTGACCTGTGATAGACTACCACCCCAGGCCAAACCTATGGCTCCCGAGCCTCTATGGCCACACTTCAGGTGGGAACCAAAAAGCCAATGGCGGTGCTTTGCATTAAAAGGGCTTGGGCTTTCTAAACTTCTAAATTGTTGCTAAGCCTTTCATACATAGCCCAATATGGGGGGGCGGGGTTGTGTTTGTTCTCTTACTTGGAGAGGTAAAGAATCTACTTAACAAACACAAATAACAGCTGGGCGCAGTGGCTCACGCCTATAATCCCAACACTTTGAGAGGCCAAGGCGGGCAGATCACCTGAGGTCGGGAGTTCGAGACCAGCCTGGCTGACATAGAGAAACCTCGTCTCTACTAAAAATACAAAAAATTAGCCAGGCGTGGTGGCACATGCCTGTAATTCCAGCTACTCAGGAGGCTGAGGCAGGAGAATCACTTGAACCCAGGAGGCAGAGGGTGCGGTGAGCCGAGATCATGCCATTGCACTCCAACCCTGGTAACTAGAGAGAAACTCTGTTTCAAGAAAAGGAAGGGAGGAAGGAAGGGAGGGAGGGAGGGAGGACGGATGGACAGGCAGACACAAATCACAGTTCTAATTATAAGCTGTTACTTCTAAAGCCAGCCTTAGCAGCACAGCAGAATGCCAACCACAGAGGGCTGTAGCCTCTCCCATTCGTCATTCTCCAATGCCCCTAACTCCATTTTATCCCTCCTTAGGAGTAGGCCCCAGGTATCAAGGATCATTTATCATCATGTGTGTGCCAATTTCCTTACAGTAGAAAAACAGTTATGTGTACCTGTGTCTATCAACTATCAAAACAGATCAAGGAGGTTGAGTGTTTCACAAAATATGAGACAGTGTCTGGGAGCAGTGGTTCACACCTGTAGTCCCAGCAATTTGCAAGGCTGAGGCAGGCAGATCACTTGAGGCCAGGAATTTGACACCAGCCAGGCCAATATGGCGAAAACCCATCTTTACTAAAAATACAAAAAATTAGCCAGGTGTGGTGGCATATGCCTATAGTCCCAGCTGCTCAGGAAGCTGAGACAAGAGAATTGCTTGAACCCGGGAGGCAGAGGCTGCAGTGAGCTGAGATCACGCCACTGCACTCCAGCCTGGGCATCAGAGAGAGACCCTGTCTCCAAAAAAAAAAAAAAGCCTGGGCGCAGTGGGAGGCCGAGGCTGGTGGATTATGAGGTCAGGAGTTCAAGACCAACCTGGCCAAGATGGTGAAACCCTGACTCTACTAAAAATACAAAACTTAGCCAGGTATGGTGGCAGGTGCTTGTAATCCCAGCTACTCTGGAGGCTGAGGCAGAGAACTGCTTGAACCCGGGAGGCGGAGGTTGCAGTGAGCCGAGATCGTGATTGTGCCACCCCACACCAGCCTGGGTGACAGAGTGGCACTCCGTCTCAAAAAAAAAAAAAAAAAAAGACTTGATTACATAGGCATGACTGATTGAATCACTGGCCACTGGAGATTAGCAACCTTTAGTCCTCTCCCCTCCCAGAGGTCAGACTAAAAAGTTCTAAACCTCTCATCGTGGTTGGTTCTCCTGGCAACCAGCCCATGTGGAGGCTACCAAGAGCTCCCAGCCATCAGTCATTTCATTAGCATACAAAAAGACACTTAGTCACTTCAGAGATCCCAAAGGTTTTAGGAGCTGTGCCAGAAGTAGTACAAAGACTAAGCATATATTTCTTATAAATCAAAATATCATATAACCCTGCAGGAAAAATAACTAAAGAAAACATCTCAAAAATGTTAAATGACAACAATGTTTTTGTTTCAATAATTCTACTTCTGGGCACAGGTCCACCAAACTTGAGTAATAACAGCACAATGGCAATGCCATAGTACGATAAGGAATTCAGATAATTTAATGGGTACTTTGTTCCAAGACTGCACTGTATGAGAACACCAACGTGTTAGGCAGAGGATAGGTTCCAAAAGGTTTGGTTATGACGTACTAAGCAGACATCTGCTGTGATTTTAGGCCAGGGACACACTTTGGCAGCAGTAAACAGGACAGACCGGGCGGGGTGTGGTAGCTCATGCCTGTAATCCCAGCATTTTGGGAGGTCGAGGCAGGCGGATCACTTGAGGTCAGGAGTTTGAGACCAGCCTGGCTAATATGGTGAAACCCCGTTCTCTACTAAAAATTCAAAAATGTGCCAGGCATGGTGGCACGCGCCTGTAGTCCCACCTACTCCAGAGACTGAGGCAGAAGGCTCGCTTGAACCCGGGAGGCGGAGGTTGCAGTGAGCCGAGATCACGCCACTGCACTCAAGTCTGGGTGACAGAGCGAGACTCTGTCAAAAAAAAAAAGGGGGGGACAGCCCGAAGCTGAACAAGGCATGAGACGTTCCGAAGCTAAACAAGGTGTGAGACATAACTAACAATTTTTCTAGTGGAAGATGAGGTCTTAAAAAGCCAATTTAGGCCGGGTGTGGTGGCTCACACCCGTAATCCTAGCCCTTTGGAAGGCTGAGGTGAGTGGATCACCTGAGACAGGAGAATAGTTTGAAACTACGAAGCCGAGGTTGCAGTTAGCCGAGATCCCATGGTGCTCCGGCCTGGGCAACAAAGTGAGACTCCATCTCCAAAAAAAAAAAAAAAAAAAAAAAAAAAAAAAAAAAAGGCAATTCAGTGGGAATAGGAATGGAGGAAGTTCAAGCATATTGATGGGAAGAAATCAATAGAACTGGGGACTAATAAGATGCAACAGGCAAGAAAGGAAAGGAGAAATCTGGAATGATGCCCAAAATTGTAACAAAAAGATTTTCCAGGCTGGATGTGGTGGCTCACACCCGTAGTCCCAGCACTCTGAAAGGCCGAGGCGGGAGGATCACTTGAGGCTAGGAGTTCAAGACCAGCCTGGCCAACGTGGCAAAACCCTACTAAACTTCTACTAAGAATATAAAAATTAGCTGGGTTTGGTGGCGAATGCTTGTAATCCCAGCTACTCCAGAGGCTGTCATGAGAATCACTTGAACCCGGGAGGCGGAGGTTGCAGTGAGCTGAGATCATGGCACTGCACCCTAGCCTAGGTGACACAGCACAAAAAAAAACAATGTTCCACAAGTCAAAAATTGTGTTCAGGGAGTAGAAAAGTAGTAGGCTAGGTATCAAAGGGTATGAATGACTAAGTTCCTTCTATAATATATTGACTATAGGTAGGAGATACACTTTCAGTTCTGTTTTGGTAGATCTCCAATGATCTGTCATTTAAGAGTACACACGATGAGTGGAAAATTTATAATCAAAGATTTCACAGTTGCTATGCAGTTCAAAGATTCATCCTTTGAATGGGAAAGGGGGTAGGGATTTCACTCCAAATGGTCATTTACAGAGGTTCTGCTTCTTCCTCATCACCTCTTAGTTTCTTAGTTTTTATTTATTTATTTATGAGATGGAGTGTCGTTCTGTTGCCCAGGCTGGAGTGCACTGCAACCTCTACCTAACGGGCTCAAGACATTCTCCTGCCCGAGCCTCCTGAGACTCATGCCTGTAACCCAGCACTTTGGGAAGCTGAGTCGAGTGGATAACTTGAGGTCAGGAGTTCCAGATCAGCCTGGCCAACATGGCAAAACCCCGTCTCTACTACAAATACAAAAATTAGCCGGCGTGGTGGCGGGCATCTATAAACCCAGCTACTTGGGAGGCTGAGGCAGGAGAATCGCCTGCACCCAGGAGGCGGAGGTTGCAGTGAGCCAAGATCATGCCATTGTACTCCAGCCTGGGTGACAGAGCAAGACTCTGCCTCAAAAAAACAAAAAACAAGAACAACAACAAACAAAATCCATGGCCTCCTGGGCACTCAGGGTGTATAATACTCTACTCCCAGGCTCAGGTGATCTTCCCACCTCAGCCTTCCAAATAGCTGGGACCACAGGCATACGCCACCACACCCGGCTTTTTTGTATCATTTGTAGAGATGGGGTTTAGCCTCATTGCGCAAGCTGGGCTAGAATTCCTTGACTCAGGATTATAGGCATGAGCCACTGTGCCTGGGACCTTTTTTATTTTTATTTTTTGAGACGGTGTCTCGCTCTGTTGCCCAGGCTAGAGTGCAGTGGTGCAGTGGCTCAATCTCAGCTCACTGCAACCTCCACCTCCTGGTTTCAAGTGATTCTCCTGCCTCAGCCTCCCGAGTAGCTGGGACTCCAGGTGTGCGTCACCATGCCCGGCTAATTTTTGTATTTTTAGTAGAGATGGAGTTTCACTATGTTGGCCAGGCTGGTCTCGATCTCCTAACCTCGTGACCTGCCCACCTCGGCCTCCCAAAGTGCTGGGATTACAGGCATGAGCCACCGCGACCCGGCCAGGACTTTTTAGAGAGCTTTTTTTTTTTTTCTAGAGACAGGGTCTCACTACGTTGCCTGCTTACAAATAAATTGTTTTTAAAGAAAAATTTTTTGAAAAATCATTGAAGAAGGAAACTAGTTTACTTAAAACACTAAAGTACAGATTTTCCTGAAAGTGAAAATAAAGGAGAACCATGATAATATAAATTCTAGGTTCTAGTTACTAAAAACTTTACAGTGATTTTCATGTAATGCCTCATGGCATTACTGTATCAAGGTCTCATAAATTAGACATGCAAGAAATAAGCAAATCTAAAAACAGGTCAGGCATGGTGGCTCACGCCTGCAATCCCAGCACTCTGGGAGGCCGAGGCGGGTGGATCACAAGGTCAGGAGATCGAGACCATCCTGGCTAACATGGTGAAACCCCGTCTCTACTAAAAATATAAAAAAGTAGCCGGGCATGGTGGCGGGTACCTGTAGTCCCAGCTACTCAGGAGGCTGAGGCAGGAGAAAGGCGTGAAGCTGGGAGGCAGAGGTTGCAGTGAGCTGAGATTGCACCACTGCACTCTAGCCTGGGCAACAGAACAAGACTCCGTCTCAAAAAAAAAAAAAGAGTTTGCAAAATAGAAAAGTCTCAGCAGGTACCTCACTCAACTCCAATATGGAAAAATTCTCCAGCCCTACAGAGACTGAGCAGTGCATCAAGTCCCTGATTGCTATTTTCCAGGAGGATGCTGGAAAGGATGTCACAACCGCAAACTCTCCAAGAGGGGAGCCCCTCAGTTTCATGAATACAGAACTGGCTGCCCTCACACAGAACCACAAGGACGCTGGTGTCCTTGACCACATGATGAAGAAACTAGACCTCAACTGTGACAGGCAGTTAGATTTCCAAGAATTGCTTAATCTTTTTTGTTTCCCTCATCTCAGACTGAAAAATTTCTTAATCTTATTGGCAGCATGGCCCTAGTTCATCATAAGCCATGACTGTTTTATCATGGCTACCTATTCCCAGAAGCAAATCTAAGGAGGGTCTTGCCTTCAAGCCCCACCCCTTTCAAGCCCCACCCCCCCTTTCCTTCTAGGATCTCAGTCACCATCTTCTCCTCATGGCTCCCATACACCCTAAGCCCAGCATACCCACCACCCGTGTAGGCCACTCCTGCTAGTAGTAATAAAACAGTATCGTTTTGGTTTTGGTTTGTGTTTTGAGGCAGGGTCTTGTTCTGTTGCCCAGGCTGTGGTGCAGCAGTAAAATCATAGCTCACTGCAGCCTGGTCTTCCTGGCCTCAAGTGATCCTCCCGTCTTTGCCTCCCAAACTGCTGGGGTTACTAGCTTAAGCCACTGCACTTGGCCCAATATCATTTTTTAAAACACACACACAGTCTCGTCATGTATTTAATTTTAAGTATTTGTGTTCGTTTTCCCCATGTATGTCTCCCTTTTGCTTTGAGTTGTTGCTTTTGCTAACATCAGACATGTTCATGATTAGCAGTCATTCAATCCTCTGCTACTTTGCTAAAGTCATAGAGATCAAGTAACGTCAAATTATTCCATGATCTTACTTCCCAACTGATGAGAATAATCAATTCCAGGTTGACTGTAGACCTAAGCATGAAAGATAAAGCAATACAACTTATAGAAATAACACAGGAGAATATTTAGGACTCTGGGGAAGATAAATCTTTATCTTATGGGAGCTACATGATGAGAACTTCTGAACACAAAGAGAACTTACGAACACAAAGAACAATAGACGTTGGGGTCTTACTTGGGGGTGGAGGGTGGGAGGAGGGAGGGGAGCAGAAACAATTTTTTTTTTTTGAGGCAGGGTCTCGCTGTCACCCAGGCTAGAGTACAGTGCCAAGATCTCAGCTCACTGCAACCTCCGCCTCCTGGGTTCAAGCAATTCTCCCACCTCAGCTTCCCAAGTAGCTGGGATTACAGGCATGCACCACCACGTCTGGCTAATTTTTGTATATTTATACAGATGGGTTTTCACCATGTTCCCCAGGCTGGTCTTGAACTCCTGGCCTCAAGTGTCCACCTACCTCAGCCTCCCAAAATGCTGGGATTAAAGGCGTAAGCCACTGCGCCGGGCCTACAAAAAAATTTTGAATTAGCCAAACATGGTGGTGAGTATCTGCAGTCTCAGCTACTGGGGAAGCTGAAGTGGAAGGACCACTTAGACAGACCCCAGAGGCCAAGGCTGCAGTGAACTGTGATCACATCATGTACTCCAGCCTGGGTGATGAAGTGAAATCCTGTATCAAAAAGAAAAGAAAAAAAAGGACACTAAAATATATATGCAGAATGTTCACTGCAGCTTTATTCATAATGACCAAATACATGGAAAAATCAAAATGACCATCACTAGTAGAAAGGAATATAATATATAGTATATACTCACACACTGAAATAATGTACAGCACTGTTGGTCCCATTGGCTCATGCTTATAATCCCAGCACTTTGGGAGGCTGAGGTGGGCAGATTGCTTGAGCCCAGGAGTTCCAGACTGGCCTGGGCAACATATTGAGACCTCGTCCTCCACCAAAAAAAAAAAAAAATTGTACAGCACTAGAATTGAACACACTACTGCTTACACATAAATTAATCTTATAAAGTTGAGTGAAAGAAAACAGAAGCAGAAGGAATGACAATGTATGAATATACATAAAGTCCAACATAGGCAAAATAATCTGCTCAATTCAAAGTTAAGGGTAAGTGGTTCCCTTCAAGGAAAAGAGGCAGAAGTAACTGGTAGTAGAAAAATGGAAGATAAGGGTGTCTTGAAGTGTTAGTAATGTTTTGATCTTGGTGGTAGATATGGGACAGATAAATTTCTTTTGTGATAATTAGTCAATCAAGTGTCTTTTTTTTTTTTTTTTTTTGAGACAGAGCTCACTCTGTTGCCCAGGCTGGAGTGCAGAGGCATGATCTCAGCTCACTGCAACCTCCGCCTCCCAGGTTCAAGCGATTCTCCTGCCTCAGCCTTCTGAGTAGTGGGACTACAGGCGCGCACCACCATGCTCGGCTAATTTTTTGTATTTTTAGTACAGACAGGGTTTCACCATATTGGCCAGACTGGTCTCGAACTCCTGACCTCAGGTGATCCGCCTGCATCGGCCTCCCAAAGTGCTGAGATTACAGGCATGAGCCACTGCACCTGGCCAATCAAGTGTTATTCTTATGATTTGTGTGCTTTTCTGTATGTAAAAAAATAAATTTTCAAGCTGGCTACAGTGGCTCACGCCTGTAATCCCAGCACTATGGGACACCGAGGCAGGCAGATCACCTGAGGCCCGGAGTTGAAGACCAGCCTGGCCAAGATGGTGAAACCCCATCTCTACTAAAAAATACAAAAAAATTAGCCAGGCATGGTGGTGCATGCCTGTCATCCAAGCTACTAAGATGGCTGAGGCACAAGAATCACTTGAACCCAAGAGGTGGAGGATGCAGTGAGCTAAGATCGTGGCACTGCACTCCAGCCTAGGTGACAGAGCAAGACTGTCTCAAAAAACAACTAAAATACAAATAATTTTTTAAGTAAATTTTCGAAATCAAGACCAACCTGGCCAACGTGGTGAAACCCCGTCTCTACTAAAAATACAAAAAGTAGCCGGGAGTGGTGGTGCACACCTGTAGTCCCAGCTACTTGGGAGGCTGAGGCAGGAGAATCGCCTGAACCCGGGAGATGGAGGCTGAAGTGAGCAAAGATCGTGCCACTGCAATCTAGCCTGGGCGACAGAGCAAGACTCCATCTCAAAAAAAAATAAATTATTATTAATTATTAATAAATTATAATTTATAATTATTTTATAATTTTATAATTATAAATTATAATATAATGGTTAATTATAAATTATTTATTTATTTATTTTTCATGAGAACCATGAGAAAAATTCTAAAAGGAATTAAGGTCTTGCCTTATCAGATATTTTTCAAATACTATAAAATAATTAGAATTGTGGTATCACTACAGAGTTATTCAACGAAATTAATCAATGGCAAAAAAAACAGGGTTGAGAGGCTGGGTGCAGTGGCTTACACCTATAATCCCAACACTTTGGGAGGCGAAGGCAGGCAGATCACCTGAGGTCGACAGTTCAAGAACAGCCTGACCAACACGGAGAAACCCCGTCTCTACTAAAAACACAAAATTAGCCGGGCGTGGTGGCACATGCCTGTAATCCCAGCTGTCAGGGGGATGAGACAGGAGAATCGCTTGAACCCAGGAGGTGGAAGTTGTGGTGAGCCGAGATTGCGCCATTGCACTCCAGCCTGGGCAACAAGAGCGAAACTCCATCTCAAAAAAAAAAAAGGACTGAAAAATAAACCCAAGTAAATATGGGAATTTGCCATGTAATAAAGGTGGATTTTTAACTGGTGAGGAAAAAGACTGAATTGTTCAATAAATGGTTTAAGACAAGTGAGTAGCCATTTGGTAAAAGGCAAAATAAAATATTGATGGATCCCTACCTCAATCCATAAATCAAATTAAATTATAAAAACATAAAGGTTGCATAAAAGTAAACCATCAGTACTAAAACACAACATGAGTGAATATTTTTATAACCTCAGAATTGGGAAATCCAGAAACCATAAAAAAAGCATTCATAAATTTTACCACATAAAAAATCAAAAACTAACGTACCAAAAGGAAAAAAAGCCCACAAAGCCCAAATATACCACAGAAAATATCTTCGACAGAAATATTCAATAAACTAGGCCGGGCCGGGCATGGTGGGTCATGCCTGTAATCCCAGCACTTTGGGAGGCCGAGGCGGGCAGATCATGAGGTCAGGAGATTGAGACCATCCCGGCTAACACAGTGAAACCCCGTCTCTACAAAAAATGCAAAAAATTAGCTGGGCGTGGTGGCGGGCGCCTGTAGTCCCAGCTACTTGGGAGGCTGAGGCAGGAGAACGGTGTGAACCCGGGAGGCGGAGCTCGCAGTGAGCCGAGATCGCGCCACTGCACTCCAGCCTGGGTGACACAGCGAGGCTCCATCTCAAAAAAAAAAAAAACTAGGCCAGGCGTGGTGGCTCGCGCCTATAATCCCAGCACTTTGAGAGGCCAAGGCAGGTGGATCACCTGAGGTCAGGTATTCAAGACCAGCCTGGCCAACATGGTGAAACCCCGTCTCTACTGAAAATACAAATGTTAGCCAGGAGTGGTGGCACGGACCTGTAATCCCAGCTACTTGGGAGGCTGAAGCAAAAGAATAGCTCGAATCTGGGAGGCAAAGGTTGCAGTGAGCTGAGATCACACCACAGCACTCCAGCCTGGGAAACAGAGCAAGACTCTGTCTCAAAAAAAAAAAACCAAGAAAGAAAGAAAGAAAAAAAGAAAGAAAAAAGAAATATTCGGCCGGGCGTGATGGCTCACGCCTGTAATCCAACACTTTGAGAGGCTGAGGCAGGCGGATCACATGGTCAGGAGTTCAAGACCAGCCTGGCCAACATAGTGAAACCCCTCTCTACAAAAATACAAAAATTACCCAGGCATAGTGGCAGGCACCTGTAGTCTCAGCTACTTGGGAGGCTGAGGCAGGAAAATCGCTTGAACCCAGGAAGCAGAGGTTGCAGCAAGCTGAGATCACACCACTGCACTCCAGCCTGGGCAACAGACTGAGACTCGGTCTCAAAAAAAAAAAAAAAAAAAAGAAAGAAATATTCAATAAGCTCTTGAAAATCAGTAAGAAAATGACCAACAATCCAGAACACACAATTCACAGGAGAAATACAAATGGCAAGTAAATATAAAAAGGAGAAGGGACACAGTGGCTCACGCCTGTAATCCCAGCACTTTGGGAGGCCAAGGCTGAGGATTTCTTGGGCCCAGGAGTTCAAGACCGGCCTGGGCAAAACATGAGATCCTATCTCTATAAAACTAAAAAATAAAATTAAAAAGATGCTCAATGTCACCAGCAAAAAATGGCAAATGAAAATAAGATGCTATTTTTCGCTAATCAGATGGAAGCTGGGAATAGAAATGCTTTGTATAAGGTAATAGGCACACTCACTCTAGAGGACCAGGATAAATGGTATGAACTTTTGACATCTATCAAAATTCTAAGCAGTCCCTTTACCTCAGCAATTTCTCATCTAGCAACCTAAGTGAAAACACTCACTCAACACTCAAGATCGATGCAGAGGGCTGGCTAGGGCAGCACGGGTTGTATTATCAAAAACCGGAAACCCCAAAGTCCATCAACAGGAAACTGGTTAAATAAATTATAATGAAGGTTAGGCACAGTGGCTCACACCTGTAATCCCAGCACTTTGGGAGGGCAAGGTGGAAGGACTGCTTGAAGCCAGGAATTCAAGACCAGTCAGGGCAGCAAAGCAAGACCCCATCTCTATTTTTAAAAAACTATGTAACTGGCTGGGTGTGGTGGCTCTACTAAAAATACAATAATTAGGTGGGTATGGTGGCATGCGCCTGTAATCCCAGCTACTCGGGAGGCTGAGGCAGGAGAATCACTTGAACCCAAAAGGTGGAGGTTGCAGTGAGAGCAGATAACGCCACTGCACTCCAGCCTGGGTGACAGAGCGAGACTCCGTCTCAAAATAATAATAATAATAATAATAATAATAATAATAATAATAATAAGGCAGGTATGTATTTGGGGCTCCTGCTAAATGAGATTTTAGCTTCTCTTGCCACACACAAAATTTGTAACTGTGAGATAACAGATGTCAATCTGCTTCATTACAGTTACCATTTTACTATCTGTATGTATGCTATGTTATATATCATAAACATACATAAGAATATTTTTTAAGAAAGAATAGGACCGGTCGCAGTGGCTCATGCCTGTAATCCCAGCACTTTGGGAGGCCAAGGTGGGCAGATCGCGAGGTCAGGAGATCGAGACCATCCTAGCCAACACAGTGAAACCATATCTCTACTAAAAATACAAAAATTAGCCGGGTGTGGTGGGGCGCCCCTGTAGTCCCAGCTACTCAGGAGGCTGAGGCAGGAGAATTGCTTGAACCCGGGAGGCAGAGGTTGCAGTGAGACGAGATTGCACCACTGTACTCCAGCCTGGCAACAGAGCAAGATTCTGTCTCAAAACAAACAAACGAAAAAAGAATAGCCAGGTGCGGTGGCTCACACCTGTAATCTCAACACTTCGGGAGGCTGAGGTGGGCAGATCACCTGAAGTTAGGAGTTTGAGACCAGCCTGGCCAACATGGTGAAACCCCGTCTCCACTAAACTACAAAAATTAGCCAAGCATGGTGGCCCATGCCTGTTGTCCCAGCTACTCCGGAGGCTGAGGCCCAAGAATCACTTGAACCTTGGGAGGCGGAGGTTGCAGTGAGCCAAATTCACGCACTGCACTCCAGCCTGGGCAACAAAGCTAGACTCTCTCAAAAATAAATAAATAAATAAATAAATAAATAAATAAATAAATAAATAAGGCAGCTCTACATGCATGAATAGAAACAAGTTGCAACAAAGTATGTATTGTGACTCCCCTTTGTTCTTTTTCCTTTGAGACAGGGTCTTGCTCTATCGCCCAAGCTGGAGTGCGGTGGCATGGTCTTGGCTCACTGCAACCTCCACCTCCCAAGCTTAAGCCATCCTCCCACCTCAGTCTCCAGTGTAGCTGGAACTATGGGTCCTCGTTAGGGTTATTTTGTTTGGTTGGTTGGTTTTTATTGAGACAGAGTCTCACTCTGTCACCCAGGTTGGCGTGCAGTGGCTCAATCTTGGCTCACTGCAACCTACACCTCCTGGGTTCAAGCAATTCTCGCGCCTCAGCCTCCTGAGTAGCTGGAATTACAGGTGTATGCCGCCACCATGCCCGGCTAATTTAGTAGAAATGGGTTTTTGCCATGTTGACCAGACTGGTCTCAAACTCCTGACCTCAAGTAATCCTCCCACCTCGGCCTAACAAAGTGTTGGGACTACAGGCGTAAGCCACCGTGCGTGGCCCTCATTAGGGTTTTGGGACTAGAGCTACAAAGCCACTGAAGTAAGGTGGCATGACACTGGCTTTCTAGAGTGCTTCACACATTTCTGTAATGTTTTAATTTAGTAATAGTCATATGATGTTTCCCTAATGAGAACAAAACAGACATTGTACTCCCTATACACGGCTGGAAGCATAAGTAAATCCAGCCTTTGAAAATTCATATCAAGGCTGGGCATGGTGACATGCACTTGTAATCCCAGCTATTCAGGAAGCTGAGGAAGGAAGATCCCTTGAGCCCAGGAGTTTGAGACCAGCCTAAGCAACATAGTAAGACCCCGTCTCAAAAACAAAACAAAACAAATTTCACATCAAAAGATTAACTGTAACAAAAAGAAATTGTAACAAAATAAATACATATTAAACATATGAAACCCTTTGCACTTAGATCAGAAAGTGTGACTAACACATTATGTTGGTGAGGGTATGATGTATATGTAAGATACTCTTACACATTGACAGGGAAATGTAAAGAGAAACCCTCATTCTGAGGGGCAATTTAGCAACATGGATCAATATGAAAAACACACATCCCTTACCCAACAATTTTACTTCCAGGAACTTACTTGACCACCAACCTCACTGTTAACAAACAAGTCTGCCCTCAAGACACATAATATTTGCAGAATTCTGTGGACAGAGGATTTAGTACACACTGCTTTCATCCTGTGATTGCCCTAAGTACTTTCAGAAATGTAAACAGTCCTGACACATGTGGTCTTTGAATATGGTCAAACACCTCATTCTTCAGCTTTGGTATCTCATAACAAATTGTTGCATAAAGTATGAAAAATACATATTGGTGATACTATTTATTTATTTAGTCTCTTCTTGCAAAGAGAAGAAATAAACAAAAGGAGAAAGGCTCATGTCTGGAATCCCAGCAATTTAGGAGGCTGAGGAGGGAGGACTGCTAGAGCCCAGGAGTTTGAGACCAGCCTGGGCAATGTGACAAGACTCTGTCTCTATAAAAAAGGAGAAAGTGAATAGTGTCTTGTCTCAAAAAAAAAAAAAAAAAAAAAAAAAAGAAGAAAGTGAGTAGAAAGAGAGCTTTTTGGATATCTAAATAAAAGCTGACAGGGCCAGGCACAGTGGCTCACGCCTGTAATCCCAGCACTTTGGGAGGCCAAGGCGGGGGGATCACTTGAGGTCAGGAGTTCGAGACCAGCCTGGCCAATATGGCAAAACCCCATCTCTACTAAAAATACAAAAATTAGCCGGGCGTGGTGCCTGCAATGCCAGCTACTCGGGAGGCTGAGGTAGGAGAACTGCTTGAACCTGGGAGGCGGAGGCTGCAGTGAGCCGAGTTTGTGCCGCTGCACTCCAGCCTGGGCAACAAGAGTGAAACTCTGTCTCAAAGAAAAAAAAAAAAAATTAGCCAGGTGTGGTGGTGCATGCCTGTAATCCCAGCTACTCAGGAGGCTGAGGCAGGAGAATCGCTTGAACATGGGAGGCGGAGGTTGCAGTGAGCCAAGATTGCGCCACTACACTCAGCCTGGACAACAGAGCCAGACTCCATCTGAAAAAAAAAAACAAAACACCAAAAATTAGCCGAGTGTGGTGGAGCATGCTTGTAGTCACAGCTACTCGGGATGCTGAAGTAGGAGGATGGCTTGAGCCCCTGGGAGGCAGAGGTTGCATTGAGCCAAGATTGCACCACTGTACTCCAGCCTGGGCAACAGAGCCAGACCTTGTCTCATAAAATTAACTAATTCATTAATTAAAACTGCTCAAACCTTGGGTGAGGTGTGGCTTCTTACAAGACCAAAAGCGTCAAAAAAAAAATAGTACAATGTTGGGGCCAGGTGGTTCACACCTGTAATCCCAGTACTCTGGGAAGCTGAAGCAGGACTGCTTGAGGCTAAAGGTTCAAGGTCAGCCTGGGTAACATAGTAAGACCCCAACTCTACAAAAAATACCAAAAAAATTAGCTGGGTGTGGTGGTACAACTTGCAGTTGTACCTACTGGGGATGTTGAGGCAAAAAGATCACTTGAGACCAGGAGTTTAAGGCTACAGTGAGCTACAATCACACCACTGCACTCCAGGTTGGGCAACAAAGCAAGAACCCTGCTTCACTGATAAGAATAAGAAGGCGGAGAAGAAGAAGAAATTGGACTACATCAACATGAAAAGCTTTTGTACTGAAAATGATACCACCAATAAAATTAAAAGCCATAGAAATTAGAAAAAATATTTGCAAATCATATATTTAATAAGGGACTTATATGCAGTATATATAAAGAACACAACTTGGCTGGATGCAGTGGCTCACGCCTGTAATCCTAGCACTTTGGGAGGCTGAGGTGGGCGTATCACAAGGTCAGGAGTTTGAGACCAGCCTGGCCAGCATAGTGAAACCCCGTCTCTACTAAATATACCAAAAAAAAAAAAAAAAAAAAATTAGCTAGGCGTGGCGGTGTGCGCCTGTAGTCCCAGCTACTCGGGAGGCTGAGGCAGGAGAATCGCTTGAACCTGGGAGGCGGAGGTTACAGTGAGCCGAGATGGCATCACTGCACTCCAGCCTGGGTGACAGAGTGAGACTCCGTCTGAAAAAAAAAAACAAAACAAAAACAAGACCAAAAAAAGATCACAACTCAATAACAAAAGGCAACTCAATTTAAAAGCACGCAAAGGATTTAAACAGACATTTCTCAAAAAAGATATATGAATGGCCAATAAGTACACAAAAAGATGTTTAACGTGATTAGTCATCAATGAAACACAAATCAAAACATAAGACACCACTTCGCACCCACTAGGATGGCTAAAAGAAAAAAGGCAGTAACAAGTATAGGGACATAGAGCAATTGGAATCCTCATATACTGCTTGTGAATATGTAAAATAGCGCAGCCACTCTGGAAAGTAACCTGACAATTCCTCAAAATATTAAACACAGACATGGTGGTTCGTGCCTACAGTCCCAGCTACCAGGGAAGCTGGGGCAGGAGTATTGATTGAGCCCAGGAGTTCAAGGACAGCCTACACAACATAGCAAGACCCTCATCTTAAAAAAAAAAAAAAAAAAAAAGCCAAAAAAAGGCCATGAACAGTTTCATTCATGCAATCCAAGCATTTCAGGGGGCCAAGGCAGGAGGATCACTTGAAGCAAGGAGTTCAAGACCAGCTTGGGCACCAAAGTGGGACTCCATTTCCACAAATTTTTTTTTTTTTTTGGAGACGGAGTCTCGTTCTGTCACCCAGGCTGGAGTGCAGTGGCGTATCTCAGCTCACTGCAAGCTCTGCCTCCCGGGTTCGTGCCATTCTCCTGCCTTTGCCTCCCGGGTTTATGCCATTCTCCTGCCCCAGCCTCCCGAGTAGCTGGGACTACAGGCATCCGCCACCATGCCCGGCTAATTTTTTGTATTTTTAGTAGAGACGGAGTTTCACCACGTTAGCCAGGATGGTCTCGATCTCCTGACCTCGTGATCCGCCAGCCTTGGCCTCCCACAGTGCTGAGGTTACAGGCGTGAGCCACCACGCCCAGCAAAAAAATTTTGTTTAATTAGCCTCGTGTTGTGGCATGTGCCTGTAGTGGCAGGAGGCTGAGGCGGGAGGATTGCTTGAGCCCAGGAGTTCAAGGCTGCAGTGAGCCATGATTGCACTGCAATACAGTCTGTGTTACAGAGTGAGACCTCATTAAAAATAAATAAATAAATAAAAGTTAAAAGAGCTGGGTGCGGTGGCTCAAGCCTGTAATCCCAGCACTTTGGGAGGCCGAGGTAGGTGGATCACCTGAGGTCAGGAGTTCAAGACCAGCCTGGCCAACTTGGCGAAACCCAGTCTCTACTAAAAAATACAAAAAATTAGCCGGGTGTGGTGGTGGGCGTCTGTAATCCCAGTGACTCAGAGGCTGAGGCACAAGAATCGCTTGAACCTAGGAGGCAGAGGTTGCAGTGAGCCGAGATGGCGCCACTGCACTCCAGCCTGGGCAACACAGAGAGACTCCGTCTCAAAAAAAAAATAATAATAATAATAAAAAGTTAAAAGTTACCACACAACCCAACAATCCCACTTCTTGCTCTATAACCAAGAGAAATAAAAATAAATGCCCACACAAAAACTACTACACTAATGTTCATAGCAACATTATAATAGCCAAAAAGTAGAAATGACCCAAATGTCTATCAGCAGATGAATGCAAATTAAAAATGTGGTAGATACAGAGATATGATGGCATATTATTGATCAATAAAAGGAAAAGAGGCAACGAGCACATGAAAAGACGCTGAACTCATTAGTCACTAGGAAAATGCAAATCAAAACTACAAAGATGCATCACTTCACACCCAAGTAGGAGGGCCTAACCAGAAAAACAGAAAATAGTACCTGTTTATGAGGATGATGAAGCATTTGAACCCTCATACATCACTGGTGGGAATGTAAATCGGTACAACCACTGTGGAAGTTTCGCGGTTCGGTTAAGTTAAACACAGAATTGACTGTGTATGACCCAGTAATTCCACTCCCAGGTAAAGAACTGAAATCAGATGTTCAGACCAAAACTTGTATGCAAATGTTCAGAGAAGTACTACTCAAAATAAGCAAAAGGTGGAAATAATCAAAATGTCCCTCAACTGATGAATAGATATATAAAATGTGGTATTATCCATAAAATGGAATACTACTCAGCCGTAAGGAATAAAGTAGTGACACATGCGCAGCAGGGATAACCCTTGGAAACATTACGTTAAGTGAAACCAGACACAAATGGCCACGTACTGTATAATTCCATTGCTATGAAATATTAATAGAGAAATCCAGAGACAGAAAGTAGATTAGCAGTTGCCAGGGGCTGGGCGAGGGGGGAAAATGGGAAGTGACTAACAGATGCTCAGTTTCCTTTTAGGATAATGAAAAGTTCTGGAACCAGACAGTGGTGATGGTTGTACAACACTATAAAGGTACTGAAACCCACCGAATTGTGCACTTTAAAATGGTAAACACTGTCATATGTATTTCCCAGGTATTTTTTTAATGAAATGAAGTGCTGAAACATGCTACAACATGGATGACCCTTAAATACATAAGTAAAGGAAATCAGTCACAAAAGTCCACGTATTTTAGGATTCCATTTATATGAAATGTCCAGAATAGGGAAATTTAGAGGCGGAACATACAGGGCATACAGAGCCAAGATAAGATAATTTTTTTTTTTTTTTTTTTTTTGAGACTGAGTCTCGCCCTGTTGCCCAAGCTGGAGTGCAGTGGCGTGATCTCGGCTCACCGCAACCTCCACCTCCCGGGTTCCAGGGTTCTCCTGCCTCAGCCACCCCAGTAGCTGGGATTACAGGCGCCCGCCACCACCCCCGGCTAATTTTTGTATTTTTAGTAGAGACGGGGTTTCACCATGCTGGCCAGGCTGGTCTCGAACTCCTGACCTCGTGATCCGCCCATCTCGGCCTCCCAAAGTGCTGGGATTACAGGCATGAGCCACCGCACCCGGCCTATTCTTTTTTCTTTTAAAATTTTTATTTTAAAAATTTATTTTTTTAAATTTATCCAGCGTCTCACGACGCTGTCTCGAAAAAAAAAAAAGTATCGGCCTGGCGGGCGGTGGCTCACGCCTGTAATGCCAGCACTTTGGGAGGCCAAGGCGGTCAAATTATCTGAGGTCAGGAGTTCGAGACCAGCCTGACCAACATGGAGAAACCCTGTCTCTACTAAAAATACAAAAAATAAAAATAATAAAAAAAAATTAGCCGGGCATGATGGTGCATGCCTGTAATCCCAGCTATTCAGGAGGCTGAGGCAGGAGAATCGCTTGAACCAAGGAGGCAGAGGTTGCAGTGAGCCGAGATCACGCCATTGCACTCTAGCCTGGGCAATAAGAGCGAAACACCGTCTCAATAAATAAATAAATATCAGAAATTGGCCCAGCATGGTGGCTCACGCCTGTAATCCCAGAAGAGGTGGGCAGATCGCTTGAGCCCAGAGCTCGAGACCAGCCTGGCCAACATGGCGAAAACCCGTCTCCACTAAAAATACAAAACTGAGTCGGGCGTGGTGGCCCGTGCCTCTAATCCCAGCTACTCCGGAGGCCGAGGTGGGAGGATCGCTTGAGCCTGGGAAACGGAGGTTGCAGTGAGCCGAGCTCGTGACACTGCACTCCAGCCTGTGTGACAGAGTGAGACCCTGTCTCAAAAACCACCAGAACTATTAGTAGTTTACATTATTTGGTTAGTCTGGAAACTAATTACGTTGAGAAACTGACTGAAGCTTGATTATTTCTATTATACACAGACTTCAAACATTCCAGAACTTACTGTTAAAGTCAGATTTACCCTCCTTGTGAGACAGACGCCCAGAGCTTGGACTTATTCGTTTGCTTTATAGAAACTCCCTAACTTATTTCACTTCTCATACTAGACTTTAAGCTCCAAAGCCAGAGACCATGACTTCCATTCCTTCCGGATCCCCCAGCGGAATGTAAAAACTCCAGAAAGCATTTCCTAAATGCCTGCCGAAAGACGGCTACTGAGCATGCCCGGCTTGGCCAAGTCAATTTCAACAACATTCTGAAACAAAAACTATAGTTCCCGCGTTACAAGGTGGAAAAAAGGGAATAAACGGGAGCAAAGCCTAAGGATTCAATCTATATGAGGGGGTTAAGGAAAGGTAAAGTTCAAGGGCGGCGCAGACGTGAAGGACAGCACTATCACAGCTTAAACTTGGTACTCGGTAAACTGGTGTCGAACCAGAACGACCAAAGAAAGGCTTAAAAAAAATACTAGATTAACGAGTGAGGGAAGGCCAACGGGGGTGCAGGGTATCGATGACGTAGGCTGACCACAGTTTTTTCTAAAGCTGCCCTCTACAAAAATAATACTAAGATGATCAGGCCTTCGGTGTCAACACCAACAAGATACACTGTGATGAAGCTCACTTCCAAAAAGTTCCTTTTTACAAACGAAAGAGCCGTGCTGTGGCCAAGATACCCCAACCATCAACGCTTGCTAAGCTCTCAGCTCCTGCCTTCATCTCCACCGCCATCTTCTGGATGGGAACCCAAACCTTCCTAAAGTGCTTTGGCCAGCATCACCTCCGCGCACAGCCCGGGAAGCCTGCGTTTCCCAGGTCGCGCAGACGGCGCAAAGGGGGAAACTCCACCTCGCTCGGCTCCGCGCCTCCCAAATGCACGCAAAGGGCTGCCGTCTTCCTTTCCCCTACCCCGCCCGGGCTTTCCAAGGTCCGGCGCGAGGAGCCCGCGAGGCGCGGTGCGCGGGCCTCACCTGCACACGCCGCGAATGCAGGGCTCCAGCCAGATGCGGTAAGCGGTCTCGATGTGCTCCTGCGACACCTCCTCGGGCCGCACCGTCTCCGCCCAGCGCCAGGCCGCCTTCTCCAGCTGCAGCCGCGGGGCCATGGCCTTGGCCCCAGGAACGCCTCCCGAGCCAGACCGCCGCAGCCGCCGCCGCGGTCTGCACCGCCGCCCCAATGGGCTTCGCCACCTGCCAGCAAGGAGGACCTGGCGCTCCTTCAGGCAGCTGGCCAGTCAATCACCTGTGCGCGCCACTGCCGCCGCGCCCGCCCGCGCCCGACCCGCACGACCGGCCGCAAAGCGCCGCCGTCGACACCCGACACACCCCGCGCCCGCGGACGTTAAAGGTGGACTCCCCGCCGCGCTGAGCGCATGCGCGTTCCCAGCAGCCTCTGCGCCTCCCGCGCCCCTAACCCGACGGGCTGAGGTAGAGGAAGCGTACGTCCGAGGCGGTCTTGCCACGTCCTCACTGGCACTTCTGGAAAAGCAGCGTCTCAGCCCCCGTTCAGGGCGGCGCACTACGTACCACTACTCTAACAAACCAGTGCCTCGAAAGCTATTTCTTGCCTCCGGTACTTCCCTTTTAACCATGAAGTTTTCACGCTAGAGGCTACTCAACGCACACACAGGCCCGCCCAGACTGTGGAGCGGGACCTGTTTAGAGTAGAAACCGAGTCGCCAAAGAAACCAGTGTTGGCTCTTTAGAGGGAGATTTAACTTGAGCCTAGACCGGTTCCGAACCCCTTTCCCGAGCCCTCCTGACGTCATGGGACCTTCCGGCCTTTTCCCGTGCTAGGGTGGGACTACGTGTCCCGGCATGCCCTGCGTCCTGCCACTGACTGTGAGGCATGCTGGGATTTGTAGTCTTCGAGGTGGGAGTGCTCAGTGCGCCGCAGACTGTGCGGGCGGGGGTCCGAGGTGCCAGGGTGGAGTTTCTCTGGTGCGCAAGGTCATGTTTGCTGTTGGCTCCCTTCTCAAGACTGTTACCTCTATGCCAGGATTTTCTAGTTCCTCTCTAGCTCCTGGTTTAAAACATTTCCTTTCTGCGACTCCTGCCCCAGGACATAAAGAGTAGCTTTATGAGAATTGTTTTGCAAACTGTAAAGAACTCTACTAAAGTGAGGATATTTAAGAATTTTGAATTTGAATTAGAGCTCTGCCAGAATCTAAGCGCTAACTTCTGACTCAGCTGCTTGCCTGCTGGAAAACCTTAGGCTGAATTCTTTAGATAAACATTCACTGGGCCGAGCACCGTGGCTCAAGGATCCAATCCCAGCACTTTGGGAGGCCGAGGTGGGCGGATCACCTGAGGTCAGGAGTTCGAGGCCAGCCTGACCAAAATGGAGAAACCCCGTCTCTACTAAAAATACAAAATTAGCAAGGCGCGGTCGCGCATGCCTGTAATCCCAGCTAGTCGGGAGGCAGAGGCAGGAGAATCGCTTGAACCCGGGAGGCGGAGGTTGTGGTTAGCCGAGATAACGCCATTGCACTCCAGCCTGGGCAACAAGAGTAAAACTCCGTCTCAAAAAAAACAAAAAAATTCGCTGAAGGCAGAAGAAAGTAAGATGTGGTCCCTGCCCTTGGAAGTGGGTTAGGGAGTGAGCGGTAGAAATACAAAGATCCCCATCCCAGTCTTGGGAGGCTTCGGGGTACTTGAGAAAAGGCTTCCCAGAAGTAATTCCGAAGCCCGCTTTTAACGGGTGAGTTGGACTTATCCAGGATAGAAGAAAGACACCATTCCAGAAAAAAAGAAACCACAAGGAGCAAAGGCACAGAAGAGAAAAGCTTGGCGTGAGAGGGCCACAATTTCTGAGACAGGGACAGGTGAGAGTTATGGCTTGAAAGGAAGACCTTGCCGCCGGGCGCGGTGGCTCACGCCTGTAATCCCAGCACTTTGGGAGGCCAAGGCGGGCGGATCACGAGATCAGGAGATCGAGACCATCCTGGCTAACACGGTGAAACCCCCTCTCTACTAAAAATACAAAAAAAATAGCCGGGCGTAGTGGCGGGCGCCTGTAGTCCCAGCTACTCTGGAGGCTGAGGCAGGAGAAGGGCGGGAACCCAGGAGGCGGAGCTTACAGTGAGCGGAGATCGCGCCACTGCCCTCCGGCCTGGGCGACTGAGCGAGACTCTGTCTCCAAAAAAAAAACAAAAACAAAACAAAACAACAATAACAACAACAATAAAACAACAATAACAACAAAAAAAAAAACAAAAAAAGGAAGACCTTTATTCAAAGTACCCACTGAAGATATACAGCTGTTGAGTGCTATAATGGAGATTTGCATTTTGTATAGTGAGGCAGAGAAGACTTTTTTTTTTCCTGAGACGGAGTTTTGCTCTTGTTGCCCAGGCTGGAGTGCAATGGTGTGGTCTGGGCTCACTGCAACCTCCGCCTCCTGGGTTCAAGCGATTCTCCTGCCTCAACCTCCCAAGTAGCTAGGATTACAGGCTTTTGCCACCACGCCCGCCTAATTTTTTTGTATTTTTTAGTAGAGACGGGGTTTCACTATGTTGGTCAGGCTGGTCTCGAACTCCGGACTTCAGGTGATCCGCCCACCTCGGCCTCTCAAAGTGCTGGGATTACAGGTGTGAGCTACCGCGCCTGGCCTCCTCCCCTTTTTAGACCATATAGGGTAACTTCCTGACTTTGCCATGGCATTTGTAACCTGTCATGCACTGGTGGGCATGTCTTTTAGCATGCTAATGTATAATAATTAGCGTATAATAATTAGCATATAATAAGCAGTGAGGACGACCAGAGGTCAGTCTCATGGCCATCTTGGTTTTGGTGGGTTTTAACCAGCTTCTTTACTGCATTCTGTTTTCTCAGCAATGTCTTTATGACCTGTATCTTGTGTAGACCTCCTATCTCATCCTGTGTCTAAGAATGCCTTAGGCCAGGCATGGTGGCTCATGCCTGTAATCCCAGCACTTTAGGAGGCCAAGGTGGGCGGATCACGAGGTCAGGAGTTCGAGATGAGCCTGGCCAACATAGTGAAACCCTGGGTCTACTAAAAATACAAAAATTAGCCAGGCATGGTGGCGGGCACCTGTAATCCCAGCTACTCAGGAGGCTGAGGCAGGACAATTGCTTGAACAGGAGGCGGAGGTTACAGTGAGCCAAGATCGTGGCATTGCACTCCATCCCAGGCGACGGTGGGAAACTCAGGCAAAAAAAATGTCTTCACCTCCTGGGAATGCAGCCCAGTAGGTCTCAGCCTTATTTTACCCAGCCCCCATTCAAGATAGAGTCACTCTGGTTCAAACGCCTTGGACAGAATGAGGACTTGCTACAGCTTGATGATGTTGACCTGACCGGTATATCTTCACCTTTCTGATATTTGACCTTCAAGTCTGGTCACACCCCTTTCCTCAGTATCCACAGCTCCCTGTGTCATCCCTTGCTTCACTTAGCACATGATGAAATTGTGACTATCATTCACCATGAAGACACTACTATATGGCAGTTTTCTAAATTGGATAATTAAATAGAATTTCTACCAAATGAGATAGCAACACCAGAAGAAGGAACAGATTTAGAAAGAAGATGATTTCGGCCAGGCACGGTAGCTCACGCCTGTAATCCAGCACTTTGGGAGGCCGAGGTGGACAGATCATCTGAGGTCAGGAGTTCGAGACCAGCTTGGGCAACATGGTGAAACCCTGTCTCTACAAAAATACAAAAATTTGCCAGGTGTGGTGGTAGGCACCTGTAGTCCCAGCTACTCAGAAGGCTGAAGTGGAGGGATTGCTTGAGCCCAGGAGGTCGAGGTTGCAGTGAGCAGAGATCTCACCACTGCACTCCAGTCTGGGCGACAGAGGGAGACCCTGTCTCAAAAACAAACAAACAAAACCCAAATGTGCTAATTTGCTGTAATTTCTCTGAAGTTTAACAAACCCTCTCTTGACTCCCACATCCCCCTCCAGCTACTGTCCCATTTCTCTTTTTCCCTTTATAGCAAAACTCCTGGAAAGCATTTTCTGTACTCTTCTCCAGTTCTCCTCCTATTCCTCCTTAAACCTCCCAAATCAGGTTCTTGCCTCTATCACCTCCAAAACTGCTCGTATGAAGAATGCCAATGGCCTTCACCTTGTTAAATGCAGTGGTAAACTCATACTCTATTTATTTTACTAGACCTGTTAGCAGCAATTGACCCAGTTATTCACTCTTTCCTCTTAGAAACACTTTCTTCTCTTAAATCACAGGGTGCCACACTCTCCTGGTTTTCTCTTTACTGCTGGCCATCCCTTCCGGTGTCCTTTGCAGCTTCTTTCTCCTCTAACCTGGAAACTTGAGTGGCCTAGGGTTCAGTCCTTTGGACCTCTCCTTTAACTTTGTTTACTCCCTGGGGGATCTTGTTAGAAATGCTTGTTCCCCAGTGCCGTAAAGAAGTAGCACTTACGGCCGGGCGCGGTGGCTCACACCTGTAATCCCAGCACTTTGGGAGGCCGAGGCAGGCAGATCATGAGGTCAAGAGATCAAGACCATCCTGGCCAACATGGTGAAACCCCGTCTCTACAAAAAATACAAAAAATTAGCTGGGCATGGTGGCACACGCCTGTAGTCCTAGCTACTCAGGAGGCTGAGGCAGGAGAATCGCTTGAACCTGGGAGGCAGCGGTTGCAGGGAGCCAAGATTGTGCCACTGCACTCCAGCCTGGCGACAGAGCGAGACTTCATCTAAAAAAAAAACAACAAAAAACAAATAGCACTTGAACATAAATTTAACATCCTCAGCAAGGCCATTTTTACTTTCTGCAGAAAGGGTACACTCGCCAGCAGTTTTGCCAGTAGAGTACACTGAACAAACAGGACAGGGTCATTTATAACCTGAAGCGTCCACCCTACTGCTGTGTCTGACTTCCATTGGCTGGAACAGGACCTCACATTCTATATTTGTCCTGATTGGCTAGCAACTTAGAACTTTTTAAAAGAGGCAAAGGCTGGCTGGGTGCAGTGGCTCACACCTGTAATCCCAGCACTTTGGGAGGCTGAGGGGGGCGGATCACCTGAGGTCAGGAGTTCGAGACCAGCCTGACCAACATGGAGAAACCCTGCCTCTACTAAAAATGCAAAAAAAAATTAGCCGGGCGTGGTGGCGCATGTCTGTAATCCCAGCTATCGGGAGGCTGAGGCAGGAGAATCGCTTGAACCTGGGAGGTGGAGGTTGCGGTGAGCCAAGATCATGCATTGCACTCCAGCTTGGGCAACAAGAGTGAAATTCTGTCTCAAAAAAAAGGAAAAAAAAAAGCAGAGGCAGAGGCGAACAAGGGAAGTAACCTGTGGAATGCTGAGAAAGGTAAAAACACCTTTAAATAAGGAAGAGGAACAGGCTATGACTCATGCTTGCTTGGACCAGTGTAAGCATGCCAGGGCAAATATTTAGGCTAAATTGTGGGAGCTAAGAACATAAAGTACATTGATTTCTTTATTACGGCTAGCAGATATTTAAGAATGTTAGCACAGGTCTTTGAATACATTTTGAGACGGAGTTTCACTCTTGTTGCCCAGGCTGGATGGCGCAATCTCCGCTCACCACAACCTCTGCCTCCCGGGTTCAGGCGATTCTCCTGCCTTAGCCACCCGAGTAGCTGGGATTACAGGCATGTGCCACCATGCCCGGCCAATTTTGTATTTTTTTAGTAGAGACGGGATTTCTCCACATTGGTCAGGCTGGTCTTGCACTCCTGACCTCAGGTGATCCGCCCACCTCAGCCTCCCAAAGTGCTAGGATTACAGGCGTGAGCCACCACGCCTGGGCTGAGAAGTAACTATTTATTCCTAATTAGATGGGGAGGAAAGTCTCTTTGAAGAGGAATCTCTACTTTACTTTTTACAATCTCATCTCCTCCTGCTGTGTGTGGATGACTCCTAAATTCACATCTCCAGACCTGACCTAACTTCTAAAATACTAGATTTATATATCCTGCTGCTTGCTTGGCGTCTCCAGTGTGCAATAGATATCTCACATGTTACAGGGCCAAAGTGTATTCCTATTCCACCCCAACCTCCCCTCTCCTCACATATCCTTCCATCCAAAAGACAGAAATCTTTCCATCTTGGTAGGTGTCAACTTCATCCTACCAGAAATCTTGCAGGCCGACTTCTCTCTTTCCCTTACATCCCCATCCAGTCCCGCAAAACCTGTCAGCTTGCCTTCAAAATAGATGTAGAGGCCAGGCAGATTAAGTGCTCACAAGCCCAGCACTTTTGGTGGCTGAGGCACACCACCACGCCCGGCTAATTTTTGTATTTTTGTGGAGTGATCTACAGATCACTTGAGGTCAGGAGTTCAAGACCAGCCTGGCCAACACGGCGAAAACCCGCCTCCACTAAAAATACAAAGAAAAAAAAAAAATTAGCTGTATGTGGTGGCACATGCCTGTAGTCCCAGCTACTTGGGAGGCTGAGGCAGGAGAATAGCTTGAACCCAGGAGGCGAGGGTTGCAGTGAGCCGAGATTGCGCCACTGCACTCCAGCCTGGGAGACAGAGCAAGACTCTGTCTCAAACAAACAGGAAAACAAAATATATGTAGAGTGCCATCACTGTTCTGTTATCATTATCACTCTGGTCTCACCCGGATTACTGCAAAAGCTTCCCAAATGGTGTAAACCAAAAATAAAATTTAAAGGTGTCGGCCAGGCGCAGTGGCTCACACCTGTAATCCCAGCACTTTGGGAGGCTGAAGCGGGTGGATCACCTGAGGTCAGGAGTTCGAGACCAGCCATGGCTAACATCATGAAACCCCGTTTCTACTAAAAATACAAAAAAATTAGCCGGGCGTGGTGGCACATGCCTGTAATCCCAGCTACTCGGGAGGCTGACGCAGGAGAATGGCTTGAACCCAGGAGGCAGAGGTTACAGTGAGCCGAGATCATACCACTGCACTTCAGTTTGGGCAACAAGAGCGAAACTCCGTCTAAAAAAAAAAAAAAATTCACAAGTGTCCCAACCACCTAAATGGACTCCCTCCTTGGCCAAGGTACTCAAAAGTTAACCTCAAAGACTGGTTCAGGCCTTGACAGGAAGTGGGGTTCAGCCATGCCTCATTATGCCCTCCTTCCGTTTGGGGTTTGGGAAAAGTGACCAGCATTTAACATCAACACAGACCTTAAGTCTTGAAGAAACATTTACAATCTATTTTCTTTGAAGCCTGCTACCTGGAGGCCTCATCTGCATGAGAAAACTTTGATCTCCACAAGCTCTTATCATAACCCAGACTATCCTTTCTATTGATAATAACTCTTTCAACCAGTTGCCAATCAGAAACATTTAAAATTTACCTATAACCTGGAAGCACCCCCTGCACCCTCCCTCACTTCTAGATGTCCTGCCTTTCTGGACTGAACCGATGTATATCTTAAATGTATTTGATCGATGTCTCATGTCTCCCTAAAAATGTATGAAACCAAGCTGCACCCCGACCACCTTGGCTACATGTTCTCAGGAGCTCCTGAGGGTCGGTGTCACAGGCTGTGGTCACTCATATTTGGCTCAGAATAAACCTCTTCAAATATTTTACAGAGTTTGACTCTTTTCGTCAATACTGGTCTTCCTGTTTTCACCCTTGCCCCCTTACATAGTCTGCTCTGGGCATGTAAATCATGTCATTCCTGAAAAACCTCCAAAGATTTCCTATCATTTAGAATAAATGACAAAGGGCTGAGCACAGTGGCTCATGCCTGTAATCTCAGCCTTTTGGAAGGCTGAGGCTAGAGGATTGCTTGCTTGAGGACAAGAGTTTGAGACCTATCTGAGCAACATAGTGAGACCCTGTCTCTACCAAAAAAAAAAAAAAAAAAAATTGCCAGGTGTGGTGGTGTGTGCCTGTGGTCCCCAACTACTCTGAAGGCTGAGGTGGTACCACAGGCACACACTCCATCACTACAAAAAAAAGTTTATAAAAATTACCCAGGTGAGGCCAGGTGCGGTGGCTCACGCCTGTAATCCCAGCACTTTGGGAAGCTGAGGTGGGTGGATTGCCTGAGATCAGGAGTTCAAGACCAGCCTGGTCAACATGGTAAAACCCCGTCTCTACTAAAAATACAAAAATTAGCTGGGTGTGATGGCGGGCACCTGTAATCCCAGCTACTTGGGAGGCTGAGGCAGAAGAATTGCTTGAGCCCAGGAGGTGGAGGTTGCAATGAGCTGAGATAGCACCACTGCACTCCAGCCTGGGCAACAAGAGAGAGACTCCATCTCAAAAAAAAAAAAAAAAAAGAAGGCTGGGTGCGGTGGCTCACGCCTGTAATCCCAGCACTTTGGGAGGCCGAGGCGGGTGGCTCAACTGAGGTCAGGAGTTTGAGACCAGCCTTGCCAACGTGGGGAAACCCCGTCTCTACTAAAAATACAAAAATTAGCTGGGCGTGGTGGTGGGCACCTGTAATCCCAGCTACTCGGGAGGCTGAGGCAGGAGAATCTCTTGAACCTGGTAGGTGGAGTTTGCAGTGAGCCAAGATTGCACCATTCCACTCCAGCCTGGGCAACAGAGCGAAACTCTGTCTCAAAAAAAAGAAAAAAAAAAGAAAGAAAGAAAGGGTTCTTGGAGTGCATGCAAGCTCCAAGAAAGAATTTGGGGTGAGTCCGTAGAATAAAGTGAAAGCAAGTTTATTAGAGAAGTAAAGATACGAAGGAATGAATATTCCTTGGACAGAGCAACTGTGTACTTGGACAGAGCAGGGTATACTTGAGATAGTTACTTTTTGATTATATGCTAAACAAGGGGTGGATTATTCATGAGTTTTCCGAGAAAGGGATGGGCATTTCCCAGAACTGAGAGTTCCTCCCCTTTTTAGACCTTAGAGGGTAACTTTCAGATGTTGCCACGGCATTTGTAAACTATCGTGGCGTGGTGGGTGTGTCTTTTAGCATGTTAATATATTATAATTAGCATGTAATAAGCAGTGAGGACAAGCAGAGGTCACCTTCATCACCATCTTGGTTTCAGTGGGTTTTGGCCAGCTTCCTTACCACATCCTGTGTTTTATCAGCAGGTCTTTATGAACTGTGTCTTGTGATACCAGTCGTGCTGGCCTCCTATCTCATCCTGTGACTGAGAATGCCTAACGTCGGCCGGGCATGGTGGCTCATGCCTGTAATCCTAGCACTTTGGGAGGCTGAAGCAGGCGGATCACGAGGTCAGGAGATGGAGACCATCCTGGCTAACATGGTGAAACCCTATCTCTACTAAAAATACAAAAAAATTGACCAGGCGTGGTGGTGGGTGCCTGTAATCCTAGCTACTCGGGAGGCTTAGGCAGGAGAATGGCGTGAACCCAGGAGGCAGAGCTTGCAGTGAGCCGAGATTGTGCCGCTGCACTCCAGCCCAGCAGGTCCCATCCTCATTCTGTCTAGCCCCTATTCAAGATGGAGTCATTCTGGTCAGAACAACCTCTGACAACAGGAACAGGAAGAAGACCTAAGAAGAGGGTTCAGAAGGAACAACTGTTAGATATGAGGAGAATCACAAGAACTATCTCAGAACCTTAGAGAGGAAAGCTAAAAGAAGCTGGAAATGATCAGCAATGGTTTTTGTTTGTTTGTTTGTTTTTTGAGACAGAGTCTCGCTCTGTCGCCCAGGCTGGAGTTCAGTGGCATGATCTCGGCTCACTGCAACCTCCACCTCCCAGGTTCAAGCAGTTCTCCTGTCTCAGCCTCCTGAGTAGCTGGGACTACAGGTGCACACCACCATGCCCAGCTAATTTTTGTATTTTTAGTAGAGACAGGGTTTCACCATATTGGCCAGGCTGGTCTTGAACTACTGACCTCAGGTGATCCACCCACCTTGGCCTCCCAAAGTGCTAGGATTACAGGCATGAGCCACCACGCCCAGCCTGATCAGCAATGTGAAATCTCCACCTTCCTCCTCATTTCTTGGCTCCTTTCATGGTGAATTTTATTTATTTATTTATTTATTATTCTTACTATTACTTTTTTGAGACAGAGTCTTGCTCTGTCAGCCAGGCCGGAGTACAGTGGTGCGATCTTGGCTCACTGCAACCTCTGCCTCCTGGGTTCAAGCAATTCTCCTGCCTCAGCCTCCTTAGTAGCTGGAATTGCAGGCACGTGTCACCACACCTGGCTAATTTTTGTAATTTTAGTAGAGATGGGGTTTCACCATGTTCGCCAGGCTGGTCTGGAACCCCTTACCTCGTGACCCGCCCACCTCGGCCTCCCAAAGTGCTGGTATTACAGGTGTGAGCCACCACACCCGGCCTTTTTTTTTTTTTCTTTTTTGAGACAGGGTCTCAATCTCTCACCCAGGCTGGAGTGCAGTGGTATGTTCTCAACTTACTGCAACCTCGACCTCCCAGGTTCAAGGCCACCTCAGCCTCTCCAGTAGCTGAGACTACAGGCATTTGCCATCACATGTGGCTAATTTTTAAATTTTTTTGTACAGATAGGGTCTCACTATATTGCCCAGGCTGGTCTACCACTCTTGGGATCAAGTGACCTTCATGCTTTGGCTTCCCAAAGTACTGGGATTACAGGCATGAGCCACCACACCTAGCCAATTTGTTTTTTTAGACAGGGTCTTTGAATGTCACCCAGGCTGAGGCAGGAGGATTGCTTGAGCCTTGAAGTTTGAGACTCACTGCAGCCTCAACCTCTTCAGGCTCGGGTAATCCTCCCACCCCAGCCTCCTGACTAGCTGGGACTACAAGCATAAACCACCATGCCCAACTAATTTTTGTATTTTTTTTTTTTTTTTGTAGAGAGGAAGTTTTTTTGTTTTTGTTTTTGTTTTGTTTTTTTTTTTTTGAGACGGAGTCTCACTCTGTCGCCCAGGCTGGAGTGCAGCGGCGTGATCTCGGCTCACTGCAAGCTCTGCCTCCTGGGTTCACGCCATTCTCCTGCCTCAGTCTCCCGAGTAGCTAGGACTACAGAAGCCTGCCACCATGCCTGGCTAATTTTCTGTATTTTTAGTAGAGATGGGGTTTCTCCGTGTTAGCCAGGATGGTCTCAATCTCCTGATCTCGTGATCCACCCGCCTCGGCCTCCCAAAGTGCTGGGATTACAGGTGTGAGCCACCATGGCTGACGAAAGGAAGTTTCTTCATGTTTCCCAGATTGGTCCTGAAGTCCTGGGCTCAAGCAAACCAGCCAATTTTTATTTTTCTAGTTAACTACTTTTTAAAAAGTCCAAAGAAACAAGTAAAATTAATTTAATAATATCTTTACATTAGCTGGACGTGGTGGCACGTGCCTGCAGTCCCAGCTACTCGGGAGGCTGAGGCAAAAGAATCGCTTGAACCTGGGTGGCAGAGGTTGTAGTGAGCTGAAATTGTGCCACTGCACTCCACCCTGGGTGACAGAGTGAGACTCCGTCTCGAAAAATAAAAATAAGAAAAAATAATATCTTTAACTTGGCTGGGCGTGGTGGCTCGTGCCTGTAATCCTAGCACTTTGGGAGGCCAAGGCAGGTAGATTGCTTGAGCCCAGGATTTCGGACCAGCATAGTGAAATGTTCAAGGCAACATGGCTAAACCCTGTCTCTCTACAAGAAATACAAAAGTTACCTGGTTGTGGTGGCATGCACCTGTAGTCCCAGCTACTCGTGAGGCTGAGGTAGGAGGATCACTTGAGCCTGGGAGGCAAAGGTTGCAGCGAGCTAAGATCATACCACTGCACTCCGGCCTGGGTGACAGAGTGAGACCTTGTCTCAAAAAAAAAAAAAAATCTTTAGTATATTTAGAACATTTACATTTCCACATGTAATCAATATTTTTCAGTATTATGAAAAGACTAATGAGATATTCTACATTATTTTTTCCACACTAAGTTTTGGAACTCTCGTGTGTATTTTGCACTTACAGCTCATCTCAGTTCACAGGAGCCACATTTCAAGTGCTCAATAGCCACGTATGGCAAGTGGCTACCCTAGTAGATGGCACAGATCTACACCCTTTTGGCTTCCTCATCTGCTATGTACTCATCAACCAACTCTAGTCTGGCCTATGACCTTGTCACTCTTCTACAGCTCCTTTATCAAGGTTACCATGACTTCCATGTTACCAAATTCAGTGGTCTTCTTTCAGGCCTCAGCTCTCTGCAGTCACCAGCACAGATAACCACTCCTGCCACCTCAAACTGTCCCTCTTGATTCTCCACCTCCTTCAGTGGCTGCTCCTTCTGACACAGGATTTTTCTCAGCCACTTTTGCTGGTCAGAGACCTCTGGCTGGCGATGTCCCTACCTGGGCTTTGCTTGGCCCCGGGCCTGCTGCAGGAGGCGTCCCATCCATTCGGCCCACTGGACCATACCTGGCTTGTGCTTGGGTTTGTGCACAGGACTAACCCCAGCCCAACTGTGTTATAGCTCGTACCTGTGTTTGGTGGTTTTCAAGCTCTTGTCCCACATCCAAGAAGAATGAGGATACACTGATAAGCGAAGGATGAGGAGGGAGGAGAATAATTTTACTGAGTGATGAAACAGCTCTCAGTGGAGAGGGGACAAGAGGGTGGTCAACCACCAGGAGTGGGGTGGTTTCTCCCCGAGCATGGCTGAGTCCAGGGCTTTTATGGGCTCAGAATAGGGGAGTGCATGCTGATTGGTTTGTGAGTATGTAAAAAAAGGTTAAAACAAAGGCATCGGTCAGTCAGGTGTGATGGCTTACACCTGTAATCTCAGCACTTTGGGAGGCCGAGGTGGGCAGATCACAAATTCAGGAGTTTGAGACCAGCCTGACCAACATGGTGAAACCCTGTCTCTACTAAAGATACAAAAATTAGCCAGGCATGGTGGCACGCCCCTGTAATCCCAGCTACTCGGGAGTCTGAGGCAGGAGAATAGCTTGAACCCAGGAGGTGGAGGGTGCAGTGAGCCAAGATCACGCCACTGCACTCCAGCCTGGGTGACAGATCGAGACTCTGTCTGGAAAAAAAAAAAAAAAAAAAAGACCCCAGTCAAAAGTGGGCATTACAGGGTAAAAAACAAATTAGGGAAGGGTAGGTATATGTGAAATAGGTGAAGGGTACGGATCAATCAGAGGAAACCATGCCAAACAGTAAGACAGGTTCTCAATCCAGTCTGTGGATGTGACTTATAGCTTGACTTTCAGCCTTTAAACTGTCTTTGACTTGGAGTTGGGGTTTCAATGGGAACCCACCCCTATCTGCCTAGGCTTTCATCTGCCTCCTGCCTCTATCACTCTCAACCTTCTTTGGTGCTTCCTCCTATACTGGTTTTCCAAATGCTGGAGTTTTTCTAGCCTTTGTCCTGGGCCCTCTTTTATATCAGTCAATTTTTATTTTATATATGTATTTATTTATGTTTGAGATGGAGTCTTACTCTGTCATCCAGGATGGATTGCAATGGTGCAATCTCGGCTCACTGCAACCTCCACCTCCCAGGTTCAAGTGATCCTCCTGCCTCAGCCTCTCGAGTAGCTGGGATTGCAGGTGCCCACCACCATGCCCAGCTAATTTTGTATTTTTAGTAGAGACGGGGTTTTACCATGTTGGCCAGGCTGGTCTGGAACTCCTGACCTCAGGTGATCCACCTGCCTCGGCCTCCCAAAGTGCTGGGATTATAGGCGTGAGCCACCGCACCTGGCTTATATCAGTCCATTTTTTAAAAGAGGCCAGGTGTGGTGGCTCACACCTGTAATCCCAGCACTTTGGGAGGCCGAGGCGGGCGGATCACCTGAAGTCAGGAGTTCGAGACCAGCCTGGCCAACATGGTAAAACCCCGTCTCTACTAAAAATACAAAATTAGCCGGACATGGTGGTGCATGCCTGTAATCCCAGCTACTCAGGAGGCTGAGGCAGGAGAATCGCTTGAACCCAGGACGTGGAGGTTGCAGGGAGCCGAGATTGTACCATTGCCCTCCAGCCTGAGCAACAAGAGCGAAACTCCGTCTCAAAAAATAAATAAATAAATATATAATTAAATAAAGTATGCGATAGTGTCTCGATGTGTCTAATCACTGAGATCATATCAAGAATCTCATAGGCCGGGCGCGGTGGTTCATACCTGCAGCCTTAGCACTTTAGGAGACTGAGGTGGGCACATCGCTTGAGCCCTAGAGTTTGCGACCAACCTGGGCAACATGCCGAAACCTCATCTCTACAACATAAAAAATAAAAAAAATTAGCAGGGTGCGATGGTGTGTGCCTGTAGTCTCAGCCACTCAGGAGGGACACAAGGTCTGTGTCTGGTACTCTAATGGATTGTTACTGATCGATTGAGCCCAGGAGGTCGAGGCTGCAGTGAGCTGTGATGGGACCACTACACTCCAGCCTGGGTAACAGAGTGAGACCCTGTCTCAAAAAAACCCAAAACGTAGTCCTATAAATACCCATGGCACATAATCTTGCCACCCCAGGAAGAGATATAACTCCCTCCAGTGCATCTTTTTTATAATTGTCCATGTACCTGTTCAGGTCACTGTGCTCAGTGTCTATGACCATTTGTGATATCCTCTCTCAAGTCTGTCTCTTTTCTCTTCTTCCTTTCTTTTTTTCTTTTATTGAGATGGAGTCTCACTCTGTCGCCCAGACTGGAATGCAGTGGCATGATCTCTGCTCACTGCAACTTCCACCTCCTGGGTTCAAGAGATTCTCCTGCCTCAGCCTCCTGAGTGGTTGGGACTACAGGCACGTGCCACCAAGCCCAGCTAATTTTTGTATTTTTAGTAGAGACAGGGTTTCATCATGTTGGTCAGGCTGGTCTCAAACTCCTGGCCTCAAGTGATCCGCCTGCCTCGGCCTCCCAAAGTGCTGGGATTACAGGCCTGAGCCACTGCACCTGGCCTATTTTCCCTTCTTCCTAATGGTCTTCACATTCTTTGATGATGATGATGTTATAAGTCTTCTCCGTCTTTTAGTTCACTTGTTTTCCTCTAGGAAGGCATTATAATTCCTGTTGGATCTACTCTTAGTAGATGCCTCTGAGATGAAGTTCTACGTATAGGCTGAGGTCCACAGGGTACATGTCTGATTCTCTGTTGTTACTGACATCTCTCTGATAAGGTCAATATCCCCATTTAGGATCCCTGGATTGAGTTACATTGACCTCAGCCAGGCCATCTGAAGCGTCATCTGGCTTTCTTTCCTTTTCTTTTGAGACAGGGTCTCACACTGTTGCCCAGGCTGTAGTGCAGTGGTGCAATCATGGCTCACAGTAGTCTCAACCTCCTGGGCTCAAGGGATCCTCTGGCCTCAGCCTCCTGAGTAGCTGGGACTACAGATGTGCACGATCACACCTGGGTAATTTTTGGTTTTGGTTTTGGTTTTTTTTTTTTTTGAGACAGAGTCTCACTCTGTCCCACAGGCTGGAGTGCAGTGGTGTGATCTCACCTCACTGCACCCTCCACTTCTGGGTTCATGCCATTCTCCTGCCTCAGCCTCCCGAGTACCTGGGACTACAGGTGCCCACCACCACACCCGTCTAATTTTTTTTTTATTTTTAGTAGAGACGGGGTTTCACTGTGTTAGCCAGGATGGTCTTGAACTCCTGACCTCGTGATCCACCTGCCTCAGCCTCCCAAAGTGCTGGGATTACAGGTGTGAGCCACCACACCCGGCCCTATTTTCGTATTATTTATAGAGACAGAGTTTCTCCATGTTGCTCAGGCTGGTCTTGAACTCCTGAAATCAAGTGATCCACCTGCCTTGGCCGCCCAAAGTGTTAGGATTACAGGTGTGAGCCACTGCGCCCGACCCACTTTCTTTCCTTTCATGTGAAACTGGACCATTGCTCTCTTTTTTTTTGTTTTGAGATGGAGTCTCACTCTGTTGCCCAGGCTGGAGTGCAGTGGCACCATCTCAGCTCACTGCAACCTCTGCCTCCCAGGTTCAAAGGATTCTCATGCCTCAGCCTCCCAAGTAGCTGAGAATACAGGCACGTGCCACCATGCCTGGCTAATTTTTGTATTTTTAGTAGAGACGAGGTTTTGCCATGTTGGCCAGGCTGGTTTCAAACTCCTGACCTCAAGTGGTCCACCTGCCTCCTCCTCCCAAAGTGTTGGGATTACAGGCGTGAGCCACTGCGCCTGGCCAATTGAACATTTTTGATGTTATACTTCTGGTTAATTTATCTACTTCCTTTTTCTTTTCTTTTCTTCTTCTTTTTTTTTTTTTTTTTGAAAAGGAGTTTCACTCTCGTTGCCCAGGCTGGAGTGCAATGGTGTGATCTTGGCTCACTGCAACCTCTGCCTCCTGGCTTTAAGCAATTCTCCTGACTCAGACCCCCAAGTAGCTGGGATTACAGGCGCCTGCCACCACGCCTGGCTAATTTTTGCATTTTTAGTAGAGATGGGGTTTCACTATGTTGGTCAGGCTGGTCTCGAACTCCTGACCTCAGGTGATCCACCCACCTTGGTCTTCCAAACTGCTGGGATTACAGGCATGAGCCACCGAGCCCTGCCAATTTATCTACCTTCTAATTTTATTTTGCTTCAGAAAGTTTTACTTTTCTGGGTCTGAAACATGGTCTCTTGAATGTGAGACTGTGTAATTGGATGTATATACTCCCCTACCGGTTTTCTCCATACTGAATGTTTGTTAGACAATTATTTTCCACTTTGAGCACCAAATTATCAGGCCCTTAGCTACCACCCATGGATCAGACTGGGATGTTCCTTCTGTAAGTTATGACTTATCGGCAATTGCATTGTTTTTTTTTTTAATATATTTTTTTGAGACGGAGTCTCCCTCTGTTGCTCAGGCTGGAGTGCAGTGGCATGATCTCGGCTCATTGCAACCTCTGCCTCCCAGGCTCAGGCGATTTTCCTGCCTTGGCCTCCTGAGTAGCTGGGATTACAGGTGCCCGCCACTACACCCATCTAATTTTTGTATTTTTAGTAGAGAAGTGGTTTCACCTTGTTGGCCAGGCGGGTCTTGAACTCCTGACCTCAGGTGATCTGCCCACCTCTGCCTCCCAAAGTGCTGGGATTACACGTGTGAGCCACCGTGACCAGCCTCATTGATTGTAATTCATTATACTGGGATGACTTTTCTGGCCCTCCACCTGCCAGGGTGTCACCTGTGATGAATTTAGGGCTGCTGCTGCTTTCTGCTTGATTCCTGTGGTATGAGTGAGGCATTCACATCCACGAACCACGCACATCACCTGTGCCCCAGTGCCAGCTCAGACAGGAGGAAGCTGCTGTCTCTAGGGGTGGTGGTCAAGGTGTTTCCTATTCTCTCTGCTCACAGAGCAAGTCTAGCAACAGCTAAGACACTACCTCCTCATGCACTTTTTTTTTTTTTTTTTTTTTGAGACAGGGTCTGCTGGCTCTGTCCCCCAGGTGTAAGTGCAATGGCGCAATCTCGGCTCACTGCAACCTCTGCCTCCCAGGCTCAAGCAATCCTCCCACCTCAGCCTCTTGAGTAGCTAGGACTACAGGTGCATGCCACCACACCTGGCTAATTTTTTTCTTTTTTCTTTTTTCAGACGGAGTCTCGCTCTGTTGCCCAGACTGGAGTGCAGTGGTGTGATCTCGGCTCCCTACCAGCTCCGCCTCCCAGGTTCACGCCATTCTCCTGCCTCAGCCTCCTGAATAGCTGGGACTACAGGCGTCTGCCACCACGCCCGGCTAATTTTTTGTATTTTTAGTAGAGATAGGGTTTCACCGTGTTAGCCAGGATGGTCTCGATCTCCTGACCTCGTGATCTGCCCACTTCGGCCTCCCAAAGTGCTAGAATTACAAGCGTGAGCCACTGCGCCTGGACTAATTTTTTTCTTTTTTTGTAGAGATGAGTTTTCACCACGTTGCCCAGGCTAGTCTCAAACTCCTGAGTTCAAGCAATCCACCCACCTCAGTATCTCAAAGTGCTGGGATTACAGAACTGAGCCATCGCACCTGGCCTCTCATGCACCTTTGATGTATCATTGGGACCCTGCATTGTCCTTTCCATTATGTTCCATTTCCATTCTAGGTGGGTAATACTTGGGCTACTCCCTTTGTCTGATCAGAACTGAGTCTAGCTCATGTTAGGATGAGTAGCTTTGTTCTTATTTTGGGGCTACCAATAGTTCCTCTGCATCCTGTAATGCAAGGATGTCACCAGTGCCCTTTTTCTCTGTGGGGCTAGTTTTATTTATTTATTTATTTATTTATTTCTGCTCTTATTGCCCAGGCTGGAGTGCAATGGTGTGGTCTTGGCTCACTGCAACCTCCACCTCCCCGGTTCAAGTGATTCTCCTGCCTCAGCCTCCTAAGTAGCTTGGATTACAGGCAACTGCCACCATGCCCAGCTAATTTTTGTATCTTTAATAGAGACGGCGTTTCACCATGTTGGCCAGGCCGTTGTCGAACTCTTGACCTCAAGTGATCCGCCTGCCTCGCCCTCCCAAAATGCTGGGATTACAGGTGTGAGCCACCACACATGGCCAGGGGCTAGTTTTCTGTATCAGAAATTTCTGTGTCCAGTAGACTGACAAAGAAATGATCCCATGCCTAACCTTCAAAATCTGACTCAGAGTGACCAATCAGCATGTTCATGAGTCATTGAAATCTTTGTTTACATTATTAGTATAGGTGCTCAGGGTAAAATGTCTTGCTACCCAATTCAGTTCATTGAAGGATATCTGATCCTCAAGGAAATTTGTGGATTTTTTTCCTGGTGACTTGATACATTGTAAAACAATATTCAGCTTAGTATAAGTTTTCTCTAATAGCCAAATAATCTCATTAATTGTAGAAGCTTTTTCTTTTTCTTTTCTTGAGACAGAGTCTCGATCTGTCACCCAGGCTGGAGTGCAGTGCTGCGATCTTGACTCATTGCAACCTCTGCCTCTTGGGTTCAAGAGATTCTCCTGCCTCAGCCTCCCAAGTAGCTAGGATTACAGGCGTGTGCCACCATGCCTGGCTAATTTGTGTATTTTTAGTAGAGACGGAGTTTCACCGTGTTGGTCAGGCCTGTCTCGAACTCCTGACCTCAGGTGATCCGCCCGCCTCGGCCTCCCAAAGTGCTGGGATTACAGGCGTGAGCCACCGCACCCAGCCTTTTTGGTAGAGACAGGGTCTCACCATGTTGCCTAGACTGGTCTCAAACTGGAACTCAAGTGATCCTCCTGCCTTGGCCTCCCAAAGTGCTGGGATTATGTGCATAAGCTACAGCACCTGACCCCTTTCTGTGATTTCTAATGTGTTAGATAAGAGCTCACTACATTTTTTGTACATTTATTTTATTTTGCACGTTATATTTGTATTTTTTGTTGTCTGTTGTCAATTTTCATTTTCCTTCTGGCCACACTAGTGACTTGTAGGGACGTAGGTTTGCCTAATGATGCCTTCTTTTTCTAATCTAGTAAAAATGTCTGTGATCTCATTATTTCATCCTTGAATTATGTATTGTGAGGGGATTAACAACCTCTGTCAGTATATGGCCGTCATGTAGTGGCCATACACCTGTAATCCCAGCACTTTGGGAGGCCAAGACTGGCGGATCATTTGAAGCCAGGAGTTTGAGACCAGCCTGGCCAACATGGTGAAACCCCATCTCTACTAAAAACACAAAAATAGCAGGGCATGGTGGCGCACGCCTGCAATCGCAGCTACTCGGGAGGCGGAGGAGGCAGAATTGCTTGAACCTGGGAGGCGGAGGCTGCAGTGAGCCAAGATCATGCCACTGCACTCCAGCCTGGGTGACAGAGTGAGACTCTGTCTCAAAAAACCCAAAAAACCAGAAAAATATGGGTAACAGAAAGGGAAGAACTCTCTCCCCACGTGACTCAATATTGAGAAAACTTACTTGACATGGTTGTCATGGATTTGGAAGTGAGATGGCCTCTGAGTTCAAATCCTGGCTGTGTCCCTTCCACTGTGGCTGAAGCTTAACACTTGATTGGCGTGTGTGGGATATGAGCCCAGTGTAGCCAGAAGAAGGTACTTTCTCCGGTTGCTGCATAAAAGCCAGCAAAGGCAGGCTGTCCCCGGCCTTCTAGGCTTTGTGTGTGATTCTCCTTCTGCCTGGAACACTGTTGCTTCCCCATTTCCTACTTACATAATATTTCTGCATTTAACATCTTTGTGCCTCAGCTTCTTCCTCTGCAAAATGGAGATGATAAGAGTACCCACTTTATGGCACTACTGTGAAGAATAAATCAGCTTAAATTAGCCGTCCGGGCAAGGTGCCTAAAGCCTATAATCCCAGCACTTTGGGAGGCCAAACTGGGAGGATCGCTTGAGCCTAGGAGTTCAAGGCCAGCCTGGGCAACGTGGCGAAACCCCATCTCTACAAAAAATACAAAAAAATTAGCCGGGTATGGTGGTGCATGCCTGTTGTCCCAGTTACTTGAGAGGCTGAGGTGGGAGGATCACCTGAACCCAGGAAGTAGAGGCTGCAGTGAGCTGTAATCGCGTCACAGCAATGTAGCCTGGGCAACAGAGCAAGACCCTGTCTCAAAAACCATATAAAGAGCTGACCAACATGGTGAAACTCCGTCTCTACTAAAAATACAAAAAAAAAATTAGCTGGGCATTGTGGTGCATGATTGTAATCCCAGCTACTTGGGAGCCTGAGGGAGAATTGCTTGAACCTGGGAGGTGGAGGTTGCAGTGAGCCGAGATCGTGCCACTGCACTCCAGCCCGGGCAGCAGAGTAAGACTCTGTCTAAAAAAAAAAAAATACACACACACACACACACACACACACACACACACACACACACACACACGTATATATGCCAATACATGAAAGCAATCTTTTTTTTCTTTTTTTGAGACGGAGTCTTGCTCTGTTGCCCAGGCTTGAGTGCAGTGGCGCGATCTCGGCTCAGTGCAAGCTCCGCCTCCCAGGTTCACGCCATTCTCCTGCCTCAGCCTCCCAAGTAGCTGGAACTACAGGTGCCCGCCACCATGCCTGGCTAATTTTTAGTATTTTTTTAGTAGAGACGGGGTTTCACCATGTTAGCCAGGATGGTCTCGATCTCCTGACCTCGTGATCCACCCGCCTTGGCCTCCCAAAGTGCTGGGATTACAAGCATGAGCCCTCGCGCCCAGCGGAAAAAGCCAAAGTCTTTACAATGACCTCTAGGGCTTGACATTATCTGACTCATCTTTTATCACTCTTTGCATCTCTGCCTTCGTTCCGCATGTATTGCTTGTGCCAGGCACATTCCTGCCTCAGGGCCTTTGCACTTGCTATTGCCTCTGCCTAGAATGTTCTTTCTCCAAATAACTGCATGACTGGTCCCCTGGCTTCTTTCTGGTCTCTACTCAAAAGGCCCCTCTCAGTGTGACATTCCCTGGCTATCCTATCAAAATGTCAACACCCCTCTGACATGCCTGCCAACCATGCTTTGTGTATTTTCTCCTTTGTATTTATTACTATTCCATATATCAAACATCTTACTCATTTATCCTCCACTGGAATGTAAGTTCTAAAACATTAGAAAAATTTTATTTTATTTTTTTCAAGGTCTCGCTCTGTCACTCAGGCTGGAGTTCAGTGGCACAATCATAGCTCACTGCAGCCTTGAACTTCTGAGTTTAAGCAGTCCTCCTACCTTGCCCTTCCAAAGTGCTGGGATTATAGACATGAGCCGCAATGTCTGGCCCAGAAATTTTGTTTATTTTGTTCCCTGAAATTTCTTCAGTGCTTAAAACAGAGGTTAGTAAAATTTGAAAAATGAATGCATACGTATTTTTTTCCATTTTAATCTTCCCAGTAAGATACTTCAGTATTGTCTCCATTTTGTAGATTAAAAACCTGAGGCACAGAGCGATCAGGTCACTTGCCTAAGGGTCATACGGCTGGGAAGTGTGGCTCAGGGGAAGACTCTACCCCCTTACCTCAGATTTCTTATCATTTAAATGAGGTTTCCAAAAGAATGCCCTCTTTGCAGGGTCATTGAGACATATTGTGAAGATTATGTGTGATAGAGCATATGACAAACTTAAAGCCAGTGCTTGGCATGCTGTAATCACTCAAGAAGTAGTCTCTGGCTGAGTGAGGTGGCACATGCCTGTAATTCCAGCTACTTGGGAGGCTGAGGTGGGAAGATCAGCCAATCTTGGGAGGCAGAGGTTGTAGTGAGCTAAGATCGCACCACTGCACTACAGCCTGGTTAACAGAGTGAGACTCCATCTCAAAAACAAAACAAAACAAAACAAAACCAAAAAAAAAAACAGAAGTAGTCTCTAGAAATACGAAAGGATGTACGAGGTGTTTGTCCCTAGTCATTAAAGGTAGGAATATTTCAGCACAGAGGCTGATCAAGGGGCCAGGAAGTTACTAGTATTGTTTTTGTTTTTGTTTTTGAGACAGAGTCTCACTCTGTTGCCCAGGTTGGGGTAGAGTGGTGTGATCTCAGCTCACTGCAACCTCCACCTCCCGGGTTCAAGCAATTCTCTGCCTCAGCCTCCCGAGTAGCTGGGATTAAAGGCAACCACCACCACACCTGGCTAATTTTTGTATTTTTAGTAGAGACGGGGTTTCACCATCTTGGCCAGGCTGGTCTTGAACTCCTGACCTCGTGATCCACCCGCCTCGGCCTCCCAAAGTGCTGGGATTATAGGTGTGAGCCACCGCGCCCGGCCTTGTTTTGTTTTTGAGACAAAGTCTCCCTCTATTGCCCAGGCTGGAGTACAGTGGCATGATCTTGGCTCACTTGGCCTATTGTCGTTAATATTGTTGTCGTTTCTATCACTTTTCTGTGCAGCAGGGTTTAGCCATACCAACCTGTTCCCAGAATGAGCTCCTCTGTGACCATGACACATACTGGGTCCTCTGCTTGGAATGCATTTAGCGTAGTTTCTGCACGGAAACTCATATGCATCCTTCATGGCCCAACTCAAAAATCTCCTCTGGGAAGCTTCTCCTGACTTCCTGAGGTATGTCACATTCCTGTTATAGTTAGGGTTGCAATTTATTTATTGATTTGTTTTTTGTTTGTTTGTTTAATCTGAAGCCCCTACCAGTCTCTGAGGTCCTGGAGGGCCACATTTTGTGGGTCCTGAAGCAGAAACAATTTGGGGGCCCTCTTTAAAATATGAAATTATTAACACAAAATCAGGTTTGAGGCCAGATGTGCTGGCTCATGCCTGTAATCCCAACACTTTGGGAGGCTGAGACGGGTGGATCACCTGAGGTCAGGAGTTCGAGACCAGCCTGGCCAATATGGTGAAACCCCGTCTCTACAAAAAATACAAAAATTAACTGGGTGTGGTGATGTGCACCTGTAGTCCCAGCTACTTGGGAGGCTGAGACAGGAAAATTCGTTGAACCTGGGAGGCAGAGGCTGCAGTGAGCCGAGATTGTGCCACTACACTCCAGCCTGGGCAACAGAGCGAGATTCCATCTCAAAAAAAAAAAAAACAAAAACCTGGTTTGAAAGTGAATATTTATTTAGAATGAGAAAAAATCCCAACAAGTTTTGAAATGTAAAAAACGGACAAATAAGACAAAAAATAAAATCCAAAATAATAACAAACTTTTATTAACTGCTTAACATTCTTCTATAATACTTTTTTTTTTTTTTAAATAGAGACAGGGTCTCACAATGCTACCCAGACTGAGCTCAAACTCCTGGGCGCAAGCAATCCTCCCACCTCAACTTCCCAAAGCACTGAGATTGCAGGTGTGAGCCTCAGCACCTGGCCTTTTTTGCTTACTTTTTTTTTTTGGCTGCACACTTTTTGATTCTTTATGTGACAGCAACTGTATGGTATTTTCTCTATTTTTTTTTTTGCTAGATGGAGTCTTGCTCTGTTGCCCAGGGTGGAGTGCAGTGGAACGATCATAGCTCACTGCAGCCTTGAGCTCCTGGGCTCAAGCAACCTTCCTGCTGCAGCCTCCCAAGGAGCTGGGACTACAGATGCATACCACCACGCTTGGTTAATTTTTATGTTTTTTGTAGAGATGGGGTTTGGTCACTCTGTTGCCCAGGTTGGTCCCGAACTCCCAGCCTCAAGCGATCCTCCCACTTCCACCTCCCAAAGTGCTGGGATTACAAGCATGAACCACTGTGCCTGGGCAGTAGGATTGTTTTTGTTTTTGTTTTTGAGAGCGAGTCTTGCCCTGTTGCTCAGGCTGGAGTGCAATGGCGTGATCTCGGCTCACTGCAGCTTCCGTCTCCTGGGTTCAAACGATTCTCCTGCCTCAGCTTCCCGAGTTGCTGGGATTACAGGCACCTGCCACCACACCCAGATATTTTTTTTGTATTTTTAGTAGAGACAGGGTTTCATCGTGTTGGCCAGGCTGGTTTCAAACTCCTGACCTCGTGATCCGCTCGCCTTGGCCTCCCAAAGTGCTGGGATTATAGGTGTTAGCCACCGCGCCTGGCCAGGATATTTTTATAGCAGGACTGGAAAGATAATTCAGTCTTTCCTCTGCCATGATTGATCAAAATTAGTTTTTTTGTGTGTTTTTGTTTTTGTTTTTTTTTGTTTTTTGAGACGGAGTCTCGCTCTGTCGCCCAGGCTGGAGTGCAGTGGCGCGATCTTGGCTCACTGCAAGTTCTGCCTCCCAGGCTCACGCCATTCTCCTGCCTCAGCCTTCTGAGTAGCTGGGACTACAGGCGCCCGCCACCACACCTGGAGAATTTTTTTTATTTTTAGTGGAGACAGGGTTTCACCGTGTTAGCCAGGATGATCTCGATCTCCTGACCTCGTGATCCGCCCGCCTCGGCCTCTCATAGTACTGGGATTACAGGCGTGAGCCACTGTGCCCAGCCCAAAATTAGTTTTTTATTAGTGATAGTTTAGGAATTTTTTTCCTTCAGTTTTGTAATTCATTGTTGGTAAGATTATTTAACTCAATGATTGTTGTTAAATTTGGAGCAACTGCTATAAAATATCTTACTCATGTGAGCTGTGTATTTGGAAGGATTTTCCACACACTATTTCTGACTTCGTGCATTTCAAATTTTATTTCTTTTACAATGCCCTTGTACTCCTGGGGCTGGGCATCATATATTCTCTGAGTCAGCACCTTCAGATCACAACACTCAGGGAGACAGAACAATGGCATTAGGAATATTCCTGAATGCCATCTGGGGCACCTAGGAGTAATATAACTATACCCGCAAGGGGCCAGAATCCCATAAATATACTCACCCCCAGCCCTAAACCCAAATCAGCCTCTCCCTAGCCAGATTTCAAAACACCTGTGGCCACCTGATATGAAGCGAGGTGTGATGAAGGAGAGGTTGGGAGTGGAAAGAGAAAAAAGTCTGAACTAACTGTGGTTAAAATATCTTATGTTTGCAAAATTTTTATTTTAATTTATTTATTTTTACTTTTTTGAGACAGTCTCACTCTGTCGCCCAGGCTGGAGTGCAATGGCACAACCTCAGCTCACTGCAACCTCCGCCTCCTGGATTCAAGCAATTCTCCTGCCTCAGCTTCCCAGGTAGCTGGGAATCCAGGCACATACCACCACACCTGCTAATTTTTGTATTTTTAGTAGAGATGGGGTTTTACCATGTTGGCCAGGCTGGCCTCAAACTCCTGACCTCAGGTGGTCTGCCTGTCTTGGCCTCCCAAAGTGCTGGGTTTACAGGGTGTTACAGGGGTTACAGGGGTGAGCCACTGCACATGGCCTATTTTTATTTTTTTAATTTTTTATTTAATTAATTAATTGTTTTTGAGACAGAGTCTCGCTATATCACCCAGGTGGGAGTGCAATGGCTCAGTCTCAGTTTACTGCAACCTCCGCCTCCCGGGTTCAAGCAATTCTGCTGCCTCAGCCTCCCGAGTATCTGGGATTACAGGCGCCCACCACCACGCCCGGCTAATTTTTGTATTTTTAGTAGAGATGAGGTTTCACCATATTGGTCAGGCTGGTCTTGAACTCCTGACCTCAGGCAATCCACCTGCCTCGGCTTCCCAAAGTTCTGGGATTACAGGCGTGAGCCACCGCGCCTGGCCACGCCCAGCTAATTTTTGTATTTTTAGTAGAGATAGGTTTTCACCAGTTTGGCCAGGCTGGTTTTGAATTCCTGATCTCAGGTGATCCACTCACCTTGGCCTCCCAAAGTCCTGGGATTACAGGCGTAAGCCACCACTCCCAACCCTATTTGTATTTTTTAAAAATTTTATTTGGCTTGAGGCACAGTATCAAGAGGTCCTGAGAACATGTACCCCTCATGTTTGCAAAATTTTAAAAAATTATGGCAAGAAAATACATAACAGAGCTTACTATCTTAACCATTTTTTTCTGAGATGGATCGGCTCTGTTGCCTAGGCTGGAGTGCAGTGTCATGATCATAGCTCACTGTAACCTCAAGCTTCTGGGCTCAAGTGATCCTTCTGCCTTAGCCTCCTGAGTAGCTGTAGTATAGCTAAGAGTGTAGGCACCACCTAATTTTTTAATTTTAACTTTAATTTTTTGTAGAGACAGGGTTTCGCTATGTTGCCAGGTTGGTCTTTTTTGTTTTTGTTTTTGAGGCGGAGTCTCACTCTGTCGCCCAGGCTGGAGTGCAGTGGCTCGATCTCGGCTCACTGCAACTTCTGCCTCCTGGGTTCAAGAGATTCTCCTGCCTCAGCCTGCCGAGTAGCTGGGATTACAGGTGTGTGCCACCACGCCTGGCTAATTTTTTGTATTTTTTTGTAGAGATTGGGCTTCACCATGTTGGCCAGGCTGCTGTCGAACTCCTGACCTCAGGCAAAGTGCTGGGATTACAGGCCCAGGTTGGTCTTGAACTCCTGGTTTCAAGCGATCCTCTCACCTCAGGCTCCCAAAGTGTTGAGATTAAAGGTGTGAGCCTTGCACCTGGCCAGTCTTAGCCATTCTAAGTGTACAGTTCAGTAGTGTTAAGTATTTTCACAGTACTGTGCAACAGATCTCTAAAACATTTTCATCTTGCAAAACTGAAAGTTTATAACCATTCTTACTTTTGCAAATTTTATGAAGACATATAATCCCGGCCGGGCGCGGTGGCTCACTCCGGTAATCCCAGCACTCTGGGACGCCGAGGTGGGCGGATCACCTGAGGTCAGGAGTTCGAGACCAGCCTGACCAACATGGTGAAACCCCCATCTCTACTAAAAATAAAAAATTAGCTGGGTGTGGTGGCACACACCTGTAGTTCCAGCTACTCGGGAAGCTGAGGCAGGAGAATCTCTTGAACCCGGGAAGCAGAGGTTGCAGTGAGCTGATATCATGCCACTGCACTCCAGCCTGGGAGGTTGCAGTTAGCTGAGATCATGCCACTGCACTCCAGCCTGGGCAACAGAGTGAGACTCCATCTCAAAAAAAAAAAAAAACAAACAAAAGGTCGGGCGCGGTGGCTCACGCCTGTAATCCTAGCACTTTGGGAGGCTGAGGTGGGTGGATCACAAGGTCAGGAGATCAAGACCAGTCTGGCTAACACGGTGAAACCCCATCTGTACTAAAAATACAAAAAATTAGCCGGGCGTGATGGCGGGTGCCTGTAATCCCAGCTACTTGGGAGGCTGAGGCAGGAGAATGGCGTGAACCCGGGAGGCGGAGCTTGCAACAAACCAAGATTGCGCCACTGCACTGCAGCCTGGGCGACAGAGCAAGACTCAGTCTCAAAACAAAAACAAAAACAAAAACAAAACAAAACAAAAACCATATAATCCCATGCAGGTGATGAGTTCTGAAGTTTAAGCTTCAGTGGGCTTCATGATAAATTCATTCTTGCTGAGGGAAGATTTGAGTCTTTTTGGAGTTCCCCAAGGTACAGATTTGGACATCATACACTGTAGGAAATCAAGGTTGCATCAAATGACCGCTCCAGGAGGGAGAGCTGTTAGGGAATAATAGGTCCAGAGGTGTTTGTTTTGGGTTTTTTTTTTTTTTTATTTTATCGCCCAGGTTGGAGTGCAGTGGTGCAATCTCGGCTCACTGCAATCTCCGCCTCCCGGGTTCAAGCGATTATTGTGCCTCAGCCTCTGTGCCACAACGCCCGGCTAATATTTGTATTTATAGTAGAGATGGGGTTTCACCATGCTGGCCAGGCTGCTCTCGAATTCCCAACCTCAGGTGATCGCCTGCCTTGGCCTCCCAACGTGATGGGATTACAGGTGTGAGCCACTGTGCCCGGCCAGGTCCAGAGGTCTTAACCTTCTCATGGATTCCTGGGATTTTGAGGTGGTGTCTCAGGCACTGCCAATTTGGGCTGCTTAGCTCCTCCCCTCCCCCACACTTGAAACATCTGCTTAAATAATAACGATGACATTAATGATCATCATTCAAGCTGAAATACATTGGTTACTTTACTACATGATAGACACTATTCCAAGTACCCCACTTGTATTAAGTTACTTAATTCTTTTTTTTTTTTTTTTTTTGAGATGAAGTCTCACTCTGTTGCTCAAGCTGGAGTGCAGTGGCACAATCTCAGCTCACTGCAACCTCCACCTCCCGGATTCAAGCGATTCTCCTGCCTCAGCCTCCTGAGTAGCTGGGACTACAGGAATGCACCACCATGCCCGGCTAATTTTTTTTGTATTTTTAGTAGAGATGGGGTTTCACTATGTTGGCCAGGCTGGCCTTGAACTCCTGACCTTGTGATCCACCCACCTCTGCCTCCCAAAGTGCTGGGATTACAGGCATGAGCCACCAAGCCAGGCCAAGTTACTTAATTCTTACAATGCAACTATGTGGTTGGAATTAATCATTATCCCATTTTCCAGAGAAGGATGCCAGGGCTTGAAAAGCTTCAGTTTTATAGATAAAGGTTCCTTGTAACATACCTTTTGAAAAAAAATTGTTCTACTAATAACACGTTTTGAAAAAGTCTGAATTAGTCCAGGGTATTTATTTTACACATGGGAAAGTAAAATCCAGAAAAAGGGGTCATTTGTTCAATGCCACACACTTATTCTTTCATTATTTCCTGGGCGCCTGCCTTGTGCCAGTGACTGTGCTATGACATAAGGGTTCAGAGGTAAACAAGATACTCATGGAATATAATTTTAGTGGAGGCCAGTGGACAATATATACAAGAAGAAATGAATAGGCAAAATAATTCCAGACAGTGCTGGGATGATACATTTGAGATGTGATTGAGTGACAAAGAGAGAGAGTGTTAATTTAGTTGGAGAGGTGGTCAGGAGAGTGTGGTCTGTGGAGGTAACATGTGAGCCACAACCTGATGACCTGAAGAAGTCAGCCGTGCACTGCTATGGGGGGACAACACTCCAGACAGAGGGATCTATGAGTGCAAAGGCCCTGAGGCAGGAATGGCTTGTTAGTAATACAGCAGACTCCTGGTCCAGTGCTCCTTCTCTGCCTGCTGCTCTCTAGGCCCTCAGAGAGGCTCCTTTGGTGTCCTGGACCTCCCTCAAGCTCAGTCCCTAAGGGGCCAGCTGATCTAGGAAGGTAGCAGATCTGGCTTCCTGTGGGTCCTCCTCCCAGAAGCCCTATGGCTGAACCGGATCTGAGTTTCCTGGTTCCTGTCTGGCAGAAGGGGAGCAGATCTCCTCCCTGCCTCCTCTCCCCAGGCTCTAGCCCTTGCTCCAAATCTCCATGGCAACCCCTGGACACAGTTCTGAACCAAATGAAGAGGATCTGGAAGGCAAAGCACTAAGATCATAGTGAAGACTTGCCTCCCCCTTCTCCTTGTGTCCCACCAGCCTCCCTGCTGGCCTGACCAGGCCCCATACTCCAGTCTCCCCAGAGACCCCAAGCTGAAGATTCTGTGGGTCTGCCCCATTGCTGGGCACAGCAGAGCCTGGATGGAGGCTTGTTGTCTTCTGCAGTTGCCCCAAAGGTTGCTCTTGCTGGGGGCAGCCGCCCTGACTGCAACTGCTTTGGAGACAGGTAAGTATCAGGGGGCTTGGTTGGGGCACCCAGAAGACTTGGGCCCCCACCATCCTTAGAGACTATGTTTCCCCAGTCAGCACTCATCCTGCTGGGCTGAGACCTTTTGAGCTGGGGGAGGCTGGGAAACTGTGTCTGGTCTTGCTTGGCATCCCCAAATCCAACCCAAAGCCTTCTGGAAGGCTTGGATCTGCCAGTCACCTAGAAGCAGGAGTCTGGGAGTGGGCAGGACAGCCCTCAGGGCCTGCTTTGCAAAACTCTGTAGGCTTCGGATTCAGAGAAGCTGCATTTACACACTCTGCCACTTCTTATGTTTGTACCTTTGAGATCATTGTTTCAACTCTCTGAATTTCTTTGGCAGTAAAATGAAAATAATAGGCCCTTGCCCCTTAAGGGACTATGATTATTGGCATATAAGATGAGATAAGTCATGCAAGGCACTTCATAATACCTGGCACATAAAAGGTGCCAAATTCCCGGCTGGGCGCAGTGGCTCACGCCTGTAATCCCAGCACTCTGTGATGCCGAGGCGGGCGGATCATGAGGTCACGAGATCAAGACCATCCTGGCCAACATGGTGAAACCACATCTCTACTAAAAATACAAAAATTAGCTGGGCATGGTGGCATGTGCCTGTAATCCCAGCTACTTGGGAGGCTGAGGCAGGAGAATCGCTTGAACCAGGGAGTCGGAGGCTGCAGTGAGCCGAGATTGCGCCACTGCACTCCAGCCTGGCAACAGAGAGAGACTCCGTCTCAAAGAAATAAAAAAAAAAAAGGGTGCCCAATTCCCTTACTCTCTAAACTCCATGCCTGCCCTGTGTACCTTCAGGGTAGGCTCTGGCTTTAGCAGAGAAATACCAAATATTGGAAAGTGCTCCCACATCCTGAGCTCTGATGAAGGATTTTTTCCTCAAAGACCCACATCCTGGCTGGTCCTCAAGTACCCACTGGTCCCTATCTTGCACCAGAAAACCCACCTCCTCTTTCCTCTCTGTGCTTACAGAAATCAGGGCTACTTTGAGTACTTGCACATCTTCTCATTTAATCCTCACAACAACCCTGTACCAGTGAGGATGTTTTGGGCTGTAAGTAACAGATAACAAACTAAATGGGGCTTAAATGGTAGGATATTTGCTATTTCAGTTAAGAGTGGTCATAGGTGATTCCAGAGATGGTTAACTCAACGGCTCAACAATGTCACTGTTCCTCTGAAATGCTCTGACCTCATCTTTGCAAAATGGCTGCTGCAGCTCTGGACATCCCATCCTCATCCTCAGTCAGCAGCTTTCAAAAGCAGGAAGAAAAGGGGCTCCTTATCACACAGCTCTCCCCCTCCCCTTTTTTTTTTTTGGTGACGGAGTCTCGCTGTGTTACCCAGGCTGGAGTGCAGTGGCTTGATCTCAGCTCACTGCAACCTCCGCCTCCAGAGTTCACGCGATTCTCATCCTCAGCCTCTCGATTAGTTGGGATTACAGGTGCGCACCACCATGCCCGGCTAATTTTTTGTATTTTAGTAGAGATGGGGTTTCACCATGTTGGCCAGGCTGGTCTCGAACTCCTGACCTCAGGTGATCCACCTGCCTTGGCCTCCAAAGTGCTGGGATTACAGGCGTGAGCCACTGCGCTCGGCCCCGCATCTTAGGGTTTCGAATAAGGGATTGTAGATTTGAATTAAATTAAATTAAATCATTTAATCCTTACAATCATTCTGAGATTGATTAATCATCCCCATTTTACCGATGAGGAAAATGAGGCTCAGAGAGGGCGAGTAACTCGCTTGGGATCACACAGCGGGCAGGGGACAGAGTAGAGTTCGGGGTCGCGCCGCGCGGCTCCAGTTTCCGTGCCTTCCGCTGCAGCCGACCTGGCGGAACTGTGCGGGCAGACGTGGCAGGGGGACGGGCTGCTGCTGCGCTCGCACGCCGCATCGCGCAGGTTCTACTTCGTGGCTCCGGACACCGACTGCGGGCTCTGGGTGCAGGCGGCAGCCCCCGGCGACCGGATCCGCTTCCAGTTCCGCTTCTTCCTGGTCTACAGCCTGACCCCCGCGCCCCCGGCGCTCAACACCTCCTCCCCGGCCCCGGCCGACCCGTGCGCCCCCGGCTCCTACCTGCAGTTCTACGAGGGCCCGCCGGGGGCGCCCCGGCCCCTGGGGTCCCCACTGTGCGGCCTGAACATCCCGGTGCCTGTGGCATCCTCCGGACCCTTTCTAGGCCTGCGCCTGGTCACGAGAGGCCGCCAGCCCCGCGTGGACTTCGTGGGCGAAGTCACCTCTTTCCGTCTGGGTGAGCTGGGGCTGAAGGCCGGGACGGGACCCTCTGCAGAGGCCATGCGGGACTGGGGCCACAGTGGGGGCCCCGGTGAGGGCCGCTGCCGACAGGGGAATGGCAGGGGTGCCCGAAGCACAAGATGGCAGGGACTGGGTCCAACGGGAGGGAAGAAGGTGGTGGCTAGTGGCAGAGTCACAATAAGGGACCTCCCGGATCCTAAGAGCCAACCATATAAATCTGGCTACCATGGATGTGTGCGTCAGACTGTCCTACCAGCCCCAGTGCGCACACACATCCACACACATCCACACACAACTTCCTCCCCACACACATTCACACACAACTCCCACACGTTCACACCTCACACTCTGACATCCACACCCATGTCACATACGCACAACCCACGCACCTCATCGCCCCCACACACTCCACACTCATGCCTCTCACTGCAGCACACGCCTCACACTGCACACTCACCATCACACACCTCATATGCACACAGTACCGCCTTGCACACTTACACACAGCTCACATGCTCTCATGCCACATGCTGGCTGCTCTGCGCTGGGTCAGCCCTTCAGATGTTTGCAGAAGGGTGTGCTTAGGACTCGCCAGGCCTGTAGGCAGCAGAAACCAACTCAAGCCAGGAAAGGGCCCTCTTGGAACTGAAATTAATAATACTCGCCCAACTGGGCGCCGTGGCTTTCGCCTGTAATCCCAGCACTTTGGGAGGCCAAGTCATGAGGATCACTTGAGCTCAGGAATTCAAGACCAGCCTGGGTGACAGAGAGAGACCTGCCTAAAACAACAACAAAAAATAATTTAAAAAATATAATAATTAAAAAATAATAAAATTAATAACAGTACTTGCCCCATAGGGGTATTGTGAGGCCTCAATGGGCCAGGATGTGTAGTATTTACGGCTGTGCATGGCACAGAAGAGGAAGTCAGTACATGTTAGCTGCCATCCTCCACCCTCCTCCCCATGAAACACTCATCCATGTTCTCATCTGCATGCATGAGGGCAGCTCTCTCCTGCCCACACCCCCACACTGTCACCATGGGGGCCACACATCCTGCTGTGTCGTGGGCTGGACCGGAATCCTCACCTCAGGCTTCTGCTTCTGGCCTCAGGACCTTGTGGTGCCTACTTCCGCTGCCAGAATGGCAGGTGCATCCCCTCAAGCCTCGTGTGTGACCCCTGGGGCATGGACAACTGTGGCGATGGCAGTGACCAGGGCTCCTGGTCACCAGCTGACTGCAGAGGTCAGTGCGGGGTGTGGACTGGGCCCTACTGAACAGCTGGAGGGAAGCCTGGCCCTAACTCCCCTTCCCTAGGGCAGGGCCCCGATGGGGAGGCAGGAGAGAGGAAAGCGGAAGTGTGGAATCGGCTTAGGCCAAGGGCTGGAGGGGCAGAGCAGTCAGGGCCAGAACTATGCTGCAGATGATCTCATCCGGCGGATTCCAAATGATGCTTTAGTGGTGGAAACTTTTGCTAAATGGGACCTGGCATGGAGGCCCAAGACATTCAAAGGAGATATCCTCTGCTTAACTGGATGGTGGGCCTGGGGCCCTGGCTGCCTGATGTCTCTCTGAGGGCCCTGAGTGTCACCCTCAAGACATACTTTGAAAACCATCAATCCAGTCTGATTCCCACACTTTACAGATCAGGAAACTGAGGCCTAGAGAGAAGTGACTTGCCCAAGGTCATAAAGCCAGTGAGTAAAATGAGCAGGAATGATCTCTGTAGACAGGGGAGTGGGATAGGAGGGCTAGGGTTGGTGGAAGGGACCAGAACAAATCACCCAGGAATAACCTTCCTGGGGATCTAAAGATGTCCCACCTGCCCACCACACCCAATTAGGAGTGGGATGGAGGTAGGGCTGCCATGTACAGTTGAACAGGGGTGAAATGCAGTTTCCCAGAACCCCACACACTTACCTTCCCCATCCCCCGCTCAGCCTTTTTTGCAGGTTCCTGGTCATTTCCCTGATGCTGTATGCTTTGTGCCATGAGACCCAGGTCCTATGTCCCCTTGTCCTCCATCCAGGCTCATTCCCTTGTGGGTCTCATTTATATCGTATCACCTGTGGGACTTGTCTTTGAACTTCAGCCACATAACCTCCTCCCTGCTCAGCATCTCTGCGTGGATGTATAGGCGAAATCTCAAACTTAACTTGCCCCATACTGGACTCCTTGTCCACAGCCCTCCCTGCATCCTGCTTCCCTCTCGCTGAGCAGCGACTTCACATTCCAGCTGCCCAGGCCTCACTGAGTCATCTTTTACTCCCCGCTTAACCCATAGCCTATAACCCATAACCAAGCCAGTGACAAGTCCTTTGAAAGCTCTCCAGACTCTGACCCTTCTCACACCTGCTCTGCCATCACCTGGTCTGAGCCACCACCAGCTCTCGTCTGGGTTGTTCTAATAACTTCTGAACTGGTCTCCCTCCTTCTGTCCTTTGCCTCTGACAACACAGGAAGAAGGAAGCCTGGGGGAGCCTTCTTTTTCTTTTTCTTTTTTTCAAATGAACTTACTTATTTATTGTTTTGAGATAGGTTCTCATTCTGTTATCCAGGCTGGAGTGCAGTGGCGCCATCTCGGCTCACTGCAACCTCTGCTTCCTGGGCTCAGGTGATCCTCCCACCTCAGCCCCCAGAGTAGCTGGGACCACACATGCACCACCATGCCCAGCTAATTTTTGTGTTTTCTGTAGAGATGAGGTCTCACTGTATTGCAAGGGCTAGTCTCGAACTCCTGGACTCAAGATCTTCCCACCTTGGCCTCCCAAAGTGCTGGGATTGCATGAACTTCATTTTTTAGGGCAGTTTTAGATTTACAAAAAAATTGAGAAGATAGTACAGAAAATTCTCATATACCCAGCACTCAGTTTGGGTGCTATTACTGACATTTTACATTAGTATGAGACATTTGTTTTAATTAATGAAGTAATATTATTAACTAAAGTCCACAGTTTGTTCAGTTTTCCCTAGTTTTTACCTCATGTCCTTTTTCTGTCCCGGGATCCCACTCAGCATCTCATGTTACATTTATTTATTTATTTATTTTATTACTTTTTTTCAGATAGAGTCTTGCTCTGTCGCCTAGGCTAGACAGACTGCAGTGGCGTGATCTCGGCTCACTGCAACCTCTGCCTCCCTGGTTCAAGCGATTCTCCTGCCTCAGCCTCCGGTGTAGCTGGGATTACAGGTGCACACCACCACGCTCAGCTAATTTTTGTATTTTTAGTAGAGACGGGATTTCTCCATGTTGGACAGGCTGGTCTCAAACTCCTGACCTCAAGTGATCCACCCGCCTTGGCCTCCCAAAGTGCTGGGATTACAGGTGCACACCACCACGCTCAGCTAATTTTTGTATTTTTAGTAGAGACGGGATTTCTCCATGTTGGACAGGCTGGTCTCAAACTCCTGACCTCAAGTGATCCACCCGCCTTGGCCTCCCAAAGTGCTGGGATTACAGGCGTGAGCCTCCGCACCCGGCCTCATGTTACATTCATTAATAGTCATCATGCCTCTTTAGGCTCCCCTTGGCTGTGGCAGTTTCTCAGGATTTCCTTGTTTTTAATGATCTTGACAGTTGTGAGTACTGCTCAGGGATTTTGTAGGATGCCCCACTATTGGGATTTATTTGATACTTTTCTCATGAAAAGACTAGAGTTACAGTTCACAGAGGTGAAATGCCATCTTCATCACATCACATCACACCAAACATGACTTTGGTGTTGGGTGTTTGGTGTTGGACGGTGGTTGACGCTGACCTTGACCGCCTGGCTGATGTCTGCCTCATTTCTCCACCGTTACTTTTGGTCCCATCTTTCCCCACTGTATTCTTGGGAAGTCACTATGTATAGCCCACTTGAGTGGGGAGTTATGCTTCCCCGCCAGAGGTACCTTTTAAAACAGTAAATCAGGTTATGTCACTATCCTGCTCAAAACCCTCATCACATTCAGCAAAGGCAAAGCCTCGCCCGGGCTCAAAGGCCCTGCACGATCTGGCCCTGCCCCTTCTTTCCTGGCCTCGCCTCTTCCTTCCTGGCCCCGCCCCCCGCCCCACCCCTCCCTGGCCCCGCCTCCTCCCTGCCCCACCCCCTCCCTGGCCCCGCCTCCCCTCCACACTCCAGCTTTGTTCTGGCCTTTGCAGTAGCTGTGTCCTCTACCAGAAGACTTTTCTTCTGAGATCTGCATTGCAAGCTCGTTCCTTTGCTTCCTGGTGGGTCTCTTTAAGTTCTTCCCTGACTCCTTTATATAAAAATAGCAACCCTGGCCAGGTGCGGTGGCTCACGCCTGTAATCCCAGCACTTTGGGAGGCCGAGGTGGGCGGATCACCTGTAGTCGGGAGTTCGAGACCAACCTGACCAACATGGAGAAACCCCATCTGTACTAAAAATACAAAATTAGCTGGGCGTGGTGGCATATGCCTGTAGTCCCAGCTACTTGGGAGGCTAAGGCAGGAGAATCACTTGAACCCGGGAGGCATAGGTTGCGGTGAGCCGAGATCGCACGGTTGCACTCCAGCTTGAGCAACAAGAGCGAAACTGTCTCAAAAAAAAAGTTATTATTAGTAACTTATTATTATATTCTAATATGTATATTAGATATGCTTCCTGTACAGCCTGCAGAACTGAGACAATTAAACCTCTTTTCTTTATAAATTACCTTTATAAATTTATAAATTTATAAATTACCTTTCTTTATAAATTTATAAGAAAATTATAAATTTTCTTTATAAGCATATACATATGTATATTAGAATAGTCAAAATCACAGAGACAGGAAGTAGAGCCATGGTCACTAGGGGCTGGGGGGGTGGGGACAAGGAGGATATGGAGTTAATGGAATTGACGGAGTTGATGGAGTTTCCGTTTGGGCAGATACAAAGTTCTGGAGATGGATGGCGGTGATGGCTGCACAATGTGAGTGCGTATTAGTCCATTCTCGCATTGCTATAAAAAAACACCTGAGACTGGGTACTTTATAAAGAAAAGAGGTTTAATTATCTCACAGTTCTGCAGGCTATACAGGAAGCATGATGCTGGCATCTGCTCAGCTTCAGGGGATGCCTCAAGAAACTTACAATCTTGGCAGAAGGCGAGGGGAGCAGGCACAGCCAGAGTAGGAGCAAGAGAGAGTGAGTGGGGAGGCACTGCACACTTTTAAACAACCAGATCTTGAGAGAACTCACTATCTTGAGAACAGCACCAAACGGATGGTGCTAAACTATTCATGAGAAATCCACCCCCATGATCTAATCACTTCCTACCAGGCCCCACCTCCAACACTGGGAATTACAATTTGACCTGAGATTTGGGTGGGAACACAGATCCAAACTCTATCAGAATATATTTAATGCCACTGAACTGTACCCCTAACCATGGTTAAATGGTAAACGTTATGTGCTTTGCCACAGTAAGAAAAGCGGCAGCCCGCTGGGCGCGGTGGCTCACGCCTGTAATCCCAGCACTTTGGGAGGCAGAGGCGGGAGGATCACGAGGTCAGGAGATCGAGACCACAGTGAAACCCCGTCTCTACTAAAAATACAAAAAATTAGCTGGGCGCAGTGGCGGGCACCTGTAGTCCCGGCTACTCGGGAGGCTGAGGCAGGAGAATGGCGTGAACCCGGAAGGCGGAGCTTGCAGTGAGCCGAGATCCTGCCACTGCACTCCAGCCTGGGCGACAGAGCGAGACTCCGTCTCAAAAAAAAAAAAAAAAAAAGAAAAGAAAAGAAAAGCGGCAGCCCTGCCCCCACCAACATGCGTAATTTTTCTCACTAGCATCTATCTCCTTTAGACATAAATTCTATTCATGTGTTTTGTTTCTCCCCACACTAAACTCCCAGTGCCATGAAGACATATTTGTCATGTGCTCATGGTTGTATCCCCCAGTTGCTAGAGCCATGCCTGGGGGCATAGGAGATGCTCAAGAAATACTAGTCAAATGAATGGAAGAAGGAACCTCTATGCCTCAGTTTCCTTATCTGTGAAATGGGGATAAACCTCACCCTTCAGAGTTGTTGTAAACTGTGAGTGGCATACATAGGTAACGGGCCCAGCACAGAGTGTGGTGCTTGATGCACAGAAAATGCTCATGGCCGGGCATGGTGGCTCACGCCTGGAATCCCAGCATTTTGGGAGGCTGAGGCAGGTGGATTGCTTGAGCTCAGGAGTCGAGACCAGCTTGGGCAACATAGTGAGATCCCGTCTCTACAAAAAATAGAAAAATTAGCCAGGCATGGTGGCACGTGCTGGTAGTCCCAGCTACTCGGGAGGCTGAGGTAGGAGGATCACTTGAGCCTGGGAGGCAGAAGTTGCAGTGAGTGGTGATTGCGCCACTGGACTCCAGCCTGGGCGACAGAGTGAGACCCTGCCTCAATGCTCAGTACATGTACACCCTCTTCCTTGGGAAGTAGCTCCACTCATAGACCTTAGGCCCTGGAGCCAGACCATGTGAGTTCAAGTCCTCCTATCACTTCCAGCTAATTGAACTCGGCAAGTGACAACCTCTCTGTAAAATGGAAACACAGAGTGACAAACTCAGGGAAGTCTTGTGAGGATTGAATGAAACACACAAGTGTCCCAGAAAGGGCAGTTCTCAGTGTGCTAGTTCTGTTCTTTCCCATGCAGGTCCCTCTCCGGTGCCCAGCCAGACAGGAAGTACAGATGCCCATACCTCCAGATCCCTGACTCCCTCCCCAGCTCTCGGGTCTGCAGGATCCCTCTGGATTGCAGCTGAGAGGAGTTCCCCAGCAGGCAGGGACCCCACGAGACAAGACGCAGCTTTGGAAGGTTACACCTTGCTCCTACTCTTCCCACCAAAATCATACCTGTCCCTCTCTAGGTGATGGGGACGGGGCAGAGGACCCAGGCCGAGGCCTGAGTGGACTTTCTCTTCCCACAGGCCCCCAGCTCTGAGGGGTGGCGCTGGCCTCCTCGATGCTCCTGGCCTCTGCTGGCCTCCTCCTGGGCCTCCTCTGGTGCTGTTGCTCTCCCAGCTGGCTGGCCTGGCAACCTGGTGCCCGTGGCCTCTGCCTCCACTGCAGCACAGCCTGTACCACGTGCTACCCATGTCCCAGCCAGGTCTCCCCAGGGGGCTGCAGTTGAGTGGCCCAGCCTTATAGGATCAGGGAGGCCATCCCTAGAGGGGCTTCGGGCACATGGGAATGATACTAGGCTCTGGGGTCAGACTCTTTGGGTTCTAACCCCCTGGCTCTCTGTCTGATGTTGGACAGGCCCCCTAACCCTCTGAGACTCAGCTGCCCCTCTAGAAAATAGGACAATTCCTGCCTCACAGGGTTGGGGGCCTGGGGGCCTCGCTGATCCCAAGCCAGCTTGCTTCACCCCCAGATCTCACCTGCCCTGCTCTGCCCCATCCACAGGCTCCACTGAGTGAAGCCCTCATCAAAGACTCAGGAGGCCCCTGGCGGGGATAGCACCGTTTATTAAGAAAAATCAAGACAAAGACCACAGGAGGGTCCCTTCTAGGACACAGAGGCCAGGCGTCCCAACCCCACAGTCTGGGGGCCACTGGCAGGATGGCACTTGAGCTGGATCTTCAGGCTCCTGCAGATGGGGCAGGGTGGTCATATCCCCCTCCTCTCTCTCTCAGTCGTGAGTCCTGCCTTCCCCCACCTAAGGCACTAGCTCTTCCTGAGCACCAGCGGCATCCGTCCGTCCGTTGTCTGTTGGAGGAGTCCCTGGGCCTTCACTTCCAGATGGGTGGGGATGTGGCCTGGGGTGGGCGGGGCCCGGTGGGCGGGGCCCTATCAGTGCTGGGCTCTGCCTGTAGCAGCTCCTGGTAAGAGTTGGGGTGGGCCTTCCCTTACAGCCCCTGAGGGAGGGACCCCAGGCTGTGTGCTGGCAGGAGGGGGTGGGAATGCAGGCCAGGAGGACGTGGTAGGAGGGGGAGTCTGCCAGAGGAGGTGCCAGGGGCTGGGTGGAGGTGGGTGGGGGTGCTGAAAAACGAGCTGGTGGGGATGGGGACCGCCTGCCCAGGGGTGAGCTGCCTTTTGCTCCACAGCCGGCACTAAAGACAATTCCCAATCCTGAGTGGGTGGCAGAGACTCCTGCGATGCCCGTCTCAGGTAGCTGTGGGGCACCAGCCCACAAGCCGAGGTTGGCTCTCCTAGGAGTGAGAACTGCCCAAGGGCTGCAGAAACAGGCCACCCAGCTCTATCTGGGGGCTCCATCGGTGGGTAGGGGGACAGTGGGGGCAGTTCTGGGCCCACCCAGCCACTGTTCCTGACCCCAAGTCCTGGTGACTTTCTGAGGTGCCCACTCCCATCCAACCTGCCTTGCTGGCCAGCCTTGTGGCTTTGCCCAGCTGTGTGTGTGAGGGTGGCATGCCCACCTCCAGTCCAGCCCAGGGCGGTAGCAGCAAAGCGTGGCATCGCCTCGGTTTCTTACAAAAATTCATAATAATATTAATAATAATATACTCGACATTGTCGGGCTGGGGCGTGGCCCGGGAGTCCGTGTGGGGCAGGCAGGTGCCTACGAGGGGCAGGGGCGTGTGTTGGCCCCGGCCTGGGCGCGGTGCTGCAGGTCCAGGGGCTGTGGGGGCGGGGCGCCGGGTCGGGCCGAGTGCAGCACCAGGTTCTTGACACAGCCTGTGATGCCTGAGGAGAATCTGCCCCCGGTCAGCGTGGCCACGTCAGGGGCTCCGCCTGCCGGGAGGTGAGAGGACAGGGCCTGTGGGCTCCAGCAGCCCAGGAGGCGAGGAAGGCTGGGCGAGCTCTAGCCCTAAGGGAGTGCCGTTCCTGCCCCTGCCCTGAGAAGGAGCCCCAGACTTACCGATGTAGACGCTGCCCTTGGCGTTGACTGCCACGTTGGGACCTGGGGACCGGCCGCTGACCAGCTCCTCACCGTCGACTTGGATGGAACCTCTGCGGCCCTCCCTGCAGTGGAACTGGGTCAGGCCCCTTTCCACAAACTTCCTGGTCCTCCCCGGCCCCACGACAGAGTCCCCTCCCTCTGATATCGAGACTCCAGACTCAGAAGTCTGTCCCTGTTTCCCAAGCTCTTTCTTTCCCCCGCTGAACGAGAGATCGGGCCCCACAAACACAGCTTCCTCATTTCTGCACCCAGGTTTCCTCCCACTCCTGGGGCACTCGCCTGCCCCCAGCGGAGTTCAGTCCGAGATGGAAGCCCGAGCCCTGGCTGGTGGGTTCTCCCCTCCCCTGGCTTCAAGTTCTGTCTCCACAGAGCTCAATACCTGCCTCTCTGCCCATGGTAGGGGGCGTCCTGCCCCACTCCAGAACGCTGGGCCCCATCCCGAGTGCCCGGCAGGGTCCCTTACCGCAGTGCTGTCACCCGGTGCCACTCGCCGTCATTGATGGGGTCCTCAGAGACCAGGCGGGCCTCCCCACTACCCAGCTGGTACCTGCAGTCATCCAGGCCCAAGAAGTATGAGCTGGGGCAGGACCGGGGGGTGGGGTGCTGGGACCAGGGAAGGGAGAGGAAGGGCCAGGTGCCAGGACCTACCTGAAGACAAGGTGCCCGTCTTGAAGCCCGAGGCTGATGAAGTCCTTGCCTTGGCCGGCCTCTCCCACCTCCTGCCAGGGAAGCACAGGGTCTCTGGGGTCCCCAGCCTGGAGAGCAGAGGCTGCCGAGGCCAGGGGGCTCTGCTTTCCCCTCCCCCCACCACTCCGGCCACCAGGAAGCCAGCTTCCTGCCCCAGGAGCCCCAAGAGCCCAGCCGGATACCCACACTCACCACACCCTGCCAGAGCAGGAGGCCACTGGCTGTGCTGGTCCGAACCTCCAGCTCGATGGTCTCGGGCACCTCGGGCAGGCTGCGGAGGAAGAGCGGGTGAGGGGACAGAAGTCCCAGATTCCCATCCTCCCCATTAGGCCCATGGGCCCTTCCAATGCCAGTCTCACCTCCTGGAGAAGACATGGCCAGGGAAGGCGAGGAAGCCATCATCGTGGAAATAGGCTCCGTACTGCCCAGGGGCATCTGTGGGAGAGAGGAGGGTGGTGCCATACCTGCTGCATCAGGCATCAAAATCCCCCGTCAGTTCCCCTGACCCCCACCTCCACGCCAACATGCAGGACTAGGGGGCTCCGAGCCTGCAGTCCCTGGGGACCCACGGGGGCTGCCAACAGAATTCAGGGAGCCTATGACCTTGGATGGGAAAGCATTACACCTCAATTTCACTCACTTCTCACTGAAATTGAGCAGTTCTTTCAATGAGATGTAGGCAAGAAACCAAAGTAGCAGTGGTAGGACCTGCAACTTTGTTACTAGTATTTGCTTATCACATGACAGTAGCTGCAAATATTTCAAAATATCATTTACACATATTGCTGCTTTGAAATTGTGGTAGCTACTGAGATCACCAGATCTTGTTATTTGATGTGTTAATAAAGAAGCACATATATAGCAAGTCAGGAAACTTAAAACATGTTTTGATTACTTTACTTCAGCATAATTGCTTTCCTTAAATCAATGTATTTTATTTTATTTTATTTTGTGTAGTCAACAGGATCCGTGTCGGGTGACCCGCCATTCTACTTGCCAAATTCTGTCTGGCTTTAGCCCTGAAAGTCCCACATCCCAAGAAACCCCTCAGTCCGGAGCTACTGGGACCGTTGGTCACCTTGGACTGTGGCAATAAATGGTTCAGAGCCTTGGTGTTCTCTCCATCTTACAGAAGAGCAGGCAGGCTTGGGCGAGTGACTGGCCCAGGATGTCCATACTGTGTGTGGCTCCACACCCCCCCAGCCCTATCTGCTCATGACCCATCCCACAGGCCGGCACTGGCCACAGTAGCTCTGGCAGGGGACAAGAGTAGGGGACCCTCTGCTACCCTCCACCAAATGATGAGGAGAACGGCTGACATTTACCTAACACCTATGATGTGGCTGTGCGGGGAGCGTCCCATCCAGCTACAGACACCACTGCATTTAACTCAATCCTTACAACAACCCTATGAATGAATATTATATATAGATAATTTTTATTTTATTTATTTATTTTTGAGATGGAGTCTCGCTCCGTGGCCCAGGCTGGAGTGCAGTGGCACAATCTTGGTTCACTACAACCCCCACCTCCCAGGTTCAAGCAATTCTCCTGCCTTGGCCTCCCGAGTAGCTGGGACTACAGGTGTGCACCACCACACCTGGCTAATTTTTGTATTTTTAGTAGAGATGGGGTTTCGCCATGTTGGCCAGGCTGGTCTCGAACTGATCTCAGGTGATCCACCCACCTTGTCCTCCCAAAGTGCTGGGATGACAGGTGTGAGCCACCGCACCCAGCCTTATTTTTTATTTTTTTGAGACAGGGTCTCAGTCTGTTGCCCAGGCTAGAGTGCAGTGACACAATTGTAGCTCACTACAGCCTCGACCTCCTGGGCTCAAGTGATCCTTCTGCCTCAGCTGGGACCATAGCCATGTGCCACCACACCCAGCTAATTCTTAAATTTCTTGTAGAGATGAGGTCTCCCTGTGTTGCCCAGGTTGATCTTGAACTCCTGGGCTCAAGCAATCCTCCTGCCTGTCTCCTGAGTAGCTGGGACCATAGATGAGCACCACCATGCCCAGCTACTTTTTGTATTTTTTTGTAGAGACAGGATTTCGCCTTGTTGCCCAGGCTGGTCTGGAACTCCTGGGCTCAAGCAATCTGCCCGCCACAGCCTCCCAAAGTGCTGGGATTATAGGCGTGAGTCACCATACCCAGCTGAATATAGTATTTTTTTTTGAGAGGGAGTTTCGCTCTTGTTGCCCAGGCTGGAGTGCAATGGTGCATGCAATCTTGGCTCATGGCAACCTCCACCTCCCAGGTTCAAGCGATTCTCCTGCCTCAGCCTCCGGAGTAGCTGGGATTATAGGCATGTGCCACCACGCCCAGCTAATTTTGTATTTTTAGTAGAGATGGGGTTTCTCCATGTTGGTCAGGCTGGTCTCAAATTCCCAACCTCAGGTGATCTGCCCGCTTCAGCTTCCTAAAGTGCTGGGATTACAGGCGTGAGCCAGTGTGCCCGGCCAGCTGAACATAATATTAACAACAGCTAACATTCTGTACTGACTCTGTACCACACATTGTTCTAGGCATTTAAAATGCACTAAGTGGCCGGGCGCGGTGGCTTATGCCTGTAATCCAGCACTTTAGGACGGTGGCTTACGCCTGTAATCCAGCACTTTAGGAAGCCAAGGGGGGCGGATCACCTGAGGTCAGGAGTTAGAGACAGGCCTGGCCAACATGGTGAAACCCCATCCCTACAAAAAATACAAAAATTAGCGGGGTGTGGTGGCAGGCACCTGTAATCCCAGCTACTCAGGAAGCTGAGGCAGCAGAATCGCTTGAGTCTGGGAGGCGGGGGTTGCAGTGAGCCGAGATTGTGCCACTGCACTCCAGCCTGGGTGAAAGAGCAAGACTCCACCTTAAAAAAAAATGCACTAAGTAATTTTACTCTCACATAAAATTTTATCCAAATCTTTAGGGAAAGATGTTACTCATCTCCATTTTATATGAGGCACAGAGAGGTTAAGCGACTCACCCAAAGTTCCACAGCTAGTAAGTGGGAGAGCTAGGATTTGAACCCAAGCAGGCTGGCTCCAAGTCTATACTCTTACCCACTATACCACTGCCTCGCCTATTATATTAGTGATACATAAGAAGAGATGTGTCTGTAAAGGGGTTAGCACAGTGTCCGTAAACATTCAATCAGCATTCACTCTTCACTGTTTCCTTAGCTTTTCAGTAGACGGTGGAATTCTTGGGAATGAGGGTCTTGCTTTATGCATCTTATATTTACTGCTCTCAGGGCAAGGATGGGCAACAATAGTTTGTTGACTGAATACATGAATACAGAGGAGGAAACTGAGGTCAGAGTGGTTTCAAAGGCCTGCCCAAGGTCACCCAGCCAGTAAGTGTGGGGCAGGCCCTAGCTCCACATGGCTGTGGTCTTCATTCTGTCTCTCTGCCCAGCAAGCTCCTCATATAAAGCTGTTTTGCTTGCAGGCCAGAATTGAGGGTGTGGGGTAACTGGAAGAGTGAGCTGAGCTGAAGCTGGGGAGGAGGCCATGGCAAGTACTCACCATTGCCCCCGCTGCCTTCAAGATGCCAGTCGGACTCTGCTATGCCATGTCCAGAGCCTATGGAGAAGGGCAGGGTCCAGTTGGTGGGCATAGACACCCGTGGGTACTATGTCGAGCTCCGGGGCCCCAAGACAGAGATGAAGTGGAGAGAAGCCAGGCCTGGGTACCTTGTTGGCAGCGTGGGCCAGAGAAGCCAGGGAGGCAGAGGCAGCGGGTGCCCTGGCAGGTGCCCCCATGCAGACAGGGTTCACGGAGCTGGCAGGGGTTCTCCTCGTGCTCACACAGGTCTCCTGTGGGCCAGGGCAGAGGCGAGTGGGTGGGTGGGCATGGGCTGGAGGTGTCGCTGACCACCTGTGCCCCTCCCCTCCGGTGCCCTGGGCAGGCTTTCCCACCTTTGAATCCATCTCGACACAGGCACTGGAACTCATACTCGCCAGCGGGCATGCACGTGGCACCATGTTGGCAAGGCTGGCGCTCACATGGGGAGCTATCATAGCATTGCCCGATGCCCTGGCTGCCTAGGAAACTGTAGGTGAGGTCCAGCCGTTTGCCATTCACTGACACCTGTGGGGACAGGGACACCGAGGGACTAAAGGGGCCTGGGAGGCAGAGACCCAGGTGTACCAGCAGGGAGAAGAATGCAGCAGAGGGGAGCTGGGAGCCCACATTGGGCCCTGAGTGGTAGCATGGATTCTCGGTGTGGGGAGGGAGGCGCAGGAGTTGAGTGCCTACTGTGTGCTAGAAACATTCATCCGTCAGTGCAGACAATCCTCTGCCCAACCTTTCAAAGTAGGTGTGATCATGCCCATTTTACAGAGGAGGAAACTGAGGCTCAGAGGTACAGTGTCCTGGCCCAGGGCCCGTGGGTGGCTGCAGGTGGAGGGGCCCAATGCCAAGGTGCTTGGAGAGCCGAGGGGGACACAAGGCTTGGCACCCCTCCCCTCCCGCTTGTCCCGAGGAGGCTGCTCTTACCTCGCCCACACAGCCGCGGAAGTGAGCGCTCATGTTGGTGGCCGGGGACAGTGGCACGGAAGGCTCCACACCCCCCAGGTAGAGCAGGGTGTGCAGGTTGAGGCCCTGGCTCTTGCCGGGCGAGGAGCGCAGCACAGGGCGTCCACCATTCACCCGCAGGCTGCCGTCCTTGTTGAGACGCTCTGCAGACACACGGTGCCAGCGGCCCAGGGCCAGCGGCTCGGCGCTCCGCAGAACGGCCAGCCCTGGGGAGGATGCCAGGCAGGGTTGGGCACATGGGGGCACACGGGGCTCCCTGCCCTCTCCACCACAAACAGGGCCCTGAGCAGATGGGGAATGCCCTACAGCCTTCTGTATTCCAGATGAGGAGCCCATGGCTCAGAGAGGGCTAGGGATTGGCCTCAAGTGACACAGAGACGAAATGCACAGGAAGAGGGGACTTGCCCTGATCCCTGCATTTATCCTCCCATGCCTCCCTGGGGCTTGAAGAGCCGAGGGGGGCACAAGGCTTGGTGTGCAGAGCCCCGCATTTGGTGCTGGGTGCTTACCTGACCCCAACTCATAGCGGAACTCCAGGTGGCCGCCCACCATCGCCAGGGACACGAAGTCCTCCACAGGCCCGCTCTTCCCCCCGCTGAACAGCAGGACCCCGTCAGGGGCGAGTGGCTTGAACTCCACGTCCAGGCGTAGCTCGTGGTGTGTGTTGGTGAGGGCGGGCAGTGCCAGGTAGGAGCCAGCACCCGACAGCGAGGGGGTGGTCACTGTCACACCTGCAGCAGCCACAGCTCAGCTGAGGCAGTGGGGATCCTGGACCCTCGGGTGGGGTCCAGCTACTCTGCCTTCCTCTGGGACCCTTGCCTGCCTCACTCTCCAGGCCCAGAGGCTCAGGACCAGTTGGCACCAGCTGCAGTGGCACAGGAGCCCCCCTGCCCTTGCACACGGGGCTGGGAGGAGCTCCAATATGACAGGGGTCCTCTTTGGGGGCCCTCACTCAATAAGGGGCTCAGGCTGGGCAGACATGTGGCCAGGTGACTTCGAGATCCTCTGGCTTGGGAATCGTTTTATCATCCGTAGGGCCCATCATGGCCTCAGAGTGCCCCACCCAGCCTCCCCAGCTGACACTAGGACCCTGGGGGTCTCAGGCCTGGCTCCCCTCACCTTCCTCACACCGCAACCCCGAGCGGCCCAGGTGGCAGCGGCAGGTGTAGCCTCGACCGTCAGGCCGGTTCACACAGGTGGCGTCGGGCCCACAGGCCTCTGGGGGGCACATAGGCCAGTGAAAAGACACGGAGGTGACTCTGGAGGGAGGGGGGTCCTGATGCCAGAGGTCTGCCCATCACACCCCGGGGGGCTGGGCTAGTGAGGGCCAGGCCAGCCTCCTGGGAGGCCTTGGAGGAGGGAACTGAGCAGAGCAAGGCGGGAGCCAGAAGAGGCCACAGGGAGGACTGCAGGGGAAGCAGTCGAGGGACTCTGTGTGTCTGCAGGTTCTTCAGAGACTGGACAGTGTTGGAGGGGGAGCACCTGGTGGCGGGTAATGGGGTGGGCACCTGGGTAATAAGATGGGACTGGGGGCCGGGCGTGGGGGCTCATGCCTGTAATCCCAGCACTTTGGGAGGCCGAGGTGGGTGGATCACCTGAGGTCAGGAGTTCAAGACCAGCCATGGCCAACGTAGTGAAACCCCGCCTCTACTAAAAATGCAAAAAATTTAGCCAGGGGTGGTGGCAGACACTTGTATTCCCAGCTACTCAGGAGGCTGAGGCAGGAGAATCGCTTGAACCCGGGAGGTGGAAGTTGCAGTGAGCTGAGATCGTGCCACTGCACTCCAGCCTGGGCAACAAGAGCGAAACTTCGTCTCAAAAAAAAAAAAAAAAAAAAAAGATGGGCTGGGGGTGGGGGAGTGCCTGGGTGGCGGGGTAGTGGTAAGAATTTGGTCAGCAGGGCTGGAGGAGGGGAAGCAGCAGTGATGGGGTGAGGGCCTTCGGGTAGCAGAGATGGGGGATGGGTACATGGGAGGAGTGGAGAGTGCTCAGGTGAGAGTGGGGGGTGTGGAAGTGCCCCAGTGGTTGAGATGGTGGTGGATATGGGGAGGCAGCAAAGGGAAGAGGCAGGCCCTGGGGCGACAGCGACTGGCGGTCGGGGTGCGTACCTGGATGGCAGTGCAGGGCCTGCGAGTGCTCACAGCGGCTCCCGGTGAAGCCAGCTGGGCAGACGCACACGTAGCTGCTGCTCTCAGAGTCATGGCACTGACCGCCATTCTGCAAAGCAGCCCCCAGAAGTAAGGCCGAGAACATTCAGTACCCCCCATAATCCCCACAGGGGCCAGCCATGGCTAGGGGTGGAGGCCACGGCAGCCAGGTGGTGTGTGGGGTGTGGGGTCACCTGGCAGGGCCGGTCCCGACAGGTGGGGCAGTGGGAGATGCCGTGCGCCGTGAGGTTGAGGTCATGGAAGACGATCTCCTCGCCCTGGATGCGCAGCTCCCGGACACAGCCTGGGAGGTGAGTGGGCAGGATGAGCACAGGGCAGGGTGTCCCAGCCCATACCCTGAGGTGCCCTCCCAGGCTCTCCAGGGCTCTTCCAGCCAGCCAGGTAAGGCCCAGCCTCAGCTGGAGGTGGGGAGGGGGCTCACCTATGAAGCCGCTGCTCAGCCCCGCCTTGGGGATGGCACCATAGTCAGGATAGCCACCCAGGTAGAGTTCCTCGTTCAGATCCAGGCCCTGGAACTTGCCCTGGGGAGGTGGGGAAGTCAGGAATGGCAACAGAGGCTGGGCAAGGGCGGGATGAGGGCTGGAAGTAGCAGTATGGGGTTGGGTCTCACCTGGGAGGTCCCATTGACCGGGGCCAGGTCACCCACAATCAGGGAGCCCTGGGTGAGGCTGCGCAGCAGGGTCACGGTGTGGAAATGGCCCAGGGCCAGTGGTGTGGGATGGCGGATGGTGGCCATGCCTGAGCCTGCATCGAACCTGCTCCGTGGGGCAGGCCGGGGCAGGAGAGAGTGGATAGGGGGTTTGTAAGAAGGGCTAGGGGCCCAGTTGGGTAGAGGGGTCCCAGAGGAGGGATGTCACCACTTCCTGCAGTCCCAGCCCTGGGGCTGTTCCCGTTCCTGTCCCTGTCTTGTCGTCCCTCCCCGTGACCCATCCCCTGGATCTTCTCTCCCCACATCCTTTTGCTGGGAGCTTTCCCAGAGCAGCCCACAGGGACCCCAGGCTCAGCGCCCTGCAGCCTAGCACCTGGCCTCCTTGTTCCTCTGAGGACTCCTCTCTCCCTGTGATCACCTTGTTTCTCTGTTTATGGCTTGTTTATTCTTCCCCAGTGAGAATACACCTCTTCCCACAAGAGCCAGAATTTGGTCTGTTTTGTTTTACCTGTATCAGTGCCTGGCACACATGGGGTGGTCAGCAAATAACTGATGCATGCATGCATGAATGAATGAATGAATGAATGAATCCTGGCCTGCAGCAGTCCCAAGTCTGAGGTTGCACCCTCCTCCACCTGACTGGCATACTATTCCTACTCTAGCAGATTGGGTGGTCACCAAGGGTAACGGCCACATTTTCTCCTTCCTCCAGATCTCCTTTGTATAATGGAGCCCAGGGTAGCACTTGCCAGACCAAAGCCCTGTGTCCAGTCCCCCTGTAGGTGGGGAGGCTGGGGGTCTCACCGGAACTCGGGCCTTCCCCCCACGAGGCCGAAGGAGATGAAGTCGGGCTGCCGGTTGGCCAGGTTGGTGGGGCTCCCTGGGACTCGCTTCTGCCCATTGTACAGCAGCATCCCTGGGTGGGCACCACTGTGTAAGGGGCCCCCTTCCAGCCACAGGCTCCCTGTCCTCCCCCACCCTAGAAACCACCCAAGCTCTTGAGCCTGTCCACTCTCGGAACCTGTCCCTCCCTCTGGCACTCCTCACACAGCCAGGGCCTTCTCACTATCTCAGGGCTGGTGCCCCAAACGCAAGGGCCTTACTGAGCGCCCCTAGAAAGAAACTGAATTTGCTTCACACACACTGGAGTCTCCCTCAAGGGGGAGAGGGAGGCAGAGACTCACCCGAGTAGAGAAGGAGGCCTGGACAGTGAAAGTCAGAGACCCGTAAGAGACGAGAGAAAGAGAGGAGGAAAGGGTGAGATGGAGGCAGAGGAGGGAGGAAGGAGCAGAGATGGGGAAAGGAAGCTGGGACAGGAGGACTGGGGGTGATGCCCCGGTGGCAGAGGAGCCACGAGGAGGCTGGAGATATCACAGAGGCAGGGATGGAGAAGCCGGGAGGCACAAGAGAAGGCACACCAGGGTGGAGGCCCAGAGGTCTGGGGGCTTCTGGAGAGGGAGGGCTGAGGGATTGGGGCAGGACTGAGGGGCAGCCAGGGCTCCTGCCATGATGGCAGTTACTCCACGAGGTCCCTCAACCCAGGCCAGCCCACCCCGCAAATTAACCCTCCTGCTCACCATCGGCTGAGTCGGGCCGGAAGGTGATCTTGATCTCGAACTTCCTGTAGGCATCCTTGATGGTGGGCAGCGGTAGGAAGGAGTAGGGGGTCTGCGTGAAGTAGGGCACCACCCGCTCTGCCAGCAGAGAGCACAGCTGAAGACCCTGCCAGTCAGGGAGTGGGCAGGGCACTGCCAATTCTTAGGGGTGGTGTCTTACCTGGCACCTGCAGGTGGGCAAAGGCTTTGACCTTGCCCTGGCGGTTAGTGGCGGTGCAGACGTAGGTACCTGCGTCCTGGGGTCGGACTGAGGGCAGCATCAGCATGTTGTTCTCCAGGCGGCTGTCAGGTGGCAGGCTGCCATCCAGCTGCAAATGCACTAGCACTGAGGGCCCTGGCCTTGGCCCACGGCTCCAGGGGCCCACCTCCCATCTGTGCCTCAGGCCCACCTTCCAACATTGAGCGTTTGCTCTTGGCCAAGCCTGTGCCACATCCTGGGGACACTGAGACGCTTCAGATCTGTTCCCAGCCCCCAAGTCATGCCCGCTGGTTCCCTCTCCAGCACTTACCTTGCTCCAGCTGATGTCAGGAGTGGGGTAGCCTGAGGCTATGCAGGGGAAGACAGCTGCAGAACCAGCAGGCACACGGACTTCTTGGGGCATTGAGATCTGGGGCAAGGCTGAGAGGCATGGAAGAGACATAGGCCATCAACATGACAGTCACAGATATGTGCCCAGCCTGCACCCTGATTCATTTCATCTTCACACCACCCCTTGAAGGAAGCCACTACATTCCATTTCACAGATGAGGAAATTATGGCTCAGAGGGGAAAAGCGGCTGTTTGCTCCTGGTCGGGCAGAGTCAGGGTTCAGGGCCAGATCCATTTCACTCCACAGCCTGAGACCTCTTCAACATGCCTGGGCAAAAAATTGTGCAGCCCTTTGGGGACCTGAGAAGTGCACACTAGGGGCAGTATAGGTAAGGAAGTTTGGAGGCAAGTCACAGGGCTTGGGGTAAAAAGGAATTGCCTTTAAAGAACACACAGTGTTTGTGTCTGCCCTGCATCTGTTGTCCTTGTTTTACTCTCTATTAGGTCTGTTTGTTGACTGGGTTATGTCTCTGCCCTCAGACTATGCTGCAGGTCTCTCCCAGCAGAGCAGGCACTCCCTGCAGATGAGGACAAGGTTTCTTTTTTCTTCTTGATGCTCTATGGCCTAGCTCTCTCCCTGTACATTCCAGGCTGCCCTGGGGGAATCTCACTTTTATCCCCTGCTGCTGCCACCTGTTATGAAACCTGCCCCTTAAACACACACAATGGAAAATGTCCCAAGTGAACAGAAAGGAAGAGCAGAGCGGGCAGGCAGAAGATGGCAGCAGGAGAAGCCCCTGCCCCACTCACTGTCCCCCAACAAAAGTCCCCACTGGCCTTCACCTTGCACAAGCAGCAGGACGTGGGATTGTGTGGTGCCAGCTGCGTTGGTGGCAGTGCAGCGATACTGTCCCGCATCAGCCAGCTCTACGTGGGCGATCCTGACGACACCTCCGCTCTGCACAATGCCTGGCCGCAGGTGCCCTCCAACTTTGCTCCATGTCACCTGAGGCTTGGGGTCACCCAGTGCCAGGCATTCGAACTCCACGGCGTGGCCAACCACCACGGTCTGCACAGAGGTCCGGATGTTGATGAGCACCGAGGGCAGGGCTGGGGAGGAGGGAGGCAGAGGTCCAGTGAGATCAGTCACTGCAGGCCTGGCCCGAGGGAGGCCATAGACTGCCCAAGGAAAGGTGAGCACTGAAGCTCCAGCATTCATTCACTCCTCATTCACTTTTTCATGCATTCACTCACAAACACACTCACTTGTCAGGTCTTATGCATTTACTCACTCACGTGTCCACTTCTTTTTTTTTTTTAGACAAAGGGTCTTGGTTGTATTCACAGGTGTGATCACGGCTCACCACAGCCTAGAATTCATGCGCTCAAGCAATGCTCCCAGCTTAGCCTCCTGAGTAGGTGGGACTACAGGTGCGTTCCACCATGCCCGGTTCACACTGATTCAATCTTCATCGGTTCATCTGAGCACTCACACACTCCATCCATATCCTTCTTCCCTCCCTTGAAATATGTATCAAGCCCCTTTTACTCTATGCTAGACACAAGCAAGGCAAAATGGAATAATTCTCTTTATTCTGACACATTTAGGGGGATTCCTAGGGAACAGGGTCTGGGCCTTGTGCCTCTCTGCCTTTCTCATCTCTGTTCCCTGCTCTTAGCAGAGGCCTGAAGCCACCCTCCTACCTTGGATAACCAGCTGGGCACTGGCCTGGGCCTTCCCCCAAGGTCCATGGGCCTGGCATATATACGTCCCTTGGCAGCTCTGGTCCAAGTTCTGGATTCTATAAAGAAAAAATAATAAGACATCAGGGAGTTGAAAACAACTGATAGAATGCTTTGCAATTGGGCTGGGCGTGGTGGCTCACGCCTGTAATCCCAGCACTTTGGGAGGCTGAGGCAGGCGCATCACTTGAGATCAGGAGCTTGAGACCAGCCTGGCCAACATGGTGAAACCCTGTTTCTACTAAACATACAAAAATTAGCCAGGCGTGGTGGCACACGCCTGTAATCCCAGATACTTGGGAGACTGAGGCACGAGAAACGCTTGAACCCGGGAGGCGGAGGTTGCAGTAAGCCGAGATTGCGCCACTGCACTCCAGCGTGGGTGACAGAGTAAGATTCCATCTCAAAAAAAAAAAAAAAAAAAAGAATGCTTTGCAATTGTGTGGGCATTAAAAACTGATGTAGAACAGCACGCAGTGTTGCATTCTAGTTTCCCAATAACCACTAGAGGTAGGCAGGCAGGTTGGGGGGCACCACACTCATTTTAGACAAAGACCTTATGGTCTAGGGCTCAAGATTACACAGTTATCAAGTAGCAGAGCTGAGATCTGGGGTCATTTGTGTATTTCTGGCCCCAGGGCCTGTTCTCTTTCCTCCGCTAATAATAAATATGAATGGGCCACTGTTTACTGAAGGCCTTCCAAGCACCAAGCACTGTGCAAGTGCTTCAGACAATCTCCTTTCAGTCTTTTTTCTTTTTGAGATGGAGTTTTGCTCTTGTCACCCAGGTTGGAGTGCAATGGTGCGATCTTGGCTCACTGCAACTTCCGCCTCCTGGGTTCAAGTGATTCTCCTGCCTCAGCCTCCAGCGTAGTTGGGATTACAGGTGCCCACCACCACACCCAGTTAATTTTTTGTATTTTTAGTAGAGGCAGGGTTTCACCATGTTGGCCAGGCTGGTCTCAAACTCCTGACCTCAGGTGATCTGCCCGCCTCAGCCTCCCAAAGTGCTGGGATTACAGGCATGAGCCACCGTGCCTGGACCTCATTCAGTCTTATATAACCCACTGTACAGCTGAGAACACTGAGGCTCAGAGAGGTAAAGTGATGTGTCCAAGGACAGTGCTTCATGTTGCGCCCCCTGGGGCAGGTGCTTTAACTCTGCTCACTGTGAGCCCTGGGCTATGCTGCCCAAGTCCAGTCCTGCCCCCGGCCCCACTCACCGGAGCACCCCATCCTGCACGCTGTGACCCGGAGGCAGCTGACCCCCTTCCTTGAACCAACGGAGCTGGGTACCCCGGTCGCTGGGCACAGCACAGTGGAACTCAACGCTGGCCCCAATGCTCTTGGTCTCTAGCTGAGGCGTGACCTGCACGGTGGGCGTGGACCCTGCTGGGATGGAGGTGGCAGGGAGAGAGCCGGGAGGGCCTGCGGGGACATGTATGAGGTTCTGCAGGTATATGTGTGTGTGATGTCCCTGATGCCCCTCCAGGGACCCAGGAAACCCCCAGCCCAACATTCAAGGAATGTTCTCCTGATAGCCTCTCTGACCAGGGAAAAAAGACCGTTCAGTGGCAGATTCATTCATCTGCACACACAGCTGCCATTCCACCAACATGGATAAGGGCCTGTGGAGCGCTGGGCTCTGTTTCCACAGCTCCTCGCTTCTGGGTGGGGAGGGCAGGCCACGAAAAGAGTGGGAGGGACTCAATACTTTTTTTGAGACGGAGTCTCGCTCTGTTCCCAGGCTGGAGTGCAGTGGCACGATCTCAGCTCACTGCAACGTCCACCTCCCGGGTTCAAGCGATTCTCCTGCCTCAGCCTCCCGAGTAGCTGAGACTACAGGTGCGCCACCGTGCCTGGCTAATTTTTTTTTTTTTTTTGTATTTTAGTAGAGACGGGGTTTCACCATGTTGCCCAGGCTGGTCTCAAACTCCTGAGCTCAGGCAATCTGCCTGCCTCGGCCTCCCAAGGTGCTAGGATTACAGGCGTGAGCCACCGCGCCCGGCCATACTCAGACATTTTAAGGAAGGACAGCAAAGCCTATTCTGCCTGCAGTTTAAATAAGAGAATCCAGGGACTTGGCCATGGCAAAGACACCTACACATGCAGGGGACAGATGGGAGGCGGGGGCTGATGCATACTGTCCCCATTTACTAAGTGCCTACTGCGAGCCACAGTTTTACATCTGTGTTTACCTCTGTGTACCTTTCCAACTCAGCCTACATGGTTGGCATTGTTCTCTCCACTTTACAGATAAAGAAACTGAGGCTCAGGACGAGTGCAGTGGCTCACGCCGGTAATCCCAGCACTTTGGGAGGCTGAGGTGGGTGGATCACATGAGGTCAGGAGTTCGAGACCAGCCTGGCCAACATGGCGAATCCCCTTCTCTACTAAAAACACAAAAATTAGCCAAGCGTGGTGGCGCGTGCCTGTAGTGCCAGCTACTCGGGAGGCTGAGGCACGAGAAAGGCTTGAACTCGGGAGATGGAGGTTGCAGTGAACCGAGATCATGCCACTGCACTCCAGCCTGGGTGAAAGAGTGAGATTCTGTCTCAAAAAAAAAAAAAAAAAAAAAAAGAAAGAAACTGAGGCTCAAAAAGGTTCAGTGACTTGGCCAAGGTTGCACAGCCAGCAAATGGCCAAGCTGTGCTTTGAACCCAGGTCTGAGTCCACAGTCCAGGCTCTTGACCAGTGGGCTACATGCTGTGCTGCTTTAAGTTTGGGGCCCAAAAGCCCTCATTTGTATCATTGATGCAGGAGGCCATGGAAATGCTGGGCTCTCTGAAGATCCACTGAAGCCCTGGGCGTGCTGGGGTGGGTGCTCCTGTCACTCATTCACTGTTGTCCCTGTCAAGCATTTACCCAGCCCATCCTGGGCCTTGTTGCCCTCAATTAAGCCCAGGGCTGCTGAGATGCCTGGGTCCAGGCCCTGCCCTGAGCATTCTCACTGCCTGGCAGGGGAGGCAGGCTGGGGTGCTTATGTACACAGAATGGTTTCCTTTGGCAGTGCCAGGGCTGTGCCAAAGGTGGGGAGCAGCCGTGAGAGCTAGAGGAGCTGAGCACACATGATGGAGGGCTTCCTGGAGGTGGCAAGCCTGCCTCGGGCCCTGGAGAGTAGGGGAGATGAGGGCATTCCAGGTGGGGTTATGGAGGGAGGCCTTCCCACCCGAGTCTGCCTAGCTGGGTCATCAAAGGGCCAGGAGGAAAGGTGATCCCCTTCCACGCAGAGCCGGGGCTGCTTACCTTGGACGAGCAGCTGGGCAAAGGCCTCGGCTGAGCCCACCTTGTTGGTGACCCGGCAGCGGTAGCGGCCTGAGTCCTCAGGGGCTGCACGCTCAAAGTGCAGCAGCTCGTTCCTGGCGGTCGCCCTCCCAGGAAGGCTGCTGCCCACGCGGCTCCACTGGAAGGTGAGTGGGGGTGTCCCGTGAGCCAGGCACTGGAGCTGCACCGTCTCCCCTGCCTGCACCGAAGCGTGCTCTGGGACCGTGGTGGCATATGGTGGGCCTGAGTGGGGGGACACAGAGGTCAGGATTGGGGAGGGCAAAGGTCAGAATGGCAGCAGGTCGTTGGATCCAGTGTCCAGGGAAGCTGAATGGTGAGCCCAGAGGACTGGGGATAAGGAAAGCAAAGGTCCCAGGCCAGGGTGTGGGTGTCGGGCAGGGCAGGCTCCAGGACCCTGCAGCGCCTGGAGACCTCTGGATGGGGTTCCTGGGGTTCTGTGTGGGGTGGAGCCTAGTCGGGGGGCTCAGATCTCCATTTGGTGCAGACAAAGAAGGGATGAGGCCTTACTCTCCACGTGCAGGATGATGGTGGCCTCAGCGTGCCCAGCAGGGCTAGTGGCATTGCAGATGTACTGGCCCGAGTCCTGCTGGGCTACCCGGGGTATGATGAGTGTGTCACCTTCCAGCCGGTGCTGCCAGGGCAGTGGGGAACGCAGCTTGGACCAGTGGATGGTGGGCGCGGGGCTGCCTGTGGAGTCGAGTGGAAGATGACAGAAGTCACTGGGCTACCTCAGGGACCCGCAGAGGGTGGCCATGGTGAGGAAGGGCCCTGGGTGATCCTGTCCCTCTATGGGGACCCCAGTTGGGTTCCTCGGCCATCACTGGGGGATGCTAGCAACACGGTCTCCCCGTACTCCCCACCCCTGGGCATGACATCATCTCTAGATCACATGTGTCTACATTTCAGACCCCAGGGCATCCCTGCCCTGCCAGCCCTATGTGCCAGCCCTTGGTCACACCTGTGGCTGAGCAGCGCAAGGTGGCCGTGTGTCCAGCCTCCACAGTCAGCTCAGCTTCTTCAGCTTGGACCTGAGGGGCCCCTGGGGCCATGGCGCCCGTGTCCACGATCACCTCCACCTGCTTCTGTGCTGTGCCTAGTGCATTCTGAGCAAGGCACACATAAGTGCCCGCATCTGATGGTTTAGCTGATGAAATCTGGGAGAAAGCAAGGAGGCTGGTTATGTGGGGACTCAGTGGGGACGCTGATGTCAGCCCCAGCTCTGGCTTGGTCTTCCCTATTTCCTCTACCCTGCCTTGGTATCTATTTATTTACTTATTTATATATTTATTTTTTGAGACAGGGTCTTACTCTGTCGCACAGGTTGGAGTGCAGTGGCACCATCTGGCTCATTGCAACCTCTGCCTCCTGGGCTCAAGCAATCCTCTCGCCTCAGCCTCCTGAATAGCTGGGACTACAGGTATGTGCCACCACACTCAGCTAATTTTGTTTGTTTGTTTGTTTTTTGAGGGTCTTGCTCTGTCACCCAGGCTGCAGTGCTGTGGCACGATCTCTGCTCACTGAAAGCTCTACCTCCCAGGTTCACATCATTCTCCTGCCTCAGCCTCCTGAGTAGCTGGGACTATAGGCACCCGCCATCACGCCTGGCTAATTTTTTTGTATTTTTAGTAGAGACGGGGTTTCACCATGTTAGCCAGGATGGTCTCAATCTCCTGACCTTGTGATCCGCCCGCCTCAGCCTCCCAAATTGCTAGGATTACAGGTGTGAGCCACTGCACCCAGCCTAATTTTGTATTTTTAGTAGAGACGGGGTTTCACCATATTGGCCAGGGTGGTCTCGAACTCCTGACCTCAGGTGATCCACCCACTTTGGCCTCCCAGGCTGGTCTCAAACTCTTGGGCTCAAGTGATCTTCCTGCCTCAGCCTCTCCAAGTGCTGGGATTACAGGCACGTGCCACCATGCCTGGCCCTTTCCTTGGTTTTTAGCTGTCCCATCTGGTTGCTTGAGGGCTCACCCTCATGACACCCCATTAGTCCATCCATCCACTTGGCCTTCGACCCACCCTCCCACTCATTCTTTCTTCCTTCTCCTACCTTCCTTCTCTCTTCCCTCTCATCTTCCAGTCTATTCGTCATCCACCCATCCCATCCCATTCCTCCCTTCCTCTCTCCATCCACTCATCACCACCTGCCCATCCACTACTATCTCCTCCAAGCACCCGCTCAAGGCTGGGCCATGGACTGGGCCTCAGACCCAGAGAGGCAGCCCCGGCTTCACCTGCAGCACCGCGTGGCTGTCCATGAGCCCATATGTCCGCTGCTCCAACTTGGCAGGGGTGCTGCTGATCCGGGTCCAACGAGCAGAGGAGCGGGGCTCCCCGGCACTGACACACTCCAGGGTGACAGCCTTTCCCACTTTCACCCACACGGGGCCCTCGGGGAGCACGGACACTGTAGGGGGCCCTGTGCGGAGGAATGACAACCACTGACACACAGGCAGGGCTCTGCTGCTCACCCACACTGCCATGGCCTCCAGCTTAGTAACTGCTGGGTGGGCACCTGTCTCCCCACTGCACTGAGGTGGAAACTGAGGCTCAGAGAGGGAGAATGCCCAAGACAGAGTCAATGGTGGAAGGAGGATTTAAACTTGGAGGCTCTGAGCTGAGAATCAGGGCTGGAAACAGGGCAGAGCCCCACAGGGTCAACGTCCCCTCACCGTGCACACTGAGGTTCACCACACTCTGGGCCACACCGTAGGCATTGGAGGCCACGCAGCGGTAGGTACCGTGGTTGCTGGGCCGGGTGCCCACGATGGTGATGATGGAGCCATTGGGACTGATGTGGACGTTGTCTGTGAGGTTGCATGGGGGAGGGTGAGAGAGGATTGACCTGGTCCTTCTCGTGTCTTGGTGCTGCCAGCCTGTGCCCCTGGGCCCACTTCCCCAATCCCTCCGGCCTGGGTGTGTCTAGCTCATGGAGTCGCAGATAGCAGAAAGTAACAAAGGCCTTGGAAACTCCTGGGTCCAGCGCTCTTGCCATACAGAGACGGGAAGGGCCTTACTCAGGGCCACACCATGAATGTGGGGCGTCCAGACTTCTGCCCCACCCTTGCACAGTGGGGATGACGGCACCCCCATGCCTGCCCCCAGCTTGCCCACCTGCCCACCAGCCTGGCTCACCCTCCAGCTCCTGGTTCCGGGTCTTCCACTCGAGGCTGATGGGGGCTGCCCCGTCATGGATGAGGCACTTGAAGCTGGCATCCTGGCCCTGCTGCACGGTGCTGCTGGGCGGGTCGATGGAGATGACCGGGCTCCTAAGGCCTGGGGCCAAAGGGGCAGAGGGCTGGGCTCAGCAGGGGTGGGCTTAGCTTCAGGGCCCTCCCTTCCCCCCTTGCCCATGGCATCTGCCATACTCACGGTAGGAAGACCCCTCACTGGGCGGGACGGTGACTGTGAAGGAGGCTTCTTGCTCAGGGCCTGGGCCGCTGGCTGCACGACACACATACTCGCCTGAGTCGGCAGGGGAGACGAGGTGGAGCCGCAGCTGGGAGCCATGGGTCTGTCAGAGCAGCGAGGGGACAGTTATCAGGGCAAAGTCCCCAGGACAAGGAATGTCCCCAAGCCCAACTGTGCCGGTACCCAAGAGTTCTCTCGGAAGCTCAGGGTCTCAGCTGGTAGGGCTGGTGGAAGCTTCATTCACAGAATCCTAGAGGTCCAACCCACTCACTTTACAGTGGAGGAAACTGAGGCCCAGGAAAGGATTCAGCTGCAGAGCCAAGAGAAAAACCCAGGTCTCCTGATTTGCAGGCTGGTGAACTCGTCCCGCAAACGTATTTTATCCCCTGGGGTCCCCAAGCAGGCTGGTGTTTGCATGAGGTTTGGGTACAGAAAGCAACTGCAGGTCTAACCTTGCCTGACCTGGAATCCTCCCCATCCTGGCCCCTGTACCTGGTGCCGGGCGGGGAGGCTGCCCCCGCGCTTGTACCACGTGACCTGGGCATGGGCCTGCCCGGGCACCACACAGTTCAGATCCAGAGTCTGCCCTTCAGTCACGTGTGAAGAGGAGGCCTCGATGTAGATGGGCTGGGCCAGTCCTGGAGCTGTGGGCACAGGGGGTGGGTGAGAGAGGCCAGGCTCCGGGGATCAAGGCAGGGGCTGAAGGTGGTGGCAGTGAAGACCAGCTCCAGTTGATCCTGGGGGCGCGGTGGCTTGAGAGTGGCTGATATAACCTAAGAAGGGTCTCCTTTCCCTGGGGACTCAAGGGTCCTCCTGAAACTCAGGGCTGGGGTCCCCCTGGTTGAGGGGACGGGACCATTGTCAGACTTGGGAACACCTGGGTTGGCTTGATCCTCCGTGGTAGGAAACCCCGCCTGCAGGCAACAATAAGTGCCCGGCTGGGAGAGAGGAGAGGAGCAGAGCTGGGAAGGAGCCCCGCGCCTGTGCTCTGGCATCGCCCACTGCTCCCTATCACTCACCAGGAATGGGTCCTGGGCTGGAGGGCTCAATTGTGACCAGGACAGATGCCTCCAGGGTGCCTGAGCTTCCGGTCACTTGGCACGAGTACTCGCCAGAGTCAGCCGGGGACACCTGGTTCAGCCTCAGCAGTGGGCCGTGGACCTGGCCAAGGTGGGGTGAGAGCGGGGAGGGTGAGCTGGGAGCCTTCAGATGCCCAGGCCTCTGGTACCCACACCCTGGGACTGCCATGCACAGATATGTAGGCGCATCCTGTTGGAGGCGACCCCTTTGACAGTCCGCATTGTGGAGGGCATGTTTATTATGATGGTTTCTCCGGCAGGAGGAAGTCAAGAGCCTTGAGTAACAGGTGTCCTTTTCTTTTTTTTTTGAGACAGTGTCTCGCTCTGTCATCCAGGCTGGAGTGCAGTGGTGCAATCTCGGCTCACCGCAACCTCTGCCTCCTGGGTTCAAGTGATTCTCCTGCCTCAGCCTCCTGAGTAGCTGGGATTACAGGCATCTGCCACCATGCCTGGCCAATTTTTGTGTTTTTCGTTTCGCCATGTTGGCCGGGCTGGCTTTGAACTCCTGACCTCAAGTGATCCACCTGCCTCGGCCTCCCAAAGTGCTGGGATTATAGACATGAGCCACTGCGCCCAGCCAGAGATGTCCTTTTCTATTTTGCACCAAGGTGCTGTGGGGCTGGTGGTGGCCCTGCTGTGCCCAGCCCGCTCTCAACTTCCTGATTCCATTGACCTCCTGCTGCCATTTCCCACAAGCCCCAGTTGCTGAGGCCACTTTCCCTTCAACGCTGGATTCAGGCAGGACCACTGCAGGTGTGGAGGATGCATGCATCCTTCTCCAGCTCCTTTACCTGGTGCCGGGCAGGGAGGTTTCCTCCACGCTTGTGCCACGTGACCTGGGCGTGGGCCTGCCCGGGCACCACGCACTTCAGATCCAGGGTCTGCCCTTCTGCCACTCGGGAGGAGGAGGGCTCGATGCGGATGGGTGGGGCTCCACCTGGGGCTGGGGCACAGGGGAGAGGTCAGTGAGCTGAGATGCCACCCTGATGCCCTCAGCCCTTCCCCTGGGGCCCAGATACTAGGACCAGAGGCCATTTGGGACATGGCTTCTTTCCCTTCCCGTTCCATTGAGGCCTGGAGCAGCTGGGCTAGCCTGGGAGGTGGAGGCACTTCTCATTCCCCCAGCCCCGCCCCCAGGCAATGGCCCCACCATCTCCTCCTCCTCCCATGCTCCCAGCACCAGTGGGGCCAGGGCTGAGGTCTAGACACTTCCACACAGACCACTAGACCACTAATGTTTGGCAGACTCAGATAGAATGTGGCTAAGAACCCAGACTCTGGGGCCAGACTGCCTGGGTTCAAATCCCAGCTCTGCCATTGATTAGTTGTATGACCTTTGGAAAACAACTTCACCTCTCTGAGTCTCAGTTTCCCCATCTGTAAAATGGAGAGAACAATGCCATCTACCTCAAAGGGCTGTTGTGAGGATAAAATGAACTAATATGTGTAAATATGATAGGGTCCAACACCTAAGAAGTGCTGGATCATGTTTACTGCTTAGCAATCTGTGTCCCCTTATCATGATTTCTGCATAGCATGTGCCCCCTGTGCTATTAATTACTGGACATTTTCCTTTCAACTGATTCACTTTAAAAAAGCCTTAACTACACACTGGGCGCGGTGGCTCACGCCTGTAATCCCAGCACTTTGGGAGGCCGGGCTGGGCGGATCATGAGGTCAGGAGTTCGAGACCAGCCTGACCAACATGGTGAAACCCCGTCTCTACTAAAAATACAAAAATTAGCTGGGCGTGGTGGAGCACACCTGTAATCCCAGCTACTCAGGAGGCTGAGGCAGGAGAATCGCTTGAACCCCAGAGGTGGAGATTGCAGTGAGCCGAGGTCATGCCACTGCACTCCAGCCTGGGCGACAGAGCAAGACTCCGTCTCAAAACAAAACAAAACAAAAAAAACCTTAACTACTTAGCCCCATTGTAAGCAAAGATTTCCAAGAAATAAGGACAGGCTTGATGTGTTTTTTTGTCCCTTATATGCCACCAGTACTAATAAAGATGTTTATTTATTTATTTATTTATTTTTGGAGACAGAGTCTCACTTTGTTGCCCAGGCTGGAGTGCAGTGGTGCAATCTTGGCTCACTGCAACCTCTGCCTCCTGGGTTCAAGTGATTCTTGTGCTTCAGCCTCTCGAGTAGTTAGGACTAACGGTAGGCGCCACCACACCCAGGTAATTTTTTGTATTTTTAGTAGAGATGGGGTTTCACCATGTTACCCAGACTGGTCTCGAACTCATGAGCTCAGGCAATCTGCCCACCTCGGCCTCCCAAAGTGCTGGGATTCAGGTGGGAGCTACCACACCGGCTCTAATAAAGATGTGTAAATCACCCTCCAATACTCGCAGAGGTGCAGTCCCAGGCTTTTGGGAACTCTATAATTAGATAGTAGAGTACAAGAGTACTACTACCCCTTCTTTACAGATAAGGGACAGTGACAGGTGGAAAGCTGAGGTCCCTTGTGCAACATCTCCAAGTGTGGCCAGAGGAACTGGGACTCATGCACAGATGAGCATAGTCCAAAGCCTATGCTCGCAAGCCGTGGAGAGGGACAGGAACCACTCCACCTGAGCCGGCTCCTTGGTCCTGGGACCGTGTGGGTGGCGGGAGGTGAAGTCTGGAATCAGAGCGGCAGTTCTCGCCGAGTGCCAGAAAGTGTTTCCTTCTGCCAGTTCTGCCCCCTGGTCTCTGTCCCTTCCTCCCTCCCCCGGCCTTCCCGTCCCACTGCAGGGACCCTCACCGGGGACGTGGACAGCACTTGAGCCAGAGGCTTCGATGGTGACCAGGACTGAGGCCTCCAGGGGGCCAGAGCTGCCCATCACCCGGCACACGTATTCACCCGAGTCGGCCGGGGACACATGGTGCAGCCGCAGCCGTGAGCCGCGGGTCTGAATAGGGGACAGGACAGAGGAACAGAGTCAGGTGCCAGTCTGGAACTGTTGAAGGCCTGGGGCCAGGGTCTAACCTCTGACACAGGGGGGTACTGCACCCCACGGGGGCTCCTAGGTCTCCCTCTTGGCAAAGCTAGCCAGGGCCCCCACATCCAGCGGCTCTCCCACCATTTCCTGCCAGCTGCATACCTGATGGTGACTGGGGAGGCTGCCCCCACGCTTGTGCCAAGTGACCTGGGCATGGGCCTGCCCGGGGACCACGCAGTTCAGATCCAGGGTCTCCCCTTCGGCCACGTGTGAGGAGGATGACTCAATTCTGATGGGCATGGAGCTGCCAGGGGCTGGGGGAACAGAGATCAGTGAGTCGGCACAGCCGTTGTCAGATTTGGGAACAGGGTTGGTGGGACCCTCTGCCATAGAAAATCTCACCCCCCAGAGTAACACTAATAGTTAACACTTGGCCGGGCATGGTGGCTCATGCCTGTAATCCCAGCACTTTGGGAGGCTGAGGTGGGTGGATGACCTGAGGTCAGGAGTTTGAGACTAGCCTGACCAATATGGTGAAATCCTGTCTCTACTAAAAATACAAAAATTAGCCGGGCACGGTGGCATGTGCCTGTAGTCTCAGCTACTCGGGAAGCTGAGACAGGAGAATCGCTTGAACCTGGAAGGCGGAAGTTGCAGTGAGTTGAGATCGCGCCACTGCACTCCAGCCTGGGTGACAGAGCGAGACTCCCTCTCAAAAAAAAAAAAATGATAATAATAGTTAACACTTATAAAGCACTTCTGGCATGCCAGGCACGCTCTAAGCACATTACATGCACTAACTCACTTAACCCTCACAAAATTCGTAAACTTCCTGTGATGATGGAAATGCTTTTTATCTGCACAGGCCAAGTCAGTGGCTGCAAGCCACACGTGGCTATTGAGAATTTGAAATGTTAGAAATGGGGTAGCCGTAGCCACTGAACCCACGCATCTTTCCGCTGGCCCTTGCCTGAGTACCACCAGGTCTGAGGACTCTGACCTGAAAGTTCCTTCTCCCCAGGGAACACTGTTGCCTGCATCCCTCGTCCCTTTCCTAGGCAGACTCACCGGAGGGGCTGCCGGCGCTAGGGGAGACGGAGATGACGATGGAGGCCTCCAGGGCATCGATGTTGTTGTTGGCCCGGCACACATACTCGCCCGAGTCAGCCACAGACATTTGGTGCAACCGCAGGTGGGAGCCATGGGTCTGGACGTGCGGATGGGGAAGGAGAGGGAGAGGGAGTGGAGGGACGCTGGGGTCACCAGCTGGCTCAGGCCTTCCTGCTCAGCCTGTTGAGGCTGCTATCGGTCTACCCAGGGCCCAATCCGTGAGACAGGGAGCCTGCTCTGCTCACCCCAGGAGACCATGGTTCCACCCCCGCTGCTGTGGCTCCACTCTGTACCTGGTGTCGGGAGGGAAGGCTGCCCCCACGCTTGTACCATGTGATGATAGCCTGGGGCTGCCTGGCGACCACGCAGTTCAGATCCAAGGTCTGCCCTTCCACCACCGTGGGGGAAGACGACTCGATCCTGATCGGTGGGGAGACGCTGGGCACTGGGGACAGACGGGTGTGGACCACGCAGCCAGAGTGAGATAACAGTGATGGCACCGGGGACCTCTCTGCCACCCTCTGCGCCACTTGTCTGTACCCCCTGCCCTCTCTGCTCTCACCGTGGGAGGAACCGCTGCCCTGGATGGTGACGATGAGCGAGGTCTCCCGGGAGCCTGCACCGTTACTGACGTGACACACGTACTCGCCCGAGTCTGCCGGAGTCACCTGAGGGATCCGCAGCCGGGAGCCCACGATCTGCAGGAAGCAGATGGCAGGAGGTATGGCAGTAGGTGTGGGCAGCTCCTCCACATCTTGGGCACTGCTGCCGCTGCCCCTGGACTCTGGGGGCCTCCCTGCCTTGCCTCCTCAGTGGCCTTCGTGAAGCTCCCAGCATGGCATGTGGCCTGTCTCTGGGCTGGGGTGGACGTCTAGCCTTTTGTCACCCCTCCAGAAAGCCTGTTAAGGCCCTCCGGAGTGTTGACACAGTATCCTGCTGGGGCTCCCACAGCCTGCGAGCTGCCTGAGAGCAGGCAACTGTCTCATTCCATCTGGAATCTTCAGTGTCAGGCACAGGACATGGCCCGGAGCAGCTTTTCAGTGAGATTTGGTGCAGAAGTGGATCTCCCTGAGGTCAGGGAGCCTTATTTCTGTATTCTCAGCACTGGTCTAGGACCCATCCAGCAAGGATACTCAATGTTTGTTGAATGACTGAATGAGCACAGAGTGAGGTGCTGAGAGTCCCCCCTCTTCCCATTGGGGGCTGGTGTGCCCTGCTTTTGCCCTCCCCACCTGCTGGCCCTGTACCTGGTGCCGGCTGGGTAAGCTGCCTCCACGCTTATACCAGGTGATGGTGTGGGGAGCCTGGCTGGCAACCAGGCAGTTGAGGTCCAGGGTGTGTCCATTGGCCAGGGAGGCTGAGGAGGACTCGATGCGGACGGGGTACGCCACACCCTGGGCTGGGAGGGTGAGATGTAAGGCAGGGTGTGGGAGCTGCTGAGGGTGCAGTCGGGGTCCCCCAGCCCTCCACCATTTGCATGACCCCCGAGACACTCACAGTGGGAGCCACTAAGGCGCTGCTGGATGGTGACAAGGACTGAGGCTTCCTGGGTACCTGAGCTGCCGACCACACGGCACACGTACTCCCCTGAATCAGCTGGGGTCACCTGGAGCAGGCGTAGCCTCGAGCCATGCACCTGGGAGGGTCAGGAGGGAGGAGGCAGGCTCAGAGCTGGGCACTGCGGCTCACGCCAAGCTCCTGTTCCCTTCCCTGGTGCCACTCCCAGCCCAGCCAGCTGGAACTCGATGGAAACTCTTCCAGGGAAAAC